>NC_000018.10:55787528-57037528 GCF_000001405.40 Homo sapiens | reverse complement strand
TCCATTGTCTACAAGAAAACAAACAAACAAACAAACAAAAAACTGGTTGCTGAGTTGTAAAATCACTAATTTGTGAATAGTCCTGCTATTCACAAATGAGAATCAACATAGTTCCAGTACTTGTAAAATTTGGCACAATGGCCATACATCCAAAGGGAAAACACAGGGGCTTACATGAACCAAAAACCTCTTCTATTCTCCCCACACTTCCTCCTGCTTCTAAAGACTGTGGCCGGATAGTCCCTGGCGATTCCCTCCTCATCTCCTGTTCCACGAGGGCCACTGGAAACACAGAGGAAACTGGGCCTTGGCAACAGAGTCTGGGACTCAAAAATATTAGATTTCCCTTTTATTTTTGGTGCAATCTTGGTCATTTGTCTATGTGACCTGCAGTTATTTTCATTTCTAAAAGGGAGCTAATTCTTGGCTTTCAGAATGAAGAATTAAGAAAAATAATGAATGCACCTACTATGGTACCTGGTGCACAATAAGTCCTCAGAAATATTAGTTCCCTTCCAGCTTTCCTCTTTACTTTTTAAAACTGAGCATTTGGATTTGGTTGAAGAAAGAAAAAAAAAAAAACAGGAAAAGAGTTCATGGTAAAGCTTATTTTCCTGTAACACAGAAGCAGGAAATTAAGACCTGAAAAATCTCATAATTTAAGAAGACAAGAAGAGTTAGGATAGTGGCATTCACTGAATGTTTACAATGATCTAAGTGCGCTGCATATATTAACTCTTTTCTCTTTTCATTCTTACAAGAAGACTATGAGGCAGGCATGATCATCACTCCCATTTTCCAGGCAAGGACACCAGGGACATGGAGATGTGAGTGGTATACAAAGGGAGTTATCTGGCTAATAAGTGGCAGAGCCATACTTGAACCTAGGTGGGTTCATCTGGGAAGGAGACTCTGAGACAGATTTGCTGAAAGCGGGTGTATTAGGAAGTGTTCCTGGGATCAACATCTGTGTGAAGGAAGCAATACATAGGCAGGGGGGAGCTGGACTGTGATGTGGTTGCAACAGAGTTCTCTGACAAATGCGCTGGGAGCTATGAAGCTGGAATGGCCCTTCAGAGATGTTCCAAACTGAAGCAAAGAGGGTTGAGTCCTTTTATCCCCATGATGGGTTATTGGGTGTAGCTCTCATTAGGGAGGAGGATGTGGCCTTGAGGAGAGTGGCTCTCTTTAGCCTCAAGCAATTCCTGTAGCAGGTCTCAGTTGGGAAATATCAGCTGCCGACAACCCAGTACCTGGGGGAGTGAATGCATACCACAGTGTCCCCTGCCTTCACCCTTTGCCCCGCTCAGATCCACTTGCTTTGAAAAAAGCCTGGGAACAGCCATTCCAGGATTCTGGGGGAAACATAACAGAAATATTAGTGGAACAAACTACAACCCCTGCTGTCGCAGCTGCTCCCAAAGCCACCACTGATATCTATTGCTTCCCTTCTCTACTACTCATTCTAAACTCTCCTCCCCCTTGGCAAGAATCTCTGCTACTTTCCATTGCTTACTACTGGGCAAACCCAGAGTCTCATCCACAAGGGGTCTGAGCTCCTGCTAACCATGCCATTTGGGTTTACAAACCAGGCAAGGGATTTTGACTTCTTACTGGAATGGCTGCTTTCAGCCTCCTGTGATCCATTTTCGATTTCTTTTGCCTGTATAGATGAACAATACCCTTGTTGGCTGCCCTCCCATCTTGCACTTAGGGATGACATGTTTTATTAGATCCAAAGATCTCTGCAGGTCTGGTCTCTCTGGCCGCCACTCCAAACTTGCTACTAATTATGATGATTGCACCCACCAGGTCTGTATTATTTCAGGACCTTGTCATCCTCCTTGATACCTGGGGCCCAGTTCTGTCATGACATCTTCTACCCTCAGTCCTGGCCTGCAGGGATGTGGGTGCCCTTCTAGCACCTTCCTTCAATTCATTGCTGGAATGAATGTCCCCAGCCTCTCTCGCAGAGCAGAGGCATCCAGTGGATTTGGGGGTACCTAGCATACCTGCTCCAGCAGTCTCCTCACTCTGAGCTTTCCTGTTCTTGCCTCCACCCTCTGTCACATCAGTTCTGACATTTCTTCTTAGTGTCAGCCACCATTTTCTCCAAGCCAAGCAGCTTATAACATCAGGGCAGCACTTTTTCCCTGGGTCCTTGCGGGTTGTTCAATCTCCTATCGATAAACTCTCCCTTGACCCACTTTATAGTCCGTTTCCCCTTGACCCAGCACCTGCTAAATCCAGTCCCATTTCAGTGGCTATGTTGGGTACATGTTGGTGAGGACCTACAGCTCCTATGGGAGATGGTTCTTTCCCTGTCCTAGCAGGTCCAGCACTTTGGCAGCCAGGTTGTACCATGACTTAACCCAAGTCACTCCAGTGGGGGGCATGTGTAGTTTTGCATGGGAGAAGCCTCTGCATTATCTTCAAGCAAAGAAAGAGGAACGCCGGCTTTGAACAGGGAGGAGCTGGCCATGTAGGCAGGCCCGAGGAGGGTTCACTGGAATCGGGGGTTCAAGATTGTTCAAGTGCATCAACCCAGAGAACCCCGTTCACCTCTGTCAGGGCTCTGACCCTGGGGCAGAAGATTTTTAGAGGTGAGTTCAGCCTCTGGAGCTGTGCTTCTCCATGGGCTGAGCCTGCTCATGTTTGGCTGTAGGAGATGAAGCTCTCCTTAGATGTTAAGGAGTCTCAGAGAGACTTTCTCTCTCTGAGAGAAAGCCAGAGGCTTTCACATTTAGCCTCTACTGGGTGATTAATCACCCTTCAGCTTTTCATTGTCTTTTTTCCAGAGCACTCCACAACAGTCATCCAAGTCCATCGTCTTTATAATTTTTCCTTTCCCTTACTTTTCAATTCCTGCCACGTGGTACCCTCCAGCACATCGCCCTCCATCAGCACGCCATACAAGCATCACCAAGGAAAGTTTTAACAATTGTGCAGCCAAGCGTGCCAGAGGCTGTCCATGAGGGCCCACGACCAGTGATGGGTCCTTCTTTTCATGGTTCAATGGGTGGCTCAGCTCCCAAACTCCATTTTTGAATCTGTTTTCTTGGGACACTCCTGGTGGGTTCTTTGGGATGCAGACTATGTGTGAGAGAGGTCTGCACATAGGAAGTTTATGGAGCAGTGTTCTCGGGATCAGCATCTGTAAGGAAATGCCCAGGCCTGGGCAGACAGAGAGGTTGAGCTGGGATGCAGTTCAGTGAAGCCTTCAGTCAATGCTCAAGGGAGTTCTGGAGCTGGGATGGCCTTTCCAAGTGGTTTTGAAATGGAGCTTGGGGCTGGGTCTTTTATTTTTATTTATTTATTTTTTTTTTGAGGCGGAGACTCACCATCCTTAGCACCTTCCTTACGACTTGCTGAGTCTCTGTCACCCAGAGTCTCACTCTCTTGCCTGGGCTGGAGTGCAGTGGCACAATCTCGGCTTGTTGCAACCTCCACCTCCTGGGTTCAAGTGATTCTCCTGCCTCAGCCTCCTGAGTAGCTGGGATTACAGATGCCCACCAACACGCCCATCTAATTTTTGTATTTCTAATACAGATGGGGTTTCACCACATTGTCCAGGCTGGTCTTGAACTCCTGACCTCAAGTGATCCTCCCCGCCTCACCCTCGCAAAATGCTGGGATTACAGGCATGAGCCACCACACCTCAGCCGGGGCTGGGTCTTTAAACCTCTTTCCTGACCCATCATGGGATGTGTTTGCTCCCCAGGAAAGGAAGCATGACCTTGGGTGAGACAGTTCTCTTTGGCTGGGAAGCAATCTTTACGGAAGGACTCAGCACACAGCTGTTAGAATGCTTCGGTTCTGCAGTGGGATTTGGGTGGGGGTGGGAGGACCTGGGCAGTGCACTGTGCCAGGCATTCAACTCACTGTGCCAGTCACACAGTAGAATCCAGGAGTAGGAGAACACACAACTTATTTTTAAAACAACAAAAGCTTTTCTTAAATAAAGAAAATGAAACATGGAAAACACTAAAGCCGGAAAAATCTTTTATTAGGGTTTTTGACTTATGGATTTCGAGTGTCCTTTGACAAAGGAGTCTGGTTTTCTGTTATTGCAATAATGGCTGCAAAGTGAAGAACTTTCTTGATTGTTGGCAGCATCTACCAATGTCCTTCAGGTTGTAGGTCTGAAGTAGTTTATACTCATTCCGATCACACAAAACTTTGACTTCTATAAATTCCTACATTATAACATCCCCAGTATCCTCCTAATTAATTCCTATTTATTTTTTAAGGCCTAGCCCAAATGTTTCCTCTCTGGGAAACCTAACAATACCACCTCATCAGAATCGATCACTTCCTGTGTTCTCATTGCTCTTTACCTGCCCCGGGTCTCAGCACTTATTCCATAGTGTTATGGTGCTTGGTGAGATTGTGAGCTCATCAGCAAGAGGAAAATAAAATAAAGAACATACGCTTGGCATATTCTAAGGTTCAATACAAGCTTGCTGGTTGAATACAAATAATGTTTCATTGCCGTATCTTTATTCACACATTTTCACTAAAACTTGAAGTGCCGCTGGGTGGGTCAAGTTTTAGAGCATCATTTCCCAACCTTTTTTGCACGAGGGACCAGTTTCATGCAAAAAAGGCTGGTGGTTGGGGATGTTTTCGGGATGATTCAAATGCATTATATTTATTGTGCACATTATTTCTATTATTACACTGTATATATATATATATATATATATATATATATATATATATATATAAAATAATTATACAACTCACCATAATGTAGAATCAGTGAGAGCCCTGAGCTTGTTTTCCTGCAACTAAACGGTCCTCTCTGGGGGTGATGGGATACACTGACAGATCATCAGGTATTAGATTCTCACAAGGAGAGTGCAACCTAGATCCCTCACATGCTCAGTTCACAATAGGATTCACGCTCTTATGAGAATCTAATGCCGCAGCTGATATGACAGGAGGCTGAGCTCAGGCAGTAATGCAAGTGATGGGGACCTCTGTAAATACAGATGAAACTTTGCTGGCTCACCACCACTCACCTCCTGCTGTGCAGCCTGGTTCCTCACAGGCCACAGTCTGATATCAGGGGTTGAGGGCCGCTGTTTTAGAGAATACATTTCAAATTTGGGAAGACTAAAGCACTAAGTCATTTTGACGTTAAGTCAGAACAAGAAGATATTGGCAACAGAACCTACATATTCAGTTTCCTTTGCTTTGGTGATTCCATGAAATCCACTCTACAATACTTTTGTCCAGAGTCTTATTCAATCTCGATAGATGCATATTTGGAAGAAACTCATTAAGAAACTCAAAGTCACCCCTGATGCTAATGTGAGTCCTAAATCTAATGCGGTGATCTTTCTTTTTGAGGAATCAGTGATAACTTCAGCCACAACCAACCAGTTTCCTCCATTGGCATGTATTTAGGCATTTCTTCATGTCTACAAATTTTGGTGAGAAGCGGGGTGGTAACACATAGCAATATGGCAAAGCAGCTGGGGAATACAAACAGAACCACAGGAGCCCTCCTTTGGATAGGATGTTCAGATCTACTTGTGGAGTCCACATAGAGATGAAAACATAAAACAAAAATCCAAGTTTTCCAAAGAACACAGGTCATCTTGTTTATCCATGCTCAATTAGGACTCCTGTCTCCTAAAAATATTAGCTTACATCTATTGAGTGCTTCCTGTGTGCCACTCTTCTGAGCATTTGACAGGTGCAATACAATGGATTTCACAAATGCAGCACATATTTACTTCATACCCCTACAATTCGAGCAGTGCTAGACTCCTGGCCTTCTCTGGGAAATCTCAGAATATTGAGGAGGTTTGGCTGGCTGCGTTCTCT
This sequence comes from Homo sapiens, assembly GCF_000001405.40. NCBI lineage: Eukaryota > Metazoa > Chordata > Mammalia > Primates > Hominidae > Homo > Homo sapiens. The sequence goes on along the minus strand of NC_000018.10, from coordinate 57,031,693 downwards.
TTTTGAAACAAAACAAAATAAAAATTTCCAGCCTGATCTATCACCTCAGAATAGAACGGGATTTATTAATGAGTAAGCAGGTATATAAATAGAAGCTATATTTTCACTATATTTTTAATACTCTTTAATTAGCACATGTTTACAGCAGGCCTGATGATGTACTTTAGATACTTAAGACTCCTTTGTCCTTCTGAGCTTGTCTGGCAGGTATGGGCACCACTGGCTTCTTAGTTTTCTTATCAGTAGGAAAGCAAAGAATCTATATCCACTTGATGGAGGTATTTGTCTACAGAATGAATGGCTCTAATCTTGCTGGTAAGAATGAATTGTTTACCATCTTCCTAGAGGTGCATAAACCTCTCACTCAGAGAGACATTAATTAGAATATCTTCATAAGTAATTTGCTTAAAGGGACTTGGGAAACTAGAAAAAAAATTAAGTTCTAGGTACAAGAACTCTTTTCTCATGCAAAGGATTGAACTGAATGTGAAGGAGGATCCAGGATTTACAATGCCATTATGGCAGAATCAACATGAATTGCAAAACCAAATTCTGAGATGTTAGCACAAAACAATGTAACCACTCAAAAAAACAAAACAAAACAAAACAAAACAATCTGTAGCCAAAAGGTGTACAGAAGCAGGAAGTCTGAATGCTTTTTGAGCATTCAATATTCATCGTTCTGCTGCTACAAAAATGTAAGTTTTGATTAAAGAGGGATGATCACCTCAATGGTCACACAATTGTGAGCTTAGTTCATTAAAAGGACAATTACAAGCACAAAACTCTCTGTAGTCCTTTTTTTTTTTTTTTTAAACAGCAAAAAGAACTGAACATCTAATTTTTGAAATTCTTCTGGCTTTTCTTTTTGACCTTTGGTATTTGTATGTATTGACGATCTCTAAACCATTGCACAAAAACACCTTGAAGTGTCAGGCTTTAAAAATGAGTCTTCTTTTCTCTTTCTCCTGTGCAGCTTGGATTATCTTGGCCTTGTCAAAACACATTCTCTAGTTAGAGGGTGGAAGTATTTCCCTCCTGGCTCCAAAGTATTGATTTTCTTCAACACTGGGCTCTGTCAGTCAGCCGAAGGGGTGAAAGGTGAAAGTTCACCCAGCACTGCTTGGCTTTACCTTCCTATTAACGTCACGCCTTTCCACATTTGATCAGTTTATGTGATCGCTGATCATATAGAACTGTTACTGCCCCTATTTTCCCTATAAGAATACATTTAAGTCATGAGATGTTAAAACATTTCCTGGGGCCCACAGTGGGCATTTAATAGGGCCCAAGATGCCTCAGACCACTCCTGGAATGTTCACCGAATTCTTACAGAAAATTATACTGTTACACGATGATTGACTCAAATCAAGCTTTTGTGTTCTTATCTGAAATAATTAAGAGACAAGAAGTACATTCACTACTTACACATAACCCTCTATGAGCAGTAAGGACCTATTTTATTATTCTTGATTTTTCTGAAAACCAATTATACCCTTTACCTGAGGGATTCAAATTCGACTCCAAACTGAGCGTGAAATGCAATGAACTTGATGATCTCAGCCTAGCTCCCGAGAGGCAGCCAACCCATGCCATCCAATCTGACAAGATATGATTTGGTGCCATTACCAGTCTATTTGGGAGCATGTAGAGTAGAGATAAAGCAACAGGCATGCAACGCCTTTCCCAAACCACAGAGAGTGCCAGTGAGTTTCTGGAGGGAGAGCTTACCTCTGCACTTCTGCTCTACTGTCCTCTGGGAATAAGTTGCCTTTCCCAAGCCAGCTCTCCAGGGAAATGAATGATTAGAAGCAGCAGGGCTAGCGGAGCATACGGATTTCAACTGAGGATGTTTAAGATGAGTGAACACTGGAAAAGGTAATATTGTGAGAAAAACAGTCTTCAATACAATTGTTTTATTTAACACACATATGTACACAGGAACATTCAGCACACATAGAGTCTATTAAGTGGAATCATTAAGAAATGTCTGGAGAGGCAGACATTTTAATTCACTCGCTGTACACAGGGAGTTCAATCATCACATTTTCATACAGGTGTCACGTCATGTCATCTTTTGCTTGTAAATTACCAATGAAGCCACATATGTCTCTACATATACAAGGACAGGTCCAAATACAGTGCCAGTGAAATCAATAAAACATTAAAGGTGTACGCTGGGATGACAATGCAGAGTTTACCTCAGTGCTGAGAAATCTAAGCTGGGATGAAGTTTGGGACTGTGGCTATTAAAATAGCCAAGGAGAGATTTATGTTAACAAGAATGCAGATATTAGTTTAGTAGTTAGAGATGACCGTCTAATCATCAAACATCGTCCACCCCAGGGTTTTGCAGCCATAGCTTTCTACTGGCCTTGGTTGCCTGTGCAGACGGAATACGTGAAAGGCCTACCCACGCTTGTGGCCCAGGGCTATTGCTCCTCTGGGCCCCCTGGCTTTGTTCTCAACCTTCGTGGCGGGGGGAGCCATCCGTGTGTTTGCGGCAGGCTGCCTACCACTCTCACACCTCTTTCCTGACACACAGAACATTTTTGTTAAAGAAAATGCTAAGGTATACATTTACCTCATCATTCCAAATAGAGATGTAGTCTACAATAAATTAATTTCCATTTAAGTTCATAAAGTAAACATATGTTGGGTATAGAGAAGACTCTGGACCCACTGGAAAACAAAGTGAGCCTTTTACCTTACATTTCTCTAGCTATGCCAAACACAACAGCACGTTCACCAAACAAATAAAGTCTAAACTGTATAGGTCTTTGTTTCTTCCTTGGAAACTACATATATAATCTTTATAAATACAATGTACATGCATGTGCCTAAATTCACTTTTGAAAGAATACCCAACTCTAAAACCAAGGAACAGTATAGATTTGCCGTCAATGGAAATAACATCATATCATTATGAAAGAGATGATCTAATGGTCTTAATTTCTTAATATGCTCTTTAAAAATCTGTTTCAGTGAAATAACCAATGTTTGTTCCTAGACTTTGATCCTACTTTTTTGTATATCAGATAAACTCTGACAACCTAAACTTTTAAGACTAAATTCTCCCATTATCATTTTGGTTCCTTTGTAAACTTCACATATTTTCTCTGAATTTAACAAATAATTTTCTATTTTTGCATGTAATAAATGATTTTGCCCAACTAACCAACCAATCAACAATTAGGCAACCAAACAACCCCTCACAAGTATATACAGATCAAGGTTTGTTAGAAACAATTCATACAAAATATAATTCTATTTTTTTCATTATTATGAGCTAGAACCAGCACAATCTGACATAAGAAGAAAGTGGTCTAGTTAAAGCTTACTTAGAAGCATAATGAACACCCTCATTGCAATGTTTGCTCAAATAAATCGAGAGCCCACATATTTTTATATACACTCCTGAACATTTGTGCCATAGTTATTACTTTTCCAGAATACTTGTTTAAAAGAAATACCTTATTAGCTTTCCTTTAGTTGATCAGTAGTAGTTTGAAGGCTGAATTATAATAATTTCATAACTGACATATGCCACACATATGGGAACTACAGGATTGCAAGTTTTCCGGGGGAAAGGGGTAAGCTCTTTCTTCAACAGGATCTGTAGCAGTAGATAGGAGAGTCTTCATTTTCGGTACACGCTATGCTTCTGAACTTGGCTCTTTATCACAAAAGTCCCTTCAAGAGATTAGTTACAGTGACTGGATAATTACATTAACTAGATCATAGGGAGTGATTATTTTTATTTTAAACTACTAAATAGACTATCATTTAAGCAAGAGATGAGCACTTCAGAAGGCTAAGTGTCTGGAAAACTATTTTCTACAAGGAAAATATTTTTGTGTACATAATTAATCATGAATCTCAAATTGGTTAGCTGTTGATAAAGAAGGTGGTAGCTAAACCCTAGGAAATTGGATTGAGTAATTTCCTAGCAATCACCAGAAGAAAAGAACATGTAAACACAGAATCTTTTTGGTAAACAATATTTTAGGTAATTCAAAGGGCAATAATTTCAATCGTGAGGACTGCCACATGACCTCAACACCCAGTGTCAGAACGGCCAGATTCAAGCAGCACTTCAGAGGTGCGGTTGAGATGGCTAAAAATGCTGATCTGGGCTGGGAGTGCAATCACAGTGTTTATTGATTTTTGTGCTTCTGTTGCACCAAGCAACAAGAGCGTTCCCAGGAACCACTGGCTTTCCCCTGCCATCTCTGGCAGGGAAAAACTACCTGGTGACAGGATGGCCACATCCTGCAGAGCATGTGTGCGTGCCTCTGAATCGACAGATGGCACGAGCGGGTTCTGCCCCTGAGAAGCATGCACAAGTGACAAGACCCGGCCGTGCCACTGGATGGCACTGGGGTGGGCAGGCCCCTGGGAACAATCTGGTGTGAGGAAGGACAGAGCAACATCGGCTTGGATAATTTAGAGAACTAAAACGCAGTCACGGCGGCAGGCAGCAGCATTAGACCATGAAGCGGTGCTCCTTCCCGTCATGGGCCATGAGGATGACGTTGCGGTTGGAAGTCCAGATGAGCCGGGCCAGCTTGAGGGCATTGTGGGAGCCGGGGGACGCGGGCTGCACAGGGGGCACCTGGTAGGTTTTAATGCAGCGCAGCTGAGGTGCCGAGTTCAGCATGCCGATGCTTCCCAGCAGTGACGTGTTCATCTGGAGGGACAGGAGAGCACATGTGTCACTTGAACAGCCCTCTCCCTTTCCCTATCACAGAGACTGGGTCGATCTCTCCTGGCTACTTTCCCCTCCATCATGGTTATTCTCCTTCACCTAAGCTTGTTCTTAACCTCTCAAAAGTTCCTTTCAGTGTGCTTGGAATTGTTCCGATGCTGTTATGGTAAATGCAGAAATCTAGAGGAATTTTATAGGGGTAGAACCTGACAAAAGGAGAGTCCATGGATCTTTAGGAAGAGGGCTAAATTATACCTCTTAATAAAATGGTTCATTTAGACAACACAGATATTTGGAAATTGTGGATATTTAAAACTGAAGACTTTCATGTTCTTTACCACAATGCTAACTGCACTCACTCCCTGAAGGATGAGTCAGCGAAGACAAGTTTTGGGATTTGTAATTAGTTCAAGAAAAGGAAGCAAAGTTAAGCAGTAGATAGAGTGACAATTGGATCAAATAAAGCTCAAGACTCCCTTCCACCCCCATTTCCCACCTACTAATACCTTCACTCTTCACTTGCTTTTTAAAAACTCGCTTTCTGGAAAGCTCTTGCTTATTATAAAGTGCAGAACCAGAATCAATTTCATCTCAACACTATGTCTGTGCCTCACTGTTTTGCTATCATACTAAGGAGAGTCTGCTGTTAATATTTTATTGACAATACCTTTTTATCAATTGATAACTTCTGCTTTTTGGCAGTTTTTCTGGATTTAAATTTTAGGTTTTCTTAATCCAGCCACATAAATGAAAAACAACATGGAAATTATGAATCATGAACAACTATGCATTCAGGTTGAAGTACTAAATACTGAATGGTAGCTGTCTAAGTGAACTGTTTCCTAAGCAACTGAGTCTGAAGATTTCTTTAGATTCTAAATATTACTTAAAATATCTTCAATAGCATTATGTGTGCTATTATAATATCACATGGAAAGAATACTGAAAATCTGGAAAGAAGCCTTGGAAATAACACTTTTTCTTTGTACTAATTTTCATTTCCAATGCTTCTCTCCAGTATAACCTCCATCTCGATGTAAGATTCTAGAGATTTGCATGAAGCATGCAGATTATGATCCAACATCTACAAATGGTTGATCCATGAAACTCTGGCAAATCCTAGGACATTTAAGATGCGTTATCACTGACATCATCCCCTGCATGTGGATCAGTGCAAAACACAAGCCATTCCTTTTTCTAGCCCTTCTCAGCAGCAGGATGGTGTCAGAGGGCGTAAATCATGGCATCTCTAGCAGAGTGTGTGCAGGCTCCACTGACATTTTCACAATTTAAATCATCTTGAGTAATAACCCTTTTAAGATGACTAATGTTACTGATTTTCCTGCATTAATAATAGCGCTGAACACAACACAGAGGTGAAAAAAAATCACTAGTGTACGAGGTCACATTTTAAAACCAAATGTATGGTTATTGTTAACTCTTTCTGTTAAAGTTCGGTTCCTGTTTCCAGCCAGGCAGTTCCTTACTGTCACCCTTTCAGAAGCGTGTTTCTTTGCTTCCTTCTCTCCTTTTCCCAAAAACTTCACAGAAGATAAAAATCAATGCCTTATTGCTTTCTTGGATGTTCCCAAATAGTTAAAATATAAATAATGATGATGAGCTTAATTTGATAGATCCAAATGACACAGAAGATTGCTGGTTAACATTAACTGGCATCAACAGGCGTAGTGTGTTTTAGAAAAAATCTAATTTCTCAGTTGATAAATAACTACAAGGTATTTTTCATTCTTTATGGATTTTCTATGAATATATGTATGAAGCTTGACTTCTGCTGGTAATTCAAAATGCAAGGGGCATATAATGCTCAGACACTTCCTTATTTTTAATTCCTCTCTTCAAATTTAGCCAGGAACAAAAAATGGGTTGAGAGCTAAACATGAAAAGGGAGAGAATATCTCATGGGAATACTCTAGATGTAAAGATTTTAGAAAAGGCCATTACAACTGGGTTCCTCTTATAACCTGAGCCATCCCTACTTTGATAAATGCCTTTGGTCAGGTCAAATAGCCTTCCTGCCTGAGAATAGGGATTTGTGAAATTCTATAAGGGACATAACTATCATAGTTCACATATCCCTATTCCTGCCTGAGAATAGGGATATGTGAAATCCTGTAAGGGACATAACTATCATAGCTCACATATCCCTATTCCTGTCTGAGAATAGGGATATGTGAAATTCTATAAGGGACATAACTATCATAGCTCACATATCCCTATTCCTGTCTGAGAATAGGGATATGTGAAATCCTGTAAGGGACATAACTATCATAGTTCACATATCCCTATTCCTGTCTGAGAATAGGGATATGTGAAATTCTATAAGGGACATAACTATCATAGCTCACATATCCCTATTCCTGCCTGAGAATAGGGATATGTGAAATTCTATAAGGGACATAACTATCATAGCTCACATATCCCTATTCCTGTCTGAGAATAGGGATATGTGAAATCCTGTAAGGGACATAACATGTGGAACGATAAAGACCCCCATGTTCACTAAAATGCATTGCTCAAGATCATCCTTTCCCTATGACCTCTTCAAATTCGGCATGAATGTGAAGTATTATAGTAACGGTATTAATTTTTCCAATAAACTCAGACAAATGACTCTCTCTGAAACAACTAACAATTTTTTCAATATTAATGTTTTCTTGAACAGCGACTGGATACAAACGATGCTCGAGTAAGGACATCTTGAGCCTTGAATGAATGCAAACTATGTGGAATTATGAGATTTGGTAACATTCACTTTTTCCTGATTGCAAAGATAGTAAATACTCATTGTGGAAAATTCAAATAATAAAGAAAAGTACAAAAAGGAAAGCAAAAAACCCCTGAAATATCTTTTCCCAAAGACAGTCACTGTTAAAATTTTGGTAAACAACCTTCCAGACCTCCACATATACATAAAGATGAAGAGAAGCAGAGTTAATAAATTTTATATAAACAAGCTTATATTAAAATGTAGTTTCATAATTTGCCTTTTTGTTCAACAAAATGCTGATGGCAGTCTTCTCTTGTTAATGACTACAAATTTACATTATTCCTTTTAAATGGCTGAATAGTATTCTACTATACAATGGAGTAAATAAAAATAAACGAAACCAGTATCTACCTAATTTATTATCAGCATTTCTGAAAAAGGATATTTGCTGGACAGTGGTGGTAAGATTTGGGTGAGAGAATTGTGACTGTATTTCATTACTAAACTCCTCCTCTTGCTCAAATGCCAATGGATACAGAGAAGTGAAATATTCAAATTGTAGAAAACGGGGTTAGAAAATCAAAGGGCTTGAAAGACTGCCAAATTACATCATTTGATAGATGAGAATGTAAATTCACTCAAGTGTAACTTTGGCTTTTTTCTTCCCTTCAAAAATAAACGCTTCACAAAACTGGTTCTTTGAAGATTATTTTCTGAACACACAGAAACACAGCTATAATTCATCACAACAGGAAATGTTTTAATGCTATTCCCAATGTAAGTAATGCTGCACACAGACCTTACTAAGTCTCACTTGAGTAATTATCCAACCAATATTTCTCATTAACACTCATTTCTCAGCAAAGATTTTAATAGCTGATAGCTTTAGTAAGGCTCTGTATTAATAAGACTTCATTAACTTTTCAAAATATATTACAGTACACTTACTGGAATAATATAAAAGTATTCTGATACATCATTACAACGAAACAACATGTATCTAAATAAATCAGCAAAGCCCATTTGGGGAGAGCAGCAGTAGATCTAATACTGTTTTTTGGACTCTTAATTCAAATAAGACAACTACAATTCTGGAAGAGATTTCATTGCATTTTCCTGAGAAAGCTGAAAGGACTTGTTTTTGTATCTTCCATTAAAATTTCAAGACTGAGTTTGGTACAACATAAACATGAAGAAATGGGCTGTATGTTAAATTCCGACATTGGTTTTAGAGGCAAGAATGACCTGGGTGTTGCCTGGGCTGCTTTGGCTTTGGCATGTGCAAATAACAGGAAGCAGCCCTTGGAGTAGGTGAGCTTGTGGATTAAGGACATGTACTGCAGCCCCACTGTGTGCAAAGCCACGTGTCCAGGCACACAGATGTGAGTGCGCTTGGCAAAGCCCAGAGTCAACAGCAGGAGGCTTCAGAGAGGAACTGGAAGACAAAAAGATGTTACCTGAAAAGGAAGCCATCTAATAAACGAGCTTGGTCTCTAAGTGAAAAGGATGTTACCCATAATCCCATCAGTGACCTGGGCAGTAATTTTGATATAAATAGAAAAATATTCAAGGAAGGGATGAGCATATCCAAATAAAACCTTGAAGATCTTAGGGGAAAAAGATAATTTAACATTTAGAAAATTTCATTTAAAATACTCCTGAAAATACTGGGAAAAGTTTCAAATCTGGCTAATATGTGAGGTATTTCTTATATAAGAAATTATGTTTTCTTAGCAGAAAGAAAGTTGGAAAAAAGAGATGTTTTGTTTGTTTATTCCAAAGAAGAAACCCTGGACAGAACACAGGTTTCTGGCAAGCACGGACCCATGACTTACTGATCTCTGTGTCTCTAATGCACAGGCCAGTACCTACCACTCAGACATCCAATAAATGTGGAATGAGTGGAGCTTTATATAAATATTCCTCCAAGATCCCAAGAGAACAGGAAATAAAAGAAAATTTGTATGAAGGTACAGCTGACATAACAGAGGCCATTGAGTTAGACACGAGTGGCGGCGGGGGGGACCCCAAAAAAATCAGTAGGTAAAATCCTTAAAGAACCACTGCTGCAAAAGCCCAGTTTCTGGACACCTAATGGAATCACTGTGGAATTTCAGGAGTGGAAAACACCAGTGCTGTGGATACTCACTGGGAAAATGAGGGCTGGGTGAGATCTCTGATAAAGGGAGTTTAATATGAGCGAATTAAGATGCTGGAGATATATTCTGGAAGAAAGGCTAATGAGAAAATAAACTGGAAAACTAAATTAGATAAAAGTAGAAGAAGTCTGACAGATTTTGAAGTTGTCATGCTTTAATAGCACGTTGTTACTTAAGTAATTTATTGTATCCATTTTACATTTTATTACCTATTGATTTTTTCCAACTATCACCCAGTTATGCTGAAGCCTTGTTTAAACTTTTATTTTGTTTTGTTTTAGATTTCAAAGCAATAAACTGAATCTCATAAAACATACTGGCATTCTAAGAAAATAAAGGTAACAACAAAATTTTAAATTAACTTTTTTGGGGGTGTTTAATTTCTTGGTAATTTTCAGGACTAAAAGAGTAAGGTAATTAAAAAGAAGATGGGATAGAAATTAAGCAGTGAGGATCAAACATATTCTATTGCCAAAATTAGTTGCTCAAAATTAATGTTCATTTTATTCAGAACTAAACATAGGCATTCTCATGAACTGCTTACCAAAGACTACGTGAGATCTTAAGAAATGTTCTGAACAGTTTGAGCATTATGAGTATTATGTGGGAAATTCAGAATGCAAAGAAAAATGAGATAATTATAAAAGGGACATGAGGTGAACACTAGGAAAACACCTTATTATCCTATGCCCTACACCCTGTTAGAGTCACAGACCCAGGGACCAAGTGTGAAGGCCTCGTGTAAATGAATAGCTGAAGCCAGCGAGGCTTCTCCTGCCCGATTCCTCTCAGGCCAGGCCCTCAAACATGCCGGCCCTTGCTCACGGCTACTCATGCACCTGTGCCCCCTTCTTAACCACCCACACCTCCTGACCCACCCTGAACACTGAGCCCTTCCTCCACATCACTCAAGCCTCAGTTTAGGTGTCACTTCCCCTGAAAAGCCTTCCCACCACCTTATTCTCAGGCTCCCCTGGGACCATAATTGCTTGCTTATTTATGTATGTCTACTTCAGACTGCAAGCTCCATGAGAGCAGATGCCCCTCTTTCCAGATTGCTAATTGTATTCTCAGCACCCTGCATGCTAGTGCCTGGCACATCATCAGCAATCAATACAGACTGGATGTTTGCTGCAAGGAGGGAGGGAGGACAGGAAGGAGGGCCGGCAGGTAGGCTCAACAGGAAGGCTTACTACCAAAGGCATATCACGCAGTATATGCTTTAAGACCCTGGAGCATCTACTCTTACCTGCCAAAAAGAAATGTGGCTGTCAGTGTTTGAGTAGGTGGCAAGATATCTTCCATCAGGAGCAAAAGCCACTGCAGTGATTGGTCCCTTGTGTCCATGGATTGTCTAAAATAAAATTCAGATATCATGAATGATAAGCATTTCACAGGACAATTACAAGTACACACACAAATGCATTCAATGTTGAACAAGTTACGTCATGGGTATTAGATGCTGTTATCTTCTTTGTTTATAAAATCAGCTTAGAAAAATAAGCAAAGCAACAGACGTTCTCTCATTGAGGGAACTCTCCAAGGGCTTCAATCTTGTTCTGAGGTGTCCACCTGCCTCCTAGTTGGGGAGGGCAGCATGAGCCCAAAGAAAAAGCATATATTAATAGGCAAACCAATGTGCTAATTCATTTATGTCCACCACAGGGAAAAATTTTACAATTAGTTAGAAAGGTAAGAAACTGATCACCAGAAGTATCCAGGAACTTTGCTCATCTGAAATAAAAAACAATCAAAGCTGCGTTATAAAAATCCCTGTTCTGGAAGGAGTTAAAGACTATAATTTCATCTCCTTAATAATTATACACTGCTCATGCTTTATGCTTCATTTTCTACCAATAACACTGTATTTAAATGTATATAGCTGCAATTAGTAAATATACATCCACACACATGTGGGAGGTTTGGGCACACACATAAATCAAATACCATTAAAAACAAGTTAACAGGGATAGTTTTGAACCTCTGCCAAATAGCTATCATTGATTTAACCATGAATAATAAAAAGGAAGTTGTATTTTAGACTAGGTCTTTGATAGAAGGTCCCTCCTAATAAAAACAATACTCAAGTCTGATGATATTAATAATTACAGAAGACATTGGATACTAAGCAAATTAGCATAATATTGTATTAATCTCCCTGTACTGAACTATTTAAAACCATACCTCTGCCACAATAACCAATATTCAATCTGGCTTACAAGCTGTAGGTTGGTCTCCTCCCTTTGTCTAGAAAGGAATAGGAAATGTGTGCCCTTAAACTAAGAAAATTCAGGACAGGTTTACTTCCAGCTGTCATTTTTGATAAAGAATTGTGAGCCCTGAGTCTCAGTGGGAGCATCAGGCTTGTTATGTGTTTCGGCCCACAGGTAGTGTACATTTCAGGAGATTTTTTTCATATTACATATCTGAATGCCTAAGATGAAGAAGAAGAGGGAAAACAGGGGTAGGGACACAAGCACATTCCTTGCTGCCTTTGCATTCTGTCCTTTCTTGTCATTAGACTTTCAAGGGACTGTGGTGTCCCAAATAACACTTGTTTTCTAACACTCAAAAAAAAAGTTATGTTGGTATAGAACTGGGCTCTGGGCAGGGAGAGAGCATTGATGTGAGCCGGACTTCCTGGGTTTGCATGTGAGCTCTACTACGTATTAACTGTGGAACCTAAGGCCACGTTATTTAAGAAACTTAACATTGCAGAGTACCCATGTTTGTAAAGTAGGAACGATGATGATGATGATAATGATAATATCTAACTCAAAGAGCTTTGTAAAGGTTAAATGAGGTAATACGTAGCGTTCTGCACAATGCATGGCATATAACAATTCAATACTTTTAATATTTTTGTTACTCCTGCTTGCTTAGAGTTGACCAGACACATATAAACAGTCATATAACTCAATCACTTGAGTACACTATTCAATGAACCCTTCTCCAAAACTCTGCCTTAATCACATATCTCAGAATCACCATCACGTAGCATACCAGGTTGCCTACAAACACAGACTTCAGACTGTGGCATTTGATGAAATAGATGTGATTACTCATGATGCTGGCCCATAAATGTACTAATTTAAGAAATGGAGTGCACTTGCTGCATAATTAGCGCAAGAAACCAGCTTAACATGAACTATTCTGGAATGAGAATCACTCAGGCAGGAAAAAAGCCTTTCACCAATTAAATCGGAAAAAGTGGTCCATTCCCACTTACTAGGTCAGTTTAATCAGCTCATTGGGAAAGCATTTTTAACTGTTTTTTAACATCAAGATTCAGTTCTGCTAAAAGTCTGAAATTCTATTGGGCCAATCTGAGGACACTTTATAGTAAAGACAGTAGGACAGTAAGTCCTTGACTTAGAGGCTGCAAACTCAAAACCCTTAACCTGAAATTAGATAATAGATGTGTTTGGTTTGGCCTGCAAAAGTGCAAAAAACAAATTTTTTCAGCCCATCTTTCTAATTGATCAGATCTTCTGTAAAAACAAGATTTCCAGCCTCTCCTGAAAAACTGGAGGATCGGACAATACTGGGCCTCTGTTCACATGTGGCAGCATCAGCCAGGGCTGAGTGGTGGTGAGCACTTCAGCCTGAGCATGTGCTCTTCACTTCACCAGTCCAGCACTGACACAAAAGAAGACCTGTGTACCAGGCTGCCCAGCTCACTTATTTCCCACCTGGTCCCTCCTGGCATTTAATGCAACCTTTCTATTACAAATATTTGATTCAAAATTCAAAGTTTCTTCCATGCTCTGGGATCCTAATATCCATCTAAAACTGTGAGTAGATTAAAAGTTCTTCTAAGAAAAACTGGCCCTTCTTGAAAGCCCCCAAAGCCCAACTCTGTGTAGAGGTGGACTGAGCCTCCTTCTGGAGATTGGGCCCCTCAGTTTCAAAACAGAATGCCAAGCCTTCCTCCTTCAGATTAGCATCCTTCCTTAATCAGCAACCAGAAGGTTGCTTCAGTAAGTTAGAGAACATAACAGTAAGCAGGCTATAAACCACCAGGTCCAAAGCATGTTACAACCCAGTGGACACATTCACAACCCTTTCTTTGAGGCTAGCAAGTTAGCTTTTTGTAAAAGTAGTAAAACAGACTCACTGGGACCATATTTGCTCCTTCAGAACAGTGTTCTCTAAATATTCCATTTTTTGTCTTCCTCTGGCGAGTATTTAAAACATCCACGTGAAGGGTACTTCTATTTCAGCTGAAGACACTGATCATTGTTATTTAAGTGTCTCTCAAAGAAGATTTTGGGAAATAAGTTCAGCCTGAATTGTCTGCTGGGAAAATGTTTGTCTTTCCAGATAAATTTGTTGCTTTCATTTATCATGTAACAATAATTACATAACCTAACACTGTCTTGCTTTACTGCCAGGAAACTCAGAACTAAATTTATGCTCATTCTATGTAGATCAAGTAATAAATACTTCCTCCTACTCATTTTACTCATCACTGTTCCGTTTTCATTTGTTGTTGTTGAAGTCCTGTCATATACTGAGTTTAACTTTCTTGAAAGTCTTCTTTGGACAAAGGGGGACTACATCTTGGATCAGAACATCACACACACACACACACACACACACACACACACACACACACACAGCATGACTTGGATAAGAACAGCACACACACATGCACACACACACACACACACACACACACACACAGCATGATGCTGCTAGGTGCCCTACAGGGCTGGCTTTTTAAAGCAACCTAAAGAAAAACCACAGAGTGCTGACTGCAGCTGACAGACAGACCTGCTGTCTCGTAAGAGCAAGCACCGCTCAAGCAGTGCAGGGAAGTTCGCTGTTTTAAATGGCTTGGTACATCTGGTGAGTTCATTACAATCTCAGCCCGAGAGGTGCTTCAACCCTCACTGTAATGGAAATGTTGCCATTGTCTTTTGTTCAGATTCTCTGAACTTCTAAGATCTGTGCAGGCACCACCTGAACTGACTTTAACCTCTACTCTGGCATTAGAGATGCAGCTGTGCGGATCGCACAGAACTTGTAAGTGCTTTGTGATGGAGCGGATTGGATGGTTTGGGTCTCAAATGCTAGACCTTGAAGAACATTTTCCAAAAAACAAACAAGTTTCAACATAAATAGAGGTTTGGTAGACTTTTTATATGCGAATGAGTATCATGCCTTGTTATATTTTTAGTCAAAGAAATTGCTGTCTTGAAAAGACAGAAATGGAATATAAAGAAATTAATCAAATTCAGGAAGTGCTACAAACAATTAAAAAAAATCAAGCAATTATTCCTAGCAGGAGATAAGAGTGTTGAACTGTTAAACACCCCCACCCCTTTTTCTCATTAAAGAAAAGGAACTGGGAAGCAGAATAATGAACAATACTTAATGTACCCAAGTTTTTAACACACATTTTCAATGTGCTCTGCAAAGAAATATAATTAACCCAGTTGTACAGAGAAGGAACCAGAAATGAGAATTTCTAAAATGATTTGGTCAGCGTCAATAAAAGCCATGACTTTCTAGAATATTCTCTTTAAAACTGCTCTCACATGGTTTGTCAGCTTCCAAATGACAAGTTTGGGACTTGAAACCAACCCACTTTGAGGTTGAATAAAATTAAAGAGAACATCTTATGTTTACTTGTAGGTCTCATCATTTTTTTTTCTTTAAGGGGGAACACAAAATCCTATCTAAACCATTTTCTTAACATAAATTATGAAAACGAGATTTCCAAAAGTAGGTAAGATTTCCCTATCATAAATACCAGCACAAGGAAAAGATTCATAAAGTACTGACCCATGTATTTTGTATAACATTTAGTAACATAAACTGGAAAAATGCACGAGCGTGGACTGAACCTTGATGACCCCCAAGATCTTGAGGGGCTGAGAGGGAAGCGGCCGGTGTGGCTGTGGGCTTCTCAGGAAGCAGTGTGGCTGACTTTAGATTAAGTCAGGCAGTTGCAATTTGAGGGGCGCTTGAAAGGTCTGCTGAGCCGAAATACGTCCTCCCCAGTTGGCTGCACGTGGCCTCTGAAATCTCGAAAAACACAATTATGCCTTCACCTGAGGCATTTTCCCTAGAATGTGCTCCGGCAGAGGGCAAACAGGACAAGCTTGTTTTCATAAGGTACAAGCATGGCAGATGCCCTGACTTTAGGGTGAGCCTGAATGAAGTGTCTGTGTGTGTATGGAGTCAAAAAATAGGTAAGACAGGTCAGAAATTCAAGGCAGTCAGTGCCTCAGAAGTGAGGAAGAACTCTCAAAAGGAGAGGCAATACCAAAGACCTGCAAATACCCACATCTTCCCAGTGCTGCTCCCACTTAATGATACCCGGCAACGCCAAGTGAGGTGCAGCGGGTGCTTGCAGCACTCATCGTACGTTTGGCATCTCTCTCATGTTAACAGCAGCTGAAGTCAGAAAAGGGCAGCTAAGGAGGGGGAACCAGGCTCTGATTTGCATGCCTTTCTGACATCCCAATACAGGAGCCCGTAGATTTCATGGCTGGCTGGCAGGGAGGTAACTGCTCAAGGCAGAGAGAAGACAAAGACATCGCTCTGACTGACAGCTCTGTTAGGCAAGGGAAAGGCTCATCAAAAAAGAGCCATTTCAAAAGAGTTTAAAAGTTAAGAATTAATTATGTTCCAGGAAAAAAAAATCCCCCTTCTTTTCTCCCAAGCAATCAATTTGTGAAAATTTTATTAGATATTTCAGGTTCATCTGCTCAAGGAAACAAATTATAGATTCAACAAATAATTTAGGCAGATAATAACGCCATTAAAAAACAGATAATCTCATCTATGGCCGATTAGAAGGTTCAAGTCCAATTTAATTATCACGATGAACTAAGCCTTCTCAAGTCTCTTTGTGCATAGGCTCTTAAGATCACATGGTGTTGCCAAGAACACTGAAAGGTCACCCATTCTGCTGTGTGTGTGGACAGGGCTACGGTGAAGCAGGTCAGACAGATGAAAATCTATTCTGTTTTCAGATATCTCCAGAGAAAGATTCCCACATCTCCCCTGAGGACCCTTTTCAGTGTTTAACAATGTGTGCTGTCAGGGAATTTTTCCTTATATCAAATCTAAATCCAAAACACTGCAGTTGAAGCTTGCTTCCTCTGGTCCTGGCCTCAGTAGAGATGGAGAACAGCTGGTGACCAATCTTAGTGTGACAGCCTTTTAAAAGCTTGAGGACTGTTGCAGCAGCCTGCCCCCTCTTTTACTTAATTTTGTTTTCAGGATTAAAAAAAAAAAATCCCAGTGACTATAACCTTTCCTTTCAGGTTTTATTTCTCAACTTTTTAATAATTTCAGTGGATTTTCCTTAAACTCTCTCCAAGCTTTCCAATCAAGACATCTTAGAGTTGGATGGTATCTTTGAGGTCACCTTATTCAACTACATCTCATGATGTGGAATTTCTTTTCTTCCTTTTTTTTTTCTTTTGAGACAGAGTTTTACTCTTGTTGCCCAGGCTGGAGTGCAATGGCGCGATCTCGGCTCACTGCAACCTCCGCATCTCAGGTTCAAGTGATTCTCCTGCCTCAGCCTCCTGAGTAGCTGGGATTATAGGCACCCACCAACCGCCTGGCGAATTTTTTGTATTTTTAGTAGAGACAGGGTTTCTCCATGTTGGTCAGGCTGGTCTTGAACTCCTGACCTCAGGTGATCCACCCACCTCAGCCTCCCAAAGTGCTGGGATTACAGGTGTGAGCACCTGGCCTCAAGATGTGGACTTTCTTTTATTCCTTTTCTTCTTTTTTTTTTTTTTGAGATGGAGTCTTACTCTGTCACCTAGACTGGAATGCAGAGTGCAATGGCACGATCTCGGCTCACTGCAATCTCTGCCTCCAAGGTTCAAGTGATTCTCCTGCCTCAGCCTCCCGAGTAGCTGGGATTACAGGTGCATGCCATGACGCCCAGCTAATTTTTGTATTTTTATTGGAGACAGGGTTTCCCCAAGTTGGCCAGGCTGGTCTTGAACTCCTGACCCCAAGTGATCCACCTGCCTCGGCCTCTCAAAGTGCTGGGATTATAGGCGTGAACCACTGTGCCCAGCCAAGATGTGGAATTTCAAACCAGACTGAGTACTGGAATTAGATCAGATGTCATTACAGTTTCTCATAACCCTATGCAGCCTGGCCAGCATATGCTTATTTTATCAGAAAACAGCAATTGTGGCTGATGATCACCATTAAAAGATAATTTACTAGAACTCCTTGAAAAGGAAAAACTCGTACAGTTGTTGGCATGCAGATGGCTGCATCTGCAGTGCTCCCCGTTATCTTTAGGAGAGTGAGATGTGCACACCTAAGCCAATGGACAGTGTCTTGGGGCTGCAGAAACATCTTGAAGAGGCATCCACTGACAAAAACCCAGATGATCAACCCCTGCTCTAAAGCCTCTTCTATCACTTTCCAAAATACATTAGTACTCATTTTGCACCCTGTTTATTTTCATTAAACATGTACTCCCATTCATTTATTGCTCGTTAACCCTCTTCTATTTCTCTCTTCTCCAATTTACTAATTCTCAACACTTACATCATATCACCTGGGTGCTTAAAGAGGTTAGTTTCTGTCTCACCATTGGGTCTTGATAAAATTGCATCATATAACGTAATACTTTAATTTAAAACAAAAAGTGGATTTAGCAAAGGTCAACTATAAAACAGTTGTCGTCATCCTTGAAATAAATTTTAAAATTGTACATGGAAGGGTAAACATGCATTACTATGCTATACCACAGAACAGTGGTCCTCAACCCCTGGACCATGGACTGGTACCGGTCCATGGCCTGTTAAGAACCAGGCCGTACAGCAGGAGGGTGGGTGACAGGTAAGCAAGCCTCTGCCTCCTGTCAGGTCAGTGGCAGTGTTAGATTCTCATAGGTGTGCAAACCCTATTGTGAACTGTGCATGCGAGGAATCTAGGTTGTGCCCTCCTTATGAGAATCTAACTAATGCCTGATGATCTGAGGAGGAACAGTTTCATCACAAAACCATCCATCCCACTCAGGTCCATGGAAAACTTGTCTTCCATGAAACTGGTCCCTGCTGCCAAAAAGGTTGGGGACTGTTGCTATAGAGAATTCAAAAAGCATACTAAGAAGGCAAACTTTTGTAGCATGTATGATATGCCAGGTGCTGTTCCAGACACTTTTACATAAACTTTTTAATCTTTACATATCAACCCAATGAGATAAGCAGACTATGTTATTCCCCACCTCATAGATGAGGGGACCGAGGCACAGGGAGGTGCGATAACTTGTTTGGGTTAGAATCCAGGCAGTCTGGGGCCAGAGTCTGCTGCCTCACAGAATACCAGGTAAAAGAAAGCTATGAACTGCTGGATCTTCAATTTCCGTAGCTTGACTTTCCTACAGCTGAGAAAGTCTTATGTATATTATACACTAACACTTATAAGTGACTTCGCCACACCAAATAACAAAGACCTTGAGTGATGTCTGGTGGTGCTTGGAGGCTGGGTGCAGCCCCAGCCCAGGCAGCTACAGCAGGGCTGCTTGGAAACAAGAGCTTGTGGCGGTGCTGGAGCTTGCCCGGCAGAAGTGTCCGTCTCCTCATTCTGGACAGGCAACAGTCAGCCAGGCCACCTTGCAGACCCTTCTGAATTTCAGGGGACCTCGCAGAACCCCTAGACTCCCAACCCCATGTGGCATGGAGGTGGCTTCCACATACACAGGAAGGTCCCTGGATTGGCCCAACCTCCCTTCCTATCCTGGTGCTGTCCTGGTCCACGGCAATCTCCCCTACCCTGCCATCCCTGTGAGGACGGCTGGGATGACAGCACTGCCTGGGACATAGGAAGCCCATTTTCCCAGGGTAGTCCTGCCTTCGTGTGGGGTGAGGCAGGGTCCACTGGCCCACTGTCACAGTGAGGATGAAGAAACACTCTTTTATTTGACCCACCTCCAGGAGTTCAAACCTCTTAAAACAGAGTTGTCCTGGCCTTCTTCACTGGCTAAGGAGGAGGAAGGCACCTGTGTTGATTTCCCCAGATACCCAGGCCAGGTTACAGAGATGGTAGCCCCATCTCTCTCACCAGCAGCCTCCCTCCCTGGTCCTCAGTGCCTGAAGGTTTTCACCCTCCCATCAGCTTGTCTGTACCCCCAAAGAGGCAATATCTTCCTACAAGGACCATAAATAAGCACTTTTTAAGTAAAGGATAATTAGAGTTAGGAACCTGTTTCTTTCTCACTTGGGACGCAAAATATAAAAACTAAAAATATCGACCAAAATGGAAGTACATGGTAAATGCAATCCTAAAACTCTCTAGTATTGAAAAGAACTCAGCTTTTCTTATTGGGTGTACTATCTCCTATAGTCTACGCACATAAGACTAGATGCTGCCCTTTGGCAGTTCTACAATGATTTTGAACAGAGATTTGAGAGTTGAAAACCGAGTGTTTATCTCTATAATTTCTTTTCTTGATGGAGGGCTGAGGCAATGCTTTTTATTCACATTATGCCAACTTTATGTTATAAAGTCAACCTGTTTTGGCATTTTCCAAGCCAAGGTATTGAAACTATTCAATGAATTATTTTCTATCACCATCTAATTGAAAAGAATATATATTCAGAGGGAAAAACAAGTAGACTTGATATCATTTTAACATCTTAATGGAAAATAGATTTAAGGATAAATATAATAAAGTGAGCTATCTTAAGTTTTATTGTAAGATATAATGCCTCAAGTAAACAGGCTCTCTTTATTTCTTAAAACTAGCTTCAGTGTTTACTGCTCATTTTCAGTTACTAAAAGTTACGTATATGTCATTCGAGGACAAACTGACATTGATGAATTGAAAGAGCTTTTCACTACCTACATATTGACAATCCTTATGATGCAAGTAATAGTTTTCAATATTTCTTCTGTGGGGGGGTTATATATTAACATGCATGTGCATATGCACATATACACATACAACACCCTTATCTAGGAATAGTGAGAATCAAAATACATGCTCAAAACTATTGTATTATTGTAATTTTGACATTCCTAATAAGTTTTTTATGGTATCGAGGCTTATATTTTCACTAAGATCCTTTATAAATTATCAAAATTATTTTTAAAAGGAAGTTTTATGAATAGAAAAATAGAGAATAAACATTTAAGCCAATCGTTGCTTACCAAACTTAAAAACGCTGTAATCATCATACAGCAAACTCTAAAAAATAGGTACTGATTTTAGGAGCATTTTCCCTTCGATTTAACTGGGAAACTTCCAGATTCAAAGAAAAGTTCTCCATCAATTAGACATTAATTCACCTATTAATGTCTAAGCCCTTCTTTCCCCTTTTCTTGCTGCAGATAATCAGGAACTAGCCTTGCTCTTCCCTGTTCTTCTGATTTATTAGGCCCAATATTTCCAGGATAAAGTAACAATAGAATATCCAATTAAATTATACATAATTGATATGTCTTTTCTTTGCATGTTGAAATGATTAATTATATAGAATCATACTTTGAAAATTAGGTTTGCTAAAAATCCCAAACATCACAAGTTAATATATTATATGATCACCACCAATTTTTGGCTAATAAAATGACAGCAGTATGTTTGTACTGTACAACTTTTAGACTCAATAATGATTAAAAAAGCCTAAAGACATAAATGAAAACATAACGTTTTGATATAATTTAACATTTAAAAATATAATTACACAGCCATACTTAAAGATGATTCATGGACACTCTACTGCTGAATACTAATATAATTTAGATAAATGTGGTTGTTTTAAATAAAAGAATAGTGAATAAATTATCAAATATTTACACTGCTCATATGAAATATTTATTAAAGTTTCACTTGCATATGCCTAAAAAGTCACACAAAATGTTTTCTTCAGATCTGGGCAAACCCAAAGCTAAATGTTTTTTTCAGTATTTCTAATAGAAAACTATTTGAACACATGCTAGAAGTCTTATACTGTGCTATGAAAATAAATCCCTCCCCTCCTGCTTCCACATGGAGTTCCTCAGCAGCATGAATGGTCTTGATTATCTCCACCCTTTCTAGACATTTCAGGCTTTTACATGGCAGGACTTCAGCAGACACATGTACACACTAACTCACTGGACAGCAATCACATTCCTAAGTAAATGTCCGTCATGATGGGACTTGGCATTTTCGTGGGTTTTGATTTGGGTTATGGTTAACGGAAGATGGTTTGGTTAGAGCAGTAGGTCAGGATCTTCACATGTGTTCCCGCTCCTTTGTCACCTCTCCTTTGCCTGGTATAGTGCCTGGTGACACAAAATTGTCTGATGTAGATTATAAAGCTAGGGAATTTATATTTTTTGAAATTATGTTTCAAAAGTATTTAACATTTTCACCATTCTGAAAAGAGAAATGCTTGAAAGTGTTACATTACAACATAAAATAAAATTCTAAAATTCATACATATATTAACCAACATTACCATACCTTTGGATTCATGTTTATTTTGGATAATGATAGAACATATTCACTAGGACACATTACAGATTTAGAAATTTTACACTTTTATGTGTAGTTTATTATGCCTCTTCCACTTATTAAAACTGAAAAATTAGATTAGTCTGGAACATAACCTAATTTATGTTGTATGTTGTTCTGCATTACAAGGTTCATTCCTTTTGTTAAGAAATACCAAGTTATTTAGTCATGTAACCAAACACCACCTGTTCCCCCAAAACCTATTGAAATAAAAAAACAAAAAGTGAATTCCCTTGATGATGGTGACTTCTTAGAGACTGATCTAGAATGAATACCTTCTAACTTAAAGCTCCTTTCACATTTTTACTTTTCCCAATACAATTTTAATAGTAAAACAATTGCATTGTTCAAAATAAATGCAATAAAAATATAAAGAAATACCAAGTTACAAAAAGATAAAATTAACCTTCTACTTTTGATATAACATCCAACATTTTTCTATTAAAATCATAATATTCATAAAATATGCAATATATGTCTTTTTTTCACATAGCAATTGCATTTGCAAATCTCCCAGAGTAATTACTGTGGCAAAATAACACTGACATTACTTGTCAGTCCTCTGACTTATACTTAGACTATCCACTTTCACTTAGTGGATTAAAATTTGTCTTTGCTGGTTTTATGAATAGGTAAAATTTTCTGATTTGCTTATTTGTAAAATAATATTATCTGTCTTGCCTACCTCATGGGATTAAATAGTTTTAGGAAAATGTAGTTAAAAATATTTACTGAGATTTTTGTTTTAGGTCCTGTGCAAGATATCAGAGTATAAAGATGAGATAGGACCCCTGCCAGTGAATCTAGGAATGGGAGACCAACAGGTTGACAGTAAGCGACTATGGTATGGTGCAATCAACAGCGTAATAGAGATGTGCTGAAGATGTCACAGAAACACAGACGAGGAGACAGTAGTTTCTGTCCAGCGGCAGGAGATGTCAGAAAAAGGTACAGAGAGAAGGTTGTATTTGAACTGAGCTTTAAAGGACCACCAGAAGTTGGTGAGAAGAACAAGAGATGAGTCTAAGCAAACATGTGCCAAGTGAAGACTTCAGAGGGGTCCAAGAAAACGGCCAGCACTCCCGTGTCACTCTGCCTAGGGGAGCACCAGGGGGCGAGGAGAGGTGGAGACAGGCAGGCTTGAAAACGAGGCAGAAAGGCAGCTATGGCCAGGCTATAAGCCGCCTTCTTGTGGTGTCAAGAAATGTGGACTTAATTCATAGTCAATAGAGAGTTTTCTGAAGTTTTTAAATATGAGAATGGTCAGATCAGACTAGTTTTAAGAAAATTCTGCAGAGGGTGGAGAAGAGGGAAACAGAAAGGAAGAAGGACTTGTTGGGAAGCAAATGTAGCAGAGAAATGGGGAGCTGAATGAGGAAGTGGGCATGGACAGGAAGGAGAGGGCAAGCGGGGCTGGTGGTGCTGCTGTGACCTGGACAGGGAAGGCACAAACGAAAGAAGACCCTGGGGAGGGCGCGGCGGATAGGGATCAGTGGGAAGGTGTCAGAGGAAATAATGAGCTCAGTGTGAGAATTCAGGTGGAGGGACTGAGCACACAGAAATATGTTAGAGAGTGAGGAAAATGAATTTGGAGCTTAGGAACAGGTTTATGAAAAGAAAGGCAGATTTGGGAGGAACCAGCACATAGAGAGATGTGGAAGGAATAGACCCTGCACTCAGCCCTGTTCCTGGTACACAGCAGCTTCTCCAGGAATGTTTGTTAAAAAATCCAATGTAAATGGTTGAGAAAGTCCATGAAGAGTAGATAGAGTGAAAAGACCAAAAGGATGAGGATAAAACGACAGGAGACACTAGCAGTATAAGGGGTGGGCAGAAAAGAAAGACCTGGGCTCATTGTACACATTGTAGACCTGAAATATAATATTTTATCTAATATTTTATTTTTAAATTAAATATTTCAAGGTTGTTCCCAATGTACAAATCACCTTTAAAAGAGGATTTTGTGATAAATTAATGTAGTTAATAACAAAATTGCTTTGAAGGTTGACAGTATTTAAACTTTTAAATGATAACCCTTTATCAAGTAGTAATTATCTGACTCAGAGATCAGAAAATCAATTATTAAAAAGTCAAATTTCTGCAATCAAAAACATATATTTGAATTAAATTTAACATTTTAATCTACAAATACTTGCCAACTCAAAACACTCTAATTTCTCTAATTTTAACTTTAAATTTCATCAGTTATCCACAAATTATGTTTTAGAAAGCCCAATGTATAATATACTTAAGATTTCTCCAAGTATAATTATTTTTTTCTCCAAGTATAATTATAAAAAGAAAAAATATACTATTAAACATTAGGAGGCCGGGAGCGGTGGCTCACGCCTGTAATCCCAGCACTTTGGGAGGCCAAGGCGGGTGGATCACGAGGTCAGGAGATCGAGACTATCGTGGCTAACATGGTGAAACCCCGTCTCTACTAAAAATACAAAAAATTAGCTGGGTGTTGTGGCGGGCGCCTGTAGTCGCAGCTACTCGGGAGGCTGAGGCAGGAGAATGGCGTGAACCCGGGAGGTGGAGCTTGCAGTGAGCTGAGATTGGGCCACTGCACTCCAGCCTGGGTGACAGAGCGAGATTCCGTCTCAAAAAAAAAAAAAAAAGTTAGGAAAGATAACAAAAAAGGAATTAAACTGGAACTTGTATATATTTGTGGATGTACATGCCTGTATACATACATACACACATATGTACTGGTTGCTCACTTAGATATGCAGATTCTTCTCGAACACACAAAAAAATTAACCAAATTAATGACTTTAAAAAATCTACATTAGTGATCATAATCACCAATTTGGTTTTGATACAAATTTCAATTAGTCTCTGTATTCATAAGCTAGAATCAATGCAAAAAATGCTGGATACTTTACTACTAATTATAGCCACACAATTCATATTTATATAAGCATTCCCTATAGTTTGGCCAAAGGTAATTTACCTGAATGAAAGGGAAAGTGAATATCCTATCACTAAAATTAAATTTTAGAGGAATATCTATTTAATGTTCTTAAAGTGGGAGATATATTGGCTTAAACCTTTGTATCTTTAATGCAATCATACTGCCTAATGATAAGCAAAACTAAAAGGTCAATTCATTACAAAATTCAATATTTGGACCATCAAACTCTTTAGTACTTAATAAGCAATTAATATTTGTCAATGAAAAATGTTGTGGTAATACAGGTGAAAATCAATAACACAAGCCCACTTGTTGCACTACCACTGACAAGCTATCTAAATAACTACAATCTTGAAGAAAAAAAAAAAACTGCTTTGATGTTTTAACTTATGTTCTTTCCAAGCAGACGTGAATCCTGTGATGCTCTCTGTTTATAACACAGAATGCACTTTGTTAGTAATCTGCTCATAATTACTATCATGCATGTGACCCAGAGACGTGTGCCTTAAAATAACATTCTATGCCTTATTACAGATGCTATTAAGGGCACACTTTAATACTATGCATGCTAATTTTATTCACTTTAAAGAAAAAAGCATCTAAAACTCAACCAGAAGCTTTCCATTTAATATAATATTTTCCTTTAGGAGTAAGTATATGAGAAGGTAGTTTGGACACACTTCTGAGGCTTAAAAGACTTTATATATGAACTTTGCATTAGCAAAAATAATTTTTAGTAGAAGCATAATTTTTATTTAGACCAAGCTTGTCCAACCTGTGGTCTATGGGCCACATGCGGCCCAGGATGGCTTTGAATGTGGCCCAACACAAATTCATAAACTTTCTTAAAAGATGAGATTTTTTGTTTTTAGCTCATAAGCTAGCATTAGTGTTAGTATATTTTATGTGTGTGGACCAAGACAATTCTTCTTCTTCCAGTATGGCCCAGGAAAGTCAAAAGATTAAGACACCCCTGATTTAAATATTTTTTTCTTTGAAAAACACCGGGAAAAATATAAAAAAAGAAACTAAAAATTACCTATAGTACTACTATTTTTGGGGTACTTATAATAAAACTGAAAACCCTACCCAAATATACTTACTCATCAAATCCCATCCCTCAGAAGAACCACCATAAGTCACTGGCTTACAGTCTTCCAGATTTCATATTAGCTTGTCTTTGAAATCTTAAAGTTTATCAGATTTTCCTGGTATAAACAATTTCATACTCCTATGCACTATTTTATTTTTCCATAAAAATATTTTACTTGCTCAGAGATGAGAGTCATAGTTGCCAGATCACTTTAAATGTTGAAATTAAAATTATAACATTACATGGTAAGTGTAATATTATATGGTAAATGCATGCTCCCTAAAACTGTGCTTCTGCTTTTTTTAAAAAAGGAAGATTATTAACAAAAAAAATTATTTAACATACATTTAGTTGCTTTTATAGTTTAGAAATGATAAGGACATCATTTTTTTAAACAGTTTTTTATAATATGATAATAGTTTTATGCTAAACATTTCTATTTAACAGTCAATTGAGATTAGTGGTTAGATACAGCATTGTACATTAAGATGCCTGACACGGTATTATAAAATACAGATTTTTAATTTATGACTGTTCAGGTGTCAGAGTTTATAACTGCTTTGCCAAAGGTTAAATTACAAAGGAAGTCAACCAGGAAACCCAAGAGTACTCTTTAAATATGATACAGGCCTTCAACTCAAGGTGTGAGTACGAGTTAATACAGAACTACAAATGCCATTTATGGGTTTCATCTTTGGAAAGTTTAGACTTCACTGAGAAATCTGACTCATACTTCCTGTTCCAGCTATGAAAAACTCAGAACTCAATGTCATAATGGGCTCACTGAAAGGCAAATTCTGCTTGCAAAGTTAAAAAAGAGTGAAACTGTAAGAACTGTTTTGATCTGTAAAATATTGATAACTAATATAACTTTAAATACAAGAAATCCTTCTATTTGTAGTTCTGTATATTTACTGTGTCACTCCTGGCTATTCCGTATGCAATGTGGTAATTTTTAAAATGACCTGCTAGTGACATTTTTACGTTTAGTAGGTTGCAGTGTTTCCACATGGGCAGCCATCAAATGAGAGGTCCTAAAGTTTGTTTGGAATTCAGTTGTTTGGAACTCTGCACACCTTTAAACAGGAACAATGCGACAGATAGATTTCTGGGCCAGTTTCCAAAAGCCAAGAGAATTCTTAATGTTGTAGAATTTATAGTGCCAGTTCAATCTCCTAAGTACTATTTATAATAGTTTCTATGGGGAAAAGCATTTCAAGGTCCAAGCCAGCCCCAAGGAACTTAATTGTCTACTGTAGACACCAGAGACATATAACTTCTAACATCTCTGGATATACAGGAGGAATATATGTGTGGTACTAGGCCAGGGTGGTATGTGTGGGATGTCAGAGGGAAGTATGAGATTACCTATCTGGAGCTCCTAGATATTAGATTCATCCAAAGCTCTAAGCTAAAATCAGGGAGACATTCATTTACCTCCTCCTACACCCATAACCTCAGGTAGAAGTTAAATTATGGGATTACTGTGTAGGCCAGGTGAGAAACCTTGGAGATTTTCTGGGTATGAATGATTACAAAGGCTAGGGTGTGTGTGTGCGCGCACACACACATACACACATGTGGAGGGTATAATATAATGCGGAGGGTATGATATAACATACATATAATGTGAAGGGTATAACACACACCCTCCATGCGGAGGGAATACTATATTCAAAAGCCTAAAGGAAGGAGAGTATAGCTTGTTGGGGAAAAACAAACAAACAAAAAGCCCTCCAGAATGATCAATATTTACAGTGCAAGGAATGAAGTGGAGTCAGATAAGCATAGTTGGCAAATTAGTCTGAAGACAGACCATAAAGGGCCCCGTGATTTTCTGTGAATATGCACTGTGAACACATATTTAACGTAAGGATTATTAAATCCAACAATCATAATATTTTAAAAAATATTTACTGAAAGATTCGTGTGATCCAAATCATTACATTTTGCATCTAATTTAACTTTGAAAAGACAGCTATTTAATACTAGATTAATCCCTGAACATTTTGCTATTTATGGAGATCAAAAACCTGAGTAACAACATGGTTTTGTTCATTCTATATTTAGAAAGTGTGTTTGAGTTTTGAGTAACAAAATGGTGAATAACTAGATCACTCTCTCTGAGTAATTAGAGAGTGCTTTTTAAAGGACTTTTTAAAGGACTTTAAAAAGAGTGCTTTTTAAATGTTGTTCAAAAAGTAACAACATTTCCTTTGAATTGAGGCAGATCTAAAAGCAAAATGTCCTTTTTTGTATTTTTTTAGTATAATTTCTATTTCAAACATAGCATTAGTCTTAAATTGATAATAGCTTTGTTTTGGAATGCTTAGATTTATAAAAGTTCTTTATGAATTTTAAACACTGAAGAAGCACAAAACACAGAAGGGGTAATTACTGAAGTTCATCCATGTTTAAGTTTGGCTTCTGTGGACACTGTAATAAATCTATACTAATGCATCTCACAAATGCCTCATAAATTTACATCTTCTTTGATTTCTCAACAATTTTCAACAATAGCAAGATGAAACTGCAGTGAAATATCAAGATGTATAATTTACATAAATGTTGTATAAAATTAATAACTGATTTTTTAAAGTCAGGCATCTTTGCACTGATTATTAGAACTGTTTAGAATGTGAACTGAATGACTTTTGATGGCTGCACACTCAAGGACAACAGTGAGTGACCTTGAACAGCAGTGTATAAAAATACATTTATCACTGAAATGGCATGCTGGCTGCCAGTCAATATATGCCTCTCATTTGTTAGGAGGCTCTCCTGCTGTGATTCCCTCATTACAATTTTGCTTTTACTTCCTGGGCAAATGACAACTAGAAAATGAGGCGGTTTCTTTCTTGACCAAACTTAATCCAGAAAAAATGAGCTGACAGCTGCAGCCATTCAAGTGTTACAGAACATTTTACACGTTTGTAAAAGACATGATTATATATTCTAAATACTATATCACTAAATGTGACAGCCAACAAGTTATCTTACTTTCTTAGTCTCTTTTCGCTTATAGAATAGCTTCTTATATCCTCTTCAATCTATTTTTCTAATTAAATAATTTCTGGTGTAGGATGCGATAAACAGTAATTCAGAGACACATTGTGGAAAACTTTCCTGGATACTTAACAAAAATGTATGCAGCTAAAGTCTGACTACAGAAATAACTCCTGTCCTAGTTTTTATGATAATTATTTTCAATGCACAGTTTACATTTTTCTAGGATGCAAAAATAGGTATCCATTTAGATAATTTATTTGTACTATATGTATGTTCATATCAATAAAGAAAATTATAGTACAGTCACATATAGGTTTAAGTTATGTTTAATTTTTTTATGTAAGCATTTTCTGACCCAAAGATTTCTAGTCTGGGTTCGAGACAACTCAGGGCATAGTACATTATCATAGACACTATGAAATTATCACAAAATGCTGAAGCTCAAAACAATTTTTCCTTTTATTTAAAAATATAGATATTATTATGGAAAGCACCTCAGGAGGGGTAAAACAAAGGGAATGAAAACCTGAACAAACAATAATAAGGTTTAGAAATAAACTCCAAAAGTAATGACTGCTCTAATCATGGGTATTTTTGCTTTTCCTTTATTTAACATGGTTAAAGAATTTCGGTTCCAGTGTAGACAGGCCCAGTTTTCTAGTTAGGGTTCATATTTGGTATTCTATATCCAGAAATTTAATATTAGTTCTTAGTAAGGAAACAGATTGAAATACAGGTTAGGCAGATAAACATAAACGTGATGCTAAGAGAAACAAGCTAGACACAAACAGTTACATGCTGTATGATTCCATTTATATAAAATTCTTAATCAGGCAAAAACCACAGTGCAAGAAAGATTGGTGATTGTCAGGGGAAGAGGACTGACTGCAAAGGGGCAGAAGGACACTTTTTGGGTAATGGATATGTTCTTATCCTGATTATGGTGGTGGTCACATGGTTGTATACATTTGCTACCACTTATCAAACTGTGCACTTAAAACAAGTGAAGTTATTTTATGTGTATTTTACCTCATTAAGGCAGTTACCTATGCCACATGCACAGAAAAATAGATACATCAGGAAAGAGTGAGTTGGAGCTTTTGTTGCTCCTGCCTGGATCCACTGAGAAATGAACATGCAAAAGGCTCACTATTGAGAGCACAAGGCTAAGGCTGTTCCCCAGAACGCATTTTCAAGTTTTCCATCAGGTCTCAACCGACAGTGCTCCCACAATTTCCCTTGGGGAAACTTAACCACAAGCTACCATTTCTCGGTAAGGATGCCTTTCCTGTAAATCTGCTGGAAGTGTTCTTCTCCTTGAATTCTTGTTCATCACTCTCTAGTAGATTTGTGTATGCCACAAGTGATATATACATATTTTTTAAATATAAGCTAGACATTTTTGCTTAATTTATATTACTAGCTATTGATTCAGGATTGCTTGTCCAAACCATTCTTAATGTTTTTATTTTTGGGCCCTAAACATAAACTTACATCTCTCTCTCTCTCTCTCTCTCTCTCTCTCTCTCTCTCTCTTTTGTAGAGATGGGGTCTCATGGTTTTACACTATGTTGTCCAGGCTGGTCTCCAACTCCTGGGCCCAACTGATCCTCCCATGTTGGCCTCCTAAAGTGCTGGGATTCACTATACATGGCCCTACATTTACATCTCTTATTGTCCACTAATATTTATATTCAACTGAAAAGCTAAAGAATTTAGAGAAATATTTTTAAAATTCCAGAATATATAAACCTCTATACGCTAAAGATTCTACACCAGAAATTTATTAAGAGCTATCTTTAATAAACAGCACAGTCCCAGAATTGACAGTCTAGCTTTTACAAGAAGAAAGCTTTTGAACATTTTCTAGAACAACAACCAAACTATAAGAAAATAATACAATCATGCACTTCCTGTGTGCATCACTGCAGTTTTAAAAGGGCTTTCCTCTTCTCTGAAGGCTTGTGAGTAGAGAGTAATCAGTTAAATAGTGCTGTTTGAGCTTACAAATGTTCAATGAGCAAATTCTCTTCCAAAAATAGATTACAAAACCACTAAAAAACAAAATGATTATGGCCCATTAGAAAAAATAAATCTTTTTACAGAATATGGTACATATAGCTAAAATAACCCAACAAAGGGGCACAGGAAACAAAAATAATATTCAATGAAGGCAGAAAAAAATCAATATTTTTATATCGTGCTTAATTGACACCTTTTTTATTAAGAAAAACAGGAAATTAAATAATACAGGATCAGTGGAAATCAGCAAGAATACGATTCATTAAGCCTTCTCTTCTTCTTGGCCACTGAATTACTTCTGGTTTATAACAGGCTTTTAAAAGTATAAATGTGATTTTAGTTAATTAAATACAAATACTAATAAATCTCTTTTAAACTACTTCATAAAGGGAAGGATTATACTGTCAGGATTTTGGTTTACTGACATTCTCCCTGAATGTTTCCATACTAGAGCTCTTATTCTATGACTAAAAATATTTGGATACTTCCAATTCTTCATGCCCAGTCTGCTCCCAGCTGAGGAAATTGTGGTACGCTGGCCAGCTGCAGCACTGTTCCAGGTCCAGAGGATAGGAATTTGTCACAGAGAATTCTGCCTCAAATGCAACTGAAGTGGAGGGAATTTTGTTGACAGGAGAAGCTCATAGCGGTCAAAAGATGGGAGATCCCTTCTGTTCAGAGAACTATCTTGACAAGGCCTTGGGTGGTCCGTTCTCTAGGGGGGTTTTCTAGCAGTCCTATTTCTGCCCCAGCTACAAGGTTCTCCGCAGTTTTCTACTTTTCTTGCCATCCTTCCTCCTGTCTCCTTGGTATTGTTGGATTTATTGTATAAGATGATAGTGTAAGAGCATTAAATTTGCATTAGTTTCTGTTATTTTTCCTTAGTTGTTTTCTCTACTATAATATATCTCTACCTTTTCTCAGCTGTCAACACAAAGAACATCTTTCCTTGATAAGTGCCCACCACCCTTTTTTCTAGAGATTTTTCAAGGACTTAGATAGCCCAGACTAATATAGGGGCTGACATCATGGAGAAAGATTAAAAATAATTTTTTACTTCTCTTTCCTATTATTTTAGTCACCTCAGAATAAGTGGTTTAAAAGAGTTCTATGGATTTCTCTTTCTGTTCAACTGAAGTTTAATACATAAACCATTATCACTACTTCATATATATTTCCTAATATTTACTTATTCCTAAAATATTTATCTCTAATATCTCCACCCATCTAACAAATTTAACTTTTCTATATTTCTGTATTCAAAAACATTCCCCCAAACCCTAAATTCTTCACCAGGCTTCTTCTAACACACACAGTACAAAGAAACCAGATGGATTTTGTAGAATATGAAAAGACTTAGAACTCTGTTATTGTTTGCCATGCAGCCTCACATCAAACTAAAAGGTTATACTGTGAGGATTTCATTTCACTGACAGCCTCTGTAAACTTCTTCACACTATATTTGCGAATATAAGATTCCATAAATATTTTCATAACTCTGACTTCTTCCTGCAGGACATCCCCAGACATTGGAAATTGGAAATAATACCTTATATATGACACATTATTCATACTAGTAGTTGGAAAAACTGTTGCTAAAAGCTTGTTTTCTTCAGCTATTAAGCGCTACGATGTACCATCAAGAACTTGGGACAATCAAGAATAAGGCCTGCCATTTCTTAAGTATTCAGTATTTTTAAATTTTTAAAATATATGCTCTCATTTTATAAGTAGAATAATCACTTATTTCTCTTATATAAATAGCCACTTAAATCACATTCAGACCCACAAAAAAAGACTATTCCTTGGGTAAGAAAGATGACATTCTATGTACACAATTTAGTACATTTAATTTTTAGTGACTTGCTTTTGTATAATGACATTTTACAAAGATTTTAACAGTTATTGTATCATTTGATGGCAAACTCATTGAAGTGGACCTTCTAGCTTCAGCTCATATTCCTTAATAGAATTCTATGTGGGATGTGCTATAAAAGCAAACAGCAGAGTAAAGAAGTACAGAAGTTAAACGATTAATTCAAAGCTACTAAGACCACTGTTTTCAAGTCTGCTGATAGAGTTTAACTCTTTCCCTGCAGATCATTATGTCCCACGAAGTATGCCCCGACTCCCATGTTTTAGGAAGGTCTACTTTGGCCCAATGTTATCAAATAGAACCCATAAAATACCTGCATTATGCCTACAATTGCAGAGTCAAATATATGTGCAGAGAGATGGCAGCAGTTGACCTTTGCTGCTGTGATGCCCAGTGAAAATCCTGGGGAACGAGCACAGCTCCCAAGAGACCCGAGTTTAAACCCAATCTCTCATGGGTCTGAGAGAGTAACACAGGCACAAAAATTACGGATACCTAAGTCTTCACTGCTTATACCTTGGGGCTTTTTGATATCAAACTTTTGAAAAATGACCTCAGCACTCTCCTCCCAGGTTTTAGAAGCCCCATGATGTCCAAATATACACCTGATTTGTCTTCACTCCTTTGCTTTGTTTTGCACAGAACATAAAGAAAGCCATACATGATAAGAAGTGTGGCTTCTCCGCTGCTCTTCATCCTTCCTGGAAAGATGATCAAGAAAAATGGCTTATCTAATATCAGATCCAGGAGGAAGGAAAGTTTTATAACACAGACACATACACGTTTATGATTTAATCAGGAGACATATAATTGAATTTAAAAAACTGCAAAGGAGAAAGGCTGATTACCTTCTCCAACACTTTTAGCTCTTGCTATATACATTTTACATCCCACTGTTATAGGCCGCTATTTGCTCATCTGTTTATACTCTAAGTAATTTATTCATCTTTCTTCTGAAAAAGATGGAATCTAGAGATCAATCCAAGTGCCAAAAAAAATCCCAAGATGAATTAAAATATATTTTTTACAAGGAGTGAATAATTTTCAAAGGCTTTAAAAAAAGCTGTAGGTTATATCTGTTTGTTTTTAAGAAGCCCTAAATAAACAACTTTTCCCTACCTCCTTTGGTTGACAAGGTCTTCGTTATTGGTCCAAATAGAGATAAGCACCCTTTGGATAATTCAGCATAACTCTGTATTTCACTTTGTCAGGCAACAACCCACCCACATAATATTTACAATAATGCATTAACTTCTGGTTTGAGTCATTAATACCCAACCTTACAAGTCAAATAGTAAATGCCCCCCAGATCTGACCCATGGGGAAATTCAAGAATGAACGTTGTCTTCTCAGCAAACACTGTGGCTTTGCCTGAGATGTTTACAAGTGTGATAAACATTTATTTTTTTCTATATCTGCCACTACTGTGAGATTATTGATCAAATCATAGTTGAAAACACTCTGCCAGGGAGCATGGAGAAGAATATGTTGTTTCTGAAAAGTAATTGCTTCCTTTCCTCTGAACAATTCATTGTTTATCCAGGTTTGTTTTAAATTTGATTTTTTAAGGTCTCAATGCAAGTCATACTCTAAGATGCTCAGAAAATTAAGTATTTAAATTCCATAATTTTCACTAACAGTAAATTCATATGATACTGTTTCTGGTTAAGATATGTTATTCTTTGTTACTCCTTTTGTATTAAGCTTAGAAAAGATCCAGTTTTTTTTTCTTCTTCTTAGTATATTTGCAGGTAAATTTTATAGAATATCATGTGCGTTTTTCTACTCAAGTGAAACATTAGCAAAGCATTTAAAAATAAGTTTAAGTGCTATATGACAGTTACAGGCTAAAAATAATGAGGAATATTTGTGGATAGGTAGATATGGAACATCCTGCTGTCTGCTGAAAGCCTGATTTTAAGCTCCATTTTGTACTGATTGAAAGCTGAAGGAAGTAATGAGGCAGCCTCCCCTGCCCACTTCCTAATAATTCTGGGCACTTCTAACTCCACTGAGGGTTCTATTAGACTAACTGCCTCAAAGTTGAAAGGAAAACAAAATTTTTACCAGACATCGTCTAATTCTACATGATTTCCTAATCTACCAGCAGCCTAATTTTATTTCTATCCTAGCTGATAACCTTTTGGTTACAACCATTTGTCAAAACTACTAAAAATTTTACATTTCCAAATTAAGAAATGTAATCTCTCTGATAAATTTGGTCGTAATACTGTTTTATCTTTCTGAAAATGTAATTTCTAAATGCTTTCTATGATGTATGAACTATGCAAAAGTCTCTTTCAAAGCCCCAGAATCTATTAGATGAATCCCTTATTTCTTCTCTCTATAATTATATGCACAAAAGAGCATGCTTTATATAGAATCTAATCTTTCCTTTTAATTAGGTTCACCTAAAAAAGAAAAAAGAAAAAAAGAAGCAGTTACCAGCTCTCACACAGACAGTAGATGCTTGATGAACAATTTAGGAGCAGAAACAGATTCTCAATCAATTTATATTACAGGAAATTTTTAATTCATGTGTAAATTAATCAGGGTAAGAAGAGATCACAGTCAGCTCCTTATTAAATACTTCTAAACTCACTTTAAAAAGTGGGACATGCTGATGCTCCATATCCCTTTGGCACATCTCAAATTATTGCTCTATTCTGACCTTTGGAATCATTACGCCTGAAAAAAAACAAGTGGCCCAGGTACCAAATGTGCATTAATTCCAACCACCTGCTCTGTGGAGCCCAGCTTCTATATGTATAGCACAATGGACAAAATAGCTCTTCACCTGCAGACCCCATTCTATCTCCATGACAATGCCTTGGGAAAGGAACCCACGGACATGCACACATCACACCAAGCTCAGAGAGCTGACGCTGGGACTCAGTCTGGGGATGTAGTACACACAGACAGGAGGCAGAGGTCAGAGGAACATCAGAAACAGGGAGGATCCCTGTGGGTTCTAGTAGTTCTCATGAAATCTCAAGTGAAAATAACTTTGTAATGTTTTGTGGTATAAAGGACTAAATTTTAGAAATTTGGGATGAATGACTGGAGGTGGAGGATGAAAGAAAAGCAAATCTACGAATTTAGTTAGAACTAGGAAAAGTTCAAAAATAGGCGATTATGAACATGACTTAGAAAAAAACTGTGATGTCAAATAATCTCAGCAGTGTTTACTGAATACAGAATGAGTGATGTACGGAACATACTTCTTAGTACATGTAGATCTACTTTCAGTAGTATGCAATTCTGACTATCAATCAGATCCTTCCCCAACCCTAATAGATGCTACACATTCTACAATCATTTATACCATGCTTAAATGAAACCACATATTTCATACCCTTAAAAACTTGTTTCTGCCATGGAATATCAGGGAATAAGCATTTTGAAGAGGAACCCATCCTATGAATTCAGGTAAAATGTGTGTTTCTGAGGAAATAGGCAGGATTTTACCAAAAGGTTTCTCAATGTCCTCCTCTATCTTAATTTATCCTATAACTATAGGCAGTTACTAAGCACACCAGTAACCCCTTTCAGAATTTAATATCCTTAGCTTTATACCAGACTCAGAAAATATAGAAGTCTGAGTTTCAAAAGGAAGTTTTTTTTCTCTCATATTCTAGCTTAAATTATTTCAACACAACAAATACGAAGAGCAACTAAAAAAACTAAATTGTTTTAGCAACTTAGATTCTAAATTTGATAATTTAATTCACGTGAGAAATGCACCACTGGTTCCTGAAATTTTTGTTGAAAGAATTAATAAATTACTAGAAATTTAACACTGTCTAGCCTCTGGTGAGTTTGTAAAATCCTCTGTTAAAATCTTGAAGCCTAGAACTCTGGATGCTAGAATGAAGAGAAGCTATGCTATTAGTGGGTTTGAAAGACTGAATGTGTGCTAGAGTAGCATGCAATGGGATTTTTCTTCCCATAATGATCACTACAGGGTATAGTTCATGGATAGATGGTTTACCAAGATAGGATGCTGAAAATCTTGCTACTTATTTTAAAAGCACAGAACCTATTCAATTATGCCCTTGCAAAAGTAAACATATTCAGCCAACATCATAAGAGTTTGCAATTAAATTTTTCAGGGAAAACTTTAGGAGAGAAAACACACAAAAAGAAAAAATTCCCAGGACTTATGTGAACAAACTCTTTTTTTTAAAAAGATGAGAGAGCACATTTAATGGTAAAAATTTAACAGAATCATTGAACAAGTAACTCAGAAATGCTACAAGCATAACAAAACTCACATGTTTCCAAGGATTTTCACTTACTTCAACAGAACATACATAACACACACAGAATACAATGAAAATGCCCCTTTAAATAGTAATGAATGGGCTGGTGCAGTGGCTCAAGCCTGTAATCCTAGCACTTTGGGAGGCTGAGGCAGGCAAATCGCTTGAGCTCAGGAGTTCGAGACTAGCCTGGCCAACATGGAGAAACCCCATCTCTACAGAAAGAATACAAAAAAATTAGCCAGGCGTGGTGGCGTATGCCTGTAGTCCTAGCTACTTGTGGGGCTGAGGTGGGAGGATTGCTTGAGCCCAGGAGGTCGAGGCTGCAATGAGCCAAGATGGTGACACTGCCCTCTAGACTGGGTGACACAGTGAGACCCTGTCTCAAGAAGAAAAAAAAAAAAAAAGAAAAAAAAAGTAATGGATGAAAAAAATAAATAAAGAGTAACAGATGAGCGATGACACTTGTTCCATTCAAATCAACGACAATATAAAGTAAGCGGTATACTAGTGAGGAACACTATGTCTCCCCAGGCACCTGCCTACAATTGACTGGCAACAATTTATCTGTTTGATTTCTGCCAAATATGTATCCAGTAATCCGAAGATTATCCTCTGAGATGACTGATCACTTTACAGGAAAATATCATTCCTGTGAAGGGGTTTCCTATAAATTCGGATGAACAGGAAAAACACACACTCATCTCCCTCCCGCATCCCACCATCTTCCCTAGACAAAAGCTCCTTTTGACAGCCTGAACAAAAATGCTTTGCTAACACACTTAAAATGGAGCATTTACAGAGTTAAAAGCTGAAAAGGCCTATCCTGGGAGATGGAGGGAAATTAGATACATTTCTGCATTTCTTTTGATACAAATTCAATTTTTTAAGAGCCTTTACCCTAGACACGACGTCACACTTTTTACGATAATAAAAATTTAAAATCACAGTACTGGATGATGTGGCTTCAAGAGTGGTCAGCAACTTTACAATTTTTCCAGGCAGCCTCATCTCATTATAGCAGATGGCATCATTCCAAAAGAAAATAAAAGAAAAAAATTAAATTGATTACTATGTCAACCTTGGCATCCATATGCCAAATTGTTTTTTGATAAGAGCTAAGTATTAGGTAGAAACTCGAGAAAAATTATTTTCTCAATTCCAAATTCTTGCTATAAGAATTTCTTAAGTTCATAGATGCATATTTAAACAATCTGAGTATTTCCAAAATAACCAGCTTTTAAACTTTCCTTCTAAGGAGACCAATTTATTCATCTACTAAGTACCTTGTTTCTTCCCTCAAATTACTCCATTTCATCTAAACTATTTGTCACATATGTAAAAACAGATATAATATATAGTCAATTACCAGCAATAGAGCTTTGGGTTTGAGTTTGGGAGGTGTAGAATTTCAGAAAATGTTAGGTTATTACAGCAGTGAGTCAGCTTGTAGTTTGAATCAGCAAGGATCATTATCTATCAAAACATCAGTATGGTTTACCTACTGCTCTCATTCAAGCCCCAAATGAGGACAAACAACTATCCAGACCTGGGACATGTCTCTTCATGAGAAACTTACCAAATGCATGCTGTAGGTTCTTTTAACTATCGTATCCCTGAACTTCTAGTTCAGTGAAATATTTGGGAATTGATTGGATTGGCTTAGAGAAGTCACAGGACAAGACTGAGGAAGACAATGCGCCAGAAAATGTCTGGTTCATCATACCTTCATTTGA
Source organism: Homo sapiens (assembly GCF_000001405.40). Classification (NCBI taxonomy): domain Eukaryota; kingdom Metazoa; phylum Chordata; class Mammalia; order Primates; family Hominidae; genus Homo; species Homo sapiens. The sequence continues at coordinate 56,992,687 of NC_000018.10, read as the reverse complement.
CTAGGTTTGCATTACATCATTTTTCAAAATAATTACTATCTTTTACCTGGAATAGTTCTCCATTACCGTTATATGTTCCGTGTGGCCCTAATGTTAACTTCCAATTCATACTCCTAATTAAGACATAGACCTTTTCAGAGTTTTGTTAAAAATATGTTAATTTCTACTTTTGGCCAAAATTCAAGCTTTAATATTAATTTTAAAATTAGCTTAAGAAAGTTCACTCCTTTGGGAATAATCTCTGTATGCAGTCTCCACACTATCCCATATTTGCCTTGATACTGGTCCTATCATTTTTGAGATAACCAAGTTTGTTAAGAAACATTCCACATAGATAATTTCATCATCATAAAGATATTCCATAGTTTCTTCCCATAGACATTTAAATTCACCAAGTGACAAGTTGCTCTGTTCTATCGCTAGTTACATAAAGAAGGCAGGCACTCTCAGCTTTCCAGCTCTAAAGCATTCATATTAATGCATTTTGCTACTGATAGGTCTAGCTCGGAATAGATTCTTAGGCTGAAGGAGTGATTACAGAAGATCAGTTGTCTTAAGATAGGTAAGGAAAAAGGAAGTTGTTATTTGATTAGCTAAATTATTCTTTTTCATTATGAGTACTTTATAAAATTAAACAGCATGGGCTTGAGGTTATTTTACACTGAGCAGGACTCGTTTTCTATTTTAATTGATTAATATGATTAATTAGAAGAAGAAATGGAGAATATTAAAAATCAGGCAAAATACATTTGTAACAAAAATAATATATTTTGAAAGCCATGAATAGTCTGAACATTTTATTAAATTACACATGAACTCATAATGGGAAACTGAACTGACAGATACAGATCATCTCTCTCCATTAACAGTTTGTTCTTAGAGATCGCTGGGATCACATTTTAAAGCAGGGTATTAGTATTCACAATTTAAATAATATCTTGGGCTGTTGCCAATAAGCCACATTTCAAATAAAGGTATCAGTTATGGAGAGTTCAACAAAGACAGATTCCTTTTTCTTTCTTACTCTATAATCACTCACACTTCCAAATCCATAGCTATGGACTGCCCACAGGCTCAGTGTTGTCCATAAACCTGTTTTGTTTGGTCCACATAATGTCTAAAATTTTTAGAGTTCTTTTTTCCCCCCAACAGGGTTAGGCAATCTCTAGTCTCATGGTCCCTTGCCTCCTTCAGGATTACTCCAACTCTCATTTGGCCAGTTTCTCCAATATTTAAAAAATGAGGCCGGGCATGGTGGCTCATGCCTGTAATCCTAGCACTTTGGGAGGCCAAGGCAGGCGGATCACGAGGTCAGAAGATCGAGACCATCCTGGCTAACACGGTGAAACCCGTCTCTACCAAAAATACAAAAAATCAGCCGGGAGTGGTGACGGACGCCTGTAGTCCCAGCTACTCGGGAGGCTGAGGCAGGAGAATGGCATGAACCCAGGAGGCGGAGCTTGCGGTGAGCCGCGATCGTGCCACTTCACTCCAGCCTGGGCGACAGAGCGAGACTCCGTCTCAAAAAAAAAAAAAAAAAAAAATGAGGAGAAGGTGTACGGTAGCTAGTAAGAGGTGGTGCTATCTTCATAAGTTGTGTCCAAAGCTGAGAAAGGCACATGCCCTGACTTTCATCACAGGAGAACAGGCAGTGAGCAACCCAACCTGAATGGGAACTGAATGGAATGAGAATCAGTCTAGTACCTAACAATACAATTTGGTGTACTAGTGAGGTAGTAAGTAGTTGTTGGGTTTAGGAATAAGTGAGGAAAGAAGAGAACCCGGAATGGGGAAATGGCATATGCAAAGGTCCTGGGGTGAGAGAGAAAAGCTGAGATTGAAATAACAACAACAAAAAGTCAGCTGGTGTAGCCTGAGCACAGAGGCTGCAGGGGAGAGCCTGGTGAGAAAAAGCTGGAGCAATAGGTAGGAGGGTAAGACAGAATAACTATGGTATATATAAGTAAAGCTTACCTCCTAAGTATTATTAGTAATATAAACATTTACATCAACTCAGCCTTTATAATATTTGCATTTTAAAATCATGATGGAAACTTTTCCAAGTGTACAACAGCAGACAGAATAGTACCTATAATGAACCTCTGTGTACCCTTTGCCCAGCTTTAGCATAATTTTGCTTCATCCAGGTTCATCTTCTTTTTCCCCCTCTCATATTGTTTGAAAGAAAACCTTAGAAATCATATGTTCTCATCTATAGGATGTTTGTTTTTAATGTAACTTCCTACTATTGTGAAAAAGAAGTTTAAAATGAAACGTAAAGGTGGAGTGAGGTGGCTCTCACTAGGCTCTGGAGAAGCACAAGGATTCCCATATGGGCTTTTGGTCCACAGCACCTCTGATTCCCTGATTGCTCCAAGTTCCTTTCCTGCTAGGCAACACTGGCAGCAGCTTCTACTGCCACTCACCTAAGGACTTCAGGTCTTTGTTTCAGACAGTTTTACCTGCCATGAATGGCAATGCAGTTCACGCAATGAAAGGAGAATTCTTGGGTCTTCAGCTCTGTGCCCTTTGGTTTCCTGGATTTAATTCCAAATTCTATGCTTTTATATACCAGCAATTTTGTTTATAGTTTTCTGCTTAGGATGGCCTAATCTTTTTAAAAACCAAAATTAATTAAAAAATAGGAATAGTAAGGAGTCAGCTTATGCTTTAAGAAGTGTTAACTTTCCACTTAAAGAAAGACATTAGTTTTACATGGTCCTGTTTGCTCATTTAGTGGACACTTACTATAGACTTGGGTTTGATAAATATTTTAGTTTAAAATCCAAAGACTGTTTTAAGAATGAACAAACTCAGCCATGTAAGTGATGAAGGCTGGGTGCCATCGAGAGAGCAGTCAAGGTTTAAATAATATTCTGGACATTTTCAATGTAGGAACTGTACCTACGGGAATAAAGGTAAGCTTGGAAACTTATAATTCTTATTAAGAAAAAAATACTCTATTGAGACAAATAAAATTACAGGTATAATCAAGTATCATAAGTTATTTAAAAAATAAGCACCAAAAGTCCTGGCATTTTTGGTTGATAGAAATTCTTCCTAAAAAAGTCTTTCACTTCGCCAGGGAAGTTATTATTTTAATTTCATAAGTAGATTAATAGTTTCAGCATGCATTAAATGCCTAACTACTTGACAAGACCTTCTGAAAATTGCATACAAATTAGAGTAGAAGTTGTACTAAGAAGAATTTTAAATCTCTATAAAATGAACAGACTCTTCCAGTTCTTATTTGAACATCAAAAGATAAAAAAGACCATCAAAGAAACTAATTACTTGGAAAAAATATCATTTTTTAAAGCCATAAGATAATTCATTTATTGGAAATTTTGTGAGGAGCTTGAGAAAAATTAACTTTCAAGGATTTTCTTTAGAATATGACATCTAAGTAAAACAAAGAACTCAACTCCTCAGTCTTATTAGCCACATATGGCTAATGGCTATCACACTGGAGAGTACAGACACAGAATATTTTTATCATCACAGAAAGTCCTAATGAATAATGTTGCTTTAGAAGACACAGTTAAATTCATGCTGAAAACATTATAAAATTAGCCATGGTATTCTCACCATTTTTTTTTTTTTTCAAAAAACCATACACACATATACTCCTGAGAGTTATATCTAAAAGGTGGCATCTTTTTCTCCTTTAAGAGTCAAACCAAAATTACTGTAGATAATTCAATTTTTTTCTGTTAAATACCAAATCAGAGCCAATATAAAAAAACATAAATTATTCTTCCCTGAAATATAATCAATTTACAAGAAACCGGAACAAAAACAAGGCTACAAAACTAACATTTTTCTCCATCCCCCTCTCCCTTGGTCTATTATTAACTGTGATAATTGCAAATAAGTTAAAAAGAATTTCCTAAACCAAACATCCAATTAATATTCCCTATAGAACTTCCAACTATTTAATAACTTTTTTTGAATTAAAGCACAACCATGCTTCTTCTGAATTTATAAGAATGCCCAATTTTTTTTATTGGAGTAGGGTCTATTAACTGCTGCAAAATTGCGACGACTCTATACACACACACACACACACACACACACACACACACACACACACACACTTGCCTTCCATGAGGTCTTTCTTCTGAGGAAACTTACCTTTAAAAAATAAATTTATATTTTTTTCAAAGATGTACTTGCATGTTCAACTGATACCACTTAAACAATAAAATAAAAGCTTATGGGTTTAAACTTTGGCTTATAAATCTGAGACCTGAACTAACAATTTTATAGAAGCACCAATTTGGATTGGCTGAGAAGGTGGGCAAGGAAATGTCAATTTTGCCTCAACTGGAGTGCTGCACACAGGCAGCAATGATATCAATGAGCAGCAATGTGGTATGTTTATCATGAGATAATCACACCCCTAGAGGTTTAGAAGCACTCAGCTGAACCTTATGCCTCACAACACACTTGGGGTGTCATTATCTCATGATAACCATACTCCCTGTCAAGCCTTATTGCTTAATTAGGGGTTACGAAGGTGATAAGACTAAAAGAAATCGGATGAACAGTACCTAAGATGAATGATACCTTAATCAACTTAAATCTGGTGGCTGAAGGAGGCGTGATGAACAGACACAATGAGTTACATGTTATTTTTAGAGAAATTTGTTAATAATAAATGAGGAGAAACCCAGTCTGCATTCCCAGATTATTTGAATTACATTTTCCAGGAGACATGATATTTATGATTAATAATTTAAATTGTGTTTTCACACAGTATGTAAAATGTTCAAGAAATTAATGATAACATGAAATTTAACTTTGACCTAAGATATCCAGCTTATGCATGACAGTGATTCATCATAATCCAAGCATAGGATTTAAGTATTAAGTCTGCAAGGGAACTGATCAATAACACCTACACCATGTACGATTTTAACAAAGTAACCTGAAACCAGAGACAAAAAATAACGTGATATACTCTTTACTATTTTTTTCTCTATTACACCTTAAAATAATCAAGCACAAAAGAAAAAAAATCATAGCACCAAAATGCTTTAAAAGGTTATGCCCAAATACGTAACTTTAGTTCTTTTGTTCTATTTTTATAAACAACTGCCATATTTGTGGACAAAATATAGCTTCAGATATGGTGCACTTGAAGCTGCTTTCCAATTCACTGTGAAACATCAATTATCTTTATCAAATAACAGTATCCTCATCTCAGTCCATTATCAAGATGGAGTCTTATTTTAGCTGGACTGCAGCCCTATCTGTATATCAGGGCTGGCCGCGGTGGCAGAGCGTGAGTGAAAGGCTGTGAGATAATCAATAATCATCATCAAATTGTGGTCGAAAGGTTGTGAGGATGGAAGTTTTTGATGAAACCTCACCTTTTTTTTTTTTTTTTTTTTTTTTTTGGTACAGATGATAAGGCTTAACCTTTGCAATACCTGATGATTATGTCTCAGTTAGAGGAATCCTTGTGTACACTTTCAAGTGGTTCTGAATGTCCAAAGACACACTGAAATACTTAGGCTTAAGTGGAACACAAACCTCATGCTATCAAAAACCATCAGGTGGAAGCGCTCAAAACAATTGTGAACATGGTTATTGTAAACTTGATCCGCAACTCAGACACAGGGAATTCAAACCCTGACTTACTATGGCTGTTAAATCCCTGTGAGTAAAGGTCAGCTCTGGAAGAACAATGTTTGCATAACAATAGGTAAAACACACCCTGTGGTTTTCCCAAAGGTTACTGAACTGTTGCCTAAGCCTATGGACCTTGATTTTAAAAAAGGCCTCTGCTTGAGACTTACAGGGTTTAATGGCATCTACTCTCATCCTGTGTCCTAAAATGTCATGAATTTGGCATGAAAAATGATGAGGAGATTCAATTTTTTAATTCAATAGAACAACACTAATTTGGAGGGATGAGAAGTGGAATGCCTTTTATTTTTATTTTTTTTTTATTTTCCCCCGTCATTGGGTTCTGTTTACATCAAGTGGACATAAACTGAAAGTAAATCAGCTGAGAAGCAGCTAGATTAAAATTAGGGACAACTTTGTTGTCTGGGGTTCTGTACAGATCTGTCATCCAGAGGCAGCCCACTAAGGCTATACTATATACCACCCCACCCTCTGAAGCCACACTTCTGAAAGCTTTAATTTAAAAATCCTTATTTTATAGTGGTTTGACATTTTTAAAAGCATACATTTAGAAAACTATGTATCCTTCAAACATAAAACCTATCAAAGTATGATAAAACATGAAAACTAAATCCATAAACCAGAACAAAGGAATTATCATTTCAAAATGTCAAAGTGTTGGTAGTTTGATAATACCACAGTTTAAAAGCAAGATCCTTTTCTTAAATTGCAAAATTCACTGATATAAATGGTCAAAATTTTAAACATCTTAAAGTGGTGAGCTACTAATCATTGAACATATCGCTATCAGTATTACAGTAGATGTTTTGGAAACAGACCCTAGTTCAGGGAAATCATGAAGTTGAATATGTATACACACACACACACACACACACACACACACACACACACACACACACACACAAAGAAGCTGAAATTAGCTCTATTATAATTTCCAAAGTCTGAATTTATTTAAAGTAGGTTTGTTAAAGAAAATTTTGTTCTAATGAAAACACTCTAAACAACTTCAGTAAAAAGCAACCAATTATATTAACCTAATTTGTGACCTATCTTTCCTATAAAAATGTCCAACACAAATTTAGAGTAATTGCCCCTTTTTGAGCTATATTGCCTTTCCTATAGTAACAGCAGTTAATATACATGAAAATATTTAAACTCTCTTTAAGAAACATGTACATTTTATTCACTCTACCAACAGAAAAAGCCTGTTTCTTAGGATCTCTGAGCTCCTTTTGACATGCTATAATTTCCATCAATACTTAGTGTACAATACCTGTTAATGCTAATTGTGGATTAGGAAATATATCAGAAATAATTAAAAATTAATAAAATATATAAAACCTCCAATATAAAACAATATAAAACAAAAATACATGCTCAAGGAGACCCATTTTCCACTGATTAAAGCTTCAATTAAAAAAATATTTCAAGGTAACTAAGAGGAAAGATTTTACTTGATTTTGTGTACTTGATATAGAGAAGTTAAAATGTATCTTGGAAGACATTTTGAGAATGGCAAATTAGAAACATACTAATCAAATACAATCAGAAACTTCAACTTCCCCCACCTCCTCCCCATTCACTATAACAAATATATACCACAGTAACAAATCATAGCATAATCCTTGTGATATATTTTAAAATTTGGTTTTGAAAATACATGTTATAGCAACATGTCAAGCCTAATGTTAATGCAAAATATTCTTTTCCTTAGCCTATTATTTTAAAAGTATAATATTTATATTAATCATGCTAAATTTCATGTTGACAATATATGCAAAGCTAGCACTGGCTTTTTTAAGACAATAAAAATTTAGCAGTGTGTGGAATCTTGCTATAGAAGTAGCTATTAAAAGTACACAGGACAGAATCCTAAAATTGCTGCAACACTTTACCCCACATACAATAAATGTTCTCCAGAAACACTGTGGTGTTCTAAGGCTGAATCAGTTGGCTCCCAGAGCTGAGTAGCAATAAGATAGTATGTTTTATTATGAGTGTCATGGAGATGGTGTGAAAAATCAAGAGCCACAGGCAGTCGGCAGCAATGGGTCAATAATGCTCCCAGAGACATTGTGTAGATAATCAACAACAAGGCCCGAGGTTCTCTCGGCACTGCACACAGCTGAAGGGCAAATCAATACAGCCAGGGAAGGGCACTGCCCTGCTCCACTTCCCACAGTACGCTATGGCTGCTGTAGGAAAACCGCCCCCAAAATGAAAATAAAGGAAACTGGTTGTGCAACTAACAATCACAAATTCATCCTTCAAAGAGGCTTCCAAAAAATCCAAACACAATTCAATATAAAGTCTGCCCAAAAATGAACCCAGGGGAAGGTTTCATTTAAAAAGTGCTGCATAAATAGGGATTAAGACATAATGACTTAAATATAAAAAAGGGCAAACATGGTCTTATGAAGTATTCTAGTTTATAATATTAAAATCAAAGTTTAACCAAGTTTTTTTGTGAGTAAAACATTCCAGTTTGGGAGATTTTACTTTGTTAACTTTGGTGTCTAGTATTGCTAGTGCTCAAACAGATCATGCTCATGTTTATCATTAGAAGGGTAAATAAGAACTAAAACTATGCTACATTTTAGAAAGTGTGAATTATATTTGAATAACTTTGTTTCCAAAAAAGGAACATAACATTTAAATGTATTCTATTGGTTCTGAGGACATTTTGCCAACAGTTTTTGTAACTGACACTTTGCTAAATATATGATGCTAATATTTCATACATTTCAGTAAAAATTTATGGGTAGGAATATGTTGATTTATTATTTCTCAAGAGAAAGGTGATTCATCACATCCATCATTCTGTTAATCATTGGGTGTTATTTCTAAGTTACTATGTAAAGCCATCTTTCATGAAACATGAAGAAAAGGTGCTGGAAGAAAATAGGACAGTGAAAATTTTTAAGGTTTATTTCTTATTTTTCACAATTAAAATTTCTTCTTTTTTTCAAACGGATAAAATAGTATCTTTAAGCATTAGGACGTGTCCTAGCTCAAGACTGTGATAACTGTAAACATTCCTCAAATATGTCATAGGAAGAAGTGTAATATGTTTCTATTGTTACAATATTTAAAAGAAATGAAAAAAGAAAAAACTGCAATTGTGTAAAATGGCATGTAAGTGAATTTAGGAAACAAATCACTGATCCCTTATAGCATTTTAATTGTATTTTAAAGGAATATTATCTGTTTATTCTAGTGATAAGAGACTATCTTGTTTCCCTTTTTCACTGACAATTATTTACAGCTATTGAGGATAACAGTTCTATATTGTTTAGTAAGATGCTACCATAAGAATGCTCCAAAATTATACTTATTCTGGGGACACATTTTTTGACTAGTAAGAATATGAATCAAAAAATAATTTCTTTGTTGATGGTTATGTTTTACTGTTAGGAAACTGACAGGGAGTTTATTTCTCTCTCTCTCTCTCTCTCTCTCTCTGTGTGTGTGTGTGTTTATTGAAATATGATGTCTATAAAGTAAACCTAGACTTTAACTAGGAGAGAAACTGAGTATAAATTGTCCACTCTGGACTCTACATTTATGACTGGTAGGCTGGTGCAATATAGTTAGAAGCAGGTTTCCATTTTTGAAAAGTTATATTATCTAGTCACCATGACAACAAAACTGAGTACTATAGCAAGCCACAGAAAAATTACTGCCTTGAAAATAGGAAAGGTGGCTTCTTAAAGTAGTTTGAAGCTTTGTAAATATTTACTTCATGAAAACGCCACTTTTACTAACAATCTAAAGGTATTTAGTAAAAAATAGGAACCTTTTCATTATCAAATAAGACGGTTCAGACTCAGATGCTGCTAACAATGACAAGTCCGAAATGAAAAGCAAGAGTATACACAGTCTTTAAAAAGCAATTCTCCTCTGGGACCCCTTGTTGTCCCTTCACACCTACCTATTATTAGATAATTTGTGTTGACCTATTTAATTTTAGACCTTCCACCTCTTTGTCAAATCTGGTTGAGATCAGCTTGCCTAAATCCTGCTGTTGTCCTGCAGCTGAGGAGTGTGTGACATGACAGCTGGTTGATTTGCCTATTTTTCTCTTATTGGCTGAGGAAACTGCCAAGGCAGTGAAATACTCCAAGACAGACATAGATTTTAGATGCTTCCTCATTTTGAAAACTAGGAACATTTCTACATGTTTAGAGAGCATCTGCTGAACCTCAGACACTACACATTATCATGGTGCTTTATTTTCACCTAACATGAGCAGAAGTTAAGAATAATTTAGAATGTACTCCTATGGACATAATGCTAGCAGATTAAAAACCCCTCAATTCTAATTGTGTTTAGAGGCTTTGGTATTTGGTGGGATTTTTTTAAGTCCCATAACCACATGATCAATCCAGGTGATTTAAAATCAATGCCAAACCCAGACAAAGGCTGTAGTAAACAGCTCTCTATCTGCTTCATGGAAAAAGGTGAAAAATTAGAAAAGAAGCTCTTCTTTCAGTGAGATGCCTAAACCATGTGAAAATAGCTCAAGCTCATGAGCCTTCTTGTATTTCCTTGACGAAAATTTTCCTTGATGAAAATTCCAAAACTGAATCTACACCCCTCACCAAAAATGAAGAAAAAGCCTCTAACAATTGTGGGAGTCAATTCTGATACCTTTGCTAATATGAAAAGGAAGCCTTTGTTGTGAAACGAATAATGCTCCCTCCTTGGCAAAACAGATATGCTCATTAATCCTGTAAGCATAATTTCTTTTAAGAATATTCAGAAGCTGGGTGCCTTTGAAATCCACCAAATTTTAAAGTAATGTGTGTCCTTGAAACCCCTGGACAAGTGGCCCTATTTAAAGTCAGATACGGGCTTTTGGCACAAACCTAGGATTTCAGGTTTGTCTCAATGGTCCCTTCATTACTTTCATCAGCACAGACCTTAATGCCCCTTGGATTTTGGGGGTTAACATTAAATTGATATTAAAACGGTTCAGAATAATAGTGTTAACACTGATCAGTATACAATGTGCGGAGTATTTTTTTCATGGCATATCCAAAATCATATCTTTCACATCTCTTGTTAAACCCTTCCCTATCACTGAGGGTTTTACCTTGGTAAACCATGGGTCAGTTGTTCTCCTGTAGTAGTGAAATATCCTACAGCACATGTAACAACAGACATCTTAAAAAGCAAAACTCTCTTCTATCTCTTCTCTTACTTTTCAAGCTAAGCAGGTCTCAACTGGCCTGCCTTCCTACTTAGTCCACTGCTGCCAGGCCTTTACCTCACTACTGCACAGAGCTTGCTTTTGTAAAGTCACCAGTGACCTTCTGTTGCCAAATCTGATGGACTTCTCATAATTTTTATCTTACTTGACCTTTTGGCAGCATTTCTTCCATGAGACACTCCTCTTTGAGTATCTATGGCACCACCACATTCTGACTTTTCTCATGCCTTCAAACCATCCACTCTCCCATTGTTGCCAGATGCATCTCTCCATCTTATCTCTAAACACTGAAGTTTTTCAGGGCTTTGTCCCAGCCCTATTTTCTTCTCACTCTACATTTATCTGTTGCCATAGCTCTAAATACATCAACAAGCCAATGATATCTAAATTTTTATGTCGAGCACAGACATGTCTGTGCTCCAGAGCCATGCATATAGCTAAATACTTGGCATCTCCACATGTATATAGCTGAATACTTGTTAGGTATCTCAGAGCTAACATCAAAAACTGAACTATTAATTTTCTTCTACTCTTTATTCCACAAATTGCTCCTCTTCCAATGTTTCCCATCTATTCAGCTCCTCATGCCAAAAACTGTGAATTATCCTCAAAACTTCATTCTCTCTTAATTACCATACCAAAGTCATCACAAGTTCAGTCAATTTTACCTTTAGGCTTTATCTTAAATTGGTTCATTTCTCCCAATTTTCACTGTCTTCATAACGGTCAAGGCTACTCTCATCTCTAACCTGGAGTACTTCTGGAATAGCCTGAAACTAGTCTCCCCATTTCTACTTTTGTCTTGCTGAATCCATTCCCCACACAGCAGCAAAAATGATCTTTATAAAAGGGTAGATCAGATAATGTAACTTGCTCAGAACCCTTCATGATTTCTCACTGCACTGAGGATAATATCAAAATTCCTCATCCTGACTGGCGAGGGCCTCTGGTGAGCTGGCTGTGGCCCATCTGTCTGTCTTGTGTCAGGTTCCCTTTCCTCCCATTCACTCCATTCAGTTCCTCAAGGACCCTAAGATCTTCCTCACCTCAGGGCCTTTGCACATGCTCTTCTCTCCCATCCACTTGATGTCTCCATAACCCTTACTCATTACACATAGCTTTGAGTTAGATGTCACTTTCTTACAAAGGTTGGACATCATCCTTTTAGTTCTCCCTGTTGCATACTTTTTCACCACACTTTATACTTTTCTTCATAGTATTTATCGCAAAATGTAATAATGTGTTTCTTTAATTATTTGCTTATTAACTCCTTTAGCCTGCAAGCTCCATGAAGGTAGTCAGCACTACCTGTCTTGCTAACCATTCTACATCACTGCCTGACATAGAACCCAGCACACACACCTACTCACTAACATGTGTTAAATGAATGAGTGGATGAACGAGCTCAGCCTTGTAAAATCACACTCCATATGTCTTGGGCTTCTACACACGGCTCCACACCACTGCCAGAGCGTCTGGTATGCAAATGCAATCTGGGGGTGCTAGCCACAGCTTGTGGATGGGGATCAACAGTCCCTCTGCAGGGGCTGTTCTAAGAAGCCCCTTTGTATTAAAAATATGGCTGAGGGAAAGAGGATAGCTCAGAATTCCCAAACAATCTAAGTCTCTAAAATGGGAGCACCCAGGAACCAACCTGAACCTCCTCTATGTCTCATCATGACCTAAAGCCAGAAAAGAGCTCTCTGGTAGAGCCTAACCTGAGTCCCTACTTTTGCTCTGGAGCATGTGTAATTGCCATTGTGGGTAGAGGACACTTAGAGGAGAGCTCAGAATGGCCTGTGGCTTTGGCAGAAAAAAGGCTATGGCTGCTGGTTAAGGAAGTCTCTGGTTGCTTTACCATAAAACCGTGGTGCATAATTACTTTTAGTATATCATGAAGGATATAGTAACAAACTAAATGCTTAGTATTTTCCCAACGTATAGAAATGGCTAATATCTTGGTAATTTCACTGGATTTACCACTTGGAAAAGTAAGGCAGCTAAAAGTGTTCTTCTAATTATCTCCATAGAGGAGGCATTAGTAATAATGCCTCATAATAATTAAATAGAAATATATTACTTCAATAGTGTGTAGCACTAGCCTAGTAGCTAGTAGGTGGTAAATACTATTTGTTAAATTTAGAAATTATTTGATGGATACTGCAGCAAAAGAAGACAGTCTACCAAATTGTGACAGAGATCCAGAGATAGGGGCATCCTGAATTCTGTGTTGATCTGAGTAATTGGAGAAAATGTCCCTGTTCGGAGCAAAGCTACAAAGGGTTAACAAGATATTGGTGACTTCCTTAAGCACATTTTCTATTAGCGATTTTATCAGATAGAGGCTCCCTCCTGTTGTAATTTGAAGAACTGAAAAGACATCAAAAAGGGCACTGGTTGAGAGAAAAGGAGGCTGTATGTGTCTTCAACAGTAGGGACTTAAAATTCTGGCTGGGTGGTTTAGCATAATGTCACAGGAAAATTCTCAAATATAACACAGAAATCTAGGGATCCTAGCCCTAACTAAGCTCAGGACAGTGAGAGAAATTTATGGGTAGAAAGGAATAACTAAAACCCTATTAACTAAAATGTTATGATTTTAGGTAATATTTCAAAGCAAATATAGGAGTATATAGACTGCAAATATCTATACTTATACATATTAATAACCCATATATAGGCAAAAATCATTGTTTGCGGCAATATCATAGGTTTTCCCCCTGTAAACCTTTCTTCAAGGCTGTTGCTACATTGCCTTTTCAATAATAATAAAAAAATCAAATTCCACTCATCTTAAAGTTCCATTTCAGCCTATGTGATTCTAGATCTCAAGCAAATGATTTTTCCTTATTTTTAAATTATTTGATTTTATAGGCCTTGGGGACTGAAATATTAATTCACACATTATTTGTTCCTCATACAGTATGTTATTTTATTCCGTAAACTCAGAGTTTCCAAATCCAGCCTGCCTTAGAATTACATGCGGGCATGCTATAGAAACGTAGATACCTGTGTCCCTGCATTAAAGATTCTGAATTAAAGACCTCAGGACGTCTGAGGAAGGAGGAGTCTATTTTGAAATTTCCTACATGATTCTGATATGTCACCTGGTTTGGAAAGAACAATGCTAAATGGCAATGCCCAGTGAATTTACATAAAAGGAACTCCTAGACAGATGGAAACATCCATGGAGAACTAAACACACATACATCATCAGATAAAGGAAATACTGGGTTTGTATTACAATTAATGATTATTTTCCCTTGACTGGGCTTTGCAATTTTCAAAAGCCCTTTCACATACCTACTTCTAGAAGGCATCTCACCTTTCTCTTCTCACACTCTTTTTGCAAAAATAAGGATGTTGGACGAAACTATTTCCTTTAGCCTAAAAATACAGTCTTGTGTCTGATATATAGTAGCACTCAATAAATGTTTCTTAAATCAATGAATGCATGCATGGTTACCACTAAAAGCCATGCAGAGTACATTGGGGGACATTGACAGGTTTTTTAAAAAATTGTCTTATCCCTAATAAACTTGGGCTCAGAGAAGTTAAACAACAAACTTAGTAAATGGGTATACAAGCAAATTTTCTGACTCCTCATTTGATGCTCTTTCTTTGATGCTAGCATTCTTGTTGAAATTTGTGGATTAGGCTGTATTGGGTGAAGGACAGTCCACATGCCTGTATTTTGCATTCATACCACTACCAATGAATGACAAACTGCTGTATAGGTATAATGGCATGTAAGTTGTTGCCTTCTTCTTTAACCTCTGTCTACAGTAGAGGCAGTAATTCCAGAGGCTTATATACGTGTCTACAAGTAATAAATCTGTGTGAGTTACTGCTGTGTCCTTGTAGATTTACAACTATAAGTTTTAATTCATCTCTGACAACGCATTTACATAAATTACAGCAACACAGTAACAATGCCATATTGCTGGGACTTTCACCCAGAGACTCAGGAGGCTTTAGGCAGCTGGTTTTCTTACTACTATAAAGGGCCACTCTCAGTATATATGAGATAGAAGCATTTTACTTATGTAGATGTTTTCTTATATCCCTTCTTATATAATGTTTTCATTATATAAATGTTTTCTTGCTCCTGTCATTCCTTCAAAAGTAAACTACGTTTTTAATACCTTTCTCTGCATTAATGAATATTCTAGATTAAGATGATACTTTAAAGCAGGAGCAGAATTACTTAAGTAAACATTCAAAGCAATGAATGCAAATTATTTCTAAGCACCTACTTTGTCTACAAGCTGCTTAACAGCTCACTCTAAAGCAGGAACACAGATCAGCTGAGCTGGGAGGGATGTGGGACACTAAGGTTTGCAAGGCCAGCCTTTCCTCTCAGTGCAATGAAGCCATGGGGAAGCGGGCCTTGGCCTCTATTCAGGATGCCAGAATGGATCAGAGCCGAATCTTCCAAGGCTTATCCTGCACTCTTCCATCCCAGCTCACAGTTTCAGTAAGAATAAAGGGGACAGCTGAAACTTTTAAAGTAACTTTACTATTAATGTCTAGTTACTTTTAACATGTTTCCTATTGGCAAGCGTTTTGTTCTTAGACCAAGCCAACAATTCTCTTTCAAATTAACTGGACTGCCCTTTAAAGATGATTATGAATCAACCCACCACCACGATTTATTGAGTAGTTAAAATGTAACAGTCATGAATCTAAATATCTTACATACATTGGCTTGATTAATCTTCAAGAGGATCTAAAATTATTCCTATTTTACAGGCAAAGAAGCTGCTTTAAAGAGAACAAGTCACTTGTTCTGGGTCTCAAGGACAGTAAGTGAAAGGGCAGCTACCCAAACCCAGATCTATTCCAAAGCCTCTGCCATCAACTGTTATTTTCCTGTTGACTTGTCTCAGAGTACTCCATGGCAGATGTCAGCAAGTTTTCTTGAGAAGGCAAATGTTGGTTGCCTTCCTTGGGCCCACCCCTTGTGCTCAGGGAAGGGTGAGGCCCTCTTTTCTCTCAGGAATGAATCTCAGTCAATCATGATAGTTCCATTTTCATTCCAGCAACAGGTTTTTAAATGGGTAAGTGATATGATTTTGGTCAACAAGACAAGAGAAAGGGGTTTTCTTAACGGGTGTATTTGTTTTAAAGTTCCCCTTTCTGCCTCAGGATGGTATCCTCTGCATAGGTTGCTGGCTTGGTGGCAGCCATGTTGTACCCTGAGGTGGTCCTGCCAAAGAGGCTGAGATGCCGAATAAGCAAAACAGAGTCTCCTGATAGACTCGGGTTTCTGAGAACACCACTGAGTTGCTCACCATACTACCTACCTCTGGATGCTTTGTTGTGTGAAATAATAAATTAATTTAAAGCCTTTTTATGACTATTACTTTGCAGATGAAATGCCCTAATTATTAAATCTTTCTAACAATTCTATAATTCTTTTCTTTTAAAAATTCCTGCCCATACCTAAACTAAATCTTTCCGTTGTCTCATGTCAGTCTTTCCTATCAGTCTGTAGCACATCCTTTTTCTCACTATTCTCAGAAAATACAGCTTTTGCTTCTGCATTATAGTATCAATTTCTATTTTTACTTAATGTATATATTTAACATGCTGTATTTTAAGGTTGATCAAAATCTGCTTGCTATTTGTCATGATTCTTACTCTTTTTCTTCACCCAGCCACCAGTGATGTCAATGAAGCCCTGATCGACTGTGCTGGGATCATTTCCAAAGCCTCCAGGAGCAAACCTTCTTCAATTCAACCTCAACGGTGTGGACAGCACACCGACCTTCCAAAATTGAAGGTCTGATTTTGTTGCTTTCCTGCTTCAAACTCTTCAAGTGGTTTCTCTGAAAGTAACGCCAGGCATTCAGCAGAGTATTAATTTATGCACTCAACTTCTGAAGTCAGTCACTAACAATTAAAAATTGGGAGATTTTAAAATAAAAATCCAGATGTTCAGCTTATCTTGAAAAATCTGAAGACCAGGCAACACTAGGTCCACCCTTTCACCTGGCACCAAGTGATGGGATCTGAGGCACATCTGATTCCTCTCCATACAGCATGTGCCCTCCGGTGTGCCACAGTCTCCACTCCTCTCAATTCCAATACTGAAGCAAAATATCACTTGGCATTTTGTTCAAGGCTTTACCTGTTGTTTTACAGACGGTAGAATTAAAAAGAAAAATATTTCTGGGATGGTACTATCAAAAATGGAAAAACATAAAAAAAGAGGGCTGATCTTTTATTAATTTATGCCACCTTCTTCATCTCTGCAGGCATTGGTGTTTGTCACTGCTGACTCATGACACTCCAAACTATAAAGCAATCTGTCCAGGGGAGGCTTTCCAGAATCTCATTCCTCCTAACCATTAGGCTTGTCCACCTCCTCCTCTATCACACTTTCACACTCCTTTGCAACCTTTGCTTCAGGCATAACAAAAACAAAAACCTTACAGTCCCTGGAATGTACCATCAGCTAAATGATTCTCTGTGCTTCTGCTGATGCTTCATCCTCTCCCAGAAAAGTTTTCTTCTCCCATGTCTGCCCACAGAACACCTACTCAGGGATCAACTCAAATATCCCTTTGCCCCACTACCCCCGAGACGGAGTCTTGCTCTGTCGCCTAGGCTGGAGTGCAGTGGCGTGATCTCAGCTCACTACAACCTCTGCCTCCCAGGTTCAAGCGATTCTCCTGCCTCTGCCTCCTGAGTAGCTGGGATTAGACGCCCGCCACCACACCCGGCTAATTTTTGTATTTTTAGTAGATACGGGGTTTCACCATGTTAGCCAGGGTGGTCTCGAACTCCTGACCCCGTGATCCACCCGCCTCAGCCTCCCAAAGTGCTGGGATTACAGGTGTGAGCCACCACACCCAGTCCAAACATCACCCTTCTGATGAACCTTTTCCTGTTCTTCTCCCCTCCACAGGATTCAGCCTGTCCTCCTCTGCAGACTGTCACATTCTACTGGAGCACTGAAAAGCTTTATTGTACTTATTTGTTTCATCTTTGTCTTTCCTGCCAGATTGTAAATACCTTGCCCACCCAGGTAGTCGTTCCCTTTTGCATTTCATAGTGCCATGTCAATACTTCTAGATATCATATGCTGAAGGTATGATAACACAATCTCTCTTAATTGACTTTCACTTTACTGACTCGTGGGGTTAACCAAGACTCCTATTCCCTCTGTCACATATCCTAACTGGTGCCTAGCACATGAGCAATGCCCGTGGTCGGGAGGCTACTCTCTGATAATTCCACTCACTATTGCTCTAACTAGTTAAGCTCTATGACCTAGAGTTAACCAAAGCTGAATAACGGTAGTGTGTACCTGTAGTACCAGCTACTTGGGAGGATCACTTGAGTCCAGGAGTTCAGGGCTGTAGTGCACTATGATCATGCCTGTGAACAGCCACTGCACTCCAGCTTGGGCAACAAAGTGAGACTCCCATCTCAAAAAAAAAAAAAAAAAAAGCAAGAAAAGCAAAGAAAGGAAAAGGAAAAGGAAAAGGAAAGGAAAAGGGAAAGGACAAGACAAGGCAAGATGTGCTAATGCTAGTTGTGCTTGGCAATGCAGTCAGGTTACATAGGATATATAATTCATACAATAAGAGTGGAAATAGGGCTTTTAAAAAACATATGTACACACATGAAATTAGGTGTGAGATAACTGTAAAAGATGGGAAAAAACACAAAAATCTAGAATTATACTCTGAGAATGCTTTATAAGTATCTTTAATTTGTCAGTGCACTTAAACAGAAAATGGTATGTCTTAGCAAGAAAAATGTTCCAGAACTACAACAATGGACCAACAATGGAGACAAGAGTCTTTGGTCCCACCATAAAAGAGATGGGAAATAAGACTATCTTCATAAAACTTAAAAGGAAATGGTTTAGGACATACATCATTTTATATGATCCTACACTTGAGCAACATTTTTGATGAAGTGACCGACTTCTGGGGCTGAGGTCCTGGATCCAGAGCTTTAATGGTACCAGGTATGTGCCTCTTCCTCTACTAGACTTGAGGTCTATCTGAAGTTCCATTTGAGACAGGACCTACCAAATCTTGACACAACCCTTGAAATCAGCATCAGCACTCTTTACAACCTATCAGGAATGACAGAGTCATGTCCTCATTACATATGTTTTAGAATACTCATGAGTCATATTTGGCAAATAACTATCAAGATGCCAGGCCTTGTGCTAAATTCTTTATATACTCAGAGTGGATATGAAGAATACGAGGCAGTGAATCCAGAATGAATTCAATGTACTAGGACTCTTCTATCTAGTATTTCCTAATTTTGTGGACTATATATAGGTGGAATACACCCCCCCCACACACAATATGTATATATATTAGGCATTTATATTTATCTTTTTAGTGTTGAAGAGAAAAAGAGAATGGCTAGATGGGAAAGAATGGCATTAAGAAATATACAAAATAATGTGAATTTTTACTCAAAATAAATTTTAGCCTATCAAATGCTTTTGCAAGGATGTTGAAATGCCTATAACAACTGCTCAGTTTGTAAACAGTAGAACTCTCTGTCTCATCCCATTATAGATATTACGAAGGATATAATTTATTTTTTCTTGGTGCAAAATTCTTGAATACTGCCATTCAAAGTGTAACACAGATATAAGAAGTACCCATGGCCGGGCGCGGTGGCTCGCGCCTGTAATCCCAGCACTTTGGTAGGATGAGGTAGGCGGATCACTTGATCACTTGAGGTCAGGAGTTTGAGACCAGCCTGGCCAACATGGTGAAACCCCGTCTCCACTAAAAATACAAAGAAAAATTAGCTGGGCATGGCGGCACACACCTGTAATCCCAGCTACATAGGCAGCTGAGGCAGGAGAATCCCTTGAACCCAGGAAACAGAGGTTGCAGTGAGCCGAGATTGCACGACTGCATTCCAGCCTGGGTGACAGAGTGAGACTTTGTCTAAAAACAAAACAAAACACAAAAAACAAAACAAAACAAAAAAAAACCAAGAAGTACTTGTGAGTGGTGGGATAAATAACAGAGAAATACTCCTCCACACGGTCAGTTAAAACTATTCTTTAAAAAATTTTAAACTTTCAGAATAAATGATGGTCTAATTTCAGGCATTGTTCTGGATATCTGTTTCTCTACCTAGAAGTTTTTCTCTAAATAGCATTTCACTTTTAAAACTAGTAGCTTGTTAGGCAATTCTTCAATGCAGTGTCAGGAAGCCATTGTCTTCTCCAACCATTCATCTTATGATCACCCCTGATGCCATATTTCTGGTTGTTGCTCCAGAATGTCACAGAAAACACCTGCCATAAAACCAGCTGCTGAAAAGAGCAGGAAGAAAATACCTAAAATGTCACTGTCTAAGTACTGTAGTCAATTCTCACTGCAATTTTTGCAATCACCACATAAGTGCCCTTGATGTATAAGCGTTATAGACTTCTGCTCAGTGAAAACTGTGCCCGAAGCTCAAAATTCTGCCTCAAACAAACATCAATCTTACTGTCCACAAGATCCCTAAGGTCCACTGCTCCTCCTAACTAGAAGTAAAATCTTTGTTATTTTTAGAGAGAAGAACACATTGCTTTCCAAACTTCCATTAATATAGGTGTGTTTGCTGACATTTCTGTTTAGACTTGAATATCAGCTTTCTTTTGCTATCTAGTGTCTTAGAGTGCTTGACAGAATTAAATCTGTCATAGAAGATTACATTGGCTCATTTTCATTAAATGCTTTAAATCACACACTGAAGACATTTTCATACCTTGCTAAGTCCCCTTTCCCCCAAAATATAATTTTAGCTAACAGAAAATGTCAGCATTCAGTTATTTAATATTTTGCTAATACTATGTAACTTTGTTTACAACATCTATATTACTCATTTAGCATGTAATAAATCACAGATAAGAAATGTCTCTGCTTATCTATTGAAATAATTGTTTCTCACTTAAGATTTGTGAAATTCCCCATATTATGCTGATTTGAAAATTGCTGTAATATGGACCGTTCACACACATCAGGGGACACATTTCTGATATTTCTGATAAGCATGCTTTCCCTGTGTTTTCTTGGTTCTCTGGGCTTTGCATATGTTATACCTTCTGCCTGGAATAATGTCCCTTGCCCTTCCCCTCCTTTGCCTAACTCCTAATTGTTAATTGCTCAGTTCAGATATCCTCTCCTTCAGGAAGCCCTTCCTAACCAATCCTCCCCAGACCCTAAACAAATCTGGGGTAGTGCTCTTCTTGCTTTCTCCCCTATCACTCCAGGCTGCCCTCCTTGAAAGGTTGTGCACGGCACTTCAATTATGGATGTATATCTGCCTTCTATACCAAATTATGTTCCCTGAGGGTAGGAACAGTTCATATTTACTTTTTGATCTCTTGCCTATAATACAGTGTCTGGCGCACATAAGAGCCATCATAAGTTTGTTTTATAAACAAAATGAATAATAAATCATGAATAAATGGAGAAACAATCTGTTGTCTAAGATGACAAATACAGGAGGCAAAACAGGCCAATAGTGGGGGTGTTCCTTTTTTTTTTTTTTTTTGGGAGACAGAATTTCGCTCTTGTCGCTCAGGCTGGAGTGCAGTGGTGCGATCTCGGCTCACTGCAAACTGCAACTTCCGCCTCCCAGGTTCAAGTGATTCTCTTGCCTCAGCCTCCTGAGTAGCTGGGATTACAGGCACCTATCACCATGCTCAGCTAATTTTTGTATTTTTAGTAGAGATGGGGTTTCACCACATTGGCCAGGCTGGTCTCGAACTCCTGACCTCAGGTGATCCGCCTGCCTTGGCCTCCCAAAGTGCTGGGATTACTGGTGCGAGCCACTGCGCCCAGCTGGGAGTTCCATTTTTTATGAGAATACCCACAGTTCAAAAGTCTTTCCATTATTCACAGTTGCTTATAAACTATTTGTGAAACAGCATCAGAGCATTCTGATAATAAAATGCACAAATCTTTTCACTTAGCAGTGCTCATCCAGAATTTACCCTAAAAAACCAAATATTCATAAAAGTTATATAAATAAGGATTTCTAGGGCAGTGAAACTATACTGGATGATACAATAATGGGTGAATACACGTCATTATATATTTGCCCACACCCATAGAATGCACAACACGGAGAGTGAACCCTAATGTACTCCTGGTGACAATGTGTCAGTATAAGTTCATCAGTTGTAACAAATATCCCACTCGCGCAGGGGATGCTGATCATGGGTGAGGCTATGCATGCGTGGGAGCAGAGGTATATGGAAAATCTCTGTACCTTCTGCTGAATTTTGCTGTGAACCTAAAACTGTTCTAAAAAAGTATGTTAAATAAATTTTAATCAGTTGACTCAGAAGGAGCCTAATATGGCAGTAATGTTAAAAGCAATATTTATTTTATAATACATTTTTTTAAATATTGAAGAACAGAATATCAGTAGGACAACAGATTAATGTGCTGGAAAAAAATCAGGATAGACAAAGTGACAATTATTAAGCACAGATGAATGAGGACAGATCAGTAAGTATAATCTTGAATGTTGTATTCATTCTACTACTAGTTCAAATAGTCCTGGGGGAAAAAAAAAACAGCAAAAAAAAAAACAAACCAAAAAAAATCCTAAGAAAGCAATTTCAACAGATCTAGCCAGTATGAAGTAGTGTATCCTGCAGCAGGAGGGAACAGAATAGGGTGAGCTGATTTAATCTTATTTAAACCGATGGTTAAATAATAATTAGGATAGCTAACATTTTTTGATATTTATTTTACATATATTTATAACACAATGCTAGAAGTGTTATTATGTCCATTTTATAGATGAATAAAGAAGTACAGGAGTTTAAGTGCCTTGCTCAAAGCCACAAAACTAAGAAGAAGCTGAGGAAGGACTTGAATTCAGGCAGCTCAGTTTCAGAATCTACTCTATTAACTACGCAACCACACTGCCTTCTCTAGTAAGAAAGACGAAATAAATAGCCTAGTAATTAAATTTAGAGATCATATTAAATATGGCATATTATAAACACCAGCAATAAGATAATTATTTTGAGCAACAAATATGAATACAAATAAAGAGCCTGAGAGGGCTGTGTAACTTACAAGGGGTATAAGTAATACAAAGGGCAGGCAAAATTAATTTCAATAGAAGCATTAATGAAAACATTAACAAACACAGAGCCAACACTCATTATTTTAATGTGGACTGTCTTCAGCATTTTTGTTTGCCAGGAGTGCTTCACCTATTAGTATAGAGTAACTGTATTTACTCGGTGAGACATTTCAATATAATATAAAGATAAATGTAACTGGAACCAGGCATCTCCTGAAATCCTTACTGTGTTTGTAACAAATCATCCAACAGATATTTCTGAATGCTTCCTGTGTAACCTGGGAAAGGAGTATAGGGAATGACAGCGAATGGGGTTATTGAATGAAACAGCTCATAGGAGGAGAAGATTATGTATGATGATCAAAACCAGAATCTCAAAGGTCTTGAGGAAAGGCCAAGAGCCTAATTTAGGCTGTCAGCAGAGAGAAAAGGTAGATTTCAGGTATACCATTAAAGAAAAGTTAACTGAACTTAGTAACTGGATATGGACAGGTGAAGGAGAGGCAACATGACTTGTGGTGCCATATTATTATGCCAGTTACAGGAAAAGGCAGGTTAGAAAGGATGCTGGTAGAAAGTATGGGCTAGAGAGATTGTCTGACACATTGAATTTGAGACAAAAGATATCCAAATGGAAATGTCTAGCAGACTGTTAAAAGTCATGGAGCTGGAGTTTAGGCAGGGCCCTGGCTGGAGACCTGATTTGTCTTACCTGCTTACAGAGAATAATCAGTATCAATAATAATGTGTGGATTTTCAGCCAAAGTCAGGAAAAAGTATAGATGAAAGGAGAAATCTGTATCCTGGGCAGTAGAGTGATAAGAATTAACATTAAGGTCCTCTAAGAGATTAGGAAATCCAGTAAATGAGATAGTTGCAAACCAAGGCAGGTGACAATGCTATGGAAGTTAAGGGAAGATAGAATTTGAGAGAGAGGGAAGTCAGTTGTATTAAGCCATGCCAAGGATGTGTGTGGTTTCAGTGGCTCGGTAAAGGTGGAAGCTAGAAGGTGTGGGGTGGAGGGGGTGCTGTAGGCTGCGTGACAAGGCACATGTTAACGTTCCAGAATTTACCTCCTGCTCTATACGGGATTAGAGTTAGACCACAGTTGCCATAGTGCTGTAGATACCATCAATCTTTGCTTCTATTTTATTTCTTTCATTATCTGGCCTATGTCAGGCCTGTAATGGTTTAATACAGAAATATAGATAGATCTTTTATGACTCATAAGAAAGGTTTTTCTATGCTTTTTCTGAAAAGATATCCTATTCTCTCTACACAGAAACAACAATTTGATGACATGATTCTGAAATACTGAAATATAACCATAACCAAACTAATATATTTGATATAATTACAGCACAGTTTGTTTTGGTTTACCATGTCATATTATATTTTTAAAGTTTTTTTTATTCTAAAGCCTCAGAGTTTTTTAGTTGAACAACATGCATTGCATTGTGCATCTACTATATACCAGGCACTAGACAACAGGAAGCTTTAAGAACAGGTTCTTTAAGGAACTTAAAACTTTTCAATAGTAAAGTTATTTTAATAATTTGATATAGAGAAGTCTTTAGCTACACTTTCTTTCTCTATACATCATTGCTTTTTTTTTTTTGGTAGCCCTTCACCAAAGTATGAGAAGAAAGTAAATGCCTACATCTACCAAAGTGGATGACGCCTCCAAGTGACATAGTACAGTCTGTCTGTGGTTTTCTCACCCTTGGATTCAATCAACTGCTGATGGAAAATATTTGGAGGCAAAATGGATGGCTGCATCTGCATTTAATGTGTATAGACTTTTTTTTGGTCATTATTCCCTAACCAATACAGTATAACTATTTATATAACATTTACATAGTATTAGATGTTACAAGTAATCTAGAGGTGATTTAAAGTATATGAGAGGAGGTGCTTTTGTTAAATGTAAATGCCTCACCATTTTATATCAGGGACTTGAGCATCTATGGATTTTGGTATCCCAGGGTGGCCTAGAGCCAATTCCCTGTGGATACTCCACCCAAGGATGACTGTACAAACTTCACGAGGAAAGCTAGTTAACACGAGCCTAAGAGAATCTTGCAAAGAGCGAGCAGTTATTACAAAGAATGCATTCAAAAAGGATTAGAAATCAGTGAGATATGATATCAAGTCTGCCAAACCAAAGGCAAATATTGATAGAGGGAAGATTTTCATTGCTGACTTAACCAAACACATGCCTGGACCGCTAAGGAGTCAGGGACCCTAATTCATCTGCTTAGCAAGAGCACAGCCTATCAAACACAATTTAAGCACTTCTTCATAGGGAGTTAGATACTTAAAAAAAAAATTAAGTAAAATTCCAGTCAGGTATGTTCCTAAATTGCTGGCGGTTCCCAAGTAAAAGCACAGTCAGCAGCACAGCAGGACCTTAACTACTGAATTGCATCAAAGTTTCTGATCTCCATAATCAGTGGAGACTCAGCTACCACCACAGGCAAGAACAGCCTGCAGAAAGGAAACCTTCACATGGCCTAAGGCAGTGCTGCTTCAACTTTTCCACCCAAGCGCTCCCTATTGAGCAGGCTGAACTCCTGGCCTTAGCACCTACAAAAGCCTAGATGTCTCCAGTTTCATCTATAAAATTCCCTACAATTAATGAAATTTAATTGTAATGCAATATATTTCCAATTTTATTTTAATATAATAATCGCCAACATTTACTGAATGCTAACTACTTGGCTGGTGCTGGCTAAGAATTTTACCTAAGTTACCATTTTGACTTCTGACACAGACTCTCTCCTTTGACCAAAACCTTCATCAGGCTCCTCTGAGTTCCCTGCTTGACTAGGCCTGAACTTGGGCTTCCCTCTCTGTCCTTCTTGAATCCAGTTTGAACAAGAATCCTAAGTCAGTTAGAAGGAAATCTCCCTGGGCATCTGACCATACCTCCAATATCTTAATCCCCTGGCCTGCCTTCAGCAAGAATCCTGTCTAGTCAGCTTAGCCAGAAACCCCGTATCCTTGATGTTTCTTTGTAGTACAGTTGACTCTTGAAGAATGCAGGGGTAAGGGGTGCCAACTCCCTCAGAGTTAAAAGTCAACATGTAACTTTTGACTTTCCCCAAATTTGACTACTACTTATAGAGTACTAGAAGACTAGAAGCCTTAACCAATAAGTTGACACAAACCAGTCATTTGACACATATCTTGTATGTTATATGTGTTATATACTATATTCTTACAATTAAGCTAGAGAAAAGAAAATATTAAAATCATAAGGAAGAGAAAATCTATTTACTCTTCATCAAGTGGAAATGGGTCATCATAAAGGCCTTCATCCTCCTCAACTTCATGTTGAATAGGCAGAGGAGGAGGATGAAGAAGAGGGGTTGGTCTTGCTGTCTCAGGGGTGGCAGAGGGAGAAGAGGTGAAGGAGGTGTAAGAGGGGGCAGGAGAGGCAAGGCACACTTGACGTAACTTTTATTGAAAAAAATCCACGTATAGGTGAACCCACACAGTCCAAACCCTTGTTCAAGGGTCAACTGCAATTTTCCATGCACTGACCCCACCCTGCTCCTTGGTTATAAATCCTCAATTGTCCCTGTAGGAGCTGGAGTCTCTCCCTCACTGCAAGACCCCGTTGTAGCGGTCACTATGCCCACCACCATGTCTGCCTTTGATAAAGTCTGCTTTACCATGTTTGTTAACAAGTAAGTAGACAGATTTCTCTTTAACACTTCTAACAATAATAGATATTATTTCTGTTACGATTTTACAAATCAGGAAGCTTCAGCTTACAGAAGTTAATAAACTATTCCAAGGATACAAAGTTAATTATATTAATCTTGTATCAATATAATTATATATATAATCATTAACATAGAGATGGAGTTCAACCCCACACAAATTTCTAGTTATCCTTATCCTCTATATTATACTATAATGTTTTAAATCACTTTTAAATTAGTTGACTCTTCCTCCTCAATTATTTCAGGTAGGGGTTAGCAAACCCTTTCTGTAAAGGGCCAGATAATATTTTAGGCTTGTGGACCACAAAACAGTTTTTGCCAGTGACAACTACTCAATTCTGACATTGTAGTAGACAATATATAAACGAATGTGTGTGCCTGTGTTCGAATAAAACTTTATTTACTAAAACAAGTGGCAGGCTAGCTTCAGGCCATAGTTTGTCACCCCTTGATATAAGGACAATTCATATTTCAGGCCAACATGCCATACTTATCCTGTGGTTTTGCATAATCTGTTTGGGAATAACAGATCTAAAAAAAAAAACAGATTAAAAAAAAAAAGGCAGAAGTCAATACCAAAAGGTAAAGGAAAAGGATTTAATTTTTCCTTTATCTTTTACCAACCAATCTCACAATGACAACAGGGGACATATATGACCCTTCAGTCTCTCAGTCATGGGTTCTCTGATCCCACTGGGCCTCTTCTCAGCCTCAGGATCCTTTCTTGCGTTTCAGTGTGATTCCCCCAATCTAAGTGATCATGTCTTATTTTTCCATCCAACTGGGACCATACCCCTACAGCCAAGTGAATTTTCTAGTTATCCCTTTATATGTATTTTTATGTGATATCGCTGTGTCTTTGTTCATACTAAAAAAAATTGTCCCACACCCTCTGTTAACTGATTCCAACAGATTCTTTAAGAAATGCTTAATTGCATTCTTAGTTCAAAATGATCCTTTGATTCACCTATAATACATCATTTCTAAACATGCTACCCATACTATGAATCTTGTTTCAAATGTTGGCTCATTTTTTTCCAAATATTATAATGCTAGTAAAATAAAAGAATTAAGAGAATAGCTTAAGAGTTCAGTGTCACTGGATATAACTGGTAACTGACAAAAGTAATGATTGATGTTAGAGATTTAGCCTTGTTTTCACGTTCTGAATGATGAGAGGAAGGTGCAGCCTTCCCTTTCATACAGAAGTGGAAGGTAAAGGTTATTCAATAATTTGGGTTGGTAACTTTGGGTATCAAAATCAAGAAGATGAGGTAGGAAAAAATTATGGGGACACTAAAATGTCTAAATAGGCTGGATGCAGTGGCTCATGCCTGTAGTCCCAGCACTTTGGGAGGCTGAGGTGGGCGGATCACTTGAGGTCACAAATTTGAGATCAGCCTGGCCAACATGATGAGACCCCATCTCTACTAAAAATACAAAAAAATTAGCCAGGTGTGGTGGTGTGCGCCTGTAATCCCAACTACTCGGGAGGCTGAAGTGAGAATCACTTGAACTGAGAATTGCTTGAACCCTCAAGGAAGAGGTTGCAGTGAGCCAAGATCACACCTTCTGTACTCTAGCCTGGGCAACAGACAGACACTCCATCCCAAAAACAAACAAAACAAAAATAAGATGCCTAAATATACTAAAATGATATACATAAAATGGCATATGAATGACATTACATATTCTTGTTAAGAAAGAATGTCTTTTTGATAAGTGTTTCTCAAGTATTTTAATTGAAAAAGATAAGATATTCAAAAATATTCTTTTTTTTTTTTTTTTTTGCATGTTACCAAGATCTTCACTGAGACCACTTAGTAGGAAGAAAAATACAGAAATATACCCTGAAGTACAACTTTGTCCTTTCTCATTAATTCTTCCTAATAGCTGTTGTTCTCTCACTCATCTTGGGGTCGCCTCACAGTGCTCACACTGCCTCACTCTTCCTCTGCTGATGGCAGCTGTGTCTTATGTGGTAACAAAGAGTCCTCTCTGTGATCTCCTCACTTCATTTTTAAAGAAGCCTGACAAGGTCACCTTGTTCTTTTTTTTTTTTCTTTACCTGGTAGATGCTTGTGGTTTATTTCTCTCAAATTTACTAGCAGTAATATACTCCAGTTTTAAAAACTGTCTTAACAAAAGAGAATCTGAAAATGCTATCTGAAGAACCTGTCTCTCTTATGAAAGGATCTTATAAATAACATGCAATTTAACTTTTAAACAAGTATTCAGAGTGTTTTCATTGTTCTCAGTGAGGGCCCACAGTAGAAGAATATGGTGGGGAGTTAATGTCTTAAAAAAAATCACAAACAAAATTTGACAGTTAAACAAGTATGGCAAATAGTGCATATTTGATGCACGCCCAGAAAATGCACAATGCACATTCACACATTAGAGACTTTGAGAAGGTCTGAACAAAGAAAGCTGTTTAACATTCCAACAGTATCCCCTAAACTTGTCTGACCCCTGAAATTTTTACCCCCAACACCTCAACACCTGTTACCATCTCTTAGAACTACTTCATGGAAAGAAGCCAGACTTTTAGATAATTAATTAATAGTTCATTAAATTTAACAGACAGTTTAACATTTTAGCTACATCCTTATGAATTTCTTCCTATCCTTCTGGAAATTCCTAATACGATAATATGGAATATATCCACATTAATAAATGCTACAAAGAAATATAAGAAGCTATGACTTGGAACTATTTACCAATGCAACATTATAAATTTACCATGATCATGGTGGAGCCTAACCCCGATTTTGTGAAGTAACAGTGCGACTCTGGGATAAAGTGATTTAAGGCTATGTTTCAATTCCTTTACATCTAAAGTGGGGTTAGATTTGCCCTCTCTTCCCAACTGGTATATATTGAGAATCAGGTGATCAAGATCAGGAACTAAATCAATAATTTTTCACAAACAGTGAAGTGTTATAAAAGCATAAAGTGTTACAAAAGTTTAAAAAGTAGTATTTCAAGTACAGCATGTATTTCCTTTTCACAGAACTATAATAAATGCTGTTGTGATTTTTTCTTTTTTGAACTCTGACTAGATCACTGTCTTATAATTGTGAAATACCTCATTTTGCTTAGAGAAAATTAATTTTTGTTCAATCATTATATCATAATAACATATCATCAAACTTTTCAGAAAACACATGGCAAAAATAAGATCAGAAAACTCGGTTTAAAACAAGAAAATATGTATTGCAAAATAGTTTGTTAGCAGTGCCACCTTACTCTGGGCTCTCTTATGAACTCTTCTGTGGCAACCCTTCAGTCCCAGTGAATGAAGACAGTAGGGCTCTATATTCTGTGCGTCCTTCATTAAACTATTGATCCCTTTAGCATTATCCATAATGTTCCAGCAGCTCAGCACGTCAACTGGTGAAGTGCTAGTCTCTCTCTCCTTTCAATAACTTCCACGCTTTATGGAGAGGAAGTCACAATGATTTATTTACCTGACATTTTCCAGTCCGGATGTCGTACAGGGCCACTGAACCATGGCGAGCTCCAACTGCTATTCTGTGATTCCGCTCATAATAGCTGACCATGTAGAACCTGAGTTGAACATTTTAACAACAAAAACAAAAACAAGAAGCCAGGTGAGATGACCTGCACTTGGAAGTGGACAGCAACATTTCAAAGGTTAAAGCCAGCTCTGATATATATTTTGAAATAAATATATCCATAATAAATATATTATGATTTTTCAAAAATGTTTCATTTTAGTAATTCTTGAAAATTAGCTGAAAGAAAAATGATGTAGAATATCACTTTGGCCTCTTAATAATTATTTTCAACAGAAACAACTTACAATCACAAGCACCCTTGAATTTTTGAAACAAGAAATAAGGGCCAAATAAAAAAAAATTAAATATGAAAATCCAATTTTGCTACGGTGACTACTATGCAAATAGTTCTATTTGAGCAGAAATGGAAAAGATGAGAAGACTTACGTATTCCATGTAATTATGTTCTCCTGGTTTATTATAGTATTAAAGAGTAAACACTATTTACTCTATTTATGATTGTTTCTGGCAGAACAATCATAAAAAGACTACATAAAATTTATGCCTAAGTTCATATCAGTAGTTTAGAATAAAATTAGAAAACTATCCACCAGAAAAAGTTATCCTGTCAAGTTCCCTTGATTTCCCATGTTTACCAGCTTATCTAATGATAGCCATGGCTTTTAGCAGTGTGAATAAGCATATTTGGTACTTATATTGCATTGCATAAAAATAGGATTTAGCAAGGATGGTTTGAAGATTGTAAGAGATTGATTTATTATTTATTTTTATTTTTCCAGATTAATTTTCATGATGAGGTTAAGTATTTGAATTCCTTGTCTGTGCATTGCCATACTGATTTCACGTCTACATGGCTGAGGCCTGAAGGTAAGAATAAAAATTATGAGAAGTATAAATAAGGTATAATTTTATATCTGCGAATAGTTTCAAATATACCTTCCCATTATCTAGTCCTATTGTCTCAGTGTGAGTTGCCCAGATGAACAAGTGGCCTACCCTAGATATTTAGGAGGATTTTGCACCAATTCTATTACACGTTCTTTGTCTTTTCCCCTTGGGTTCCATAATACCAAACTAACTGTTCTGTTAATATTTATATTTTATAAGGGGGGAGGAAGAGGCAAAACATGACAGAAAAAAAAATCTCATTTCTCTAATGCTTTCCTGAGGTAGATATACCAGGGCATGGGACAGCATTTCTGATATTCTAGTAATAGAGGCTGAGAGAGACAAGATATTTGAATGTGGGAGCATTCTGAAACCAGGGATATTCTGACAAAGCCATTTGGCATTAGCAGACACTATGACATTCATATATATTTCATAAATCTGGAAAACAAACCATTAAATTTTTAAACTTTTGTTACTTATTATCAAGTAATACACTGAACAATATTTTTGTCCCAACCCTAAGCCCCACTGAATAACCAACCTCCTCCCCTTTAGTGGAAGGTTAATGCTCATTTTTTTTTTTTAACTTTTAGTAACAGGAAGGAAACCACTTTAGTGTGTCCTGCTGGGTGGATTTTCTGTGCTCATGAATGGCACTGTCCTCTTTGTACATTGGTTTGAGAGAAGGAAGGATATAGAAAGCTCCTAAAACATATGAAGCTTCCCTGGCTACTAAGTGGTTAGGAAAAAGCTAGTTTCTCAAAGTTTTTCTTGTCCAAAGAATATTACTCTACCTTAAGAGAAAGAGTGGGAATCAGCATTCAAAACCTACCATTCTCACATTTGAAAATGAAAATGATTTAGAAGAGTTTAAAAAACAATTTACTGTTTTGTTACTCGATAATTACAGTGGTCTAAGTATTGGGCATCACTGTGTCCATAACTGTGCCTACATCTACATCTATATCTATACACATATACTCATGAATAATGTATGTCTTATTATGGTACATAGAATATAATATCTAACAAATGTTTTAGCAAATATTTATTCTGTGCAGGTTAATAGGCACAGGAAAATATAATTTGCAGTGGTATTTTGTTTTACCTATTATTTGCACAAATTTAACAACTATATTGCCAACATCCTTTTGCAAAACTGAAAATAATTACCCCCAAAATAACCCTCTTCAAAACAATACATTGGTAAGATATACTTGTGTTGACAAAATCTTACTTAGTGAAACTAGAATCTGAAGAGGTTTTGTTACATTGCCCATTTCCTATGCTCTGGATATCAAACTCATCCTTCTGTATCATCTACAAACACCATTATTTATGGTAGAAAGAAAGATCAAATCTATTCCTGGAATCAAATCGTTACTTTTCCTGAAAGGACCATATATATTACAGGTCTGCATTTTTCATTCTTTGGAATTTACTACTGGACTAATACTTGTAAACAATAACTTAAAGAATTCTGGACAGTGAAGGTCATAAGGCATGTTTTAATCTTAGGATTTCTTGTTAAACTTTTTATTCCTTTAGCAGTGGCTCTCTTAACAAAAGAAATCAGTGGTATGTACGCAGTCACTTCCCAAGTATTCACTATGGGAACCAGCTGCAGTGAACCAATCCCTGCTGAGGCTTCCAGAGCCCACCATCCTCCTGGTCTGCTCTTTCCTGGAGCCAGTCCTCCATGTAGGGTCTGTCAAGACGAAGGATGGTAAGTCCTCTATGTAAGGTCTGTCAAGACGAAGGAGCAAGATGCATTACTTGCTCCCTGCCCTGAAGGGATCAATGGATTGAAGAGAAGGGTCCGTTATAGTTTTTAAAGCTGCACTTTTCTAATCTTGACCAGATCCTGCATGACCGATTTTTCCTACGGGATGAAAATTCCTGTAAAATTTGGGGGTTTCAGAGTAAGTGTTATTGTGTGTTGAGCCTTCTGGAAATGGTGTCTTGGTCTCCAGTTCACTGTGTTGATAACATGTCACTTAGGCAGTTGCCCATGACCTGGCAAGAACCATTTTTATATTCATGTTTGAACAACAGTTCTCCTCTGCTAGGCAGACCACAAGGAAACTGTGAAGCCAGAGAACACATCATCACTCAAGTCAGTGAAAGAAGAATCAAGTGGAAATGGGTAATAATGTAAATTATATTTCTTGCTGGAGCTGAGGTGGTCATCATCCAATAAGTTGAAAGTCACTGATCTCCATGCTTTCATCATTGTCCGCATGCAGTCAGAGTAACTTTTCAACAATAAATCACCTCCCTTCTGTTCACAGCCCTGTTCACGCTGCTCTAGTCACAGTGATCTCCTTGCACTTTCTTGAATATGCCAAAGGGGTTCCCATTTGGGGGTTTTGACAGTTGCTGCTCCCTCTGCTTGAAAATCTCATCAGCCTGTTAACTGCCATTGCTCGTGCCCTCACTTCATTTACATCTCTGTTCCAAAGTTATCTTGACAAAGGAGGCTTTTATGGGCCACCTTGTTTAACACAACAGCCTTTTACCCATTATTTTTAACGCAATATCCTACTTTTTCTTTATTATGTCCATCACTATTGAGATATTAAACAATGATTTTTATTTATTGCTTTTTATCCTCCATCTGGGACTTTGTGTTTTGCATGAATACATAAATATGGTCCAAGCAAGTAGGATGCAACAGAAAGTGAAGTTTGAAACATTACACTTACCCATTATCCAGTGTATGATCTATGCTAAACATGGATTTTTATGACCAATGAATATTTTATAGGGTCTAAAGTAATAATTGAGATGAACAACAAAGGAAACAAAAACTGTCCAAAAATGGCAGAAATCAAGAAATGGGCTCTCCCATGACCCTTCTAGAAATGTATTTTCAGTGGAAACAAACAATTGTAGATTTACAAGAAGTTATCTGTAAAGACTCCTGGAGTCTGGGTACCTTAGCATGAGACTGACAGTTACATAATAAAAAATATGTAGTTATATATTAGGGAATTAGAAAAGATTGCATGAGCTGAAATTCAAAAAGGTAAATACAAACAGTCTAAATAATAATATACACAATAAAATATATTTTCAATATAAATGTTGTCCTGGAAAAAAAATGACTCTAAGAATTTGCCAAAGATTTATATTAGCACACACAAATTTCAATAAAAATGGTATCATTTTGATGCCATTATTGAAATAGGGCAAAACATAATTAAAAGATAATCATTTATCAATCATTGTTAACTATTACTAGAACACGTTATTGTGGAGGAGTGATACAATCCAGTTCTTCCGAGATGTATTTGTGACTTCAACTATTGAGGAGCAACCCACAGTGGGGTGTACAAAACCCCGGAGAGGGATGGTTTGAGTTTGAAACACAAATATGAACTGAGTCTACTCTGGCACAGCAAATCACTTTGAAGCACACCATGTTGCTTGGGAGTTTGCCAAACACTCAGTACCTGAGTTTCTAAATAACTTTGGCACTCCCTATTTATACTTTCCCTTGGATTGATGAACTTTTAATCTTTATCAAAAATGGCCTGCAAATAAGAGAAAATGTGTGAAACTTAAAAGTTAATTTGAAAAAAGAAATAGAAAACATGCAACTCTCAGCAGATTAGGACTTGGGAGAAAGATAGAAACCTGTAAAATCACTTTAACTATGAGTTCAGCAATTTGCAATGATCTCAGGATGTTAAGTTACTGCTGTATATCACTTCCTTGGACATTAGAATGCAACAAGAAACACTCTTCAATTAATCCAAGATTAACCTCCAGCTTCACATGAAACCATCTTAAATCTAAGCGTACACAAAAGAGAATATAGGGAATAAAACTATCTTTTTTTCCCCAAAATAATACCACAACTACTACTATGTGCAGCTAACATTTACTGAGTATTATGTATCAGGCACTGTCCTAAGTATCTGTATATGTATTTTCAAAAGTAACCGAGGTATTATGAGCAATTCTTATTGAGTTGTTTTTAGGAATTCTTAACATTGATTTAAAATGTTTCACACCCACTAACAGTAACTACTCTTAACTATTTACTGGATCTGGATCTTAAGAGAGCTTTTTCTACCTTTTTTTTTTTTTTTCCCATTCAGACTGCATCCTCTCCCTCTTACTCTCGCAGAGGAAGAGAAGAACCATCAGTAATGGCAAAGCGCAGTTGAAGGGAAGCAACATGCTCAGGGGAGGATGCTGCGCCTCCTCTTTGTGATTTCTGCTGCTCTACACATTCAGAGCAATTTCTCTAGTAACAAACTATAGAAATGATCCTTGAAAGTATCGTCTATTTTCTAACCTTTAATACAAAAGTGATGTACATACTACACATACTTTTCTGCAACTTCGCTTTCTTCATGGGATGGTCCTCTCATGTCAGCACACATGGATCTCATGTCATTCTTGCTCACATCTGCATTGTAGTTCTGCGTATGTGCATTATATTATTTAACCATTCTTTTTCTGATGGGAACTTAGGTTATACTGTACACAGATCCTTGTATACCTAGGTATTTTTGTAGGATAGTCACCAAAGCTGCATCAAAGCATATGTACATTTTAAATTTTAGTAGACAATGCAAAATTGCCTTCACTTTTCACTAAAAGAATGTTCCTACTTGGTATTACCAAACTTCATACTTTTTTGCCAATAAGAGGAAAAAAAGTATCACATTTTTGTTTTAATTTACACAAAGTGACTTTTTAGACTGATCCACTTGGTTACAGTCTGCAGGATATGCATGTAGGTTACATTCTTAATGTAAAGAAAAATTATTTAAAATCGAATCAACTGCATGTTGCATCCCTTTATTCATCATGCATACTGGATGGGAAAGGAAATACCTATGAGGTATTCCCAATAAACCACAGGAAAGATTTGATTACACAACACAGGCAAGCTGGTTCTGCAGGAAAGAACAACAGGACTTCTACAGTGGAGCAATGTACATGTCACTTTGACCCCAAGAAGGTACCAGTGACAACCAACTACCTCAACCTCCTTGGCTAGACAGGACAAGATGCCAAAGAGCTCTTTCGGGGCCACAAACTTGAGGAGCTCAGCCTAAAAGATTCAAGGGTAGGTTCTCAGAGAATTGGTCAACAGCCCTCATGGATGCCATAGCCACAATCAAGGGGGACAGTTTTGTTCAGGAAGAGGCACTGTCTAGAACATGTTTGCATACACCCTCCAGAATTTCAGACTGCCATGCTGCTAATATGTTTGAAAGGTTCATAGACATCAAGGTGGCTTTGGTGAAGGCATCAGCTCAGGGCGAGCTGTGTTGTTAGTTTTGGGGGCTATGAACGGTGGAGGGTGGGGCAATGTTTTCCAGAAATGCATCATTCCTGTGGAGAGCACTAGTTCAAAAAACCAAATGAAATATCTCTTATTCTGGGATGGTGACAGACACTGGGGAATTCCATTTGAGAGTCACTACTTCCCAATCAAGGTTTTGCACACTGTAAATAGTCAATAAGTATTTCCTGCTGAGTAGTTCATTTCCCTCTGAAAAACTTGCCACAAGCACACTGTAGCTGGCATGTTACAAGCAAGATCAAAAATGTTTCCTGGGCTATCCAGGCATCAGCAATCCTGCAAGGAAAAATAGCATGCACATCTAGGGTTTGAGGTACAATGGCTGAGAAACAGGTTCCTTATTGCCTGGATCTATACTTACTAATTGTGTAACCATGAGTAAGTTCATTAACTTGTCTATGTCTCAGTGTCCTGATATGGAACAGGGGAACAATAATGGTACTTATTAAAGTATTGTGTGGTTGAAATGAGTTAATGCAACAGAAGTACCTAAAACAGTGCCTGACACATAGTAAACACTGGTAGGTGCATGCAAACCGTATCAGCTATCATCATCATCATCATCATCATCATCATCATCATCATCCATCTGCATCTCTGAATATATACTACAGAGAGATTAAATAAGATGTAGTTAATTTGCTATTTTCCTAGGGCAAATAAGTGTCAACTAATAACATGCTAATACATAAGGAAAATGAATGCTCAGAATATTTTAAATTTATATATTTTCAAATACTTACAATTTACAAGTATAAACCTGATAATAATTGCAAATTATTTTATAGCTTCCATCTAAATTTGCTAATATAATAGGGATTTGGTCTGAAACACTTTTCTGTAGCATTTCAAACAGGCTGAAAATTAAATATTCCTCCTGTTATACAGTGAAATGGAATACTGCTGGAAGGTCAAGTTTTTTGTTTTAATATGAAGAACTTTAGCATTAAAAGACAGCCACCTGTCTGGGAGATTTTAGGATAGACAAACTGGACTAGAATGATTTTAGAGGGAGTTCTACTTGTGAATATAGAAGTAACATCTATAATTATTTATCATGAAATGTATTCTATAAAATGAGACCTAACTTAAGAATTTTACTGGAATTTAGGACTGAAGCTACTTTACATCCCATTATTGTAATCACCATATGGGATAAAAACAAACCACAGATTTGGAGGAGTTTCTTAAAATATGAGCTCATGCACTGTTCTAAAGTAGACAGTGTTCATTTCCTTACTAGATTTTAAGTGCCCATTTAGGTGAACAGAGCTGATTCAGCTTTTCACTTGAAAAGCAAAATCAATCAGTCTGTCTACATAATAACGAAGTTTAAGAAAAGGTAAGCTATCTCTGAAAATGCAGACTTTTAACTGTTCTGTCTAGATTAGTTTTTTCATTCAGTTCAAAAGTTTAAACACTTATTTTACCTTGAATTTTTTAAATCTTATCTGTGTTATAGCTATAACGTTTCCCCAATGACACTTTTTACTATTTCTTTCATTTGCATTATTCTAATATATATCCAATTTTAAAGAAACACACACTCATTGAAAAGAGAAACACAGATGATTTATCATAGAAAAACAGTTAAGAAGTGAACGTAACTCTTTACCAATAATTCCCTCCCATCACCCCCAGTATTCACCAGTCATAGCTTGGGGTGTGTCTTTCCAGATCTTTTTCTCTTCATATATATACCTGTATAGGTATGAATATTGATCTTCACATA
Source organism: Homo sapiens (assembly GCF_000001405.40). NCBI lineage: Eukaryota > Metazoa > Chordata > Mammalia > Primates > Hominidae > Homo > Homo sapiens. The sequence goes on along the minus strand of NC_000018.10, from coordinate 56,954,508 downwards.
TAGTTTTCTTTTTTAAAAATGATTTTATTTTACATACTCTTCTGCAATATTGCTAGCTTCTTTTAAAATTTCTCTTTTGCTAACATCTTTCCATGTCAGTAGAAATGGCTTACCTCAATCTTTTTAATGGCTGTATGGTATGCCACAGTTCTCTACATTTAATAGAGGCAACTGTTAGTAAGAAATAATTTCATTTAGAGGACACAAGTGAATGAGTGTTTTAATATAAAGCATATTATTCTATGTAAATACCAACATAACTTCCGACAAAGGTCAACTAAAAGTTAATCAGTTAAATCCAGCAAAAACAGTATTAAACACTTTAAATTTTAATGTCAATGATTTTAGAGGGATTTCTACTTGTGAATATAGAAGTAACATCTTAAGTAAATTAGAGAAAATTATATCCCAAGTCCTTTAAAGTTAGTACCCTCCATGCCACTACTAATGTCTTTAATATCTACTGGAAAGCCAAAGTAGTTGAGTCATTACATGCATTGTTCAGTTCTATGCACATAGTGCTTGAGAATTTCTTCATTCTTTGCCATGAAATATGCAATGTAAAAGAATACACACTGTAATTTTTGCAAAGTAATCATTGATTCATTAGTCAGCGATTCACAATAGTGTTTAATTAGTATTTCGTTCAATGAGAGTCATTCTTATATATAAAAATAAGCATAGATTTTGGAGTCAGAAGGATATATCTGCCTGACAAACATCTACTCATCTTTGAAAACTCTGCTAAAAATACTACCAGTTCTCCTTTCCTCTATGCAAAACTGCCAGCTCCCTCCTTTGTGTCCCTCTTATCATGGCACTGGGTCTCTTCTGTGTGTCCTGGACACTCTTTTCTCATAGTGTTTGTGACAGCTCACTGATTGATCTCTCTGTCTCTGCCAAGCCAACTTTAAGGCCCTTTAGGGCAGGGACTGCCTGACAGGCCCAGCATAGCACACAGCACAGACAAACGAAGAATTGAATGAATTGGAAATTTTCAGAGAAGTCACACAAGTGCTTAAAAATTATTTTACTTTGTTAAATTGAACAAGTTCAATTTTTTGATTCCTATTTGTTGAGTGGCTTGTTTTTTTCTAATTTTGGAATTGGGTACTAAGATTAGCCATTTATATGTTAAAAACCAGTCAGTTAAAATATTTTCATTTTTATTTTCAGTTCTAAAGATAAACACCATATAGTGTTATAAATATCAACATTAAATATGACTGAAGTTTCTATTGATTTTTCATCTCTTTAATAAGTATACTGAGTGGATGATATGCTTTTTTAAAAATACGGTTTATTTTTTAGAGATGTTTTAAAATCAAAGCAAAATGAGGAGAGAGTTCCTATATTACTCCTACCTCTGCATACACACAGCCTCCCCCACTATCAATATCCTCCACCAGGGTGACAGCTTTCTGATAAATTTACATATCATTCACATTAGCGTTCACTCTTGGTTTTGTACATTCTATGGATTTTGACAAATGTATAATGGCATACATCTACCATTAGAGTATCATATGTATCATATAACATAGTGTCACTACCCTGAAAATCCTTTCTCCCCCGACCTCTGGCAACCACTAATCTTTTTCTGACTATAGTTTTGCCATTTCCAGGATGTCATATAGCTGGGGATCATATAATAGATAGCCTTTCCAGATTGATTTCTTGCATTTAGTAATATGCATTTAGTAATATGCATTTCTCCATGTCTTTTCATGGCTTGACAGCTAATTTTTTAATAGTGCTGAAAAATATTCCATTGTCTGAATGTAAGAGAGGTAATATGCTTTTAAAAAACTATCCGTTTGGTTTCCACTTAAACGTTTTTCTCCATAAAACTTCATCAGATACAAAAATAGCATTAAACAAAATAGGAACTCCTTGTTTTTCTTAAAACATGTGATTTACTTTCCATATTAATTGAGTTCTTTGTTCATTAAATAGTCTTAGTGTAGGATTACGTTTGAGAGTAATTATTTCAAAGAATTTTTAGGAAGGCATCAAAGAAGCTGCAGCATTCATATAGCCCTGCATTAAGATGTATATATTTTAACATGTTTCAGTATTGTAAGACAATGGTTGGTAATCATATATTTGTAAGTCAGTCACGAGAAAAGTAGCTGCTACGCAAAAATTTTAATATTTTGGAGTTGAATGTTGCCAAGGTTAGCAGGCACAAGAGCCCCTTGTTTCATACAGGAGGAAACTGAAGTCGAGTGATGTGCTCCAGACTGCACAGCTGGGTGTGGCAAAGGCGGGAGCCCTCACCACCTGGAATTCGCTGTCTCACCAGAGGCAGTCCCACAGGGACAGCTGAGAGCAGTGCTTCTCAAGTGTCCACACTGACACCAGGATGTTATTTGCCCTTTTCACTCTCATTTTCTCACAAATGCATAGCTGAGTTTTCCAGATTTTACATGATCTGAGATATCACAGGTGGAAGCGGATAAGATAATTCAGCTGACTTATGTTAAGCCAGACATCAAAGAGGTTGGCAAACATCATTTTTCATAAAAGTATTTTTATGTTAACATATAATGGGTTTTTAAACAAAATAAATAATTTTAAAATTTCTCAGTTTAAATTTCTAATATGGCAAATATTGATAGTTATAACTCACTGTAAACAAATGTTCTTTGGGCTCTTCAATAATTTTTAAGAGTTTAAAGGGGTCCTAAGATTAAAGAGGTTGAAAATTATTCACTTAGAGTCTTAAATCTTTGAAAAAGCAGACTATATACATAGTGTATATATGCATATATGTATATGTGCATGTGTATATACATATAGTGTGCATATAAATATCTTAAGATATAATACAGATATACAGTATATATGTAGCTTAAGATATATACATCACGTGTGTATATATCTTAAGATTTCATATATAAATTCCATATTTTAGGGAATTATATATATTCTGTATCTTTGAGAATTTTGTTTCAAAGACACAAAAGCAAGCTAAACACAAATGCTTAGGGTTGCTGAGAAGAAACTGTAAGATAACCTTAGAATCGACAGATGAGATGACATTTAGGATGGGGAGAGGTAACTGTCAACTAGAGAAGGGAAAGCCAAGGTAACAAAGGTGAGGAAGAGGGTGTGAGGAAGAGGTACGGGAGTGTGCGCCCTGGCTCTCTGTTCTAGGAGCAGGCTCTTTAATCCTCAGTGCAGGCACAGGGTCTCTGCATTCATCATTCAACAGTTAAGGTTGCTGGGACTATAATAGGAAATTATCAGAGAAGTTCCCTGTTCTTAAGGGCCTAATGAGTAAAAAAAGGATAAACAAGAGGAGTGAAGATTATAGAATTCTGTGAAGCTAAAAGGGTAATAATGTGAGAGTGATGGCGAGGAGGCTATTATACATAGGGAGGTCAGAGGAGGTTGACCTGAACGGTGAGACCAAGCTGGCTTCGTCAATATCTGGAGGAGGTGCCTTCTAGGCAGAGGAAATAGCAACAACAAAAGTTCTGAGGTAGGAATAAGCTTGGCCTTATTAAAGGAAAAGAAAAAAGACTAATGGGCCCTGAGCCTACAGAATTTGAGAATGGCACTTCAAGAATGCAAGCCTGACACATTTAAGAGGACGTCATCTATAACATGACCTCAAAACAATAGGCAGATTTGCTACCAAGTATTATGTACCATGGTGATTTAACATCAAATGCCCATGGTTCCTTAAGGAGGTCCCCTTCTGGAATCAGTGGCACTGGAATTTGAGGACAGTCAGGAATCCCAAGAAAAGTTAATGGTCCTTTAAAATAAGTAGAAGTTTCAGGATTTCTATTGAGCTACAGGAAACGTAGCCTTAGTTTTCCTGAAATCTAGCCTACCTTCTCTCCAGGTACTGGATTGTAGGAAAGGTTATCACTTTGGGATATGGGAGATGCAGAAAATAACGAGTTTTAAGAAAGAAAAAATATGTTTCATGATTCTGTGCAAAAGGATTTCACTACATCAGTGGTTCTCAAACTGTGGTTTGCAGATGCCTTTCCTTTGAGAAGTCTATGAGATCAAAACAATTTTCATAAAAATACTGAGGTATTATTTGACCTTTTCATCGTGTTGACTTTGCACTGATGGTGCAAAAGCAATGGTGGGTAAAACTGCTGGCACTTTAACCCGAATCAAGGCAGGGGCACTGACACGTACTAGTTTAGCAGTTGCTATATTCTTCACTGCCACGCTGGCAGTGAGCAAAACAACAGAACAGTTTCACTTCAGAATATCCATGATGAAAAAGTTATTAATCAATTAAATTTCAACCCTTGAGTACACATTGTTTCAATATTCAGTGTGACAAAGTGGAAAGTACACACAAAGCACTTCTGTATACTGAAATCTCATGGTTGTCTTGGAGAAAAACACTCGTCAGATTGACTTGCAAAATGAACTAGCTGCTTTTCTCATCGAACACCATTTACTTGAAAGCATAACTGAGAGAAAAACTACAGTTATTTGGGAGATACTTTCTTGAATATGAACAAAGTTAAGCCTTTCCAGGAAAACAACTGACAAGATTTATTGCCAACGATAAATTCAAGCTTTTAAGTAAAAATAAGAATTTTGGAAGCCTGTATCTGGCTTCTCAAAACTAACTTTTTTGAGGAGATCAGCAGTAATATTAGCAAATGTGCTATTTTAATATTGTTAAATGCAAAGTGACCATATATGGAGAGACAACATAACTCAGTGGACCAACATTCTCCGAAGACCAGTGCATAATGTTACAAAATCACAGGCAGGTGAAAGACCCATTCAAAGTGCAAGATACACTGGTGGATTTAATATAACAGTAAAGTTCATGTGACTGCAGATTCCATACTGCAACTAACCTTTAAAAAACAATCACATGTTGAGTTTTGGTGTAGTGCCCAAGAAGATACAAAATTACCTGAAAAGGCTATTAAAACATTCCTCACTTTTCAACTACACGTCTGCGCAAGCAGATTTTTAAATTCTGACCATATATTCCAACCAAAACAATATACTGCAACAGATGAAAGACATGCATAGATATTAAATTCCACCTGTCTTCTAGACAGTAAAGAGATCTGACAAATGTAAAGCAAGGCTACTTTTCTCAATATTTGTTCATTTTGGAAAGTATTTTTCATAAAATATTTCTACATCAATGCAAAATGAGTTTATTTTAAATAAATCAATATTTTTAAAATGCTCAGTTTTAATTTTTAAAAGATGAAAATATAGATACAACCTTCATAAACAAAAACTCAGGTCTTCAATTTTGATGAGATCCTGAGACCAAAAAGTTTGAGAACCACTACTTTAAAGACTGAAAAGCATTTCGTAATCAAAGATTGCTTGTAGCCAAAGGGAAAGAGAGAGAGAGAGAGAGAGAGAGAGACTTTAGAAAACCAGTGGGGGCAAAAATCAGATTCCAGTAGATGAAGAGAGTGGGAGAGGTGACAAACTGGATGAAGTGTAAACTCCTTGTCCTGGAGAAGGATGGACTGGACAGTAGGTGGAGAAGATGCAGAGAGAAGGAAGGGTTTTTACAAGAGAACAAAATACACTTCCAGGCTGAGAAAGAGATGCCATAGAGAGAAAATGAGATGAAGGATGGAGAGGAAGAGGCCTGGGCTTGGAACTCAGCAATGGTCAGCTCATCCTCTGATGAGATGGCTGAACTCCATGTGTGCCCCTGACACGTGTAAGCCTGTGTAAGAGTGCACACCCCACTCTGAAGAGCACAGAGCAGGGATGAGATCTGTTCAGGAAAGCTGGGCTTCACTTTGGTCTGATTGTCAGCACAAAAAAAGCTCATCAGTTTGCCTGTTTTTAAAATGAAGGACAGGAGGCAGTAAGTCATAACAGAAGGTCTTTTATAGAATCAAAATTTTACAACTTGTAATTCTATAAAAATAATGCAGTAAGGTCACTGCTTAAGCGAAAGAACTGATGCCATTTATTAGGATGAAATTAAGGACTAAACACATGAAGCGCCATAGCTAGTGTCATTATTCAAGCACAGTTACTGAACTGAGTGGCTACATTGAGGGCGTATATTTTTTTAAACTAAAAATTGGGACAGAGCCCAACAAAGGATCTTTTTTTTTTTTGAATCTGTGAATTTATTTGACAAGTCTTTGAAAACCATAAAATTAAATCATTCTTGGTTATACATCAAATAAACTGCCTTAACTTAAAACAATAAAAGTGAGTGAAATAAGGACCTATCTGGGAATGCTGGGACATATGGTCTTTGGCTAGTTGGAGTCCTCTACTAGTTGCTATAAAAGAAATGAAGGGGAAAGCCCCTTTCCTCAAGCTACTTATAATGTGCAGTTTTAAGCTACTTATAATGTGCAGTCGTGCATATAATGTACGACTGTGCAGTTTTAAGTGACCAAAAATCACGTCTAGAGGCATATCTAATTTTTGCTCTGAAGAAATCCTAAAATCTCTTATGACTTACAATTTCATTAAAAAAAAACCCTAATCCTTTATTTGTCATGCATTACGCCACTACCAGACCTCAAGATCATAATACAATCACCGTAAACTTACAAAGTACATTATATTTGTAGAAGTATTTTATCTTCATTTCTAACGGAGCCTTGATAGTAGCTTCCAAGAGCTTAAACCTCTCTATTCTGACATTAGTAAAGAATACTTTTGCCAAATAAAAAACAAGCATTCCTTTTGGAACATGTGCGTATCACACATACAGATTCTAGAGTGCTTTTCTCTGGACTCAGTAGCATCTGTGCAGAACACACCGCAAGTACTGCTCTACGCCTTCACGTTTCATGATGCTGCAGCACACTAAGTAGTGTAACACCAGTCAGCATTGATCCAGTGACCAAAGGAAGACACATAATCCAACTGAGTCAAGCATGGCACACTCCGTGTTGATTGGTCTTCTGCGTGAGGGACTTCACAAGGGGATCTGAGTTCAGTAACGTGGCAACTTGCAAAGGAATTTTAACAAGGAATTCTGAAGAAATTTCAGTGATGTTTATCCTCCCAAGCCTTGAAAGGAGTCAGTTCTACTTTCTTGGCGTCTAGGGTATTTTTAACTGAGGATGCTGTATTATTTATAGTCCAGGCAATTAAATGTAAATTACTCAGAACCCTCTAACAATAATTATCTAGAGTGCTAGATGATGCCTTTTTGAAGATCACCGAGGAGACGTATGAAGGCAAAGCCAAGGCCCAGCTGGGAAAGAACCAACAGAGATTCATTTCTTAAATGTTACCTTATTGTGCTTCCTATTCTGCTCATTTATAAACATAAAACTAATTCAGTGCTGCAGCAGTCTTGTGGCTAATACGTTTGTGATTTAAAATGGATGCAGTTTGATTCCTATAAAATAATACAGCCATATTTGTTACAGTGATAAAACATCTGACAGGAGAACTATTTTGTATAACTGTGTTTTGAAGGATGTGTGTGCTACATTTTTTCAAGGGCACTGAAATCTAAGTAATTTTCTTGTATTATTAGTAGATGACACTATATTATTAATATCCCAGAAAGTGAAATGTGAATTATTAGGAAATATTTAAAGCTATGACTATAACATTAATACAGCTAGTTAATAGTGTGTGATTTTTACAACTTTTACTGGATTTATTACAGAAAAATATCTATAGCTACGTAAACAACTCCAGGAAGAGCTAAAGTATTTCAGTTAATACAAAAAATGTCTTTTTTATTGTAGAAAATAATCATAGCTGATAATATTCTCACAATGATTTTTACTTTCATGGCTTTTGAAATAAAACCGTGTATTTCATATACACACACACATATATGTACTTAGGTACATATACACATACATAATACATACACACACATACATAACATAAAGGACTTAGGGAAGCTTCTAGAATACAGTAAAAAGACAAAAAAGACAAAGCTGAAGGTATGATTATGAGGGAAGGAATACAGGAGACAAAAGCCATAACTTCCTAGACATAAGCAGGGACTTTGGCTTTGAACTGCTTAATGCCCAAGGCAAATTTTAAAATTAACACCGGTTATACGAGAAAAACAAACAAACAAACACAAACAAACAAAACCCACATTCTAGGTTCCTTAGGAAAACAAAAACGGGCTGTCATCTAGATTTAAAAGAAATGTCTCGATTGAGTCTTCGTAGAAGGGACACTAAACAATGTACTGAGTGACATCAACATGACAGCCCTGCGATAACGGGGCCACCATGTTCTTATGCACTCCCTTGAAAGGTGGCTCCATGCAAATGGCAGGCCTAATGCTGAAGAGGAACATGGGCAAGGAAACCCCGGAGGAGAACAGACAGCCTAGGCCAAACATGCAGCTCTTGGATGGTTTCACCCAATCTAGGGATGTAAACTAGAATACTCTGAGGAATAAATGGACCACATGTATTCTAAACTAGCTTCTTAGTGCTCTGTGTTTCTCAGCTGAGTTTTAGATAAAACCTGATTAATGAAAGTTTGCACTTAAAGTCATCAGCAGGCATTCTGTGGCACTAAGATCAAGTCTTTAAAAGCTCATGGTGTATCTCTGGAATGCATGGGATGAAGGAATATCTTCAGGCATTTCCTTAGAAATTCTGAGTTTATTCAATATATAAATGAATAAACATCCAAGGACTTAAGGTTTTACATAACACAACATGGCCACAGAGAACAATGACTCAGGTTTTGTTTTTCTTGATTTTGGATTACTAGAGTACTTGGTTTTCAAAGTTTAGTGTTCATAAGAATCACCGGGGGAGGCTATGAAATTGCCAGGCTTCAGGAAAGTCAGCTGTAGTGGCTGTCATGTGGATCCTAGAAATCAGGTCATTCTCTTGAAGGTAGTCTGGGAACAGTACTCTGAGATCATTCTTCTCCCCAGTGCCTGACAGGGAGCAAGTACTCTGCATGTTTCTAAATTTCACCTTCCTATCTGTGTCCTCAGTTCTCTCAGCTACTAGGCACTGAATGTACCTTATTTAATATTCAGTTGTGTGAGCTCCTTCCTAGCATGTTCTTGACAGTCACGGAATCTCTAAAACTACCTGGTTTATAAACTACACACATATTTTATGTCTTCTCTATGAGAACCTGCAATTTCATGCTGACCTCAGTCCTACAGACAGCTACAGACTATTCTAGGGCAGTCACACTGTTCATAGGATAGATTTTTATAGAGTTGGACACGAATTGCATAATAGAAGAGTTGAACAGTGTGACTGTTCAGAAAAGTCAACTCTTCTTTGCACGTTGGCCCCTAAAAAGTTTAGACACAAATGTATGGCTCACCTCTGGCAAATACAGAGGACTTCTATTCTCATGTTGGCCTTGTCTTGCTTTCCTACTCCTATTCTTCCTTTGCCTCAATTTCCTCACTATTTTTACATTTGATGATCACTTTCAAAGCTGCTTAAACTCCTTTACGGAACAGGGTAAGTGGATGTTTTAAGTATGTGTGTATGTATGTGTACATGCATACACAGATGGATAAATACATACAGGTTAAAAGCTAGATATAAAAAATAATCAATGATGAATAAGAAGGTTTGGGTTTTATCTTGGAGTTAGAACTTTATTAGTCACTGAACTAATAAATATCACTATAAATATCACTATCTAATTCTCCAAAAATGTTTACATTTACATAGTGTCTTCTTTAATTTGCTTGTGAATTAATAGGTTTGAAAACATTTAATCTGCAAAGTGCGATATAAATGAAAAATATATTATTAATTATGCATTGCTATAATCCCATGTTTTAATATCAACAAGCGAGATTCAGTCAGTGATATAGAAAGAATGTCTATCAAATTTTACTGGTATGCGCTCTAAACCATTTCTGTTTTCAAACAGATGACATCGGAAGTTTTAACAGCTGATAGAAAAGCTATTATATGAACAAAATTTTTAAAACTAAATTTTTTGTATAGATGCTTTCAATGGATTCACAGTTTATAGCTCAAATTTTAAATATGTTTTGAAGAAAGTTATCACAGAACAAAGAAATTCAGTTAACATTGTAATTTGGTGACTGAATGTACCACTCATTAAATTATATATTAAGTCATTATGAAATCATTAATAAACGGGACTTTAATAAAATGGAAATTTTAATTTGCAACCTGATAAATAACTATCAAAATAAAGAAAATCTTAGAGAAATTACCACGTTAAAGTTTTAAAATCCTGAACCTAAAAATGAAAACCCAGGTGCACATGAGAACTACAAGACTGGCTGGGCGCAGTGGCTCACGCCTATAATCCCAGCACTTTGGGAGGACGAGCCAGGCAGATCATGAGGTCAAGAGATCAACACCATCCTGGCCAACATGGTGAAACCCCATCTCAACTGAAAAAAGAATACAAAAATGAGCTGGGCGTGGTGGCTCACACCTGAAGTCCCAGCTACTTGGGAGGCTGAGGCAGGAGAACTGCTTGAACCTGGGAGGCAGAGGTTGCAGTGAGCCGAGATTGCGCCACTGCACTCCAGCCTGGCAAGGGAGTGAGACTCCATCTCAAAAAAAAAAAAAAAAAAAAAAAAACCCACAAAACATACAAAAAAACCCTACAAGCCCACTGGTGAAGGTGAAAAAAACTAAATAACAAAATAAAACCAAAAAACCCAAACTCAGGATTATTCAGCATTCTATATATAATGCTATTTTATCTTTGGACTCACAGAGAATAATTTTATGTTTACCACAAGTCAGAATACATTCTGTTTTTAAATACTCAATGACTTCAGGATACTATATTAGTTAGCTCTTAATTAAATTAATACAGCTTTAGATGTGAAGATCATGTTTACAATGCTGACTAAAAATTATTTATTACTTTTTTACAGATATGAAAGCAATAATGTCATCTGGTAGTTTTTTACTTATATATTACTTTGAAATACATATTAGCTAATATTTTGTATACATTTTGGATTTTCACATTATTCTTAGAGAGATCCATGGAAAAATAATATTGTGTGAATACCCAAATCATAAGCACTTTTCTAGATGCATCCATAAATATTTCATTTATGAAGAACACTAATGAAGTTTCACACCATTTTGTGATCTGTCAACCACAGCAACCGAATGCTGACATAAGGCAACATTAAAGAGGTTAGTCTAAGATAAAACCCAGAGCACATTTTAAAAAAGGTAAAAGGAAGGAAACAAAAAAAAAAAGAATACAAAACTATATAAAGATTTTAAAAACAAACATCACATATCTGAACCACAGATATTCATGCCATTGACTTTGGAGTTTCCTATTTCATGAAAGGCATTTTGTACATAGAAGACTCAAAAGTGCTGTAAGGCACCTAGTAGAATCCAACGGTACAGACATGGCAGATATTCAATAAAATAATTTTAACTCCTACTGATATGTTACCTTTGTTGTTGTTCATATATTAACCTAGTAAAAATCAGCCAACAGATGGAGTGGCATTGACCTGTGAAACTTCTGAGATCCCATGCAAGCTTAGTGTTCTCTGAAGTCCTCTATAATTTATCATCTATTGCAGCTCACATTTAGCATAAGCTACAAGCTTATATTGTTAATCATTCTTCTATGTTTATGTGCTGACTCACAAATAAATGGGCCTATGTGGACTTTATTTTCATAATCTTAATAATATCTACATAACTTAATAACTTTGTTATAAATCTGATGTTTCATAAAATTTTGTGTTATCAACTATGTTCTGGTAGAAGAATTACACATTTTTGCTTAACTTTTTCTGACTTTCTATTGCCTATCAAATACAGTAAGTCCTTACTTAACGTGAGGATTTAATATGTTCTTGAAAACTGACCTATAATGAAACCAGTTGTACCACAGGCTAATTGATATAAATAAATAGTTATGTTTCTATGGCACATTTCTGGTCACAAAAACATCACCAAACTCAGAAAGACCCAAAACACTTCCAATGTTAAACACTGAAATAAAGTTGAGATCTACATACATTTAAGAAAGATTAATAAAAATGTTACCAGGACCACCCTGATGAAATAATTGGAAAAGTTCTTTTTCTTACTGTTTTTCTTTATTTATGCCCTTTATTTGTAGGCACAGCTGCATAAAGAAACCAGACAGCCCAGTAGCACCAGAGCTTCTCCATTCCTGACCAGATACCAGAGGGAGATAAGATCCCCAACTGGCACAAACTGGAACAAGTGACCCCTAGTTGCCTTTAGATCCTTAATATTATCATTATAATGCTAAAATTCCCTCCCCCAAAAGAACACCTCGCCATTTTGTGTCATGGGTTGCATGAAGATGTATGTTTATGCACTGAGCCTGTGCATCTGGGGTCCCACCCTGTGCATGCTAACATCCCTCTCCCTCCCCATACCCGGTCCTTAAACGCACCATGCCTTCTATTTGTCGGGGAGAGGGCGTCTTTAGACCAAGAGTTCTTTCCTTCTCCAGGCCTGGCCAGGAGTAAACCCTGCTTGACTTTTTCCTGCTTTGCGACTGATAACAAAGCAGGGAAAGAACTCCACCTACCAGTGACAAAAACAGGTAAGATCATTATTTACCCACTTATTCTAGTTCAGGATCATGGATGGCTGGAGTCTCTCCCAGCGACTCAGGGCACTAGGCAGAACCAGCCCTGGATAGGATGCCATTCCATGGCAGAGTGCGTGTGCACACGCCAGACACTCTCGCTCAGATGGGGACCATTTAGAAATGCTAGTTCACCTAATGGGCACATCTTTGGGATGTGGGAGGAAACCAGAGTACCCAGAGAAAACCCACATGGACCTGAGGAGAAAGTGTAAAGGCCACATAGACAGTGACCCCAGCTGAGAATTATTTTTTTCTCTTCAACATTATGATGAAATGATGTTGAATGAAATGACATTATTCAAGGACCTGCTGTAATAGTCAAACTCTTTCCTATGAAATTCAAAGCCCTCTATACTCGGGCACTATACTAGACTCCTATCCTCAACCTATGTTCTAGCCACTCTACTACACAGCATTTACCAAACTTGCTGTACACTGCTGTGCTGCCAAACATTTGCCAGCCTGGTTCCCTCTGCAATTCAAGATGACACACCCCTAATTATCCTGCAAAGCCCACCCCATCAACTCTTCTGTGAAGCTTCCAGAATCCACCACCACTTTTCCATCACCACAACTCCCTCAGAGGGAAAATCCCTCTTTCCATTTGGCAGACACTTTTATTAAGGCATTTTTCACAGGTTATTATTATTATTATTATTATGCCTTCTCCTTTGTGAAACTTTTTCAGACTCCCATACCCAGAATTAAGCACTCCATTTATTGCCTACCTCAGTCCCTGGTATGTAATTCTACTCCAGCATAGGAAGAAGCTGGAATCATCTGTCTGTATAATTACCTCTCCTGTGCCCCGTGAGGATATCATCTTATTCATCATTGTTTCCCCAGGGCCTGGCTAGTACTTGATACACAGTAGGTGTTCAATAAATGTTATTAAATTGATAAACAAAATAGAACTCCTTTCCGCCAAATCAGAAAAAATTTATACTGAGCCTTCAGTTAAGACACACGCCTCCTTAGCATTCTAGCAGAACCCTGACTCTTCACTGACCACATAATAGGAAACAAAAGTGCATATGCAGCAGACTAAGGTGGTTTTAGGGATTGAGTATATGGCTTGTGGAGGAGGTAGGCTTCCAGCAGAGGGGAAAAACAGATCCTTTAAACATTGAGCACTTTCATGTTAACTCCAGGAAGCTTCTTTACATGCCAGTGGCTGGTGCTATAAGGAGCACTGTTAAAATTCAGTAAAATAAGCCCTAATAAAACTGCTTCCTCATCACCTCCAGGAAGTGACAGGCAAAAGTACATTTTCGCTTAGACATTCCCATTGAAAATAGTCAACTGGAAAAATAACAACTACCTGTATTCTTAAAATCAATTAATTGTGCATAAGATTTAATATATACAATTCTTAAGAAGAAGACCATAAACCAAACACACGGCATAATGTTAAAACACGGCTGTATTCTAATTTGCCAAACCCCATCACAAGAAAATATGCATCTGTAAACAGGTATGCTACAGTATAATTTTTTTAAAATTTGTGTTTATGTTTTTAAATTTTGGGATGCATGAATCAGAAACTGCAAAATAAAGAGATAGGATACAAGGTCTATTGTAAATACAGAAAAAGATATGCGAAGGCTCATAGAGTACAATCACGTGCTGAAATACATTTGCATAGCAGGTAATGCCATTGCTCTCAGGAAAGCTGTAGTCTAAAATGAAGCTTTCTACTACAATGTATTCATAAAAATGAGCAAAAATAGAATATCATTGAACTTGTCTTAAAAAGAAAAATGTTATATAACTATGAATAACTGGTTGTTCTGTTTTCTACAAAAACAATTATCTTCAACAGATTTAAATACTATTTCTAACGACCGCATGGAGATTAAACCTTTTTTAACAAGATGTACCTCAATCTATAAGCATTTTGAGAACCAAGCTTAAAACAGCTTTGAAAGAAAAATAAACATAACGTTACTACACTTTGGCTCTAAAAATACCCCTTCATGCTATAATAATTATATGCTATATAATTATTAAATTATGTATATATATAATTTATAGTTATACTTAGCAAATGCAACATTGTTTATGAAAGTTTTAACTTTTCTTGGCTTCTTTTCCTGCTTTCTCATAAGGAAAACACCTATACTTAAGAGAACGTAATGCAAAGACTGGCCTTGGTATTAAAAATAAACTTTATCAGTGAAAGCGTGGCACAAAGATGTCTGCTGGCAGAAAAGAACATTTTCTTTCCAAAGCCAGAAGCTTCCTAACTCAATTGTATAATGTAAATAATAATTAGAGTAATGAATATAAGAATACAGACATATTCAATGAATGTTCTCTCTTACTCATTTTTTCTAAGGTTTGAGCAAAATATCTTCATCACCCAATTTCAAATAGCTAACTCTACTATATTTTTGTTTTTAACTGTAACCTGCCCATATTGTTTTAGAAAGTAAGCAGACATTAATAAATAACTGGATTTCTAATTGACCAAGACTACTAACACCATGCCAAAAATTTTTAAAATTATTTGTTACTGAAAATTATTTATTCTGCATGCTCTTGAAGGCTTCTTTACCTGCAGATGGCTGGGAAACATTCTTGAAGACCTTTCTTTTTAACTAAAGATCCTTCAAGGCAGTACATAATGATGTCCATAACCTTTGACAGAAAAGAACAGATTTAAAATTAATTTCAAATACTTAATTTTCCAAAATGTAAATGATTAATTTAGGCCTCATTTGCCCATAGAAAGTCTATATAGCTTTATTTTAGTATTTAAAATAAAAACAAAAGCAATTTAAGCCATGTGTATACTACAGTCTATCCTTTCTCTTATCTGTGAAAAGAAATTTAAAGGACAGTGCAATAAAATAAAGACAACAGACTTGTTTAGTTTAAAGTCAATTCATATTTATGTACATAATACATTATTCAACACATTATATATTTTATTTATAATGAAAGATGTCAAAGGGAACATAACCTTTACATATTACAGACCTTTACATATTACAGACCAATTCCATGTGAATGGTGAATGAACTTGAAAATCGTTTTGATTTTTGAGGAAATTTAAATAAGTCTTCCAGAAATGGCACAAAAGTTAATTTTAGTTATCTCTCTCTTACACACACACACACACACACACACACACACACACTCATTCTTTCTCTCTCACCCTTCATCTCTTTTAGAGATGCTGGAAATAAAGATACTGATTTATATTACTTCATTAGAATATTTAATTTAGGTTGCTGATGGATCATTTAAAACAGGATATTCTTACCTCCACGAGAAGATCCACAACATCTGTGGGCATCTTTTCAATAAGAATTTCAATGACTCTCAAAATTTCCCCTTTAGCTCGTGCAAGAGTTGTTGTGTGCATATTCTGCTGTGATTGGGTATTTGCTGCAAGAGCCGTATGTCTGTGTACCTACAAAACATTTCTATGCTGTAGATATGATTGACACTGATATAGTTTTACATTTCTAGCCATGGTTTATTTTTTACTTTCTAATACTATAGAAAAAAATAAACTTCTTGTGGGTGAGTCAGAAAATACTTTTGTTTACAAAAACAATACTTAGTATAATAAAAACTCAATAGGTATTGCCTAATAGAATTCTGTAAGTTCCTGAACATTATATGAGACGTTAATACAACACTATCATGACATGTTTAAAAAGAAACATATTGAGGACTTGTGAATTTGGTACATTTGGAACTGAAGTAGACAGAAGTTGGCAGATGCCCAGGAAGTAAAAGATACGATCCTTGCTCTCAAGTAATGATAGTGCAGCTGACCCATGAACAACATGGGTTTGAAATGCATGACCCGACTTATACTCAGATTTTCTTCTGCCTCTGAGCCTCTGATTAGCAAGACTAATCCCCTCCACTTCCTCCCCCTCAGTCTACTCAATGTGGAGATGACAAGGATGAAGACCTTTATGATGATCCACTTTCACTTAATGAATAGGACATAGATTTTCACTTCCTTATGAGTTTCTTCACATTTTCTTTTCTCTAGTTTACTTTATAGTAAGACTACAGTATATAATATATATAACATACAAAATATGTGTTAATTGTTTATGTTATCAGTAAGACTTTTGGTCAACAGTGGGCTAAGAGTAGTTAAGTTTTGGAGCAGTCAAATATTATTTGTGGGTTTTTGACTGCTAGGGGGATCAGTGCCCCTAACTCCCTTACTGTTTGAGGATCAACTGCAAATAAGACTTTAACCACACTCACTGTGTCCCAGAAATTATTCTCTAAGTGCTTTACAATTAAGTTGGAAAATCCATATGAACATGCCTCCAAAAATAATGAGCATGGCAAATAATATACATTCAGTGTGATTTTCCCTATACAATCGTAAGCTTTATAGTTCAGAGGAGAAAGAATATTAACAGGCCCTGGACTAGCCCGGGAAGAGCCATAAGGTAGTAGGCATAGAAACGGGGTAGAGGTCAGAGATAATAATAAGAAATACTTTAGTATTTTACTCTAATACTCTAAGATTGAACAATGAAGTGGAAAACTTGTGTGTGTTGTTTCATTTATTTTTATTTATTTATTTTTTATTATATAATATTTACAGATAGGGTTTCACTTCACTATGTTGCCCAGGCTAGACTCAAACTCCTAGGCTTAAGCCATCCTCCTGCCTCAGCCTCCCAAACAGCTAGGACTACAGGCACATGCCACAGTACCAGGCTGAAAACTTCTTTTTAAAGGTAATAAATGTGGACTGTTACTTTAAAATTATCTTTCCAGCCAAAAGCTGGAGTAGAATGAATTCAAAGCATGGGTATTCTAACAGTTCATTTTTAAAAAAATACTCATATGTAAATGGTGCAAATGAAGTTTGAAAACACAATTAATACAAGGACCTGTCAGACTAATGTGAGGCTTATTCACTATATTCAATATTATGACCTGTGCATATTCCACTGATGGGAAAAACTGGCAAAAAAAACCTTCCAAGACTAATAAAATTGGCCATTTATGCTCATATATATATATGCACACATTATATAAAACTATATAATACCTACAAAATAAATACATACATATGTGCATTTTAAATCTAGTGGAACCTTACTATAACATTATGCACTATTAGAAAAATGCACACCCTTAAGTCTACAAATTTATTTTAGATATGAATTCAAAGCCTCAGTGCCTCACATAAGCCTATACAAAATGCTATTAGGACTTTCTTTCCTCCCCTCCCAGCGAAATGCATGGCACAAATATTTACAGCATGCCTATTAGGGATAGCTCTGGGGCAGACATAGGCCCAGTAGGTTTCAGTTTATCTGAATAGACTCAGAGGTAATTTATTACTTTAAAAATTCATCATAGCTACAGGAAAAACAACTCAGACAGAGCCCATACCCCATGGACACTGAGTCTGCCCATTATTCATGCTGAAATGGAATAAACCTTTAAAAAAAATTTAAGAGCTGATCATCCTTTCCTTTTCTTCCTCCTACTAAGACCTATAGGAAAGTTCCTATAATTGGCTCATTGTTCTTTACTAGTTTTCCAGTTAGATGTGGGCAATTAGTTTGAACACTAAGAATGTGGGAATCAACTGGCATTCAAGTCTTTATCTGTGACAAGTAATAGGAAAAACAATTAGCAAGTTTATGACTTACATTTTTCGTTTACAGTTAGAGAGCCAGTACTAAATAAGAAGTTTAGTTTTGATGACAAGTAGGTACTTACATGTGAAAAGTGTGAACACCTTTAATGTATTTGAGTTTTCATATGCCTGCTGTAATTCAGATTGAAAAATGATTGTCAAATATTTATAAGTGAATTAACTTTGAGAACAGAAATGAATACAGAAGCAGAAGTAATGAATGCACCACACCGTGGAATTCAGTGTACATGCACACAGACACATGTGTTCATTTCAGTACTAAATTATTAACTTGCATTGTTCTAGAATAAACTGTAAAGGGGATTTGTGGATATGAACCCTCAGCTTATAGTATCAAATAATTCCTCTAAATGAGAAGATGGAGCACACTGAGAAGTTCCGCTCACCTCTTTGGCTATGGTGGTGATGAAGGCGGGTGGTCTGGCGGTGGCAATGAGCGAGAGGGCATGCCTCGCAGAGCGGGCCGAGTCAGCTGCTGGGCTCAGAGGCAACCCCATTGTGATGCTAAACAGGGATCAGAAAAAGGGAAAAAAAGAAAAGAAGCATTAGAAATATGGACTGAAAAGATTAGACACAGCTTATAATGTCAGTTCAAGGTCAATGGGAGCACTCAAACAGTTAGAATATAATGGACTTGCAACAATGGGCAGTGATTAGGAGTCAGGGTGTTCTGGCATCAAATACAAAATGGAATAATTAACCGTGAAGATTGAAAACAGTATGTGCATCTGTCCAAAGTGTTAAAAACGCCTTGTTAACAAATTATCAAGAACTAGTACTGAATACATATCACAAAGCTCAGAATGAGGTAAGAACGAATATTGTGCTGAATATTTTCAAATTTTTCCTAAAAATAGTTAAGTATTTATTTATAAAGCCATATTAAAAGACTGTAAGGTTGTATATCTGAAAGGAAGGCAAGATTCACTCCTGTCTATAAAATTGTCACAAGTACTGAGAATGACAAAATTATTTTTTGTTTGTATATTATTTTTCATTTGAAATATCCTTAGTACCACTGGTTTACCCCAGTTTAGTACTTTTAGAACCAATCTACTAAACAGCATGCTCCACCAACAGTTATTTAGTACTAATGCCAAAAATTCTATTAACTGATACTAATTCTGTTTATATAAAGAAGGGATAGCATGATGTTGTCCAGGCTATTTGTAAGACGAGGCACACAATGAAATAAATCTTCCCAAACTCCGAGAATGCCAGGGTCATGATAGGAGAGTGATGCTATATTCACTCCCCACCTCTACTACATGAAAATATCAATATTCTTGTTTCCAAGCTTCCTTTATATTATATATAATCCACTGGGAACAGTATCAAGACTTTTACTAAAATGTGGCACGTGATCTGCCCATTAACTGTATACAAGGAGTATTTTGTTACTCAGTATGGAATACAATTATAGTTTCCCGAGTTAAATATTTTTAAATTTAAATATGTATTTGAAGACATATGAACACTTATCCTACTCCAATTAAATGAGTATATGTGCTTTATATGTAAACTGGATTGTGTTTACTGAAAATTCTCAAAAAGTTTACAGGTATCTCTATAATTGATCTAAGAACCATTATTTTAACTTGTAGCTGAAAATAAAAATTATGTAGGCATTCTCTTCATTGTTAAAGGAAATTCTGCTTATAAGTCTTTGTGACTGTTACACTGCTTAAATCTCTGACTGATAGTATAACTGTCTCTCTTCTTTTTCCCATACGGAGGGTAGAGACGAAGCAGGGGCTCAGAAGACAGAACTATGGAGAGTTTTCCTTGGATGTTTAACACTAAAAAGAAAGATGTGAGCTGAGAGAACACACACATATTGAACAATGCACAAGCAGAAGGCATCGGTGGGCATCTCCCCACCTCCCTGCCATGGAAGAGCCCGATGCTCTTGGGTCCCAGTAGGAGCTGGAAAGAGGTGTTTTGCGAGAAAGCAAGATGGGCAGTTGGCCAGTTTCTTTTCTGGATTAAACTTGGCTAACTGCAAATTCAGTGAAAGAAATGTTTACTGTGTGAGTAGTGCTGGGGCTAGACTGCTTAATACTTATTGTAAAATTCAGATTATAAACCCAAATTTTAAGTCAAGTTTTAAACAATACAAAAGCCAATTAAACTACATGTAGATACCCTGTGATGCTTCTTTTCATCCATCAATGTGGATGAATAGGGATTGATGATACTGCAAGGCTGTAAACAATCAAAATGTTACATTAATTGAATAATTCTACACAAAATGAAATCAAGTTTGGGAAAATCAATAAAATCACAGAATGCTGGAGTTGGCAAAGATTTCCCAGGCAACATCTCTGACAAGCAGTCAGCCAGGGAAAAGGAATGTCCATCTCCTGGGCAGCCCCTCCTAGATCTGGAAGGCACGCTACAGAGGAAGAACTGGGTGCAGAGCCCAAGGTCTAGGTTGAAAGCCAGGCTTTCCTGTGTTATTTCATGCCCTTTGCATCTGCTCCAGAATATCCCTATGAAGTGGTTGATACAGGTATTTACAAGTGAGAAGGCGGGTCTGAGAACTTAAGTGACAGGCTGGGTAGTTGTGGATGTCTTTCAGGACAGCTAACCTTTGGAGACAATACACGGGGGAGAGGAGTGACCATACTGTGGTTACTTGGATTACTGAATCAGTAATGTGACTAAACTCAGTGGCTTTGGATGAATGGTTAGATTGCATCTTTGAGAGAAGATTTTAGTGATATGTTATAATACTTAGCTTTCAGCTGTTTTATTCAATATTAATAATGGTTTGAATGAAGATACAGGAGGCACAGTTATCAGTTGGTGTGGTTATAAAAATTGTAAGGGAGAGCAGCCATATTACAAAACAGAACTAACATCTACAGAGTTATCAGAAAGATCAAACTCAGCTAAATAAGAAGTCTTATGTGTGGGCACAAAAATGACCAACTTCACAGGTGTGGGATTGGCAACACACTGCTGAACCAGGCTCGTGAACTACTGAGGATTGCATCTGAAACATAAATATGTGTGGTAGTGATTCTGCTGCCCAAAGAGCTGGGCTGTGTCATGAGAAATACAATAATAGGGAAGGTGTTACTCCTGCTGTAGTTCATGGCTCTGGGCACCTGTCTGCCCTCCCCGTGGATATACTTCTCCCTAGGTGCTAAGAGAAAGGGTCTGGCTTCTGCAGGACAAGAGTTACAGTGTCCTCCTAGAATCCAGAGAAGTCCAGTCTGTCCCCAGCTGTGTGCTGCTGGGACCCCTTGCCATTGGAAACCAACATAAGCAGGATCATAGCAAACTCACCATTACCTCTAAGTTCTCGCTTCCATCCCTTCTCCGGTTCTTTTCATGGAAATGTTTAGTGAGAAGCTAAGAGAGGGAGACAGACAGATAGACACACACACACACACACACACACACACACACCCAGAATGAAGAGATACAATCATGTGTGCACTTGAGTGTGGGAGTGGTCAGTTGACAGATCTTCAGGGTTCATGCCACAGTGACAAGTGGATAGTTTCCCCTTACCCTTATGCTGTGTCCTGTGGCCACCCTGGACTGAATAAGTACATCATCTGTAAAATGGGTATATTAAAATATCTACTTCACAGCACTGACAAGAAGACTAAATGAGGTAACAAATACAAAAACAACTAGCCCTGCCGGCTCCTCTATTATATGTACAATAAATGCTTCTTCTGACCAAAGACGCTTCTCATAAAAAAAAGCAAAGTGAAGGGAAAATGAGATAAACTACCAGCAGGTTGCTGCTTCAAGCCAAGAGGCCTAGCCACACGTCATCCTTCCCCCATGTCAACAAATGGCCTTGTGAATTTGGGGGAATCAGCAAACTTCCTATAGTCATAAAAATGATAAAGGTTGGTGCTTTGGTGCTGGGTGGTGGGTCTAGAAGAGAAGCTATAGGGTAAGGGGGAAGGAAGTGAATCAAAGACATGTGAACCTATTGCCCACTGAGTTCAGTGGAAGCTGGAAAAGCCAGCACTTTTGAAGAGGCATCAGTGTGCGCACCTGAGGGATTCTCTCCATTGGTGTCTGGCAGTCTGAGCACAGGACTGCAGAATGTGGATAATTCTACAGCTCTGAGGTCAGGGCTCTGCAGTGACCTGGAGGGTATGGCATCCACAGTGCAAAAGTTGGGGGCTGTGTGTGTGAGGGTAGAGAGATGGTCAAGGCATAGGGAGAAACCTTGTGTCCCTCCTCTAGTCTACTCAATTCACCGTCATCATAGTCATCTTCCCAAAGCACCAACTTTATTTCCTGGTTGCCCTACTTAAAAGTAGCCTTCTCTACCACCTCTAGGAAAAACTCTAAACACCTTGGCTTAAGATTCTAGGCCCTCCATAATCTAGTTCCCTAATTTTCAACTCACTCTTTTCAACACCAATGCTCCTGAAGTCAGGCTAATTTCCAAGCTGGTCCCTAAAGGTCTGTTCCTTTATTTTATTCTAGTATTTTGCTAAGGTTTCTCCTCTAGCCCTTTCCCCATTGGTGCAGTCTCCTCCCTCCTCTCTGTTCAATTCTTGTCTTCCCACATGGTATTCTCTTAACTACGATAGCACTCATTGACTTCTAGTGAAACAAAAATAATCAACAGCAAACCCCATTTATTCCAGGCCCTTAATACTAAATCACATTTTGCCAGGCCTTACTAATTAGTTTTATATTATGAACTCTGCACAGATTTGAAACATGCCTGACAATTCTGTGTAACTCCCCAAAGTGCCCGGTACAGCCCCTGGACATGGTGGTAGCTCCACAGTTACACAGTAAGTGAAGTAGCTGGCAAATTCAGCAGGCAGAAAAAAAAATCATTTAAGCTAGCTATTGGACTGAATTGACCAGGCAATGAAGTCAAAGCAATTGATCTGGTAGTCCCAACAGATGAAGTCTAATTCTGCATTTGGTTATCTTTAAAGTCAAGAGTGCATTGTCTGTGTGATATATTTTAATGTGAGATTCTATCTGAATGAAGAAGGACCATACTATCAGAGGTTTGAAATTAAAGGAGTGTCAACCTTATTCTGGAAACTGCAGTGTAAATATGGAACGCATTTGTGTCATCTGATCCCACCTATCTGGCTGTTATGCGGATCACCCGTTACACAGGTTTACAGGATGGGTCTTTCGGTTCTCTTTATTCTAAAAAAAAAAGAGGACATGACAGACTCTCTGCTTTACTCAGCATTTCAGTGTACACACCCAATATGAAATATCAGAGATGACAGGTATTTTAAATAAAAATATGAATGGAAAAATAGTCCACGCAGCCTGAGCTCCCCCTTCACAGAACTGCTCATTAATCCTGTTCTAAAGCTCACTCCATCGTGGTGAAAGCATTTCAAAAGTTACATGTAAGAACACTTTGGTTAAATGTCATGATCTAAAATTGTCAGACTTTATCAGCTGTCAAATTAAGGAATAATGTAAGAGAATATTCCAGGGGGGCCGGTGGAGGAGACATATAAACTTTCATTGAATAGCCTGAAAATTTTGGTCAATAGGAACAGGGTAATGAAAATAGGCCACATCAAAAACAAAGACTTCTAAAATGACTTTAAAAACACATACTTAATGTATAGCCCCTGGTATTCCCATTTTATTCCTTCCTGGCTAAACAGGTATGTTAATATTTGTCCTCAATTTCACAAGATATCTTCAATTCCTCTGTCATGTCGTACCTTTATTTCACAACTTGCAGGTGGCATTGAGTTCCTAAACCCAAAGGTGGCAATTCCTCCCTTAAATGTGTATCTTTAAGATCTATTTCCTGTATGCTAAATACAATTACAGTGAATAAAAACTATGCTAATAGGATTTATTTATATGGCTTCCTCAGATTATAAATTTTCTGTTAAGAATAAATTTCACAGAAACAGGAAAAATATGAATAGCTTAAATATGGAATCCTAAAGCATCTTAGTGTTTGCATGATGTGTTTCTGTCTCCACTCCTCACCCCCAAAATTCAAGAATGGCTGAGATTTGAGCTAGCATACAAAAAATGTTTTTCTCGCATTCTAT
This sequence comes from Homo sapiens, assembly GCF_000001405.40. NCBI lineage: Eukaryota > Metazoa > Chordata > Mammalia > Primates > Hominidae > Homo > Homo sapiens. The sequence continues at coordinate 56,930,256 of NC_000018.10, read as the reverse complement.
GTAGTTCAAAAGGAATCTTTCTAATGTATGGTGCTTATCTGTGTGTCATCAAAGCATGTGTGGTTTCCAGTGACTTTATGCTTCTCTCTGAATGTTTGGTAAATTGTGATGATCCCAGAAAAGCAGTGGGCAGTCTGTAATTCACTAATGTCCCTCAGCTGTGGCAGTATGTGATGCTCGCCCGGCCCCTTCAGCAGCTGGGCCGGCACTGCTCCACTGTTCTCTTTCAGAGTAAAGGCCCTGCCACATGAACGAGGCAAATGGATCAAAATCACAGACCACAACTTAGAGAGATGGAAGTCTAGGCTTCCAAGAGCAGCAGAATTTTTCTGCTCCTTAGTATAGTGGGATTTTCTGCTGTTTCTATCATGTTATCAATCAATATGTACATGACCATGCTGATCTAACAAAATTATGAATGCATAAAAAGGTTAATACTATATGTTTCTACTTTTCTCACAATTAGCTGGGGATGGCTCAGTCTATGATTCCAATGAAGTGCAGTCTCAGTTTTCTCTTAAACAGTTCATCATGAATGAACAGTCCATCCCCATTATTTAAAAATTTCCTCACATAAGATTTTACCAGTGAATCACTCACCTTATTAAGGGTGGCATAGCCGTATGGTACAGGAGCTGCAAGATGGGAGTCAGGAAACCTGAGTGACAGTCTTGGCTCTTAGAGTACCACTGTGACCTCAGCCAAGTTGTTTAATCTGTCTAAACCTTATTTTTACTTAATAGCACATTACGGATACTGGATCAGATGATGTTGAAAAGATTTTCATCTCTAAAAGGAAAATCTTTAAATCCCATGACTTTATTCAACATTTATTGTGTGCAAATCACTTGGCAAATGTTATGAGTAAATAAGAATAAACACATAATATATGACACAAGCACTCAAGAGTTTACTGATATGTAAATAAGGCTTTTACAATCTAGAAGGTACAAAATCTTTGATGAAAATATTTTTTTTTTTGAGACAGGGTCTTGCTCTGTTGCCCAGGCTGGAGTACAGTGGTACGATCATAGCTCACTGCAGCCTTGACCTCCTGTGCTCAAGTGATCCTCCTGCCTCAGCCTCCTAAGTAGCTGGAACTACATGCTCCTGTAGTTTTTTTAATTTCTTAAATTTTGTAGAGACAGGTTCTCACTATGTTGCCCAGGCTGGTCTCAAACTCCTGGGCTCAAGTGATCCTGCCTCAGCCTCCCAGAGTGCTGGGATTACAGGTGTGAACCATCATGTCCAGCTGAAAATAATTTTATTAAACATATTTAAAAATCTAAAGTACACTGAAAATTCTGATTATGTACTTTAACGAATTGTTTTAATTCTGTGGATGTTAAGATTTGGAATGCAAGATCACACAGTATTAGGAGCTCTGGCTTTTGGAATAAGCTAGAGTAGGGTTTGAATCTTATTTTTTTCAGTAACTACAATGTTACTCTGGACAAGAGGCAGCATCTCTCTATCAGATTCATTTTTTTCTCATCTGCAAAGTGGGGATGATAATGCCTATTTCTTGAATTTCTCTAAAACAAGTTGAGGACATTGGAGATCTGAATAGCACAGAAGCTCATAGGTAGTAAGCATTCAATAGAAGGACTGCATCCCAGGCCACTATATCCCTGCACAAGGCTAGCTATGTGATAGGTGCTAAAACAAAGAAAAAACTCACTGCAACAATCTTTTCATAAAGTCAAGACACACCAATTCTTTATCTGACCCTAATCTATTCCCCTGAGATAATTGGGAAGGAAATTATGTTTGAGATTTATTTATTTATTTAGAGTCAAGGTCTTGTTCTGTCACCCAGGCTGTAGAGTAGTGGTCCAATCACCACTTAGTGCAGCCTTGGCCTCCCAGACTCAAGCGATCCTTCCTCCTCAGCCTCCCTGGTAGCTGGGACTACAGGTACACGGCACCATGCCCAGGTAATTATTATTTTTGTTTGTAGAGACGGGGTCTCGCTATGTTACCCAGGCTGTTTTCAAACTCCTGAGCTCAAGCAATCCTCCCACCTCGGCCTCCCAAAGTGCTAGGATTACAGGTATGAGCCACCACGTCCAGCCACTGTGTTTCAGTTTTACATGGGAGAATCCCAGTTTAAGTTCTACAAGAAATTAACAAATAAAATTAGCTAAAAATAGCATTTTCCTCCTTTCACAGATGTTTGGCATGCCTGCGCTTTCCTACCCCTTTCTTTCGCATGCCCCTGTCCTTCCCCCGCTCTCTTCATAACTACTCAAATGACAGATCCAAATGAAACCCCTCCTTGCATCCCCTCTGGTTACCCAGGGTGATTCATTTCACTATGCCCTGAATGTCTATACTTTTTACCTTCCTTCCCACTTTGCATCATGGTTATTTTGGGGCAGATCTTGTCTTTCCTGTAAGACTGCAACTGTCTTGAAGACATGATTTTTGATTCAAATTTGCAACTACAGAGAAAACCTAATGTTGTTCTTTTCACATATTAATTATACAATATGCTTGATTAATTAATAGTTAAAATTTGGCAAAATATCTGAAAACATTAGAAAACAACTGTAGATATTTTGATTTCAAAGATGTAAAGTTGCATATCATGTTTCTAAAATAAAGGGGTAACCAATTCTGGAAAAATACTCTATTTTTTTTTAAGAGTCGGGTCTCACTGTTGCCCATGCTGGAGTGCAGTGGTTCGATCATGGCTCACTGCAACCTTGAACTTCTTGGCTCAAGCAATCCTTCCCCTTCAGCCTCCTGAGTAGCTGGGACCACAGGTGTATGCCACATGCCCTGTTAATTTTTTATTTATTTATTTTTTAGAGATGGGGGGGTCTTCCTGTTTTGCTCAGGCTGGTCTCAAATTCCTGGGCTCAAGCGATCCTCTCACCTCAACCTCCCAAAGTGCTGGGATTACAAGCATGAGCCACCAAGCCCAGCCAGAAAATACCCTCTTCATCTCGAGGCATATACAGTGTTTTAGGAGACCTCTTAGGAGTCAGCTCAGCAGGAGATGTCGGGACATGGGGGAGAGGCAAAAGGGAACTCTGCCATGATATGTGTTCTCTAGACAAGGCAGGGGACCTGATTGGTTGCCCCTCCGCAAAACCCCTGCCCTCATAAACTCACAAGAATAAGAAGAAAGTAGGAAACACTGCTTATGTTTTTTTTTCTTTTTCAATAAACGTGAACTGAAATTTTAAAAAGCACAGGCCTAACATAAAAGCTTCTTCATAAAGCAAGCTTAACATCACAGACAGAAGCAAGGCGGCTGAGCACCGTTACTGTGTACACAGTAAATCAGGCACAAAAAGGGGCAGCCCAACAGGGCAGCACAAGGGTAAGATCCACACTTAACCCTCTGCACACATTGCTGCTCCACTTCCCACCATCTCAGGCTCTGCACCCTCTGCCGAGTGTGTCACGGATGTAACAGGCCATTTTCCATCTAAATCTTGTTATAGATTAATAAGCAAACATTTTCTTGCTTATTATGCAATTTATCATGATGAAAATTACATTGGACTCCTCAAGGCTACATGCTGATACATTCATTTATTCAGAGCTGTGTACAGAAAGTCACACTAATCTTCATGACAGAAAAGGATGTAATAGCAAGATTTAAATTGCCTACTGAAAACTTCAGTGTTTGTGTCTGTGGACAAACTACATGTAGATAAGACCTAAGCACATCTTTATGCTTGCTGGTACAAGCCTAATGTAAATTTCTTTAAAAACAAAATCAAACAAAATATTAAATACTAACCCTGAATAAAAGCCCTTCACTTCTCCTCCCAGGCAACAAAACAGTGTATACTACTGAAATTGTGTTTTGATCAGATTTAAAAATAAGCTCCAAAATTAAGTCAAAGCAAAATTTCAGACAATCGAAAAATGTGAATGTTTCTCAAGACAAACCAGGAGAGCTGCAATAACAGAAGCCAACACTGTTGATGTGTGGCGGGTGCACATGGCAGCTGCAGCCAAGGGGAGGGCAGAGGTTGAAAAGATGTTCTAGAGCTTCATGCAAAGGCCAGCTGCCTCGTACTATAGGCACAGACTCCTGGGCTCAAATTGCCTCCTAATCCTTCAAGTCCCATTGAGAATCTTCAGGCCTCCTGTATCCAGAAAACTATCCTGCCTACCATTATGCTAAACTGCTCATTCTAGAGTCAGGCAGCTCTTGATCTGCTGAATACAAGGACCTAACAATGGCATCACCACCAGTACCACCAGTACTTCTGCCACATAGGAAGACATTTCATCTCTTAATATATGCTCACTATTCTAAGCAATTTGCAAATATAAGCTCATTTAATATATCTTAGGAGACAGGTACTTTAATTAGCCCCAACTTGTAGATACAGAGAGGTAAAGTAATTTGCTGGAGGGCATACGGCTAGGGAGACACCGAGGTAAAGTTTAGGATGCATGGTAGTATGATAGGAGGTAACTGGGGGGCAGGCAGCAGCTGTTTAGGTTTGAATGAATGTCCTCTACCAATCTTCTTGGGACTTTACGCTGGCAATGCCCAATCTGTAGACAAAGCCACAGAGTTCCATTCTAGCCTTCAATTGCTTCTCTGGTCTCTACTTCCTGAGCATAGAGCAGTCAGTAGACAACTATGGACCCAAAGCATGCCAGAACTTAAGGGAATGGCAAAGCAAAGGGCTAAGAACTCTACTCTTAAAAAAAGTTAGCAAGGACAAGAATGAAACACCATTCATTGAGAAAATCCAAGTGGTGGTAACATTTTCGTTAAGGGAGGCATTATGGGACAGTTCAAGAATTCCAACCACTTCATACCCACTGGGATGATTATACTAAAAAAATAAAAAAGAGAGAAAGAAAGAAAAAAACAAGTGTTGGCGAGGCTGTAGAGAAAATGGAACTGTTGTGCACTGCTGGTGGGAAAACAGTCTGGTGGTTCCTCAATAAGTTAAACATGGAATTATCAGATGACCCAGAAATTCTACTCCTACATGTCTACTCAAATGAAAACAGGTGTTCAAATACTTATGCACAAATGTTTATAGCAGCTACATTCACAATAGCCAAAAGGCAGAAACAACCCAAATGTCCATCAACAGGTAAATGGATTAACTATATGTGATATAACCATGAATGGAATGTTATTCAGCCATAAAGAGCAACAAAGCACTATGATATGCCACAACATGAATGGACCTTGAAAGACATCATGTCAGTGAAGAAGCCAGTCACAAAGGACCACAGTTTGTATGGTTCTGTTTATATGAGATATGCAGAATAGGCAAATTCACAGAGACAGAAGATTAATGGTTGCCAGGGCCTGTTGAAGTGGTAACAGGGGAGGACTGCTTAATGGGCATGGGGCTTCCATTCAGGGTGACTTCTGTGGGGACTAAATAGTGGTAACAGTTGCACAACACTGTGATTATACTTAATGCCACTGAATTATAGACTTTAAGATGGCTACAGTGGTAAATTTCATGATATGTGTATTATACACCAAAAGGAAACAAAAGAACTCTTTGCAGGAATCAGGAGATTGAGTTTTCAAACCAACAGTAATCTCCACCACCAATAGGACCCCCTGCCCCATCAATCCTAGTCAGTTGGTCACCACGTGTGTTTCCCACCTATTTGACTTTAGCAGCTCCCTCAGTTCATCTTCCTCTTGTAGAACTCTCTCATCATTGCTTCCCTGGATCACTGCCACCTCCTCATGGCTGGTCCTTTACTGTGTTTAAGTGAAACCTCAACGTAGTTGATTTAAAAGCTAATATGAGTGTGGAGGAGCAATTCCCCAATTTGGCCACGTATGCTGGCCATAATCATTTCTGATCAAGTATCATGTATTTAATATATATATCATTTTCCTTATTAACAATATTATACTATTATTAGTGAGTAATACTTCACGGTATAACAAATACAATTGGAAAACTATGTCACATATCATTCACTGGCTCAGGGCTAAATCCCGATTGTGTTAAAATTATAGAAACATGCTTCCTTTTCATTGTCCATATTCAAAACTTCACATATTGAAACATTTGTGTATTTTTTATCTATTAAACATGCACAATCTATACAGAATGATCAATAAACCCACCAAAAAAACCCCTAAAACAAAAAACAGTGACAAATTAAATTAACCGGAATCCACACATACTTGGCAAGTTGTTTCTCGGCATCGGCACAAAGTTCGAGAAGCCCCATCAGAACAGCGGACACATCCATGTAAGGCTCCCAAACAGTGAACCCACGTCCAATCAGATCAATGGCTGTTCTTCGGATAGTGCTGTGTGGAGGAAGTTTGGGGCTTGGAGGCTGTAGCAGAAGAAACGTCAGTGCCTTGCCTGAAATTATAGAATAAAATGCAGAGCAAAAGGGGAATTTTACTTTTGTAATTGTTTCTTTTGAAGCATACTTTCAAAATATAATCCATTTTTGATTTTTTAACTGAAAAAGGTATTGAACCTCAAGACTACACAAGATCTTGGATAAATGGTTTGCTCAGCCACATTCTTTGAAGAGAAAAGTTAGGCTATATTGTTTTATACCATATTCTAAAGTGTTTTAATTACATATTGTACGTAAATGAGTATATATAATTTCAAAACATATCAGTGATCTTAAATTCCAAACAATGTTTCTCCCTAACTCAGGGTTCTGCAAAGTGGAGATGGTTTCAAATAATGTAATGTGGTACTTCTTAACCTTTCTTCTGCATCTAACACAGTTCATATGTAAAATACTCCCCCTCAGTAACACCTCTCATTACAGGCGCGTTGCAATGAAGGATGGAGAATGTAGAACATGTAGTTTGAAAAAGCTTCCTTCCTAAAGCATCTATTTTCCTCTATATTCTGGTGTATGTACTGATATAGTACAATGATGTCAAGTGTGTGGTAAGCTCTTCATATGATTTTGTTAAACGTGTTAATAGTTCAATATTATTTCTAAATCTGGTAAGATGACCTAGATCTTAATGAACATGTATTCCTTTATGTTGACGATGATGCTGACAATTTGTATACTTACGTCTAGTGGCTATTAAGCCACAAAACTTTATCTACTTCAGAAGGCATTTTGACATTTAAAAAAGAAAACCAGCAGGGGTTACGAAAAGCCAATTGTAATTTAGAAGAGTTTTTGTTTGTTTGTTTTTTTGAGGGGAAGAAAGAAAATAGTTCCTAAGTCACAGAACAGTACAGTATACTGATTAAAAGGAACACATGCTTCAGGTTTAAGACAGGGAATTAACCACGGTTCCATAACTTATCGGGGGCAGGCCTAGGAAGGTACTCACTGAGCCTGACTTTTCTCATACTACTGAGCTTATTCTGAATACCTATTAAACATGGCTCTTTTCTAAATGAAGAAAATGGCATATAAACTTTAATACAACATATCCAACCAACAAAAGTATATAATAATTTTTATATTATAGTCAATTGTTAAATGAGAATGGATTGAAATGGAAAGGAAGAGAAGGGAAGAGTATTGTAAAGCCAGGATAAGAGTCAGTGGATACACTGAAAAGTAGTGATTCTGAATTTCTTCTCAGTCATGGAACCCTTTAAGAATCTGATGAAAGCCATCAGTCCTTTCCCCAGGAAACTACACACACAGTCATACCCATCAAATTCTGCAGAAGAATGTCAAGGCGGCCATGGATTGTAGATTAACAATTCCTGCAGTAAACTAAACATCCCAAAATTCATATTTCGTATGTGTATTTGTAAATTTTACTTTTGTATTTAACCATATAATTATAATATGTAAAGCTTCATGTTTTACTTTTGGATCAGAAAAATATTAAACTCCTTTAAAAAAGGTAACACACATTTTTCTATTTTCTGCCAGCACATACGTGTCCTTTTATCACATGAAATGCTCATATTTTTAAATATGAGCATTTCCCTTTTCCTCAGTAAGTCTGTCAGCTCCTTGAGGGTAGAAACTGTGTTTCACATAACTTTGCATCTTCTAAACCACCAACCACAGTGCACACATTATTTACATAAATGAAAAATAGGTCTGCCTTTACTGTCAGAATATTTCTAATACAGCTCCCTGCCCCAGTTTGTCAGAATGATATTTCAAAATGTCTAGTTATCTACCATTTTCCTGTTTATTTTTTACTTCTTGGAAGTCATAAGAGCTACAGAAAAACTCCAGCTGCTATTCTCTGCAGACATCCTGAAACACCAGCAGCCATGGCTTCCAATCTAAGCAATAAGGGTCCCTGGAGGTGAATCCTTGCTAAATATTGCAAAAGGAGGTAAAGTTTCCTAAGTACAATCTTTTACAGCATTTCAGTCATTTTCCTTAGTGGCACTTTACCATTTTTGTATTCATTACAGATGGGAGCATACAGGCAACACTAGAGGCCTGACTGATTCCTAAGGGCCTCTGTGTTGGGAGCTCTAGAGGAAGCTTCCTCACCGCTCTGGACAATTTTTTCCTGAGAGTGAAAATAAACAATAAGTGGTCGATGTTTTGATATTTTCCATCACTGTTCTGACAAAGTGGGAAGGACAGCACAGGGGAACTGATCACTTGCACTTGGATGAAATGACAGAAAAGCGTTCTCCTTTTCTACCTCCTTTCAAAAGACCCTCCTTTCAGAAGACCCTGGCTCTACAAGGGCCACAAGAGTGCCTGCTGCTCCTCTGTCAAGCATGGCCTCACTGTGAGAATGTGTGGCTCAGCAGAAAACACAGGGCCCCTAGAGCACCAGCATCCCTTCTCTTAAATCATGTTCTATTTCACTCAACGATCTCATAAGTAAAATTCCCCTATAGCATCTCTCCTTCTTTAGTTCAAATTATAGTCTCCAAGTAACATAAAGTAAAGATCCCTACAGTTTTGGCAGGGCAGTTTTTACAGCTCTGGCAGGCCATGTGAGGGCATTAAAAGGAGAGAGGAAAATGGGCTACTCTACACACAAATTTCAAATCTACTGGTAAGAGTATGATGTTTCCTGTTTTTCAGGGAGCTGTTTTGGAATTACAAAGATGTACAAATGTTAAAACTCCCTGTCTATCTCTAACAACTTTTCCCAAATAAAACATGTAAATAACAGAAGTGAAAAAGGATATTCAAGTTAAACCTTTTGATTTCTAGCCTTGTTGATTAATAGGAAGCATACTACTTTTCTGCTACTAGCATTAATGACAATGATGTTCTGCAGGAATAATCTGGGATGCCTAAGACTTCAAACTTCTTAATCATCTATTCTTTATGCTGATATTAAGAAACCAGCCTTTAAAAAATATTATATAATAGAAAGATATAGCTAAATTTATTCCTTTCTTAACTTATATTGTATTCTCTAATTTAGGGGTTTTCTAATTTATAATTCCATATGACACAGGTGCTCTGCAACATGGATCAAAGAGGACCAAATGCTGAAATTAAGATAATGATAGGTCTTCCCTTTTGATAAAGTCTCATGACAGAATTTTATGAATTTTGCCTCCCATAATTTTTCTTAAACAGTTGGTATTGAATAAAAGTTGTATACTTTAATCTGTATAAGATAGAATCTAATTTTGTAGAAAATAAATATTTCCTTATTTGATATAAATGGACCACTATTCCACAGTATCTCACTGAGAGGGCAAGGTGGGGAATGATGCTACCATTGAGCATCAACACCAATCCCTTCTTAAAGGTTCTCCAGTGACGGTATTAAAAAGTTCAGCTAACTGGCCTGGCATTCAGTCAAGGATTTTCGCATTTGGTGCCAACCCATCAACTCAAAGATTCATGTAATACCTATGAATTGCAAATTGCTATACTCTACTATGTGCTAGGGAAAAAAAGAGAATAAGACTCAGTTTCTTCCCTTAAGGAAATTTATTACAATTCAGGAAACAGGAGCAAACAGGCAATCTGAATATATTGTGCATTGTGTTATAATTTTTATAAGCACAAGCTATCAAGACAGAGCTTAACAGAGGCACTTAACCTCATCTTGGGGGCTATAAGAAGGCTTCCAGGGGAAGGTGATCTTTATGCCACAACCTTAAAAATAAGTAGGAATTAGCCAGTTAAAGGAGAAGGGAAAGAAAACATTCCAGGCAGAGGAAAGAGCATGTGTAAAGACCAGGAAATAAGAGGGAACATGGCAAGATCAAGGGGTTACATGTAGTAAAACATGGCTAGAAACTGTGTGTATGTATGGTTGGGGAAGGGATAAATAGGTGAAGGGGAGAAGAGGGCGGGGGGATGAAGTGTAACAGTGAAACAAAAGGCAAGACAGGTTATTACAGCTCCAGGACAAAGGGCCTTATATGCCACGCTAAGGAATTTGTTTATTCTGGTGATAATAAAAAACCATTACAAAGTTTTAAGCAAAGGAGAGATCTGATCACATTTCATTTTTAAAAAATCAGTATTTGAGGTGTCATGTGATTAGAAAAGGGCAAATGCCCTTTTAATTCTGATCTTCTCATCCCCAGCCAAATGGGATTAATTAGAATCATAGAATTTCTGAATGGAAAGACCTTTAGAAAAATCTGGTATATTTCTATGTTCTATGAGATAACAGAACCATGGAGGACAAGTGGTTAGGTGTAGCTCTGGGTAAGGAATTGAGGTCTCTGTGGCCCCAACAATGTGTAATAACTAGTACACAATTTATATCCTTGTGAACATGCTGTATTCATGACACTACCAACTATGGATTCAGAACTACATCTACAACCAATCCCAAGTCCACTTTCTCCTCCTTCAGAAATAATTTCAGCTGAGTTAACGAGCATCTCCCCAAAACAGAAGATGAAGTAATGTTTTATCTTTTCTCAAACAATGAGTTTTTGTCACTGATGCAACAGATAACAATACCAAGGTTCCTGTAATTGTCTTTGCTCTAACTTAGTTGCATCATGGCCACAAAATGGTTAATTCCACATCCAGCACAGCATCCACTTCCCAGGCAGGAAGTGGGAGGAGGGTGAAGGACAAAAGGACATGTGTCAGTTAAGTCCAGCTCCTTTTAAGGTCTAATTACATATTTCATTGGCCAGAATTATACCATATAATAATTCCCTATTTTCCAGGGAGGATGGGAAATGCAGTTTGTCAGCTGTACATATTGCCAGTTTCAACAAAACTGAGGCTTTGTGACCTGGAAGGGGAGAATTGAATGGGGTAGGTAGCTACCAATTTCTACTGCATCTTCCCTGCTTATGTTAGAATGAAATTTTTCCTTTTAATATAGCAAATACTGCACACACAGTGAACAAACACAAATATACTATCTTTTGGCATTTATTCTATTGCTTAAAGCTATTTTTATTTATTTATTAATTTACCTTTCACACTTGCTAAACAGGTTAAGTTCCCTGGGCCAAATGACATTCAAGAAAAACACTTTTATGTTTGGCCTAAGGCTTAGCACAGTGCTTTATACTCAATAAGAACTTAATATATAATTGTTGCTTTGGTAAATGTTGAAAATTACTTTATACCATATGTGCCTAGCACAGTCAAAATTATGCACAGGTCAGAAATTTCTAAGAGTCTGCTACAAACTTGTCTTGGACAATGGCAAAGTTTCCAGTTGTATGGTGAAATATGAAAAATATAAACAATGTACTAAGTTTTTTCATAAAGCTATATTTATTCAATGTAAAGGAGTGCTTATTCTGCGGTATGGTCTTACTATTTCGGTGAGGTGATTTTCTTACCACTTTTTTTGGTGAATACATTTTTTTAATAGAGTGGTATTCTCTAATGTTTATAAAAAACAAAATAAAAAAATTGAAATAGTACTAATACATGCCCTCACATTTTATTTTTAGAAATTTTACTAGTCTATGATATCCAAAAGACTAGAAATCATTGCCATTTGTAATAAATTTACTATCCTGGGGGAACTAAAGAGCACCTTCTCTATATAAGTAACACAAACAGTAAGACCTTTTACTAGTCACTGACTCTTTATTGAGAATGTCAAGAGACTCCTAACTCAACTTGTTACAAGATGGAATTCAGCATTATTCATGTCAATCTGGGGCCATCTTCAAGATTAAGTTATCAAATCAGTGGTGTTTCTTACCTATAAGCTAGGTGAGCAGTACAGATACTGCAGCAGCTTTATAGTGAGAATTTAGTGTGTAACATCTCAGCACCACCTCTGTTATGTCAGGCCAAATGTACAAATAAACTACCGAAATGCAGACAGACTCAGAACACTAGAAGACAAATCAAAATGAAACAAAATCCTTTAAAAAGCAGAAAACACTTAAAATCCAGCATTGGATACATCACAACTTAGACCCTCTGGCTGTTGAGAAATGAATTCTGTTATGCTGTCAAGAATAATAATAGCTCATATTTTAATGCTATTAATTCATATCAAATTTTTACATTTCTTAAGAGTCCCAACTTTAATTGTACTTTTTTTTTAAAGGTGCTATGAGGTGATATGAAAGAGCAAAGCTGCCAGAAAATATTTACACTTTGCTGTAACAGCAAAATGCTAAAAAGGAGAAAAGGACTGAGGCAGAGAGCGCAAAATAAAGCCTATGTAAGCTGTGGCTAAATAGATGACAGTATTATACTATGGGTAACTTGTTGCTCCAGCAAGATGAATATTGTTCAATCATGAACCGACCAGTGAAAAATGCCAATGTTTAAAACTTTTGTAGTATCTGGCTACGTATAATGGCTAGCCCTTTTAAAAGCCATAACACACACCCACACACATGCATGCACACACATTTGTTCTCTCTTATTACTTAGAATTGCTTAATGAATTTCTTTTTTGGAACATTTATTTATCCCTATCACAAAGCACAGACTCAATTTATTAACGCACGCTACATTTATTGAATGCCTGTTATAGGAAAACACATCATTAACTATAAAGAAATATAGTTACATATTTTTATAAGCATCACGTATCATTTTCAGCATAATTTGTTTGATAAATAACACTTTTATATTGCTATTTCACTTTTCCTCTCTTACATCTTTAGAACAAGGGTAGGGACTACACCTGATAGTAGGACCTTCAGTTCACAGCACATACACAACAGACACACAGAACGCGGAATTTTTTTTTTTTGAGACGGAATGTCACCCTGTCGCCCAGGCTGGAGTGCAACGGCATGATCTCGGCTCACTGCAACATCTGTCTCCCGGGTTCAAGTGATTCTCCTGTCTCAGATTCCCAAGTAGCTGGGATTACAGGCATGCACCACCATGCCTGGCTAATTTTTTGTATCTTTAGTACAGACAGGGTTTCACCATGTTGGCCAGGCTGGTCTCGAACTCCTAACCTCATGATCCGCCTGCCTCGGCCTCCCAAAGTACTGGGATTACAGGCGTGAGCCACCACGCCCGGCTAATTTTTGGTATCTTTAGTAGAGAGGGGGTTTCACCATGTTGGCCAGGCTGGTCTGGAACTCCTGACCTCATGATCTACCTGCCTCGGGCCTCCCAAACAGAACACGGACTTCTTTTAATCACTACAATTATTTTATTCATTTAAAACACATACACACATACACACAAACAGTAAAATGCCAGTGGTGTATACTAATACAATACCAGAGGTGCCTCACACCTTTATTTTCTTATAACCACAGATGCAACTGAGATATTAATCATGCAGTTTTTTTAAAAAATAGTTTCCATTTGTGCAGAAATGGCACAAGATAATTAAGGATTTTAAAAGTTGTAAAACTAGTGACGTCGTTCCCAGCCTTCCATTTGTAATTTTTATTTCCTTTTTTAAATTTTTGTCTAAGTTCCGGATTAAGAAAATGTGGCACATATACACCATGGAATACTATGCAGCCATAAAAAAGGATGAGTTCATGTCCTTTGTAGGGATATGGATGAAGCTGGAAACCATCATTCTGAGCAAACTATCGCAAGGACAGAAAACCAAACACCGCATGTTCTCACTCATAGGTGGGAATTGAACAATGAGAACACTTGGACACAGGAAGGGGAACATCACACACCGGGACCTGTCGTGGGGTGGCGGGAGGGGGGAGGGATAGCATTAGGAGATATACCTAATGTAAATGACGAGTTAATGGGTACAGCACACCAACATGGCACACGTATACCTGTGTAACAAAACTGCACGTTGTGCACATGTACCCTAGAACTTAAAATATAATAAAAAAAATTTTGTCTAAGTTTTCCATTGATGTTTCCCTTAAACCCAAAGACCTCATAGGAATCTGCAGTTACCCGCAGGAAGTTTCTAGAACCAGCCATCATAAGCCCCCATAAACCGCCAGTACACCCATTAGAAGACAGTGACAGGCAGTGGATTACTGAGGAGGCTGACGGAGGAAAATGTGGACGGATGGTACACAGAAAGGAGGAGGGGAGAACTCCTCCATGACAAAGGGTCCCTCGCTAGAGGCAAGGGAACTTGGATTGAATGGCAACCAATGCTAACAGAAGACCATTGGCCAGAGAGAGGAGTTTTTAGGATTAGAAATTAAAACGAGTCAAACCATGTTTACTAGGGAGAATAACATTTTCTTAATAGAATTATTACAAAACCAGAGAGTTTTAGAGAATTTTTCAAACACCCCTGAGGGATAATTCATGAGTATTACTGCTGTCTGCTGGTAGGAAACACAAATAACTACTTTCTCGGGCTTTGGTCCCCCCTAGGCTAGTCAACTGGCCTAGTTAAGACAATTTCATTCCTCATACTTAAAAGAAAATCATCAATGAAGACATAGCCACTGCAGGTTGCTGGATCTGAATAGTGAAGAAGGGGAAAAAGGTCATATTTTAAAAATACTTTAATTAGTAGCTCAATTACAACCAAATTCCTATGGGAGAATATATTATATGCACTTTAAACCAAATGAATTTATGATGATTTATGCCATTACAATGAGTGCAAAATGAATTAATAATGATTGGCCACTTATTTCAAAGTGTAACCAAGTGAATGAAGCCTTTTCCCACTTGCTAATGTCCATCAAAGAACAAGGATGGCACAGTGCCATCTAGAATTCTATTTCTTTGCTTTATACACATCCTTGATTTAATTAAAAATAATTCCAAGGTACCCATTATTTATGAATATGGATTGAGAAACACTTCTATAACTAGAAGCTTTGTGTTAATGCAATTATTAAAAATTGTTTTCAAACTTTTTATATCCTGTACTGCATAAAAATAAGTCATTTCTTTTAATGGAAAGCATACAATAACTGTTAAATTAAGAAATTAATTTAATAAAGATATTTTAAAATTCATTAACATCAGTTTAATCAAAACAGTCTTCAAAGTAGTTAGCTATTTCCTGTCCTATAATCAGAAGAGTATAAAATCCAAATTCTCTTTGATTTAAAGCACATTTTTTTCTGTTCTGCTGAATTTCAAATTAAGTTGTGTCATGTAGGGAAATTTAATCTCATTTTGCTTTTGGTATAATGTATTTTGGATGGCAGACCAAAATAGGAGACAGTCTTAGCTTCCTATAAATGAGCAAAATGATGTTACTTAATGCATGTAGCCGTCTTCTACCTAGGGAAGGTAAAAAGTGCTGATTGTTTGATGGTCAGGGGATCAGCAATAAAGAAGTAAATAACAGAAACAGATGTTTATGTGGTCAAAGAGGTGTTAAAAAAAATCCATTAACCTACTGAATCTTTAATTGAATAGTCCGAACACTTCTATATCCCCTTCCCAAAAGCGGGAGGACTATTGAATGGCATGAGCGAAAGAGATGGAAGGAGGGAGGAAGGGAGACAGACAAGAGAACAGCCAGGTTTCAGTTCTAGCTCGAGCACCTATTAGCTGAATGATCCTATTATTCATTTCGTATTTACTGAGTGCCTGCTGTGTACCAGGCCCTATTTTAAGTGCAGATTTACAAAAGTCTATGCTCTTCTGAAGCTTATCTTCTAGTTGGGACATACAAACCAAATAAACAAATGTATCAAGTGGCACTAAGTGCTGTGAAGAAAAATAAAGCAGGGTAAGATCCTAGAAAGTGACAGACAGGGAAGGACTCTGCAGAAGGTGACATTTGAACAAAGACTTGAGTGAGATGAAAGAGAATCGTGTGAGTATCTGTGGGAGAAGCACAAAGGGCCCTGAGGCAGGAGCCTGCCTGGGATCTCTGAGGGACAGCAAAACGTCCAGTGTGGCCGGATGGCAGTGAACAAGGCAGAGTGGTAGGACATGAAGTCACAGAGGTAGCTGCGGGATGGATCATGCTGGGCCTTTTAAATGTGGGGTTTTATTCTAAGTGTCATGAGAAACTTGTGGAAGGTTATGTGGAGGACAGTGATGCAGACTGCTTTCAACTTGAAAGCAGCTGGGTCCTGTGTATGGAATAGACCGTAGTGGGGCAAGAGTAAAATTAGGGAGGCCTACTGAGAGGCTCCCAACGGCTCAGGCAAGACAGAATGCTGGGGTTGGACTATAACAGGAGTCATGGAGTAGTGATAACTGAATTCTGGATTTTTTATTTTATTTTTTTGAAACAGGGTCTCACTCTGTCACCCAGGCTGGAGTGCAGTGGTGTGATCACAGTTCACTGCAGCCTATACCTACTGGGCTCACGCGATCCTCCCACCTTAGCCTCCTGAGTACCTGGGACTACAGGTGCACACCACCACATCAGGCTAATTTTTTTTTTTTTTTTTTTTTTGTAGAGATGGGGTCTCACTCTGTTGCCCAGGCTGGTCTCAAACTCCTGGGCTTGAGTGATCCTCCCACCTAAGCCTCCCAAAGTGCTCAGATTACAGGCATGAGCCACTCTTTCTTGTCTGAATTCTAGATTAAAAACATTTTTTTTTAAAGATAGAGTGGACAGGATTAATTTAGGGATTAGATGTAGTCATGACAGAAAGAAAGTATGATTCTCAAAAATTGGGCATAAACAATTAGGTGAATGGTGGTTACATGTAGTGAAACGATAATAAGAGAGAAGAAGAGTTTCCTCTTGTTGTTTTGAAGCAAGGGGCAGTTATCCAAAGTTTAGTTTTGGGACATTTCAAACTTTAGATACGCATCAAACATTTAAGGGTGGGTGTCAGCTAAGTCACTGGATACACAAATCTGGAGACCAATACAGAAACCAGCACTAGAATTAAAATTAGGTTGGACACAGTGGCTCATGCTTGTAATCCCAGCACTTCGAGAGCCTGAGGTGAGAGGATCGTTTGAGCTCAGGCAATCAAGACCAGCCTGGGCAACAAAGTGAGACCCTGTCTCTACAAAAAATTCTTGAAAAAATTAGGCATGGTGTGTGTACCTGCAGTCCCAGCTAGCTGGGAGGCTGATATAAGAGGATCCCTTGAGCCCAGGAGGTAAAGGCTGCAGTGAGCTATGATCACACCACTGCACTCCAGCCTGGGTGACAGAGTGAGACCGTCTCAAAAAAAAAAAAATTAAATTAAAACTAAAAATACATGTACAGATGGCTCAGAGGCCATGGAACTGGATGTGATACCTACAGAATTAATGTAGATACTGAAGAACTTTTACAGGTTGAAAAGCAATGTCAAGACTGAGTACAAGTGGCCAATGAGGTGGGTGAAAAGCAGGAGATGATGTCACTGAAAACAAGTGAAGAAAGTGTCAAGGTTTAACATAGTTGGAATTATCATATGCTACCAAGAGCCTGAGACAAGGGCTGAGAATCACTCATTGGATTTGGCAATTTATAAGCCAATGGTAACCTCACAAAAAGATTTTAGTAGGGTGAAAGGCAGGAAAGCCTGGTTGAAGCAAATTCAGGAAAGAATGGTAGCTGAGAAAGCAGAGAAGGTAAATTTAGTCAGAGTATTTAGTATAGAATGTACACAATTATATAGATCTCCTGTGACCATGATTTCCTATGGCTACTGATAATTTGGTGCAGTGAGCTCAATTCAGAGATCACTTATTAATCATGATGTTAAACTTGGTGTTCCTGTAACCTTCTATAGGAAGAGAATGGTGGATGAAATGGATATGAGTGTCTCTGGTTTATGTGACACGGATTTCTCACTAAAAATGAAGTAGCAGTCCATGTTCTATCCATTGCTTCTATCAGCCTCCTCTGGGCCTGACCACCTCCAGGAATCAACCAATCAGAGTGAGTCTCTGGCCTTCCCAGGGATAAAACTCACCTAACACTCCAGCTTCACTCACTCACTTCTGATTTCTACAGGAATGCATCTTCACCCTTTCTGGTCACCCATACACCATTAAACATCCGTGAAGGGGGGCTTGCCACAGATTCCAGGGTTCTGATGGTGTCAATGTACCTCCCCAAAGTGATGAACTTACCACTCAGTCAAAGGCTCATGCTCAGTTTTTTATCCATTCGCGCTAATGTAGAGAGTTAAGAATTAAAGTATTATTAAAAAGTACATAAAACCCAAACAATGACATTCTCCAAAGAAATGCCATTAATGTCAACCAAAAATATGGCAAGAAACTGAAAAGAAGTATTTCATTATAACTTCATAATTGTCTCTTCTTTTAAATAATTCACATAAGCTAATTAAGTAAGCTATCATTACAAGATAAATCTCAAAGTGATCTTATAGGTAGTCCAGTGGAGATTAAAATCATATGAAAAATTATTTGATCTCTTTTCTAATAACCACAGTAAAGGACTCAACTGGAACAAGGAATTGCTGAGTGTTAACCCTTTACGCATACACAGTCAAAGACCCCAGATAAGTATGCCCTTGGTGGACACTAAATACTCAGTACACTGTGATATGGATACTAGAGTAAGTGTAGGAGAAATAAATTCAGAATTGTTTTACATGTTGGTAAATGGACAAACACTGACATTCTCAATACAAGCACTTTAAATGTTTCCTTTCTACACATTTATTTTATTGAAATTGAGTAAGGGGGAAAAAAGATGAGCAAACAAAAGTCACTCTGCTGCCCGTTTCTCAGTCTGGACATCTTTGTTTAAGCTTTGACTTGGCTTAAATGAACGAATTAATATTGACAAAAACATCAACTAAGCTAATGAGTTGTTAGTTAAGGCAATAAACATGTCACATTAGAGTCAGCGCAGTAAAGAGGTAATTAGCCCTGGAAAAGCCCTGCTGATTGGAGCTGTTGAGATCTTCTGCTCTTAACCTTTGAGTCCATTATCTAACCCAGAAGTGGTGGCTGTGTTAATGGGAACTCGCCAGTAGTTCCCAGCCTGACCACAGCAGCAAGCCCACGCTCAGAATTCTGGGATGAAAGGGGTGCTGGTGTATTTACAAGACAGGCCTCAACAAAGCTCTATGAAAATCTGCAGCAGGGCTCTTTCTGGAAGAGATGTCAATGTCAAACAAAGAGGGAAGGCAAATATATTTCCAAAGAAATATTTTTTAACAAAAGGATACACAATAACTTTTAAGTAACAGAATATTACAAAGGAAAAGTCACGTCAATCACAAAATACTCTCCCTTCTACAAATAAGGATGCGCTGATCCTTTCAAGATAAAGCACAAGATACTATAATATGAATTCCCGACTATCTGAGCTATAGAAACTGAAATCACAGACAATTAAAAATCTTAGATAATTTACATTCATTTAAGACAAAAAAGAAGCATAACATGATACTGTACTTCTGAAATCTATATGTTTACATGAGATTACCCTTTAGAGAAGCTTGCTTTATAAAATCTGGATGTTTTTGGAACTTCTCACTAATTTTACTGATTTGGCTTTAGGACAATTACAACTAGCATTTCAAAGTCTATGTTGAAAAAAAATTAAATGCTTGGAGAAAAATCACAAATAGCAGGACAAAAATCTATATAGGAGTGAAAACATACCATATCATATGACTAAAACTTTCATTCTCTAGATTAGTGGGCCATTTCTGAAATAGAGTGAAAGACCACATTGGAGAGTACCATTTGAGTCTGCATAATCTTCATATCAACTTCCCCAAAAATTATCAAATACAGGCTAAGTTTTTACATTGCTTCTAATATCATATATTCATATCTATAGAAGCTACTAACATATATGACAGACTGAGATTACATTATCAGGAAATATTTATTTTCCCTTGGGAACTTGTTTATCTTTTGAGCTTAAACAAACATGTCATGAATTTATAACACTACACTCCTGTTCACTTTTGAACATTTTAATACTTTTATGCAATTTTCTTTTACAAAGGAAGAAAATATTCCATCCTAATTTTGTTATTATGTAAGTTTGAAGGAAGAAATTGTCAGATATGCAGCTCTTGCTGCTACTGCCATGTACATATGTATGGCAGGGTGTGTGTGTGTCTGGATGTTAAAGGGAGAGAAACAATGGGACATTTACTATACAGTAAATCAATATGTGCTATCTTTTTTCAGGCTGAGCAATTTCAAAAGGGACAGGAAGCAATTAGTTGCCTCATACCTTATTGGCTAGTGTATGGTTTTAATATTTCCTAAGTTTTCCCTCAAATATAACTCCTCTTTTACTAAATTTGCAAAATAGCAGCAAATGGCTTAGTTTTCATTAGCTAATTGTTCCATATAATCAAATTTAGACTGAAAAGCACTATAACACCATCTTCATTTTTAATAAAAGGTGAAAGAATACTGTAAACCAAAATAAGAAATATTAATATATTTTTCTGTTATTCTATTGCCATTGATAGCTAAGCATAACCTAAAATAACATAATACGGTATTCACTTCTTATGTTATATATAAAACATATAAAAATGTCCAAATACTTCAAAATTGTCTAGGAGCAATAAAGAAAAATAAATAAGGCTGTCAAAGTATTTTTCAAACTTTACAACCATGTATGAGTTTAACTTGCTATAATTATTTCTATAATAATTTCATGTCTAGGCAGTATATCACAGAACAATAGTGCACAATCTTTTCCTCTACCCCAACATACCTGAAGAATATGACATTACCAAACCATGTTTTAAAATGGCAAAATGTTCCAAAACTGGAGGGAGTATAATTTTTAAAAGTCCTCCAGACAATCCAGATATATTCCCTCACTCCACATCTTGCCCCTTCCCCTTTCCACCCAGAAGCCAAATGCTACCCTTCTTTCTCTCTCCAGTGACTAAAAATCTATGGATGGTAGGAGAGAGCTATTAAGTAAGACCTGGATTCTAATCCCAAGCTTAATATTTGGTAACTGTTTGATCTTGGGTAACAAACTGGGTATAAGTTTCCTCATTCAATGAGATAAAATGAGACAGAGGTAAGACCTATTCTTGAACAGATAGGAGTAAAAATAACACAGGGTAGACTCTTGATATATTATATGCCTCTCCCTCCATACTCCTGTACATATGTACAGATAAACGGTTCCTTAGTTACTTTCTTCAATCACAGATATTTATCTGGAAATTATACTTAGACTTGAAAATTGACTATTTTTTACAAAGGAAAACTTATTGGACTCCGATCCTTTAAAAATACTATAAAGCATGTTATCAAACTAAGAAAAAACAGTGCAATGATTGAATGATGGGAAGGAAAGAGGGAAACAGGGAAATTTTATTTGCTGACTGACTGGTAGGTGGCAGTCCACCTGGTAGGTCCTGTGCTGGGTGTTTACATGTAGTATTTCACTCATTTCTGAAAACAGACTTGTGAGGGAGATGATAGTAGTTTCAATTTTGAATATGAGAAAAATTACTTCTCCAAAACCTAAATAACTTATTCTAGATTATACTGTTTGAATTGCCAAAATAAGGTTGACCTGACTTGACAGCCTCTGTCTGACCATTATATTATATACAATACTTGTTTGAAAGTAATAATGTATGTCATATTCCACACTTAGGATGCTATCTGCAAAGGAGTTTTATGTTTAATATTGCAAATGAAATACACCATATTGTTTTCTCCAGATGATCCCAGCAACTATAAACTGGGTTCGTAATCAAAGAAGTGCTGAATCATTTTAACATGTATGAAAAGTGAAAAGCTTGATTGGCAGAGTTTCCCAAGGATGGCAGAAATTAATTTGAATGATCAACATGTATTAGCACATAAAAATAAGTCAGAGAAAGGCAAACCAATATTCCAAAAACTGGTTTCCCAGCCTTTGCCCTGTTAACTCTGGCCTAGTTAAACTGAACTAGCAATGCTATTTTTCTTCCTCTCGAAGTCTGTGGAGGGTGAATCAAATGTGAAAGCAAGATCAATTCTGTTCTAAGACAGTAAATGAGCTTAAAATCAGACCAGTTTCAGCTTATGGAGAGAATCTAACTATACAAGCTTAAATGCATGTTTATAGAACTATATTATAGAGGCAGAAGAAAAGAGAATACACTCCCACCCTCAATGACAAACAGATGTTATGGTTATCGATAGTGCCAAAAAGCCATTCGGTCCCACCTACCACATCCGCATATACAGCTGCTGTTCTGCATGTTTGTAGCCTCCCAAAATCATATGTTGAAATGTAACCCCCAAGGTGATGGTATTACGAGGTGGGGGTCCTGGGCACTAATGAGATTAGTGCCTTTACAAAAGAAGCCTGAGGGAGTTTGTTCACCCTTTCTACCAAGTGAGGACTCTCAGGAAGAAGGCACCATCCATGAGGAACAGGCCCTCACCAGATACTGAATCCACTAGAGTCTTTACCTTGGACTTCCTAGCCTTCAGAACTGCCGAGCAATACATTTCTGTTTTTTAATAAATTACCGAGCCTAAAGTATTTTGTTATAGCAGCCCAAGTAGACTAAGAGAATAGCTAAAGATTACAACAAAATATCTTCATGCCTATTTTACAAAAGCCAAGAGCTAGAAGGGTACAATCTTATTAGGCAGATCAGAAAATCAAACCTCAAAGAGGTTATTATGGTTTACTCCACACTAAAGAGCCAAGCGTCACGGCACGTCCAGAATCCAAAGCTCCTGTCTCAAAAACCGGCATTCCCTCCATGGTAATAGAAGGCATCCATAAGAAGTGAGGTTCAAAGTTATTGTCATTATAACTGTTGTCATTTTAACCATTTTTGATCACAACCATACCCCAATGCTTAACATACTCTCTGGCATTGAGGAAGCACTAAAAAATATTTGTGGAATGAAAGAATTGATTCACACTTCACCGTCCATATTTTAAGCATTTTTCAAGGTCTCAGTTCAGTTTTACTTTTTTTACCAAAATAAAGGAAACAGATGGTCACCCCAGCTATTTTGTTCTTGAATCTCTGTAGCACATCTTTATACCATTAAAAAACACACAGACTTGGAAAGCTGAGTGAAAAAGAATCTTAACAGATAATCCGGCCCAGAGGGTTCTAACCCTGGTTGGTATTGAGAATCACCTGATGAGCTTAATGAAAACACAAATTCTTAGCTCCACTGCAGACCTAGAGATGCAGAACACAGTCCAGTGGCATGAAGTTCACTATTCTGTGTGACAGCCAGTGCCAATCTTAGACTTTTTCATTATGCAAAATGCAAAGATAAGCAAAAGTAGAAAGAAGTGTAGACTGGGCATGGTGGCTCATGCCTGTAATCCCAGCACTTTGGGAGGCCAAGGTGGGTGGATCACCTGAGGTCAGGAGTTCAAGACCAGCCTGGCCAACATGGTGAAATCCTGTCTCTACTAGAAATACAAATTAGCTGGCTGTGGTGGCACATGTCTGTAATCCCAGCTACTCAGGAGGCTGAGGCAGAAGAATCACTTGAAGCTGGCAGGTGGAGGTTGCTGTGAGCCAAGATCATGCCATTGCATTCCAGCCTGGGCAACAAGAGTGAAATTCCATCTCAAAAAAAAAAAAAAAAGAAGGAAAGAAAGAAAGAAAAAGAAAAAAGAAGCATATAAGCCTTGCTGTACCCATCATCCAGCTTCAACAACTTTGAACCAGTGGCTAATCTTGTTTCATCCACACTCTCATTTGCTTCCCCCTCTTTAATGCCCTCTCTTGTCTCTTTCATGCCTTTTTTCTTTCCTTCACTTATTTACATCTGTCTCTTCCAATCATAATTCAAATGTCTCCTAAATCGCTTAATCTACAGTTTGCCCCTACCCCTTTTCTTGAAGAAATCAGTTCTTTTATCCCATAGAGTCTCCTCAAATCTGGATCCTGCTGAGTATATTCCTATGACAATATTTAAAGTGTTTTCTAGCCTTTGTAGTTCCTATAAACTGGTTGAACAGATTCAGTTTGAATTTT
The DNA here is from genome assembly GCF_000001405.40 of Homo sapiens. Taxonomy (NCBI): domain Eukaryota; kingdom Metazoa; phylum Chordata; class Mammalia; order Primates; family Hominidae; genus Homo; species Homo sapiens. The sequence continues at coordinate 56,906,152 of NC_000018.10, read as the reverse complement.
TAACGATTTCTTAGATCTGCTATGTACTTCCATCAGAAGCGTACAATGCCTGGCTCTCTCTTACGGTGATATTAGGAGTGATTGCCCAGGTCCATTAATACATTAGGGGTGGCAAAATGATTATATTCCATCATTCCTTCTTCATTTATTGGCTACAATATTGTTATAAAGAAGAATTTCCTTTCATCAACCATTTGATTATGCTGAGGTACATGTGTATAAAATGTACTAATTTTCAAAATAAGTTAATTCCCTAGCATCATTCAAAAATGACACTGAGGTTTATGTGATTTTTTTTCCCCGAGTACCACTTTGAACTCTTCAATGAATCAAAGTAAATTTGATAGGTTCCTATTTCAATCCACTACAGTTAGTATTGTCTTTTTATTTTGCTTATAATATTTGAAAGAAATATAAATAGATAAATCGCTCCTGGATTCTCAGTCACTGTAAGTGGAGGTGTTTTCACATTAAATTACATTTCTTTTAGCACCTGTATAATTTCATATGATATATATATATATATATAGTTTCATAATAAATATAAATAAAATTTCATGTAGTTACTGCTACTAAATATAAAAGATTTTCCTTGAATTGTAAGTTCTCAGGGTACATTTGTAACTCTTAATCCTCTAGAATAAAAGTAGTCAGAAGCTAAGCAGAAATCCTTATCAATATCTTCTGAAAATTGTCTATAATCACACCAGGCACAGTGGCTCATGCCTGTAATCCCAGCACTTTGGGAGGCTGAGGTGGGCAGATCACTTGAGGCCAGGAGCTCAAGACCAGCCTGGCCAACATGGAGAAACCCCGTCTCTACTAAAAATACAGAAACTAGCTGGGTGTGGTGGTGCAAAACTGTAGTCCCAGCTACTCGGGAGGCTGAGGCATGAGAATCTCTTGAACCCAGGAGGTGGAGGTTGGGGTGAGCCAAGATGGTGCCACTGCACTCTAAACTGGATGACAGAGCAAGACTATCTCAAAACAGAATAAAACAAAATAAACAAACAGAAATTGTCTATAATCATAAAGGGAAATAATACAGTCTACAAGTTCCTTATTGTTTCAGGTAAGATACTCCTTAAATTTTAGGTTTAATTGTCTTCACCAAAGTCCTACCTTTTTCATACTCTCTAAGCCACACTTACCTTTCAATCTGTGAGACTATCTATCTACTTTCTTCTTATGTTTGTAACGGCTTCGGGTCAATTTTTTGCCTGGAGAACATTTGCCCTAATAAGTAGCTGCGTCATTCCTTCCATGGTTCTCTCACTGTTTTATATAACAATTTGTTAATGTTCTCTAGTTCATCTGGAGATGACCACACCACAAAGATTCTGGCATTTTCAGGGAAGAAGCTCAAAAAAAAGGGTTAATTGAAGGTGAGTTTCCTAAGCAAGATAATGTATTCAAACATGAGCTTACACATAGTCACTTAATAATCCTAAATAAGAGCAAAAGACTCTGCACATGGATTCTTTCTTTCTGTCAGGAAGAAAGTGCATTCTTTATCTTGGTTTCCACATGTGGAAAGCAGGAATGGCTGCCACTCTCCACTCTGCACAGGGGCAATAATTGTAAAAACCTAATAATGTCACATAAAAAATCATGAGTATCTTGAAATCAAAAGGCTACAAAAAACATATTGTTGCCCCAAAAGTTAGGCTATTATTGTTAGCAAGTTTAGAGGTAATTAAGCTTAAATGCAGAACACTTCTAATTAAAAACTATACTAATAGCTGAGGTTTTGAAAAATACACTGCATTAAAAATTATTATGAGGCCAGGCACAGTAGCTCACACCTGTAATCCCAGCACTTTGGGAGGATGAGACAGGCGGATCACCTGAGGTCAGGAGTTAGAGACCAGCCTGGCTAACATGGTGAAACCTCGTCTCTATTAAAAATACAAAAATTAGCTGGGCATAGTGGCAGGTGCCTGTAATCCCAGCTACTCGGGAGGCTGAGGCAGGAGAATCACTCGAACCCAGGAGGCAGAGGTTGCAGTGAGCTGAGATCGCGCCACTGCACTCCATCCTGGGCAACTGAGAAAGACTCCATCTCAAAAAAAAAAAAATTATTTTGAGCATTCTCATATTTAAGATAAAAGAGTTCTGCAAATTTATCAATCCATCAACTTTAAACAATGCATTAACTAAACACTGCATTAACCGCACTTTAAAGGTTAAGCTGTGAGTCAGGAAATAAAAAATTCTCTGAATAGCACATTGTAATTTAGCTAGATTTTGAACCATGGAAGGTGGAATCAAACGAGGTCACAACCAAATTTTTAAAATAACTTCATTTCTGGATAACAGAACAAAATGATTGCTTATCACCAGTGAGATGGCAAGGAATCTACTTGTGGTCCATAGTAATTTTCTTGAATCTGACAGAACACCAAATCCAACTTCCATTGAAAATGGAAAAATGGCTGGGTGTGGTGGCTCACATCTGTAATCCCAGCACTTTGGGAGGCCGAGGAGTGCGCATCACTTGAGGTCAGGAGTTCAAGACCAGCCTGGCCAACATGGTGAAACCCTGTCTCTACTAAAAATACAAAAATTAGCCAGGCATGGTGGCACATGCCTGTAATCCCAGCTACTCGGGAGGCTGAGGCAGAAGAATCACTTGAACCCAGGTGGCGGAGGCTGCAGTGAGTCGAGATCACGTCACTGCATTCCAGCCTGGGTGACAGGGCAAGACTCCTTCTCAAAGTAAATAAATAAATAAATAAATAATAAAAATAAAATGAAAAACAAATATACCAATTGGCTACTGTTTTATTAATGGATACTTACTATCCACAGCTCAACTCTCAAAACAACAAGTGAATTTTACCACCAGAATGAAGATTATTAAAAATAATACCGAACTAATTACAACTTCATTCATGGAATTAAAAGACCTCAGTGAAACACCATCTTTAGAAAATATCAGAAAATAAAGGCAGACCAATAAAAGATGCAAAACCTCAACGGTTGATGAGGTACTCTCTAGTATGTTTTTAGGCAAGGTTGCTATTAAGTATAAAACAAAAGCAAGTAACTACCACCCAAGGCATTAATACACAATGCTGCCAACGGGCAATCACCTTGATATTTAAGTCAGAAAGGCCAATATTTATTTCAGAAAGGTTCTGAAATAAGAACCTACTGGGTGGTGTGTCAGGAGGGCAACCACGTAAGCAAGTTTGAAAGAACCTGCAAAAATTCACACATTCCTAGACATAAAACGCATTTTTGAGAGAATGAAAAAATCTGTTAACCAAAACACTTTCTATCGATACAGTGATGAGAGTCACACCTTCCTTATGCTGCTGCAGTAAAAGACTGAGTCATAAGTCACTCATTACCTTTTACTTCCCTTAACATCATACTTGTCTGTCTTTTGTCCAGTTGTTAATTTGAGCTCTGGTTTATATAATTTGCTTTAAAAAGCTGGTGCACTTCCAAATCCTAGCACAGTTGAAAATTTACTATTAGGATGAGCCATGTGAAATAGCCAATATTTGACCATCTTTGACCCTCAAAAATGGCAATTTCATATGACACAAGTTAATATTTGATACAATAGTCCTTAATACCACTACACCTGCAACACAGGCATTCAGACAGAAAAATCACAGAGTTTCCATCTGTGTTTACCTGGATGTCTGTCTGTACATGATTTAAGGGAGGTACTAAATAAGACAATAACATTTCAATCTTTGTCTAGCATTTAAAAAATATAGCTTTTAAATAAGCACATTATATAATTATATATACATGTCCCTATATAAATGTCCACAAAGGCAAACTCTACTTTGTAGTTACCAAAATTAACTTGATTGACAAAAGATAGGCTCAGCACTATGATTTCTGGGCAATGAAAACAGCTTGAATGACACACTGCATATAACTATGTAATATTGCTATACTTTAGAAGTAGCCACATCAATATTTTAGGACTTGTGTTATTGCCCAGAACTCTTCTCTTCCCAGAAGCAGAGTGGCCTGTTCAACTCAAGCCAACTGCTATATGCAGTTCCGGAGGTCACAGAACTGACACTGGTGACATTCTGAGCAGACTGCTTTGTGATGTGATGGTCAGTCAGACAAAGTAGAATTTTAAATGAGCTTGAGCTTAACAAGCCTGAAACTCTTCTGTAGCACTTAAAAGTCTGAAGAATTCTCCACTTGCCAATAGTAGTATTCGCCCTTCAAACCATGAACACAAAGACACTAGTAAATCCTCTGCTTGCCATTTTTATTCTTTCTTTACTCCCAGAATGCTGTCCCAGTGAACTGACAACCGCAGCTAAAATGGATGGCACTCCAACATTTTACAACATACAATGCAACTAGGTTGCCTTTTCTATTTTGGAGAAAATACATTGTAATGACCACTGGGACTGAGGATAAGAGATTATAGGGACCATTTCTTCAGTCTGATAAAGCACCTAGTAGCAGGCTCAGAAATCCATAGCAATTAAAAGGCAAATAAAAGTTAAATATAGAATTTGTACATCTATTGTACATTATAATCAAAGATGTGATCTTGTTAACAGATCATTAATTATTCCTTATCACTAACATCCTTGTGAAGTACTAGGTAAGCGATGGGACATTACTAGGCCATTGAAATGCAAATTTGGGGACAACAGTTGCCAACCATCATTTATTTATCTGTAAATGCAAAATGGAGTTAGTTGTGCTTACTCTACAGAGGTAGAATTCATTTTTTGAGGCATGGCCTGGTTTTCAAACCTACCCCATGACTATACTGCCTAGAGATCTACCCAGCTATGATAAGAGTACTTCCCAGAAAGCAACAAAATAGAGAACAATTTCTGGATTGTCCTTTCAAAACTTAAGACAATGACATTATAATAACTATTTATAGAGAATATAATTAGCATTATTATTTTTAAAAATTTTCAAAGACACGGTCTTGCTATGCCCACACTGGTGTTAAACTCCTGGCCTCAAGCAATCCTTCGGCCTTAGCCTCCCCAAGTGCTGGGATTACAGGCATGAGCCATCATGCCTAGCCCATGATTAGCATTATAAAGAACCAAGCAGATAATAAAATTTTAGTGATGTGAAAGTTTTGATTTATGAGACTGTATTTAGAATTATAACAGTAAATTATTCCTTCTAGAACAGTTAGCAATGTATAGTATCTCAGCTCTAAATTCATTGTTTACCTACTGCTTTGCAATACTGGAGCTGGACTCTGGAAACATGTCCTTTGCCAGCTGGCAGAATGTTAAGCTTCATTGATAGAGGTCAATGGAGAGATCCGGCAAGGGGAAAAACACTTCCCTCCCCAAGCTGCTGTGGATGGCCTAACCCTTGGAAAATGGCAGGCTGTGTCTATAGACCAGCTTGGACCAGCCCATCAGCTCTAGCCCCCATCCCTGAAGAAACTTCCAGATTAGCAACAAGCTGCCTCCACTCACAGGCAGCGGTAGGCCACTTTGGCAAATTTCATTATCTACAAGCCCGATGTTCCCCTAGGAATCACTGACTCTTTAAAGAAGTCTAATCTTAGCCTTGGAGGAGGGCCTCTCCCAGTCCTGAGTCACTTTACTATCCACTCTTCCGCACCCTAGACGAGGTAGTAGCTGATATTTTGCACATAGTATCTCTGGACCCCTGAGTCTCTTTTTACCTCTTTTAGTAGTTAATCATTTTCTGCTAGTGAGAAGCTCTTTGTATTAAACTTCCACTGTTTAGGTAACTGATGTGGTTTCTATTTCCTGACTGATTTACCTCCCTTCCTCTCCATCTCCCTTCAAGAATGAATGGGAACCAACTTTACACTACCTAAAGTAACCGCTTTTACTTCTCTGGCTTGGAGACTACTACATAGCTTTAATAGTATTCTAGAAAATTCTACCTTCTCTTTTCTTTACAAAATCATGAAGTAGTACAATTCAGTTACTATAAAAGTTCTCCAAAGTGTCCAGCCCGTCTACTCTATAGATGACAAGATAAAATTTCTGATAACAGTGAAAATTTACTAAAATGCCTAAATCAAAATGCCATTAACAATTTTATATATATATATATATATATATATATACACACACACACACACACATATATATATGTGTCCAGTGAGCTTAATTCAGAGATCACTTATTAATCATGATGTACTCTTATTTGCTTAAAGGAGAAAATCTACAGGTTTGGAGCATAAATCAGACAGTCATCACCTAGGCACACATAAATAATGCAAAACTTTAAAGCACATATTGAATTCTTAGGGATTATTTCTAAAGTTACTTGTTTATCAATGTGTCAGCACTTTGTCAATGGAAATATAAAACTCCTTTATTCTTAAAGCTTATATGATGATCAGAAATCGTTAACACAAAAAGCATTTATTTCTTACACATTAGATATAGTCAAGATTAGTTTCAGGCTTGTACAGTCTAGAATGATTTTTTTTTAAAACAATAAAATACAAAACTAAAGGTAACAAATGAAAAGTATGTTGTACTGGGATCTAATTCCCATGGGTAGCTTTCCTTAGTGTGGGCTCAAGGAAAATACCAATTAATTGCAATGGGCATGTGCAGAAGAAAAACACTCTGAAAAGGTAAAACAAAAGATGCCTTAAAATTTTCAGGAATTTAGGCAATACCTTAGAAACACATTATTGTGTCTTTAATATAAGAATTTTTAAAACTTTGAGGACAGCATGGAAGATTTTTCTTTTTTTCTCCTATGACTAGCAACAAACAAAATTCAGAATATGACTTACTCTAATATTTTGTTTCAACTTTATTTCATGTAATATAGTGGGGAAAAATATACCTATTTAAAATAATGAATTAGAGGTAAGAAGCATCATGGCTTAATGGACATGGATAAAGTTGAATGTGAAAAATATACTCTCTATTCCAAGACCTACCTAATAACACAATGATATATGCTAAAAATCTCTAATTATTATGCTTCTATTTTTAAATCTATAAATAAAACTGTACCAAACTTTCTACCCATGGGTTGTATAGCACCCTCGAAAACTGGAAAGGGAGAAATATTGGGGAAGGAATAGAAACATTAAATTGCTATTCTTAATTCTTAACATAATCAGCTACTTTGAAATATAGTATTACTTATACTACTATAAAATATAAATCTATCTTTATTCTGCTACCTAGGAAGAACCGCTTTTTAAGAACTATTTTGAAATAATTTTTGGCTTCCAGAAAACTTGCATAAATACAGAGATTTCACAGAATTCTTCACTCAGATTCTTCTAAGGTCAACTTACATAACCATTGTATGATTATCAAAATTAGTATTGGTAGAATCCTACTCACTAGCCTACAGACCTGGTTTAAGCTTCACCAGCGCCCTTTTTGGTTCCCACATCCACTTCTAGATCCCACACTGTATTTAGTTGTCATGTCTCTTTAGTCTTCTTCAATCTGTGACAGTTCCTGACATGGTTCATCTTCTCTTCCAAGACTCTGACATTTTTGGTGAATAATGGTTCATTTTGTGGAATGTCTCTCAGTTGGGATGTTTTCTCAAGATTAGATTAAAGGTATGCCCTTTGACTAGAATATCACAGATATGTCCTTGCAAGTGTATCATTCCAAGGAAAATCTGACGTTGAAATGTTTTATTACTGACAACGCTACCCTTCATCATTTGTTTAAGCTAACGAATTACAGTGGAGAAATCAACTTTCCCTTTGCAACTGATACATATCTTGGGAGGAAAAACTTGAAGGCTGTGTTAAATATACTGATTTTAACATCCACCCCTGAATCTTGTCTGCAACAATTACTTCTGTGATCTTCGCCTAATAAAGATTTCCCTGATTCTTGCTATATTTATTAACCAGAATCCTTCTGTAAGAGCTGTCCCTTATCCTTCATTTATTTATTTATTCTAATAGTATGGCTTCATGGGTATTTTATTCTATAGATTATAATTCCATAAAATATATCATATTTTGTTGCCTAAATTGTTCCAGTTTTGGCTATTAGAAGCACCTTCAGGTTGGTCCCATGTCCTTTTGACGTGCCCCTATCCTTTTTAAGCCCTTATTTTTTGACATCACAGACAGATGTTCTAAGCCCTAAAATCAACTGCTTCTCCAAGGAGTCCTAGTTCCTTTTATTAGATAATGGTATTTCAAAACCAACATCTTTGCTATAGGTATGGACTTTGCTACTGGAGTGTCATTGCTCCTGGACCCTCTCAGTGGCCAGAGGTAGGAAATATACGTCTCCACACCAATCAAGGTATAAAAAAGTATTTATATTTATTTCTATATCTGTATGCATGCATACTAAACTATGAGGTCATAATTATATTTCGAGATTCATTCTACCCTTTTCTTTTTCCTTAATTGTAACTGAGAGAAACATTTTTATAATCTTGGTCACTGCTATTTTAGATACTTGAATCATAATATTTACTACAAGACTGAATCAAAGTGTACACATTTTTATGCCCTTCTTTTATTTGGCTCAACAATACAAAGGTAAAGATGCATAATTTTTATGTGACAACATAAAAAATATCAATGTCTTACAATATTTATGAAGCCCCTTGGGTAGTTCTACCTGAATTCACCCCCTTTCTTAGCACCCTTTAGAGTAATCATTGTTCTGAGTTGTGTGGTTTCATTCCCTAGCTTTCATTTTTCTTACTACATACGTTTGTATCCCTAATAATAAATTATTTCATTTTACATGGTTTTGAACTTCATAAAAGTTCATTCTTTTTCCATTCTTTTTTTGCTCAGTATATTTGTCCAATACTTAATGCACATGCGCTGATTCCAATTTTTGTTATTTCAAACTGTTTGCTATGAACATGCTTGTACATGTTTCCTGGGTTACATGTGAAAAGGTTTCTCTAAATATAGAAAAGGGTGGACTCACAAGATAATATACTCAATTGTTTTCCAAAGAGACTAAACCAATTTACATTCTTATAATAAGTATAAAAGAGTTCTGGTTGTTCCAAGTCCTCCACAAAACTTGATAATGTTGGACTTTAGGTTTTCAGTCTGGAAGGTAAAATATTATAGTACATTGTGCTTTTAATTTGCATTTCCTTGACAATAGGGCTTAGCATCTTTTCATAAGTGTACTGGCCATCCTTGTTTCCTTTCTGAGAAATACTTTTTCAACCTTTATCCATTTTCTGCTACGGATTTCTCTTTTTCTTATTTTTTAAATATAAAGATATTTAACCATCTCTTGTCAGTGACCTATGTTACAATCACTTTTTGTTTCTCTTTGTACCTTTATTTTTCACTTTCTTTCAAGTATTTTTGATGAAGAAAAGTTTGTAAGTTTAATGTACTTGAATTTGTCAGTCTTCTTAGTGGCTTGGTTTGGCATTCTGTCACCTATTTATGAAATCTTTCCCCATTCCAAGGTCATATTTTCCTATATCATCTTTCAAAATTTTTGAAAGGTTTTGTCTGTAAATCCACATGGAATTGATTTTTGGTAATGACAGGCATTAGGTGATCCAATTTCATTATTTTTTCTTGTGGTTAGCTAATAGTATATATACCATTTATTTAAAAATGCAATCTTTTATTTCACTGATCTACAATGCTAGGTCTATATAAAATCAAATTCCTATGCATGTATGAATGATTTCTATGCTGCCTATTTTGTTCTGTGAGTCTGCTGGTCTCTCCTGCACCAAGGTAACAATGTAATAATTACAATAAATTTAGAACAGCTTTTGACATAAGGTAAGGGAAATCCCTCCACCTTGTTTATCTTCTTTAGGAGTGTCATGGCTTTTCTTAGTCTATTGCTCTCTCATATAAATTTCAGAATCAGCATGCCAAGTTCAATAACAAAAACGATGACAAATATTCAACTGGTGTTTAGTTTGGAATGGTATTAATCTATCAATAAGTTTATGAAAATTGACATCTTTATAATATTCAGTACTCCTAGTCACAAAAAATGTATATCTCTCTAGGTGTTTCAAAATCTCTTTCAGTAAGATTTTAAATTTTTTTCTATAAGTCTTACATATTTTTTGTTAGGTTAATGCTTTGGTATTTTATATTTTATAATATTGTCTAGTTGATTTACTATTATCTACCTCAAAGGTTACAATGAGGATTATATGAGTTAATATTTATAAAGTGCCCAAAATAGTAACCAGTATATTGTCAGCACTACATGTGTTTATTGAATAAAACAAAATAAATCATATATTCCATTTATCTCTGGTATATTCATTTTAGAATAATTTGGCCTAGTTATTATAAGAATGATGAGATTTTGATTGTGATTGTGTACAATGTGTATATTAATTTGAGAGCAACTGAGATATTTGCCATATGGAATCACCCATCCAAGAAATGCAAACCATTTACTCAAATATTATTTTAGTTCCCTCGGTAGTATATTCTGTAATTCTTTTTTTCTCTTCATTTTTAATTTTTAATTTTTATGGGTACATGGTAGATATACATATTTAGGGGTACATGTGATGTTTTGATACAGTCATACAATGTGTAATAATCACAACAGGAAAATGTATTTCTTAAGTGTATTCTTAGCTATGCAATTTCATTTCGTAGCCATAATTGTTGAGTTTTTTTTTTACTATTAAATTTGAGCATCATTTTAATTTATTTTAACCACACAAATATCTATTCACTGTAAAAAAAATTTTTAAAAAAATCCAAGTGTATCTAGCAAATTTTTCCTATCCCCTAATGCTTTTGGTAATTGGGTAAGTTGAAATTGTATTGTCATCTGCATTCCTCCTATGACAAAATGCCTACCTGTAGCCTTTAAAAATTTTTTTTTGTTGTATTTTACTTCCCGGTTTTTATGGTCTTACTAGTTAGAAGGGTCTTTCAAAAAATGATGATTTTTTACATTTTCTACTTTGTTCACTAGTAGACAGAAGTTACTCATTTTTGATTATTTATCTTGCTGATTGACATATGGATATCCTTGGTTTTCCAAATATACAATTACAAGCTGTTCAATATTTATAACTCTTATTTTGCTACATTTGCTAAAATGTCCATGCTAAATAATACCATTAACATGCTACTTGTTAGAATATATCTAATGTGAACCGACTAAGGATGACGTAGCTTTTAGTTTCAGCTTAATATTCTGTATCATGCTAATGAAAGTTATTCTACTCATTGTTTATTAAGAGTCCTTATGTGGAAAAGATACTGAATTTTAAAAATGTCTTTTTTATTTTTTACTTCTGTTGAAATAATCATATATTTTTTCCTTTGACTACTTGTATACTTTTTATATTGGACAATATATCATACCATGAGTGTCCAGTTAACAGACAATACACTTTCAAAAAGATTAGCAAACTAATCTCAGCAGTTACATAATCAAAGAGAAAGTTTCAGTTAAAATGTAAGATACTACAAGGGCTGCTTTATGTATAAGCACTTTAGTTTTCACTCATTACTTCAGTCGTTGCTCAACAAAATAGACAAAGATTCATGACTTGGTAGAATAACTACTGTAAATAGGTAAATTATATATAGGATGTTGGAAGGCAACAAATACTTTAAAAAAGAAAGTATAGAACAATATACAAGGGACTGGATATGGGGGAGGAAAGGCAGCAGTTTGCAGGATTAAATAGAGTGATCTGGATAGGTCTCATTGAGAAGTTGAAAATTGAGCAACTGCTTGAAAGAAGTGAAGGAGTTAACCAAGCAGGTATCTGGGGGAAAGAGTGTCCCAGCAGAAGGAGTGACTAGTATGCCTGAGAAGCAGCCAGGGCACTGGAGTAAGCAAGGTGAAAAGTAGGAGAAAACTGAGTTCACATAGTGCTTTTCAGGGCATGGGGAGGACTCTGGCTTTTAGACCCTTGCAGAATTTTGAGCCAAACATGGATGTGATCCACATTAGGTTCTTAAAGAATCACTACCACGACTGCTATGCTGGAAGGGAAAAACGGTGAGGCAGGAAGCCTTCGCAGGAACCCGGGTAAGAATGAAGGTAGGCAACCCTGATGCTAACAGGAAAGGTGGTGAGAAATAGCTGACTTTGGGATATATTTTCAAGTAGACCCAATAAGATATACTTGATAGATTAGATGTGTTATGTCAGAGAAAAAGAGGAATTAGGGATGAACCTAAGAAACTGGAAAAAATGAATAAGCATCAACTGAGACAGGGAAGGCCACAAGTAGAATAGGTTTAGATGGGAAAACCAAGAATTTTGACTATTATTGAGTTTTTGAAGGCTATATAACATCTAGTTTTCAAAGTTTTGTCAATTTTTTAGGAATCTACCCCTATTTTTGCAGATACAATGTGATGTCAAACACCAACTTCTAAAACACACATGCACAAATCAGTTCTGCTGTTCTTGAAGTAGTGCGAAGGGCCTAGGTAGCCACTGAGCCATCTCCATCTAACCCCAGGGTTTTGAAGAATATAATTTAAAAACCAAAGGTATAAGGAAAGAGCCATACATTTATTGATTTCACACAAACATTCGAGTCCTCTAGTGGACTTGGGTCTGGCAGTGTCCAGTTGAATTGGGTAGCAACAAGAAGTCCATGAGCACCTACCGTTTGACACACAGGCTAAAGGGCAAAGAAACAAAATAGACTTGGACTCCCTACCATTCAACAAAGTCTTAAAAATTGTGTTTTCTAAGGACATGGCAGGTGGTCTACAAACAAGTTCACAAAATGTTTCTATATACCTCTTACTGAAAGGCTTTTTAAGAGAACCATCAAAAGCTCTGCAGTTCTTAGAGGGATTAACACTAGATGTTCATGGTCCTTTCTTGATAAAAAATTGTTTGAACTTATAGAAACTTCAATACTTTAATTACAGAGATCCTGATGCACTTATATATTAAGACATACAAATATGAAGCCATCACTCTGCAGGACTGTCAGAAAACTACAGGCCAAGTTTATTTAAAAATTAGGAACCACAATGTCCTAATGCAGAAAAAAAAAAAGTCACCAGCAAACAATGTGACCCGTTATTAAATTGGCTACAAAGGCAATCTAGTGACAAAGAATCAAAAAAACTGAACTAAAATGAAAAATTGAATCAAAGTAACCAGTATATACTTTAGGTGGCTGGCAGAAAGAGTCTTGTACCATGCTGCATCACATTCTAGACCAAAAAATTATTATAAAGCCTTCATACTACTTAAATTCCTATAAGGGTACAGTTCTCATTTTGCTTTTACTTATAAATATTGTATGTTGTATAACAGCTTTATAATTTTTAACTGTGATCTCTACTTGCATTACAGACCCTGTCTTGATGATGTAATCTCATCTAAACTAAACTAAAACTATCTAAATGTTACTACCACGGATGTTATATTTAACTACTGAAGTATCTTCTTCATCAAAGTCACCTCAAAGCCCTTTTGCATATTAAATGTCAAGAAACGACCATTAACAGACTTTTCAAATGATGTACAGTAGGGATTGGTAGTTTTCTGTTGTCTTTTTCCTTTTGTAAAAAGCCAGACAGTGAATATTTCTGGCTTTGCAGGCCATACGATTTCTATAGCAACTACTTGACTCTGCTGTTTTAGCATGAAACAACCATTAATAATACGTAAACACATGGGTATGGCTGTGTTCCAATAAAACTTTATTTGCAAAAAAAAATGGGAATGGGGCCACGTTTGACATACAGTTATGGTTTGCTGATCTGTGGCCTATAGTACAATTATATTCAACATAACACAAGTATATGAAGCTGAACATGTGTGGAAAATGAGTTATGTAAAGGACAGACAGCAGAAAAATACTTTAAAGATGCTCAGCTTCAAGCACATAGCATAGCTATGGACTACTGGAATGTATAAAAGCAGACAGAACAACTGGTATAGAACAATTAAAGTGAGATAGGCAAGTTCAAGTGGCAAAATAAATACAAGCACTCTACAGTTAAAATAATACATCACATTAATTTCATAGAGGTCTATAATTTCAGATGGAAATGGCCTTAGAAATAGCTTTGTGTGAATTACTTGTTTTCTGGAAGAGAAATTCAAAGTCCTTAGTGTAGTGGCTTAACAAAAAATGGTTGCAAATTAAAGTTATTTTTGGAGAAGTAGGATGAGATTACATCATCAAGACAGGCAGGGTCTATAATGTAAGTGTCAGATCGCAGTTAAAAATGATAAAGCTGTTATACAACATATATTATTTACAAGTAAGAGCAAAATGAGTAGCCAAAACTTCCATCCAATCTGAACTTAGTATGCTGATGTGGTTGAAATGAGAAATAAGGTAATAAACATACAGAAATTCATCCAAACATAAATAATTACAAAAATATTTAGTGTTATATTTAAACATATAAAATGTGTATGATAATGTGGCCAAAGAAAAGTATATTTTTACACAAATCCTCTGAGAACTAATGTATTTTACCACAAACAGTGAAAATCAGTATATGTTACAGAAAAGAACAGCATGAGCTTTGGGGGAAAAATGCATCTGGATTCAGAGTGTTTATAGGACAGATAACTTTAAGGAATTTACTTGATTTTTTAAGAATATCAGTTCACTTATATACAAAATGGTGATAATACTATCTACCTCACAGGGTTCTTACGAAGATTAAAAACTATATACAGATTTTAAAGAGCTATTTCCTTTCCTTATTCTTCTACAAACACATTTAACAACAACAACAACAGAAACTAACATTTATAAGTACTTATATGTCAGGCATTTTTTTCATGCATTGATTTACTTAATCCTTACAATAACTGTGAGGTAGGAGCTACTGTTATATACTATTCCTGTGTCTTAGTTAAGGAAATCGAGCCACAAAGTATTCAAGGCCACACAGCTGTGATGTGGTGATACCAAGATTCGAAACCAAGCTCTGGTTCCCAAATAACAAAATCACAATAAAAAGGCTGAACTACCTAAAGAATTAGTTCTGAAAGTAGTATAAATGTCATGTATTCACTCTGATTAGTTCCCGTTATCTCTTCCATTTGAAAATGTAAAGAAAAGGTATAATTTGTGCATTAAGGTAGTTTAATGACTACAGCTACCATAAAATACTCAATTTAAAATAACTGTAAAAGATTCTAGATTCTACTGGGTCTCTCTACTCTGGCTACACATCAAAATTACATATGAAGTTTTAAAAAGAATACAGATGCCTGAATCCCACCCCTGGCTTTCTGAATAGGAAGACTACCTAAATGCTCAGATACTCACATTTTAAAAACATTCTGCAAGTGATTTGAGTACATAGCTTAAGTGAAGAGTCACTGTCTAAACACAGATGTAATGGTGATGTAAGTCCAGTGGCATCTGCAACCAGGATGATTTTCAAAGATAAAAATACAAGTGAGAGGTGGTGGTAAGGAACATGGGACGCTGAGTTAGTGCACTGAGAACAAACAAGTCAGAGAAGAGAGTAAGGAGCCAGATAGGAAGGCCAGATTCATTCCAAGTGCCAGGATGGCCAGGTTGGAAACACAAAGGAAATCAAACAGAAATGCAATCTCTATGGCCACAGCAGCATTTCAGCAACACAATCTGATAACTATTTGTGAATGGTAAGAATATCTGTTCTTTTGCTATTGCTTATCTTTGCAAATGGCTTGTCATTGTTGCTACTTTTTAACATAACTTGCAACTACCACTAGTTTTGTTATTAATTGCAATTCTGTGGCATTGTCGTAAGCTTGCTAATAAAACATTTGAAATTTGGCTTCACTTTCTTCTCTTAAAATCTAGGAAATAAATTCATTATAAAATCAATCTCAACCTATATTAACCTATTCATTAAATAAAATATGCATGATTAAAAAGCACAGGGAGTACTTGGGGGATCATTTTCACAAAGTACACTACAACAAAATAAAAACCAAACAGCACCAGAACAATATAAAAATTGAAATACAAGTTCATAGAATTGCAATATCCCTTAGGCAGAATTGAGGCTTCCATTTAGTGGTGCAGTGTTGTGGCTGAACTAATCTGTAACTATATTGTTTTAAAAAGTCATAATAACAGGTAAGCAATTATTTCAACAAACTCCTGCAGTGGTTCTTATCCATTTTTATTTAATGGCCTTCTTTTGAGAACTTCATGGAATCTGTGCATCCTTTTCCTAGGGAAAACAGCAACAAAAACAAAAACCACAAATGCACATAAATGTGGCTTTTTCCATGTAATGGCAGGTAGATCATGTACCTTGGCCAGCATTGTAGTATTTCTAAAGACTCACTGTGGGAAAAAATTAATTATCTCTAGTGTATCTCATACCAAAGAGAAAGCCATTCCTAAAGCCCAGATATGTGAATTTTTTATGTCTATGCATATCCATAGCAACAGCACATTCCTAAATGAAAGCTTCAATAGATGTCCGTATTCACAGGTGACCTGGTACTTGCTGGCATCCCCTCCTCTCTTCTCTGTAGCAGCAGTTCTGAATCTTCTTTATAACACACAAAAATATGTGGAATGGTGAAAATATGCTGCTTTAGAGTTAGAACACAGGTGTTTCAGTCCAGGCTTCGTACTTTTTAGCAGTGTAATCTTTTTAAAAAATTTAACCTATGCCCTCAATTTATTGTCTGCACAAAGTTTAATCCAATTTTAGAAATCTTTAGTAAATATATTCAGTGGTACTAAGCAAAGCTTCAGTTTCTTCATCTGATAAATGAGAATAGCAATGGTACTTATTTGATAGGACTAAGAGAGTAAATAATACACGTCAAGTATACAGCAAAATGTCTGGCAAACAGTAAATGGTCAATGATCAGCTATTATTAACATGCCTCATATTGTGCTAAGTGTTGGACAAAAATGTCTTTCAGGGTAACAAGAGATATGTATGGAGTTGGAATTAAAAAGGTGTTAAATAAATGACAGTTTCTTCCTCTCTCCATTTGTTAAAATAGAAAGAGAACTGGGACACACGTAATTTAGTAGCATGCTGCAGAGGAAGCTGGCAAGGTTGCCCATCTCCTCCCCATCATGACTGAAGTCCCCACTTCCCTAAGTTCTTGTGTCTGTGGCTGACAAGTCTCAGTGGAATCCCTCTGTGGGCTTTGCCCTAGGATAAGGAAAGCTGCCTTATCCAAAGTTACATCCCCTTCCTAGGCCTCCCAACCCTTTTCCAATCCAATGACTGACTGACAAGGGGATATTAAAGTTGAGCCCTGATCCCTAATTCAGGACAAGTCTGAAGGGTCATCCCAGCTCCAGAGTTCCCCCAAATCAACTGAGGCCTTCTATGTAACTAAAACACAATTCAACTTCCCCCTCTGCCTAATCCTGTTTCACTCCCCTTAAGATAGACATTGATCCTAAGAATACCCCTGCACACAAATCTGCCTCGGAGTCTGCTGCCTCGGGAAATGACTTACGACACTTGCCCAAAGTCAAAAAGCTAATGAGAGAGCAAAATGGAATTTACTACAGATGTGCCAGCATAATTCCACAATTATAAAATGAGCAGAAGAGACCCAATGAAAGAATGAACCAAAAGACCTATAAGGTAATGTCATAAATAATACCTTAAAACATTCTAATAATGCCTCATTTGTGGGTTGGAATAAAAATGCAGAAGGATCTCCACTGAAGTGTGCTGATATAAAACAAGACAGCAGCCATCCCTGCATGGAGAAGAAAATCGGAAGGTGATGAAGGAGATGAATTTCCTGAAATGCTTTGTATTTCCCTTCAGGAGCAGAAGACTATTTGGACCAAAAGAAGTTTTAAAGTCAGAATAGCTCCTGCCTTTTATTTTATGCAAGAGAATTCTGCAACCCAGAGGGATACATAGCTTACCCAAGGGCACAACGTAACACTAGCCTAATCTAGGCTTCTCATTAATCTTCAGAGTCCTTCAGCTTCGTCTTTGACATGTGATTTCAATATATGTAAAGTGTAACTCCCATAAAAGATTCATCTATGTTCAAAAAAGTATAAGATACGTTACAAAACTAAGTATGGCTTTTGAATTACGCATCAGTGTCATTCCTTCCTCCCATCAATGTGGATAACTGGGGTTTCACTACATTATGGGTTTTCACAGAATGCTTCAGGAGGAAGGTTAGAACTCACTATCTATGCCTCTAACTACATTAGCAATTAAAGTTCATTAAATATTGTATCTTAATGGCCTTATCTCAAAATGAGGATAATAATTATTCTCTCATTCAATAGGATGCCATAAAGAGTAAATATTTAATGGTAGCAATGCATTCTAAATGCCACATAAACAAACATGACAATACATGTAACAGCTTCCAGCAGGTTAACATTATAATAGGTTAATATTACACATGACTGATCAAAAAGAGTACACGTAAGACAGAGGGTCATTTAGACATCTAATTGTTTTCAAACAGGAGAGCAAGATTTAAACTGATAAATTTAAATTTAATTAAGACATCCCAATTCAAATAAGAAAGGTCTTGAAAATCCCTGTGGTTGGCAAAATTACCATCAAGGAACTTAAGACCTCTGAGGAAAAAAAAAAATAGGTTAATGGGATAAAAGTTAAAAGCAAATCCATGTTTACCTTTAAAATATTTTTATAGCAGTTAAAATAAAATAGGCTAAGAACAAGAAAGGAAAAAAAATATCAAGGACATTCTACACATTTTAAATTGTTTCTATGAGGTACTATATCATTCATTCTGATACACTATTCCTTGCCTGCTAGAAACTTCCCAAAATCGCTCATAAATAGAATTTACTAAGAAGCATTGCAGTCTTCCCTTCCCATATCTAGTCCTTTATTCAAAATGCTCAAAGAACAGGCCAGGTTCTAAAACACTTAAATATTTAAAATGTTTGCATAAATTTTATTTATCTTCATTGGGAAAGTTGAGGAGAAATCATGCAAAAGTCCCTCCCCATAGTGCCGTTCAGCCCAGGTTGAGCTCATGCCAGAAATACACTCCAGAACCCCTTTCCATATAGTTCAACTTCCTGTCTTTTAACAATCCAAATGAGCAGTCCTAAGGCCCTTCAGTTCCCAAGATTTCTTTGAAAAATATGTTTCTACTCTGCCACAGCTTTTCAAATCCCTTTTTTCCCCTAATTCTTTCCTCTTTTTCTAGTGATAGTAGTAACAATTTTCAAATAAAATTATCACAGTTAGTGGAGTACTGAAGTCCCCCATTATTATTGTGTTGCTATCTCATTTCTTAGTTCTAGTAGTAATTGTTTTATAAATTTGGGAGCTCCAGTGTTAGGTGTATATATATTTAAAATTGTGATATTTTCCTGTTGGGCAAGTCCTTTTATCATTAGATAATGTCCCTCTTTGTCTTTCTGCTGTTGCTTTAAAATTTGTCTGATATAAGAATAGCTATTTCTGCTTATTTTTGATGTCCATTTGCATGGAATATCTTTTGTAGAAAAAGATATCCGCTTTAGCTTAAGTTTACATGAGTCCTTATGTGTTAGGTGAGTGTCTTGAAGACAGCAGAAACTTGGTTGGTGAATTCTTATCCATTCTGCCATTCTGTATCTTTTAAGTGGAGCATTTAGGCCATTTACATTCAATGTTAGTACTGAGATATGAGGTATTATTCTATTCATTGTGCTATTTGTTGCCTGAATACCTTTTTATTTATTTTTGTTTTGTAGGTCCTGTGAGATTTATGTTTTCAGGAGGTTCTATTTTGGTGTATTTCAAGGATTTGTTTCAAGATTTAGACCTTTTAGCAGTTCCTGTAGTGCTGGCTTGGTAGAGGCAAATTCTCTTAGCATTTGTTTGTCTGAAAAAGACTTTATCTTTCCTTCATTTATGGATCTTACTTAGTTTTGCTGGATACAAAATTCTTGGCTGATAATTGTTTTGGCTAAGGAAGCTAAAGGTAGGGCCTCAATCCCTTCTGGTTTTTAGGGCTTCTGCTGAGAAATCTGCTGTTAATCTGATAGGTTTTCCTTTATAGGTTACCTGGTGCTTTTGCCTCACAGCTCTTAAGAATCTTTCCTTCATCTCGACTTTAGATAACCTGATGACTATGTGCCTAGGTCATGATCTTTTTGTGATAAATTTCTCAGGTGTTGAGCTTCTTGTATTTGGATGTCTAGATCTCTAGCAAGGGTGCAAATGTTTTCCTCGATTATTCCCTCAAATATGTTTTCCAAACTTTTAGATTCCCCTTCTTTCTCAGGAACACCAATTATTCTTAGGTTTAAACAGGAGAGGTCATTTAGGTCTCAGGTCATTTAACAAAATGCCAAACTTCTTGGAGGCTTTGTTCATTTTTAAAAATTCTTTTAAAATTATTTTGTCTTTGTTGGATTGGGTTAATTCAAAAACCTTGTGTTCGAGTTCTGAAGTTTTTTGTTTTTTTTTTTTTTTGAGACAGAGTCTCGCTCTGTCGCCTAGGCTGGAGTGCAGTGGCGTGATCTCGGCTCACTGCGAACTCCGCCTCCTGGGTTCATGCCATTCTCCTGCCTCAGTCTCCCGAGTAGCTGGGACTACAGGTGCCCGTCACCATGCCTGGCTAATTTTCTGTATTTTTTTTTTTAGTAGAGACAGGGTTTCACCGTGTTAGCTAGGATGGTCTTGATCTGACCTCGTGATCCGCCCGCCTGGGCCTCCCAAAGTGCTGGGATTACAGGCATGAGCCACCGCGCCCAGCTGAGTTCTGAAGTTCTTTCTTCTGCTTGTTCGATTCTATTGCTGAGACTTTCCAGTGTATTTCACATTTCTCTAAGCATGTCCTTCATTCCAGAAGTTGTGATTGTTTATTTGTGCTATCTGTTTCACTGAAGATTTTTCCCTTCATATCTTATATAATTTTTTTGATTTCATTAAGTTGAACTTCACCTTTCTCTGGTGCCTCCTTGATTAGCTTAATAATTGACCTTCTGAATTCTTTTTCTGGCAATTCAGAAATTTATTCTTGGTTTGGATCCATTGCTGGTGAGCTAGTATGATCTTTTGGAGGTATTACAAAACCTTGTTTTGTCATATTACCAGAATTGTTTTTCTGGTTCCTTCTCATTTGGATAGGCTATGTCAAAGAGATCTGGGGCTCAAGGCTGCTGTTCAGATTCTTTTGTCCCATGGGGTGCTCCCTTGATGTACTGCTCTCCCCCTTCCACTGTGGATGTGGCTTCCTGAGAGCCAAACTGTAATGGTTATTTGTCTTCTGGGTCTAGACAGCCAGCAGAGCTACCGGGCTCTGGGCTGGGACTGAGGCATTCTGCACAGAGACCTGTGATGTGAACCGTCTTCAGGTCTCTCAGCCATGGATACCAGCACCCACTCCAGTGGAGGTGGCCAGGGAGTGAAATAGACTCTGTGAGCATCCTTAGTTGTAGTTTTATTGCACCAGTTTTGTGTTGGTTGGCTTCCAGCCAGGAGGTGGTGCTTTCAAGAAAGCATCAGCTGTGGTAGTATAGGGAGGATCAGGTGGTGGGTAGGGCCCTAGAGCTCCCAAGTGTTTATGTCCTTTGTCTTTGCTATCAGGGCAGGTAGAGAAAGACCATCAGGTTGGGGCAGGGTTAGGCATGTCTGAGCTCAGACTCTTTTTGGGCCTGGCTTGCTGCAGCCGTGGTGGGGGATGGGAGTGTGGTTCTCAGGCCCTTCTAGACATTGGCTTAGGGAAAGACTTCATGACCAAGAACCCAAAAGCAAATGCAACAAAAACAAAGATAAATAGATGGGAGTTAATTAAATGAAAAAGCTTCTACACAGCAAAAGAAACCACCAGCAGAGTAAACAGACAACCCACAAAGTGGGAGAAAATCTTCACAATCTACACATCTGACAAAGGACAAATATCCAGAAACTACAAGGAACTCAAACAAATCAGTAAGAACAAACAATCCCATCAAAAGACTGGCTAAGGACATGAATAGACAATTTTCAAAAGGAGATATACAAATGGCCAACAAACATATGAAAAAAATGGTCAACATCGCTAATTATCAGGGAAAGGCAAATCAAAACCACAATGCGACACCACCTTGCTCCTGCAAGAATGGCCATGATCAAAAAATAATAGATGTTGTCGTGGATGTTATGAAAAGGGAACGCTTTTACACCATTGTTGGGAATGTAAACTAGTACAACCACTATGCAAAACAGTGTGAAGATTCCTTAAAAAACTAAGAGTAGAACTACCACTTAATCCAGCAATCCCAATATAGGGTATCTACCCAGAGGAAAACAAGTCATTATATGAATAAGATACTTGCACACCCATATTTATAGCAGCACAATTAGCAATTGCAAAAATATGGAATCAGCCGAAATGCCCATCAATCAATGACTGGATAAAGAAATTGTGGTATATATACACACCATGGAGTACTACTCAGCCATAAAAAGGAATGAAATATTGGCATTTACAGAAATCTGGATGGAACTGGAGACCATTATTCTAAGTGAAGTAACTCAGGAATAGAAAACCAAACATCGTATGTTCTCACTCATACGTGGGAACTAAGCTATGATGTCTCAAAAGCATAAGAATGATACAATGGACATTCAGGATTCAGGGGAAAGGGTGGGAGAGGGGTGAGGGATAAAAGATTGCACACTGGGTACAGTGTGCACTGGTAGGGTGATGGGTGAACCAAAATCTCAGAAATCACGACTAAAGGACTTATTCATGTAACCAAACAACACTTGCTCCTCCAAAACCTATTGAAATTTAAAAAAAAAAAACAAAAAAACAAGACTGAGAGATTAAATGGACTTTTAAAAAAACTGTAAACAGATAAAAATTTAAAAAATAAAATTATTACAGTTAAAAGAAAAGTCATATAGAAGCTAATTCACAAATAACACAATTTTGTGTAAAGATAAACTGTGATTAGAAAAGTGATGACAACAGTACTCTCTTACATAACTAGGATAATGAGATGTAAACTAACCTACCCAGCATCCAGCCCAGAGCCTGAATGCAACCAATCAGCAATTCATTTATTTACCACCTTCCTGCTTTTTTTTTTTTTTTTTTTTTGAGACGGAGTCTCGCTCTGTCGCCCAGGCTGGAGGGCAGTGGCGCCACCTCGGCTCACTGCAAGCTCCACCTCCCAGGTTCACGCCATTCTCCTGCCTCAGCCTCCCGAGCAGCTGGGACTACAGGCGCCTGCCACCGCATCTGGCCAATTTTTTGTATTTTTAGTAGAGATGGGGTTTCACTGTGGTCTCAATCTCCTGACCTCCCGATCCACCCACCTCGGCCTCCCAAAGTGCTGGGATTACAGGTGTGAGCCACCGCGCCCAGCCGTTCCTACATTTATATACAGATATTTGTACTAAGCAATGGAAAAATTCTAAATGAAACAGCATTTATTTTCACTCTCCTTGCAGGAAAATATCAAATACAAAAGGATGGTGTTGAGAAATTACACAAAATATGTTAGACTTAATCAGTGGTCTTCAAAATAGGTAACCCTCTTCAAACAGGAGTATATTAAAAGTTTCAAGGAATAGGTAGTTTTAGAAGCACAAACAGTTTAAGACCTAGGTATTTTAAAGGAATTGATTTCTGGGTGCTAAATTTGCTAATGAACTCCTTCCCTAAAACTGTGAGGGTAGAAATTTCCACTTCAAAGAAAATAATAAAGGATTTAAGATTTCTGATTTTTAATGGGAAGTTTGTTCAGGTATTTATTAAAAATTGATGATGATGGATATGAAATAGTTAAATATTCTACTGAATATATTAGAAAGAGCCATAAGTTTTATTTTTAAACATCAATATTCACAATCTCCTCAAGATACTGTGAAAATATATTTTGCAATTAAAAAGTTGTAGCTGTCAACATAAAATGTGCAAAGGATTAGACATTTCTTGACACTCTCAGGGAGTTATTGAGCAAAAAAGTTTGAAAGCCACCACACCAAATCATGTCAAAGCTTCATTAACCTCTAATAGTCTAATGCCAAACTTCTAAATAAGGACCTGCTCTACATATGTTAAGTCCTGGGCTGTCTGAAGTGACAGATAAGCTAGACTAATTAAAGAGCCCTTTGTAGAAATGGTGAGATTTAAGCAAGGTTTTAGGAATGGATAGCAGGGATCTTGAAGAACTTGAGAAAAGATAAATAAGCCCGAGTGGGGAGGTAGGAGCCAGTAAGCATGTAGTTGTTGGCCGTAGAGGGAGAGTAATGTGCCCAGGTGGAGAAGGGAAACGGTTCTCAGGTCGCAAGACACTTGAGTTCAAGTTTAGGTTTTACTACTTTTTGGCTGAGTCACTTTGAAGAAGTCTTAAGTTCATTTTGAAGATCAAATGAGGGGAAAGACAGGAAAGAAAGTGTTTTTTAAATTGTAAAGTTATAGCCAGGTGCAGTGGCTCATGCCTGTAATCCTAGCACTTTGGGAGGCTGAGGTGGGTGGATCCTTTCTGGTCAGGAGTTTGAGGCCAGCCTGGCCAACATGGGGAAACCCCGTCTCTATGAAAAATACAAAAATTACCCAGTCATCGTGGCCTACACCTGTAATCCTGGCTACTTGGGAGGCTGAGGCAGGAGGTTGCAGTGAACCAAGATCATGCCACTGCACTCCAGCCTGGGTGACAGAGAGAGACTCTGTCTCAAAAAATAAAATAAAATAAATCAATAAATTGTAAAGTTACAGCACATATTAGTCATTAAGCCCTTTCCAACTGGGAGCCACTGAATAGCAGCAGTTTGCATAATGGTCAAAAGCATGAACTCTGGAACAACAGACTAGATGGAAACAAAAACTCCTTTCCCAGAGGTATGATCCTTGCCAGGTTAACTAAACCTCTCTATGCCCCACCAGCTTTATGCATAAAATCGAGATAAGAGGGATCCACTTTACAGGGTTATTATGAGGATGAAGTGAGGTAATGCATGTAAAGAGCTAAAAAAAAATAGTGCTCATAATAGTTGCATCATTATGGTTGGTGGTGGTATTGTTTAAATTTAAACGTTATTACTCTGATTCTCAAACTGAGATCAAGAGATTATCACTAATAAGTATTTGTTGAATGAAGTCTTTCAAAAAACAGTTATAGGAGGGGCAGCTAAGTCTATTGAAGGGCTTTTATAATAAAAGTCACTAACATGGCCCTCAGTTTTACAGCAAGAGTATGTGGCAATGGTCCAGTGAAGTTCACTGCTGTCATAAATAACAAAGTAACATGCATCTTTTTCTCTTGCTTAAAGGCCAAAAAAGCAAAAGGATCTATTGCATTTTGTTCTACAAGAATATTTTGTGATGTATTCAGTTGGACTATATTTGTTCCTTAAGAGGACACAATTTATTAGAAATAATTTTGCTATATGGTGCCACATGCCACTCTGACCTTACTGAAAGGAATTCTGACACTGAAGAACCAAAAGAGCTTATTTTAAAGCACCCTTACCTATTATTAACATACCAAGCACAGAACCAAAGAGAGTAGAATGACACAGCCCTTTGAATTTTGATTGTTATAGTCTATAGTCATTTAAAAACTGTTACTGGAATATTTTTTAAATTACAGGGTTAATTCATAATTCATCATGTATGCTCTTTTTCATAAACCCATGTATTATTTATATGTATTATCACATATACAAATTTATTAATATGCCCATTAATTTAACAAATATGTGTTGAGAATTTATTTATTGAAAGGAGAATGAATATATTTTCTTTTCAAAAGAAAAGACTGGTGTTCCACCCCAGTCCTGACTTTTCAAACCACATTCAGAACAAACTGCATAGTTTTCCAGAAATTATTTTAAAAGCTTTAACTTGAATCTAGCTTTCATAAATTCTGGCTAAAATCTTGACGAACAATGCAAAAATACAAAGGTCAGAAATGTGTTATTTTAAGAATAGCATTTAAAAGACGATGTTTTAACTTTTAAAAAGGAGTTCAGGTTACTGTAACTAACGGGAAATGTGCCAGATTGTACTGCTTTCTAACTTCACGCAAGCAATCTAAATGAGCTAAAACTCAGGATATAGTCAATGTTATGAGATTTTGCTGACAAATAATATGTATTCAGAAGCAACAGATCAGCATTAGAAGTTTTAAAACTTACAAGTATGTCTGGCCAGCGAGTAGTTGGATCCACCACTAGTCAACCCGAATCCCTCAGGAATTTGGCTAGAGCTTCGAGGTCTGGTCAATAGTTTAGGAGGTTCAATTTCAGCACCAAATTCAGCTCCTATTACTCCAAGTAAAACAATAGCGGTAGCTTGCTTCCGTCTTTCCTCGTAAGATGTAGAAATTTTTTTCATTTGTGGGACACTTGATAAGCAACCTGAAGACCAAAACATAGAATCTCAACTTAGAACAAATCAATATACAAAAAGACACATGATTAGAAAAACATTCAGGACTGCACGTTCGGAAAGAATAGCATTTTCAGCAAATGGCACTAGGACAAATGGTTACTCACAGGCAAAAGGATGAATTTAGACAGACCCCTATCTCTAACCTTCCAAAAAAAAACCTGAAAATTGATCATAATCCTAAATATAACAGCTAAAACAAAAAACAACTCTAAGAAGGCAACATAGGTGTATATGTTTGTAATTCTGGATTATATAATGATTTCTTAGATATGATACCAAAAGCACCAGTAATTTTTTAAAAATTTTACATAGGATTTCATCAATACTAAAAACTTTTGTGCTTGAAAAGACAGAATCAAGAAAGGATAAAGACAACCCACAGAATCAGAGAAACTATTGTCAAATCACCTATCTAATAAAAATTATTTCCAGAATATATAAAAACTTTCATGACTCAATAATAAGAACAATCTGAATAGATATTTTTCCAAAGTTGTATGAATGGTCAACACGCACATGAAAAGATGCTAAACATCATTAGTCATGAGGAAAATGCAAAGCAAAACCACAATGAGATACCACTTCACATCCATGAGAATGGCTGCAATAAAAAAGACCATTACAGTGCTGTTGAGGATGCACAGAAATGGAAACCCTCATGCTTTGTTGTTGGGCATGATAAAAATGGCACAACTACTTTGGAAAACAGCTTGGCAGTTCCTCAACAAGTTAGACATAGGGTTACCATGTGGCCCAGCAACTCCACTCCAACGTATCTCCCAAACAGAAATGACACACATGTACACACAAAGACATGGATGCTCACAGCAGCATTATTCAAAATAGCCTTGGAAACAACTGAAATGTCCATCAACTGAAGAATAAAGAAAATGTATTAGGTTGGTGCAAAAGTAATCGCAGTATTTGCCATTACTTTCAGTGGCAAAAATAGCGATTACTTTTGTACAAATCTAAGTATATCCATACAAAATTAGATTACTCAGCAATAAAAAAGGAATGAAGTAATGATACATGCCACAAAAATGACGCTGAAAACATTACGCTAAGGGGAAGAAGCTGGTCACAAAAGACCATATATTGTATGATTCCATTTATATGAAATGTTTAGAATAGGCAAATCCATAGAGACAGAAAGCAGATTAGTGGTTGGCTGGAGTGGGGGTAAAATGGTTAACAATAGCTAATAAGTACTAGTTTTAGGGAGTAATGAAAATGTTCTAAAATTAGATTGAGGTAATATCTGCACAACCCCAAATATGCTAAGAATCACTGAATTCCACATTTTAAAAGGATGAATTTTATACAACATACATCTTATCTCAGTACATTTGTTTTTTTAGAAAGATTGTTCATTGAGTAATTTATTAATGTGCCCATTAATTTAACAAATATTTATTGGGCATCTACTTTGGATCAGAAAATAACAAGCATGAAAATAAACAGCTCAGGTTTCTAAGAATCTCACAAGTGCATGAAAAAAAGAGAGCACATTGGATTTAAGACTCAAAGGGTAAGTTTTCCAGGCAATAAGAGGGATGGGCCATACGAGGAGGAGAAGGATGATTATTTCATCCAGTATGGCACAGAATGCAAAACAGCAATCAGATATTTGAAGAAATACTTGTTACTGGAGCAAAGCTCAGCATAGTTTCATATTCAGAAGAAAGATTAGAAGGATACCCAAAAATAATTAAAACAATTTTATATCTTGATTAGAATACCAATAAATAGGGCATAATAGGAATGTTACTTCTTAAAATTTCCTTTCTTAACCTCACTCTTGCTACATTCTTTTAAGACTTACATAGTTCTACCCTTTTTTAGTTCTACTCCATTCTAAAAATAGTCTACCATTATTTTTTGATATTTATTATGCAATATTATAAGCATCCACAGAATTAGTAGAAAATATATAAAGAAATCATGACTAACATGTACACAACTAATGAACCTTATAAAATACTGATGTTTTTCCAAAGGTTTCCAATTTTTATAAAGTAATTAATCTGGGTATTATCAAAGCCCACCATGGACTGTGTCTTGACCTCACTGCCTTGCCCTCCTGCCCTAAAGGTCACCACAATTCTGACCTTATCAAATTTTATATCTATTATATAATTATATCAATGTTACCTGAAATAAATTAATATATTTTCTGGCCTTGAACTATGCTTCCATATCTGGGGTAAACCCTGGATAAACAAACGTATGCATGGATAAGCAGTGACAGATAGATAACACCAACAGATAAACACACCAACAGACAGACCCTGAACTAAATTTGCTAATAGGCTTTTTTATATCCATGTCCATAAGTGAGACTGGTCTATACTTTTCTTTTCATATTCTATACTTAGTATCAACATAATACGAGCCTCAGAAATGAGTTAAGTAACGTTCACTCTCAGTCCCTGAGGTCCCCCTTCCATCATTCCTTGAAAACAGTTGAAGGATTCTTGAAGTTTCATGAAAGTTCTCCTCTAAAACTATTAAGTCTGCATTTCGAGACACTCCCTGTGTGGAGTCAGAGGGTAGGATATGGTGGCAAAAGTAGCAGGATGAAGGAAGGAATATTTATTATAAATAGCTCCTTATTTAGTTTGACTTTCTTCTTCTTGAGTCATTTCTGGCAGATTATAATTTTAAAAGAATTATCTATTTCATCTACATTTTCAAATTTATTGGTATGGAATTATTTACAGTATTCTCTATATGATTAAAAAAACTCAAGTATATCAGCAGATATGGATCCCTTAAACACTGTGTATTTATACCTTCTCTAATATTATTTTTCATGCTTTTCTTAAAGTTTTGCTGGAAATATATGTTTTATCAGATTATTTTTGTTTTGGTTTTTATTTTTATTTTTGTAGAGACAGGGTTTCACTATGTTTCCCAAGGTGGTCTTGTACTCCTGGCCACAAGTGATCTTCCTGCCTTCGCCTCCCAAAGCGCAGGAATTACAGGCATGAACCACTGTGCCCAGCCCCAAATTAGTTTTAAAAAGTACTTTGGTTTTGATCTTTTGTATCATTGTTTTCTATCTTATTAATTTCTGCTCTTATTTTTATTATTTCTCCTTCTACTGTCTTTAGATTATCTCTTTCTTCTGTTTTGCTTCTAGTTTCTTGTGTTGAATAGAACTCACTTATTTCCACTATTTTACATTATGGTTAACATTGCCAGTCACGTATTTAATACATGCATTTTCCTCTTCTTTTTTATCAATTTTTTTCTGAGTAGCAATGCACTCAGATCTTTTCAATGTCCTTTCAGGAACTGAGGAAGCTATAGCCTAGCTCCTGGCTTTAAACTTTATTCATGATGTATTGTAAGTCCTCTTTAGCTCATAGGAGCCAAAAGCCTGCTTCTGGAAAGTAGCTAATGGTTTCAGCCCAGATCATTACATTTCTATTTCATTACTGGTCCACAGAGATATCTTTTTTGAGCCTAGTTATGTCTCTTTGGTTTTCTCTTTGTATACTTTATCCATCATAGCAATGTATTTGGCACAGAAGGATTAAAAAAGTGAACTCCCGGAGCCATCTTGATTGGAGGTCAGCTTTCTGCTCTTTCTAATACTAATCCACCCAGTTTTTCTGGCCGCTTTCAGTTCTTTGCGCTATATGTTGATTAAATGAGTATAACAAAGGTCACTCAAAGCTCGGTATGCCAACCGAGAAATTAGCAGCAAGGCTCTCTGAATATTTTTTGGTATTTTGTTTTATTTTATCTATTTGTTTTACTTTGTCATTCTGTATTACTGGAGGTAAGGCAAACTAAAGAGGTGCCAAACCATGAGAGGCCTCATATGGCAAGCTGAAGACTTCTAACCTATGGCTAATTGAAAGCCATTAAATAGTTCTGTATAAGGTGGTGATGTTAGATTCATTCACTGTTAGATCATGGTAGTGGCAGTATGGTGGATGAATTGTGAGGTCAAACAAGACTGGTGTCAAGGAAAACCAAAAGAAGACTCACACAATGATCAGGTGAACAACAATAAGAACCAGTGGTGGTGGCAGTTCATTCCATCCATTACTGAACTCAGTTATTCAACATGTAAGAATTGCAGGTCTTGTGTATGCCTGGATTATGCTAGATAAAAATTAATACAGTTAAGTAAAGCCCTGCCCTCATTGAACTTAAGGGCTACTAAACAGGCATTGGAAATGTGTAAGTTACAGAATCAATGAGAACTTTCTGGATCGAAAAAACAGTATGTTTAAGAACTTAAAGCATGAAGGAGTCTGTGGATTTCTATTTCAAGGACAGCTAAGTTGGCTGGAACTCTATAACTCTAGAGGAGAACTGCAGAAAATGAAGCAGGAGAGGCAGGAAAGGGCCAGATCATATATGATTCTGTAGGTCATATGCACATTCCAATTTATATCCCACAAACAGTGGGAAGGTATGCAAGATGGGTTTTAAACTACAGAATAGCTTAATTAGATTTAGGGTTTCAAAAATCCACTGTAAGCATAGTATAAAGAATATTAGAAGTGGGGTGATCACTTGAGGGGTACTGTAGAAATCAAGATGAGAGATTACAGTGGATTTGGTTTTGTGATGTTAAACAGAAGACACGGGAAGTGGAGAGCTTTACAATACACGATGAGGTCTGAGAAGATGGAAATATGGCAGAAAGATTTGAGATATCATATCCTAAGTTCTTTTAAAAATTACTGATGAAAACAAAACAGAACAAAACAACCCTGGTAACAAAAGTAGATACAGCCTTTCCAGAAGCTGACTTTAAAAAACTTCTGGAGGACACGACTTTATAGTATACACTTTAAATTCCATTGTTTAGCTGTGCTGAAAGGCACAAAAAAATCTGGATGTTGGCAAGAAGACCTAGTTGAGTCTAAGAAATGGAAATTATAGGATATTATAAAGAATCTAATAATTTAAAAAGAACTGAGTGAGAAAGTGGCTTAACGTATGTAAGGGAAAAAGGAGGATTGGTTATCTAGAAAACTAAGATGGTAACACCAGAGTATTACTTACTTGGATTCCTAAAATGTTTGGTGCAATTATGAGTATAAAAAAGATTTCTTCTTGTTGCTGTTATGGTTTCTTAGCTTCCGCACATCACACTTTATTCTTTTTCTTTTTTTAAAGTTAGTTCTGGATGTTTGCCATTCACTTTTAGGTAGTGTACAGAAAGGAAAAATCGAAAAGGAGTCCACAGATAATAGATTTATCTTTAAAACTATTCTAATTGCTCACGTAAAAGTTTAGTTATGAAACATTTTCTTAATTTGTTGAATTTTGTATAGGATATTTCAGATCACATGCAGGTTGATTAATAATGATGCCCCTCCAATGTTACAAATTATTTTGTCATGATAAATCATATTTTGTGAATTATATTTCTTATAAAATATTTTAAATTAATAATTAAAATATCTTCTAGTCTGATACCAAAGTATGCATTTCTCTCTCTTCATGGAAAGTTTTAGTTTTTTAAAGACAGAGAGGAAATGTCAGTAAAAAGTATTAGCAGGTATATGCTATTACAGATTCAAAGTGTGACACCAATCTGTGATAGCTATGGTAACTAAAGGGGGAAAAAAACCACCTAAATGCGTAACCATACTAAGAAGAAAAAAAAATCAATAATCATTGCCTCTGTGTTTAGAAGAACCTTAATTCTAGAAAAAGTGATATTTAACATTTTGATAATCTGTATCTCAGGATATGCATTTAAAACCAACTTTGTTTATGTATAAGAACAGGCACAAGGAGGAAAAGCTCTGTGGCACAGCATCTAGATTCACATACTATATATTTTACTCTTTACATAGTATTCTTGAAACAGGAAGCAAACCAAGCTCCCCTCCCCCATGTCTCAGCAAGAGCATGCTCCATAACAATAGTTCAAAGGAAAGCTCTATTCTGCAGTTGCACTGATTGTTCTGTCAGCTGACCTCTGCAGAAGGGAATTGCTAACCGCTGCCTTGCTCCTTAGCTGACAAATGAATGATCGCAGCTCCATCTATTTTCACTATGGCTGCCTCTAGCCCAGGTGCTCAGACAGAGAGCCTGGTGTGACATCTTAGATCAAGATGAATTGGCACAAACTCCTGATTCAAGATTGTTTTATACCATTTAATTTAGTTTCTTCCCCTGCTTGGATGAGCACAGCTCTGGTTATGGATTTCTATTCTAATGTACTGAAGCAGGCCCTGAAAGAAGCCAATGAAGCAGCTGCTGGAGCACGGGACTGCAGGGATACTGATCAATAGGCAAGGCATTGACCCCAGCCGTTCAGCCTCTGCAATGGCCACTGCTTGAAGCGGGAGGGGGCACAGAAGCACATATGGGCTGCTTCCAGTAGGAAATTAAACAACAGGGGCATTTGGTGAGCTCCGCCTCCATCCCTGGTCCCCCACCTTCTTTATGTTCCTTTTGTTTAATTGCCTCAATTTTGTCTTAACTCCCACTCCAGGGGAAGGAATTAAGACTTTAGGGAAGTTTTAACAGTGTACTTTCAAACAATCATTTGTAAATTTTATCCCTAAGCTAATGGAAAGAATTGTAACAGGTACCCTCTGCTAAGTGGCCAAAATATGAAATCTTAATTAGCTGTCAAGTACATCACTTGGTGTAGTTTAAAGGTTGGCATGTACATAGGCTCATAAGAACACCGCCCAACTGGCAATTAACACTACTGATGCTGAAATTCTACAGTATGTAATTTTTATCAGTATTCAAATCTAAAAAGATGATAGCCCTTCATTAACAAGGAAAGAGGTAAAAAAGAACAAGGAAAGGAGTCCCTAAAGGAGACACTGACTGATTAGTGTTTCTATAAGGGAGAGATGCCCATCCTGCTACTGTTCTAAAAATAACACAGCAATTTCTCATTCCTATAATTTTTCAAATTTGGAAATATCTTTAAATTATTGGCTTGCCTGTACTTTCTGTTAACAGAAGAAATATGTAACTAGTTGCAATGTTTTCCTACAAATAAAATGACAACCAAATGGAAGATTTTGAGATATTAAAAATAAAATAATTCTGTAAAAGTAAACCTTTCTACAGTTTCATTTGTCTCATGAAAATTTGGTATTTTTTTTCCAGAGACATGCCTCCATTTAATCATGCTAAGGGGTGACATGGAGATCCATTTTCTTGACAGGACGGTTGATCACCCTATCACAGTAAGAAAATTAATACCTTCAACTAGCCCTGTGTGGAAAAGAGAAGCTATATGCGATGGTAAAGGACATTAATGTTCTACATTTTAAGTTGCAAACAGAATACATGTTCTGTGTGAAAATGATACGTGGTCTCATTATTGGGTTACTTATAACAAAATATGAGGCTTTAATTTTGATTAAAACAACAATTTACTTGACAGAGTGTTCTTCAAATGTACGTAATTGTCTTCAGATTTAGCATAATTGACTCTAGATTTACACAAACTGGAGTAAACACTTTACTTACAGCTTAACTAGAATACAGGTAAAATATTTGAGAAGTTTAAGCTATTTAAAGGGCTATGAGGTATTGATTACTTCATTTAAAAAGCAGTCAGAGAGTGCAACCAAGAGGTCAAGATAAATTTAACAGTTTGAAGCACTTTACTAAATAACTCTAAAGATCATGTTAATTGGCTTTGTGCAGTGCTAGGGTAAAATTAATTTTATCCTGGCTTACAATAAAAGGATTAAAAGACATATTAAGTTCTTCAGTTTTAACTGGAATAGGAATCAATGGATTTGAATTAAGGCTAAAGGCGGTTTTATGAGAGATGGACTACTAGCAGATACTTTATATGTGCTATTGAGCCATATATTGATGGGGCTTTATTATTGCATTAGGTATTAAAACCTTAGATAAGTAGATACCACCAATTTACTACTCCGAGAATACTTTCAGAACTGTGCTTTGACCTGAAAAAACTGTTCTTAAACATTCAATTCTTTATTTAGAAATGAGTGTCATAATACTTGTTACAGCTGACATATATAAGTAAATTTCTAGTAAAAATTAAAATAATGCGGTTGAATTCAGTCAGAACTCCCGTCAAGATAATAACCATATTGAAAACATAAACTATAAAATAAACATGTCATTAGGATTTTTTTAACCCAACACATTATATTAAGATTTGTGTTAACATAACAATTTTATGCCAGAAATTTCTGGCACAAGATGGAGTCCAAACGAAATTCACAATGATACAAATATTGTCTAAATTTAGTATAAATTGCAATATACCCTAAAAACCTTTTGAAAGGTCAGAAATGTCTATTGGTTCATGATAAATAAAAATAAACAATAAAAGTGTTTCTTTACTTTTAAATATTTAATAATATGTTTGAGAATCATACGTGTACAAAGATAATTTGGTTTTACTATTTGCTGCCTCCAAAGTGAAAAATACAATTTGCATTTAATAAGACATAGTTTTAAAAATAACCGTGACTTTGTAAGACTTTACATAAATGACTAGAAAAACAGTGAGCTGTAAGATCTCACAGCAGAAAACTAAATGGCAACATGTAGAGACTAAAATAATTTGGATTAAGCTAGAAAATACTTTCTATTATGGTTTTTTAGAGCCTTGTTTTATTTGTAATAAAGTGTATTTGCTAATATTAGATTTTGATTAATTATTAAAGAGCAAGAGCAAACTTAGCAAAGTGAACTTTGTTAATACTGACATTCTGGAGAACAAGCGAACTTTCAGACTTAAGACACGATTTACTATGTACAATGTCTGCATATAGTCAAAATAAATAGTCTGAGCACATCATTCAGAGCCCTACAAATGTTAGTCAATAAAGCTGCAAAAGATTTCTATTTTCAGACCAGTAAAATATTCTTCTAAAATTTTCATTTTATTTCTATTTTCTCAGTCCCAAGGATATTTTAAATGTGATATGGCATTATCAGCACACACTGACTATAAAAAGCATATATAAAACTGTATACTGTATTGAGTTTAAAACAATACATGATAGTGAAATGTGTCCAATCAAAATATATTTCAAACTAGATCTTCAAAAGTGAGTTACATTCAAATTGTCTTTAGATGTACTTTAATCAAAATAACTTTACCTTTCTCCTGACTACTATCCAAATTGAGGCTGGGCATGGTGGCTCACACCTCTAATTCCAGTACTTTGGAAGCTGAGGCAGGAAGATTGCTTCAGCCCAGGAGTTCAAGGTCAACCTGGGCAACAGAGCAAGACCCCATCTCTAAATTAATTAATTAATTGATACACCTGGCTGCCTAATGGAATATTAACAATTTTTAAGATCTATCTTTTTAATTATCATTGTATGCTGGTAATCAAATATGTTAATTCTATATTTACATACATAAATACATTGCATGTACATAATTATACATCTACACATAAGTATATAGCATTCTTAGTGAAGGTACCAAGACATGATACCTAAGCAAGCTAGAACTACACTTTTGAGATTTTTTTAAAACATGTTTTAGAATTATAATGAGAAAAATGTTGGCCCTCAGTGGAGTTTTCACAGTGTAAATAAGTTGTTTCCATATATGTATGGCTCAAACATTTTCCATACCTACTTGTTATTCTTAGGGTTGCTTAAAGTAGGGATAAAGTACAATACCATAAAAATGTCAAATTTTATCAGATATATAACAATAGTCTTTCAAAATAGCTTGCTAACAATAGGAAAAAAATCTTAAAAACAAACAAAAATCTGTTAATATTCATTTTTAAAACACTTTGGCTTTAAAAGAACTTAAAATGCTACATAAGTCATCCAATGTACCCCAAGTCTTTGAAGTCAAATACTTCAAAGCTAAATTTGTTAAATGGGAACACACAAAGACATAGATTGGTGATAATCCAGCTTGGGAGAAAGGACCCAAGATCTCGCTGTCCTGGTGGTGAATCCAGGTTTCATAGGCTCATGTGGAGGATGTATGTTGTGGATCCATGCCATTGTAAATGTATGTAATTAAGTTCTTTTCCTAAACCAAATGTGTTTATATGAATATTATATATTATTTTCATTTGTTGGCATAACTTAGAGCTCTGCAATTTCTACAAAATATGTCAAATAAATTTTAGTGATACAAAAAAATAAAATTGTACATGGTTGTATGGCCAACATGTAAATTTCAACCTGTGCACCTAAAGTAAATAAAATAAAGTTTTTAAGTTTTCTGTGTCTTCTTCTTTGCCTCCTATCAAGAAAATGAACTGATTAAAAATGGCTGTCATAGGGCACTTCCACATTTACTTTCAAATTTTCACATTATTATCAAAGCTACTGTGTGTATAGCTAATCTTGTGTTAGCGGCATAGATTTTCCCCCACTGTATTAAACACATATTTGAGTTACTTTGTGACACATCTGCCAATGTTTTCCTCACATCTACTGACAGAACATATGGAATTTGCTCCCCAAATCTAAGAGGCTTTTGCTGCTGGTGTTGCTGCTGTGTTACTTCCCCACTCACTTGAAAACTGAAGTAAACAAACATGCTATTAATTTGTATGTATGCACGATAGCCCCCTGCTGGAACACAATAGGTTCTGCAAATGCATATTTCTTTCTGCAGCTGCTGATTAAGCCATTCTGAAATAATGCCTCTTGTATACACATGTATTACATGTGTGTGCAGTTGACAAAATAGACAAAGCTATTTTCCATTAAATCAGATAAATGCAAAATATATGACCACTCTAAAATGATTTTCTTTTTCAAAGAAATAATCACTCCTCTGAAGGTGTGTCAATTATTTTGATAATTATAAATCTTAAGCTTTGAGGGCAATTCACATGTTTTTCAAGTAATTCATGAAACAATTTCTTATTTTTCACAAAGATCCTGTCCTATACCTATTTTCCTACCATCTGCATCATCTTATATTTCCCTTTATTCTCTACCTGAATAACAAGTTAATTTTTTTCTTTGCCTTTACTATTAGGGCAAACATTCTCAGTTTGAAAGGAAATTGAGATTTTAGTAATCCCAAGTATCTAAGGCAGCTAAGTAATCAGAAGTCTTATAGGTAAAAACTATCTCCAAAAACGTCTAACTTTTTTGCTTCAATTGACCTTTCAAAGGTGAATCTGATACACATGGCAAATTTAAGAAACTACAAATTGTAACACTGAGACCATTATTCGCATTTCCATGAGAAAAGGAATATTTCAGAAACACAGTGGGTAGTGACTTGTAAAATTATACAAATCTGAAAACACAGCATATCATTCTCAGATATTTTCTCATACAGTTACTACTTAGAAAAAGAAACTCTGGCAATGAGATTTACTTATAAAAATAGCGGGGTAGACATGGTACGTTTCTGTAAAAGATCAAATAGAAAACATGAGACAACATTTGGTGGACTGGTAGAATACCTCCTATGAAGATTTTATATCTGTGCATTTCAGCATAGTAAGAAATAAATAAACCTAAGGTCATTTTTATTTATAAAATGACAAATCATTTACTGGATTCACTTAAAACATATTTTCACCTGGGTCATTACCAACTCAGTGATATAAAACTGAGATGAAAAAGGCCTTGCTCTACTTCTGAGCCATTAACAAGTACATCTGTTCATTTATAAGGAGTATCTGTAGTATTCATTTTTTTAAATTATATCGCAATAATAAAACAATGACATGTGACTAAAAGTGACCATTTTTTAAAGGTTCGTTTGGAGTAAATTAGAACCTCTAAAGGATCTCTAGCTTTGAAAAATGATCACCTTATTTTACGTTATTTTTTCTTCTGCTTTCTTTACTGTAAGTGAGATGTTAAGTAGAAATAAAGGAGCATAGTTAGGGGCAACATAGTATCTTGGAAATTAATGCCCACACCTTTGTGGTACCTAGTTGTTATTTGGCAAATTTTTTTCATAGACCTTTTTCTATATACATAATTTCTTTTACTATATACCTTTTCAAATGAGCATATAGAGATATAAAAATGTACTAATATTCTCTTTCCTGTAACTACTTTATAGGATTTCCTATTATCTAGTTAATTTCATTTCGAATTTGGCTCTGAGTTGCCTCTGTTGCAAATATCAGACTGAAACAGCTTTCAGTCCTTGAATTTTTTGCACAATTATTCCAATGTTTAACTTAGCACATATGCCTAGAGATACTGAATATCTAACTCATTCATGTATTACAACTATGGATTTGGAAATGCTACTACTCCTGAAATAAACAGTAGGGGAAAAGTTTAATGTTTGCCTAGATATGTATGTAGTCAGATACTCAGGTTTATAAGATGTCATGCCATTTTTCCAAAACTAATTTTAAAACAAATCTGTTTCTGCTATGATACAACATAATCGTTTCCTCAAAATCCTCCCTATCTATCTCCCTCCCAATGATTTGAATCATTAGGTTACTCTGGAATTGTGAAGAGACGGCTTTCTAATCTCTAGTCTTTTATTAAGACAGAGATAACAGCATATGTAAAAACCTGGAAAATATATATGTATTGATGTTTGGTAAACATACATCCTCAAGATGGCTATTATTGTACTTAAACTGCTCTGAGATTTTTAAAAAAATTTTATGCTGGGCGTGCTGACTCATGCCTGTAATCCCAGCACTTTAGGAGGCCAAGGCAGGCAGATGGCTTGAGCTCAGGAGTTCGAGACCAGCCTAGGCAACATGGTGAAACCACATTTCTACTAAAAATACAAAAGAAATAAAAAAAATTAGCCAGGTGTGGTGGTGAGTGCCTGCAGTCTCAGCTGCTCAGGAGGCTGAGATGGGAGAATCGCTTGAGCCCAGGGGGCGGAGGTTGCAGTGAGCTGTTATTGTGCCACTGCACTCCAGCCTGGGCAACAGAGTGAGACCCTGCCTCAAAAATAAATAAATAAATAAATAAATAAATAAGTAAGTAAATAAAGTTGTTGCATAATAGATGTACATATTTTCAGGGTATATGTGGTAATTTAATACATTCATGTAATTTGTAAAGATCAAATGAGTGTAACTGGGATATTCATCACCTTAAATATTTGTCTTTTCTTTATGCTAGAAATGCTCAGATTCTTCTCTTCCAGTTATTTCAAAATATACAATAGGCTCTGAGACTCTCTGGCAGGACAAAAAAAGGAACATAAAGTCAAGAGGAGATAAACTTTACTGAAAACTCCTACCACCACTGCCATAAAATCACCAGTGTCAGTGTCACGAATATTTTGCCATATAAGAGCTGAACACAGACAAAAGCAATCCAAAGCAAGAATTTAATATGTGCTTATCATTTCTCTGAAACATAATTTCTCCTATTAGCAAAAGAAAAAATAATTTATCTAATACTTAATCCAATGTTTTTGATTTCTAAAAAATACTCAATAAGAAATAGTATTTACTCATAGAAAAAAAATCTTTCGAAATATGTTAAAGATAAAAAGTTCCTCCATTTTAAAAACATCAACAAAAAAACTGAAGTCCACCTTTTACTTAAGGTGATTCATATACCTCCTAATACTGTATTTGTTATAATGACATAATTATATGCCTACTACAATCACTTTCCAGATTCATTAAAAAAAAACAGAAAAACTATTAAGATTTAAAAAAACAAAAAACATATTGGAAGCTGAGTGTGTAAAGCATCTCTTAGGTCCAAGGTAAGATGACTGGCTGAATTTTAAAATTTTAGAGAAAAAAGGAGATTACAGAGCTGCTCTTTTAATCAGAACAACAGATATTTTATAGATAAGGAAAGTTAAGTATGTGAAGTGTTCAAGCCACAAGGTGAAGGGCACAAACAGAGTGGGCATTCCTGGCAACATCATTCTGGATGGATCACCAGAATCTTCACTGACCTACAATCTCAGTGTTTACTGCATAGAAATTAGTTAATATTTGATGCCTATGCCAACATGAATCTCTATTATGTATCTTCAAATCTTGTATAGTTTTAAATGTTCCTTAAAAAATAATAAGCAAGCAAAATTTATAATTAGAAAAAAGTCTTAAAAAAAGTTTTGGACCATGGTATCTAATGTTATATATATTTAGTACAAAGCTATCTAAAAAATGTAGAAAATGCCAGAAGAGATATTCTATCAAGCATATGAACTACATTAAATTGTTTTTATATGAAAGATAAATATGAAATACTGAAACATACCAAAAACAAAGTACTGAGCATCAATGCATTACCATACAGAAATCAAATACTTAAATGATTTAACAGAATAAAATCAGCATGCCTTCCACAGAAACATCAACCATTTCCACAGAAGAAAAATTTCTCCAAATACAATATATGGTCAATAACACTAATTCAAAATATGAATTAAACATTAATTTCTCTACATAAACCTTCCTGTAAGTTGTCTACTATAAACATGCATGTACAAATATTTTCAAAAGTCACATACTGCACCTCAGAATAC
Source organism: Homo sapiens (assembly GCF_000001405.40). NCBI lineage: Eukaryota > Metazoa > Chordata > Mammalia > Primates > Hominidae > Homo > Homo sapiens. Next base: position 56,865,493 of record NC_000018.10, on the reverse strand, counting down.
TGCAAATAAATTCATAATCATTTCTGAAGTTTACTGTGTAATATCAAACAATAGCTAAGAATCAACATAAGGGTTAAGACAATCATTTTCTACTGCATACTAGTGCTATTCTAAGCCGATAGTGTGTTTAAATCCACACCAATGAAATCAATACAGCACTGTTGTATTCAAGGTGAGACCAAATAAACCTGTCTGAAGCTTTGAGAAATAGGCTTTGCAGTATACTTTGAGTGCTAAATGCCTTTCAGTCCAGAGATGTCATTAAATAATCATTAGCCATCATTCACTCTTCCTAAAAAGCTTAACACCTAAACTTGTTCAGCATCCACTACAACATTAGTATAGACTACCAAGTAAGTACTTATTAGCACTTAGAGATGTTTCAACCACTCTTTTTAAACATGTATCACTTTTTCAAAAAAGACTGCAAAATATTAATACATATTTACCGCTGGATTAGAGTGCATTGGATACAAATGATTAGTAAAAAGGATATCAATGTAATGATCGGTCTTGTTTGGATAACATGGCATAACCTCACAGAGCTACAATCAACTCTTTCCTGGTTAATCTATCAAAATAAAACCCAGTGTCTTTCTTCTCATTGAGTATCATATATTATTCAGTACCACATATATGTCAAATGAAATTAAGTTAATAATGATAGAGAATTCATCAGGAGGCAATCTTGGCTTTGATCCTGAATGTATTTTAAAATAATGCTTCCTTTATCAATGCTATTCATATCTCAATTTCAATATATGATCATCTCAATTGCTGAATATCTACTATAATGGACCCTGCATTATTTTAGATATCATGAAGTAGAGAGACAAAATTAAGATATATTTATCTTCTATTACCCGAGAGGTTAAATACATAACACAGAATGATCTTTATTTAGTAATGTTATTAGATCAAATGTATAAATTTGATGGTCACGGTAATTTTTTCTGTACTGGTAACAAGTTAATTTTTGTATGCTATTATACTAATCCTCTCCATTTCAAGTTAATGTTAATGAAAATGTCATTTTCGCAAGACATTAAATTGTTCTTCATTTTTAAAAGCTCAAACAAAAATATATGGCCAGATACTTATGATCTCATTTACAGTTTTATAACATCACTTTCAATTTAATACAGATTTCAAGCTAAGTGAGAGTCATGACATTATATAAACATTTCATTTAACCAGATGATATTTGATATTTTCCCAGAAGTATTTAAGTAACTAAAAACAAATAAAAGTATATTTTAGCTATTAGGTTTTTTAAATACACATTGTATAAATATAAACTGTAATATTTAGAAATGTTCTAGTATTCTAATTATCATAAGTCCATTTGATGCTTTTTCTTTTTTCTCTCAAGAGCACAACATAAAATTTCAATTGCTAAGATATGAGCAAGTAAAATATTACTTGGATAGTTTGGTAAATGTAGTATCACAATATTATATTTCAATTTATAAAACATTTTAAGCCTCAGAAATTAAAGAAGATAACATTATATAAAACCAAAACTCATCACAGATCATTTTAATGTCAAGTTGTCTTTTACATGCAGTATTGAGATTTTTAGAACTCTTTCAATACATTTCGAGATATAAAATGGCCATTCACTTTCACTTGTTAAGGTACATCAATAGGTACACAGAACTGATCAAACAGCTAACTAAAAACAAAGTACCAGTTTAGTCATTGTGAAAAGGACAAACTTCTTTGGGAAAATTCAAGAAAAACAGTAAAGCTAAAAGTCATCTATTAATACTTGTATAATATGCAGATAACAAGAGAAAAGGTTAATATCCAAAGTTAAGAATAATGTAAATATAAATTACTTTCCTAGAAAAGCCCTGAATCTCAAAATTTTGTACTTTTGCAATAAATAAAAATATGAAGTTTACAATTATAATAATTTGCCAGGAAATGTAATACTTTTTCAAAAATATATAATCTATAATAATTTATAAAATTAGTACCACTGAACCTGACTGTGCTCTCCCCTTCTTGTAGAGGTACACTCCTTCAAAACCTCAGTAAATTCTCATTTCTTCATCTATAAAACAGTGCTGGCAAAGTGCTTTTATCCCTCTCAAATTCTGTAACAAGAATTTCATATTGCTAATCTCTTACTCACTACAGAATCAATATTTGTAACATATTTCCTAAATTTTGAGAAATGTTTTGCTTTATTATTACAACTATTTAATTTAAAACAAAATTGATTTATTATCCCTACAATTAAATTTAGCCTTATTTTTAAAGGTAAAAATAAGAAAAGAGATTTTATTTGTCCTCTCTAACACTACAATTGTTTTGTATATACTAAACAACTATGTTATGAAAAAGAAACAAAATGTTGTTTTCAAATAATTCATGCCTTTAAAGATATGTTAGATTAACTGTTAATACAAAAACATGATCAATAAAAGCAATTCATTCTTGACTCTCAAATCTCACTGGGTATAGGTGAAACTTCAATAAAACTGGTACTCCTCTGGATTTTACATTTTGAAGCATGATTACTATTTTATTGAAAAGTATATAGGAGTAACACACTATTCTAAATTATAGTCATTTTGAAACTAAGTTGCAACTTATCCTGATTCTTTATGAACAGACTAGGTTTTTATTGGAAATCAATTGGAAGGCAGGTAAAATTAGATAGCCATGGTTACCAGAATATCAATAAGAGATATAGCAATATCCAATTCCAAGTCTTATGCTAAAATAAAAAGTAAAAGATACTAAAATAAAGGTACATCTTCTGCATGCAAATGTTTAAGATGCAGACTATATTTTCAATGCCATTATATATAACCTGAAAGACATAATTAAAAAATTTTCACTATTGTTACTTCATTATCAAAATTATTATCAAGACAGGGTTTTATTTTATATTTTTCATTTGCAGGTTCTAAAAACTAAAACAACTATACTGAAATGTAAAGATATAAAACAGGCAATTTAAGCTTTATCACATTTCAAATATTTCTTTAATATAGGTAATGTTATATAAATAAGAAAAATTTCTTAAAATGTAGTGAGTATGCTATGTTGAATTTAAGAGTTGACTGTATAAAATTAAGATAAATAAAAAACACAAGAGAGAGTTTATCACAAACTTTTAAATACTATTCATATACCGTTAATTCAAAAAGCTATAATTACAACATAAACATTATTGATAATGTAAATATCTTCAAAATGCATTACTTGATGAATTTACATTTGTAAGTTATTAAATCAATATCAGATCAAAATCTTCACATTAAAAAATAAAGTATGCAGACTTCCAAGATATACAACATAATAGTGGACGATAGTAAAGTAGTTCTAAAAATTATTTTAGCTTTGTTTCTGAATTTTTCTTCGTTAATTTATATTTATATGCAAATTTTCATCTACTACGTATACTTAGGCTTATTTGGAAAAAGGCATAACAAATTTTATAGAATATACTTACATATATAAATAATCCATCTCATTTACCCCTTAAACATCAATTTATATAAAGAAATGCACCTATCTATAGGTACAAGAATCACTGAAATTTTTCTGTGTGTAAAAGTACTGAAAAAGTCCAACGGTCTAATTGTTATTGGAATGTAATAGTTACATTACACTCGAGGCTATTAAGCATGCATTCCTTAACCTAATTAAGTGTTCAAAATCATGAGATTTAATTTTCATAGGAGCAGAGATCAATATTATGATACTTATTTTTCTTAAACTATTTCTCAAAACCGCTAAACCTTAACATGCTGTTCACTCCTAAAGTGACAAATACAGAAAATCAGTGGGTTCTTGAAATATGCTACCAACAATCCTGTTCAGAAATGAAAGGCCAATACTATATTAAAGAAAAAAAAATGAAACCACAAATAAGTAACAGAATTATAGCAGGCCCTACAGTGTTGTAGAAGCTCAATACTCGACTGCTCTGCTGCTGGAACAACTCCAGAGAGAGTTAACCTGGTGTGATAAAAGACTTGACAAAGCAATTCTGACTGTGCAGCAATGCTAAGTTGTGGACTAATACAAGAACAGGAGGCCCAATCGCTGTCTTTCACCATGCACAATTTACACATGGCTTTATCAATAGCCTTAGTGCTGAATACAGAACACACTCTATTTGGCTTTCAGTCAATTAAGCCTTAAGCTGTCAGCAAACAAGACTTTTAAGTTAATTTTGAATCACCACGAATCAAGTTGAAGGTTGTGAAAGGGCGGCTCACACGCCGGCATGAAAAAAGGCAGTTTAATTGCCTCTGAATAGCTATTATATGCTGCAATTGGCCTATTGAATCTTAGATGATCTATTTATTTATCAAAGTGCAACCATCAAGGATTAGAAAAAGAATATAAACTGTACTTTCGCTGTTTCACGTAATTGATGTATTTTACAAAAGTATTTAAAAATTCATATTTTTAAAGCAGATTTTTTAATGTAAAACATTTGTGAAATAGAAAGCAAAACAGTTAACATAGAAATAGAGCAATTGTATTTCTAGAAAAACAAAGATATATTTTTTAAAAGATACACTTTTTACTATGTAATATTTTCATGTATTATATGATACAAACCAATGGTTTAGAACACATGTACTCCTTCATAAATATTTATATTGTAAATGTTCATGAAAAAAAAAGAGGCAGAAAAAGAATTATAAAATTGAGCTAAATCAGATTTTAAAACAACTTAATTTAACATTCCTTAGATTAACTGCATCATTAATTGTGTGAAGAAAAAGAACACCAAATACATCATTTTAATAAAGACATTTTTTTAACTAAGATTAAGGCTTAAGAAAATAGCATAATCAAATTAAAAGGATTATTATATTCCTAAACTGCATGATACTTATTTTCAAGAAAGACTGTGGTTGGTCACAATCCTAATGAGTTTTTTCCTGAAATTATTTTTTTCAATTGCATGAGATCTGGTTTATTATTATAGGGTTACTCATGAGTGCTGGATGTGTATATTGATTTTTTTATTAGAAGAGGGCACTGAAGCATTAGGTCAGTTGCGGGGAGGGAATGCTCAGATTTGTAAACAGATGTAAACATAGATCAAATTTAAGGATGGTAAAACTGAACCATTTTGCTTTAGCTGGGATGAGCTATGGTTCTTTTTTCACATTTTTACAAGTCAGTCTTTCAAGAGTAAATGTATTGAAGCATGCACTCATGATTACATAGGGAAATCATATGGAGATTAATGGCTATAAAGTATTAATGGTTATAAGAATTTAGATAGAATACGAGTTAATTTTAGTGTTCCCTCAAGAACAGTCACATATTCTTGAAAGCATGGGCCCATCATTCTGTGCTTCCAGTCAGCAGAGGCGATGGGCTTGGGAATCAGTACTGACTACCATCATTCCAGGAATTACCACACATTCGGGGGCTGAAATTCAATGAAAGAGTATGGAAACCCTTTCTCCTTCCCTCTTTTCTCATCCATTATTATAAAATACTTTTCTTGCATTTATATTCTCAAAATATCTTAGAATCATTTACTAGTTATACCCCACAAAAATCAATGCTACTAAAACCATAAAGATAAAGACATTAAAGGAGCGAATGCCTATATGACTTCCAAGGGAAACACAGGAAGGAAGCAGATGAAGTGTGAAGAGCCGGACTACCCGGGATAACACAAAGTAGAAGCCATATGAAGAAGGGATATTCTTCCTCATCATTACTAAGACGTGTTAACAAAAGACCTAAGTTCAATGGTCACAAATGTTCACTGCACATTTCATTTTATATTTGTGTATTTTATATATTTATACAAGACACAAGGTGTTCGAAATTATTTCGTTTTACTCATACAAACATCCATTTATTCAAAATGGGTGGGAAGGCATACTAGGGACTAATAACAGGGTTTCTGCCTTTTTGTACCTTACATTCAGGGGAGGAAGGCGAACACATAGACATACAAATTCCAAAGTATAATAATACTAAGAGCAAGCAAGAGAGTGACATAGAAAATAAGGCAGAAAACAATCAATTTTAGAAAGAAATCTCAAGGATAAAGAAGAACCTGAGGCACGGGTTGATAAGCTGCCCCAGTCTTGTGGCTAGGGAGTGGTGGGGCCAGGAGGCAAACCAGGCAGACCACCTCTAAAGCCAATGCTTTTACCTACTACCCTAAAGAAACAATAAAAATTAGGTATACTAAGGTGTAATAACCCTTTCCTCAAAGATATCAGAGCTTAATAGGAAAGTAAAGATAAATTAACAAATAACTGAAAACCAAGGAAGAAAGCAATACTTATCAATAAGCAAGGTCAACAACAATAAGAAAGTCATAGATATTCAGAGGAAGTTGACCTCAGTAGACAAAGGGGAGGACCTCACAACAGAAGTGTCACCCCAGAGAGGTCCCTAAATCCATTCAGATTTGACAAGAAGAAATAAGGGTGCACCTAAAGAATAAACCACAGCAGAAGTTGAATCCTATCCTGACCACCTCCCCTCATGGCCACCGTCTTCTTCATCTTTTGCTCTTCTCTAGTCTTTTGGCATAGCATCTACCATCTTCTAATATATTATAAAAAATACACTAATTTATTCTACTTACTGCCCCTCAACCCCTTCCCCCTGCAAGAAGGCAGGGGTTGAGACGACTTCTGTCATTTTGCTTGCAGATGTTGCTCAAGGGTTTAGAACAATGCCTGGCATGTAGGTGCTTAATAAATATTTGAATATTTGATGCTAAATAAATATTTGTTGAATTAATGAATCAAGCCTAGAAGCAGAACAACTCCAATTATACCTGGGAAAGAAAAACCAGTTTAATTTGGCCCAAGATAGAGATACTGAAAACAGTAAGTGGGAACTAAAGCTAGAATGTGAAGTAGGCCAGCACGGTGGCTCACACCTGTAATCCCAGCACCTTAGGGGATTGAGGTAGGAGGATCGCTTGAGGCCAAGAGTTCTAGACCAGCCTGGGCAACAGAGCGAGACCTTGTCTCTACATTAAAAAATAAATGATAAAAATCTTAAAATAAAAAAAAGAATGTGAAATAGTTTTAGAATATAGGGGTCTTCTATACCAGGCTAAGGAGATTATATTCTAAAAGCAATGACAAGCCACGGAAATTTTTGAATTATATGGTGATTATTAGGAAGATCATTCTGACAACTGTGCATTTAAGAGATTTGAGACAGAGGCAGTAGCTACTAAAAGGGTAGTGGCAGTGAACATGGAAAAGAGGAGCTATTACACAGGAATAAAAAGTCTGAGCTAAAGAGAGTGAAGAGTCAAACATAACTTTAAGGTTTCAAATCTGTACAAATGGTGCTAATAAAAATAAGTAGAATTCAAGCATAACAGCTTAAAGTAACTGAAGGCTATTCACATGGAGAAGTCTAGCAAGCAGCTGAAAGTAAAAGCCTGGAGCTCAGCAGAGAGATGAGATCTGGAGAGAGAAAGCTGGAAATGATTCCCAGTCAGGTGATAGGTAATGATGAGTGTAACAAGGAAAAGAAGAGAGGAGGGGACCAAGCAGAGAATGCTGGGGAAAACCTAGTCATGTACCAAACTGTAGGAGTTAAAAAAGGGAGTCACAGAGAAGGTAGGAGGGGACATTTCCTTTCCTACTTTCTTAGAGTGACAAACCTCTACACAGCGTTTTGGGCTGCAGGTCTGCTAGCTGGCGGTCCTCTGGGCTCCCATACTGCTTCATGCAAAGCCTCCCAGCAGCATTCACAGGCTTTTTTGTAATTTGCCACTTTCTGTCCTTTATCCCTCTATTTCCTATAGCATAATCCAGGGTGTCCCAGGGTGTGTGTGAGCATGTACACACATGCACACACACATATATGTGTATCTGAGTGTGTATATAAGACTACATGCTGGCAAAATATATATGTGTATATATGTATGCATAGGCGTGTACGTAAAGCTTTATGCTGCTGGTTGGGCACAGTGGCTCACACCTGTAATCCCAGCACTTTGGGAGGCCGAGGTAGGCAGATTGCTTGAGCTCAGGAGTTCGTGACCGGCCTGGGCAACACAGAGAACCAATCTCTACAAAAAATACAAAAATTAGCAGGGTGTGGTAGTGCACACCTACAGTCCCAGCTACCCTGGAGGCTGAGGCGGAAGGATCGCGTGAGCCAGGAGGTTGAGGACACAATGAGCTGAGATCACACCACTGCACTCCAGCCTGGGTGACACAGAGAGACCCTGCTTCGAAAAAAGAAAAAAATGGTTTTATGCTACCAATATGTTCCTGGTCCACTAAGAGTTCCACACTCTGAGGAAGAATACTATATCAGAAACCACTATTTATTACTTTCCTTCCACTCTAGTATAAAAAACACAGAAAGGTAATTACTCTGAATGTTTTATATTGAACCAATAGAAGATTTTAGGGCCAATATTGCCCACAGAATTTACACCTCATTCCTAGTGAGGCATTTGACACATTCTCACAGGATCTTCTGTGCTAGCTTAAGCTGACAGGAAATTAGAAGGAATCAAAGCAGGTATCTCCCTTATATTACATAACTTTCTCCTTTTAGGGAAAACAATTACATAATATTTTAAACATAATAATTTAATATAATCATATAAGGGAGAAAGTAACCATAAAAAACTTTTAGAATAGCTGTGGTCTCAGCTAAAAATCTCTACTTCTCAAAAACAAACTAGGGGAGGAGGCAGGAGGACGGTAAAATGGCATTACATACACTCTGGCTTCAAAGTATTGTTGCTGTTTTTTCTTAAAGACATTTTAGGAAGTACAGAAGGCTACTCAATACTTCATCATATGAGGTATCAATGTGGAAAGACTTAGTAACTCTAGGATAATAGCCTATAAATATACATTATAACAAATCTTTTTCTTAAATAAAATGTTGATCATTATTATTTAAATTAAAAAAGATTTTAAAAATTATAGTTTTCTATTTTTATTTATTTATTTATTTTTTTAAAGACTAAGTCTTGCTCTGTCACCTAGGCTGGAGTGCAGTGGCGCAATCTCAGCTCACTGCAACCTCCACTTCCCCAGTTCAAGCAATTCTTGTGCCTCAGCCTCCAGAGTAGCTGGGATTACAGGCACGTGTTACCTTGCCTGGCTAATTTTTGTAAGTTTTGTAGAGCCAGGGTTTCACCAGGTTGGCCAGACTGGTCTCGAACTCCTGACCTCAAGTGATCCACCTGCCTTGGCCTCCCAAAGTGCTGGGATTACAGGCGTGAGCCACTGTGCCTAGCCATAGTTATAGGATCTTTAATACAACAGAAGTTGATTTCTTCTGTAGAATAAATATACACAAAGGCCCATCTGCTGTGAGGCAGAGCTCTCACAGTGTGTCAGTGCACTGTGATTGTTCTAAAGAGTCAGTCTTGGAAATTTTGGTCTTATTCACCTCTCCTCTAGTTTCCTTCTAGGATTTTCCCTGCGCTCCCCTGGCTTCTTCGCCATCCCTCACCCGGTGTTTCCCAGAGGTACCAGAGTGACTTCTCTTATAGATGCATGTAGGGTATGCAGTTTGTCATGAATAGCTGAGCCCCTTCCCCTCTCTTTGGGACACATTTACTTACAAAGAGCAGATATCCTGCTCTGCTCTGAGAGCAGTGAGTTTTATAGAAACAGGTGCACAAGTGGAAAGGCAGTGGTTTTCCAGCATAGCCTGTAATGAATAATTAATTTATCTACAAAATGTATTAGAGAACAACAAAGGGCCAAGAATAACCAAGACACTTCTGAAGAAGAAAAGAAGGAATGACATGCCCAACTGGATATAAAGACTAATTATAAAGCCGCAGTAAGTAAAACAGCATGGTATTGGTGCAGGAACAAATTCACAAACAGAATAAAGTAAGCAAAAACCCCCCAGGGTCCAGATATGCATATATCATGAAGAAATGTTTATTTATATGAATCAAAATGAAATTGGAATTCTACACCATACACAAAAATCAACCTCAAGTGGATTAACAGCTTTTATGTCTGTAGGAAAACTTTAAAACTTATGAATGAAAATAAATATGATGGCATAAGGAAGAATTTCTTAAGATCCTGAACACCCTAGCCATAAAAGAAAAGATGAATAAATTCAACTACACAAAAGAACTCCTCTTTATCAAAGGCATCTTAAAGAAAATGAAAATATAAGATACAAGCTGAGAGAGTATACTTATCATATATATAACTGACAAACTATTAGTATTCTAAACATATAAAGAACTTCTACAATTAGAAAGACCATCCAATGGGGGGAAAAAAAAACAGGCAAAAGACTTGAACAGGCATTTCACAGAATAGGAAACACGTATGTTGAAACTCATTAGCAAGAAGGGAAATGCAAACCAAGGGCACAATAAGACATCCTTTTCTACTGTTAATAATTATCGAAATTTTAAATGTCAAGCGTTGGATAGAATGTAGATCAATAGCATCTCTCATACATCTTGGATAAGAATGTGACTCTATAAAGTTAATCATTTGCATACCCCAAGACACAGCAATTCCAGTCCTGAGTATATTATGATATATATGTATTGGTTTTGTCCATAGTTCCTGGCTCATAACTCCCTTAGCCCTTGTTACTGTCTTTTGTTATTATGTTGGAATACTTTAGGCCTCAGAAGCAGCCCTCAGAAAACAGAATCTCTCTGAGCTTCCCCTGCCCTCTCTTTCACCAGCTCCTTTTTCTCCCCAAGGCAGGAATGCTTCCTCACCCTTCCTGTCTTGGAGCTGGTCATGAAAAAATTCCCTCACCTACTTTGTCTAATTGTAGGTCATAAAACCTACATTTCAGAAGGGGTCCTACCCTATACCTGGGAGGAAAAAACGCTACATAGAAAGGCCAAGAAGATCTGAACAGATAAGGCTTACTGGGTTTCCTCCACAAAGTCCATTAGCATTAGAGCATACCTTTTCTGTCCAATCACATTAATACATGGATGTCCATGCTTCAGTCATGCCTATCCAAAGAAGTCTCCATAAAAGGCCGAGGAGGACGGGGTATGGAGAGCTTCCAGAGAGCTGATCACATAGAGGTTCCTGGAGGGTGTTATGCCCAGATTGGGCATGGAGGCTCCATGTCCCTTCCCTATGCCTTGCCCAATGCAACTCTTCATGTGTATCCTTTGTAATATCCTTTATGATAAACCAGAAGATACAAGTATGTGTTTCCCTAAGTTCTGTAAGCCACTTTAGCAAATTAATTAACTCGAAGAGGAGGAGGTCATAGGAAGTATGTTTTGTAGTCAGCTGACCAGAAGCACAGGTAAAACAATGCTGTGTCCCGGCAGACAGTGTGAGGACTGAATTGGAGGACACCAGCTGCTGGCCACTGCGGAACTGATTGTTTGCTTGCTGGAGGGGAGAAATCCCCGTACATTTAGTCAAAGAAGGCTTCTGTGCCGACTGCAGTGGTGTGAGAACAAAGGAAAACCAGTTTTTTCCACTCACTACTCAAGAGAAAATTATATGTATGTGTACAGAAGACATGAATCAGATGTTCATAACAACATTGTTTGTAAAAGTAAAATGAAACAAAAAATACTAATAACCCAAGTGTTTACTGGGTAAATTGTGACTTTTTCTATTTATTATTAATAAGTCATAAAAATGACAACTACAGCTACACATAACAAAACTAATGAATCTTTGTAATACAATGTTAAGAGGAAGAAAGTACTAATGGATTATATATACTGCAATACCTTTTTTAAGCTTAAAATGGGTGAAACCAAGCAATATATTGTTTAGGCATACCAATATATGAGACAAAACAAATAAACAACAAAAAACAGGTGAACAACATTCACAAAATTCAAAAGAGTGGTTACCTCTAGAAGCAGACAGGGAATGTAACAAGACAAGAACACACATGAAGATATAAGACTGGCCATATTCTAGTTCTTGGTTTGGGTAGGGGTTCGGGTCTCTGGTAGTTAAAATTAGGTGACTGACTGATTAAACGAAATATATTTAAAATTAGAAAATAAAACAAGACCTTTAATTTAATGAATCAAAGATGTTTGGGTGTGTGGTTGGTTGGCAGTCTGCATTAAATAAAGGAAACAGCCTGTAAGATAACTGGGAAATGAAAAGGCAAATTATTTGTATATACTGCACACAGTCTTTTAAACCATTAAAACAAAGGTTAAGAACAATGTTTATGATATACGACTAAGTGAGGGAATAAAACACTAGGACACAAAATCGCACAATTTTCCCTATAAAATTCCCTATAAGAATTTTCAAAATGCATAGAAAAGAGGACTGGAAGAAAGTCATCACTATGTTAACAGTTACTGTTTTGAGATGGTGGTGTTTCATATTTCTTTACCTTTTCTGTTTTCTAAAGTTTCTGCAAAGTAATTCATATTACTTCTCTAATTTTTAAGTTTTAAAGCTGTACACACATACACACAAAATCTTCAAGATATTTTTCGTATTTTGCCTGAATCCTTCATTTCCTCTTAAACAATAAATAATGTTTTCAAGTTTACTAATGATTCAATAAACCTAAATCTATTTGCATGTGTGCCTATGGTAACTGAATGTTATTACAGAACCTGCAAACATGTTAACACTCAGTAAAATTTCAAAGAGTAGAACACTTAAAGAATATTTTAAAACATGCTGAAGTACCTATTTAGTTGGAGCCATCAGTTCATCAGTAAGTATGTATATATTTTTATTTCAAATGAATGTAAATATCCACAGATATTCAGCAATCTAAATCTTCTAGTCCATTTATCCATATATGTGTATGTATATATATGTATGTGCTTGTTTTTTTACATTTAATAACTACATTAAATATGCTAGAAATTAGGTTTAGCCTTTATACTAACGTGGCCCCAGAACAGCTTAAAAGTTTGAGTATTCTGACAATATGAAAATTAATCATTAATTGCTTGATATTTGAGTGAATATTAAAACATAGTAAATTTCTAAGACAGGCACTAAACCAATAATTGCTATATACTAGAAAGGATGTACTCTGGATGCTTTCTTACATGATATAGCCAGATAAAATCCATTTTTATTCCACAATTCAAAATACGAGACAGAGGACAAAAATTCTTTTTCTGCCTGTCTGGGAATGAACTAGGTTGTTCTGATATCATTATATGACAGAACTTCACACTCATAATTCTGATAAAAGCAGAAGCTAATTCCAAATCACGCCATAAAGATCAAGTTTCCTTTGGCTTCCTTTCTCAACAACTGAGCCCCCGGACAAAACTCAGTGAATTTCTGCACCCAGGTAGTAAGAAGGTCCAGCTACTGAGATATCTGTCTGAATATTATCTAGAGACAGAATTTATGGCCTTAAAACACGTTTTTCTATAGCTGGGTGATACAGGGTGGGAACAGGGTTGGAGAAGAATGTTTCAAGGAGGAAAGCAAGTGAACAGGCATGGAGGAATGAAAGACTAAGACATGTTTGGAGAACTAACAGCAGAGAAGGTCAGAGGCTGAGAAATGAAGCCAGAGGGTCATTTTCTCTGTGAAGATGACAATAACAGGAACTGAAACTATAGCCTTTCAACAGCACTATCTACCAAAGTGAGCCCAACTGCTCAAATTTTCCCAAACAAGAGGAAAGCCATACTTTATAAGCATTTTCTAAATTAAGCTATATGTGCTAACAATGAGCAAGAAGGTGGGGGAAGGCACCTATATAATTCAAAATATGTTAAACTTTAATACTGTACCAAAAGACCACATTGGTGATTCTTCAAGTTATTGAAGAAAGATTAAGAATCTTAATATGAACTGTGTCTCCAGAGAAATCATTCATAACCCTGACATTTTGTATGACATTACAGGCATTTAGGGACATCATGAAGGATCAAGTTCAGAAATCTTGGTCTAGGTCAATGTTAAATCAGGCAACAAACAATTGTTGAGCAGCTGTGGGCTGGGTGCTTTGGTAGGTCATCAAAATGCAATGAGATCAAAATCTAGAAAGGAAGATGAACAAGTAAAGAGACAAGTATGATATATTATATGTTAAACTAAGCTAAGCTGGAGGCAAAGCAAATACCAGTGACAGCCAGTCTAGCCGAGAGCGTGCTCTAGGGACAGGAAAATCGTTTCAGAAAAGATGTAAGAGCTGAGTGTCGTGAGATGAGTAGGAGATAGTTGGGTGATATAGGGTGGGAACAGCGTTGGAGAAGAATGTTTCAAAGAGGAAAGCATGTGAACAGGCATGGAAGAATGAAAGACTAAGACATGTTTGGAGAACTAACCACAGAGAAAGTCAGAGGCTGAGAAATGAAGCCAGAGGGTCATATCATGAAGGTCCTAGAAAATTTTTAATTTTACTACAAAGGCATAAAGGACGCCCTGAAGAATTTTAAGCAGGGGAGTAACAGTGATAGTATTTATATTTTATAGAGATCATTTTGGCAGCAGGGAGGATTTGAACAGGTTATGGCTACATCATAAGCAACAATAGAACCCTGAAGTGGTTAAACAGAATGGGCTGCAGGAATGGAGAGCAGAAATTTAATAGAGAGAACCAACAACATATGACAATAAACTAGATTTGGGAGCAGTGAGGAAGCAGGAATTAAGGATAATTCCCAGGATTCTGGCTGGAATAAACAGTGAATGGTGGTATCCTAGAACAAGAGAAGAAACATAGGTCAAGGAAGCTGGTTGGTGCTTAGAAGAGTCAGTTCAAGCTAGGCACAATGGCTCACACCTGTAATCTCAGCACTTTGGGAGGCTGAGGCAGGAGGACTGCTTGAGGCCAGGAGTTCAAGACCAACCTAGGCAACAGAGCAAAACCCTATCTCTATAAACAATAATAAAAAAGTTAGTCAAGTATAGTGGTATGTGCCTGCAGTGCCAGCTACTCAGGAGGCTAAGGCAAGAGGATTGCTTGAACACAGGAGGTTGAGGCTGCAGTGGGCCATGATCAGGCCACTGTACTCTAGCCTGGGTAAAAGAGGGAGATTCTATCTCTATAAATAAATAAATATAGAAACATAAATAAATAATGAAGGTCAGTTCAGTTTTCAAAACACTGCATTTTAGAATAATCTACGTATACATGGCAAATAGGCAACTGGAATATCAATTTATTCAATCATCTAACCAATATTTATTGAACACCTACCAGTTTTCAGGTGCTGCTATATGGAATGGGGTTACACAGCCATGATCAACAATGAAACCTGGTCCTGCTTTACAGCATTTACATCCAGAACATAAAGAAGTAAACAAATAAATAAAAAAAATAATTTTAGACTGTTACACATTTTATAAGGAAAATAAAACTGAATTATGTACCAGAGAAAGTGACTAGAAGGGGAAGGGGTACTTTAGATTGGGCAATCTGGGAAGGCTATGTGAAAGAACTGGCACCTGAGCTCAGACTCAATCATCAGCCAGCCTTGTGAAGTTCTGGGAAAGAGGAAACAGTGTCAAGCTCCTAAAACTGGAACAGACTTGGCCACATTCATGAAGGCCACATTCATGAAACAAAAAAAAGGCAAATGTGTCTGTGTCATGGTGAATGTGAAGGGATGGAGGCACACAGGAGCAGATCATACATAAGACCATGTCGTCAATAGTAGCAAGTCCAAGTCTTAGTCTCAGGTGGGATAAAAAGTTACAGGGCCAGGCATAATGGCATGCACCTGTAGTCCCAGCTACTCAGGCCCAGGAGTTTGAGGTCAGCCTAGGCAACACAGTGAGACTTCATCTTGTTTTTTGTTTTGTTTTGTTTTGTTTTGTTTTAAAAAAGCTATTGGAAAGTTTTAAGCAGAAAGTGACATGATTTGAATGATCTGATTTACGTTTTTAAAGAATCACTCTGTGTAGCAAATGGTCTATAGGAAGACAAGAGCAGCCACAAGAACATCAGAGACTACAAATCAAAGTGATGTCAACTAGGATGGTAATCCTGGAGTTGAAGAAAAGTGGAAAATGTAGAATTAGGTGATTATTTTGAAAGCAGAAAGAGACAATGGGAATTGATGACCCCAGAACTGGGCTAAAGATTTAGTAGCAATCAGTAATCACAAGTGGTTGGACACAAGGAAGCTTAGAAAAGGACAAAAAATTAAATCCCTTGGAATATTGCCTTTTAAGAAATGAGCAGCAAAAGAGAAATCACTACAAGAAACAGAGGAGGAATAAGGAATGCAAAAGAACCATGTCCTGGGAGTAAAGGAAAGCTTCTGTTTAAAAGTAGTCAGAAGAGCCAAGGAGTCCTAATTTAGTCACAAAATAGAGTAGAACTAAACTCTAGGTCACTAGTGATCCTGATAAGGGTTTGTAAAATGGAATCTCAGGCAGAAGACCAGATTACACAAGGTTAGAAGGAATGAATGGCTAAAGAAGAAGCATATGTATCAGCTGTGAAGGAGAGAGAGATAAGGAGATAGATGAAGGGTACACTGGGTTAAGAGAAGACATTGCAATTTTAAAAGTTGATATATAAGTCTGATTTAGAAGGAAAGAGCCACGAAGCTTGGAAACTGTAAGAGGGAACATTTAATTATTTAGTAAGTGGGAAAAGTTAAGATAGTGTATTATTCCATTTTGGCATTGCTATAAAGAAATACCTGAGGCTGGGTAATTTATGAAGAAAAGAGATTTAATAGGCTCACAGTATTGCAAGCTGTACAGGAAGTATGGTGCCAGCATCTTCTTGGCTTTTGGGGAGGCCTCAGGGAGCTTTTACTCATGGCAGAAGGTGAAGCAGGTGCAGGCATATTACATGGTGAGAGAGAAAGAGCGAGCAAGGAGGTGGGGGGAGGTGCCAGGCTCTTTAAACAATCAGCTCTCACATGAACTCAGAGCCAGAATTCACTCATAACCATGAGGAGGGTACCAAGCCATTCATGAGGGATCCACCCCCATGACTCAAGCACCTCCCACCAGGACCCACCTATAACACTGGGGATTACATTTCAACAAGAAATTTGGAGACAGAAATCCATATCATATCATTCCATCCCTGGCCCCCTAATCTTATGTCCTTCTCACATTGCAAAATACAGTCATGCCTTCCCAATGGTCCTCTAAAGTCTTAACTCGTTCCAGCATTAACTCAAAAGTCCCAAAGACCAAAGTCTGATCTGAAACTCAAGCCAAGTTCCTTCTACCTATGAGCCTGTGAAATAAAAAATCAGTTATTTACTTCTAAGAGAGAATGGTGCTACAGGCATAAGGTAAACATTCCCATTCCAAAAGGAAGAAATTGGCCAGAACAAAGTGGCAATAGGCCCCATGCAAGTCTGAAACCCAGCAGAACAGTCATTACATCTTAAAGCTCCAGAATAATATTTGACTCCATGCCCCACATCCAGGACACACTGTGCAAGGGGTAGGCTCGCAAGGCCCATCCTAGTGGTTTTGCAAGGTGCAGCCTCTGTGGCTACTCTCGCAGGTTGGAGCTGACTGCCTGTGGATTTCCAGGCTCAGGGTGTATGCTGCCAATGGATCTACCATTCTGAGGTCTGGACAGTGGTGGCCCCTTTCCTACAGCTCCACTAGGCAGTGCTCCAACCCCACATTTCTCCTCTGTAGTGCCTAAGCAGAGGTTTCCTGCAGGGACTGTGCCCCGTGGCAGGCTTCTGCCTGGGCTCCCAGAGTTTCCAATACATCCTCTGAAATCTAGGGGGAATCTTTCAAGTCTCCTTGACTCTTGCATTCTGTTCACCTGCAAGCTTAACACGATGTGGAAGCCACCAAGGCTTATAGCTTTCGCCCTCTGGAATGATGGCCTGAGTTGTACCTGAGCACCTGAACCACAGCTGGAGCTGGCGTGGCTGGGATATGGGGAGAACTGTCATGAGGCTAAGCAGGAAAACAGGGCCTTGAGCTTGGCCCTCAAAGCCATTCTTTCCTTCTAGGTCGCTAGGTCTTTGATGGGAGGGGCTGCCTTGAAGACTTCTGAAATGCCTTCAAGGCCTTTTTCCCATTGTCTTGGATATTAGCACTTGGCTCCCTTTTAGTCACACTAACCTCTCTAGCAAGTGGTTGCTCCACAGTCTGCTTGTATTCCTCCCCCGAAAATATTCTTTCTCTGCCACATGGCTAGCTTGAAAATTTTCCAAACTTTTATACTCTGATTTCCTTTTAAATAAGTTCCAACTTTAAGTCACTTATTTGTTCCTGAATCTAATCACAGGCTGTTAGAAGCAGCCAGGCCACTATTTGAATGTCTTGCAACTTAGACATTTCTTTGGCCAAATACTCTAAATTACCATTCTTAAGTTCAAACTTCCACAGGGCCTTAGGGTCTGGACACAATGTAACCAAGTTCTTTGCTAGGGTGTAACAAGGGTAACCTTTACTCTAATTCCCAATAACTTTCATGTTTTCATCTGAGATCTCATCAGTGTAGCCTTTACTGTCCATATTTCTGTGAGTATTTTGGTCACAACCACTTAAAAAGTCTCTTAGGAATTCCCAACTTCCCCTCATATCTTCTGTCTTCTTCTGAGCCCTCCAAATGCTTCCAACGTCTGCCTGTTACCCAGTTCCAAAGCTGCTTCCACATCTTCAGGTATATTTAAAGCAATGCCCCATTCCTCAGTACCAATTTTCTATGTTAGTCCATTTTTGCGTTGTTATAAAGAAATACCCAAGGCTGGCTAATTTATAAAGAAAAGAAGCTTAATTTGGCTCATGGCTCTGCAGGCTGTATAGGAAATGTGGTGTCCACATCTGCTTCTGGTGAGAGCCTCAGGAAACTTACAATCATGGCAGAAGGTGAAGGAGGAGCAGGTGCATCACTTGGCAACAGAGGGAGCAAGAGAGAGAAGAAAAAGGTCCCAGACTTTTTTAAAACAGCCAGCTCTCACATGAACTACCAGAATGAGAACTCACTCATTACCATCGAGATGGCACCAAGCCATTTGTATTAGTCCGTTTTCATGCTACTGGTAAAGATTACTTGAAACTGGGAACAAAAAGAGGTTCAATTGGACTTATAGTTCCACATGGCTGGGGAGGCCTCAGAATCATGGAGGGAAGTGAAAGGGACTTTTTACATGGTGGCAGCAAGTGAAAAATAAGGAAAAAGCAAAAGTGGGAACCCCTGATAAACCCATGGGATCTCGTGAGACTTATTCACTACCATGAGGATAGTAGGGAAAGACTGGCACCCCTGATCCAATTACCTCCCCCTGGGTCCTTCCCACATTATGTGGGAATTCTGGGAGATACAATTCAAGTTGAGATTTGAGTGGGGACACAGCCAAACCATACCACCATTAATAAGGGATCCATCCCCATGACCCAAACACCTCCCAGTAGGCCCACCTCCAACAATGGAGGGTCACATTTCAACATGAGATTTGGAGGAGACAAATATCCAAACCTTATCACATAATCTCTTTAGAAAATAAAAGTATTTTTGTTAGTCAATATTCTGCCTTGTCACAATATATCAATGATTTCATGTCTATTTGTATGCTCCACAGTACCTGGCACAAACTAGTCTCTCAATAAAGAACGTGGGAAGAGAACATTTTATATTTTTATAAAAAGCAATGTTCACTAAAAATGCGTAAGTGTTGAGGGCAGGCTATTAAATACATAATCTTATTTAATTATTTCAGGTTACCAACTTTTAAAAACATAGCATAATAACATTTTTTCAAGCAAATTTCAATTTTAGTAGGACTAATAATAAAACAATTGTTTCTTTGTCGATTCTTGTTTTAAAGTACATATATGCAGTTTTTTAGAAAGAAACTTATATCTAATACTGAATTATAAATACATGAAGACACATGAAAATGAAGCTAATCCATTTTAAATTGGAGATTACCAGCTAATAATTTGAATCATGATTTTAATAGAGCTGCTAAATACAACAGCAATGGAATGTAGATAGGATTCACAAGAAAATGAGTTTTGTCCATTTTAAATTGGAAATTACCAACTAAATAATTTAAACCATAATTTTAATATATCTGCTAAATGTAACAGTGATGGAATGTTAGGATTCCATGAAAAACGCTGTATTTCTACTCCCCGTAAACTACATTATTAGTAAACAGAGATTTATAATCTCCAGAAATATTACTCATTTACTTTTTATAAATTCTATTACAAATCTGTGGAAAAGATATTTAAAATACAAATACATTTACATAGATCTTATTATTTCCTAAAAAATAACATATTATAGAAAAATTAAAAAATACTCAAAATACCAAAAATAAAGTAAGTTTTATGCATAGAAACACTACAGAGCTTTGCAACTTTTCATATACAACCAAGTAAGGTATTATTAAAAGAGAAAATCTTTTGGTTAGTAAAGATCCCTTTTTGTAAATACTTAACATAACTGCATAGAGTGGGACATATCAGATCAATTCATTCCAACCAAATCATTGTATCTATACAAGAGGAAAATATACAGTAGCCCCTGGTTATCCATAGGAGATATATTCCAAGTACCCCAGTGGATACTTGAAACCTCAGATAGCACCAAATCCTATATATGTTTTTTCCCTATACATACATATGATAAAGTTTAACTTATAAATTAGGCACAGAATGGCATTAACAATAACTAATGATAAAATACTACAATTATAATATACTGTAATAATTATATGAATGTGGTCTCTCTCTCTAAATATCTTACTGTATTGTACCATGAGTAACTGAAACTGCAGATAAGGAGGAACTACTATACCAGGAAAGAGTCTTTAAATCAATATAACTAGCAGGACAATTTTAAGCCTTGCTAGTTCCTCAGTTCTCATTATCTCTACCAACCTATGTGTGCATATTTCCCCTCTGATAAATCATTCATTTCTAGTGAACAGTAGCCTTTAGCCTTGTAAGGCCTTGTTTGAACCTTGTTGAATGTAAGGTTTCTCTATGGCTGCAGAGCGGTAGCTCTTTATTCTCTTACCATAAGCATTTAAAATTTAAAGCAATGAATTAAAAGCTTAAGCTCAAAAGTATAGCCCAAAATTATATTCTCTAAACTACATGTGAAAAGAATAACAATTTTATTTCAATTTAGAGTCTAATCTTTTTGTGACTGTCCTTAGTAGGGTGTAACACAATAAACACCATGGATCATTTTAAAAGCCACTCTCATATAAATGAAGTTGAGAAATTGTATACCAATGAGGAAAAATTTATTCTAATAATAGGACACTGAACATAAGCATCAGAAATGATGTATCTATTTTTTAAAAAGTTAAAGTAATGGTCAATAATTATTATAATGTTCTTTTGCCTCAGCATCACTAATCATTAGGGAAATTCAAATCAAAATCACAATGAGATACCTATATAACTTCACACTTCACGCTCATTAGGATTGCTATTATTTAAAAAAAAAAAAATAGATTGAGTGTGGTGGCTCATGCCTGTAATCCTAGCACTTTGGGAGGACGAGGCAGGCAGATCACAAGGTCAAGATTTCGAGACCAGCCTGACCAACATGGTGAAGCCCCATCTCTACTAAAAATACAAAAATTAGCCAGGCGTGGTGGTGTATGCCTATAATCCCAGCTACTCAGGAGGCTGAGGCAGGACAATTGCTTGAACCTGGGAGGCAGACGTTGCAGTGAACCAAGATTGTACCACTGCACTCCAACCTGGGCAACACAGCGAGACTCCATCTCAAAAAACAAAAAAAAAAAAAAAAGAAAGAAAAAAGAAAATATCGAGTGTTGATGAGGATGTGGAGAAACTGAGACTATAATGCACCGCTAGTAGGAATGTAAAATGGTACAGCCACTGTAGAAAACAGTATGACAGTTCCTCAAAATATTAAAGATAGAATGACCATGTATTACAACAAATCCAATCCTGTGTACCTAAAATAACTGAAAGCAGGGACTTGAACAGATAGTTCTATATCAATATTCATAGCAGCATTATTCACAGTCGCCAAAAGATAGAAGAAACCCAAGTGTCTGTAGAATGACAGATCCACTCTGTTGAATGGATCAACACAATTGTAAGCTCCTGACACAAGCTCTAACATGGATAAACCTTAAAGCCACTATGCTAAGTGAAATAAGCCAGACACTTATTTGATTCCACTTATATGAACTACCTACATTAGCCAAATTCATAGAGACAGAAAGCAGAACAGTGGTTGACAGAGGATGGAGGCAGGAAAGAATGGGAAGTTAGCATTCAATGGGTATAAGGTTTCACTTTGAGAAGATGAAAAAGTTTCGGAGAACGATTGGTGGTGATGGCTGAACAACAATGTGTACATACTTAACACCGCTGATTTGGCCACTTAAAAATAATTTAAATGGCACAATAAAGAAACTTTCACAGTTTAAAAAAGTGATCTAATGCCCAATTTTCAATAGCTAGACAGCTGAAAGAGGCAAATATTCATTTAATTAACATCATTAATGGATTTTTGTAAGAAAGGGGACTTTCAACATCAAAATTCATTTACTTCTTTTCATCTGTTCAGAGGTAACGGGATGAATCACCAGAATCAAAGCTTCCAGCTGCTTATAGCACTAGTTTAAAATTAATAGTCTTACAGCAACAACATCAAATGCCAAAAAAAAAGAGAAGCAATAGGCAGCAGGTTAATTCTTTTTTGGTGTAAAATGTCTGTAATTTTCTAGTAGCACATAAATGTGTCACTGTTTTGGTCTGCAATGTCTCTTCTCTCCCCAAAATTCTGACAGTATGGCTCTAAAGCTAAAAGTATATAACCAAATTAAAAGCTATCAAAAATCTTCAAATAAAGTTTTTCTAAAACGTTAAAATACTTCCACGGTAATTTAGTAGTTTCCTATGTGCATTTGCCATTGATCACTGTGTGTGTGTGTGTAAGAGAGAAAACATGAATAAAACACTAAAAGGATGTTATATTTAGCATACTTCAATGGGAATTTTGAATAGGCTATACCGAAGTACTACGAATCCTTTACTTACAGTCTCCTATACAATAGACTGTCAAGTGCTTAGAATCAGGGAACAACCTTATACCTTTCTGTTTACTGTAATATCAAACCTTGCAACATGGCGTCAGTCCTTGCTATTGTTTGAAATGTACTTAATCCCCAATGCAACAGTGTTGAGAAGTGTGGGACCTTTAAGAGATGATTAGATCATAAGAGCACTGCCTTAGTGAACGGACTAATGCTGTTATTGAGAGTTGGTTCCTGAAAAAAGGATGATTTGGTCCCCCTCCCCCGACCCTTACATGCACACAGGGGAACTCTCTTGCTCTTCCGCCTTCTGAAGGAATGATGTAGCAAGAAGGCCCTCACCAGATGCAGACCCCTTGACCTAGCCTCCAGAACCAAGAAATAAGTCTCTATTCTTTATAAATTACCCAGTCTCAGGTATTCAGTTACAGCAACACAAAAGGGACTAAGATAGGTTTCAACTAAATGTTAAAATGAAAACAAATATGTTGATGATGACTAGCGTGGGGGTCAGGGAAGATGAAGCAGTGAGGGAAAATAACTGTTTCACAAGAAATGAAAAGCATTGAGTATGATATGTTCCTTCCATAATCTAGGCTCCTGAAAAAGAGGTGAGTAATCAGTATTTCAACATTTAATTGTAGAAGCATATCTGATTACTGAATCTGTAACATAAAACATTTTTATTAAAAAAGTAGGAAAAGTTATATTATCCTTCCATCTCTGCATGCACACATACAGAGAAATGTAAAAATCCAAGATTCAACCCCAGCATCCTAACTCTGGAGTCTGTACTGTTAACCATGACATTACACTCTTTCCAACTGTTAAAAATGTCAAGAATAGATCCAATCAGCTGTGTACCTCAAATGACTCTTGCTATAAAGTAACAAAATCTACATAAACATCAGTGTGGTAATAGTAATTCAACAGAGTTATGTAACTTGTGGTGGAAAAATATTTTTAAATTTACGTTTTCTATTAGGGCCCATCAATCTACATTACGTACATGACAAAACATCCCCATTGTTGTATCTTTTTTTTTTTTTTTTAGACAGAGTCTCACTCTGTCGTCCAGGCTGGAGTGCAGTGGCGTGATCTTGGCTCACTGCAACCTCCACCTCCCAGGTTCAAGCAATTCTCCTCCCAAGCAGCCTCCCAAGTAGCTGCGATTATAGGCACACACTACCACGCCCAGCTAATTTTTTTCTGTTTTTAGTTGAAATTGGGTTTCACCGTGTTGGCCAGGCTGGTCTCAAACTCCTATTCTCAACTGATCTGCCTGCCTCAGCCTCCCAAAATGCTGGGATTACAGGTGTGGGCCACCGCGCCCAGCCATTCCCTTTATTTCTAATTGTAAATTACGACAACTTTTCTATGTTATTTTATATTATTTATTTATTTGAGATGGAGTCTCACTCTGTCACCCAGGCTGGAGTGCGGTGGTGCGATCTCAGCTCACTGTAACGTTTACCTCCCAGGTTCAAGTGATTCTCATGCCTCAGCCTCCCGAGTAGCTGGGATTACAGGTGCCCACCACCAAGCCTAGCTAATTTTTTTGTATTTTTAGTAGAGATGGGATTTTACCATGTTGGCCAGGCTGGTCTCAAACTTGTGACCTCATGTGATCCCCCCTGTCTTGGCCCCTCAAAGTGCTGGGATTACAGGCATGAGCCATCATGCCCAGCCCTTTTCCATTTTATAGTTTACTAACATGCATATTTTATAACAAAATTGTAGAAATGTGGGAAATGGGGTCTTTTTTTTTTCTTTTTTTTGAGACAAGATCTCACTCTATCATCCAGGCTGGAGTACAGTGATGCAATCACAGCTTACTGTAGCCTCAACCTCTCGGGTTCAGATGATCTTCTCACTGTAGCCTCCAGAGTAGCTGGGACTACCAGCACACGCCACTACCAGCTAATCTTTTGTATTTTTTGTAGAGATAGGGTTTTGCCATGTTGCCCAGGCTGGTCTCAAACTGCTGGGCTCAAATGATCCACCTGCCTCGACCTCCCAAAATGCTGGTATTGCAGGAGTGAGCCACTGTGTCCAGTCAAACATGGTCTTTTATGTTTCTCAAAAATATTTAACACTTAGTGTTCAGTTAGTATTAATTTAATTAAGTACTTAGTTTGATATTATTTTAAAACTTTTTACTTGATAACACTGAATATTTATTCTCTATTAATATTTATCTTCCTTTTTTGGATTATCAGTGCCTCTGATTTTTACGATATTTTATTCTTCCTTTTTACTTTCATATATCTTGATCATTTTGGTTCAATCATAATTTTCTATAGTTTTCCATTGCTCTTCCATTTTAGAATTATTTATTTCTCTGGAGAAACCCTCTAAGTCACTGTCACGGATGGCTCACTCTTCTCAAAATCTCTCCCCTTTCCCCCTTGTCTTAGGGTAATCCCTCTTCCTCTCCTAATAAAAATGTTATATAGCTTCCTTCCCCATCATGAGTCCTTTCAGTGTTTTTGCTTATTTTTTTGTTTGTTTTTGTTGTTGTTTTGTTTTGTTTTTGAGATGGAATCTCACACTGTCGTCAGAGCAGGAGTGCAGTGGCGCGATCTTGGCTCACCACAACATCCGCCTCCTGGGTACAAGAGATTCTCCTGCCTCAGCCTCCCGAGTAGCTGGGATTACAGGCACCTGCCACCATGCCCAGCTAATTTTTTGTATTTTTAGTAGAGACGAGGTTTCAATATTTTGGCCAGGCTGGTCTCTAACACCTGACGGCGTGACCTGACTGCCTCAGCCTTGCAAAATGCTGGGATTACAGGCGTGAGCCACCACGCCTGGCTGAGTCCTTTCAGTTTTATATTTCCATAGGCTCACCCCATGATTTAAAATATTCCACCTGGACAAAATCATACCAGATACATCTAATTATAAGCCATAAATACTCTATCGACTTCAAAAATAAGTGGCTGATTGCCATGGTCTTCTGCTTTATACTATTTTTTTCTCCCATGAGATTTTCTGGTACAGAAGAACCTAGATTAGTATAGCTTGGCTAATACTATAGAGTTTGTGTCAATTCACTGACCTAATGTTAGATAATATTAAAGAATAGTAATAATTTTAATAACATTATAGACGAGTCATAGTTGAGTCAACTTATTAATCATATAAGTTGAGTCTTATAAGTAAGAGATACACACTGAAACATTAATGACAAAATAATATGATATCTGGAGTTTGCTTTAAAATAATCTAGTGAAGGGAAGAATAGATGAAACAAGACTGACTATATGCTGACAACTATTAAAGAAGGTAACTAGTAAATGGGCGTCCATTATATTATTCTCTTTAATTTTGTGTGTGCTTGCAAATTTCCATAATACAAATAATTTATGCAGACCCTGATTTGATAACTATACATTGTATACAGGTATCAAAATATCACATGTACCTAAAAATATGTACAACTATTTATATATCAATAAAAATATATGAATTATGAGAAAACTTATGCTGAATCAAACTGGCTTTCTTTTGTGTTAATTTAGCTTTGTTAAACACACAAGTATAGAGCATAAACAATATGGAGAATGGTGAATAAGTTAAGGTTTTTATGTGAATAAATGTATGCTAATTACAAAGAAGCCTTAATAATCTTTAAAATAATCATACACAGTTTTTATTTGAAAGTAATAAAAGTCTTGCTTTAACATATTTCTTTTTATATATTTCTAGCTTGTCTATTTAATCCTGTATCTAATTATAAAAAAACTTAAAGCTAATGAAATTTCAAACCCTTAAAAATGATGTTGATGATTAACATGCTCTACACATTGAATACGCAAAACAATTCACATCCCACTTAGCTTAAGCTCCTTAAGATACAGCATCGCATATAAACATCACTCAGTTCTAATTCCAGTTCATGAGAATCTATATGACTGACCTTAAAATACAGGCTGTGTCTTTTTCCCAGCTTTGAGTATATACAGCAAAATTAAAATTAGTACCAAACAATTAAATCAGTAAACAATTTTTTAAAACTTTCTGCTATGGAAACAATTTTGTCGTTCACATTCTTGGGTGTCCCAGGATCAAAATTAAATAGATATAAAATGTACAAATTTAGAAGTAGAAATTTAGTCACTAAAGATTTTGTGTCCATACTCTATCAGCAGATGTCCAAAAATGTTAAGGAAAACTATACTTAACTTCCTCAAACTATTGCATTATTCAAGGGCAGGAGATCCAGTTTGGTACAATCAGTCAACAGTTCAATAAACAGCAAAGAATACAAACCTAAAATTCTCTAAGCTGTATATCCCTGCTTTAGCATAAAATGTCTAAGAACTTAAATAAGGATCAAAGAACATACTTTCAGGTATAAAGAAATAAAAGGCAAAAAAAAAATAATAATAAAGCAACAATGACACACAAATGTTAGCATATGCTGAGTGCTTAGACTTAAATAATACAAACCCAGATGTGTCTTTTATATATCATCATAATGCAGTGCTTTTGTTGAAACACTCTTCACTCTTATTCTTGTTCATAATGCTGGTTAAGATGTAAATGCGTAAATATCTCAGAATTCTGTCTAAATAGAAATGTACTAGTCCTTCATTTTATACTGATATGTACCCATCTTAGTTATGGAATAGTAGTAGGTCAGCTCTTAATGTTCTTCTATTCTTAAAAACAAATCGGCTGGGCACGGTGGCTCACCTGAAGTCAGAAGTTCAAGACCAGCCTGGCCAACATGGTGAAACCCCGTCTCTACTAAAAATACAAAAATTAGCTGGGCATGGTGGTGGGCACCTGTAATCCAGCTACTTGGGAGGCTGAGGCAGGAGAATAGCTTGCACCCAGGAGGCAGAGGTTGCAGTAAGCCGAGATCACGCATATTGCACTCCAACCTGGGCGACAAAAGCGAAACTCCGTCTCAAAAAAAAGAAAAACACATCAAATTATTCACTATAAAATGCTTAATGTTATATAAATTTCATTTCAAT
Organism: Homo sapiens; assembly: GCF_000001405.40. Lineage (NCBI taxonomy): Eukaryota > Metazoa > Chordata > Mammalia > Primates > Hominidae > Homo > Homo sapiens. The sequence continues at coordinate 56,837,608 of NC_000018.10, read as the reverse complement.
AAATCAAAATCTTTCAATATCTCAACTAATTCCCAAGCTATGTTTTCACTTATTTTTCCCTTATGTTTCTTCTTAAATTCACTAATAATGATTTGACAAAGTGGCATTTTAATATACTAATCAAAATTAGAGGTAATAAAACCTGTTTAAAATTTTACAATAGCAAATTATTAAACAGATTCAGCTTGTGACATTTTTACTTAAACTTGTTGGTGATGACAGCTGATGAGAAACATTAATAAATCCAATAACATTTTTCTACACGGCCATTTTGAAAATGTCAGCCATTGCTAATCAATACACTTCTGACTGGTCACAATGGCTCACAAAATGGTCACAATGACTAATTTTGAGATCTCTTTACAAGTCATAACCATAAAAAGCTTTATCTGAATAGTTGCTAGTTTTGTGTGTTCATCCTTTCTCACCGTCGAAAGAGCCAATTATATTGACAGCAATGGTCACGTTTGTTTTTCAAATGCAAATGGTTAAAATGTGAGTGACTTTTAGATTAACCTTCCCAAATTAAATTGCATCTTAACTGCACTGACATCTGTCATTCAAACAGATGTCAGCTCATAAACTTGACAAAGGACAAATTGTTTACACGTTTGTTGTGTGACAGATGTTTATCAGTCACAGCTCTGAGAAGTCATCTTTGAATATAAGATATTCAATGAGTGATTTTTGTTAAACTGTAAAAATATGCAGAAGAATTAATACACTAATAATTATCCTATTAAAATGACAAAAAGGTATTACTGAAAATGCTGTTAAATTATTTTAATTTGAAGTTATATGCCAATATAAAAATTCCCGTTGACTAATGGACTATCTTTTTAGAAGTTTTAGTTGAAAGGCTTCTTTCAAATAATGAAAATCATTACAAAGCATCAATCAAGTAAAATAAAATCATCCTTTGTGTTCATATTATCTTCTTTTATTGATAATTTTATGGAAAATAGATGAAAATAGACGCAAGAAAATGAATATTTTCATATTCAGCATTTGGAGAGGTTAAGTCTGTTTCAGATTTCAAAAAAGCACGCATGTCTAGGGTTGACTGATATACAATAGCAATTGCTAGTATGGTGATGGCTATTCAAAAAGTAGTTAAACGCAAATTAAAAACGTCTTTGATCTCTGTGTGACTGGCTGGTGAAGGAATCACATCCCAAAACATGTGCTGACAGGATCCGCCCTAAAACTCAGAAATGAGGCCCAGCAGGAGCCCTGTCCAGGGGCTGACTGGTGAGGCCCTACATTGTCAGCAACAGTGAGGTAGGGGCTGGTTGCTTGGGAGTGGCAGACGGTTTCGTTTGTTGTATATTTTCACTCTTCACCAAAATTTAGGTGAATCCTGGCCAGACATGAGAGGAAAGTGGCCTTACTGCACCTGCCACATTTACTTCAAAAAGAACGAACTCCAGTTGGAAGAGAATAAGAAAATATCTGTGTAAGTTTGGTTCTAACCACTCAACAAAACATTGTAAATAGTTTACATGACTACTTTGTACATGACTACAAAGCTTTCAATTAATCTTCACATTTTTCTTTTAATTTTCCTTAAAATTAAAACTAAACTCATAAAGCTTTAAAGAAAGCATCTCATATTCAAAGAAAATTATTCTTAGAAAAGTATAAAGTACACTTATACATCAGGTGCCTCACTTCATGAATCATATACAGTCAACTGCAAATATCTAAATATCAAGAAGAATCACAATTTTAATACCAGAGGAACCTGAATTTTTATTTTTTATCCCAAACCAACTTTTCTTAAAGTGATATTTAAAACTAATACAGTATGTGAATAATCTCATACCTACCTGTTTTACTATAACTTTTTGTCAACTTTAAAAACCTAGTAACATAAGACATAAGTTTTAAATCAAGAACTTATACATTCTTATAAATACTCCACCAATAAATATTTGTCACAAAAATGACAGCAGATGCAAAGCGAGCAAAATGAGTTTCACATACTGTTGAGACATGTATAACTTCCTAATCTCCTTGACCAGATACTTACATATACCTACCCTATCCCACAACAATAATCCAGGCAATAACTCTCTAGGTGACCTCTGAAAATCCTGATGATGATTAATGCTGTTGCTTATTTAAAAATTGCATATTTCCAAAATTACTGCAACTCAAGGCATGTCAAGAATGTTTTAAAATCCCTTTATACACTTATAAGTTAGGTACAATACTACAAATGTAAATTATAGACCTACACTGTCCACTAATGCACATATTCTGATCTTAGTACAGCATCTGAAGAAATCTATTAGAGTATTATTATTAACAAGATGAATAAATCTGAATTATGAACAAGATGAAGAATTAGTGAATCCTTTACTAGTTCTTAAGACAAGGGAGGCACATTTTTTGATATTCTAAAGATGTCTCTATTCTACTCTCACATTTCATTGATATTTTGGTGTGGTATACCTTGTTCTACTTTTGAACATACCCTCTTAAACACTGAGCTAATGAGACACTGCAAAAGGGTTACTTTATATTGAGTTGAAAAACCATATTGGAGAGTGACGTCAGGGCTGATGAAAAGGTAGAGAAGATCCCTACCCTTGTGCTGCAGAAGTCTTACTGGGGCCTGCTCAGCAGTTAACTAGTCAACACAGACAACACAGAAGGCTTGTTCATCACATTCACAGAGGTCATAAAGCAGGGAGAAATAACTAATGCACTGAAAAAGATTCCAAGTCTGGATGATGGGCTCAAACCAATAAGACGGAAAGCAGAAAGAACAAATATCAAGCCCTGCTTCTAAACTGGGAAGACTTGAATTAATAGCACTTCATATAAAATCTGACATTTTAAACGATTCCACTTTTAGCAGACAAAAATGTGGGATGCCTTCTAAAGTAAACCAGTTTAATTTCAAAATTATACACCATCCAGATAAAGGAAGAAAATAGTTGTGTAATACTTGCACTGGTCTGCTAGTGGGGGCATGGTCCATTCTGGGTACCACCTTCTAAGGAATATCACTGATAAAACATAGTACATACAAATGGAAGAGAGAAGGGTCTAGAAATCAGGTCACACGAGATATTGTTGAAGGACAAAGAGAAGACAAGGAGGGAGATCTCTTGCTCTATCACACAAACAAAACAAGCAAAATATGGAAGGAACGAAATTGCAAGCAGTGAGCCCCACAACTGGATAGGTGTGTATGTAGGGAGACTATTCTAAGGTAACCAACCCCCAGTGAGTCACATCGTTATACCACCCCTTGGCCTTGAGTAAAGGCAGGATCTGTGACTTACTACTAACCAGTGGACGACAGCAAAGTCATGGGAGGCCACTTCCATAATAAGATTACTTTGTACAGCACTCTCATGATTAGGTTTCAATCTATATACAACTCCACCTTGCTGGCACCTAGTAGAGAGATTGTTGTGCTGTCTTCAAAGATGCAAGCTGTTATGAAGGGAAATGCCTATGGATAGGGCCACACGGCAGGGAACTGAGGATGGCCTCTAGGAGCTGAGGACCTCAATCCTATAACTGCAAGGAACTGAATTGTGCCATTAAGAATGTGAGATTGGAAGAGGACCAAAAGCCTCAGATAAGACTTAGCCATGGTTAATGCCTTGACTGAAGCCTTTTGTGTCCTAGAGCAGAGGACATAGCTAAGCTGAACCCAGATTCCCTAACCCATGGAAACTATGAGATAATAAATGTGGGTATTTTAAACTACATTTGTGCTAATTTATTATGTAGCAATAGGAAAATTAATACAGTGTGTAAGCAAAAGTTCGGTAACCTTTATGTTCAGTGATGTGGTATGAAGGATTCTTTGAGACGGGAAAGATTGGTCTAGAATATAAAATCTAGCTACCAGATTATGAATAAGTCTTTCCAACTTTAAGAAACTATATAGCAAAATGAGGTGGGGGTTAAAGAAAAGATTTTTATATGGCACATGAATGACACTAATATTCTCTACACCAAATTCATAAAAACCCACTTATACAACAATTTAACTGACGTTTGTAACGCAGACATTCATTTTATTGGAATGTTTTATTTAATACTAGGTACCAATTAGCTTATATTAATTATAAACCTAGAGGACTTTAGATATTTAGAATGCTTTATTTTTTTTATTATACTTTAAGTTCTGGGATACATGTGCAGAACATGCAGGTTTGTTACATAGGTTACATCAACCCCTCATCTACATTAGGTATTTCTCCTAATGCTATTCCTCCCATAGTCCCATAGTCCCATATTTTCACATAGTCCCATATTTCTTGGAGGCTTTGTTCATTCCTTTTCATTCCTTTTTCTCTAATCTTGCCTTCACAATTTATTTCATTAAGTTGATCTTCAATCTCTGACATGCCTTCTTCCGCTTGACCAATTCTGCTACTAATACTTGTGTATGCTTCACGAAGTTCTCGTGCTGTGTTTTTCAGTTCCATCAGGTCGTTTATGTTCTTCTCTAAACTGGTTATTCTAGTTAGCAGTTCCTGTAACCTTTTATCAAGGTTCTTAGCTTCCTTGTATTGGGTTAGAACACGCTCCTTTAGGTTCAAGGAGTTTGTTATTACCCACCTTCTGAAGCCTACTTCTGTCTCTTCGTCAAACTCATTCTCTGTCCGGTTTTGTTCCCTTGCTGGCGAGGAGTTGTGATCCTTTGGAGGAGAAGAGGCATTCTGGTTTTAGGAATTTTCAGCCTTTTTGCGCTGGTTTTTCCTCATCTTCATGGATTTATCTACTTTGGTGTTTTCTGTTGGTGACCTTCAGATGGGGTTTTTGTGTGGGTGTTCTTTTTGTTGATGTTGATGCTATTCCTTTCTGTTTGTTAGTTTTCCTTTTAACAGGCCCCTCTTCTGTAGGTCTGCTGGAGTTTGCTGGAGGTCCACTCCAGACCCTGTTTGCCCAGGTATCACCAGTGGAGACTGCAGAACAGCAAACATTGCTGCCTTATCCTTTCTCTGGAAGCTTCGTCACAGAGGGGCACCTGCCAGATGCCAGCCAGAGCTCTCCTGTATGAGGTGTCTGTTGACCCCTGCTGGGAGGTATCTCCCAGTCTGGAGGCACGGGAGTCAGGGTCCCACTTGAGGAGGCAGTCTGTCCCTTAGCAGAGCTCTAGCGCTGTGCTGGGAGATCTGCTGCTCTCTTCAGAGCCAGCAGGCTGGAACGTTTAAGTCTGCTGAAGCTGCAACCACAGCCGCCCCTTTCCCCGGGTGCTCTGTCCCAAGGAGATGGGAGTTTTATCTAAAGTCTCTGAGTGGGGCTGCTGCTTTTCTTTCAGAGATGCCCTGCCCAGAGAAGAGGAATCTAGAGAGGCAGTCTTTCTACAGTGGCTCTGTGGCCCTGCGGTGGGCTCCGCCCAGTCCAAGCTTCCGGAAGCTTTGTTTACACCGTGAGAGGAAAACCGCCTACTGAAGCCTCAGTAATGGCAGACACCCCTGCCCCCACCAAGCTCAAGCATTCCAGGTCAACCTCAGACTGCTGTGCTGGCAGTGAGAATTTCAAGCCTGTGGATCTTAGCTTGCTGGGCTCTGTCGGGGTGGGAACTGCTGAGCAAGATCACTCGGCTCCCTGGCTTCAGCCCTCTTTCCAGGGGAGTGAACGGTTCTGATGTGCTGATGTTCCAGGTGCCACTGGGGTATGAAAGAAAAAAAAATCCTGCAGCTAGCTTGGTGTCCGCGCAAACAGCCACCCAGTTTTGTGCTTGAAACCCAGGGCCCTGGTGGTGTAGGCACACGAGGGAATCTCCTGATCTGCAGGTTGTGAAGACCATGGGAAAAGCATAGCATCTGGGTTGGACAGCACTGTCCCTCATGGCACAGTCCCTCAGGGCTTCCTTTGGTTAGGGGAGGGAGTTCCCCAACCCCTTGTGTTTCCTGGGTGAGACGACGCCTCACCCAGCTTCTGCTCACTGTCCATGGGCTGCACCCACTGTCCTAACCAGTCTCAGTGAGATGAACCAGGTACCTCAGTTCGAAATGCAGAAATCACCCACCTTCTGGGTTGGTCTCGCTGGGAGCTGCAGATGGGAGCTGTTCCTATTTGGCCATCTTCAGAATGTTTTAAATAAATATAAACAAATGCCATTTCAAGCACTTGCGCTACCTTTGTTCGGGCCCCTGCCAGCTGGAACCTAGACCACTGCTTACCCCGACTTGCCCCAGCATCATTCCCCAGTATTTTCAGCATCTATTGTCAGAGTGGTCTAGACTCTTTATTCATTCCAGCTAGTCCCCTGAATATGAGTAAAGCAGCTCAGCCAACAAACAGAGCCTTTCATCATCTGGCCTGCCTTTAGCATCCCCTCTTGTTAGTCCTGACCCTGTTCCCACTCTATACACATTCACAGGGAACCACTTACTCTTCCTCCCAAATGGCTGTACCACCTCTTGCTCTCTCTCCCTCCCAGGATTTGACTCTTTCTGAAAACTCTTTCACTCTCCCCTTTTTCCTAGCTAATTCCTTGAAGTTCAAAGATGCTCAGCCGGTGTATCATGAACTCCTACAGGGACTCTCCCAGGCTGGGTTGATGTACAAAGTTTAGTCTGGCTACACTGAAGATCATGCTTCTACAGTGGCAGTCATCTGTCAGATATCCCATTAAGCTGCACAGAGTGAATACCACATCCTGCATATCAGTAAAAAGTGTGCTAGAGGAGGTCAGGAGTTCAAGACCAGCCTGACCAACATGGTGAAACCCCGTCTCTACTAAAAATATAAAAATTAGCTGTGATGGTGGCACAGTGCTTATAATCCCAGCTACTCAGGAGGCTGAGGCAGGAGAATCGCTGGAACCCAGGAGACAGAGGTTGCAGTGAGCCGAGATTGTGCCACTGCACTCCAGCCTGGGCGACAGAGCGAGACTCCATCTCAAAAAAAAGTGTGCTGGGACAGCAAGCCAGACCCGCTGAAAGATCACTTGTTTAAGGGCATCTGCCAGAACTTCCACACAAATATATCTGAGTGAGTCAGACACCCTTAGTATCACAAGTATCGAAGATGTATAGTGCAGCGCCCAGAGGTGATCTAGAGGTAGCACCATGATGGTGATTATTACTAGTGACACGCTGAACTGGGCTGTATGGCCGGAATTTTCTTAACAGATCTTTTCCTATTTTTTAGAAGTCCTCTTCCCTAATTCCTAAGTCAATTGATAAATTCATCATGAGAAAATAATGAGGGCATTAGCAATGATGCTTGAGCAAGTTTGACAGTAGTGAGTAATGCCAAACCAAATTTTAAAAAAATTCATCATGAAGAATAGCTTTCCATGAACAGAAGAATGACCCCTTCTATTGTGTGCCGTGTATGGTGAAAACCCATAAGAGTATAAATGTCATTTTATGATGAATCGTATACATTTTACACCAAAACATCAAAATTATTTTAGATCATGAAGGGCAACAAAATCAACGCAACTGAAACACTGTGATAAAATTCAAGAGTGTGGTAAACTCAGGGCACCTGTACTGCATCTCACTTTTTCTTCTAAGTGCTCCCAAATCATATTTAACAATTCGCTGCAGACTTCCGGTATATGTGGACAGTACACTAACCAATTTAGAGCTGCTTGGATCCAATTTTCCCCATTTTTTAAAAAACAAAGACTTGTTGGACATTTGACTTTAGAAAACTCTGTGTTGTTATTTTCTAACTTTTCAATTTTAGACTTATCTATCTTTAAACTTATGATCCTCAACTATGGTCAATAAAAATTGGGTTCTCCTTTACATAAACACAACTTGCATACATCACATACACACTCCACATTCACACATTCACATACCACATTCACACGCTTTCTCCTGCCTTCTTCCTCCTGTGCCTCCCAATTTATATCACAGTTCTTAATAAAATTACATCATAATTAAGGTTGATAGTTTCACAATCTGTGCATGTTATGCATAACTCAATCATGTGGTTTTTGATAACTTTATCAGCACTGCTTTTTTTCCCTCCTTGCAGTCAATAACTGTCTTTTGTTATTTACTTGATTCTCTTTATATTTCAGTAATTTATCCCCAAATTCTCACCCAGAAGTGTAAATCTGTTATACAAGGGAGTAGATTCAGGAGCAGAAATCAAGCCTACCCTGGAAAATGGAACAGTTAGAACTTGCCAAATATCCAGAACATAAGGAAACTTATTAAATCAATACAGTCACGGAGACTTTCCACATGGGGAGGGGGTGCTGGACTTTGCAGCCTAAATGCTTCTCTCTCAGATTTCCCTTTTCCAAGTAACCCTCAGGGTGGCTAGGTTTCTGAGGGTTACAGTCCTATTTTGTGTGTGTGTGTGTGGTAGGGGGAGGTTGGGGTTTGTTTATTATTTTTTTTTTTTACAGAAGGCCTCCCTCTGTCACCCAGGCTGCAGTGCAGTGGTGCAATCATAGTGATCATTTTGTCTCAGCCTCCCAAGTAGCTGAGACTACAGGTGCACACCACCACACTCAGCTAAATTTTTTTTTTTTTTTTTTGGAGAGGTGAAGTTTCACTATGTTGCCGCGGGCTAATCTTGAACCCCTGGTCTGAAGCTATCCTCGTATGTGAGCCACTGTGCTCAGCCCTGAGCAGCATGTTCCTAAGGGATGTTGCCTAAAACAATGAGATGGGGGTTTGAAAGTATCAAGGGGCAAGACAGGTTTTATAAGGTTTATATAAAGGGTTATATAAAGATTATCTGGATCACTAGATCCTCAGCTTCCTCTTTCTTGGTTTACTTTCTCAATTTTGGAGGCACACATCCTCCACTAGTTCTTAAGACATAGGAGGCACATTTTTTGATAACCTGCATTTCTAAAACTGTCTATATTCTACTCTCACATTTAGTTGAATTTTGCTGTGGTACACCGTGCTCTGTTTTTGAACACACCCTCTTAAAAACTGAGCTGATGACAAACCATCCTTTGCAAGTATGAGAGTTATATTAAACATTCCCCCTTTTATCTTTCTCGGCAAGACTATTTAATGATAGTATGGTGAAGATCCTCTTTTAACCTTCAGATTTTAAAAAATATTTTAATTAATATTTAATATTTTAAGGTATCTTTCTCCATGGACCATATCCGTCTTGTCTATTATTTTTCAAACATGTTTTCTAAAGTCTAGTAATGACTGTCAACTAAATGGCCACATCAGAACATTCGGAAAGCTTGTCTCCATTATCTCTCCTTTTTACCCCTCACTTCACCATTGGCTGAACTCAGCTATGCATATGCAAATTAACTCTTCCTCAGCTACTTTTTCTTTTAAAGCTGCAGTTATGTCTGTTTCGTCAAATAATTCACCTTCATGGTCAAATTCAACTCAGACAATAAATGTGATAAAAGAAATCAATATAAAAGTGTTTAAGAAAATATAATTTATCAATATTTCACGAGCCAACTTTTATAAATTTGTGAAAATTTGAAGTGGTAGTTTGGATATGGCTTAGTTCTTGATCTGTAAAGTATAAATGTTTCTAGCAAGTTTATATCCTTGTAAAGGATAGTCAAACTACCTAGAATAAACACCACTAAGTCACTCAAAACTGATTTATAAATGATGTTAGTTATCAACCATTTATGTTATTAAAGCAAATCACTTAAGGATGATGGTGGTAATGAGAAGGGAAGTGAGGCAAGAAGCCTATCATATTTATTGAGCACTTACTATGCTCCAGTTCTTCTAAAAACATTCCATGCATCATCTCATTTAATCCTCAAGACAATCTTTTTTGTTTTTTGCTGTTTTTTTTAAATTTTTCATTTTTGTGGGTATATAGTAGGTGCATATATTTATGGGGTACATGAGATATTCCAATACAGGCATACAATTTGCAATAATCACATCATGGGAAATGGAATATCCATCTTCTCAAGCATTTATCCTCCATGTTATCAACAATCCAATTACACTCTTTTACTTATCTTTAAATGTACAACTAAATTATTTTGACTATGGTCACCCTGTTGTTCTACCAAATAATAGGTCTTATTCATTCTTTCTACCTATTTTTGTACCCATTAACCACCCCTCCCCCAACCCCCACTACCCTTCCCAGACTCTGGTAGGCTCTCTACCCTCCTTCTACTCATGGACATAGGTCCATGAGTTCAATTGCTTTGATTTTTAGATCCCATAAATGAGAACAGGCGACATTTGTCTTTCTGTGCCTGCCTTATTTCACTTAACAGAATGATCTCCAGTTCCACCTAGGTTGTTGTAAATGATTGGTCTCATTCTTTTTTATGGCTGAATAGTACTCCATTGCTCCATTGTGATTATGTCCCACATTTTCTGTAGCCATTCATCTGTCTCCTAATAACCTTATTATCCTCATATTTCAGGTGAGAAAATTGAGGCTTAGCACAGTCAAGTAACTCAAATAAGGGCATACAATGAACAAGTAAGGAAGCTGTCCTTACAGTCTGTCTGCTCTGGGCAAGGCCATTCTTCTTCTCACTCCCTCCACAGCTAATTATTTCTAAGTCTGTAAACTAACAGCTTGAGCTTGGAAGCTTTTCCCATGTCTCTCCACCTCCGCAATAAGCGCAGGCTTACCTCTTACATAACTCCTACCCTTAACTAAGCTCAGTACTCTGAATTCTCCCAGCTACAGAGAATATGCACATATATGTCATCTGTGCACTTGCATGCAGACATATCTAAAATTTGATCATTGCCTTCTCATCTAGAGGCTTGCTTTATTAAATCCCCCATAGAATGTGCTGATAGAAGACATAAGGCACTTATTCATGTTTTATTGAATAAAACTGAATATTCCTTATACTCCTTTTCAGTGGTACTAACCACACTGAAAAAATACATTTACAGAAAGGGTAAACAAAGAAAGAGTAGCTGGTTCTGATTCCCTGAATCCTTTCACACTGGATTTAATTCATCCATCTTTATTTAGGATAAATAGTTATAACAAAAAAGATGAGAAAATACTCTCAATATTTATCCTACCTATGAGTGAGGACTCCTCTTTCTAGTATGTCACGTGAGGAGAAAATACATTCAGGTTTATGGCTATCTTCACTTCAAATATTAAATATTACCTTTCATTTGTAATTTAAAACTTCAAATTAAGAGCAAAAGCTTTTACACTTGCAAGTGACTTGAAACCAAGAAATCATGGGGAAAGTCACAGATGATAGTAAATTTAATTATCTTTTTGTGTATTAAAAATGACTATGAAGTATCAGGAAGAAGGAGTCTTCAGAACCCGACATCTATTTTAAAACCTGTTTTTCCCCTTTAACATGGTTTGCACAGTAAAAGCAATCATTCACAGGTATGACATAGAGTCTGTGAATTATGAGACATTGTTGTCATTACTTTTGTGAATTACAACTTTTGGTCATATGAGTTTGATATCAATTATAAGGGCAATTCATGTAATATATAGATATATAATAGTGTGCCACAATCTAATGTAATTCACCCTTATCCATGAGTTATTATTACACAGCTCACAAAAGGCCAGACTTTAAGTTCATCCTGAAGGTTATTCACTCACAAGGATGGCTTCCCTCTACCACCCACCTGCCCTCCCCCAACCCCAATGCAGCATCTACATTATTATCCAACTAAGTATTTCTGCTTTTTTCCTGTTTGGTCTAAATTTAGCAAAAGAAATATATAATAGTTAATGCGAAACTCAAAACTTAAGGCTTTCTGATCTAATACTGTTTATGTGTTGGTGTATTTATGTGTGTGGTTTTATATGAACACGAGGTAGAAATTCTAGTTTATCTAGACAATACATAAAATTATCTTCATATACTGAATTTCTATGTTTCTCCTTTAAGAAAACAGGAAGTATTTTCTTCACATTTCAAACACTTCCTTGTACTACACAAAAAAGTTAAGCTATATTAAAAATTAAAATAGAAATTTCTATATATCACAAAAAGAAAATGACAAGTCATAATATATGTGTTTCTTTTTTCTCTTGTAAGGTTTATAAATGACTTGATTTTTTAAAAATTACTTCAATTTAAAAGCACAAGATCTAGAAGCAATAGCCCAGCTTCAAATCCTGACTTTGTCATTTCCTATCTGTGGCTTTTATGTGGCAAGTAACTTTACCATTCTGTGCCTCATTTTCTTCTCCTGTAAAACGGAAGCAATAATGAAGGCATCACATGAATTGTGTGAGGATTTAAAAGAGCATAGAGCCAGTCTGACACATATTAAGTACTCAATAAATGCTGCTAAGTCATTGAGATAGTTATTACTTTAAGTTCTTGATTTTGCAATGTGTTCTTTTACATAAGTTTGCAAAGATGGTGTTAATTACTATTTATTTGCCCAAACCCCTTGCAAAAATATTACATGCAAACAACCTTTACATGCACACACAAAAAATAAAAGTGCCCTTACTGGAAAATAGTATTATGAAAGATTTGGTGCCAAGGCAACAGTTGATTAAAGACTCTGGCTTTTGCTGACAGAATCCATCCTAGAAACGAGGAGGCACAGTTACCAGAGCAAGGAAGAAAAGGGTGACTGAAGAGGCAGCAACCAAATAGGGATTCCCAGACTTTGAAGAAACTGGGACCATCATCCACAAGTACATCTCCACTGTCTACCAAACCTGCAAGAGCCAAGGCAGACCACAGAAAGGGGATTCTCTGAGAATTCTATCAGGTCTAGTTCTCTGCTCGTGCAATTCCAATAGCACATCCCAACTTCCACCTGCTCATTAAGACAAGTTACAAAGCACATTTGTTCCAGGTTTTTGTTCTATCTTTTCTTATTTAAATCTATGTATCACATCCTTCTCCTAATTTTGAACACGTATTATTTTCCAAGAGAAAAAGATAAACTTTTAAACAGAAACAATAGTGACTAACTCGGTAGAGCTAATTATGTTCTTAGATGTGTTCCCAGTCTCATTTTCATAATATCAAGAGATAATTTATCTACAAATAAGCCTACATCACCTCACTAATGTGTTACCAAGATGTTTTGAGTCATTTAAATAGCCACTAAGAAGATGGGCAGGGAGGTTAAGGAGATATAAACTATGTAAGTATAGGAAGGATATAGCAAATGTGTTTAAGTAAATACACAGTGTATAAGGAGTGCTGCTTGAAATATGAGTAACCTTATGGATTAATTCAACCATTCATTCAATAAACATTTATTGAGAAGATGCTATGTACCAGCTATTCTAGTGCTAGGCATACAAGAAGGTAAAAGTCACATGCCCACATGACTCAGAAAGTGCAAGTGAAATGATCACTTAACAAAATTACAGATGTCATTATTGCTACATATTATTAAGCTGCAAGAGCAGAAGTGTGTACAATGAACAGGGAGATATTATATAAGAAGGGTCCAGATAGGATCCATGAAGATGACGACACTCAAGCTGAATTTGAGGGGAATTCTTGGAATTTCATCCCATATGTCAGAGTTAAGAGCATGCCAGTCAGATGGAGGGGCACATGCAAAGTATGAATCACAAAATAGCAGGGTACTCTGGGGAACAAAGTTAAGTACTGCTTTAGCTGATGACATCAGAGATATAAGTCAGCCCTTGAAGAACCCTAGATATCTCACCAAGGTATTTAGATTTGGAGCTATATTCAATGGGAAGTCATTAAGTAGCTGTTAATGAGGGTGAAGGGTGATGAACTGGCTTCTTAAACTCTCAGAGTCATGGAAGACATGATCTGGATGAGATAAGAGAATGAAGACAGGGAGATGGTTGCAGGAAAATGCAACGATAATCTGAAGAAGAAAAAATGCAAGGCTGGATCTAGGTATTCTCTGTGGAAACAGAGAAGACAAAAACCACTGAGAGATATTTAAGAGGCACATTTTACAAGAACTTACACCAACCGTATGTGGACATTGTTAAAAAGTGGGAAAGCCAGGATTATCCTTGGACTTCAAGTTTGAGATGTCAGGTCATTAACGGTACCATTAGTGATGTGCCTTTAACTGAGGTATACATATGAAAGAAGGTGAGGTTTAGGAAGAAACATAGCTCCTTTTTTGTTTTTTTGTTTGTTTGAGAGACGGAGTCTTGCTCTGTCGCCCAGGCTGGAGCGCAGGGATGTGATCTCAGCTCACTGCAACCTCCGCCTCCTGGGTTCAAGCGATTCTCCTGCCTCATCTTCCCAAGTAGCTGGGATTAAAGGCACCTGCCACCACTATGAATACAAATAATTTTTGTATTTTTTAGTAGAGATGGGTTTATACTATATGTTGACCAGGGTGGTCTCGAACTCCTGACCTCAGATGATCCGCAGGCCTCGGCCTCCCAAAGTGCTGGGATTACAGGCACTAGCCACCGAACTGGCCTATAGCTCCTTTTGCACTTGGTATTTAGGTATCTACAGGACATTCAGGCAGGAGGACATACGAATCTGATATTGAAAAGAGAAGGCTAGGTTGGAGATACAGATTTGATTGACAGTCATTAACATACAAGTGGTAGTTACCAAAGAACAGAAAAAGTAAATCACCCAGAGAGAAAATACGAGAAAAGAAAGTGTATCTCAGTTTTACACAGCATCATTTTTTTCTGTATTTTAATATTCATGTCAAAAACTTTCTCAAATACTGTATTTAGAAACATTCTACTTGTCCTTCAACACAAACTAAAGCTGAGCATTAAACACTAAACAAGAAAGAAATATTTTCATATACGGTTTCTTCTCCCAGATTTTTTTTAAAAAAGGACAAAAAGGTAAATTATTTGAAATGACATAGTTCACTCAGAAAACTATGAAATTTACACTTTTATTTTTCTTAATATCTGTTTTCATGAAAACTGCAGAGTTAAAAAACAAAAACCATAGCTTTAGTAATTTATAATTACTAAGAGCCTTAATATAGTAAACTCATATATTTTGTAGTAGCTAACATTCTGAAGTCAAAAGCAAGGGTAGTGATAATTTAGAAGTGACTTAAAATTCACATACATCTAAACTACTTTTTAGGCTGTTAAATATCAGTTAAAGAATGAGAAAGGCAGAGGGTGCGGGTGGAAGTCTCTTATTCTAGTTTACAAATTATACAGCCTCTGACTCCGGGCTAGGAAAGAACGTCTGGTTTCTGAATACATAATATGCCGTATTTTGTTCTTTGGAGCTTATCTGTACTTTAACAGGGTAAATTTCCTATCTTTCATTCAGAACAAATGTAAAAACATCTTATGAATAGGACCTTCAGTAAGTAAATGCACAAATCAATATTTAGTCTCAGACTAGACATCTTTTTCAGTTCTATTTTAAAATAGATGTTGACTTTAGTGTATAAACATATTAATGTATCAGTTTTATACTGATGACTTCAAAAAGCTGGACACAACAATGAACATTTACACGTATGTAATAAACTGACAGTTTAGTAATGAAAAATACTTCTATTTATATTATTATGTTACAACAGTCCTAAATAATGTTTGAAAATTTAAAGAACGAATATGCGGTGATTTTTTTCCTAATGGAGATAATCTCTTGGTCTAAATTTAGAATAACAAATTTGCATTTTAAATAATGGGACTAGATGGACACAGTAGCACACCTGTAGTACCAGCTACTCGGGAGTTTGAGGAGAGAGGATAGCGTGAGCCCAGTTTTTCCTTTGTTTTTATTGAGACAGAGTCTTGTTCTGTCACCCAGTCTGGAGTGCAGTGGTTCGAACATGGCTCACTGCAGCCTCGACCTCCTGAGCTCAAGTGATCCTCCCAGCTCAGCCTCCCACGTAGCTGGGACCACAGGTGCGCACCACCACACCTAGCTAACTTTTAATTTTTTTTTTTGTAGAGATAGGGTATCTCCCTGTTGTGTAGGATAGTCTCAAATGCCTGGCCTCAAGCAATCCTCCTGCCTTAGCTCTCCAAAGTGCTGGGATTATGGGTGTGAGCCACTATTCATGCCCAGCCAAACCCAAGAGTTTGAGACCAGCCTAGGCAACAGAGACCACATGTCAAAAAAAAAAAAAGGAGGGGTATGCAGGGGGAATAATGATGAGATTAGATATCCAGCAAAGTAACTACCTCTTATCATAAACAATCAAGGTAAACTGTGACATCATCTCATATTTCAAAAGAAAATGAAAATCTTCCAAAGTTTAATGTGTTACTTTGAGAATGTGAGGCAGTGCAGAGTAGGGCTTAAGACCACACATCAGCTTTGGAATCAGGTAGGACTCACTTTAATCCCAGATCTATTACCTGGTACATATGTGACCCTGTAAAAGTTATCTCTCTCAGCTTGTTTCCTCAACTACATATCTGGAAATATATTAGTATCTACTTCAAAGTAATTTCATAAGGCTCATGTGTAATGTGCTTGATAAAAGAAAGTTGTCAAGTGATATTACTTTTAACTTCTCTTACCCTTCTCTATTTTTTCTTCTTTCCATGGCAGCTCTCATCTTCTAATATACTGCATATTTATTTACTTCTTCTTCTTCTTATTGTCTGCCTCCCTCCATGAAAATGTAAGCTCCACAAGGACAAGTGTGATTGCCTATTTTATTCAATGGCATATCCTAAACAGTGTCTGGCAGTAAAGTACTCAAAAATATTTACTGATTGAATGAGTAGATGACTACTGAGAGGATTACTACACACTATTAATGATACTATATAATATTACTTTTCATCATTACTACATCTTTTCATTTTCATTCAGTTATATAGACTTTTTTGAATGAAAGGTCAAATCATATGTTTTGGGACACTAGGTATCAATCATGTAAGTTTTTTAAGAAAGAATGATATTAATTTATTTGATTGTAAAAGGAGAACATAAGCTAGTCTCTAAGATCATACCTACAAAAAAAATTTGATTCTATAATCCAAGAAAAACAAAAGCACATTTATAGAAAACTTACATCAATTTACTGTAAGACAGGACATCTTCTCAGAAACTTAAAACCTTAAATCAGTAAAATACACAGCTGTAAAGAATTAGATTTAAAATATATGTCTGTACAACGTAACTGAGGGCAGGGGGAGGAGGGATACAGACACATGTAAGTTCTGTCAGCACTAAATACACAGGAATAGCAAAATACATTATTCTCTGCATCTATTAATGAGTAATGGGAAGATATATATTTGCTCCTGAATGAGTAATCAAAATGTAGCTAATTATAATTTAACAAAAAATGCATCAAAAAGTAAAATAAGTACAGTCGACCCACCCATTGGGATCCACGTATCATTGCTGCTTTTGTAGTTGAATCTGTCAACTGTGCTGCTGATCTAGTATCAAGGTGGTTTTTTTTTTTTTTTTTTTTTTTTTGACAATGTCAGTGACTCTTGACCCTTTATCATCGTTTTTGGTCAGTTTGTGTCCTTGCTGTATTGAACAAGAGGTAAGACACCAAACTATGACCCTCAGAAGAATATAGGAACTTTCTTAAAGGCATACATGCAGGTTTGTGAATGAAACCCTTCCAAAATTCTGTTCAGCCTGCAATTAAGGTGAGGTTGTTTTTAGATGCAGTATTTAGAGGGTGTATCACTTCACCCACAATCAGAATGCTATACTGTACCATGATAAAAGACACATAAAATTAACTAAGTCACAGGAAGGTCTCACTTAAGCAGATTATGATCAATCCAAAATTTCTTCTATGTACGTCAGCTTTAGTGAGATTTACTCCATTAGTATAATTATGACCTATTAATAACATACTATAAATAGGAAAGTGTTATTTATAAATGTCAGTTATATATCTACATAGCAATTAAGTGATAATACTGGAAATAAAAGTATACATATAAAAGCAAACACACAGGTATACAGTACTCTTCTTGTGACTCAAATTATAATCTAGAATCAACACTATTGTTTTGTTTTAAATTCTATTAAGCAGTTAAAACAGATTCTAAATATACAGAGTATTATAAATCCTAAAGCAACGTCATTGAAAAGTACATTTCCCATGCATATTGTAATAGGTTTTAATATTGAATGTAATAGGTTTAATATTGAATGTAATAGGTTTGAATATTGAATAGGTTTTAATATGAAATAGGTTTTAATATTTTTCTACTTAAAACAACATTAATCCGCCAAGAGGGCTAATATGTCTATGATATATAATTTAAAACCTATGGTTAAAGGAAAGAATTTGATGAACCTCAAGACAGAACGCTAAGTAAAACTGAGTATGTGTGTTGACCAAGGCACACTGGCATTACTCTGTAGAGCCGATCAATAGATATTAGCTTTAAAAAGAGAGATAGAGAAAGAAGCTGCAGCATATTTTTTAAATGACAGAGTGAAGATTTAAATTGTATCAATCAAGACCCAATTTTTTTCCTCCTAGTCTTTCCAGCTGTTCTCTTCCAGTTAAGATTCTTCGCTTCAAATAAATTTAATTAGTTCCAATTGATCATAGCCAACACTTGTACAGCTTAATCCATGTGTCTTTACTTTGATAAGGCAAATGCTAACAAAGGCTACTAGGCTCAGATTCAACTGTCATAAAACAGTATTCATACCTAACCCATTTGTACCCAAAAGAAAAATTTCAAAAAGTATTCTGCCTTTAGTGAAAGCATTATATTATACCTCATATTTTAATTGTTATCTTGCTCAGACTGTTTCTAGAAATTAAGATCCAGATTACTACAATAATAAAAGTAATACAACTATACACATTAGCCTAACTATAGCTTTCAAATAAGAATTCCCTGAAAATGCAGGCAAATACCTGTCATGATATAATTACTACTTATTTTATGAAGAAATATTAGAACAATTCCTCTAAAATAACTGGAAAAATCACCTGAATGGCTGCACTAGCCAGCTTTCCCTTTTGTAGTACTGGCTCTCTACAACACTAGTTACCCCAAAACAAGATTATTGTGCTTGAATCAGATTTCTCTCAATGCATCTACCATATTTTTCATAATGCAATTTATATAGGATTCTAGTCAATGAAAAGAAATATGGTTTTCTTCTAAACCCTCACAAAAATCTATACCATAGCTTAATCGAGTCACACAATTTAAAGGTAACCCGAACGATCTACAGGCTGCAACATACTAGTTGCTTTGACAACATGGTAAGGAAGCCATTTTTTAGTTATTTAAGTTCTTCGGATATTGAACATTCTTGCCTCTAGTACCCATGACAGGAAATGGATAAATCAGCAGATAAAAGCCATTTGTCACATATGTTTAACCAAACTTACAGATTAAAATATAGTGTATGTAGCATTAATAGACTCTTCAAATTAGATTTGCATTCTTAGTTTCTTGATTTTGTTAACAATAAAATTAAAAAATCATATACTGTAATGCTATCTCATGACTTTGGTAGTGCATAATTCAAAATTTCAATGTACTGATTTAATAATGCTTACTTGACTGCTCAAAAATTCAGCTTTTATTCCAGAATGCAAATTGAGTTATTCTACTATTGCAAAGGCAAATTTATTTTTGCTATGACTTAAACAACTACTTTTTATAGATTGGAAGGTGTTTAAACTTTACAGGGAATTAAAATATAACAAAAAACATACATATGACAGTATGAAAAGCAGTGAAAACGGAACAAACACGGACTGGCTTAAAAATCTGCAAATAGGCCAGGTGCAGTGGCTCATGCCTGTAATCCCAGCACTTTGGGAGACCGAGGCAGGTGGATCACAAGGTCAGGAATTTGAGACCAGCCTGGCCAATATGGTGAAACTCTGTTTCTACTAAAAATACAAAAATTAGCTGGGCGTGGTGGTATGCACCTGTAGTTATAGCTGCTTGAGAGGCTGAGGCAGGAGAATTGCTTGAACCTGAGAGTGGAGGTTGCAGTGAGCCGAGATCGCGCCACTGCACCCCAACCTGGGCAACAAAGCAAGACTCCATCTCAAAAAAAAAAAAAAATCTGCAAAGAAAATAGATTTTCTTTAGCAGCTACCAAAACAAATTCTATAATTGTAAAGTGCTAAATGACTATCAGAAAAATTAGAAGTTCCTGAAATCGTTCATATTTAGGTTGGATAATATTTTTCATCAATGAACTTACACACTAAAAAGAATTTAAAAGTAATAGCCACCATCATCATCTCATTTTTATTGAAAATCAGATGTTCCCCAACTCTGGCAATATTAGGCAGCAGTGGCACAAGGCTATAGGTATTTTAAATATACACTTTGTAAATTTTCAAGGGAGATCTTAGACTTTCTTCTTCCCATGTAACAGTAACCTACCTATCACGGAGGGTGGGAGGGAAGGAGGAAATCTCCCCTTTCTTTTCTCCTTTTAATTTTTCTTTTTTTTTTTTTTTTGAGACAGAGTCTCACTCTGTTGCCTAGGCTGGAGCGCAGAGGTGCAATCTCGGCTCACTGCAACCTCCACCTCCCAGGTCAAGCGATTCTCCTGCCTCAGCCTCCCGAGTAGCTGGAATGACAGGCGCCCACCACCACACTTGGCTAATTTTTGTATTTTTAGTAGAGACGGGATTTTGCCATGTTGGCCAGGCTGGTCTCAAACTCCTGACCTCAGGTGATCTGCCCACCTCGGCCTCCCAAAGTGCTGGGATTACAGGTGTGAGCCACTGTGTCCAGCCCTCCCTTTAATTTTTGTTAAAAATTTTCTGTTATTTTCTGGGCATGCTTCTTTCTAAATTATTGATTACTATTAAATTAATATTTTCTGGGCGTACTTCTTTCTAAAATATTGATTAGTAGTAAATTAACATTTTTTACTATTAAATTAATATTTGTTGCTTCACAACAATTATACACTTTATGATCAAATTTTAAATTTTAACCACCCACACCCAAAACAAAAGCTTATTATTCTTAATACCAATGTAAGTATTTATACTAGGTTATTTTTAACCTCTGTGCATTCAAAGAAATTGAGCTGAATGTATTTGGAGATCCAGTAACTGAAACTGCCTTAAGAGTATAAAAAGACGGGCTAAACATTTATAGTGTGTGAGTTTCCTAAAATTTGCTTTATGTTTTTCACCTAAATTTCACTTCATGTGAAAGGTAATACAGATAAGAATGTTCAGTGGCCCAACAATTAAAAAGCAGCATTCACTTCTACAGTATAGGTATAAAGAGTAAGTCTTCCTATACAGCTTATATTGTATATATTGTGATTAAATTTTAGTATTTTTTAGTTTACCTGATAGTTGCAAAATCTTTCAAAACTTAATGAGTATATTCCTCTATACATTCCAAGGCTTTAGCAATGATCGCAGATTCTGAATTAAAAGGTCTCCAGAAAACAAGTGCACAGCTAGTAGGTTTATTGTTAGAACTACAATGAGCAAACCTGGACCAAAGAAACAGTTCCACTTCTTTTCACCTCAAAATTAAAGAGGACACTGAACAGTTTCATAAAACTAAATACACCATCAGTACAAGTTTCCATCCTTTCCGTCGAAATACTTAATCCCACCACAAATAACCTAGAAAACATTTTGCAATATCAAACAAAGCTCCAATCAGACGTTAAAGATGTCTGTGCTTACCAGTGGTGATGTCATCGTCAACAAGGTCATGCTCTTCCTCCTGGACTTTTGCTTCAGGCCCTGAGGCATCAGGAGCCGTGGTGATAGTCTGCGCGGCTTCTGATGTGACTCCAGCTAAAACAAATATGAATCACAAGGCTTCACTTCAAAAAATGAAAAGTAAAGCAAACAGAAAGTTTGAAGATTTTTAATTTACTTAATGGACATAAACACAATACATTAAAAAATATATATGTTCACCAAAATTAGAGACACAAATCAATGAATAAAACATTCACGTGTGCTCTATTTATTTGCATGTATATATGTACATGGGTATGTACTGTATTTACTTTTAACCAAGATCTGGGAAAAACAGAAACAGGATGCTGAAGTATTACATTTTTTACTCGATTCCTTTCAAGGTTTTTGCTACAGTTACTTTGGCTGATTTTGACAATTATTCAACAAAGAGGAAAGTGTGGATTGTTTTAAAAGTTTACTTCTTTTTAATGTTAGTTTGTTTATAACTTGGGAGTTGGGAGGAAAGATGAAGACAGAAGAATTTGTGCCCTGGGGCTAAGTAACGGACCTGAAACACACTACCCAAAAAAAGTATAACATCTCCCTCTATGAAGGAATTCGATATAAGGTCACGTAATTATCACAATGAAAGAAATTAACTGAAAGCAGACAGGCAAAGAAGTTCAGAGGCCAAAAGCTTCCATTCTGTAAATCGCCTGAGAATTTGCCAGCTCACACAAATGTCTTTTCCTTACATATCTATCATTTCATCTTTGATGATACATATTTGTTGTCATCTTGCATCTGTCACATTATTTCTCAATTTCACAACAGATACTAGGGTGCATCGATATTTTTCACATGGTTATCAAAAGGTATTTCTCAATCATGATAATATAAAAATTTCCCCATTAGAAGCTACTCTAGGAGTTAAACTTTCTAACCAAATCATCTTAAAAGGATATCAATAACTGCCTACATAGAATCCATTTAAATATTTTAAAGACCAAACACTTCTTTAGTTCAAGGACTTCTTTTCTAACAAGGGGTATTAACTTAAACATTTATGTGAAATTCAGCCTTGCTACCTCCGGTTAACCAAAGGCACCAAAAGAGGAAGAACCTTAGTCACAAACCACCGTAACAGATCCAGAAATGGACCTACCAGTAGGCAGTTCCAAGCTCTAAGGATTTAAACTTGTGGACTAAAACGCACCATTTTGGTACCACTACTTATTCAGAGTTGCTTTAAATAATAATAATAATAATGCTAAAGAATGATCCCTGATGAATAAAAAATGACAAACTCACCACTTTGCAGAAGCATTTTTTTTTTTAATTTTTAACTTTTATTTTAGGTTCAGGGGTACATGTGCAGGTTTGCTATATAGGTAAATTGCACGTCGTGGGGGTTTAGTGTACAAATTATTTCATTACGCAGGTAATAAGCATAGTACCCAAGAAGTAGTTTTTCAGTCCTTACCATCCTACCACTCTCCACCCTCAAGTACACCCCGGTGTCTGTTGTTCCCTTCTTTGTGTCCATCTGTACTCAATGTTTAACTTACAGAAGCACTTTGTTAGATTTATATGATCAATTTTAACATAAAGAAGGGGATGTACTAGAAAAATAATATTACTTTATTAAAGATAGCTATCAGTAAAATAATCACAGAGAGGAGATGAGAAGGTAAACATCACATTCCTAAATAGATACTGCTCAAATACAAAATCAAAAATCATTATTTCATATTAAATCAATATATAAATCTTTGAAATATCTGAGTCTCCATTTCTTGCTTAGAACTTGATAATTTTTAAAATGATCAGAGAAACATTGAAAAAATATTAAATAGTTTGGATAGTAACAATCAGCATTAGTATTTTCATTTCCTACAAAATTAAGGGATCAATGAAAATAAAGCTGGCATTTATGTAGTAACAAGTTTATGGATCCATTTACATTTATCTCATTTAATCAGAGAGGCTAAGTAATTGTTCAACATAATATGGCTACTAAATTCAGGAACCAGAATTGAGACGTAGGTCTTTTGATTTCAAACTTCAATATCAATTTACCACCAAGTCTTTCCAGGGACTAAGCTCCTGGGGACAGGGTGGGAGGTGTCACAGAACATCACAGCATAACCTTGAGAAACCACAGAATCACACAATACTGATTATAAATACTACCAAGCATTCCATAGAGCTCCTGTGCTGTGCCAGTTAACTATTCAACCAAGGGAATTCAGGATTTTGGAACAGAGCTTAAGGAACAAACAAGTACATCTCAAAGTAACTGAGGCTGAAAGACCAGGGAGTTGTGCTAAAACTGGTTCTTTGATTGATGCTTTCCAAAACTTAGTAAGGGTTATAAAATCCTCACCAGAAAAAAAAATACAAAGAAAAGAAAACTACAGACCAGTATCTCTCATAAAGATAGTCTCCAGAATTCATAACAAAAATAAAAGCAAATAGGATACAGCAACATATGAAAAGAATTATATACCATGACCAAGTAGGGTTTATTCACAGCATGAAAGGGGTTCAACTGGCCAAAATGGATCAATTAAGATCCAAAATATTAACAGGCTGAAGAAGAAGAAAAAAAAGAATTCCTGCTCATATCAATCATTTGACAAAATTCAACATCCATTCATGATTTAAAAAAGAAAAAAAAAACCTCTAAGAAAATAAGAATACAGAGGAACTTGATAAACAGCATCTACTAAAAGCCTACAACTAACATTACACTTAATGGTGAAAGTCTGAATGCTTTTGCCCTATGATCAGGAATATGGCAAAGATAGTCACACTCACCACTCTTACTTAACATATCATTGGAAGTTCTACCCAATGCCACAAAGCAAGAAAATACACACACATACACACATTTTAGAAAGAACGATGTAATTGCCCTATGTGATGGTTAATTTTTTTTTTTTAATGTTTTTTTTTTTTATTATACTCTAAGTTTTAGGGTACATGTGCACATTGTGCAGGTTAGTTACATATGTATACATGTGCCATGCTGGTGCGCTGCACCCACTAACGTGTCATCTAGCATTAGGTATATCTCCCAATGCTATCCCTCCCCCCTCCCCCGACCCCACCACAGTCCCCAGAGTGTGATATTCCCCTTCCTGTGTCCATGTGATCTCATTGTTCAATTCCCACCTATGATTAAGTGTCAACTTGATTGGATTAAGGGATACCTAGAGAGCCGGTAAAGTATTACCTCTGGTTATGTGTGTGACGGTGTTTCCTGGGAGACTGGTGTGTGAGTCAGTGTACTGAGTGGGAAAAATCGGCACTCAATGTGGGCAGACACCATTCAATTATCTGGGGGCCCTCGCTGAACAAAAGAGCAGAGAAAAAGCAAATTCTCACTCCTGGAGCTGGGATATCCTTTTTCTTCTGCCCTTGGACATCAGAACTTCAGGTTCTCTAGCCTTTGGACTCCAGGACTTACACCCAGCAACCCTGTAGGTTCTCAGGGCTTTGGCCATGGACTGAGAATTACACCCTTGGCTTCCCTGATTCTGAGGATTTTAGACTTAAACTGAGCCCCACCACCAGCTTCGCTGGGTCTCCCACTTACAGATGGCCTATCCTGGGACATTCCAGCCTTTGCAATTGCATGAGCCAATTGCATGAGCCAATTCCCCTAATAAGTCCCCTGTTCTCTCTATCTATTCTTTTGGTTCTGTTTCTCTGGAGAACTCTAATACACCCCACTCAAAGATAAAATGATTGTTTACAGGGAAATACAGAGGAATTATCGAAACTAATAAGTTAGTTCAGCAAGGCTGCAAAATATAAGAAAAAAACATGGAAAACATCGATTCTATTTCTATATGTTAGTAATGAACAATGGACACCTAATTTTTTTAAAGCCATAATACTATTAACAGTAATTATAAAAACTAAAATACTTAGATGTAAATCTGAAAAACCACAAACAGGTCTTGTATGCTGACAACTACAAAACACTGATGAAAGAAATCAAAGGAGATCTAAACAAATGAAACAGAATTACACTGTGTTCATGGAATCGGAAGATTCAAAACAGGAAAGACGCCAAATCTCCACAAATTGACTGATATACAGATTTAATGCAATTTCTAACAAAATCCCAGTAAGTTTTTTGTAGATATCAACAAAAGTATTCTAAAATTATATGAAAGACAAAGGAATTAGGACAAAACAATTCTGAAACTGAATAAAGTAGAAAAAAGTCATTTTACCCCATTTTAAGACATATAAAGTTATTAAAACCATGTGACTTTGGCAAAGTAATAAACATTATGTTAATGTAACAGAATAGAGAACCAAGAAACAGACAAACACCAATCTGCCAAAATGATTTTAGACAGAGGTGCAAAACCAATTCGATGGGGGAAGGATAATCTCTTCAAAACAGGGCTAGAACAACTGAACATCCATAAGCAAAAAAAATGAACCTTGATCTAAGGCTCATAATTTATATAAATAGTAACTCAAAGTAGATCATGGACTGAAATCTAATACATAAAAGTATAAAATTTTTCCAAAAAAACTCAGGAGAAAATCTCTGAAATGTAAGTTTAGACTTGATACCAAAAGCACAATCCACAAAAGAAAAAATTGGCAAAGTGGGCTTCATTAAAATTTTTAGACTTTTGTTCTACAAAGGCCCTATTAAGAAGATGAAAAGACAAGCTCCAAAACGAGAGAAAAGATTCACAAATCACACGTCCAACAAGTAATTAGTACCTGGACTATTTAAGGAACTCTCAAAACTCAAGAGTAAACAAACAATCTGGCATTTCCTCAGAAAGTTAAACATAGAGTTACCATGTGACCCAGCAATTTTAGTACTAGCGAATGAAAACATATGTCCACACAAAAGCATCTACACGAACATTCACAGCAGCATTATTCATAAAAGCCAAAAAGTGGAAAGTATCCAAATGTTCATCAACTGATGAATAAATGATAAATTCATACAATAGAATATTATATAGCAATACAAAGAAATGAAGTTCCAATACATGCTATGGCATGAATAAATATTAACAATTTTAACGCTAAATAAAAGAAGTCGCAAAACATTACATGCCTTATGATTCCATTTACATGAAATGTCTAGAAGAAGCAAACCTATGGAGACAGAAAGTAAATGTGTAGATTGGCCTAGGGCTGAGGTGGGTGGACAGAACATGGAGTAATGCTAATGGGGGCTGAGGTTTCACTTTGGGGTGTTTGAAACTGTCCTGAAGTTGATTGTGGAGATGCTTGTACAACTCTAAATCAGCTTAAAAAACCACTGAATTGTACACTTTCAAGGTTGAATTTAATATTAAGTGAATTACGTGTCAATAAAGCTGAATTTTTAAAAGTTTGGTTTTCTAACATTCCAGATCAACCAAGGTATCCATGCCACCTCAGTGTACTCTCTTGATACTTTTTTCTGCCATATAGCTGAAGAAAAAAAGGGAGGAAAAGAGTCACATAGAACATTTATACAATAAGAAAGCAAAATTCGCCACAAATATTTTGTTTCAGAAAGGCATAATTTTCTACTTAAAATTTTTAAAAATTAAACTATATTCTTTATGTTGACCATATTTGTAACTATATTAATCCTCAGTCAAAATTTCTGTATTATTTTGTTCCCAATCAATAAGAAGTGATTGACTTGTTTACTTCAAAATTATATATATATTTCATTTTTTAAAGATCAGCAAAATATTCTTAACTCCCATAATACAGGGCACTGTGATAGCAACAGACTACTTGCGATTTCTAACCTTTTTGGAAGACAGTAAAGGGGTAGGAGAAACTGAGAATGGACAGCCCAAATTACCACACTCAACTCTCAAATCCAAATGGCACAGCTCATTTAAAACTAATTTTAACCATTTGCTTTAAGGAAAATCTGATAGGTGCTTTTAACTTTTGAAGTTTTCAGCCATATAGTTATGGTAGAAGACTATTAAAAACCATTATTTAATACTTCTAAGCAAGGTAGTCATTATCTGCAAAAGAAGGAATAATATTTTTTAAAATTCCCAGCCATAAACCTGGCTATTTCTACTTTCTACATTATTTAGTTCTATCAGGACCTTATGTTAATGGATCGAGATAACAGTAGACTTTCTGTAAAAGGCAAAACAAAAATGAAATCAGTGGTTGCCAGGGGTTAGGAGTGTGACAAAAGGATTGACTATAAAGAGGTAAAGCAAAATTTTTAGAACAGTGAAAATAATCTATACCATGACTATTTACATGTGTTTAAAACTCATAGAACAATATGTTTAAAAGTGTGCATTTTACTATATATATATATACTTCCAAAAACTTAGCTTGTTAAAAAAACATACAATAGAAGGCACTACATCACTGTCACAAAAGAGAATTGAAGACTATGCCAGAATACAATGCTATTTTCAACAAAACACAGAGACTAGAAAAAATAGTTTTAGTTCTCCCTGCTACAAAAAGCTTAGCCTTTGTGTACTATCCACTACCAAAGAAAATGAAATATCCTTGCAAAAAAAAATAAGAGTCCACTAGGAAAATATATTTATGGAAATTTCAGGGTATTTTGTATATCAAAGTTATAAATATTGTCAATTAATTATATGGTGATATTTTGGTATATTCTTTTGTACTTGACATAAGTGAGCTTATTTGTCAAATTATACCACACAAGCTACGGTTTACTTACTTTCTGAGTATTTCCAAAATATTTGACAGTGATGAAAATCTCATAAAGGTTCAATAAATACTGAATACTTTATCTCATGGCACAAATTGCGTTATTTAAATATACTAGAAAATAACAGTAAGGGTACTTTGGGGAAAGAGATATGATAAAAAGAATAATAAGGAAATAAGGAGAGTAAAGAGATATAATAAAAAAGAAATACAATTAACAGAAAGACATGAGGCAGGTAAAAAACCAGTGAGTATCCAAATCCAGATTTCACAAAATAAAAAACCAATGTACATTATACCAAACAACAGTTCTCAATAAATGAGTTTTATATCATGCATCAGGAGGAAAATGGGGGCAGAGGGGGAATGGAGTGGGGCAGCAAGCTGGTATGAGTAAGTCTGGACACAACAGTAAAAGGGAAGTGGGAGGGTTGTAGCTAGTAGAAGTGAGAATTAGAGGACAAGAAAGACTATGAGATCCTCACGCCATCTAGATTTCTAAACGCTTAGATAACTCTTCATTACGAAAAATCTATATACATAAAACTTCCCAATTTTATGCAATATTTTTTAAGCCACTTCAGAAGTTTTTTAAAATATAAATATGGATATGCCATCTTCAAAATCAATGGAATTAAACTACACTCAACTAGCCCCACCAGTAAAATTGGGTATAGTATTCTAAAAATTATCTTTCATAAGCTTGTAAATTACCTTTATGAATTTTTTTCCAACTGGCTAACAATATCTGAGTAATAATAAATAACATGAACTCACAAGACTACAGTGTCATGTGATTAACATGAAATGCGAGAACAAAATACTAATTTTTAATATAGTAACATGTAAAAACCAGCACTTTAACCAATATGGAAATATAAAACCACTTCAGTTCATTATAGTTTCATTTTTTTATTGAAGATTAGATGGTAGTGATAAACACTGCTAGGACTAAGAATGGAGAAAGATATTTATAAATATTAACAAAAATTCTATTTCTCATTCTCAGTAATATAGATTTCCACTGAGATTGAAAAATAGATCCAAAAGAATGGCAGATATTTTTATTTCATCAGTTCCTCACAACTGTGGTTTTCCAGTCGTCCAATTAAAGTACACTGGAGGCAATAATTTGATATGAACATTTACTGTGAATGAGGTAAAATTTAACAATAAGGGAGTATGTGAGTATCTACAGTTTCTTTTCAGGCAGAAGGCCTGAATTTATTGGAAGCAGATCTCTGCAGTGACTGACCAACACTGCCCCACATTCCCCACAATCCTTATGACAGACAGACAGCCTGCCTCACATTAATTCACTTCACACCACTTCTATCGATCCACAGCCGGTTCCCTAGTCTCTCTGCACACATTGCCTGTCTGGCTGCCTACATCCACATCAGCACATACACACAAAGGCCATAGAAAGATAACCTTTTGCTTTCCATTAAAGACACAGTATCCACTTTTCCTTCTGCAATAACATCAAAAATATGAAATTAACAGTATAGATGTCTTGTAGAAAAGCCTTTCTGTAAGAAATTTATCCCTTATTCTGAATAAAGACCACTTCAATTTATCAAAAACAATAAAGTTAGTTTATTAAAGTCCACAAAGTAATTAGAGAAATAAAAATATAATTTAAAATAAGCAGAATGTCTTCAAGCTCAAATAACAATGTAAGAATTATTTGGTAACACGAGTTTTGATCTTTGTTTATGAACAAATGAAATACATTTTTTCCTAACTAGTATTTTTTTTTTTTAGAAAACTGCTCTCATATAAAATGTAATTATTAGCAATTCTGAAAGCAACAAAAGGGAAACATTTACTGAAAAATATGTAAGTAAAATAGAAAACAGGAAGTGTACTGTATCAATAGAATATTAATGGGATAGCATAAAGCTTTATTATTTCTCTTTCCCAAAAATATCTAAAAATTGATCCATCATTTAAAAAATCAAGCCTGATGCTTCTAATTACTGCATGTATTTTTTCAAAAATTTCTGTGAGATTTGCAGGATATGAGCTGACAACACCAATTTTGGTTTCAAAAGACACAAAAAAACCAAAGACTATGTTGTTCAACCTATAAATTGTTATGAAACAAAGAAAAAACCGTTTTGATACACAACTGTACTAAAGCATAAGCTTAACATTATAACCTCTGGCTGATTTAGAAACTCAAACTATAAGCAGAATTACATATCTCAGAACTGTGCTTAAAGTATGTTCTTTTAGATAAGAAGGTACCTTTGAAATCCTTCATGAATTTTTTTTTTTTTTTTTTTTGGCTAGGATCACCTAGGCAGAGGTTACATCATCAAGTGGTGACAAAAACAGTGCACTCACTACATTCAGTACCTTACACCTGTTGTTATTTATAACAGCAAGCTGCTTTGGAAATCAAAGGGAAACTGATGAAGGCTGCTGAAGTTGATGGCTTTAAAAAGGGGATGTTAAGATGTGTATTGGGCATGAAGGGTGGGATAGATCTGAGTAACAGAGAGGCTGGCATTGCCAATATAAGTAAAGCAAGCCATTAAAATGGTAAACATAACCGTGCAATAGGTATAATAACTGTGCAATGGTATAGGAAACAGTGCAATGTTCCCTCATTATACTAAACACTCAAGGAGCCTCCAGGCTATTATGCAACAAGCCCTATACCAGAGATTAGAGACACAAAAGTACAAAGACATACCCTTAGCTTCCAAAAAGTTTATATGTAAACTGAGGGAGTCATTAAATAAATTTAAGCACAGAAAATATCTTAATTTTATTTGTGTTTAGAAAGGGCTCTCCTGTAGCAATGTAAAGAATGACTTGGAGGGACTCGGTGAATGAAGGTAGCAATGAGGCCAATGATGTAAAACCGTGCTACTGGGAGCCCTAGTACTTCCTTAGAAGTGCCAGAAGGGAGACCTCTACCCTCCCCATCCTTACCTCTATGTGGTTGTGTGTATGCATGCATGCACACACATGTCCACATGTTTTACAGAAGTTTTCATTTGAAGAAAGGATACCGCTTTTCTAAAAGTCTGAAAATCACTGATCTATATATTTTTTTAAAGACAGTACTTAATGGAGAGAAAATCAAGAGTAGTTTTCAGTTAAAACACAGAATGGTAGGGCTGTTCTCTGAGCATGGCGAAGGCAGGAGGAAAAATTTATTCATTTAACTTTTTTGAATGATAGTTATTCTAGGCAAAGAAAATAAAAATGAAGGTAGGGAAACACAAGGACTTTACACTAGAGAATCTAATAGCCATAATGAAAATACAGATTTATCAATGAATAAGTGAAAATAGTTCACATATGGAGAAAAATCAGCTCTTCTTAGGATGGGAAGAGGAAGAAATACATGTCAAAGACAATTTCACAAGAAGGAAATATTTGAATTGGGTCTTGAAATATGTATAAGAATTCACAAAGAAATGACACTAGGTGAAGAAAACTCAAGGAAGAAAGGGTATGCTAAAAGTCCCTGGCGCATCTACAGAGCGGGTAGCAGGAGCATAAACAGTGTGAGAAGAGGTAGGCAATGAGGCTAATAAAACATTTGAGGCTAGAGCCCCAAAGGCAATGAGAAACAGGGTACTAACAGAAAATTTGAAGCAAGAAAGAAATTTTCATTCTTTAAAACAGATGCCTGGTTCCAGTATGGAAAATGAAGTAGAATCACTGGTAAATATAATTACAAGGTTGCTAGGGCAAGTGACTATGCAATGAAAGTAAATAAAAACTTCAATACCTGAGATTTGGGGATAAGTAAAAAAAAAAAAAATCCTATGATTTCTCTTTCTGGTCATCAGAATAGTTCAGGAATTCAGTTTTGGGTAGAGCCAGAAGCAGTTGTTAAAGACAATTATGAAGGCAGAGAGTTTAATGTAGTGTCAATCATAATCTCCAAAGACACAATCCCAAATGCCATAATCCTAAATGTTGAAATCTCGAAAGATGGAAATTCCCAAAAATCAAAGGTCTACAATCTAAAACTCCAAATGACGAAAATCTCTAGAGTCTAAAATCCCCAAAATCATAATCCCAAAACAGTAAAATCCCAAATTCTGAAATCCTGAAAGCCCGATTCTGGGGAAGTGATCAGTGCGCTTTTTGGTTGTATGCAGGATAGTTACATCATGTTAGTTACATCATGTTAGGAAGTATTACCTTTTTATTGTCTTCACTTGGAAATTAAATGGGTTTAAGGAGGTGTGGATGGGTAACAGCCTGACAAGGGGTGGACTTGTGGACTTAATTTTGGTATCAATTTAACTGGATTAAGGAACATCTAGAACCCAACCCAACCCAAAGCATTACTTAGGGTGTGCCTGTGAGAGTGTTTCCAGAGACGATTAATGTGAGAGTCTGAGTGGACTAGGTGGGGAAGGTCTGCCCTCAGTGTTGGCAGAAACCATCCAATTGGTCTTCCAGGGTCCAGGGAGAACAAATGCAGAAGGGAAATTGGTCTCTGAGAGCTGGGACAGACTTCTCTTCTGCTGCCTTAAACATCAGAAATTTGACGCTACGAAAGTGCATTATCACAACATTGACTTTGTGTATAAGCATTTGTGCATGTATGTAAAAATGGTGAAAGTTCCTCAATAAATGAAGAGATGTTCCTTTGTACATTTGCATTTGCGAAAAATAAAATGTCTCAAAATCTCAGCTCTCAAATTCACATTGCCTATGTGATGATCTGTCGCAGTTTTTGATCATTCTCATCAAAAGACTTAGATTGTCTAACACAGTATCTCAGCGGACCACTGTTATAAAGCTGAGTACACACAATCACCAACCACAGTGATATGCATTAATACATTTCACTTTTTGACTTACTTCTTTATGAATAGGTTCACTGACTCATAACTGTTATATCCATATGACTGTCATTAGCATACCAGAGTTTTTACGCTTACAAAACACAGATGTTATTGTTGCTTATTTTATTGTGTGAAGTGGACTATGAAGTGTTCTGACACGTTTTTTATGTTTCTCAAATAAATTCTCTATAAAAACGTAGAAACTATATTTTAAATTACCTTTTCCAGAATTATATTTTCAGGATTTTGATCTTTTGAATTATGATTCTCAGGGTTTTAGACTTTAAGGATTCTAATCTTTTGGGATTTCAATATTTGGAATTTTAGAGTTTGAGATTGTGTGTTTCAAGATTATGGCTCAAATCCAGTTTAATCTGCTAGCAGACAATCCCAGAGAGGTAACAAATAAAAAGCAATAATTTCTGGCAACCCAGCCAGGCTGCCTTTGTGTCATTGTATAAAACCTGATGAATACAAGATAGTAGACAGTGATATGTCATACATTAAATTCAATGATGGGCCAGGTGTGGTGGCTCACGTTTGTAATCCCAGCACTTTGGGAGGCTGAGGTGGCAGATCTCTTCAGCCAGGAGTTCGAGTCCTGCCTGAGCAACTTGGCAAAACCTCATTTCTACAAAAGAATACAAACATTAGGCTGGGCACAGTGGTGCACACCTGTAATCCCAGCTACTGAAAAGGTTGAGGTGGGAATATTGCTTGGGCGGTAAAGGCTGCAGTGAGCCATGATGGCACCGCTACACTCCAGCCTGGGCGACGGAGCAAGACCCTGTCTCAAAAAATTAATTAATTAATTAGATAAATTCAATGATGGATACAAGGGGTTGAGTTTAGCACAGTGCCTGAGATGTGGTAAGTGCTCAATAAGTAGCATTATAGTATCATTAAAGTTATTACCATTGCTTTTGTTATTATCAATTTTTGCTTATTGTTATTCTCTTTTTCCTAACTTCAGGAAAATACTGAATATTCAGCTTTTTTTCTCCATTTCATGAACCCATTTACTTATGCCTTTTTAAAAACTTTTAGTATTATTTCCCTCCTTTTAGAGCCACATTTCCAGACGTCTTACGATACATGTTTATAAATAAGATATTTGATGGCAAAAAATCAGAATATTTACCTTTCACAGAACCAATGTATCTTATTTTCTTTCACTGCCAAAAAATGTTATTTTCAAATATCTAAACACATACACACACAAACACACAAATAGGAACGCTTTTGACTCTTAACCTCTTTACACATAGTGAATAAATGATTTGAAAATAAATACACAAGAATCTGGTTTTAATATTGTGCTAGCAGATGACACATTTAATTGGCAACAATATGCTATGAGATCACACTATAAGGCATTTTGGATATTCCAATAACTTATCACAGTAATAAATTAGATAAACACTGTAATGTGCTCTGACTTTATTATTTGAGAATATTCAGTTATTTTATAGATAAGAATAAGATGGATGAAACTCATAAGAAGTGTTATATATGGACAGTAATGAGTACCATGTAAGAATATAGGCAAAACTAATAAGATACATTAAGTACAGACAGTAAGTTAATGACCTAGAAGATACATGATAAAAAGCATGAAACAAGCAAGAATGTTACTTATAGAGAGAAATAAATGGAAAGACAGCTCATAAGATAAAGCTGTAACACCTCTCGAAAAAAAAAACACAGGAGAAAATCTGCATGACCTTGTATTTGCCAATGAGTTTTTAAGATACAACACCAAAGGCATGAGTCATAAAAGAAAAACTAATTGGACTTTATCAAAATTAAAAACTTTTGCTCTGCAAAGGACGTTGTTAAGAGAATGAAAAACAACCCGCAGACTGGGAGAAAATATTTGAAAATTATATATTTATTTAAGGGTTTCTATCCAGTAAGTTCA
This sequence comes from Homo sapiens, assembly GCF_000001405.40. NCBI lineage: Eukaryota > Metazoa > Chordata > Mammalia > Primates > Hominidae > Homo > Homo sapiens. The sequence continues at coordinate 56,802,692 of NC_000018.10, read as the reverse complement.
AAGAACACTTAAAACTTTACTGTTGGGCCAGGTGCGGTGGCTCATGCCTGTAATCCCAGCACTTTGGGAGGCCAAGATGGGTGTATCACGAGGTCAGGAGATCGAGACCATCCTGGCTAACATGGTGAAACCCTGTCTCTACTAAAAATACAAAAAAAAAAAAAAAAAATTAGCCGGTGTGGCGGCGGGTGCCTGTAGTCCCAGCTACTCAGGAGGCTGAGGCAGGAGAATGGTATGAACCCAGGAGGCAGAGCTTGCAGTGAGTCGAGATCATGCCACTGCACTCCAGCCTGGGCAACAGAGGGAGACTCTCAAAAACCAAAACCAAAAACAAAACAAAAATTTTATTGTTAGGCAACCCAAGGTTAAAAAAAAAAAAAATTCTAACTATGGTAAGAAAAATTGGACAAAAGATGTAAATAGGCATTTCACCAAAATGGACATATGGATGGCAAATAATCATATGAAAGTATGTTCAACATTATTAGTCATTAAGGAAATATGAACTAAAATCATAGTGAGATATAACCACATACTTATTAACATGTCTAAAGTTAAAAAAATACTAACAATATGAGATGCTGACAAAGATGCAGAGCAATAGGAAAACTCACGCCTTCTTGGTAGGCACAACTGCTTTGGAAGACAGTTCTACTGAATTTTTAGTCATACTTACTCTTATATAACTAAGCAATTCCATTCCTAGGTAGTTGCTCAAGTGAAAAAACATGAAATTTATGAAACCTGGAAACTTACATTGACATAATACCCTGTACATGAATAGCTACTGGAGCTTCATTCATGATCATCAAAATCTGGAAACAACCCAGATGTCCCTAAACAGGTGAATGGATAAATATACTTTGGTACAGCCACATAATAAAACACTATTTAGCAATAAAAAGGAATGAATTATTGATTCCTGCAATAACATGAATGAATCTCAAGTGTATTTTGCTAGTGAAAGAAGCCAAACCCAAAAGACTACAGGTTAGGTTCCATTTATATGGAATTTTGGAAAAGGAAAAACTGTAAGGATGGAAAACAGATGAGTGATTGCCAGGGATTGAAAGGAGAGGAGTTGATTACAAAGAGGCTATATAAGGAAATTATTGAAGTGCTACAAACGTTCTGTATGGTACTGTGGTGATGGATATTTGACCATTTATCAAAACCTAAAGATCTATCTGCTACAAAGAATAAACTTTATTGTATACAAATTTTTAAAAATAATGAATTAACCAAAATGCCGAGGGAACCCAGGATGAACTGTAGATTCTGACAAATGAGTCTAAGTAAATTACAAATGTAGGACATAACCTCACTGAAGGTGTAAACAAAAACAGCTGACCTAAGTAACTTTGGAAAACAGGCCAAAAAACTGGTTAATGTAAAGCTAAAGACAAAAATAACTATACACAATACTACACTATAGTTGGTAAACTGGTTTTTCACATGGTATGAGTTAGCAATTCTGAATTACCTTTAATGTCTTCTAGGGTTGAAAAAATAAGTAAATATTGTAGATAATGAAAGATTTCTCAAATTCAAAGAAAGTAATTACAAATAAGCAAAGGAAAAAGATTAAATCTTTTTGTAGTGGATGAAAATGAGAAATATCAGTATGAACTCATATCCACTTTAATATACAGACACACACAAATACAGACATAATTCTAGATATGTGGGGGATACATGGGCTAGTGCACATACATATGTTTCCCAGTTCTGTCCACTCACAGGACCCAGAAGCAGTGAAATCCCTGTAGTAACAAGAACACCTAGCACTCAGATCTTAGTGTCTAATACCTCCATTAAAAGGAACCAGGGTTCCTTAGAGAAATGACTGATTCTACGGAAGGCAGGGAAAATACAGATGAGCAGGGAGCCTGTGCCAGAAAGTAAGAAAGTGCTTTAAGAAAAAAAGATGAGGCCATATCAAACTGACACTGAAGCAAACTTAAAAGAGCTCCCTATGGCCAATGCCAGGATAATCTGAGCAATGAACCGGCATTATAAAAGTTATATTCCTCAGACAGTTATTAGGAGCCTGCTGAGGGTCTGGCGCTGGGTCTTTGGGGACAAAATATAAGGTCCTGGATCTTGGCCCCAAGGAGATCTCAGTGGAGCACTTTCTATATGTATTTATTTTTATGAAGACTATATGGTTCAATATCACAATGGAACACAAATTATGTCTCAAAATGTAGATATGTATTTATATATAAGATATAAAGAAAGAAGTAAAATGGCAAGCTTCAGAGAAAACTAAGTAAGCACATGCATGAAATATATTGAGTTCAGCCTGGAAACATGACAAAGTGGGATCAAACTGGTGAAGATATAAACATGCATACACTGTAATGAGCATAATGCATCTATAGAAGCACATCATGATTCCACTACATTACAGTGATTAAACCTCACAATTCATTTTAAAGACTATTCATATCTAACCAATGATTTAGAGAATGAAAAGTTGAATTAAGTAAGGGAGCACCAATCATTGCCTCTGGCAGAGCTTTTAAAGAATTAACTTGCAAACAAAGTTATAAAAAGAATGAAAAATGAGCCAGACAGTAAGAAGACCACAGAGATACGACAGTGTATAAAGAGAATATAAACTTTCATTTTTAACCCCGTCCCACAAATAAAAACATAGCAAAGTCTATTTTTAAACAAGGCAGCCTACTCTTAGGCTACAACTCTAATTTCTTCCTTACTCTGGCAGTGAGCAAGGGAAACCAGGAAAGGAAGTTGAGTCACTGCAAATAAACTGGCATTAAAGAAAACTTGAAAAGATTAATAAAAGTAGATCAATTACTCTTACAGAGAATGCCAGCAATAAAAAATTATGCTTTAAAGGAGGTTAAATGAATAATCCCTATCCACTTGGTGTCATGAGAATCATATTTGATTTTGCAACCACTGATTTCAGTTAGAATGTTTCACAGCACATTTTAAAAATGTGTTTAATTCTGTCACCATAAATATACACCCACATGTTATCAGGCTAGCACACATATAATGTTTCACATAACATTTAATGAGGCATTAATAATATGTAAAATACTTCTTGAAACTGTGCGTGGTACATACCAAGTCTTATATATTTTTATATATTTACAAACAGTACTACTGTACTGTAAATATGTTAGTGTTGTCAGCTCTTTTATGACCCCCACAGCACATAAAATATTATCAGCAACACTGTAATATAGAGTATCAGTAACAAGTATTAAAATGTCATAGTTCTGATGAATAAAAAAAACCAAAATATTTGATATAAAAGCCACAAATATGTGACCTCAAGTAATACTTAAGATATTGTCATCCTGTTCCATTTATCCTTTTTATTTACATATATTTCACAGAGATTCTACATTTAGATAAAAATTAAAAGTTATACAGTACAAGAGTACTACACCCTCAAAAACAGTTTTAATATTTCACTCTAAAAATATCTCTTTTAAATGAATTCCTTGGCACCTCCAAATACTCTATTTTCCAGCTGTTTAAGTGACTGGCTATGCTGGACACTGAGTCCTTCACCATCTCTATAATAGTTCTTACTGCACTGTTTCATTGTTCATTTGATTACCTGCCTTCCTAATACACTATAAGCTCCATGAAGACAGGGACCATGACTACTTTGTTTATCATTATATTCTCCAGCCTATAGCTGTTTGGCAGTTAATAAATAGCTATTGAATTAGGGAGGGAAAGAAAAAGGGAGGAAGGATTGAAAACAAGCTGTGATACATACATTGATCAGGACATTTACTTAACATTGTTTTAATCTTTTATTATTCACCAGAAGCAATTCTATATGCAAATATGCAGTGTTTATAAATGAAATTTTGACAAATGTCTCATGTATAAGATCTATTTTATATATTCTCAGTATCTATCAAAAAGTCTATAATACAAATTATATAATCCATTTATTAAGAAAACTTTTATAAAGCAATAGCAAATACTAAATGGAAAAGAAAATAAATTGGGTAATTTAATTTTACATAAATAACATAGAAAAATACTACCTACTTAACCGCAGTATCACCCTCAATAACATAAGCATAAACAGACTATTCCTTAGAAATGTAATTGGAGAAAAGGCAACAAATTTCACGTTTAATTATTCTAGCCCAGGATATCTTAACTCATTACTAACATTCTGGGTTGGATAATTCTTTGTTGGCAGTGGCAAGGGCTGTCCTGTTTAGAAGCATCCCTGGCCTCTGTCCTAGTGGTGACAACCAAAATGTCTCCAGATATCACCAAATGTTGGGGTGTGAGGGTATGTAAAATCGCTGCAGGTTAAGAACCACTGTGCCAGTCAAATGAGTCTCAAAGCTACAAGTAAACTCATCAAGTCAAGTGAACTGAGTTATGTTATATCCAAAAGAATCACATGAAAGTCAACTCCCTCTGCCCCACCCCATAACCACTATTATTGATAGAAATGTGCTGCCCTACCAAAGCAGATTGATGTGCTTTCTACAGTGATTATTATCGTCAATATAATTAAATTTGCTATTACAAAAGTCAAGTAAAATCATTACATCCTTTAAAAATAAAATGCTTTTAACCAGGGAAATATTATCATCTTTGGTCCATCAATATAGCACCAATCATCATGTAACAGATTACAGAAACATTTCCAAAATTAGTGTACATTTCCCTGCGACATATATGTAATAAAAGTGATGGTAGTGATGGAAAGTGGAAAAATAGAAAAGAATATTTACAGGTAAAGATGATAGGTTTGAAGTGGCTATAAACGCCCAAGGGAAGATGAAGATGACTGAATGAAATGGAATCTCATTTCTTTTCATATCCAGCATCCAGAACAATGCTGTGCTCCATGTATGTGCAAAATACAATTTGTTTAACTGACTTAATGTTACGTTTAAGTTTTAGCTGACTTATTTTTTAGATAGATAGATAAAAGTGTATTCTGATAAATCCACAAGATGGGGTTGTTTCTTTGGGAATGGGGAAAACTATGATTCTAATGAAGGGATCCAGTATGCTAGGAATAATCACCAATCAGATAAAGAATTGAAATCAGAATATCTTAATGAACTTTGTGTTCAATCAAAATTAACTGCTTCTTCCCCTTTTCCTACATATCCTATTTATACCTGTTTTATATTTATATCATAAATATAAAATATAAAATGGTATATAAATATACCATTTATATTTTAAAAACTACATGGAACTAATTAATCACCATTCAATCAATTAGGGAATGAATCAATTAGAGAAGAATTAGAGATAAGTTTTCCATTTATCTCTAGTAAACTACTAGAAGGTGGGTTTGTTGTTATTGTTGTTGTTGTCCTTTTTACAGGTCCAAATGTAATCTCTTTGGGCCTTATCAGGTAAAGCAGCAACTAGGAAGCCTACTGAGGGCCTCACAGGGGCCCCTTCTACATCCACAAGATTAGAAGAAAGTGCATCCTTAGCTCAGTTCAACTTCATTTAAAAAGAGCTAACACTACTTGCCAAAGGCCCATCATGGATTCAAACACGTAATACCAAAGAGTTCTAGCAACTCATGAGTCTGTCTAATCTCTGTGATCCGAAGCAGAGCTGATGCACCTGGCTCACAGGATCACATGATTCCGCCAAGGTGCCTCAGGGAGGGAAAGAAAGGCATGATGATGTCTGTGAGCCAGTACCTGATGGACCACTATAAAGGTCCCAGCAAAGGAAAGACAGTCTTTGGTCCTAGGGTTGCAGTTTGATTTCTTTTTCCTCTAATTAAAAAACAAAATAGAGCAAAATCAAACAAACTCCCCTCAAATTTCTTAAAGAACTACGTTAGAAAATTTGGAGGTGATTTTAATTTAAGGTGACGTTTCCTTTTTTCTTCCATGCCATGGAAGAAATGTCATTTTCTTCTACATCATTCACTTGCACATTTTAATCTAATAAAATTAAAGAAAATGTAAAAGAACTGATCATAGTTCATGGATTTAGTAGGTATTAAATCTTTTTCTTCTTGTGTATTATTACATAATTACTGAGCACCTGCAAACTTGATAACAGAGGGCAATTAGATAGTGACACCTCATTTTTAGCAACAAAATGCTATTAAGTTTTTTTAGTGGAAATTTAACTTTTAGAAACATTAGCATATTTCAAGTAAAATCTCACCACAGTTATCAATGCAGAAATCTTTGTATACCAGCTGAGGCTTTGTAGAGTTTTCTAAACATGACGAGTTTGAAATCACTAGTCTTAAAGAAACATACACAATCAGTAGATATACATCTCTGGGTCTAAGTTCTTCATTTTCAAATGAATATTAACTAGATTAACTTCCCAAAGTCATGCAATCACTTGAGTGGGGCAGTGGGGAGAGGGAGTGAGCCAGTAGGGTAGTAAAGAAATCTTCAAATGGAGGTGAAGGAGGAAGATATCCTCACAGTGAAACCTCTTAGTTGCCTGAAGATGAGGCATCCCTTACAGTGGCACTATGTGCATAGCTATCCAACAAATTCCACCAGCTGGGAGAACTATGGGTGTTAAGATTATATCTCTATAGAAATTGCATTGATATACATCCAATAATCTATGATTTCGGTTATAAATATGTTTAGTGCATTAGCTAAATGGTACTGTTGTGATTTCCAGGTAAAAAAATTAACCTTCGAAGTACAGAAACTCATTATAATGTCATCGTGTTATCTAATAAAATCATTGTTGTATTCACATTTCCTATTTAACATTATGTTGGAGATATTAGCTAATATAATTGTGCAACTAAAATGAAACAAATGAATGTAACTGTGTTATCAACTTGGTGGTATGATCCCACAGAGAGAAACTATTTCCAGTGACCTTTAAGCACAATAATTTAACTGTTCATCTTCAGTGGTTTATACCCTAAGAAGAAAAAGTAACTATAAGCAAACAAACAAATAAAATCAAACAAATACAAATAAAGCTAGGCATTGGGGTGCATATCTGAATCTGAGACCAGCCTGGGCAACAGAGTGAATACAAACAAACAAGAACATCCACACATTATTTTTGGTAATCATATCATGTATGGCAGTGCTGACAGTATTCCAAACTGTTGTGTGTGTATTGTGGGGGAGAGCAGATGAGTCATTACATGGATGTTGTGAGGGAAAGTAAATACAGATGTAACGTTAATCAAATTAAGTAAAACTTCTGTAGTTCCAAATTTATTGGGGAATATCAGTATAAACTCAAAGTATTTTATATACTCTAAGATTCAAATGAAAGTGTGCATGCATCTACCAAAAAGGCAAGCAACAGTGAACAAACAGCAAGACGCATATCTAGCACTTTTTGCGATCTTAAAACACAATTTCCCACTAAAAGGACCAAGATTCTTACATGAGTTGACTCAGGTCTGAGTCAGGAAACGAGGTGGGCACAGAATGTCAGTAATTAGGCTACCAAAGATTACCAGGGTCTTATCAAAAGGATTCAGGAGTCAACTAAAGAGGCTTCCACTGATCAAAGATAGGAAAATTTGTAAAATGATATGAATCATTATAATGGACCAAAACCTAAATACGTTTCAATCCATGAATTCATATTAATATTTAAATACTTTAAAAATCACTTCGAGTCTTTGTTCTGTCATTTCTGAAGTGTAGCCAGGGTGCAGAGTAGTTGATGAGGATAAGATTCTCCTTAGAGAAGTATTCTAGCTAACAAATGAGGAAGGAATGTTAGAATTTATAATACTGGGATCTGCTACTCTAATGAAAAGAAAGGCAAAACTCATCACACTACAAACCTAATTTATTCTACAAATAAATCATAAAGAACGGGAGGAGAAAGAGCTAAAGACAAGTAGATGATTGATTGATAGAAACTCTATAGATTAAAAGAAATATGCAACATGTTAGCCAACTGTTATATATGAACTTTTATTTGAATCCTAAATGGCATAAACAAACTTTGAAAAAATTATGAAACATATTGGCAAAATAGAAACACTGAGTTACTGAATAATATTAACAAATTGGTTTTAATTTTTTGGCATTCAAAGTGTAGTGTAGGCTTTGGCTTTTTAAAAATAGACTTTATCTGGCCGGGCACGGTGGCTCACGCCTGTAATCCCAGCACTTTGGGAGGCCGAGGCAGGCAGATCACAAGGTCAGGAGATCGAGACCATCCTTGTTAGCACAATGAAACCCCTTCTCTACTAAAAATAGAAAAAATTAGCCAGGCATGGTGGTGGGCACCTGTAGTCCCAGCTGTTTGGGTGGCTGAGGCAGGAGAATGGCGTGAACCCAGGAGGCAGAGCTTGCATTGAGCCAAGATCACGCCACTGTACTCCAGCCTGGGCGACAGAGTGAGACTCTGTCTCAAAAAAAAAAAAAAAAAAAAAAATAGACTTTACCTTTTAAGACACAAACATTTACAGATAAGGCAATATTGCATTTGAGAACTGCTTTGGGAATAATGTGGGGCAAAAGATGAAGAGATAAAGAAAATAAGATTACCCAGGAGTCAGTAACCATTGAAACTAGGCAACAGGTATATGAAAGTTCATTACATTACTCTCCACCTTTCTCTACGTTTGATATATTCTAAGATACAAATGTTTTTAAAACAGAATAGAAAACACATTGGTTTTATCCAAAACCAGTCTCTAAAATTGTAATTTGGCAAACAGATCATTTAACAAATCATCCTAATAACTCTATGCAGCAACTCGAAGAGAAATAAGAAAAAAAGATTCACTGATTAGTAGTAAAGGTTAATACAATTTCTCTGAAATGGTCCCTGTTTGATGTGTTTTCTCCCCAAATACCTACCCTCCTACCAATCGCTACTAAGGACGTTTGACATATAATTAATAGAAAGATGTAAGCCCGCTTTCTAAAGAAGCATTTAAATGTTTTCTGGCCAAATATATAAGAGGAATATGTCTCTGTTATCCTATTCATGTGTTTCAATGATAAACTTCAAGAATAAATGTTTCTGCTTTTTACCATGATCACCTTATGCATACCACAGGGCTATGGGGCATGTATAACCAATGATAAAAAGAAAAAGCAAGTATGTGCAGAATTAATTACATAAGAATTCCTCAACCAAAAATTTAATCTGAAACAAAATCTCTTGCACATACTTTTAAATATTTAGTGTGAAAGAAAATCAAAACTCAACTAGTGTGCTTTCTAGAAATTGATTTACTGATTCTACACAGAACATGTCACAGAAGCTTTAGTGTGCTTACTATGCCTTGAAAAGAGAAGAAACCAAATTAACAGATTTAACTTCATCCAACGACAGGCAATTCATTAAGTTGAACAGGCAAGTGATTATAGAGGTTTGTCAAGTGCAGCATGGCTATTAAAAGATGACTGAATATATATGAATCTGCACTCATATTATACAATGACAGTTATATAAGAACAAATAAGTTCTAAAACCAGATAGTTGGCCAATCCATGTCTGATAGGTTATCACATTTTAATTCAAAATAATGAAGTATATGTCAGATAAGATCAGGCGCATTCAGGGTGGTATGGCAGTAGACTGAAGTATGTATCAAACATTAATGTAGCACATTCAAAATGGTTTCTGTGCTTCCAGGAGACAACTATTTTAGTCACATACTGAATTGAATGCACATACTGAGCTGGCACTCTGTTAGTGTACTTTGCTGGGTGCAACCTACTATGAAGCTCTACAAAGAGCGCAGTCATTTTCTGGAGAAGTAGCAAGAATATATTTCCCAAGTTGCCATACAGAACCAAAGGAGTTACAGAGAAATAAAAGTTGTCCCGCATGACAACAAATTTTAGTAATTGCCCTATATATAAGGGAAAGATTGTATTAACTCTTTACTAATTCTGCCCTGTGTCATAGTGTAGGTATGTGTGCATGTGTGTCTGTGTGTGTGTGTGTGTGTGTGTGTGTTAAAGAAAATAATTTGTTAAAGCAAGAAGGTTTTTAGGGAGCAGATAATTAAGCAGTTTTCAATTGTGCTAGATAGAACCCCAAAAGACAAAAGAACAGCATGAAGGTTTCATTGTACAAGAAATGAAACATTTTTCAAAAAAAAAAAAAAAACAAAGATTTAAAAGCCTAAAGAAATACTTTTTATTGGTTTTACGTATTGGAACTCTGGTTAAGATTTCATGTGTAAGTTTACTACCTAAAATGTTTGAAAAACATGGATTTATTCGCTCCCCTCCTTTTACACAAGAAGAAACTATGATGTAGTTAAGATTAGTGCAGAAGCTATGTGATCTCTCTGGGGTTACAGCTAACACATGGTGAAGAGGAGATACTACTCTTTCCACTGAATTCCCAACCAATAACCTGGTTCAGTAAATGATCACTTATATATCATTAGAAAAATCCTTGGCCAGGTACAGTGGCTCATGTCTGTAATCCAGCACTTTGAGAAGTCAAGAAGGGAGGATCACTTGAGCCCAGAAACTGGAGACCAGCTTGGGCAACATAGGAAGACCCCTTACGAAAGAAAAAATTTTAAATTAGCTAGACATGGTGGCGTGCACCTGTGGTCCCAGCTACGTGGAAGGCTGAGCCAGGAAGATTGCTTGAACGCAGGAGGTTGAGGTTGCAGTCAGCCGTGATCGTGCCACTGCACTCCAGCCTTCGTGACAGAGCGAGGCCCTATCTTGAAAGAAAGAAAAAGAAAAGAAAACCCCTTAGGAAAAAAAAAATTGTATTTTTCTCCCTAATTATTGTCATCTAATTTGGAAACTATAAAATGAAAAAATACAGATTCTTGGTTGAGGAGACAAGGCTTACAAGAATCGTCTTTTGAAACTCATCCCTCCTGCCTCTCACTTTCCTTTTGAGAACCATCATGCTAGAGTCCCTTCGCCACAAGACTGGGTAGTGACAAAACGGAGAAGGAAAGGTTTCTGGCCCCAAGTATGCATCCACTTCTAAATGGGAAAAGCTTGGGATGGTCTCAGAATCCTGATCACACCTTTAAAATAGGTGACATCTGAGACTATGTGGTTACTTTAAACCCTAAGTAAACATTTTATGAAAAGCACCATGGCTCTTTAGATTAAGACTGAAAAGGCCCAATCCTCCAGCCATCACCCAAAATTCAGAGACTCATTTCTCATTTAGTTTCTCTGACTGGTATTTATTTGCTTTGAAGACAGATCCTTGCTTAAGGAAAAAAAACAAACAGATAAAAATCAAAATAGAACCTAAGACATAGTAGCCACCTGCTAGAAGGGGGTAAAGAAAAAGCTTTCTCTACTTCATATCCAAGATATAAAGATATATAAAAATAAGATAATTTACATCTTTGTATCTATAAGATATGCCAGAACTTATCTGAAAATGTTTAATTATTAGAAAGATGTAATTTAATTATATGTTTTAAATCAGCATGAATATTCATGTATTAAGAATTATCCACCTCTTTTTCCATTTCCATTCCCTAAAGCTGGATGTTCTTTATTCCAAGACCATATTTCAAATGTTAAGTTTCATCATCTTTTCCTAGTAAAATGTAAACTCTTTTCATTAAGATTATACACACACACACAAAAACCCTGTGATTATAGCATGGACATTGACTGTCAAAACAATTTTTTAAAACAAGCAATAAAATAAGTGGTTGTGGTTATTTTCATCTCTAAATCAAGGAAAATATTTTCAAGTGATAGGTAAGTTTTACAGAACAAACACAGAAAATTTGTACAGAAAAATTACAAAAACACTAAGTACTGTTACAGATGACTGGGTTGGCATTTAACAGGCTGAAAGAAACCAGATCAATCTCAATCTTGCTGGGGTCAATTCAGGTGCTCAAACAAATAAAAAAAAAATTTTTCTTTATGTTTGTGTACTAGAGGTGCTAAAATATTAACCAAGTCTGCAAATGTCATGCACGATGAAACCATTTATAAATATTAAAACATATTTAAAATACATATTTGTATCAAAATCTGGTTAATAAAAACAGATAGCAGATGTAATATATCATTAGGACAATATCACTAAGGAAAAATAAAATATAAAATACCATACTTCCCCCACAAAAAAAAGCAGGAAGAGAAAGAATGGATTAAGCAAGATATTTAGGTATAATTTGATCATTTTAATCCCAGAATTTATAAACAATACTAGAACAAAATCTATCATTAGCTAATATAATAAAAATATTACAGGTAAAATAGGTTAATATAATTTTCTTGCAATGACTTTAAATTACTGTTTTCCTTCCAATCCGTAAGATCTATTCTGTCATATGCAGATCACAAGGCCAAACAAAAAAACAAGGCAAATACACATACCATCCAATCAACATAAAGAGATAAGAAAATCAGAAACAGGGTACAAAATTATAAATGCCTCACAATCCAATCAAAATTGGATTTCTATATGCATATTCAGTGTCTAAGTGGTAAAACATCACAAGATTATCAACTCAGCTTTTTGCTCTATAAAAACAAGTTGGACATGACTCTGAGTATCTGTACTGGAATACCATGTGCTAGAATAAAGAAAATTTATATTTAAAAGCTTACGAGACACTTGTTCTATTACAAAGACACGTTCCGGTATTCATGTGCAGTGTTTTGTAAAGTACTTTATTTCCATTAGCATTATAAATTTTTGTTCTTCAGCAAATCAGCTACAGAATAATGGCACAAATCAATATTGTACTCTTCACAGAAACTAATATTAGGTCATTTATTATAGCAAAGGCCACTAGAATCTCAGCTAAAGGTATATCAGGCATTTCCATTTGAACACCATTTTTTAAAATGAATGTGTCACAGGCTGAATGAGTGTTTTCTTTTATAAAACAGTCCTCTTAGACTTAAGTATGTACAACTTCTTAAAGCAGATGGTAAGTGAACACCTCTAAGAAAGTCAGCTACGCCTCCTAGGGGCCTTGCCACCAACTACAACTATAGGAGAGGTAATGAATTTCTGCACTGAAGGTATAAAGATAGGGAGAGACTTGTGAATGAGAAAAGGGGGACATGAAGAAAGATCTAAAGTTATTTCAAAGCCTTTCAAGCCCAGCAGTTTTGCCTCAGGGGCCTAAGTGGGATGAGAGAGAGAGAGGCAGGTGAAAATCACACTGGATGGACTCCCCCATCTCCTCACTGCTATACAAGGGACATGTGATTGAATTTCCACATGCTTCACTCCTTGCTTTGTTCCACAAAATGGCAAACTGTCATGGGGTTTCTACTGACATCCTGAGCGCAGGCTGTTGGCTCCATTGTTAGAGGACCGCTTGTGCGGAGGAGTTCCCTGGTAGCAGGAAGTGACTTCATCCTGCGGAGCTCCTAACATACAGAATTAACTTGATAACAGGGAATTTTCTGTTTATTACTTAGAAGTAAAGTCTAAATAACCAATCCATCCAAGAATACTTTCATTTTTAATTTGCCACTTGACTAATGTTCAAGACTTATTAAAAAGATAAAAGAAAACTCACGAGAATATTAAATGTTAACTCAAAGAACCCAAGTCACATGGAACGAATTTCCCTTTTAGATAGTCATGACTGATTAAGAACAAATTCCATTGTTATTCCATTAGGTTAGTGGCCAAATATAGATAAGTAGAACAGTTTAATGCTGCTAAATACGTGATCAGTCTAGAGCGCTTAAAATTAAGCTCAATAGCTCTGACTCTCTGGAAGAAAAAAGAGGAACAAATCTCTCAGGTCCCAATGAAACACTGCAAACAGATACACTACGGATACAGTGTGCTTTGCATAATATAGTTTGTCTTAGACAAACTCTTTCTGCCTCACAATATAAAGTATCACACAGAAGTAGTTTTCATATATATCACTCAGTCATAATTTAGTACTTCCCCTTCTAATCACAATGCATAATCATTTCCAATTGGCTTTGTGAACACTATAAGACAACTATTACAAATATTTTTGAAGAAACCTCATCCTTTAGTTTTAGCTGGTTCATAAAACAGGCATTACAAAAGGGGTATTTTAGAATTATTGAGTTCTTCATGAGTAACTTTCCCGTTCTTTCACCAATTAGAATACTCTTGCTCAAAAAGAAAAGACATCCAGAATACCACAAAGGAGATAGGAAAGTAGTCCAGCAAGCAGAAAGTGAGGAACCAAGAGGGACAGCACAGGGTGCTTACCTAAAGCTTAGGTATATTTTTATCAGAGAGCTCTTATTCTTAGCCAGTTTACTCTTATTTTACATTTAACTCAAGCTTGGTTGCCTGGCATCCACACCCCTACAACACTAGAAACAGTAAATTCGAAATCAGGGTAAAAGCTGCTAAAGGTGAAAGGTAGCAGCCCAATAGCAATAAAAATTGGTAACAATTACTAGACAATAAAAAAGAGGAGGAAGGAAAATTAGTAAAAACTACTATATAAAATGTAAGAGGCATTATCAATCTGGGGACTTTTCCATTCAAATAAAGAAGTATATTCTCTTCAATAAGCAAGTGGTGGTAATTTCACAGCATAGGCCAAAACAATAACTCTGGCTAGTGAATAGAGGATGAAAAAGCCAAAGACTTTTTGAAATATTTCAACAAAAAAAGGATGTATTTTTAAAAAATAACCTGAGCATTTAGTAATTAAAAAACCCTTAGTCATCTAGAAAACCATTCCTTAAAAACAACTATCTCACAGAATTGCAAACACTGAGGCATATATAAAAAGAGAAAGAAGGAAGAACGCTGTGTAGTTTAAGGCCTTTGGGCGGGGGAAAGACTCATACCATGTTTATCAAACTCTCTCCCTATCCTTCCCCCCGTCCTCTTCCTACGAACAAACCCTAAAAATATCGGCCTACCAAAGAATACACTAATATTTAAACTATTTTTACTAGCTACAATATCCTTTTCAACTCCCTCTGTAACACAGTTTCATCTTACCTTCTTGTATAGTGTTGGTCCATCCACATTTGTGCTCAGAATGACCACTACTTTATAATCATCAGAAAAGTGACTTCAATTCCAGGTTAAAATAGGTACTACAGTGTGGCTTGTTGAAAGTCAAACCCAAAACATTTACTAGGAGTGTCTTTCATTGAACAAAGAAAGCCTATTCTGTTTCCAAGGGGGATAAAAAGACGAGCCTAACCCTGGTAACCTTAACACAAAAGGAAGCTAAAAAGGCAGGGACTCGATAAGAACAAAGGATTGTGCTTTCTGATGACATCAATACGTATTAAACACGATGTGTTACACATCCTTCTATCAATATCTGAGATGATACATTTGCAAATTAATACTATGTTGGCCATAACTGCATAAAATTACAACGGCACCCTCTTTAGAAGAGATTTTGATTTATATAATGGTAGTGACTTTTATGTGTTTAATGTTTCTGAAACTAAAAGAGGAGATGAGCCCCTGTGAGCAGGCAGAATACAACGTACAAGAAATAATTACGCTTGTGACCTCATGCCCTGTAAGGTCACTCTGCGTTGCAGGCCAAAGGAAATCAGGAACCATCAGCATTTGCCTCAGAGTCATCACCAACTGAAATGAAGGGCAAGTGTGGGCATATTTCATAAACCAGCAGGTGCTTGACCTCATAAAAAAGTCAATTCTCAAAATGCTACAAGTAGAATATCACAAATAAGAGACATATAAAACTGGGTTCTGCCAAACAGCTTCACTTCAAAATAAATCTGAGACAACTCATAATATTTATCTTCATCTGAATTATAATGCAAAAATTTCAGAAAATAACATTAATCCCTATTTATTAGGTTGGTGCAAAAGTAATTGTGGTTTTTGCCACTACTTTTAATGGCAAAAACTATTTACTTTTGCACCAACCTAATAGTAACAATAACCAATAAAATTTTTAAAAAGTGTTTTTGGAACATAAAAGCAACAAACATGCTAAAGACTGAGGGCTCAGACAAGAATTATTATATTTCTATAAGTCAGTATTACAAGAACGTATGCCATATTATTTAAGTCCATTACCATTAGTATAGGAATCACAATGCACTTATCCTCAATTTATCTATCAGAAATTAAGCAGCAAAAGTTTACATACTCACGATATTTTTAAAGGATAAAATAGTATTTCCTGACTGGTTCAAGAACAGAGCACCATTATCTGAAACAAAATTCTCACAGTACTCAATTAGGGCTTGACTCTTTTTTGTTTCTTTGTTTTGTTTTTTTTTTTGGAGATAGAGTCTCGCTCCTGTCACCCAGGCTGGAGTGCAGTGGCGCGATCTTGGCTCACTGCAACTTCTGCCTCCCGGGTTCAAGCAATTCTCCTGCCTAAGCCTCCCGAGTAGCTGGGACTACAGGTGCACGCAGCCATGCCCGGCTAAATTTTGTATTTAGTAGAGACTGTTTTTCACCCTGTTGCCCAGGCTGGTCTTGAACTCCTGAGCTCAGGCAATCCGCCCGCTTCGGCCTCCCAAAGTGCTAGGATTACAGGCGTGAGCCACTGCGCCCGGTAAGGACTTTATTCTTATAACAATCTGTGAGCTGGCTTTTCAGTTAAGACAGACTATTGCTCCTTTTTCTTCCCCAGTGATCTCCAGTCTGGCAGTGATCTGCCAGAATCCCTGGGCAATATAAATTAAAGTGAATTCTGAGGCAGTGGCAATAAAGAGAACAAAACTATAGAAACCAACATAGAAAAGGAAAGGTACAGCCAGCCAACGTTCTGTACTTGTATTATGCACTTTACATTAAAAGCGTTACAAAGAGTTTCTCTTTTCATGCTCTCCTGTCCTGAGAGCCAGGCATGGTGGTGTGCACCTTTAGTTCCAGCTACTCAGGAGGCTGAGGCGGGAAGATCCCTTGAGCCTAGGAGTTCAAGTCCAGCCAGGACAACACAGCGAGACCCTGTCTCTTTAAAAAAAAAAAAAAAAGAAAAAGAAAAAAAGAATCCTGAGAAAAGCAACTGGCTCATTGTTTTCCTTACATTCTCAAACTAACCTGCAAACGGCTTTTTATTGCATAATGTACCTAAATAAAATATAGAAGATCCCAGTCAGTAAGACCAGATGCTTTATCATCTTAGTCCCAGCCCAATCACTTACGGACTGTGAAGTAGAGATAGTTACCACCCACATTAAACTTCATCTCTAAGATGAAGAGCTATCACAGTCCATCAGCCCAGTATGCCATTCTGCTCTTCAGGTAAGAGCGTTTTCTGATTTTCAGACAAATATGTAAGAAAAGGACTCTTAGACAAAGCTCAATTTTAAGTTAGGAGCTGCCAAGATTGCTTAGGGAATTATTGCATTTTGTAAAGTGCCTAGAATTATTAAATTATAAGAAAATATCTGATGGGTGGTATATTTGTCAGATATATTGTTTAATATTTTGCCCATTTTCAAAGAAGATTCTTATGCTAGAAACAGGTTTTGCATTTCTAAAGCAATACTTTACGATGTAACTTGCCACAATGATCATCTCAAACATTAATGACAATGGTAGAGGCGATTTCAGTACAAGCACGTTGATGGCAGGTGTGGGCTGTCTACCAGCTGGCTCCATAACCTTTTGATCCCTTCGGACAGCAAATCTGTTCAACAGCCCTATGTGGTCATTCCTCATTTGTTGTAAGCTTTCTTCTCCTTTCATACGTTCAGAATCCCTACTCCCTTAGCCTGACACCCTTTTATTAAAATAGAAAGCTCACAGTAAAGCAAACTAAAACGAGTTTAACACTCAGTCAATGTAGAAGTTCCAGAAAAGATTAATGTATTATATCAAGAGTTGTCAGTGCATGTTTCAGTTACATGTAGAATGCATGTTTGTCTTTCACAAAAAAAAAAACAACAACAATAAATGACAAGATCAAAGTTTTAAGTAAGCCAGCATTTAGCTAATATATGAAGTACTCTGGGATACTATAATCAAATACAAAAGACTTACATAAATACAAAACTTAAATATACAACATAAACATAATACATAAACAGAAAGGTTTAAATATGACATAAGAACAGCCTACTTTATACTTAAACAGTGACCAGACCCATCAAAGAGTCATTTTCTTACAATTTTTGTGACTCCATTTTGTTGTCGTTAACTGTAACACGGCTGCAAAGAACAGTGTCTGAAAGCAATATTAGTTAAGCTAAGTATCTACTCATTCTTCCATCTTCATCCCCATTTAAGATCCAAGGATGCCAGAGCAAGCAAGATGGAATAAATAGTGATTAATATACGTTCTCACTTATAAGTGGGAGCTAAATTCTGAGTATGCAAAGTCACACAGAGTGATATAATGGATTATGGAGACTCAGAAGGGGAAGGGTGGAGGAAGGGTGAGGGATAAAAAAAGCTACGTATTGGGTATAATGTACAGCAATGTGCACCTTTACCCTCCAGGTGAAGGCTGCACTAAAATCTCACACTTTACCACCTTACACTCCATCTATGTAACCAAAAACCATTTATACACCAAAAGCTATTGAAATAAAAAATAATTTTTTAAAAAAAGGAATAAATAGTGGTTACAAGAATAAGTTTTGGAGTCTGTCACTTAGTAACTGAGGGACCTTCAGAAAATTCTTTAATCTCTCCTGGCCTCCCATTTACTCCTCTGAAAGAAAACAAAAGGCTGGGGGCAGAGGCAGGCCGTGATGGCAATAGTGGGTACTTTACAAGGTTATTGTAATGGTTAAATGAAATAACGTAGACCAGATACTTAGCAAAGCCTGACGCAGACAAAGTGTCCAATTAATGGTAGGTATTACTATTTTACTTATATTTTATTCTCTCTGGGCCTGCTAACACACCTCTCTCCAAACAACATACACAGTTCTGGCACTGCTTCAGGGAGTAATTTGTGGCTATATTTTGCCTTTACCTTGTAGCTAACTTATTCTCTTCTTCCCAGGAATAAAATAAAAAGGCATCCACTACAATTGCTAATGGCATCTCTTTTTCCCAACGTTTTTCTCTGTCAAGAATACAACCCTGTACTAATCTTTGGTGTTTTTCTTAGACCTTTATAAGCAATCAATAATCAAGTCTTAGAAATTATCTTTTATTCTACCCTATCTACATTTAGGTCTGGTTCCCATAACCTCCCTTCTGCAATAGCCTGCCAGCTAGTTATTCTACTTTAATCAATTTCCCTACTTCACACGAGTCCATTTGGAATAAAGATGTCTTAAAAGCACCAATGTCTCAATATTTCCATAATAGCATTCTTATTTTTAAAAAAATTCTTTAGTGATTTGCCATTGCCTATTTTCACCTTCAAACAACTCTGTAAATACTATAGTCATAGTTTGTCCTTAATTTTGGGGATCTTATATTCAATAAAGCTTATGATGAGATGATCATCTAACTATATTTTCTGGAATATTATAAAGTTAATGCCCACAAATTATGAACAAAGAACACTTTTTCCGGACTACCTTCTCATCTACTCAAAGACAAAGTTCTTTTCATCCCAATTTTATTTTTTTGAAACTCTTTTTTATATTCTGGAAATTTGAAAATCTGCACATATTTTTAAAACAATCTTAAGCCTAATAACTTAGAGTCTATATGTCTAGATGCCTTGTTTTTTTTTTTAACTTAATTTGCTTTATTAAAATAGAAAAATTTCCAGAAAGCAAATGATAACCTATATTCACTAAGTAAATATTTTATTGCTCAAACAATTAAGAATTTTCACTGGAGCTGTTAATGTGTGATACTTCGGCTATAAGTGAAATAAATATTTGCATTTTTATAGATTATAAAGTATTTAACAAAAGTATTATGCTTACTATGGGCTAGGAATTGTTCTACGCACTTAACAAAGATTAACTCATGCCACACACATAATAACCCTATAAAGTCCTATTATCATCTTTATTTCATCTGCGATAAAACTGAGACTAAGAAAGCTTAAGAAAAGTGCCCAAGGTCACATGCTTGATTAAACATCCACTAGAGTCACCACTGGCAAAGATCTGGTAGAGTTTAAACCAGATATAAAAGTTATAAACCTTTCTGAATTTTGTTTTCATTTTCCTTCTTGTATAATAATGTACTGTCCATCTTGACATGTGTAATGAGTATTTCATTACAAAGAATAACTGGTATTGGCAAAAGGTCATTTAAAATGAGTCCACCTAAAACCCAGGCCAAATTTTCATAATAAAAAGTTTTTTTTAAAGTTTCACTCACACTTTATCTTGCAAAACTGAAAATTTATCTTACAATGAATATAATTTAGGGTAAAATTTTAATTTTAATTCAATATAATTTAGGGTAAAATTTTTTAATCAATATAATTAAGAGCAAAATTAAAATTTTATTTGACTCAATTATATTGATTATAATTTAGTCACTTAGTAACTGAGGGACCTTAAAAAAATTATTTAGTAACTAAACTGTTTTTAGAAAAATATAAAACAAACCAAACAAAAATACAAAACCAACCAAATGATGAACTGGGAATGAGTATGCTCATTATGATAGCAAAATACAACTCTTTTCCAATGCACATTCAATGTAGCAACATAATTATAAAGCTTTTATTTTGCAAAAGAATATTCAAAAAATTTCAACAATTTTTCTAATCCTTTCAAATTATACTCTTTTGAAAGATTTATCCATCAAAATCCTTCCCAATTTTCTCTTTGTAAATATTGCCTGAGTCTAACTCTATCAGATCTTTGTTTTTCTAAGGATTCACAATCCCAACTTTAACTAGCAAGAGAGTTTGCCTTGTATCTGCACTTGCATATCATCAGATCCATATCGAACAAGCTGGCATCCATAAGCATAATAATGCAATGGGCGGAGGCACATGTTAGTACTAGAGTAGGATGTTTGATGGGGAATTCATTTATAAAAGTCAGTTCATTAATGAATATTTTGATATAGACAGCCTTTGCCTTTTGTTTTTTAAAGCAAGTTCCAAACTACAGAGATTCAGAAAATAATAAAGTGAATTTGAGGATCTGTTCTTTTCACTTTAAGGTCAGTGACTCATTTTTGTTGATGGGTAGTAGCATATATATTTGTGAGTACAGGTACCTTTTCTACATATTCCTGCAAAGCTTTGTAGAGAAGCATGAGAACTCTTACGTGATATGACGTGGTCTATGTACTGAGGTAAGTAAGGAGCCCAGGCATCAATGGCTTCCTTCCTGCCTGCCTGCTCAATTCTTCTCAGTTCCGCCAGAAGCAGGGCCTGCGCGGCTTCTCTCACCTAAGACCACAGACCCAAATGTAAAAGCAGAAAGCAGATTAGTTGAGGAGGTGAATATTCATAAACTAGAAAATTTATAATGAAATAAGGCTAGAAAACATAAAAACCATATTTATTTACATGAAAAACACTATTAACCGAATGAGTTAACTACTTAAAAATCAGATGCTAGCAAATCATCAAAGATATTTTAATTAATGATTTCACTGAAAACTATTTTAACACTAATGGAAAGAATTAGGTTTCAACAATTTAATCACTGCATTTTCCAAAGCATTCTTGAACTTTAAAACTGCATTTTCCAAAGCATTTTTGAACTTTAATGTAGCATTTTACTTTTAAAATTTCTATATTAACATTATTGTTAAGCCACTGTGAGAGCTATTGTTTTTTTAGCTTGAAGTTAACCTTATCTATTTAATTTCTTTATATTATATATGCTAAGTAGATACTATTTATACAAACAAATACGTATAAGTTAACATGATTCACGTATACCTAAGACATGCTTAAACAATGTTTTTGACAAATAAATATTCCTGTATAAAGGCATAACTTATTTTAGTTTTATAGAGGAAATCATTTTTCAAAATTATATATTTTTCTTTCAATGTAGCATACAAATTTTATTTTGCAGTTTTAATTTAGTGTTATTTTGGCAAAAATGCCACAGGCATGAAGTCAAAAAAGCTAGTCAATTATTAAGTGCTGTACCAATTTATTAACTTTTTCTGAGACCAAGTGTTGCCCTGTTGACCAGGCTGGAGTGCCATGGCGTGATCTCGGCTCACTGCAACTTCCACCTCCCGGGCTCCAGTAATACTTGGGCCTCAGCCTCCCAAGTAGCTAGGACTACAGGCGTATGCCACCACGACCGGCTAATTTTTTTTTGTATTTTTAGTAGAGACAGGGTTTCACCATGTTGCCCAGGCTGGTCTCACCCACCTGGGCCTCCCAAAGCGTTGGGATTACAGGCATGACCCACATCACCCGGCCTATTAACTCTTTATAATTGAAAAGATAACTTAGCAGCATCTAAATAAAAACAACTTTTTTACTGGTACTTTTAAGTATAAGTGACTTCTGAAGTGAATTCAAAATATTATTCAATGAAAATGCTAGTATTCTGCAATCCCATTTGGAGTTGAGAGGAGAAAGTCTAGGAAAGAAGCAATTATATTACTCGTACTTATATTTGGAAAATTAAGAATCCTGGATAATATAAACTGCTATGGCTATACAGGTCGAATGCCATAATAAGGAAAATCTTTATTAAACATTTTCAAGTGCTTGGTAATATTATATTCCAAGTAATATCTAATATAGAATAAGGCCATTAACACAAAATAGTGGCTACCATTTAGTGAGCTCCTACCATGTGTCAGGTACTGTACTTCCTGTTTTACTTGCATCATCTGATTTGATCCTGACGGCAATCCCATGAGGAATATATTATTATCCCCACTTTATAAATGAGCTTTAAATAGGTTAAGTAAATTGCCCAGGGTCACAAAGTTCATAATTGGTGGGACTGATATTTAAACCCAGGTGTCTTCTAATTCCAAGGCCTCCTTTTACAATAACACACTACCTTTCACTGAAATATGGCAATTGAATTAGAACTTAATTTATGTGATGACACTGAGTGTGTAATTCTGGGGGAAGCAGGTTTATGTATTTGTTTATGCATGAGTGTGTGTGATCCGTACAGAAACCAAACTTAAGAAATAGTTCCATAAAGTATATAAGACTTCATCAAACAGTCACTGAATTCTTTAAAAGTAAACGAATAAACCAGCTGGAGCATTACTGGTTGGTATAAAAGCTGACAAAGAAGAAAACATAAATCATGAATCCACATTTTCTATCACATAATGAACAGATGATAAATCAGATAAACAGTAATCATTTTTGTTTCAAGTTTACATTTGACCAATGCCTTTTTAATATTTTTGTTTTCTATCCTTATCACTTTAGCATTACCTCCAAGCATCGATCTTGCCATCTTCGGGCCAGCATCTCCAGAAGGGGAGGCCTAAATTTATCCAATCCCAGTAGGTCTGGCAGCATAACACAGTGCATAGCAGCTAACTGACTCCAACCTGTCAAAAATGTAATATATTACAAATTCTTTAACCATTTTGGCATTCCCTAAGTCAACAGTTCTTTATGTAAGTATACCAAAAACAAAAAAAGGCAGATCTGCTAAGTTATATTACAAATGATTTCAATTTAATAGTAGACACTTTGTGCAAAGAATTATACTAAACGTATTTCATCCCTAAATCATGTAATTGGTGCCTATAAGAATTCTCAACATCTTAAAAGAAATAAAAATAAATTTCCACTGGAAGTATATCCAAATTCACAAGAAAAACACATTTCTTAACAGTCCCTCTAAAATAAAATATATATTAAAGAATGGCAAAACACAGAAATAAACACATACTAGAGCTATAGATTTGAAACCACTGTCAGTTAAAAGGGCATTCACACAGATATCCAAAAATAGGTTCATGTCACTTAAGGCATGGCCATCTGTGTGTTACCACTGTGTCAGCCAAAAGAGATGTCCTCCATTTCTGTCAGAGGACCTCTCATTAAGGTACCTTTTCTTACAAAATGAATCAGATTAAATATCTAACCATAATATCTAATATTTAAAGTAACATAACCCCCAATTTGGAAAGAAAAAAATGAATTCAGACATTCCACAAAATAAAAACCTAACAATTCAAAATTTACAAAATCTTAAACATTGTTAAACCTAATCTATGACAATAAAAGTGACTTTTTCTAAAATTCTAATTCACAATATGGAACTTGATTATAGGAAAAAAAGACAAACACTGTATGCCAGTGCAAAGTGTAAAAATATTAGATAACAGACATTCCCAAATAGTCACTCCAATGCCATTTTAAAGGTATGTGAAAATAGATACACAATAACTGAAGTATTAGATAACAGACATTCCCAAATAATCACTGCAACCCCATTTTAAAGGTATGTGAAAATACATATACAATAAATTCCTCATTCTTACCAAATTATCGATGAGGCCACTATTAACCCATGATAATTACCATTACCTCCTAGGGATAATATTTAAAGACAAGTAATCAAAGATGGGTGCAAAAAAAAGTCTGCTATCATGTTACAAGATGAATTATCTGTGAAGATAGAATTTTAGCAAATCAGTGTTTTGAAATAATCTAAACTGTAATCTTCTTAAAATAATGACAAAAACCTTACCATAAAATTTTAAATTATTGGAATTGCCAAAGAGAGTGAATGAGAGCGGGAGAGAGACAGACTGACAAGCCACTTATCTAAAGATTCATCCTTTCAGTGAGGAAATTCTCATCAACTGATAATAAACATGTAATTACATTAATTAAGGTGATGGAAACACATTTTAGATTATAACTTCTTTATAATAGAGGGAGATATACTTTAGATATACATATATGTATATACCTAGTAATTTCCTAAAGTATTTCAATGTTTCATATAAGTATAAAGTGTATTCATGAGCTAAATTTTAACATATGGTGATTCTCACCAAGGTCCAAACAGCTTATTTTTTGAATTAACAAATAGTGTAACAAATATGACCCAAATTATTTTGGTAAAGTTCGAATTTTGCTAAAATTCGGTCTTAACATACAAACCTTATTAAAGTTCTATGACAAGGAAACCAAAAATGAAGTTACACTTTTAAGTCCCCATGTTTTCTTTCCAAAGGAGTGGTGCTTGCAACATGGGCTCTGTACTTTATGGCCACTGGAAGATTCCAGATTGCAAGATTCCTTCCATTTGAAAAATGCTTTTTCATGAAGAGCCAGGTCTTACTGTTATATTTTTGATTTTGAAAATGTCTTCCTTTTTATGTTATGCAAAGTGGTAACTACAAACGCAATGAAGACAGTGGATGTAACTCAGAGCTCACGTTTCATTAAGCTTCTGGGCAGTACAAATAATCCTAGATAGGTCTTATGGAATAAAGGTTTGTAGGTCCCATTCCCATTTTCAGGGCTCCAAAAATACTTTCGACTTGTGTAACTCCACAGAGATAACATGGTAGCCCAACTACGCCTTAAATACTGAAATAATGAATTTTTGCCTGAGCTTAAAACAGAAATAGTAAAGAGGGTAAATAGGTAAATTCCTATCAGTCTATAATCACTGGTGCCAATAATCAATCTGAAGACTTTTCCAATGAGAATGTTAAGAGATTCCCTCACAACTCCCTCTAACTGGCATACACAATTGTGAAAAGGCAGCAAAGTGTGTCTGCCACCAAGTAATGATACATATAAAATAAATTCATTAGCTCTAATGCCAGAGATCAAATGGCAAACATCATTACAAAAACCAATCCACCTTTATCACTGACTTTACATCAAAGATTGGCATCTCTGCACTTAACAGTAGTCTAGATTATAGAAAACATGGATTATACCAGCCAGAGGTAACATTACATTTTTAAAACTGGTTCTTGTCATTGACATTAGCAAATAAAGTCATAAAATGGGAACTTTAGAATCTCATACATAACAAAGCAGATGAATGTGTAACTCAGATAAAAAGAACATGTCTGTCAGAATAAAGCACAGATTGAGAGAAAGTTGTTAGAAGTTGAGAGAGATACCTTCATTTACTAAGAAACAGGTATGTAAAGCAGGAGCAGAAGGAGGGTCAGAGCCAGAGTGATCAGCATCAGACCGAGCGGAAACGACAGGTGCAGCAACTTGCAGAGGAAAAGAGAAGAAGTAAAGAGGAGAGAATTGAAGTACAGCAGTTTCTGAAAAAAAGCTTAGTATTAGTGAAGAATGAAAAACAAAGTAGGCAAAACAGAGAATGTAGAACTGAAACGATGTTTTCATCAGAAAGGCATGATCATTAAAGATTACAGCAGAAAAATGATATATTTTATTGAACAGTAATCACAATATAGTTCAAATTCATCTTAGAGTCAAAATCTAATATTCTGATGAATGTATTGACTAATGCAAAACATAGCTCTAAAACAACTAGAGCCATCATGAAAAAATGACAGTAAAAATTAGCAAAAATGTTATTCAATTTTTAAAATGTATCACGATGAAAAAGCTTTATGTTGGTCTTCATATTGTCAGTTACATTTTCCTAACAGTTTATTCTCTGACATTATGTGTAAATTATTTTTAAATTTTCAAACCAATATTCACTAAGATCATTTCAACTTTTCACACTTATTTTATGAAAACTCAATTTAAAATATCCCAACTTGCAAAGAATATATATACCATGTTTAACTCTTGTTAAAAGAATCCTAACAGGTTCATTCATTGGAGTTTTTTTTTTTTAATTATTTCACAAATACTCCCTATGCTAAAAAAAAATTTTTGTGAATTTTATATTTCTTATAGAGGTACCAATTCACTCCCTAACCCCTCAAGAAAGTTATGTTGCCAAGAAAATGTTTCAGCTTAAATTATCATACGAAAAAGCAAAAGGACCGTATGGCACACACATTCTACAACTGGAGGTCAATGTTAAGATTTAGAGGTCACCATTTGACACTTCTTTCCTATGGCGAAATTACCATATGTCATGCACAAGCATCTTCAAATTAATCCCTCTCCTTTCTTCTGTCATTGAACAGCAATAGGTTTGGGCTCCTGAACAGATTAAGCATTGTCTGCTGAATGATATGTTTGCTTTTCATGCAGTGAAGTTCTTTTGTGACAACAGAACAGCTGCATGAAAACAACTTTTTCATAATTTCCACACGAATGCATCATAATGTCAATCAGGCACGTGTGAGGTAAACAGTAGAACGAAAAGAAGTCCATGAAAAATAACACAAAAAGCAACTCTAACTCCATAAACCCTAAGAAGCACGTCTTGCACAAATGAAAGTTTCATCTAGGAAATTATAATTCTTTATTATTATAAGAGATCTGATTTTTGTTCCTTATGAAATTAAAATTATTTTACAATGTTATACTTATGAAATAAATAGAGCTACTTTTAATTCTATATTTCATAAGACCTACAAACTCCATTACAAAGTAATCTTGCAAAGAAATCCCAAATATTTCTATATTCCAGGGAATAATTTTATCATTTTTAATTACAAATTCAGTGATTATGACTTATAAATTATTCATCCTCCATGCAAAAAGTTGGTAAGCCTTGGTAGCCAGGAGTAAATTTGCAGGTTTTAATTTTTGTTCTGCCAAAATGTTCCTCTGGTGGCTTCAGTTAGGACTTTTCCATAATTTCACTTTTTCAAAAATGGGGAGAAATTGTTATCCCTGGAAAGGCTGTGTTAATTTTGCATGGTTTTACTCTTAATTCTGAAAGGACAATAGAATGAGAGGGTGAGGAAATTCAATACAAATGAATAAAAGTTTAGGATTGAGTGGTCATTACCCTAACACAAGTCAAATAAGTCGTGGGATTAATGATTCCTATAAGGAACAAGTGTAAAAGGAAACTAGAAACGTTACTGGCAGAAATGCTAGAATAGGCGTATGTCTTAATAGAATATTGTTTAACATATTAACTATTTTTAAGGAAAGAAAAAAACAGATTCTCGATATTGTATTTTTGAAGTCATATTTAAATGACATTTCATTTAGAAAAAAAGGCATTTACACTCATCCTTTAATAAATTTTATGGGCACTAAAAATCAAGAAAAATATTGTAATAGAAATCAAAGAATCAGATTTACTATGCTTTAAAAATCTCTGCATCACCACCAAAAAATACTTCATTCACACTACCTCACAACTGAAATGGCAAAATCTACAGCACTTTCAAAATTCATCAGGAAATTAAACTCTGCTACAGCTTTCACAACTATCTACATAAGAAAAATCAGCAATTAGCAGAAAAAATTACTTCCAAGATAAAAAGCTCAAGATTTAATAAATAATAAATCTGAAGTTGCATGGGGCACTGAATATGAAAGATTTACACCATAAAACATAATCAAGCATTTGATTTCTTAACAGAAAAGCTGCTATGTCACCTATCAATTTGCTTCTCTTATTAAGGATTGGGAAAACAGCTGTAGCACAGCTTCAACATAGTGACAAAATTAACACAGTTCCATTATTTTATCTGAGCCGCTTCAACTGCTTACTCTCATAAGAAAAGACAGGTGAAGATAAATAAACGTGTGTGACAACGTGTATATGCACACATCTGCCCTGGCCTCCCCTTACATAGCACATACATATCCAATATTATAACATCCCTAGATTCTGCTTCTCAACAGGAATATTTGAGTTTTTAATTGAAATTTGATTCTAAACTCCATTTAAATTTGATTCTAAACTACTCCTATTGTGATATTAAAATATTTATAGGACAGAAAGTTAACATACTTCGGGTGCTCCATACATATTGGTCTAAATCTCATTATCTTCCTAGCACATAAACACAAGTAGCCCTTTTCAATACATTTTTCAGAGAAAAAAATTTTTAAAGTACAAAAAAATGCAATGTTTAAAAAAGTAAGTTTTTTTCAAAGCTTAATACTAAAAAAAGAATACAATTATTTAATGATGAGTCCTTTTAAAGTATTTCATGGTAATCACGATGTTATGGGGAGGGTGGGTGAGGGGAGAGAAGAAGGAAGAGAAGAAAGAGAAAACATGAAAAAATTAGAAGTTAAGAAGCTTTGTAGAATTAACCACCACGTACTTAACATAAAGGCATTCGGCACTGAGTCTGCATCTAGTCCAGATATTATAGAGCAACATTTGGCTTTTTATAAGTTTTCTTTTGTGTCAATACTTTTATGTTTTAGGTAGATGGGCATTTTAGCCACCTTATAAATCAACATGAAACATTTGGATAAATCATTAGTTCAGGTTTCATTGCCTCTTTTTTAATGCTTGACTTTTTGAGGTACAAAACTAGATAATGCAACAACCTGTTTGGTTATGTATAATATATCATATCTCCAATGCTTCATGCAATTGCCATAATTAATGCACTAACTTTGCTATGAATGCAATATTGGCAAGAAAACTAATTCTCCTTCCAATTCCTTTTGTTATCTGAAAAATTCCCATTCGATATTTCCTAATGCCAAAAAGATTACAAAAAGCTATACCAATACATTTAACTATCATCATGAATAGAAGGTTTGAAAACAAATACATTAGTAATGAATGATAAAAAAAAAAACTTCTCTTTAAAGAAAGGAAGCCTCCAACCTTGTATGTGTAGTAATCATAAAGACTGTCTTGAAGCCCCGTTACAATGCTACCCTTTAGCATCGTACTACCAGACCCAGATAAAAACAAAAGTGCCTTCATAAGGGGCCCTATTTCTATTTCAGGAACCCTGCCTCATTAAATTAATCTACAAAATATGTCCAATAAGCTAGAGCTATTTTGTTGTTATTATACAAGAAGGCACTGTGCTTTAATTCTGCATGTTTTAATATGTCCAATAGAATTGGCAGCTCATGCAACATAAAGGGCAATAATATAAGCACAGTTTTAATACGTCAAACAGTATTAAAAAGCTCATTTTGAATACAGGATTCCCCTGCCCCATCCCCAAGTATGGCTTCTGATAGGAAACCATTTTCAAACATTTTAACTGTTTCTTACAGCATTTACTTCTATATCATTAAATAATATGCTAATCCTGCAATTTCTTGCTTTACCAAATCTAAACATTAGCTATTGGTTTCCACCAATACTGTGGAAGATGATTTAACTTTGCCAAACCACATCTCCTAACCAATCTCCTTTCCTTTACTCCCAATATAAATATA
Organism: Homo sapiens; assembly: GCF_000001405.40. NCBI lineage: Eukaryota > Metazoa > Chordata > Mammalia > Primates > Hominidae > Homo > Homo sapiens. Next base: position 56,772,745 of record NC_000018.10, on the reverse strand, counting down.
TATACTATCTATATATTATTTTAGATTTTTCTATTATATAGGTATATTTTATATGATATATATCTCTATACGAATAGTCATTTATATAGAGAGATAAATATCTCTATGTCTATGGAAATAATGTTCAATGTTGACTCAAATAGCTTACTAAGATCATACTTCTTTCCTTGGACACCTTGCTGGGGATTTTTTCAGAATTTAAAAATTATATTTTCTCCCCATTTGTCTTCTTTTCTGTGTACCTATTTCTTCTAAGTTAAACCCCTCGATAGCTTCTCAATGATTTTTCACAGAGCAGTGTCATTTTTCCTTGAACCATCTCTTCGGAAGCCATCTCACAGCCCTGCTTGTATCTGCCACGTGGTTACCATCCTGAGACTTTCCTTCACTGTAATCCTTCACTGATGACCATGTCAGGTCACAAGTGCTCCCCTCAATGGGTTTCCCAGTTCCTGGGCCCCATGTTTTATTTTTCCTTGGTTTACTTCTTTATTTTGATGGAGCACATCTTGCAAAACTTTGCTGAGAAAAGGTACTCTATATAGTAATAGTAATTTTTTTAAGACTATGAGTGTCTGAAATTGCTATTATTCTGCCTTTTTGACTGATGGTTTGCATTCAGAATTCTAAAAATGCAAAAATTATCTTCTCTCTAGCTTTTTTTTTTTTTTTTTTTTTTTTTTTTGAGACAGGGTCTTGCTCTGTCACCCAGGCTGGAGTGTAGTGGTGTGATCACAGCTCACTGCAGCTTCAACCACCTGGTCTCAAGCCATCTTCCCAACCTCAGCAACCTGAGTAGCTGGGACTACAGGTGCACACCATCACACCCCGATAATTTCTGTATTTTTTTTTTCTTCTTCTTTGAGATGGAGTTTCGCTCTTGTTGCCCAGGCTGGAGTGCAATGGCATGATCTTGGCTCACCACAACCTCTGCCTCCTGGGTTCAAGAGATTCTCTTGCCTCAGCCTCCTGAGTAGCTGGGATCATAGGTGCGCACCACCACACCTGGCTAATTTTGTATTTTCTAGTAGAGATGGGGTTTCTCCAAGTTGGTCAGGCTGGTCTCAAACTCCAGACCTCAGGTGATCTGCCCACCTCAATCTCCCAAAGTGCCAGGATTACAGGCATGAACCACCGTGCCCGGCCAGTATTTTTTTTTTTCTTTTTTTGGGGGGGGGTGGGGGAGGGTAGAGATGGGGTTTTGCCATGTCACCCAGGCTGGTCTCAAACTCTTGCATTCAAGCAATCCACCTACCTCAGCCTCCCAAATTCCTGGGACTAAAGGCATGAGCCACCACGCTCCACCTTTCCTACACATTTTTAAGAAACACACATCTCCTAACCAATCTTCATCATCCTCTCTTTAGCTTAGGGTTACTATTAAGAAGGCCAATAACATTTTTACTCTTTACATATAACTAATGAAACTGTTAAAGTTAGTCCAAACGTTACAAGAAACCATACAGAGAAAATGAACATCATATAAGTACTATGATCATGAAACAGAGATGTATTTGGAAATTAATGACAAAAGCAATTATATTAGCAGCTATGATAATTTCAAATATGCTACTTACACAATGTTAAAGTTTTGGTGGTATTGGTATTTCTGGACACTGCATTTCATAAACAAATTCCTATCCTAAAAAGTCACTGCAGAGTTCTTGGGCAATATGGACATAATTGTTTGGGTCAGTTGTTGTAGGGAATAAATGAAAAACACAGAGGAAAGTGCATGGTATGTACTAAGTAAATATATTTAGTCATGTTATAAATTCATTAATACCATTCATCATGGTGCTGATACAAACAATATATGCAAACCTTATTTAAGTGATGGACTCATTCATAATATAGACCCTTTCCATTAGATAGGAAACCACCAACTGAACACGTTTAGAAGCAATATAGAAATGCAATGTCCAAAGATTCTTAGGGAAAAAAAAAGGATATCCTTAAAACACCATAAAAGAAGACCACAAAAAACTAAGGGAAATAGGGCAGTACAAAGGTGCAGGCAGCAGAAAGGTAAGGACTTACCAGAGCAGAATGAATTAGCAGCCCAACAGGTACACAAGACAACACATGAAGGTGCTCATAATGTTTAAAAAATACAGTCACACTACTTCACCTGTACATCACCACTGGATTATATCAGAAGTGCAATAAACACAGATGTGATGAAAATTTTACCTTGGCCTATAACTCAAATCAAAAAGTCAAAAAACAAAGTTTCTGTAAAAGGTTTCCCTCATTACTAACGTCCAAAATAAACCAATGAGTTCTCTAAGACCAAGAACCATGGGGAGAGAGTTCATTGTAAAAGATAAATGTATAACATAAACACTAACTTGAATTTGGTATATGAAGGCTATTAAAATTTTCTACTTCACTTAACACTAAATAAGTAACAATTACTATATGTCGATATTGGGCTAAGCACACAAAAACACACAAAGATAAGACAAAGTGTCTGCCCTCAAGGCACTCATTGTCTAGAAAAGCATATAATAACCAATTAAAATATTATCATAAATTGCACTCCTGTGGATTTTCTCCAATAGACATAATAAGCACCTTGAGGGCAGAGATTTGTCAGCCCTTACAGCCTCAGCACGTAGTTATTGACATACTGACTCCAGAAACATAAAGAGAAGGTTATCTGTAGATTCATTCATTCAGTAAATATTTCCTGAGCTCCTTCTATGTATCAGCCACTGTTCCAAGCACTTGGGATAAATCACTAAACAAAGCAGAAAAAAAATGTCCCTACCCTTTGAGCTTCCACAGCAAATCAAAGGTGTACACCAATTAAAAAAAATAAAGGCACAGAAAGTCAAATCCGCCAAATTTTAAGGGATTCTCAGATACATTCCTTAATATGATGTATGGACTCTATGTTAAGTACTGTTTATTTCTCTATAAATCCTGGAAAAGAATAGTGATTAAACTATTGTTTAATTTATATAACTCTTTCCTGAGATAATTTAACAATGACCACCTCTTACTTCTAAGTTTAGACAACCTAAATTGAACCCATTTCTGAAAAATAAAGTTGCAAAGAACATAACATAATCTTAAACTTTACATTGCTTAAACTTGCTTGGGCACCTCCCACTGAGTAAAGATGCAACTACTAAACATAAAGATATGGTCACAATCAAGATAAGCACTAGAGACACAGACCAGAGACTTACGTCATGAGATTAATGAATAGAGAGAAATACAGTACATTAGAACGTAGAACAGTCAGGCACAGAGGCTTACTCCTGTAATCGCAGCACTTTGGGAGGTTGGGGTGGGAGGATCACTTGAGCCCAGGAGTTCGAAACCAGCCTGGGCAATATGGTGAAACTCCATTTCTACAACAAATTTAAAATTAACTGGGCATGGTGGCCTTTGACTATAGTCCCAACTATTCAAGAGCCTCGACTGGAAGTCGAGGCTGCGGTAAGCCACGATTGCACCACTGCGGTCCAGCCTGGACAAGAGAGTGAGACTCCGTCTCAAAGGAAAAAAAAAAAAAGCAGAAAAGCCTAAAGCCATGAGCAGACTTACAGCTATATTTACCATGAATAAAAGTGTGGTTATTTGATAACTCTAATCCCTTTTTCTCAAGTAGCATGTTTCATAAACCGCAAAATCAAGTGTCAAAAAAAATAAACTGTATAAAAAAAAGTAGACAAGTGACAATAAATGTTAATTATTGACAAACATTGAATTAACAAGTCCACTGTTAGGCAAAATAAACCTCTTGTGAAGATACTATTTTCCAATGAAGTGCCCTAATATTGGTTATGGAAAATTATATAAGCTGAACTATCTTAACTATCTTTATTCTCAAACCCAAATGTCTATCAAAGTTCCAATCCCCAGCTGAAGTCTTTACTTCATATAGATTATTTGGCAGCTGAACAAGTATTAGCCAACATGCAAGTGACAGCTTATTGAAAAGACGCATATTCATGTTTGCAATACAACTTAAAAAGACATTGTAAGTCAATGTGCACAGTAGAGGAAGTCAGGAAATAAAAAACATAAGAGGAAAATGTTTAGAAGCAAACCAAGCTAAGAAAAGCCAAAGTAGAAAGATGAAAAAATAATGCTCTAACTGCTGAAATATTAGACAACTCAGAGTCCTTTGTATCTCTTACCACTTCCAACCCTAAATTGGTTATTTATGTTCATGTTACCGACTAGACACATACTACTCAAGAGAGTACATGTCAGACCAATCTCTCTAACCTCCCTAACAAGAGTTGTTAGGAGACAAAAATAACTTAATATTTTTGAGAAAACAATTAACACTATATATTTATTTCAATATTAAAATAGAAAGTGAGCTTCATAATGGTATTCTAAAGTATTTTACTATGTAGCTCTCTCTCAGTAGGAACTGCTGGCCTTCATTTACTTTAGAAGAAAAGTATATATGCTTTCCAAATGAAAATTCCTAAATCTATTGCCTTAAATAAATGCTTTTTTTTAAAAAGACCCAATTTTCAAAGCCGCCTTCACTGCTCTCAAAACTCAATGCTTTTCTGAGAGAAGCAATATTAAAGTATTCGAACTTTAAAAATCTTCAGACTTGACCAGGTGAGCAAATCTAACACCATCATGGTGGTGAATATATAATGCATCATGACAATGTCACAAATTATATGAGAATGTTTCCATCTATTATGATTACAGAGAAGGAAAAATGTAATTCAAGAAGAATCACCAACTGTTAAGAATCATAATGAAGATGATGAGGAGGATAACAAATAATATCTCTAACAGAAATAAATATTGAATCGTCCCACCATTGATTCGTTGAGTATATCCTGGAAAATATTGTCAATGAATTCAGAAAAATAAAACATATACTGTTGCAGAAAAAGCACGGGATCTAGAGTTAAAAAGTGCTGGTTGTGTCCTAATCATACTACCATTACTAAGAATACATTAAACAAGTCCCTTGCCAGTATAAGCCTGTTTCCATTTCTACCAGTAATAACACTCTAAAAATATCACAACTCCATATATACAAATAATATTTACTTTATAAAATAATAGATATTTGGAACATTTTTAAATAAAGGGAAAGGAACTTCCACTTCTGGCCAAGATGGAGTAACAAGAAACAGATTTGCAGTCAGGCCCAAAACAACCAAAAACAAACAAACAAAATGACAAAATGTATGAACAATGGTTTTCAAGCCACTGGGCATCATGCAATGAAGGACTGAGAGATGGGAGACAAGCAACGTGAGCCCTGTGATCCTATGATTACCCCAGCTTATTGCCTTAAGAGAGTTCCTAGGTGAAGCTACATGGAGAACAAAGTGAGCAGCCCAGCAGTTTCCCTGAGTTCAGGAGACAAAGCTGAGAGTCTCAGGAAACCAGGGCAGCTAGAATTCAATGTACAGAAAGAAGGGAGCTGCAAAGATCAAAGTTCTTCAGAGGATCTCCCTCAAGTATACAGCAGAATACCAATCAGTACATGTCTGTAAAGAAACTACTCGAGCTGGGGGGAAAATATCTAAAGGACCAGAAACAGTGCCTGCTCCCAACAGCCTAAATGGAAAACCTCATAATTCACAGGGCATTGGATATTCTGGAAGGTTTGGCCTCAGTAATAGGGAGTAATTCATCTTAGAGCACTGCTCCAAATCCACCTAACAAGTCATAAAAGCAAGACCAGGAAAAAAAAGAAACTGTTTCCACATGACATAACTGCATCCCACAACAAAGCTCAAGATTTTTAAGAACACAAAAGTGTCCAGCACCCAAACAGGCAAAATTCAAACATCTCCCATCTATTCTAAGATTATCAAACACGCAAAGAGGCAGGAAAGCACAGTCCACAAGGAGGAGAATAATTAATTTAAACCAACCCAGAACTGACAGAGCTATCAAAATTATCAGTGAAGGGTGTTAAAACATTTATTATAACTGCAATCCATGTATTCAAAGCAGTTAGGTAGAGACAAGGAAAAAAAATTTTAAGACCCAAATCAAAATTCTGGGGACACATATAACAATGTCTGAGATTAAAAGTGAATTGGATGACAGCTGGGCATGGTCACTCATGCCTGCAATCCCAGCACTTTGAGGGGGCCAAACAGGGAAAATTGCTGCAGCCTGGGGGTTCAAGACCAACCTAGGCAACATAGCGAGACACTGTCTCTATAAAAAAAAATAAAAATAAATTTTTAAAGTGCACTGGATGGGACCAATGGCATATTACACATTGCTGAGAAAAGACTAATAAACTTGAAGACATTGCAATGGAAACTATCTCAATCAAAACACAGAGAGGAAAAATAATCCCGAAATAAAAGAGCACCGTGATAGGTGAAACAACTTCAATCAGCCTAACGTACATGTAATTTCAGTCCCTTAGAGAGAGGAGGGAGGAAAGGGCAGAATGAATATTTGAAGAAATAATTATTGAAAATTTTTCAAAATTAATAAACTCAATGAACCCCAACCACAAGAAACATGAAGAACACTACACTGAAGAACCACACAATCAAACTGCTCAAAACCAGTGATAAACGGAAAATCTTAAAAGCAACAAGATTAATAAAGTAATGTTACAGTCAGAGGAACAAAGATAAGAATGCTATCAGATCTTGTTAGAACTAATGCAAACAAGAAGACAACAGAATATCATCTTCAAAGCATTAAAAGATATAAAAAGTCAACCTGGAATTCTATACCAGAAAAAAAAAAAAGCTTTCAAAAACAAAGACAAACAAAGATGTTTTCAAATGTACAAAAACTTGAAGAGCAGACGCTCACTAAAAGAAAGATTAGCATGCAGGGCTTAAAACCTAGATGACAGCTTGATAGGTACAGCAAAACAACATGGCACATGTGTATCCATGTAGCAAACCTGCACGTTCAGCACATGGATCCCAGAACTTAAATAAATAAATAAATAGATAGATAGATACATACATACATACATATATACATACATAAAAAGAAAGCTTAAAGTAAGTCCTTTTGTTAGAAGAATTTTACCAGATAGAAGTCTTGATCTACACAAAGGAATGTAGAATACCAAAAAAGGTAACTACGTGGGTAAATATGTATTTTTTCTTATTTCAGTCTCTTTAAAATATAATTACTGTTAAACACAAATCACAAGAATAATTTGTGAGGTTTATAACATATATAAAAGTAAAATGCAGGACAACAGTAGCATAAAGACCAGGAGATGAGAAATGCTAATATAATATTATAAGGTTTAACATTTATATTAAATGTTAAATAGTATAATAGCACTTGAATGTACACTGTGATAACGGAAAGACATAGACTACAGACTCTAAAAAAACTACTAAAATAATAAAAATTAGCTTATAAAGCCATAAAGGAGATCAAATGGAATCATAAAAAAAATCTTTTTAGTCTAAAAGACAGCAGAAAAAGAAAAAGAACAAAAAATAAATGCAACGAAGAGAAAAATAAGGTAGTAGGATAACAGATTCAAACCTAACCATATCAACAATCACATTAAATGTAAACGGCTTATGCATCTCAAGTAAAAAGCAGGTCAGATTGGATTAAAAAATAAGACCCACTATATGCTGCCCACAAGAAACACATCTTAAATATAAAGAGCCAAATAGGTAAAAAGTAAAAGGATGAGAAAAGATTATACTATGTTAACAGTAGCCAAAAATGCTGAAATTACTGTATTATTATAAACAAAGTAAATTTCAAAGCAAAGGACATTACCAAGGATAAAGAAGGTCATTTCATAATGACGAGGGTCAAATAATCAAGAAGAAATAAAAATTCCAAAGGTTTATGCACCTAATAAGAGAGCTTCAAAATACATGAAGCAAAAACTGGGATAGAAATGCAAGAAGGAATAAACAAACCCATAATTATAGCTGCAGATTCAATACTCTTATTTAATTGATAAAGGCAAGCAGGCAGAAAAATCAGCAAGTATATACTAAACTTGAACACGGGCAACTTGACCTGACTGACAGTTATAAAATATTCCACCCAACAACAGCAGAATACACATTCTTCTGAAGTACACACAGTATATTTACCAAGACAGACTATATTTTGGGCCATAAAACAAGTCTCAATAAATTCAAAAGGATTCACATTGTATAACATGGAGACTATAGTTAGTAACAATGTATTATATACTTAAAAATTGCTGAGGGAGTAATTTTAAGTGTTCTCAACACACATAAAATGATACATATATGAGGTCATAGATATGTTAATTAGCTAGATTTAGCCATTCCACAATGTACACATGTATCAAAACATCATGTTGTACACTATAAATGTACGCAATGTTATTGGCCCATATATAAACACAATCAATTGAAACAAATGCCAAAGGATTCAAACCACACAAAATATAGTATCTGACCATAAAATGAAAACCAGTAACAGACAGATCCTAGGAAAATCCACAAGTGTTTGGAAATTATATTAACTGATTACTAAATTATCCATGGGTAAAAGAAAAAAATCAAAAGGAAAATTAAAAGTACAATATGGCAAAGTGTGTGTAATGCCACTAAAATAATACTTAGGGGAAAATTTGTAGCATTGAATGCCTATATTAGAAAAGGAGAAAGGTTTTAAATCAATGATCTCAGCTTTTACCTTAAGAAATTAAAAATATAAGAGCACATTTAAAATAGAAAAAATAAATAATAATCAAATCAAAAACCAGTGAAATAGAAAAATAATAGATATCAATGAATAGAAGGCTAGTTCTTTGAAAAGATCCATAAAATTGCTAAACTACAAGACAGACTGATCAAGAAAAAGGGAAAAAACATAAATTATGAATAACAGAAATGAAAGAGTGAATATAATTTCAAATCCTACAAATATGATAGTAAAAGCAAAATAAAAGATTACACACAACTTTTTGCTGATAAATTTGACACAAATGATCAAAGTTCACCCAAGTAGACATTTTTGAAAACAAGCAGAATAGCCCTATATCTATAATACTTTTAAATCCGTAGTTAAAAACCTTCCCATAAAGAAAACCCCTGGGCTTTCACTAGTGAATTAGATCAACCAAATATGGAAGAATTATCAACCTACACTCACCCGTCCAGAAAATACAGGGAAAGGGGCTACTTCCTAATTCATTCTGTGAGGCCAGCATTATCCTATCAGCAAAACTGGACAAAGGCATTAATAGAAATGAAAACTAAAGACCAAACTTCCTCATGAACTTACACATGAACACCCTTAACAAAATTTTAGCAAATTGTACCTAACAAACTATAAAATTGGTAATTCAAAATGTGGTCTATATTGCAAGGTTGTTTTAAAACTTAAAAGTCAATATACTTTGTCTTATTAAGAAAATAAAAGACAAAAATCAAATAATCATTTCAATAGATGCAGAAAAAACATCTGAATAAAATCTAACATCTATTCATAATTTTTAAAATCTCGACAAACTAAGAATAGAATGGAACTTTTTCAACCTGATAAAGAACATCGAAGAAGGCCAGGCGTGGTGGCTCACGCATGTAATCCCAGCACTGTGGGAGGATCACGAGGTCAGGAGCTCAAGACCATCCTGGCTAACACGGTGAAACCCTGTCTCTACTAAAAATACAAAAAATTAGCTGGGCGTGGTGCGGGCGCCTGTAGTCCCAGCTACTCAGGAGGCTGAGGCAGGAGAATAGCATGAACCCAGGAGGCGGAGCTTGCAGTGAGCTGAGATCGCGCCACTGCACTCCAGCCTGGGCGACAGAGCCAGACTCCATCTCAAAAACAAAACAAAACAAAAAAACAAACAAACAAAAAAAAAACTTTATTCGTAGGCAACCCAAGGTAAAAAAAAAAAAAAATTCTTACTAAGGTAAGAAAAATTGGACAAAAGATATAAATAGGCATTTCGCCAAAATGGACATATGGATGGCAAACAAAAAACAAAACAAAACAAAAAACAGCACACTGAATCCAAAAAATGGAGGAGGATGTAAATAAAGAGCAGAATTTAAGGAAGTGGGGAAAAATATGCACTAGAAAGGATAAAGTCAAATTGAGGTCATTAAAATGACTAATAAGATTGATAAACCCCTGGTAAGACTGATGAAGCAAAAAGAGAGAAGACATAAATTATTAAAATCAGGAATAAAAACAAGGACATATTACAGATACCAGAGAGATTAAAAGACAATATTATAATCTCAAATGTCAATATATTTGAAAATTTAGAATCAGAGAAACTCCTAAATATGTACTACTTAACAAAACTGACACCAAAGAAACAAAATCTGAAAAGTCAATGAGATAAGTTGAACCCAGAATTAAAAACTGCCTACAAAGAAAACTCTAGATCTAAATCCAGCAAATTTAAATCTAGAGTTTGAATTTATGAAAGAAATGTTGCCAATCTTATACAAACTCTTCATGAAAATAGAAAAAAAAGAAAACATTCCACAACTCAGTTTTTGTAACCTGAATAATCTGAAAGCTTCTAAGGACATCAGAAAAAAAAAGTTTTCCTAAATAAAAAATATTAAATCAAATACAATAATTTATAAGAAAATAATACATCAAAACAAAATTGGTTTTATTCTAGGATGCAAGATTGGGTTTATGTTCTAAATTTGCCACATTAATAGAGGAAAATTAAAAGTTATACAATCATCTCAATCAATACAGAAAAGGTATGATAAAATCCAAATACACTGATGATAAACATTAGCAAAGAAGGAATAAAAGGTAGCTAGTTTCTTAACATCTACAAAAGCATATAGGAAATATCATAATTATGAAAGGTTTAAAAGTTTTCCCTTTGAAACTGGGAAAAGGTTATCTCATATGATTACCCTGACATTCAAAGGAATCCCCAGATAAATTATTTTAATTAATAGGTGAATTCAGCAAGATTGCTTGATACAATATTAGTATACAAAAATCAACTGCATTTCTATACTGGGGCACAGAAATGAAAAATAGCTAAACATTACCAGTTAAGAAAAATTTTTAAATCTAATATCCAAATCCAATATTTAGATATATATGTTATATATCTAAAATATATATAAAACCTCTACACATAAAACCATATGAGTTATGATAGATAAAGAACACCTAAATAAATGCAGAGATATATCAAGTTGATGTATAATGAGTGAATCCCATAAAGATATTAATTATCTCCAAACTTATCTAAATTCAATATAACTGCAATTAAAATCACAACAGGTTTTTGAGGCAATTGAGAAACTGATTCTAAAATTTATATTGAAATTCAAAGGGACAAAAGAAGCCAAGACACACTTTAAAAAAAATAAGGTGGTAAGATTTCATCTACTGAATATCAAGTCTCATTACAGAGCAACAGTAATTAAGACACAAGGCTAGACAAACCAATCAATGGAATCAAACAGCCCAGAAACATACTATCATCTATAAAGAAATTTTATTGGCCAGATGCAATGGTTGATGCCTGTAATTCCAGCACTTTGGGAGGCCAAAGTGGGTGAATTGCCTGAGCTCAGGAGTTCAAGACCAGCCTGGGCAGAATGGCAAAACCCCATCTCTACTAAAAATAGAAAAAATTAGTCAGGATGGTGGTGTGCACCTATAGTCCCACTTGCTCGGGAGGCAGAGGTGGGAGGATTGCTTGAGCCTGGCAGGTGGAGGCTGCAGTGAGCTGTGATTGTGCCACTGCACCCCAGCCTGGGTCTAATAGAAAAATATGTAAGAGTTGAACATTTACTTCACAAAAGAAAATATAGAAATGAGTAATCAACATATAAAATGTGTTTAAACAGTAGTAAAGGAATGCAAATTAAACATATGAGACACTATTATACACATATCAAAATGGCTAAAGTGAAAAAGAAGGAAAATATTAGGTGTTGGCTAGGGTATCTCATCAGTTGTATATAAGAGTTCTCATTGCTCCATATCCTAGTCAACGCTTAATATTTTCTCTTTTTCACTTTAGCCATTGTGATGAATGTATATCAGTCTCACACTTAGGAAAACACTTTAACATTACCTACTAAAGCTGAAGATATTCAGAAATTTCCACTTTTAGTTATATACAAAACAGAAACGCTTATAATATGCACTAAGTTTAAAATACAAGGATGCTCATAGCAGAATCATTTATAAACACCAAATGCTGGACACAATCCAAATGTCTAATGACCAAAAAAAGAGAATAAACTGTGATCTATTCATTCAACAGAATACTACACAGCAATGAAAATGGACAAACTATGGTCAAATGCAACAACACTGATAAATGTCACAAAAGACAAGCACAAAATATATACTGTTTAATTGACTAAATTTATATAAAACTTAAAAGATAGGCAAAATTAAACAATAGAGTTTAGAAATTTAAACTTAGGTGGTACAACTGTAAAAGAAAGAAAAGAAGTGGCTTCACAAAAGTCAAGATAGTGATTACCTCTAGAAGAGGAAGGTATGATGATTGGGAAGGAACAAGCAGGATGCTTCTGAAGTGCTGGCAATACTCTAATCCTTGCCAAGGACATAGTTACAAGGGTGTTCTGCTTCTAAAAATCACTGTACGTTTCTGTTTTGTGCATGTTTCTGTATGTATATTATATTTCACACATGCAAGCATAAAAAAGTTATCTAACCAAAACTATTATAAAACTTTTATATAGCTTAATATACACTATTACATAATGATCTTATAACTTTAATTAGAGGTCAGAGAAATGAGAAGGGTGACTGTGTGGGTTTGGAAATGATGGATAGAAATGGCATAGAAAGTGTGGGAGTTTATCTTCCACAATGAGAACCATCTGACAGTGCCTAACGCTGAAAATCAAGCACACCATTTAAGGATGTTAAAGTAAGTCTCAAATAATCAGCTAAGAGAGATAAAAGTACTTGTCTTGTGGAAGAGGAAAACTACAGATATAAAGTTGGGGGTCTACTGTTTAACAAACCTTGTAAAACTACTGTTTGACTCTTTCAAACTTAAAAAAAAGTAGGGAAGAAAAATGCCAGTATGCCACCATTTATAAGCAGAAGCTGCATCAACCCATCTGTTGCTTACTTCTTTACTTTTCTCTATCACATTCTGTGAAGAGTCAGTATTAACTCTTTGTCCAAAGTGAAGTTCTCTAAGTAGACATAACTCCCCAACTCTCTTGATTAGCTCATTTGTCAGTCTTAATAGGAATATAAAAGATATATGCAGATACATCTAAGTATATTAATTAATTATACTCAGGAATATGTAGAAATTATTAGTAGAGGAAGAGAAACTCAACCTTTCTTCTCCTCCATCTCCTAATGAAAAACAAAGCTATAGGTGAAAGTTAAGGTATATAATGACTCAAATAAAAAGAAAAGATAAAAAGAATAGCTTAACAAGGATTTCCACTTATGAATCACAACACATGAACTATGGGAAAATGGCAGATTAGTTGTAGTATGGAACTATGAACTTAAGCATTTATAAATGTAGTTTAAAATAGGTATAACTTTTAAACTCAAGAAACACACAATTAAAACACTACTGTTGTCAAGTTAAGGTGCCCCAATGCATAAAAATTAGTCCAAAGACAGTATAATAAAATTATCTGAAATATGCTCATTTATCACTTTCTAAATAAATCTGATTTATCCTTAACTGACATCTTAATTATCCATATTTACATCTGGAATATAACAACTTTTCTCTCTTTTAACAATCCAAGACAAACAAATATTATGATTATACATTAGCTATGCCTCCTCAGTTTCTAGAGCTGAAATGTCATGTCAATTACTTAATAAGATTTAATTTTACCTTGTTTAATCTGTCCTTGCACAATATTACTGGAAGTTGGAGGGGAACCCCTTGCCTTAGAAAGGTCTGGGGTGCTTGGTCTAGGTGGCCTTAAAAAAGAAGAAAAAAATACAAGATATATTTTGATACTGTCATATTTCCAGAACTATTTAAAATAAAAAATTTTCTACTTCTAAACGAATCACAAAAGAAACATATATAGAACATTTTCAATTTACCATTCCAGAAAGATTTTTTTTGGTTTGGACCTATTAACGTTTTCCATTTCAAATGAGTAAATGATTAGCAAGTAAAAATCTGACATGTGCAATTTGTGCTTCATATTAGTTTAAGAAATATTTTCTAACATCATACTTAACCCTTTGTTCTTCAATATTCAGATGCTGAGATTTCAGTCTACTCCACAGCATTAATCCAAGTGAATTCATAGAAAGATAGATTAAAAACATTCAACCCAAAAACCTGAAAACAGTCTTCAGGCATTAAGAAATCTTGGACTATAGAGGCAGACTGTCTCAGTTGTGAATTCTGACACTACCACTTACTAGCTATGTTACCTTGGGCACGTTACATCATCTCTCTGTGTCTCAGTTTTGTTCTCCGTAATAAAAGGGATAATAAAAGTACATACCTCATAGGGTTAAGGGAACTAACAAATTAGTTTTTATAAAGTACTTACAACAGAGACTGACACAAAGTAAGTGCTATATAAGTATTTGTTAGAATTGTTTTTAATTCTTCATATGGTAAATGCTCAATAGAGTATAATAAAAAGTTGTCTCCATAAAAAGACAAATTGAGGCTAAGTATTCTGGAAATATTAAAATAGTATTCTCCTGCATTTTAAATAGTTTTTTCTTTCTCTATTGAAAAATTCTGACTATACTTCTCACAAAATTCTGAAGCCAAATCTCTGAACACGTCAATCATTACATATGTTACAATGAGAAGAAGCATTTAATGAAATATACATTTTTTTTTTTTTGAGACAGAGTCTTACTCTGTTGCTTAGGCTGGAGTACAGTGGCACAATCGTGGCTCACTGCAGCCACGAACTTCCAGGCTCAAGCGACCCTCCCACCTCAGCCCCCCAAGTAGCTGGGACTACATGCATGTAACCACCATGCCCAGCTAATTACTTTTATTTTTGCAGAGGCAGGGTCTATGCTGCTCAGGCTGGTCTCAAACTCCTGGCTTCAAGTGATCCTCCTGCCTCAGCCTCCCAAAGTGCTGGGATTACAAGTGTCAGCTACCATGCCCAGCCTCAAATATATATTTTGAATTGAATATTAGGGCAAACTTCAAGTACGTATACAATTTTATAATTATATTTACAAGAGCTAGTCTATATGACCAACTCCCTCATTCCAAATTTTTAAAAAACATCTAAGTATGCCAATCATACATAAAATTGTTTAATTTTATTATGTTTTAATCGGGCATTTTGAAACTGGTGTTTTAAAATGTAAAAGGGAAACAACTGAGATGACACTGAAATAATAAAATTGTGTAGAGCCAAAAAAGAGTAATCAACAATGAAAAAATAAAACAGGTTTCTTTTTTTGAAACTTAAGAATAAAATCAAACTATCATGGTCACACCTGGTAGGACCCTTCTTCATATGATCACCAATAAAAGTTGCATTGGTCATACTCATTAAAGTATTTGCCAAAGAAATGATAGACAGGAGATGCTGTGTGGTGACGGCACGGGACACTCCGTAAGTTCCCTTTCCTACTCCCTCAGACGCTGGCAGCTTCCTTCCTACTTCTGTTTTCCCATGTGACAGTTTACAAGCAGGCTGATTATAACCCGGCAGCATCAGTGACATATGGCCTCCTCTTGACAAGAGGCCAAACGATACGGTGCAGTGGGGTTTCAGCATTCCAAGGCGATCCAGGCAAACTTCATCCAGTACTTCATTCAAACCCCAGGCGTGAAGGCAGGACATAAACAGCTTTGCAGTGTCCATAGTTAAATTATATTCTAATAGGGTCAATGGCTTTGATTTGCTGGACCGATATTCAGGATCACTTTCTTCCCTTCTCTGCCTCATTATCTCCTCATCCTCCTCTTCATCATCAAGGAGGTGTTCCTTGATGTTCTCTTTGATCGTTTCTTTCACTTGTTGGAAGAGAACTGCTGCTCGTTTTCCAGTTAAAAAAGAGCCCCCTTTGTCTGAACTGCCAGATGCTTTTTGCAAATTCTCTGGGGAAATAAGAGCAGTATTCGGCCTAGAGGCTTCTTCAGTCAGGAGTTGAATAATCAACGCTTCCACATCAAAGAATAGCACATGTATGTCCGGGTCTGTTAGGTTTGTCTTTATTGCTTGAACCATCAGGGAGTTATGAGAATATTTAGGTAAATTTCCCTGTAATAAATATTTTTAAAAGATAGTTATAATTAAAAGTGCTTAATTTCATACATTCATTAATAAACAATAAATAATCAGAGGAATTAACATGCTTATTAAGCTGTCCTTCTAGGAACCTATATCATGAAAAGTAACATACTAACTTTGCCAATCAGCAGCATGTAAAAGATATCAGCTTACACAATTAGAAGAACTTTATGCTGAAACAATCACAAAATTGCCAATTAGTTTAAAAACCAAGAAAATAATAGTTTATTATTGAAGCAGGGAGTCTCTTTACTCACAGTAATGATTAAAATGTGTTTCAATAATTTATGAGCAAATCCTGTCTCTGAAAATAAACTACTGTTCCACCTGATGGAATAATCCGTTTATCGTGGCTCCTGATCCTTTAAGTTGCTACAACCATCATATCCCTCCTTTTTCCATTTTACCTTCAATCTCTCCCTATTCAAAGATTCCATTCCCTGAATAAAGAACATATTACAGTCTACTTAGATCCTTTAAAAAATGCTATCTTTTGACCATGCTCCCTTTTCTATTTCTCTCCTCTTCTAGCCAAATTTCTGTCCCTTTTAGCAAAATTTACTGAAAGTAGTAGACTACTCCAATGAAAATTCTTCAGTCCCTCTCTTCCTTAATGTCTTTGCAGTATATGACATTGTTATTTTTTCCCGAGATAGAAAGAAAAATAAAGAGACAAAGAAAGAACTAAAAGAAAGAATAAGAAGCCACCTCTCCAGCATCCTGGAGGGTAATAAAGATTTATCTGGAGAGTACCTCCTGGTAAGTCTTCTACCTCTGTCAATCTCTCCCTCTCAGGCAGCTGCCCTGATAACTCACTCTTCCCCCTACATGGGAACTATCACCTATATGTAGATGGCTCTCTAATTTCCATCATCAGCCAGACCAGTCTCCTAAAGGAGTTTCAATCCTGTATCTCCAATGGCTTGTATTGGGATATCCCACAGTACCTACCTCACATTTTTACGTTCTCATCTCCACCCCTCACTAAACCTCCTGGGCCTCCTGATTCATCAGCTGGAAATCATTCTGTTTTCTTCCTATCCCGCTGTCACGACAGAAATTCAGACCACTTATCTTTGCTCCTCAAGACAGGTTTCACTGTCCCTGGTCTCTTACTCCAACATATGTGACCTCCACAGAACTACAGACTTCCTTCTGAGGCAAAAATCTAATCATGTCACTCTACCAAAAAATTTCCATTATCATGAATTATTAAGAAAAATAGACAATACAAAATTCTTAAAAACTAAATCACAATATAGGTGAATATCTAACTGATCTTGAGATGAGAATGGACTTTCTAAACATACTTAAAAGTTCACTACGATAAAAAACATGTTAAATGACAACTAAAAAATAGGAATAAAATGTTCCAGAAATAGGACTAATGAAGAGTTGTAACAGATACAAACATTTCTTAAAAGCAATAATACTATTGCCAAAAGAAAAAAAAAAGAAAAAAACTATGAAGACCAAAGACAGTAAAAGAAACATAAAGGGAGAATATAGGGAAAACCTGCTCAAATTGGTTGTCAAGTAAATAACAGTTAAAATAACTACAAGATAAGTGTTTTATCTTATTAACTTATTAGCAAACAGTAAACACTAAAAACAGTATAGAGAAAGTCAAACTCATACACTGCAGCTGTGAATTTGAATAGTTTTAAAAGAGTAATTTGGCAAAATACCTTATAAGCCTTTATGATTGATATTGTTTGATCCAATATATTTATTTCCAGGATCCTATCTTAAACAGTCAGAAATACAGACAAGGATTTATGTTCAAAGATGTTCAGTGAAACTGTATCGAATATTTTAAATTGGAAACCACCTAAATATCTAACAGTAAGGAAACTAGTAAATAATTTATGCATTGACATATAATAAATATTGCAGAATTTATAAATCATCTTTTCTGGGCACATCTAACCATGTAGAAAAATACCCATAGTCGAATTTTAAGTGAGATGAAACTATACACTCATCCACACGTACACGCACACGCGTGCACACATACACACACACACCAGTTATGGTTCCAATTTCACATATTTAATGCTTAAGTATATATACATATATACATACACACACATTATATATGGCATGGCAAGAAAGACTGCTTATATATATTTGTGTGTGTATATATGTGTATATATACACGTATATATACACATATATACGTGTATATATACACACACATATATACACACATATATACGTATATATACACACATATATATGTATATACATACACACACACACATATACACACACACACACACACACACACACACACACACACACAAAGCACAAAACATCCTCCAAGATATACTGCTGCTTACCCTTCCAATTTCACCTCTCACCACAATCCCTATAACTTCTGCCAAATCAAACCACTTGTACTTTCCCGGACCAAAGTGTGTGTGTACATATATACACACAAACATACATATATATGTGACTGGAAAGAAATGTGTGAAAATATTAATAGTAATTACAATCTTGTGATGGAATTATAGAACATTTTGTTTGTATTGCTATATATTTCTTAGATTACATATAATCATATACAATCTAATTTGTATTGCTATATATTTCTTAGATTGTATATAATCATATAATCAATATATATTTTAATAATTAGAAAATAAAGCTCTAGAATAAAATGTGAACTCCTTTAGCACAATCTTCAAGGTCCATTACAGTCTGACATCAAATACCTTCCGAGCTTTAACAAATAGGCCCTAGTACCAAAACTATGGCCCCTCACATATAAATACGTTTACTTATTCCCCTTCCCAAAATGCTCTTCCTTTACTCCACTCCAATCCCTTCTCTTCCATCGACACCCTATTATTCCACAAATATATGTATATCAAATCATCACACTCTATACCTAGGATATACACAATTGACAATTTGTCAGTTGTCCCCCAGTAAATTTGGTGGGGGGAGGGGGGTGGGAGAAAGAGACTAATTCTGCCAAGGAAGTTAGTCCACAGTGAATCCAACTCCCACAACATTTTATGTCTACTATGTATCACATATTTGTATGTCTTTGCCACATTTATATAATTTGTTGTTCTAGATATTTGCATTTTCCTATACTCTACAGGAACATTTCAAAATCAGGGACCAATCATGTCTTACTCATCTTGTAGAGTCTTAAACCTATTACAGCACCTAGCAGAATGAACAAAGACTATTATGAAAATTATATAAAATTGGCTGGTCCAAGTGTAGTGGTGTTTAGAACTAATTGGTCCAACCAGTTACAGATTTCTTTGTTCCCTCTCCACTCCCACTGCTTCACTTGACTAGCCTTAAAATTTTTTTAGGAAAATTATTTTAAATTGCCAATCAGCTCTTCTGACATAAAATTACCACAAATCCCCTTAACTGGTCTCCCTTCTGTCTTAATTTCCTCCCATCTGACCACGTTTCTTTCTAGCTTAAGAGACTTCAACATTCTGTTGAACCCAAGGATAAAATCCAGACTTACCTGCAAAGCACAAAACATCTTTCAAGATATACTGCTGCTTACCCTTCCAAGTTCATCTCTCACCACAATCCCTATAACTTCTGCCAAATCAAACCACTTGTACTTTCAGAACCAAGTAGTTTCAGACATTTGTATTTCTGCATATGCTTATGCCAGAATCATGCTCCCTCCGGAATCTCTCTTCTGCCACTCAAGTCATACATACTTCTACTCATCCTGCAAGAAGTATTTCAAGTGGCTTCTCTTCTGAAAATTACTTACAAATTTTTCAAGCAGATCTATCACTACTTCCTGTGGGTAAACTTCTGTTCTAAGTATTTCTATACTACAGTTAAGCATCCTAAAATACATAAATAATGTGATAAATTTGCACTACACAATCATAAAGTTACAAATGCAGAAAAAAATCAAGACTTTCCAAATCTCATTCTCGTATTTAATTCATTCATTCCCCCAGCTGCCTAACACCTATTATGTCTTGTGTTTGCGCAGGGTATTGAGGGAACCAAGACGAGTCAGAAATGGTTTTTCTAGTCATGGAACTCAAAACAGATGATGATGCGTACATAAGTTATTATAATGTTGGATGAATGGTGCCATAAAGAGAGATGGCAAGGCACAAGAAGGGGACGCAATGGAGAAAGTACCAGCTCCATCTCGGGTGACCGGGAAACCCGCATGGAAGATGTAATGAGCAATGAAAGAGCACTCCTGGCAGAACAATGGCCAGATGTGAAACAGGACAAAGACAGAAGTATCACATGATGGATACTGCTGAAACAAGTGTCCAAGATGGAGAATGCAAGGCATGGCTTTATCCTGCAGGCTCGGGAGCCACTAAAGCAGTATTTTTCTCAGAATCACCAGGAGTGCTTGTTAAATACAGCTTCCTGGGCCTGATATCAGACCTGAACCAGTATCTTTAGGAACGCGTCAGAATCTAATGAGCACCCCAGACTACTTTATGCAGTAAAGTTTGAGAACTGTTGTCTAAAGGCTTTAATGAGGGGAGTAACATGATCAAACTTAATTGTATAAACATTTATCTACCAGCAATGTTGGCTAAAGGGAGCAAGATCACTAATGAATGTGAAATGGAAGGCAACTGAAACCATCCAGATGAGGGAAGATAAAAGTATGCAATAGCACTGAGCATGTAGAAAACATGACAGATTGAAAAATGTGTACATTACCCTTTTATTTCTCATAGCACTGTGCTTGATATTTTCTTTTTCAAATGCTGAATGAGTAATGTCAGACACTATGCTTACTGATTTTTACCTACCAACACTAGTTAAAGTGAATACTACATAAAATTACATACAATATCTTATCTAAAATAATATTGATACAAAAATTATTATTAATAATGATAGCTACCACATACAAAGCTGTTGTTATGGCCTAGGCACCAGACTAGGTATTACGGCTGGTTATGTCACAGCAAAAGATAAAATATCATCATATATCAATATTAGGTAGACAGACCTGACACTGGGTATGAAGGAATAGGTAATAACAACATTAGGTAAAAGAAGAGCCCACCACAGTGCTTTGGCAGATGCTGCCTCTCTGGGAAATAGCTGCAAAATTCTTTTAGGATAAAGATAAAGACCATTACTACCAAAGAATATAAAATCAAACATGCTTGGTAAAGAAATTATTGAAGCAGCACAAGTGACTTGAAGAAAAAAGGAGGCAAGAGTGGTAGCCTCAAGATAGCCCTTTAAGCTCTCTCACCTGGTGTCAACCCCACATGCCCGCTTTCGGCACCTGCAGATCTGTGAATGCTTCTGTCCCTTCCTGGGAGGTGTGCCAGCAGACAGCCCATGTGCATGGACACCTGAAAGGTCATCTAGTGTCTGGGACAATGATATCGGGATGCAATTTCGTGTGATTCCTCTTATTAGAGCTTCTTAGTGCACTGATTGTGTCATTGTAGCAAAAACTATAGCTAACAGTAATCCACAGAAAAAGAGTTTAAAAAAAGAAAAAAAAACAGGAACAAAAACAGATGAGAAGATAACAGGAGGAGACTAAAAAGGAGAGAAAATGAGTAACCTCCAAGTCCTACAGATAAACTATAATTTCTGTTTTCACCAAGTCCTGCATAACTTGTAATACCTGACAATAGATTTAACTGACCCAACAAAGTCTTGTTACAACAAAATATAGGTATGCAGCAAAGTTGTGAGGATATTTTGGCTAAATGCATGGAGATGGCAGCATTAATCACCAACATGTCTGATATTGTAATATAGTACACTAAGCTTATCTATAGGGAAATTAAAACATCTATCAAACTCATAAGTCTCTTGGCTTAGTCATAAGATATTCATGTCTAGAGCACACTAATTCATTCAAATGAGCTTATATTCTTAACAATGTCAAATACGGACTATCGGATCCAGAAAATTCTCTAGCAGGAAGCTTAGTATGTTTCCGCTGCTACCTTTATTAAGAACATTTGAAATGTGTGCTCACAAACTCACCTTTACATTATCGTGGAAGAAGATTAAATTCAGTTTAACAAATATTTGTGGAGTGCCTTTTATGTGCAAGATGCTTGGGACAAAATAAAGCCTCTGTCCTTATGAAGAAAGCCAACTAGGAAAGTTAAATTATAAGGTATATACAAATGAAAAGACCTCAAATTTGCTAGTAAGATTCAACGATAAATGCAAAATACACACATCTACACACACTTACTTAGAAGGGTAGTAAGATAGACATATTTGACATTTTCAGTGTAAGAACCAAGTCAGTTGTAACTTTAAATACAGATCTAACCATTTCAGATTTTAAATAAGGAATCTGACTTAAAATATTACAGAAATAAAGCCACAGGAAAAAAATATTGGATTGCTTCCTCATTGCTGAAAGTGAACCTGTGACAATTACAGGTTAAGAGTAGCAGGTAAAATTGTCAAGTGAAAACCCAAGGAAAACAACAGAACTATGATTCATGAGATTAACCTGTATTCAAGCATGGATATTTTTTGGCACATAAACACACAGACACACACACGCACACACACACACACCCATACACAGTAGCCTCCAGCAACAAAAAAGCAATAACTTAGAATCTGCAGAGGAAAACATGTTGATGAATCCTTATCATTATTATATATTTATAATGTTTATTATTAAATATTTTAATATATTCTAGGGTTAAATCATGTCTGATGAAATACCTGAAAGCTTTCTTTCCTAAAACCAATATTATAATGATATTTTCAGTGTATTTCATTTTATCCTGTGACAAAGAGAAACGTAAAACAATGGCAATAATTGTACTCTTCCACCATTCACTTCAATGATCCTGACTCAAAGCTTACTTATTTCAGAATCATTTTTTAATATTACAGTTTTCAAGAGGATTTTAAAACACCTTATAAAATAATTTACTATTTATCTTGAATGAGCACTGAGTCCAATCTATAGTGATATCAAATGGTTCCTATTGTTAATTAAAAAGAGTTTATTTATACCAGCAAGCAGTACAGACATAGGCTGATTTTCATGCTAAAGTATAAAGCAGAAGAGTTAATAATTTAAAAAAAAATCAGAATCTCCTTTGAAAGCAGAGATTAAGGATACTAAGAACAAAGCTAGGAAATATTACAAATCTAACACACACACACACACACACACACACACAAACACACACACACTTCTATAGATATTAATACTTTGAGTCTTGAAATGGAAAACAAAAAACACTTGACAAATGTTAGTATGCTGTTTTACAAAATTATGTAGCCATATTACATTGCATGTTCTGAATAATTTTAAATTTCCTAAATGTGAAAAACGGTTTATTGCCTAATAATATTTTGGCAGGAAAAATAAATTAAATATTTTATAATTTTACTCTTGATTTAGTATATTTATTGAATAAAAGTTTTTAAAAGAATTTCTGAAATTCTGATGCATGTTAAATGTAAAACGGTCACTGAATAAAAACAAATTGATGTCTTGATGTAATTTTTAAATAGCTAAGGGAAAAACCTCATCATCTACTAAAAAATATGCACAATATTAATGTTTCAATATTAAATATTTTAAGTACTAGAAAAAAGGAAGGAAGGAAGGAAGAAGGAGAAAGGCAGAGAGTGAAAAGGGAGGCATAAAAATTAGAAAATATCAAGAAACTGTGGAGACTGAAATGGATATTTGGTGCCCTCTGCTGTTGTTTTGCTGTTACTTAACATTAAGAGTTAGGATAATACAAGTGAGTTTCATCAGAGAATCCATTTATGTTGGAATTAGACAATATATACTATTATTCATCTTAAATATTTTATTTTAGACAGGATAAGACTTCATGGGTAGGTGTGAATGACAATACAGTCACAGACTTCATGTTATTTGACTTTTCATATGTTTTCATTAACAAGTATGTTAATAAGCATAAACTAGAGACATTTGACTGAGGTTTTAAGGTTTCATATTACGTTATAATTTAATATGATATAAATAAAATAGAAATCACTTAATTACAGTAAGTTGTAACCATTAAGTATAGATGTTTAGGTCATGCCTTTGATAAAGAAAATATCTTTCAAAGATATTTCTGTAGACCATGTCTTACTGGATAATGCCTGAATAATAATATCCAAATAGTATTAATATATTAAGAGGTTAGAAGATCAATATATTAAGAGCTTCCACAACAGCAGCACAAAAGAGATTGATTTTCAACTCTTCCCAAAGGGCCAAGTTACCAAAGTAACAAGACCAGGAGTGTTCCTCCATTGTACAGACCTTTACAAGACTCAGCTTCCCTAGTATCAATCCTTCTATCTTCCAAATAAAGAAAAGACTGCCTACCTCAATAAGGTGTTGTAGACAGCAAACAGATAACACAAGCAGTATTCCTTTCACTGGTAAGGGACAGATAACAAAACCCTGCTCATTTCATCTCAAATGAATGTATCAAAGATACATGTGAACATAGTTTACACCAAGTGAAGGAAAGAAAATGCAAAAGTCCAAAGAGCTCCTAGTATAACACACCCTTCTAGATATGCTGAAACCCTTAACACACTTGTAAATGAATGGAAACAAGGTGAGATTCTGGGAGGCTCCACTCCATAAGAACAAGGATAAGACTGATAATGAGAAAATGAAAAGAAGAAAAAAAAAACTGCCCTAATCAACCTTGGGTCACTGTGATGAACAAGCCCTCATTTCAGAAATGTTCATGCTCGTGTAGATTCTAAGCTATTTTGAACCCTCTTCCCTCATCACGATCCAACTTGGCCCACATCTCACTATTCTCTCCACACAGTGGCCATGCCCACCTGCATCTGCACAGGCTGCTCCCTTTGCCTGGGGTGTTCTTCCCCACCGTCCTCCTAATGTCAAGCCTCTCTCTTCTGAAAAGCCTTCCCAACAACCCTTCAGGTCAGTTTGGCTCTTGGGGTTCTCTCTCACTTGGTTCATACCTTAGGTAGTAAAAGGCTCAACACAATGAACTACGCACTTTTCTCCCACATCAGGTAGGAACTCCCCAATGCCAGGGCCCACTGGGTGTGGGTGTAACTGATGCCCTCTCCAGCTGGTTGTAGCTTGGGGCCTAGCTTAGAGTATGCATTCAATATGTGCTGAATGAATGCATGAATCAATCAATCAAGAGTATTAAACTATGTATGTTGAACAACTATTGTGATGAATGTTTTCAAATCTGTTATCCCATTTAACTTCATTACAACCCTATTATACCAATTTTAAAACTAAAACCAAGTTGAAGATGAGAGATAAGTCAGTCAGTCACCTAAGGTCACACAGCAAGTCAATGGTGACAATACAGGAGGAAGTCAGGTTCCTCCTCTATCTGCCCACCACTTCCTCCATGTTTTGAATAATTCTAGCTATCAGGGGACTCTCAACATTCATTCTGTAGAGATTTGAGAGAGAAGGGAGGTGGTAGAGGAAAGACTGAATCCACTCCACATTAGTGAACCTTCAAATCCTGGGTTATTTAGTGATTCAATGAACACTGTGCTGAGCACTGGAAATACAAGAAGCAATATGGTGTGGTCCTCTGAGAAGCTCTTTGTCTGATATAGAGCAGTGGTTTTGAGCAGGGGTAATTCTCCCCTCACTCCCAACGGACACTTGGTAATGTCTGGAGACACTTTGCTAGTGACGACTTGGAAGGGTGCTAATAGCATCTAGTGGGTAGAGGCTAGGGATGGTGCTAAAAATACTGCACAGGATTCCACAAGAAAAAATTATCAAGCCAAAAATGACAATAGTGTTGAGGTTGAGAAACTCTGATACAGAGAAATAGAGATGGAAACAAATACATCTACCTGCTTACTTATACTAGTACAATAGAATAAGTACTAGGATAGCAATATAATCCAAGTGCCAGAGGATCAGAGAGGAAGACCCAACTGCCCCTGTCTGATCTGGCTGTATTATACTTGAAAAATTCAGGTAGCCTTTGCAGGGACAGAGGTCACAGAACTCATGCTCATGAGATGAGTAGGAGTTAGCCAGGTGAAGGGTGGCACAAGCATATAGCAAGTACTACACTTACTGAAATAGAAGTGAAGGAGACTAAAAACCAAGTAACATTACACTGTAACAACCTAAAATCCTGGGCTATGCTGATAAATCTGCTCCCCTTTTACCATTCCCATCCTTTTTCCTACCCCGTCCTTTCTACCCATCTATTTGCCTGAGAAAATATCACTTTTACCAGAGCTGATTGCTGCTTAGTGTGATTGTGATTGAGGTGTGAATGTAATTAGGAAAAATAAGTATTTTAATACAAAATAAGAGAGAGATCAGTGGAAGACATTAACAGATCTTTGGATATTTTACCTGTTGTACTCAACTGACAGCATCATATAGAATTTCAGTCACAACCACTATGTACCAGTTATACTTCCTATACTTGGACAATGCAGTAAACTGTCTCCCTGAGATAACTGACAAATATATTTCTATTCAAGGTTAATTTTAGGGCCTGCAATACCATGTCATATAAATCATCTTACAAGATTCACACTGGAAAAAAATGTTTAAACCTTGAAATCATTGTCCCTGACTCACACACTTGCTGGCCAACCATTGTCCTAGGAAAGTTCAACATCCATATAGGTCAGTGATTTTCAACTTAGGGTCTGCAGTTGTTGGAGGTCAAGGGGCTTCTTTATGGGATGTAAAAGGATTCAAAGTAGGAGGGCAAATGACACAATGTTAAGCATAGGGTCATTTAGTAAAGTGAGTTACTAAGGTTACTTTTGCTCATTATGCTACAAGTGCTATTTTTATATTTTGCTATTTATAAACTTAAATTAGCATGTGACTAATTTTCTAGAACAAGGGTCCCCAACCTTCAGGCCAAGAACTGGTACTGGTCCACAGGTTCATGGCTTGTTAGGAACGGGGTCCTACAGCAGGAGCTGAGCGGCGGGCAAGTGAGCATTACCACCTGAGCTCCACCTCCTGTCATATCAGCAGTGGCATTAGCTTCTCATAGGAGTGAAAACCCTATTGTGAACTGTGTATGCAAGGGATTTACAGTGTGCGTTCCTTATGAGACTCTAACGCCAGTTTCATCCCGAAACCATCTACCCCAGGCCATGGAAAAACCGTCTTCCACGAAACCAGTCCCTGGTGCCAAAAAGGTTGGGGCGTGCTGTTCTGGAGACTTTCAGCATTCTAATTAGATGTCACACTATTATGAACCGTAGAGTAATGGTACAAATATTTTACTGCATATGAACACTGGACAGTGTCACATAAGGGATGCCTTGATATTCTGTGCATCGTAAGTGTGGGCTTTCAAATGCTGTTATCTTGCTTTCAAATTGCAAGTTCCTATTAGGTTCATCATTTAGTTTGGGGATTTGTACTTGCATCAACAATATTTTAAACTATAATTTTCCAAAACACATTCATAAGGCATGTATGAATCCTATTGTTAAGTCATAACTTAATCCCTACTCCCAAATTAGCCTGTTAGATGGCACTGCATTCTTATCACAAGGCTCTTTATCCAGTGGGAGGAGAAAAGACCAGGAAAGTGCACCACCAAATACTAAAAGCCATAGTGACTTTCACAACTTCCACTCCACTCAACCTCAGCCAGCCACTCCCATGGCCATGCACACTGGGTCCTGTCCTTACCTGAGAAACCTTAAATGCTAATATCCCCACTCTGGCCACACCTTCTAGAGTTCCAGATCTCCCCCACATCTGCTCTTCAGCCTCTTGGAGCACAAACTGCTGTAACCTGTAGGTGGGAACCATCTGGGAACCTTTGAAACCTCCCACGCAAAGGTTGCACCCCATACCAATTAAATCAGAAAATCCTCGTGTAGGAGCCAGGTGCCAGTAGTCTCAAAAGATCCCTAGGTGATTTCAGGTGCAGCATGGTTTGGGAACCACTATCATGGGGCATTCAGGCCCTGGATTCCACAATTTCATCCCCATCAGCCCCTTCTTCCCCTTCCCTGCCTGTCCAACCACAGTCGGTCCTAGCAATCAGTCTTTCACAACCACCCTCCATTCCCTTTTATGTCTGCATTTCAAATACAAATTCAGTGAATCCTTACACTTGCTCTTAGACCCCTCCTTCCCTAATCTCTACCACTCTCATCAGGTCCCCTACTCAGGATCACTCCCTTCCTCCCCACAGACAATCTTAGCTCCAACTTCTGGGAGAAATGGGAAGGCTTTAGGAATGCTCTCTCCTCAATCCCCATCCACTATCCACAGAAACATATATCCATCCAGACACCCAGCCTGTGCTCTTTCTTTTTTTTTTTTTTTTTTTTTTTTCTTTTTTGAGACGGAGTCTCGCTCTGTCACCCAGGCTGGAGTGCAGTGGCGCGATCTCGGCTCACTGCAAGCTCCGCCTCCCGGGTTCACGCCATTCTCCTGCCTCAGCCTCCCGAGTAGCTGGGACTACAGGCGCCCGCCACTACGCCCAGCTAACTTTTTGTATTTTTAGTAGAGACGGGGTTTCACCATGGTCTCGATCTCCTGACCTCGTGATCCGTCCGCCTCGGCCTCCCAAAGTGCTGGGATTACAGGCGTGAGCCACCGCGCCCGGCCCCAGCCTCTGCTCTTTCCCTTCAGTTTCAGAAATAAGGTTTTCCTCCTCCACATCAAGGCCAACTGCCTTCCTTCCCTTTACCTTTGAAATCGCCCACTCTCTCATCCCCTGGAAACCTAGCTTCATCAATTATCAATTCCTCCCTATCCTGATCGAGAACGTTCCTCTCACTACTTGATCATCATCCTCAGCCCACAAATACTCTCAGCTGTCTTCAAAACTGCATCTCCCTCTAGCTACTCTCTTTCCTTCTCTTCTCATACACACATTTCAAAAGTATTATACATTTGTTACTATTTCTATTTCCACACTTTCCTTTCACTCCTTAACTCTCCACAGTGAACCTTCTCCTTCCAACATCCTGGGAAGACAGTTCTTAAAAAGAATACTAATGACTTCATTGACAAACACATTTCGATCCTTCTAATACCCAACATCTACTGCATTTGACACAAGTGATTACTCTCTACTCTGCCTGAAACTCTTGATTCCCTCTGTTTACAGGTTAGCCCATTCTCCTGGCTCTCCTCACATGCCTCACACCACTCCTTCTCTAAATCGTTTCCTTTTCCTCCTCCCTTAAGGTTAGTAAGCCCAGAGTCTAGCTCTGAATGATCTCCTCCACTTCCACAGTATTAAGAACCATCTTTTGGATGTCTCATCACCACAGCCCTGCCTCAAGTTTCACTCTCTTAAAGGTCTTGCAGACATCACAACATAGATGTCCCATAAGAACCTCATACTCACCATGAACAAAGCAACTCCTCATCATCCCGGACAAAACCTGCTTTTACATTCGATATCACACGTGATAGAGCTACTTTCTATTCTATCACCCAATCAGAAAACCTGTGAGCCAACCTTCCTTACCACCCATACCTAAGCAATCACGAAGTCTCACCGAATCTAACTCACAAATAGCTCTTGAATTTAAACTCTCCTCCCTATTACCTATTATCTGTTTTACATACTGGCTTTCATATATAATTCCTTTTGAGAGTAGGGTTACGAAGCTAATTTTTTTTAAAGTTTGAAAGCCACTGAGATAAAAGATAAAGCTTAAGCACCTTCACATGGTGCTTTAATGGACTCGCCTCATTTCCCACCACACCTGTCTCCCCGCACGTGGTATTTCCTGCTTCCCACTTTGCTTGGGCCACCTAGTTCTCCCAGAACACACTGCAACCCATCTGCTTCCATCATCTGAATATATCTACTCATCCTTGAATGTCACCTCCTCCAAGAAGCCAGTCCTAATCACCTCAAGCTGAGACAGGCTTCCGCAATACTTTCTGCATGTCTCAGCCAACCCCGCTACTTTATTCAATTGTATTTATCTGAGTGTATTTTCTGAAGGTAAATATGTCTTATTCATTTGGTTCCCCAGGACCTAACACAGTACCTAGTAGTCAATAAATGTTTAACTGAACTTGACTGATTCAATTATTTTCTAACAGAGGCTTTAAAAGTCAAGAAGTTTGAAAACTTCTATATGATCTCATAAAGAGCAGATTTTCAAACATATTAGAAGAGAATAAATTATTTCATCTCCCAAAATACTAAATTATTAGCATTTTGCCATAAATATGTATATTTTTATAAATTACTTCACAATACCTTTGAGTTCTCAAATAAGAGTTAAAGTATTATACACAAGGGCTAGAAAGATCTGGCTGCTGAAAAGTCATAGGGTTTAATCCACCTAGCACTCCCTATTCTCTCAGCTTTCTACTATTTGATTTATGATGTGAGATAGTAAAAGAAATTTCTCCTCAGCTGTGTCTAACCTACATTCCACAATAATCTATATTTCTTCTTAATATAGTGTATTTTTGTTAATGTATTTGCAAGGAAAAACAAAACTGCTCTGAATTTAAAACCATCAAAGAACAAGACTGCTTCCCCTTGGCTCAGAATATGATGAATTATATTTAGTATGAACTCTGAATCCCATTCATAAATCCATTGAACACCTATTATATGTAACACACAGGGTCAATAAGGCACTAGAACCACAGGATTTATTAGGCTTCAGGAAGAGTTGTTCTGTTGTATATGTCATTATTTGATGGTATTATGCAATCATCACAATAAATCCAGTCATGTCTAATTCAAGGATCCTTAAAAAGGGAAAAGAGCCAAAAATCCTGTAATCACCAGAAACTTAGCAAATATGAATTAAATATTTAGTTAGTTTTGAGAATTTAGTTTTGTTCCGTAATGTAATGGTTGAGATTGCATTCATAGTAACCTAAAACTCATTTCCTTCAAACTGGAGAAGAGTTGGTGGAAAGGTACCCTGAGTTGGAAATTTTCAAAGTATCCATCCCAAACTCTCTGAAATATACACACATGATGCACACATACATTTATACATAAAGGAGCACATGCACTCACAACCCACATATAGTGTAATTTTCTACGTGTGTGAGTCCTATGACAGTGGACTTTTATTTTAATGGAGAACTTGGAGCAGATGTCAGATTTGTAGGAGCAGGAAGGGCCGATTAAATACAAAAAGATCAATCATAAGGTATTATCTGGGGGAAAGATCATAAACTAGAAGAGTGGCAGAGGCAGAGAGAAGACTGCTTTCAGAAGGAGATAAAAATGACAAAAGATTATTTTGGATTGGTTTTCAAGAGAAGATGATTCGATAACATTTAGGATTTGTAATATAGATAATGGGACAAACAGTGATGACAGTTACTAGGACAGAAAAAGTATTGGCAAACTTTTTCTGTAAAGAGCCACATAGCAAATACTTTAAACTTTGAGGGCCACAAAGCTTTATGTCACATATTCTTAATAATATTTTTAAAATATAAAAAGCATTCATAGCTCAAGGGCCCTATTGACCTGTAGGCCACAGTTTGCACCACTAGGTAGTAGAAAATAATGAGAAATGGAATGTTCTATGGGACATGATTTTGAGTTCAATCTTAGACATGTTGGCTTTAAAGTACCTTGGATAAAGCAGAGATCAAGCAAGCAGTAGGACCATCACTGGGAATACAGAAAGCAACAGAGCTTTTGAAAGTCTTGTGGGGCTAAAGAGAAAATTGAATATTCAAGGGACCAAGATCCTAGAGAGAAGGGAGGGAAAGAAAACAGAAGCTGACACAGGGCCATTCATGTTAAATGCCAAATACTGAAGCTGTGTGGGGAGACTAAGAATGTCTCTAGAAAGCAAAATGGAGTTTTTGGCAGGGTTCTCATGCTAAGAAGATAAGAAGTAGGATTCAGGACTCAACAAGCAAAAGAACCCCGTTAAATATTCTGGGCTCTCTGTTGGAAGCCCTGGAAGGACTAGAGAAGTAGAAGCAGAATCACAGATAGGCAGAGATTTAAAATACTGCAACCTAGCCTTGACTCAGGTTAGTCCCTGATTATATTAAGTTGGTCAGCCTTTATTCTATCTGAACAGCAGAGAAAGGGTGAGCCCCCTCTAGAAGAGGATATCATTTGAACAAGCTACTTTTTTTACCTACAATGTCTGGTATTTAACAAAAAATTACTACACATGCCAAGAGATTACAGCATATAACTGAAATTAGAGGCAATTAAAAGAGAGTCACCAGTGATACAGATATTAGAGTTGGCAGATAAAGATTTTAAGAAAATTAGGATTAATATGTTCAAGAAAATATAGAAAATGATGGAAAAGAAGATAAAAAGATAAAGAATTTCAGCAGATAACTGAAATCAATTTTTAAAAAAGGATCAAGTAGGTAGCCTAGAAATAAAGACAGTAATAATAATTAAAAGTATAACTCAGTAAAGGAGTTTGTGGAAAAACAGCAGAAAACAGTACTATGGAACACAGAAAATATATACATTGAAACACAGAGGGAGACAAAGATTACAAAATAGAGAGAAGAACATGAAACCTACGAAAAACAATTTTTTAAAAACGGGCAAAGGAGGCAGTCTAATTTACATGTTATTGGAGTTTCTGAAAGAGAGGTAAGAAAATAGCATCTGAAAAGATAATGGCCTCAAGAATTTTCCTGCACTAGTGAAAGACACAAACCTACAGATTCAAAAAGCTCTGGCAACTCCAAGCAGTATAAATACAAAAAAAAAAAAAAATCACATCTAGGTATGTCATATTTAAACTGCTAAAAAACAAGGGAAAAATAGAAAACCTTAATAGCAATGGGGGGATCCAAAGGAATAACAATAAGAATGATAGCTTATTCCCCCCCCCAAAAAAAGATGGAAATGAGAAGATAATGAAATCTTTACAGTGCAAAAGACCACCAACCTAAAAATCTATAATCAGCAAACATATCCTTCAAAAACAGAGAACATTTTCAGACAATCAAAAACTGAGAAAATTCAATGCCAATAAACTTGTACTAAAAGAAATGAGTAGTTCTTTCGAGGAAGAAAATGATCTTAGATGAAAACATAAAAATGTAAAGTACAAAAAGAACAGAGTTTAAATATAAGAATATTAAATAATATTGACTGAACAAAACAATAATAATGTCTAGTGGAATTTAAAGTATATGTAAAGTTACAATGCATGGCAACTAAAATGTAAAAAGAAGGGGGGGCAAATGGAGTTGTAGTGTTCTAAGGCTCTAGCACCAGCAGAGAAATTCTAATAGGAATAATTTGTTTTAGACTGTAATAAGTCAAAGATGTACTTACAATCTCTAGGGCAAAAACTAAAAGAATACTAACAGAATCTATAGCTAACAAGTATAAGAAGGGGAAAGTAAAATTTAAATATATTTGCTGAATCTGAAAGAGGCCAAGAAAAAATAGAAATAAACATAAAAACAGTGAAATGGAACTCAAACGTTAAGATGGTAGATCTAAACACTACTATATCAGTTTTCAGAGAAAAACAGAGATAGAGTAGCAGGGATTAGCAGTGGCCATAATAGTCAAGAGAAGAGCAAAGAGATAAAAGGTTTATAAAGAAGCAATTTAGAAAAAAAAAATCCAGCAGTCTAGGAAACTTGGAAAGGAAGTAAATGTGGATAATATTTTATCAACAGATAAATCTAGAACGCATTATTATAACCAATGTTTGCACTGAGTTACCAAAAAAGAGTTAACATTCAATACATCTTAATTAAAAGATAGGAATCATAATGTTTCCTATTCAAAAAGTTAAACAACACATTTTGCAAAAAAAAAAAAAAAAAAAAAAAAAGGATTTTATGCTATCTAAATGATCTGGACATTTCAGAGAATCCACAAAGTCCATATTTTAATATGCCAAATCATGGAGGCGAAATTTCCTGATTGCTATTCTTAGCTTATAAGTGCCAGGATTCAGAAAGCAATCAAAATTATGAGTGTAACTATTATGATACCCAAACATTATTCTTTCAGAGTATCATCTCTGTTATCATGTGAGAGACTGAAAATAATTTGTTTGTTTGTTTTTGTTTGAGACAGGGTCTCGCTCTGTCACCCAGGCTATAGTCCTGTGGCATGATCTCAGCTCAATGCAGCCTCAACCTCCTGGGCTCAAGCAATCCTCCCACCCCAGCCCCTAGAGCAGCTGGGACCACAGGTGTGTGCCACTAAGCCTGGCTAATTTTTGTAGAGGCAGGGTTTCACCATTGCCCAGGCTGGTCTCCAACTCCTGATTCAAACGATCCGCCTACCTCGGCCTCCCAATGTGCTAGGATTACAGGCATGAGCCACCGTGCCTGGCCAAGTTTTAAATATCTCTATATCATATAATCACCAAAGCTAATAAGAAGCATGTTAGAAGATCATGATTATTTTATTACTGGACTAATATTACTTCTAGTATCTCTCCAGAATGGAAGGGGACAAACGTTTCCTTTATTTGACTGAGAAAATGTATTTCCCCTCTTACAGTCACAGGCATTTACTCCTTTGTTTTCTTAAGACTGGACAGCTTAGCTAAGGCTCCTTTATTTATTAGGGACTAGACAACAATTGGCGTAATTTAAAATTTTGTCCCAATAACCACAGAGGACAAACAAAACTTACATACTTATGAATATATAATAATATATTATCAACATACTCATATTTTCTATTAAAATATTCATTAAAGTTTTGGGACAGAATGTTAAACAAATTTAATTGATTCTTCAAAGGTCATACATATCATAAGAATTCTTCTAAGGACAAAAACAGTTCACTAAACAAGGCCTGGTATCCCGTACACAATGTCATTTGGCTTGTCCCTGTCTGTACCTTACAGTGCCCTTTTCACAGTGAATCATAAAGTCTATTCAATCAGTACAAATTTTTTTAGAGTGAATTTTGCAAGCAAAGAACACAGACTATGTTCTTAGTAGGTTATATTTGACTTCTAAATTCCATTCTCTTGCCTCGTTACACAGAATACAAAGCTACTGACCTTTGCAAATATAGCACATTCATTTTTTTTCAGACTTTTGACTAATTAGACAACATGAGAGAAATGTAAGGTAAAAGATAAATCATCCTGGTCATTTTTCCACTTCCTCAACCTCATCATTTTCCCCTATAAATAAGGTGATTCTGATTGGCACAACAATGCTCAAGATGTAAAGCTGCAGAACAGAAAATTACACACAGTAGGATGAAGAAATTAATTTCACGGCAGTAATGGTTTTCTAGCTTCACTAATAAAATCCCTTTAGCCCAAGATCTCTTTACGAAGAACCATGTATGTAGCAAATGCTTTATGAGAAAAACATGTCAGAAACATCACCGGATATGCTCAGCCCATCTTCTAAATATATGCATGTATGCATTCGCCAAATATCATCATGTGCAATCTATAAATGACTGGTTATCTATATTTTACAAATCTTCTAACTCCTAATCCACTGAACTGCTTATGCTGGGTGGTGTTGGGATTTAAAAAAAGAAAAAAGAGAAAAAAAGATGGCTCTACCTCCAAAGAATTATAAGCATCTCTTCCTTCCTTTTAACAGAAATCACAGCCTACTTTCATTCTCTTCCACTGAAAATGACTTGGTACATTCATCTTCCTCTCTTTAATCATTACCAATTACAAAGAAACAATTTCTAGTAAGGGTAAACTCTCCAGCTCTGTTCTTAACACCATGTCCTCCTGCATTGTCCCACCTGTTATCCTCCCACCAACATAAATGCTCAGTGATCTCCTAAACAGAGCATAAACCCAGATCTTAAATCCCTAGACACTGAAGCTACTACCCTCCTCTTTTTCCATCAAAAGCTAATTTCTTCCACACTCTTTACCTCCACTTCTTATACTCAGCTCACTGTACCCTGATTTCTGACCAAACCAACTCTACCAAAACAGCTCTCTTAATAATCACCAATGGCTTTCCTAATTACTAAACCTACACACCCCAATTCTTAATGTTATTTCATTTCTCTGACAAACTGTAGACCTTTTACTTTTGTTTTCAACGGTATGTGTGATCTAGAATCCGTCTGTATGATTTCTCTTTCTCTGCTTCTCACTGGCTCATCTTCATCTCCCTGATATCTAAACAGGCATTCTGTCTTCAAATTTCTTCCATTTCCATACTCTGTCTCTCAATAATATCATACGAAGATGTGGCTTAAAAAGAATTTCTTAAAGGAAAACTTTACAAACAACTCTCAATTTCTATCTTGTAATTCTATACCAAGATTTTGCAATGCATTACCAGTTGTCAAAATGTACTAAGTATAATTCATTCATTTTTCTCATTCATTAATCCATTCAACAAATAGTCATATTTTTAAAAAGAGTCAGTTGGCTAGAACTGGAATAATCAAGGATTGAAGAATAAAATTAAATGAGGGAAGCACATGTCTGATCACATAGAGTTTCAGAGGCAACTCTGAATTTTGAATTTTGTTTTAAAGTTTGTTTTAAAGATGACAGGACACCACTGGAGTTTACCTGCCCAAGGTCACCCACGGCTAGCAAGTTATAGAAACATAATTTGAATACAGACATGCCTGTCACCAGAACCCAGGCTCTTAACCACTCTTTTGAACTGCTTTTATAAAAATAAAGCAAAAGCCATTCCACCAGAGAACTGTACTTACGATCGTGATATTAACAATGCTATCTTCTGATGTAGTTGATATTAACAATGCTATCTTCTGATGTAGGGGTCGGCAAACTATGACCCATGGGCCAAATCCAACTCACCACCTGCTTCTGTAAATAGTTTTATTGGAAAGCAGTCATGCTCATTTGTTCACATATTGTCTATGCCTGCTTTCACACTATAAAGCAAAGTTAAGTCACTGTGAAAGAGGCAGTCCACAAAGCCTAAAATATTTACTATCTAGCCCTTTATAGAAAGAGTTTGTCAATCTTTGTTCCATCCAACTGTCTTTAGGTGCATCAGTTGCTAATTGGGGACAATAAGAACTACCTCACCTATTTGCAGTGACAATTCAGGAAAAGAGCATATCTGAAAAAAATCAAATGACAGCAGGCACCCAAAAATGTGAACTGCAGTCTAAGTCAGGCTCTACACTCCAGCATCTATTTAGGAAAAAAATAATACCATCTCCATTTTATCTCACCATCATGTCACTTATTTCTCAAAGGTATTTTGCTGACTTGCACACACCCCAACTCCTAACACTACCAATAAGATGCACGTCTCCTATTACAATCATCCTCAAAGCCTATTCCATGGCCTGTACATTCTTGTTAATAGCACTGCCATTCTCCCCTCAGCCGGGTTTTGGTTTCTGAAATAATCTTGAACATCAAACTCTTCAAGACCAGAGTGAAGTCCTATTTATTCAACTTATGCAACAGCTTCCTAACCATCCCCTTTTCCACATTTCCAGGGCCTAATCCTATTTCCAGTCCCCATGACCTCTCACTTTATCATTCCAGTAACCTCACAATTCATTTCCCAAATCAATATTTGTAAGTGTCTTACATTAAAATGTTAGATATGACAAAATATTTCTTAAGCAATCAAAAGTATCCTTTTAAAAGTATTCAGCATCATGTCAGCACCCATTAAATTACATCCTCAGCTTTGCATTCAAGTTCTTCTATGACACAATTCTAATTGACACCTCAAACTAACTTCCTACTAAATTGCTTGAGCAATTATCATTTTTCACTAGTATGTACCATACTCTATGTGTAGTTATACTACAATGCAATATAGTTATACTACATTGAGTATTGGAAATAAAAAGATGAAAAACTGAACTGCTGTCCTGAAGAAGTTTAAAATCTAGTAGGGAAGACAAATATAAAGAACAAAAAATACCCCATACAAAGGGAAAAGTGTTTTGGGAAACGTATGAACAAAAAAAATGTGAGCATAAAAAGAATGTAAGAACTAACTCTGCCAAAATGGGTGGAGGGGCTAAGGGTTGGTAATGGCTTCACTGTCCTGAGGAAGAGTGAGATTAAAAAACAAGGGTAGGGAAGGGAAAAGAGGGATAGGATAGAGGATGCAGGATTCCTGCTATTTCAAGCTTTTTTTTTTTTTTTTTCAAAAGCAGTGGTTTTAAACCGGGGGCAATTTTTGCCTCTTAAGGGAAATTTGACAACGTCTAAAGACATCTGATTGTCACAACTGGAAAGAGGAGGCTACTACCAGCATGATGTGATGTAGGTAGAAGACAGAAATGATGCTCAGCATCCTACTATATAGACTCCAGTCCTCCAACAAGAAAGAATTACCCATCCCAAAATGTCAATCTGTCACAAATGAGTTATCATGGTCTACAGTCAAAAGGAACGGGAATAAAGGAAAGGATAAAGCTGAGATAAGTCCAGGATGGGTTAGAACACTGATAATACAGAGAAGGCAAGGAAGGAGAATGAGTTATATCTACACAACTTCACTCACCAAAACCAAAGGAAGAATGCAAAACTGAGCAAAACTTCCTTTTGCAAAGGAAGAATGCAAGTTACTAATGAATGCTCCACATCTAAAGGTTCATGAACACAGCCTTGAGGCTGCAATGCAGGGGTCTTAAGACAATCAGTTATGAGGGAATGGCAAAGACAAGGGCAAAACAGCGAAAGAAAAGGCTCTCTGCACTTTCTGTTCCACATCATCCAATTCAACACATAGTTATTGCACAGCAGCTGCTGCTAGATGTCATGGAAAAGCACAGAGATAAATAAGTCAAAAATCCCTGCTCTCAAAAAGACTGAATTTCAGTAGGGAGAATTAGATAAATATATAAGTTATCATAATATAAAGAAAAAAATACATGTCATAAGAGAAATGCAAAGGGTTTCAAATATACACAATCTTACAAAAGACTCCTTCACAGTAATAAAGTATTTTACTTAATACCCTCTTGATCTTCTACTGTGAGAAAAAAATCACAGGATAGTAAATTCTCCATCTTTGTGAAGTTTTCAATGTCCAGTATAATTAACATAATTAGCAAAATAAAATATCTGTTACTTCCATATAGCCCTGATTGCTAACACTATGTTACCAAGACAAAAAGCAGCACTTTCTATAGAGTATCCCAATACAGGCTTTGCTTTCCATTGAAAGACTCATGTAAAAAATTAGATCCAATATCCTAGAGTAAGTCCTGTACCATTGAGAAGCTCTTAGTTGTTTGTTTTTTACTTTGGGTGGGTTTATTTCTCCTGAGGTTAGAAAGCTATCCAGAGGACAGCTCTTTAAATATTCTCTTCAGAAGGAACCTCAAACTCAACATGAGAAAATAGTTAGAGAAATCCCTAATGGTCCAGCCAACATACATTTTTTATAAAGTGATTATCCTCCTGCAGCTTCAGCTTCCTAAGCCTTTTTCCTCCCTTCTATAATTGTTTTCCTTGTAGGCCAGGCAACAATTACCACTGCTACAAGACTAAGGAGGTTCACAAGCAATATATTTTACAATACATAAGTGTAGTGTCTCTGATATCTGGTGCTTTTATCACTAATTGCGCTATAAAATACGCTATTAAAACAGGGACAAACAAGATTGTAAAAATCACATAATGGACCACGACCACTTACAAAAGCCATTCATAACTGTTACTGTACCACTTATTTTTCTTTAATTTTCAAGTTATATAATTATTTTTCCAAATTTTTACTTCTAGGGGATACCATCAAGAAAAAGAATATATCTGGGAGTTACACCACATGCATGCATGCTCTTAAACATATTGTTTTATAAATTTGCTCAAAATCAAATTACATATCATGTCAGAAAATGTGCTATGAACACTGAATTCCTAGAGACAGCTACAAGATTCCTTGGAAGTAACTGAAGGTATGGCCAATGCTTTCAGCTGTGATTTCTTCACAAACTTTAGGGTTTGCTACTGAAAGCACAGAGGAAAAATGTAGAATGATTTCACAGTTCCAGTTGTTGAAATATACAATACAACATAGCTGATAAAACATTTATATCTTGAGGGAAGAAATAATGATCAAAGGGTGACATTACTGCGAACTACTGGAGGATGTGGGTCAGTGGAACTGCCTACAGTATTTCATGTATCATCAGCACGCACGAACTCATGGTTAATTTTCAAGTCTGCAGATGAGCCTTTCAACCCCTTTACTATTTATTCACATGTCTAACCATTTAAAAAAATGAAAATCAAGGAGAGACTAAAATTAAAAGTATTTGTGCCTATTCATTAATAACTCTAATGAATATTTAGATGGAACTAGAATTTTAAGTAGTGATTGAGATGAAATATTGAGATTGTCTCTAGGTTTGATTTATCCATTACTAGAGACAAACTAGTGCTAATTATACCACATGACACAAATACCACAGACCAAACAGTGGCTAGACTCTACAAAACTAAAGATAAGTAACCAATTCATGAATTGGGATTGGTTTTTTTAATAGGATCATCTTCTGTTAACTGAAGAAGTAACTTATACTTTATTAAGTGTCAGTAAGGAAAGTGTGTTTGAGCTTGGGTCTCAGAAAAATTTCAGTACTTCTGCAACACCATCATACGTATTCTGAAACATTTTCTTAAATCTTTACAATCGCTTAACCTTACTAAAATCAGAACCTAATTTTAAAACAAATGATACATCACAATTACAGACATCTTAATTGTACCTAAATTACTTTTTTCCCTCCTTAGGACATTAGCTAGTGCTCAATCTTTCAACAGAAAGACTACCAAAAAGTAAGACAGATTATATACAGTTGGTTTGCCCTAATTTCAGAAACTAAAGTCACTTAATTCAGTCGGAAGAATTTAAAAATATTTGAATGGTAAGAATAATATACTTTTCCAAAATGCCAAGTACTTGAAAAACTCAAACCATGTTGGATAAACCTAAATGAAAATCAAAAGTTTATTTTTCAAGGGTCATTTCTCAAAAATTATTTTCTAAGATATGCCAAAGCCATGTTACTAAATGAAGTTAAATGGGGTCTACACACTTCATGGGCCCACATATAAAACTTACCTTGTCAGATGCCTCAGAAGCCAAGAGGTTAGTTGCAAGGGTTTGTAGCTTATGATGGGCCATATTTTTAAGAGCAGCAAGACTACGTCTCGTCATAGCTTGTTTTAGGTTGACTGCTGGATGACTAAGTGAATCAACAGCAGCAGGAACAGCTTCATCACAAGCGTTTAGAATCTCAACTGCTGTTATCCCCATCACACAACGATCCAATGCACCTGCGAGAAAAATATATTCACAAATATTTCATAACACTACAACATTTTGAATAGTTTAAGTAAAGAAAAAATGGTATGAAAATTTTTTAAGTAGAAACATGTTTTATCAATGCCTCCTGGAAATTTTTTTTTGTACTTCCTTCCTCTAACAATCTTCCATGTAGTACCTACCACCTCAATGAATTCCTCTCCCACAAAGTCCCTGATGCAACTTCCCAATAAAGTCAAGTTCAGAGCTAAGATTCCAACAACCTTCTCCAGGCTTTTCCACTCTTTCTACCTCCCAGATGGTTTTCTTGACTACTCCTGTCCCATCGCACCATTACAAACATTAAAATCTATGATTTGACCTTCCTCTAAGTTGTATATCAATCTTAAACGAAAAAAGTCTTACTAAAATTTGTTTTTTTCCTCATTGAATAATTGCTGAAGCTTCTCTAAGAAACTTCCACAAAACAGAAAAAATATTATAATTTCTACATTTTGTCTGCAAATTCTTGACTCTTACTCTCACCATCCAGCCAAATGTTTCTTCGTATGTTTGTGGAAATTACCACTACTTCTACTTACAACTACTTTACTTATTTATTTATTTATTTTTTATTTTTTATTTTTTTGAGACAGAATCTCGCTCTGTCGCCCAGGCTGGAGTGCAATGGCGCGATCTTGGCTCACTACAAGTTCCGCCTCCTGGGTTCACATCATTCTCCTGTCTCAGCCTCCCGAGTAGCTGGGACCACAGGTGCCCGCCATCACGCCCGGCTAATTTTTTGTATTTTTAGTAGAGACAGGGTTTCACCGTGTTAGCCAGGATGGTCTCGATCTCCTGACCTCGTGATCCGCCCGCCTCGGCCTCCCAAAGTGCTGGGATTACAGGCATGAGCCACCACGCCCGGCCTACAACTACTTTAACGCTTCTTTATTTGGCTATCCTTTCTGTTTATCTCCATCTATGCATTTCTTGTCTAAGTCACAGCAAAAACTTCCTCCAATGTGAGCTTCACCACCTCCTTCACCCACCTTTCAAGCTCTTAATGTTACATTTTCAATGAGTTATTCTCTGGCCATCTTATCAAATTCTCCCTTTTCTGCTTTATTTTCTCCATAACACGAACACCAGAGAACATACTATGTGTTTAAAGTTTTTGTTATTTTTGACCTGCCTCTCTCCACCCAGAATGTAAACTGCACAAAAGCTAGAGAGTTTCAGATGTTTTGTTCACTGTTGTATCCCTGGTACACTGAACAGTGCCCAGCACATTGGAGGCACAGAGTAAC
This sequence comes from Homo sapiens, assembly GCF_000001405.40. Lineage (NCBI taxonomy): Eukaryota > Metazoa > Chordata > Mammalia > Primates > Hominidae > Homo > Homo sapiens. The sequence goes on along the minus strand of NC_000018.10, from coordinate 56,730,104 downwards.
TATTTGTTGATTAAATAGAGATAGAGTTAGCAGCCTCAAAATACAGAGTTCTAACAAATCTATGAGAAAAAAATAAGCCAACAAAATAATGTTTAAAGAATATGAACAATCAAGAAAAGAAATTGAAATAGGTAGTAATCATACAAAAAGATGTCAACCTCACTAATAATCAAAGAAATCAAATTGAAGCAATAATGAAATACTATTTATATCTTACCGTACAGATATTCAGCATTCTCAAGTATGTAAGAAAACTGGTAATACACTTTTAGTACAAATAAAAATTAGTAATTTTTTTAACAAATTCTATTAAATTTAAAACTCACATTTCCTTTAACACAGGAATTCCTATTCTAAGATTATGCTAAATAATGATACCATATCCAAACATATATGTGTGTGGTTGGGTTATAAATGTCTTAATCGTAATAGAAAAATTTTTCAGAAACCTAAATATCTAACATTAGTAGACTGTGTCAATAATTTATGATGTATCCACTAAAAGGAGTACTGTGAAGTTACAAAAACAATGTTTAAAAGCATGCTCTGCTATATATATTAACATAGAATAAAAGCCACAACATACTGTTAAATGAAAATAACAAGTTAGAGAAGAGTATTCATAGTATAAAGTGGGGGAAGGGATATTACAGTCACAGAAAAATACTCTCAATAGATGTACACTACTTGGTTAACAGGATATATTTACATGGTTGAATTAGTATAGAACTTCATATTCTTGTACATGAAGATTTGTAACATATCAATTTTTTACAAATGTATATCATATTATGTTTTTAAATATTGTGGGAAAAGATTATTTTAAGTAAATTAAAGTTAATTCAATTTTGAAAATAATATGATATTCTTTCAGATATCTTAAAGTTTCACAGGAATAAATTTAGAATTTACTGCTCTAGCTCTTAATTCTCCATTAAATGTAGTTTGTAGTTATAATGGAAAGGCTTAAGTGACTTTCCCTTATTGATATCTAAAATAAAATCATTAATCAACAAATAAGTGAGAATATACTACCTGCAAAAGCTCCAAGTAACTAATTTGATCTCTGGTGTCTAAAGTTTATACTTCCTCTTCTCTTCTGAACAACCGAGCCCAAAGTCAGTAAATACACCTGAGCAAAGGTAGGAGCCCATGTCAGATAAGGGGCATGGTGGTGAAAAGCGGGCCTGCAGCAGCCCAGAGCAATATGTCAGAGGCTGAGAGGGTGCAGAGGGAAGCTAAACAAGAGGGAAGTGGTGGCAGCAGCTTGGCACAGGGTTTAGCCCCAGAAGCATGTGCATCAAGAGACACTGTTGGAACCTGAGTGGAGAGAGGAGGGAGTTCACACAGTGACGCAGCCCAGTACAGATCCCAAAGGTGGGTCTAAGAAATCAACACATGAAAGCAACCTGGCACAGAAGGTTGAAGTCTAAGAGGTATGAAAAGGGCATCCATATGGTGAGTGGGGATGGGATGGGGCCCAAAGAGAGAAGAGGGCATCTATGCAGGTAGGCAGCTTTGCACAGGGTGCTAGATCCCAAAAGGGGAGAAAGGATGACTATGCTGGGAAGAGAGGACATCAGTCACAGGGTATCAGCCAGGATGGATAAAAAGCACATCCACACGAGGAGGCAGCATCATCTACTTCAGCTGTAAAGCAAGACAATGCTGAAAGAAAAAAAATATCCAGTGTGAAGGGACTCCCACTGACCAAATCCAAGACATCACATAAGAGTTTAGGAATGTAATCTGTTGTATAAAATAGAGATCCAACTGCAAATAAATGAGTAACTTAAATGTTTGATAAAGAAAAGCTATTTACATGGTTTCAAAGTATCTTTTCACAAAATGCTTACTAATTACAAAAAGAAAAAACATAACTTTGCAGTGAAGAAGCCAAAAAACACCTTAAGTGACCTAAGTAAACTCTAGTGATGAAACAAATTAAAATCATATGCCAACTGATAAGATGTAATGAGAAAAATGTCAGTGATTTTCTTGCCAAAGATACATATTCTGAAAATAACCATGAGAAGACATCAGATAAACGGAAATTGGGAAACATTTTATAAAACGACTGGCCAGAAATATTCAAAACTTTCAGTCTTTAAGGTGAAGGAAGAACTAAGGAATTATTTTAAATTGAAAGGGGGATAGAACTAACCATGCATAATTCTAATCTGGATCTTTTTGCAGTAAAAGACTGTAGTGGAACAACTGGAAAAGTTGGAATAAAGTCTGAAGATTAAATGGTTGTAACATATCAATGGTAATTAACTTCCTGGGGTGGGAGAGAAATGTATACCCCAAGAGTGAGGGTCAAAACATTTGCACATAAGAAGACAATCAACAACACAAGCCAAAAAGAATAATAAAGAGGCTGATATGGTTTCGCCCTGAGTCACCACCCAAATCTCACCTTGAATTGTAATAATCCCCATGTGTCAAGCGTGGGACGAGGTGGAGATAATTGAATCATGGAGACAGTTTCCTCTATGCTGTTCTCCTAATAGTCAGTGAGTTCTCACAAGATCTGATGATTTTACAAGGGGCTTTCCCCTTCGCTCAGCACTCCTCCCTTCTGCTGCCCTGTGAAGAGGTGCCTTTCACCATGATTGTAAGTTTCCTGAGGCCTCCCCAACCATGCGGAACTGTGAGTCAGTTAAACCTCTTTTCTTTATAAATTAGCCACTCTCAGGTATTTATTCACAGTAGCATGAGAATGGACTAATACAGAGGTTCAAAAGATAGAAAAAAAAAATCCATTCCCAACTAAACCTGTTTTTAAAAATATCAGGGAAAGAGTGGACTCTGCCTGAATATTTAAAGATTTTGAAAATTCAAATTAGCAGAAAAGACTTCTGCTTCCAGCCAAGATGGAGTAATAGGAACTGAATTTACCCTTTTACGTAAAATAATTGGGAAAAAAATAGATGTAAGGATTTGAAACAATGCTTTTTCAGACAATCCTTAATTGACTAATGTCCATTGTCTGAACACTGACTAACATCCATTGTCTGAATAGCCTAACAGATTCCTTAAGTTGAAGACAGATAGCTTAGAGTACAGGCAGCTAGAGTTTGCAGAATAGACTACCAGGGTGAAGAAAGCTCCACAGAAACCTGCAGAAGGTCCTCCTTACATACTCGGCAGAGTACTGATTACTGTGTGACTATGAAGAAAGTACCCAAGGCCAAGGAAAGAACCACTTGAAAAGATTACAGGGTACAGTACCCAGGACTCAGACAGGATTGTGAATAGTACCTACTCTGACCAGCCAGAATGGAAACCTCAAATTCATGAGCCACTGGGTACAGTTCTCAGGAAGGTGTTCCATTTGCAGTGGATAATAATTAGCTCCACATTTAACCCTGCTCCAGCCCTACCTGACAAGGCAAGACCCAAAAGGATCAAACTGTTTCTCAGTAATTTAACTGTGTCCCATCAAGCAGGAGAAAGAAATAAAGGGTATTCAATTAGGAAAAGAGGAAGTCAAATTGTCCCTGTTTGCAGATGACATGATTGTATATCTAGAAAACCCCATTGTCTCAGCCCAAAATCTCCTTAAGCTGATAAGCAACTTCAGCAAAGTCTCAGGATACAAAATCAATGTGCAAAAATCACAGGCATTCTTATATTCTGATAACAGACAAACAGAGAGCCAAATCATGAGTGAACTCCCATTCACAATTGCTTCAAAGAGAATAAAATACCTAGGAATCCAACTTACAAGGGATATGAAGGACCTCTTCAAGGAGAACTACAAACCACTGCTCAATGAAATCAAAGAGGATACAAACAAATGGAAGAACATTCCATGCTCATAGATAGGAAGAATCAATGTCGTGAAAATGGCCATACTGCCCAAGGTAATTTATAGATTCAATGCCATCCCCATCAAGCTACCAATGACTTTCTTCACAAAATTGGAAAAAACTACTTTAAAGTTCATATGGAACCAAAAAAGAGCCTGCATTGCCAAGTCAATCCTCCAAAAGAACAAAGCTGGAGGCATCATGCTACCTGACTTCAAACTATACTACAAGGCTACAGTAACCAAAACAGCATGGTACTGATATCAAAACAGACATACAGAACAATGGAACAGAACAGAGCCCTCAGAAATAATACCACACATCTACAACTATTTGATCTTTGACAAACCTCACAAAAACAAGAAATGGGGAAAGGATTCCCTATTTAACAAATGGTGCTGGGAAAACTGGCTAGCCATATGTAGAAAGCTGAAACTGGATCCCTTCCTTATACCTTATACAAAAATTAATTCAAGATGGATTAAAGACTTAAATGTTAGACCTAAAACCATAAAAACCCTAGAAGAAAACCTAGGCAATACCATTCAGGACATAGGCATAGGCAAGGACTTCATGTCTAAAACACCAAAAGCAATGGCAACAAAAGCCAAAATTGACAAATGCGATCTAATTAAACTAAAGAGCTTCTGCACAGCAAAAGAAACTACCATCAAGAGTGAACAGGCAACCTACAGAATGGGAGAAAATTTTTGCAATCTACTCATCTGACAAAGGGCTAATATCCAAAATCTACAATGAACTCCAACAAATTTACAAGAAAAAAACAAACAACCCCATCAAAAAGTGGGCAAAGTATATGAACAGACACTTCTCAAAAGAAGACATTTATACAGCCAACAGACACATGAAAAAATGCTCATCATCACTGGCCATCAGAGAAATGCAAATCAAAACCACAATGAGATACCATCTCACACCAGTTAGAATGGCAATCATTAAAAAGTCAGGAAACAACAGGTGCTGGAGAGGATGTAGAGAAATAGGAACACTTTTACACTGTTGGGGGACTGTAAACTAGTTCAACCATTGTGGAAGACAGTGTGGTGATTCCTCAGGGATCTAGAACTAGAAATACCATTTGACCCAGCCATCCCATTACTGGGTATATACCCAAAGGATTATAAATCATGCGGCTATAAAGACACATGCACACATATGTTTATTGCAGCACTATTCACAATAGCAAAGACTTGGAACCAACTCAAATGTCCAACAATGATAGACTGGATTAAGCAAATGTGGCACATATACACCATGGAATACTATGCAGCCATAAAAAAGAATGAGTTCATGTCCTTTGTAAGGACATGGATGAAGCTGGAAACCATCATTCTCAGCAAACTATCGCAAGGACAAAAAACCAAACACCGCATGTTCTCACTCATAGGTGGGAACTGAACAATGAGAACACCTGGACACAGGAAGGGGAACATCACACACCAGGGCCTGTTGTGGGGTGGTGGGAGAGCGGGGGAGGGATAGCATTAGGAGATATACCTAAAGTAAATGACAAGTTAATGAGTGCAGCACACCAACATGGCACATGTATACATATGTAACAAACCTGCACATTTTGCACATGTACCCTAGAACTTAAAGTATAATTATATATATATATAAAATTAAAAAAAGGTAAAAAAAATTTAACTGTGTCCCACAACAAAGCTCAAAAAAATTTACAGGAATACAAAAATATCCAATACCCAACAAAATAAAGTTCACGATATCTGGTGTCTAATAAAAAATTACAAAGGCATGGCCAGGAGCGGTGGCTCATGCCTGTAACCCCTGCACTTTGGGAGGCCAAGGCAGGTGGATCACCTGAGGTCAGGAGCTCGAGACCAACCTGGCAAACATGATGAAACCCCCCATCTCTACTAAAAATACAAAAAATTAACTGAGCGTGGTGGTGCCTATAATCCCAGCTTCTTGGGAGGCCTGAGGCAGGATAATCACTTGAACCTGGGAGGCAGAGACTGCAGTGAACTGAGATTGGGCCACTGCACTCCAGCCTGGGCAACAAGAGTGAAACTCTGTCTCAAAAAAAAAAAAAAAAAAATTACCAGGCATGTCAAAAAAATGATCAATACTGAGTGAAAAAAAAAAAATCAAATCAAGAAAAACAAGCCCAGAACTGATAAACATATTAAAATTTGAAGACAACGGCATTAAAAGTTATTATAATTATATTCCAGATGTTCAAAAGGTTTTGCATAGAGAAATAGAAGATATTAAAGTACCAAAATCAAGCTTTGAGAAATGTAAACTACAGTGTTTGGGATGAAAAATATACTAGATGGGAACAATTAGATTAGACATTATAGAAGAAAATATCAGTAAGCTTGAAGGCATAGCAATAGAAATTATATAAAATGAAACCAAAAAAAGTTTTTAAATGAAAATACCATCACAGTGAGCTGAAGAACAACTTCAAATGGCTTAAAAGACATATAATTGGAGTCTCCAAAGAAAAGAAAAGAAAATGGAGGGGAGAAAATATATTTGAATAAATTATGGCCAAAAGTTTTCCAAATTTGATAAAATCTACACAGCCACGGATCCAATAAGTATAACAAACCCCAAGAACAAGAAATAGAAAGAAAACCACAATCAAATTGCTCAAAACCAGTAATTAAGGAAAAAATTTAAAAGGAGCCAGAGAAAAGAAATGTTATATACAGAGGAAACATAAGGTTGACAGATTTCTTGCTGAAAATAATGCAACCCAGAAGACAGCTGGAGTACAGACAGCAAAAGACAAAAACCTGTTGACCTAGAATTCTATACCTAGAGAAAATAGCCTTTAAAAATGAAGATAAAATAGAGTTTTTTTCAAACATGCAAAAGCTGAAAGAATTCATCACCTGCAGACCTACACTAAAAGAAAAATTAAGTATTAGACAAAAGAAAAATGACTCCAGGCAAAATCTATATCTACACAAAGCAATAAAGAGCAATGGAAATGGTGACTACATAAGTAAATATGCAAGACTGCATTCTTATTACTCAAATTTCCTTAAAATATCATAGATACTTTTGTTTGTTTTAAACAAAAAAAAAAAGGAAAGAAAAAAGCAATGTTCCAAGTGAGTGAAAATCACGAAAACAATATGGATGACACTAGCAAGAAGAATTGGGAGTGACCCAATTATTATTGACTAGAGCAACTGGTCTGTGTAAAAGAACAGTAAGAGGTAAAGACAGAAGGTAGGAAAGTACCACACTATGGAAGACCTTGTCTTGAAGGCTTTATGAACTAATATTGTTTATGGTTTATTCATTAAGACATTAATATGAAGCAAGTGTTGTCAGTGTTTTCTTTCCTAAGATTAATTTCCCGGCAGAGTAAAGGATGAATTAGAAGGTAGAAAGAGTAGGCAGGGTACCCAATAAAGATAGCCTAGGTATGGAAAAATATGGCCATAAATTACAATGGTACACTGGAAATAATAAAAAAGTAGTTGAGGGATACCTAATGGGAAAGACTTAGTGATTAATTGCATGGAGGGGTTGTGAGAGGAGGGAGTAGTAAGCACAGTCATATCTCCACTCTAACAACCCCTTCCTTCAAAAAGGGAAGCAATGAAAATGGTAACTACAGAGGTAGGTAAATATGTAAGATTTCATAAAGTCAATCATTAAAAGAGAAAAAAGAAACTCTCTGATTATACTTGGTTTTACCAAGGTTATAGTCAATTACCTCTTTTTCTTAACCCATTCATTCTCTGTGTCTTCCCCTGTCCTATAGCATGTTTTGTAACAGAATGAAAAGCAAAAATGTACAGAAAAGCTGATGATGTAATGGCAATATATAGTGAAATACAAATGTAAGATCTAATTTCCACTGTATTAGATACTACTGGCAAAGGGTCAAATACGTGAAGAAAACACTTGCTACTAAAACCCTCCACTAATAACAAAGGACTGAACTTCAACACTACCTCCTGATTCTCTTCAGCAATTTTAGTAACAAGAGAAAAACATCAATTTAAATGTATCAAAATAAAAGCATGAAAAACGTTTTCAAAAATTAGTCTTAAGGAAGAATAACAGTCACTAAGACTTTACTTGTATGACAATCTGAGCCCCTGAAACACATGCTTTTTGTTAGCCATGTTTTATATATGTTTTTCAAAAGACATACAAATATACATTAATTCATAATTCCCTGCTAGATTTTATTAGGTACTTAAGTTCAAAAAGATGACTCAAATGCATATTTCATGAAGTACATGCAAAAAGAGAAATATCAGAAAACATGGAGTGCAGAACATAAAAAGAAACATCACAGAACAAATAAATTCACAAGTCCTCATACACTAATTTCTGATGATATTTGTCAAGCATTAATGGTGTTTGCATTTGTATAAGAACATCTAATAATTATACATAAGGAATAGAAATATGATGTGGGAATCACTTTTGTTGTGTAGCAAGAATGATAAAAAGAAGCCAGATGAGAATGTGGTTTAGGCTTGGTAATGGCTAGATAAGAAGAACATTTTGTAACATCAGTCATTACTTTCAGCATGCCTGTTTCCCAAACAGACAGGATTCTGACCTTGTCAAAGGCCTGTGAGAATGGCACTGCATACTTACTGGGAATATGAAATGTGAAGAACGAGACGGTTGATCCCAGAAGCACATCAACAGCTCCACAGAAACCACCTAGGTCAGTGACCCACCTTTAATAACTTCGTAAGAGGGAAGCAAGAGGTTCATCTGGCTAAATCTTGTTGCTAGTGTTTGGGTAGTTTTTTAACTATTTAGAGATGTGAAAGAATAATTTCCATGGCCATTACATCACTATTACATTGCTATTACATATAAGAAAATGTCACAATAAAAGAACAAAAGATTCTAGAACTCCAGCTCTCTACATTTTGTATTACTAGCTTTGACTGGATTTCACAGGGAACTATAAACTGAAAACACAAAGTACTCATTTGAAGGAAAAAAATGTTTAAACATGCTGCATAAACGTATAAAGGAAAGACACTTCAAGTGTTTTACACTAGAAACATCAGTATAACTCAAAACAATAACTAGAAAATTGCCCAATATGCAAAACAGGGTTAATGTGGTATGGCTGCATTTGGAAAAATACATTCCTGAAACACTAACAAGAGAGATCAAGTATCTCCTCAGAGTTTAAATACATTTCATACATCAAACCCTGGCTGAATCTGATTTTTTCTAGCTTCATTTTTTATTTATTTAATAAATAAATAAATTTAATAAATAAATAATGTCAATACCTCCAGGATGTACCTTACTGACTCCCCAGGGAACTTTGTATCACTAGCTACAGCATGAACAGCAAGGAGGAAAAAAACAATGTATGCCTCCCATTATGGTTGAAATCCAAAATAAATCCAGCTTCTCTATAGCATTTATCTTGAATGTCATATTGACTGATTGTTTACCCAAATCTTCAGCATGTAATTTCAATATTACATGCTGTATTTTATCTAAATTGGGCTTAATTACACTAAACTGATTATAACAATAACCTCTTCCAGTACCCCTACAGTTAGGGCCTATTTGTCATTTCCTTCTAGAAAACTCACTAGAACAGTAACTTTGTCTATCAGTAAGGCCTCATTTGTAAATAATTTCATTTTATATTCTTCACAAATATATTTATAGTATCTGAAATATTCAAGTATTATCTAAGCATCAGAAAAGTTCAGAAAAATGATAGTCTCTTCATCATACTTAATTTGAACAAGTCCCAGACAAGTTTACTATACATTTTCACTTAATATACATCAGCTATTAATTTAATAGTTATAGGGTTTTTTTTGTTTGTTTATTTTTAAGACAGAGTCTCTCTCTGTCTCCCAGGCTGGGGTGCAGTGGTGCAATCACAGCTCACTGTAGCCTCGACCTCCTGGTCTCAAGTGATTCTCTCACCTCAGCCACCTGAGTGGATGGGACACAGGCATGTGCCCCCACACCCAGCTAATTTTTGTATTTTTTTTTGTAGAGACAGAGTTTGGCCATGTCTCCCAGGCTGGTCTCAAACTCCTTGGCTCAAGCGATCCACTCCCCTCCATCTCCCAAAGTGCTAGGACTACAGGTGTGAGCCACTGCACCCAGTCTTAATATTGATAGTATTTTAATACAGTGTCTTGCAAATGCCATTATTGCTATAAGAACTTTCTTTAATACTAATTCCCAAAAAATTATTTCTAAATGTAGATAAAGTCATATTCCCAAGTTCAACAAAGTAACAAGTTAAGCAGCATGCTTCTTTAATAACAGTAGTAGGAAATAGATACACATGCATGTATACACACACACACAAGCTTACAATTGCACACACATACACATACATATAAACACACTTACATTCTGTTTACCACATGCCAGGGAAATATTATCTCATTTTATTCTCTCAGAAATGCTTTAAGATAGAAAATATTATTACCCTAATTTTACAGATGAGGAAATTGAGGGACAAATATCCAGTGACTTGGAATAGATCACAGTGTTAGCTAGGAGTCCATCCTAGCTAGTTCAAACTAAACAGTCTGACTCTAGAACTAAAGACAAATTCCATATATTCAGTTTATGAAGTGGACCAAAAAAGAAAACACAAGACTGCTATTCAGCAGATAGGACATAACATAAAGACACACAAAAGAAAGATATAAAATTGCATATGTAGTATGACAGCAATTCTGTTTTTTTTTTTTTTTTTTGAGACAGAGTCTCGCTGTGTCTCCCAGGCTGGAGTGCAGTGGCGCGATCTTGGCTCACTGCAAGCTCCGCCTCCCGGGTTCACGCCATTCTCCTGCCTCAGCCTCCCAAGTAGCTGGGACTACAGGCGCCCGCCAACATGCCCGGCTAATTTTTTGTATTTTTAGTAGAAACGGGGTTTCAAGTGTTAGCCAAGATGGTCTTGATCTCCTGACCTCGTGATCCGCCCGTCTCGGCCTCCCAAAGTGCTAGGATTACAGGCGTGAGCCACCGCGCCCGGCCAGCAATTCTGTTTTTTAAAATGCCCAGAAAGAGATTAGAAAGACATGTGCCAAAAATGTTAACATTTACCAATGAGCAATGAGATGTGGGCTCATCTTTCTTCTTTTCTAATACTTTTGTGCTTTTAAAACTTGACCAAAAAGTATGAATCTCTTTTACAATGAGAGACAAGAGAAAGAAAGGTTACATGCAAAAGCAAGGAAGTTTGACAGACTTCAAGAATGCTTCCTCTTGTCAAGATTGCCTATGTACTACCAGTTAAAATGAAGACAATAAATAAAAGATTACCGAAGCTTATGGCTATTTATTCCCAAAAGGCTTAAGAGAACTCCCGTTCGCACAATAGTGCATGCACAAATATGTATATAGTCTGATTTCAAAAAATGCTATTTAAAACAAAGACGAAGAAAAGGAAAAAATCTAGTAGAAATATTAGTACAACTAGGAATTAAAAGAAAGACTTTAATAACTGATAGATGATTAGTGAAAATTGTGAAAGTAAAAAAGCAACGAGTTTCAAAAAGGCCTAAACCAATAAACATTTAGTTATATACTTACAAATTTCTGAGGGAAAACCACAGCAGTCTGTGTATAAACATTACATATCATTGTCTGTGCTTTTAAGCTAAGCATTACTATTTCTACATTATACCCCCAATACATAAACTTTCTGAAACTCGAAATTTTAAATGTTCTCTCTAGAACTTGAAAACTTCATTTTAATTACCTCATACAAGTAACTGCCCAGCATTGCTTTTCTGCTGTTCAAAGAAAAAAGGGTTGTATCTTTTTCACCGTATGTAAACCTGAGATAAAAATGATTTCTTCTTCTTGTCCACAGTTTACTTGTGAATTATATAGAAAACATATATACTTTGTTGTCCATATGTCTGTCCTCATCTGTATATTATCCTCAATTACATGCTTTTAAAGATTCGTGAAATATTCTACAAACATTTGGCATAGCAGAACAAAAAAGAGGCCACTTAAACAATTAGAAATAAAAGTAGCAACTATTTTACATTTCAAGCCTTTTTTCTTCATATAAAAGACATTTTCATTTCTAGAAAATGAAATACACCCATTTAATTTTCTATAGTATCTCTTCATACTTGTTCTTACCAGTATCCATTTGCCAGACGTACACAGAACCATCTGAACACCCCACCACCAGGTAATCATCAGAAGGCCTCCATTTGATTACTTGAATAGGAAAAAGGTGACGAGATGCCAACATTATGCATTTTTTCTCTCGCAAACTTAGAAGTCCTACTGAGTGGTCACTGGCTACAGAGCAGATGCAGTGCTGTACTCTTGCCTGAAAAGAAGAATAAACCTTAATTGTGTTTAAATTAAATTTAGAATAAAATGGATCCTGTTTTCAATAACTTAAGGCAAAATTAATTATACATTTGCTGCCACTGAAAAACCACCACAATATTAGGTCATGTTGAAAAGTATGTTCCTTTATATTATACATAAAACCCAGATCAATCATCAAAATATTTTTATACTAAATTAATTCTAGATTAAAGATTGCAAAAGGTACACTGGAAAAACTGCTGTTCAAATTTAAAGATGACCTCACTACAATGATTGCTATATTGGAGCAGGCAAAGCTGAGAAAAAATTGATCTGTTATTAGGTGTGCTCTTTCCACAGTGTGAACTTTCCTTTGTTTGCTGTGGGAGCTGCTTTCTGCAGTGCTTCTTTCTGTCTGTGACTCTTTCATTTAGACCCATGCTCTTCCCTGCACCTTTGATCAAAAACAATACCCTCACCGTCCCTCTGCCACGATCATTTCTTAGGAGTCATAGATATTCACATTATCTGTAGATATGCATTCCTATTTCCTTCATGGTTTCTATCTATAATGTCAGCAGATGCATCACCTCAAGTAGCCACACAATAGCCAATTAAATGTTCTGCTGTGTATTTTCTGCTCACCTCTAGTTTTTGCCCTTCAACTCCTTTTTAGAACAAGACAAGATATAAATAATCAAAGATTTTCTCTGGTAAGAGAGAACTGAACCCATGACCTAAAAAATTAAAAATTAAAGTCTAGATTTCTATAAAACAATTTATAAACAATTGAAAACTTAACTTTTCAGTGACTTACTGGTTTATGCTTTCAGGTCATACTGAGGGAAACCACATAAAAACAGCCATCAGAAACTCATTCTTGTACATATTGTGGCTATTTATTGAGGGGGAGGCCCACTGCACTATAAATATACTCTTTCCCTTGTATGGGATCTAAAGAAAAAACACGTCAAACCTCACCCTGCTGGGGGTTCTCCTAAGCAAACAGGTTGTTTTTAAACTAAAGATCAATATCTCAATATCTTTCCCAAATGGGACACGTTGATAGGTATTAGGTGAAAAAAAGGGAGGAAAGTGTGGTCAAATGTGCATGGGAAATACTGACAATACTGAGGTTGGGTAGTAGCTGTTGTTTTTAACCACAGAACTTCCAAGAACCTTTAGAATGCTGTGACTGTAATTATCTCTTTAAGGGGATACAACACCATTCATCTCCAAAGTTGTTTGACCACAGTAATCTTATTAAGACCTAGTTTTAGATGAACACACTTTGGAAACTCAGAACTGAATTTTCTGTCTATAACAGTGCTGGATCTTGGGCATAAGTATCTGAATATGGTCTATCAATGGTCTCATTTGCTTTCTCCCCTTACATTCTCTTCACCATGATTTAGCTTTATTTTTATCTTACTAGCATAATGTTTACTTTTGTAAACAACCTAAAATCAATGTTTGAATGAAGCTGCATAGTAATAAAACAAAAATAACAGTAATATTTAACTATTTATTCTTAAATTCAACTGTTTTATTTTTATTCTTTGTTAGCTTCATTTGTACTTTGTGTATTATAATTACACACTATAATCAGCATAACAGGTGTTTACTCATGTTACAAGTTAAAAAAAAACTAAGTTCGGAGAAATAGTATTACAAACCTTCATTAAAACGTTAATAGAATTTTCTTAAGCATGTTTTAAGCTTACTTATTTTCCTGATAAACATTCAGTTGAAACATGAAATGTGATTCTTAATGTCTTAGCAAAAGACATTAAATACTGAGGGGTAGTTGATTCTGACACACACAAATTAGTTTTATAATTAACAAATCAAAACAAAATGGCAAACTACAAAAATAGTTAAATTTGGGTATGTTAGAACAAAACTGGGTAAATACACACACACACACACACACACACACACACACACACTGCTACGTATGTACGTTGCTAATTCAAAGCAACAGAGAGTTCAATACAATGGATGCTTTGCATTTCTACAGCTTATCATCAGTACTGACTTTGTCAAATATATCCATTATTCATTTTATAAAAAGGGTTGGTTGCTACATTAATGGTTAAATACAATATTCTATTTTGCAACATCGATCTGCCAAAAAGTGGTCATTTTATTTATTGCCCTCATCAAAGAAACAGTTATCTTTTTCTACGGGTATAATTAACTTAAAGAATGATGCCTAAACAGTATTCCTTTTAATCTGTTCATGTCCTCCCATCAGGCACTGATCAGTCACAGTATTCACACACCCAACACTACTGTTTTATATCTATAATATTTAATAGAGCCTCTATGTTGCCCAGGCTAGTCTTGAACTCCTGGGCTCAAGCAATCCGCCTGCCTCAGCCTCCCAAAGTGCTAGGACTACAGGCATGAACCACCGCGCCTGGCCACTGACCCTACTTTTGATTCTGCTACTTAGACTCCCAAACTCTCCAAAATCTTCTTTATAAAGAGCTAATCCCTAATTAGTGCCACACATCTAACTGACCTATTTGCTAGTCCCCACGTCGAAAGTCATTTCATTCATGCTCACATATACTCTAGTCATTCCTTTCCAAAAAGTAGAGAAAATGAAGTATGAGTCAATATGAAGTTTTGCCAATATTCTCTACTATGTTAGGCGTTCCTAAAATTCTGCCCTACTGGAGATCTCAACATCTGAGGTGACACAAAGCTGCTGACAACCACTGAGCTACGCATACTCTCTCTCTCTGTCAAAGATCTCCTTACCATAGTTTGTAATTTAGCAGAGAGAGGACTAGAGCCATTAAGCAAAGAAAAAAGGTTTTCTCATTCTTATGAGAAACTTGACCTTCCGCATTATCAACCCCTCATGAGAAGTTTCCCTGTCAGAACTTTCACCCTCCCCACAGATACACAGGCAGATAATTTCAAAGATTTAAGAAAACGTAATCTATCTTCATAAGACTTAAAAACTCTACATTATTACTCTCATGTAGTAAAAATAAAGGACATACAAAATGAATATTAAATAAGAGCATAGGATCTGCTTTAAAAAGTAGATTATGAGATGTAATTTTCTGAAGGTTAAAAAAAAGAGCTTTAACACCAAGATTCTAGCTTTTCATTTCTACATGACACATTCTCCTCTGACACATATATTTAACTAAATATGTTTTAAAGAATACTTTTATTCCCCTTTCACATAGTGTAATAATGAAAATTTGCAAATAACAAGCTCAATCTACAAAAAACTGTTTGGTCCAGGCCGGGCACAGTGGCTCACACCTATAATACCAGCACTTTGGGAGGTCGAGGGGGATGGATCACCTGAGGTCAAAAGTTCAAGACCAGCCTGGCTAACATGGTGAGAGCCCATCTCTACTAAAAATACAAAACAGTAGCCGATGGGGAGGCTGAGGGAGGAGAATCGCCTGAACCTGGGAGGCAGAAGTTGCACTGAACCGAGATCGCACCATTGCACTCTAGCCTGGATGACGGAGTGAGACTCCATCTCAAAAAAAAAAAAAAAAAAGTTTCGTCCAAAGTAAACATGATATACCATCTCTGTAAATGATAATAAGTATCTAAAGAGTTAACTTTAGCTTTACTGTAATAAGAAAGACTGGAAGTAGCCAAAATAATCAAGAATGAAAACAAAAAAAAATCAATATTACTAAGCCCAAGAAAGCATAGTTATTAGAGGTACTTAACTCACAAGAAAAGATGGTTCTGTGCTTTTTAAATATGGATTAAAATAAATCTAATTTTTCTTCTTTCAAAAAAATGCTAGTCCAACTCATATAAAGAAAACTGGCCTGAAGTGGAAATGACCCAATATAGTAAAACCTCATTAATTTTGATTTCACTAATTAATTCTGAGGTGATGGCTACCTTTGCAGCCTGTGTGAAAACAAATTAATGGTATAAACAAAGCAAATGTCTAGCTTATTTAAGTGTAAAAGGAAAAAAGACTATTCAAGCAACATTTCATATTAATTTTAAACAATGAACAGAGTAATAATAAATAATTCTCAGCTTTCTGTTAAATAAAAGCACTTAAAAGTTCTGATAAAACACAACTTGGTTTCCTCTTATCTGTCCTCAAAATTATTAAAGCACTTCTTAAAGAATACTTTATAACTCATATTTCTTCCTGATTTACACCCAGCTTCTTCACAAATGAGTTAAATTAGCACAATTCCTTTATTATTAAATTCTAGAGATCTGGGTTACTGAACACCTATTTCACCTGCAATGACTCATTCTATAATTTGATTAATTCCATTCTACTTCATCTTTTTCCATTTCAACCTCGAAAAGTCACCTAAACATGATTTAACACCAATGGCATTATAACAAGATAATGTATAAAACACTTAAACTGTATAAGTAAAATAATAATACAACAACTAAAAAATGTGAACCTCTTATCTTTAAACTTATTTGAAAAATATTTATGCCTCAAATTATTCCTATTACACATGCATTAAATAATTTTGAAATGTGTTCCCAATAGTTGTATATTTATAAATTGTATATGTGTAATTCTGTGCAATGTATCACCTAAATTGTAATAGATGCACAAATACATATATTTCAAAAGGATGACTCAAGGTTTAAATAAACAGATTTAAGAATAAACATTTCTCAAATGTCTCATTAATGTGAGTAACTTCACATTACATTAGCCAATATCTCATGTCACAAAATAGATCCTTAGGAAGGTTTCCTTATTAATGACAGTGGATGTAAATACAAATTTCATATAATTATAAATTTTTTGCTGCCCTCCTGCCAGACTGATCAAATGATCATTAAAACTTGTAATATAGCCGATGAAGAGATTTTTCATTAGAAATATCTCCCATCCATATTTTCCCTGCCCATTTTGTGATGGCTAGGTTTAGAACTATATAATATAATCTGCAAATCCCTTAAGCAAGCACATTTTAAGTGGAAACAAACAGGATGAAAGTAACTCTGGCACCCCACTTGAGGCTCACCCACTCTTGCCTGAGATGATGCGTGTCCCTCTGGTATGCAAAACAGGTGAGGCCACCAATGCCCCTCCTTCTAGTAAATGTTCATAAAGCTCAATTTCCTAAGATTAAAAAATAAGTAAGTAAAAGTTCTAAGATTTTCTTCCTATACCTCCATTGACTGTCTCATCTATTCTACTTCAGTAACCGCTGCTATCAACTGACTTAAAGAATGTAAACATAAAATTCCCCTTAAAAATTTGTATTGTTATGGAACAGAACTTATGCAGCACAGATGAAGTATTCTATCAACTTAGATAGTATTTTACAGGTGAAAGCTATTCAAATTCATGTTCCAAACACTGTATTCATTCTGCCCTACATGCAATATGCACCAATGACATCAAATGCCAATTAAAAGTAAAGGCTAACAACAATCAACAGAATATTTAACCAAGTAAAAACTCTATTTTTATTTTATGAAAAAGCAAGGAGAGGGGAGAAAATACTGGCCCAAAACAAGTATATTCTTAGGTCAATTATTATTTTTCAAATAATTATCATCCTAAGCCAAATAAAGGCTCATTGGATTTGCCAGTAAATAATCCTCAGTAGTGCTGAACAGCAGAATGCCACAAGCTATCACAGAATCTGACAGAGTCAGAATATACCACCTAGGTCACCCAGTCTGACCTTACACATTTTACAAGACTTCATTTTAAACCATTCCCAGAAACCTCTTATGTAACCTGTTCCTAAGCATCTGCCATGAATTACAGAAATCAGAGACAGCTAGTTTATCCCATCCACTAGCTCTCTGGGGAGATGACTCCACTTTCCAACAGCTCCCAGTGTAAATAATAGATATTTTTTATTTTCTATTTTTGCTAATTTGTTTTTCTAAACTAAATTACTCTTTTTCTTCATATCATTTCAGAAGCAATGGTCTTATGTGCCCAAAACAATTTTTCTCTTGGCCTGAATAGTCGCTAAACACATGAACATTCTATTGTCTTTCCTTTTAAACATGCCCATCATTAGACATGCTGTAAATGACCAGTTTCTTTTGCTCATAAATCAATCCCACTATTCTCTTAATCATTATCTCTTGTACTTCCCAGAACTCTTGCTATGGAACATAAATGTGCAGTTAAGATGCATCATTTATCACGTTAAATATTCTACCTGAAGGGGAAAAAACAGCCTATGAAATTAAATGTTAATTTCACTTCTACACTTTCACAAAACTAGACCTTTAAAAAAAGCTTTAAAAATCCAAACTTCATTTAAAAAAAAAAGTAGAGGACTGTTTATTTAATACATGTTTTAGAAAAAAAGGCCATATGGTCCAGCCAAAACACCGATTAACAAACTAATTGGATAATTACGTGAACAAGAAAACTTTTAAGGACTAGTTTTAATGTCTTCCTTTATTCACTGTATAAAAAAAAACACTGAAGAAATAGTGGGCTAATTAGAACTCTATAATTCTTCAACTGCTTCCTTATTAATAAAATGGTAAAGAAATATGAAGGATTTAATACAAGATTAAGAAAATACTATCAAAGAAAAAACATGTATTTAATAAATAACATTGTGATAGCTTAGAGAGGAGCAGATATTTTTTATCCTTACATCACCCCACAATCATAAATACATTTCAGATATATTATTTTATGTTTGTTTTTAATTTAGCCATTGTTTCTTATCAAGTCTTATCACATTTCTGGGTGGGATAAGATTTCAAGCTTCAAAAAATGTGGAAGAAACTACAAATAAAAAAATAAATTTGATTACATAAAAACTGAAAATACGTGTAGGTTAAAAAATTCAACAGTAAATAATAAATTAGAAATTCCAGCAACAACAGAAGCCACATAAGCTTAATATTTTAGTTAAGAGCTCAAACACTAATAACCCTTGGAGAGGAAAAAAAAAAGCAAAGGACAAAAAGAAAAATGTCTTTTAAAAAAAAAAACTAAAATCCTTTTAGAAAAATTTGAATATTTCTAGGTATCAAAGAAAAGCAAATTCAAACATTAAAATACTATTTTTACCTGTCAACTTGGACAAAGATTCTAAAAATTACAATGCCAAATAGTTAACATTTTGGGGGTTGATACTTTTTGCTAGGCATGTTCCAACTGCTTGGCAGTAATTCATTACAGTCTCATAACAACCCTTCGAGGTAGGTACTATTATTTCCATTTTTAAAGATGTAGAAACTGAAGCATATAAGTAACTAACATTTGTGCTGGCAAGCGGCAATGAAGTGGGCGCTGAGAGTAGAAAATAATTTCATAATATAATTCAGCAGCCTTAAAAATGTTAATAAGCTATTATATCAAATTTCTGAGGTTCTGATACTTTCATTGAGTAGACTATATCCAAAGAAAATAATCCTAAATGAAAGAAAATATTTACATACAAACACATTCAATATTGTATTATTTACAGTAGAAGATACTGGGAACAATTAAATACCCAAGGTAGAATTGCTAAGTAAATATGGTATGCTCACACAATGTAATGGAAAATTACTTTCATGAATAAGCAAAATAAGTCGGAAAATATTTGTCATAATATTAAATGAAGATGCAATATGCACAGGAAACTGTATCTACAGTATAATCACATGGATATAATAAAATGGATTTTAAAAGCCTAGAAGAACGTGTATCAAAATATATTAATTGGCCAGGCACGGTGGCTCACGCCTGTAATCCCAGCACTTTGGGAGGCTGAGGCAGGCGGATCACAAGGTCAGGAAATCAAGACCATCCTGGCTAACACGGTGAAACCCCGTGTCTACTAAAAATACAAAAAATTAGCCAGGCATGCTGGCAGGCGCCTATAGTCCCAGCTACTCGGGAGGCTGAGGCAGGAGAATGGCATGAACCCAAGAGGTGGACCTTGCAGTGAGACGAGATTGCGCCACTGCACTCCAGCCTGGGTGACAGAGCGAGACTCCATCACAAAAAAAAAAAAAAACAACTATATATATATATAAATTGTGGTTCTCTTAATTGTAGAAGAATAACAGGTGACCTTTTACCTTCTTAGTTATCTCTACTTTCAAAAATGTTAACAGTGGGTATACATTAATCAAGGTGGAATGAAAACTATACCACATTTTTAAAGAGCAAGTAACATATTACAAGTAAAAGAAAATAAAAGGGGACTAAAACTGAAAAACTCCAAACTTGAATAATCAAAGATGAAAAACTAAAAGATAAATTATGCAAATCAATAATGAAAAATGACAAAAATTGGAGAAAACTACTTACTTTGAAATAGACTACTAAATCTGCTAGAGGGCAGCATTTATCAGTTCAGCCTGTGAAGTCAGACTACTCAGGATCAAATTCGAGCTCTGCCATTTGCTAACTGTCTGACTTGGATGAGTCATTTAACCTCTCTGAGTCTCTTTTCTCTATGTGATGTGGTTAACAGCAGTAACATACCTAACAGAATTGCTGTGTGAATAACACGAAATATAAATTCATGCAGTGACTAACATGTCATGAATACAAAAGATGATAATATTATCTCCATCATTATTATTATTATGTAATTATATACCATAGATTCTATCTTTTAGAATGTAATTGTATTTATTTTCTGAAGGGGTTAAGTGTTGCTGAAGTTTAGGTATCTACCAGAAAATGTGAAAACATTCATAATTCTTCAAGAACATAAGTTTCCCTTTTTCAATACTTTCTTCTCATATTAATACCTCTGCTTTAATTTAATCTGAATAGTTTCATCTGCATAATCATCAGTATCACTCACATGCTACCATAAATTACATTAATAAAGCTTTATAACAATTTATAAATAAATAAAATACAACTCCTCAATGGCCAGCTTCCACTGTTCTCTGAATATTTCTTATGTTTTTCTACTGAACTTACTTTATTTTTCACTTCATGCCTTTAAAATATTAAAATGCTTTCTTTAATTTCACTTATATATTTATGGGTTTTAGAGACTGAGATGGTTAAATCTGCAAGCTCTAAAATTATAAAGTTTTGTTGTTGTTGCTGTTGTTGTTGTTGTTTGAGACAGAGTCTCGTTCTGTTGCACAGGCTGGAGTACAGTGGCACGATCTCGGCTCACTGCAACCTCTGCCTCCCAGGTTCAAGTGATTCTCCTACCTCAGTCTCTCAAGTAGCTGGGATTACAGGCACATGCCACCATGCCTGGATAATTTTTTTGTATTTTTAGTAAACACGGGGTTTCACCATGCTGGCCAGTCTGGTCTCAAACTCCTGACCTCAGGTGATCCACCTGTCTTGGCCTCCCAAAGTGCTGGGATCACAGGCGTCAGCCACCGCGCCTGACCTTATATTCTAAAGTTTGTTAAGGAACTCAAAGTGTTGCCCCTTTCCACTCTCCACACACCATTCAGCTGTCCGCTGTCATCTGTCCATGCCCACAAACCTTGGGCTGCACACATTCAGGGAGTTAGACCTTCTGAAAAAAGACTGCCTGGTATTACAACTCCCAAAAGCTTTCTGTTGGTCCTGCCCTTCTACTTTCTCACTCCTCAACTTAGAACTTAAATGGCAACCACACATCTGACCAAGCGATTTTTAATCTGTCTGCTTGGCCTTACCTGTTTCTGCAAATCATACCTATATCATTACAAGAAATAAACACTGGGCCAGGCATGATGGCTCATACCCATAATCCCAGCACTTTGGGAGGCCGATGTGGGCAGATCACTAGAGGTCAGGAGTTTGAGACCAGCCTGGCCAACATGGTGAATCCCCATCTCTACTAAAAATACAAAAATTTACTGAGTGTGTTGGCGAGCCCTTGTAATCCCAGCTACTCAGGAGGCTGAGGCACAAGAATCGCTTGAACCTGGGAGGCGGAGGTTGCAGTGAGAAGAGATAGCGCCACTGTATTCCAGCCTGGATGACAGAGCAAGACTCTGTCTCAGAAAAAAAAAAAAAAAAAAAGGAATAAACACTGAATTCACACACCTCTGATACAGCCACAGAAAACTTTCTCTTTCCTTTCTTATGGAAACAAACGGGTTGACAGATACTGTCCTCATTTTTCTAACTGGAGATGCAGAACAAACCTGTATATCTCTTTCCTGGCAGTAAATTAACAGAACACAATATGCTAAAAGCACCTCTTTGTTTTGAAAGGATGCTGGCTTGCTCTTTAAGCCTGTATCAAAAAAACGCAGAGAAACCTAACCTTCAGTGTCCACAAAACACTATGGGCTGGCAAGAATGCTGTGCCTAGCCCATAATTTATGTCCTAAGAAGAGCAATAAATGGGGTCAAACCTCCCCCTTGATCATCTGGGGTCATGTTGACAAACGCTTTGCATGTGTAATACCCCACTGTAATCTACCCACAAATGTCCAGAAAAACATGACCCAGTTTGGGCTTCTCAGACAGTTGAAAACCCCAATTTTCAGGCAATGAGCAGGAAAGAATGGTACTTAGGACTATAATTTCCAAGGAATTAGAGGAGAGTAAAAACCTGTTATCCAGTTGTTGGTTCTTAATTATCTTGAAACTTCTATCTCATGCCAAAAAAAAAAAAAAACAAAACGCAAAGTTAGACTGTCAGAGGAAGAGAAGTCATCCCTAATTTGTACGGGTTTTAAAACCACCTGGCCATAGTTGGGAAACAAGCAAATGAAAAGTACCTAACAGAGGAACAAAGTATATCTACAGTAAAGTCAGTTGAGGCTGGGCATGGTAGCTCATGCCTGTAATCCCAACATTTTGGGAGGCCAAGGCAGGTGGATCATTTGATGTCAGGAGTTTGAGACCATCCTGGCCAACATGGTAAAACCTCATCTCTACTAAAAACATAAAAAAATTAGCTGGGTGTGGTGGTGCGCGCCTGTAATCCCAGCTACTGGGGAGGCTGAGGCAAGAGAATCGCTTGAACCAGGAGATGGAGGTTGCAGTGAACTGAGATCACACCACTGCACTCCAGCCTGGGTGGCAGAGTGAGACTCTCTCTCAAAAAAAAAAATAAAAATTTGGCGGGGCACAGTGGCTCATGTCTGTAATCCCAGCAATCTGGGAGACTGAGACAGGCCAAGGTCAAGAGATTGATGCCATCCTGGCCAACATGGTGAAACCCCGTCTCTACTAAAAATACAAAAATTAGCTGGGTGTGGTGGAATTCACCAGTAGTCCCAGCTACTCGGGAGGCTGAGTCAGGAGAATCACTTGAACCTGGGAGGCAGAGGTTGCAGTGAGCCAAGATGGCACCACTGCACTCCAGCCTGGGTGACAGAGCGAGACTCCATCTCAAAAAAAAAATAAAAATAAAAATAAAATTTTTCTAAAAAGTCATTTGAGTACTGAAAATGAACGTACAAACTGCCCAGATTTAGGCATTTATCATCCAAATGACAATGTAGATAACTGAAAATAGAAATAATAGCAACAATAATGATGATTCAATGAGCTCTCATTACAGGCCAAGCGTTACTTCTAAACCTTAAACCAACACTTCACAGAAATTGTGGCTAGGGCCTAGAGATGTTAAGTAACCTGCTAATGCCACTCCAAGATGGGTGACACAAATCCAGGTCTGTTTGGTTCTAAAGGCTGTTCTCACTGACCAATTGACGGTTCCATTATTTCAAGCTCCATATGCCTACAGCAGAGTGTGCTCTCCAACTCCTTTAGAAAGTCTTCACCAATGACTAAGAAAAATCATTGATAATGACTCCAAAAAGAGAATCATCATACAAAAGTCAACTTTGTTGTTTGTTCTTTTTTTCTAAGATGTTATCATCCATTTTCATTTCATTTTACCAGCTTGTCAAATCTTTCTTTAGACAAATAACATGAACATTTTCCCTCTCAGTACAGTCCCATATTTTATTATCTTTACTTTTTTCTTCCCTACCTAAGTAGGCTGAAATAAAGTATCCTATTGCAGCTAGACTGCAGCACATACAAAACCATCACTCTGATCTGTTGGTCATTATTTTCTTTTTGTTGTGGTTTTTGAGACGGCATCTCCCTCTGTCGCCCAGGCTGGAGTACAGTGGCGCAATCTCAGCTCACTGCAACCTCCACCTCCCAGGTTCAAGGGACTTTCCTGCCTCAGCCTCCCGAGTAGCTGGGACTATAGGCACGCGCCACCACACCCAGCTAATTTTTTTTGTATTTAATAGAGATGGGGTTTCACCATGTTGGCCAGGATGGTCTCGATCTCTTGACCTTGTGATCTGCCAGCCTCAGCCTGCCAAAATGCTGGGATTACAGGCGTGAGCCATCGTGCCAGGCCAGTCATTATTTTCAAAGTAATGTATGTATGTCCAATTCCTGCCAGGATCCGCCTAAATCCAAGTATTATCAAGTACTATCTATTGTAGACAGATCCATCAGGTACTAGTCAGGAAAACATCAATTGTTCCAGACACCTCCACATAACATGCATAATGCTAAGAGCATCTGCAAACAGAGGTTGTTAATGTATCATTTATGATTTTATAAATATCCACAAAACTAATATATTCAAATATCATATATATTGACCTTCCTTAAAGTCTTCCAAAATCACCCAAAGTAGACTTCCTAAGTGCCCTATGTACTCCCTGAGGGCTTTGAAAAACCCCTTTCCATAAGATTTATCATACTCCTTTATAACTGCTGTTTGCTGGTCTGGCTCCCTCATTAGACTAAATATTACAAAAAAAAAAAAGATATCTTATCCCTATCTCTGGTTCTAGAAAGTGCCTGAAATATGGCAGATAGTCAGATATTTGCCCAATGAATGTCTAATCAAAAATATGTTGCACCAAACTGAATACTACACTTAAAAGGTAATTCATTTCTTCCTAGCAATTTTTGCCATTTAAAAATATAGAGAGCAGTGCATGGTGGCTCACACCTGTAATCCTAGCACTTTAAGACGCCAAGATAGGAGGATCACTTGAGGCCAGGAGTTCAATGCCAGCCTGGGCAACATAGCAAGACTTCATCTCTAAAAAACAAAAATTAAATTAAAAAAATGAAATGTAAACTCATTTTGAAATTGTCCTATGATTGTGTTACTCAAGAAAAATTAGTTGTTGTGTAATACTTTCTCTCCAGTCCAAAATAAAAAGTCAATTTAATCAGCTACTTCATTCACTAGGTTTAGCATGAAATCACTTCTGACCATTATTAAAAGTAAATTTCATGCCTAATCAGCAATATGATTTAAGATTTTAAGGAATCTTTCCAAAATGTAAGAATTTCTAATTTTTTAAAATGTTTGGCATGATATCAGCACAGTCAGCTAAGGATGCAGTCTTTCTCATTACTGTTAAAGGGGCCTCTCACTGCCAGTCCCTTAGCACTGAGTTTTCTGGCCTCCTACACAAGAGACAGGTGTAAGACATTAAATTGCAGTTTTGCCATTAAAATAACAAAAATTACTTGCACAACCTAATATTTGAATGTATACATAATATTCATAGCATGACAGGGTCTCACTCTGTCACCTAGGCTGGAGTGTAATGGCGCAATCATGCCTCACTGCAGCCTTGAACTCCAGGGCTCAAGCAATCCTCTCACCTCAGCCTCCCAAGTAGCTAGAACTATATGCCCATGTCACCAAACCCAGCTTTTTTTTTTTCTTTTTTGATAGAGACAGGGTTTCACTATGTTGCCCAGGCTGGTCTTGAACTCCTGGCATCAAGTGATCCTCCCAGCTTGACCTCTCAAATTGTTGAAATTACAGGTGTAAGCCACCATGCTCAGCCTCAACTTTTTATCTTTAAACAATAGTATAGAATAGTAGTACAAATTTGGAAAACATAAAATTATCAAGAATATAAAACCAACCAGAATGTACAACTAATATAGTATTGGTAATATTAATACATTTGTGCTTTAAAATGAACGTGAGAGCTATAGTTACATATGCTCTACATACAGCTGCTTTCAAGACTAGAAAATTAGCAAGGCTTAAAAGATTATAAACAGGATGATGAAGGATTACGGTAGTAAAATGGTGACTGTACAAACCTATTCCTCATTGTTTGAAGAGCAATTTGACAATACCTGTTCAAAAGCCTTTAAAAATTAATATGCCCTTTTTTATAGCAACTCCAAGTATAAGAACTTATCCTAAGAAACCATTCTAGAGCTACAAAAATATTTAGCTGTACTAATTATCATTCCCACCGTTGATAACAGGCAAAAAAAAAAACTTTAAAGCAACATTCTAAAATGTCCAATAAAAATGAATTACAGAGTATCATTTAAAATGATGTTGTAGGAATATTCTTAGTGACAAATATGATGTCTTTAGAAAATATCTCTATTTTCTATAACTATGTATTATTTAATTTTTAAAAATAAAATTAATATCAAAAAGATGGTGCCAAATACATAAAAATATATGAAAATGTTCTCAAAATCAAAGAGAATTAAGTGTTAAAGGAAAAAGGATGACACAGAACATTATGTACATTGTATTTTAAGAAAATAATGTTAGTTCTGCTTCCTGTTTTTGCTTAGTTTGTATTCACAAAGTTTGCTCTGCTTGACTTCAGATATTAAGCTATAGGTATAGACATTGCTTTTTAAATGCAATATTCAAATTAAATTAATAACAAAAATCTAGAATCAAAAATGGGAGATAAGAGCAAATTCAGGCAAAAGCTTTCAGTACTTTGTCAGAATAATAGTATGATATATTAAAAAGAATATCTAATTTGTCAATTGCCCTTACTGGCTGTGAACATTAGCCACACTGGTATACACACAGTCACGTGTTCCATTCATATTAGCATACCTGTTTCTAGGAGCCGGGAATCTAATACTGGTTTTAATACTGTCAATTGAAGGCACAAACACTAGTGTTCAGGTTAGATGACGCACATTCCTGTTTTCACAAATCCATGCTGCCCCCTTCTGGGTATTTTTGGAGATTACGTGACCAAAAGTTTAATATGATAAATTAAACAAAAAGTATTCATTCTTTAACTAATATATTAAAGAACTTAGCCTATATGCTTACATGTAGAAACATATCACTGGTACTAAACAGTTTATTTTTCGGCATTTTCGAAAACTTCTGTTCTGAATAATTCTAACAACAGAAAGACAGCTCTGAGAATTTAATCGTCAATGTAAATGAGGAAAATAAATAGTAAATATTAAATAGCTATAATACTAAAAGTAAATAAAACATGACACTTTAATAAGTTTCCCTACTCCTTCCTCTCACTCTCAAAAGTAAACCAGGGTCTGAATTTGGCACTAGCTTTCCCTTCGGTTTTAATATTTTTACTACCTATACATGTATCCAAAAATATGCAGTATGGATTTGTGTTTTTAAAATGTAAATAAATGGTATCACACTGTATTACACACACAAAGGTTTCATACCACAAACTGTACTTCTAAATCCAGCTACCTACCACAATTGAAAATCAACTAAGAAAATATGGATAGTTTCATGTAAAATATCACCACAATTCAATAAGTTGGCAATATTATACTGGGTGATTAGTGTTATTTTTTAATTCATGAATTTTCACTGCTGTCAATCATATCTATCTGGTTTGTTAAGGAAAATGTTTTATAACGTACTCTTGATATATTAAAATAATTTTATTCCCTCAGTATTTTTTCCAAAACCTAGTTTCTTTCTCTAAGAGTAACCTATGTGGAAATACAAGAAAAAGTGCCTGGATCTTGGACAATAGACTCTTTAAAGCTAAAATCTATAATAAAAGGAGAACGATAAGCAACAGGGAAAGGTAAAATAAACTGGGAGGGAGGTGGAAGGGACGATGTCAGATCATCTCATCTGTAACTACATAATTCTAATGATGGAGCGTTGGAGGAAGTTTCCTGCCGCAGCACTCCAAAGGCATTAAAAATATCTGCCTTCCCTTTCACCAGCTCTCTTCAGATTCCCCAGGCAACTGGTACACTCTTGGCCTCCCCTATCCCAGAGTTCAGATTTTGCTAATTCACCCAAGTCTACCTCTCACAACTACTCCAATCTGAAAATCATTCTCTCTCTAACCACGCTGTGTTGTGTAAATTTTGTAGTTGTCAGAATAAAATTAAGCTAATATTCTATAGTTCTGAAGCATTAAAACACTGTAAAATTGAAAATATCTGAAGGATTAATAAGACATTGCACTCAAGGTTAAGGGAACCAAAAAGCTGGAGAACAGGAGAGAAAGGGAGACTTGCACTTCCTTAGTAATATTTATACCTTTTGCATTTTATACTATGTGCATCACTACCTATTTATGAAATATTTTAAGGTACCATAGTAAACAGTCCAAGTACAGATGAAAAGTTAATAGCCCAGTTTAAATTTTAGCTGTTTTTAAAAAAAAGTTTCTAATACATCTCCTATATCTAATATTTGAAGTGGCAATATAATTTAATAACAACATAAAAAGCTCGAGTTTAAATTTGAATCCTATTAAAATTCATAAGAACTGTCACATCTGAATAGCAATAAATCATGAGAAAACCACTCATTTAAAAATAATAAACATAACTTGGAATGATAAAAATGGTATAGGACTTTATATCTGTCATATAATTTTTATACTGTGAACAGCTTTATTTCAAGCAAATGATATATAGTAGTTTGTTTTATCAAGAAACTGAACCTTTATATACTCTTAAAAAAACAGAAATGGCAAATAACCTAATATTAGAAACCTCAAAACCACAGATTCCAACACCTCTCAAGAAGTCAATATGTAGTTAGTCAAACCTCTCAGGTCTTTTCAAGTAGTTTACCAAAGCTCCTTGTTTCTCTGGGTACCTATAATACGCCCTTGCCATCATCACCAAAACATTTGTGATTTATAGTCTGCCTGTACCAGGCTTAAATACTTACCTTATCCTCCTTCTAAAATGTAAGCTTATATTTCTTGGAACATTTAAACACATTACTTCCTCAACTGTTCTCAATAACCCTTCAGAACTACACAATCCTGAATTATTTCAAAATTTTATATCTTAAAGGGTACCTTCAGATTTTTTAATTTTCTTACATTTTAATTCTTTAAAATAATCCGTATCAGGTAAAAGCTAAATATCAGTTAACCAGACTATTCAACGAATCAATACTGAATTTCAAAGATCTTTTCCTAAATGAACTTTTGCTTTTTTAAGAAACAATATTGGGCCTGTAATCCCAGCACTTTGGGAGGCCGAGGCGGGCGGATCACGAGGTCAGGAGATCGAGACCATCCTGGCTAACACGGTGAAACCCCGTCTCTACTAAAAATACAAAAAATTAGCCGGGCGTGGTAGCGGGCGCCTGTAGTCCCAGCTACTCGGGAGGCTGAGGCAGGAGAATGGCGTGAACCCGGGAGGCGGAGCTTGCAGTGAGCCGAGATCGCGCCACTGCACTCCAGCCTGGGCGACAGAGCGAGACTCCGTCTCAAAAAAAAAAAAAAAAAAAAAAGAAACAATATTGGCCAGGCGCAGTGGCTCACACCTGTAATCCCAGCACTTTGAGAGGCCGAGGTGGGTGGATCACGAGGTCGAGAGATCGAGACCATCCTGGCCAACATGGTGAAACCCTGTCTCTACTAAAAATACAAAAATTAGCTGGGCAAGGTGGCACATGCCTTTATTCCCAGCTACATGGGTGACTGAGGCAGGAGAATCACTTGAACCCGGGAGGTGGAGGTTGCAGTGAGCCGAGATCATGCCACTGCACTCCAGCCTGGCAACAGCGTAAGACTCCATCTCAAAAAAAAAAAAAAAAAAAAAAAGAAAATGAAAAATAAACAGTATCTTTAAAAAATGAAAAACCAAAATCCTTTAACACAAAATAAAAGGAAAAATATATTCAATTTAAGTACTCTACATAATACTATATTTAGGCAATATTTGTCATCTTTGAATATGCAAAATTTTTTAAGTAATTAAAAGTCCCACTAACAAAAGAATAGAAAAATAGTTCATTAAAAATAAAGCATACAAAACCACTTAAGTCTGCCACTAAATTAATGCTAATCTCTAGTAGGAATTTGGAAAGACTTTTAGATAAAAAGATATTAAAAACAGCTCAAAAATGAAGGAGTGGGGAAAGAAAGGATGATAAATACCTACTGACATGTATGTGGAGTTTGAAAAGGGGGTCTGGAGTCTGTCTTCAGAGCTCATCTCCAACTTCCAGCTGCAGCATCTGTTCTACCTAGCAGACAGTTTTTCACTTTTTGTTTACTATCTACCTAAGTTAGGAGACAAATAATGAATTATTTAGCTGAGTACTTTTTCTTAACAACTTTGTACGTTTTAGGAAACGTGAAGTGTGACTATAAAGAGAGGAGAAATCATCAGCTTTGTACATTCTTATTCACAGTTAAAGTAATTTTTACACACAACTGACATTTCTCTGTTTTAGAATATCTTTCCTGAACAAATAATTACAAGAAGTCCAAACTCAACTTCCACCTGAATTCACCTAAAACCCAAAACTATTCTAATAAACAAAACAGATGACAAACTCTTCAGCATTTATCTCTAATCATTACTTTTGGTAAATATTTATAATCTTTCAACTACAATTAGCTGATCAACTATCTCAACTACTATTGCCCAATCAAAACGTTTAAACAAAAATAAAAATATATTCTGCTAAAAAGAACAGGACACTGGGTCAATTTATGAGAGGGACTATTCAAGCATTAGAATCAGTATATGATGTAGCAAACTCTAATCTCAGCCACACATTTTCTAAACATTTAGCAAACATCAAACTCTGCTTTTTATTAAGCAATTAGGCTCTTTGATCTTTAAACATACTTGCTGATGTGCATAAAACCACCTAACCAGCTAACTGAACAGGTTATTAACTAGGCAGTCATTATTTATTTGCTAAATTACCCCACAGCTAAAATCAAGTATCTTTGTCTTTATCAGGACTTTTGAATAAGAATTTTAAAATTTCTTTTTTTTCCTTTTTATAATTTCAATTTTTTAAAATTTAACTTTCATTTTAAGTTCAGGGGTACATGCACAGGTTTGTTATACAGGTAAATTTGTGTCATGGGGGTTTGTTGTACAGATTATTGCATCACCCAAGTATTAAGCCCAGTACCCATTAGTTGTTTTTCCCAATCCTCTCCGTCCTCCCACCCAAGAAAATTTCTATTGTTAAGCATGTAATAACTAAATTACAAATTGCAAATACATTATTTTTCAAGTACTAGACTTCCCTGTCTAGATCATTTTTCCTCATATTCTCCAGGCCAACTACCGCTTTTGGCTTGTCCAAGTTTAGTAGCGAGCCCATTCTCCGTTTAGTTGCATATATGTCTATTAGTATTTTATTCACTACATTTTATTTTTAAATACAAATAGTCAAAAACATTTTATTATTTTAAATACCAATCTGAATTTTTTTTTTTTTTTTTGAGACAGAGTCTTGCTCTGTCACCCAGGCTGGAGTGCAGTGGTGCAATCTCAGCTCACTGCAAGCTCCACCTCCTGGGTTCACGCCATTCTCCTGCCTCAGCCTCCCAAGTAGCTGGGACTACAGGCGCCTGCCACCATGCCCAGCTAATTTTTTGTAGTTTTAGTAGAGACGGGGTTTCACCGTGTCAGCCAGGATGGTCTTGATCTCCTGACCTCGTGATCCGCCCCTCTCAGCCTCCCAAAGTGCTGGGATTACAGGCATGAGCCACCATGCCCTGCCCACTTGAAATTTTTTAAAAGAAATTTGTTTAAAAAACACAAGGGAATATATAAGCTAAAAAAATGTATAATTAACATATTCAAATAGAGAGCATGACCTTGTGTAAGCCATTCCAAACTTTTTTTTTTTTAAACAGCGTTTCGCTCCTGTTGCCCAGGTTGGAGTGCAAGGGTACGATCTCAGCTCACTGCAACCCCTGCCTCCCAGGTTCAAGCAATTCTCCTGCCTCAGCCTCCTAAGGAGCTGGGATTACAGGCATGCACCATCACACCTGGCAAATTTTTTGTAATTTTAGTAGAGAAGGGGTTTCTCCATGTTGATCAGGCTGTTCTCGAACTCCCAACTTCAGGTGATACGCCTGCCTCAGCCTCCCAAAGTGCTGGGATTACAGGCTTGAGCCATCGCACCTGGCCCATTCCAAACTTTTAATCACATTTGTAATTTAAAGAAAAACTATATCTTATTCTATCTAATATTCTATTATTTTAAATATTTTATTCTCTCACACACACACAAAATCAATCAAAACAGAAATGGTTGTTCTAAACTAGTATAGAATTATCTAAATAATCAATTTTTGCATTGAAAAATTAGATATTTCACCAAATGTGCATTCAGAAAAGAAAATTGTCATGTTTCACCATAGGACATAACTACTATAAAATGAAGTTTAGGAGAGGGGTTGTAACAATACCTTAATTTATTAATGTAATTACAATAATATCTATTTCACCAAAATATGACATAAAATTGGTTAAATACATAGCAGTTTTTCACAGTGAATAAGAAATTAACAACCTAATTGGAAGAAAGGAATAAAAAAGAAGGAAGAGAACAATTAAGGAGGTAAATTTGCAAATCTGCCAGGAAAAATAATGAGAAACATTGGTACTAGGATTTCTTACAAAGCCACCAATATCAAATCAAACAAAATCTAGCACTGGCAGAACATGGTTGATAAAATAAATTATCAGGAAGATTAAGCAAGTAAGCAGAAGGGCCAAGAAAAATTTTGTAGATTTTGAAATGAGATATCTTGTAGATACTGCAGCAGATACACCAGTAAGACTGTTTTCAATTTCAGTAATACCAGAGCTGGTGACGGTGAATGAATTATGATAAGCATGACTTGTCTACAAGAAGACGATGTCTCTATATGTGCAAACAAATGAGTGAGTGTTGGGAGACAGTGATTATGCACACAAAGATGACTAATCACATGAATAAGTCCCATGATTAATAAACAATAAAAAAAAGTACTGTTATCAGTCCTAAGCCCTCCTAAAATCTCATATTTCTATTTATAAGACATCACAGCCTAACTTAAAATGCATCAGAAAGCAATCTGGTTCCACAAAGGTATGTATGAAATTTTCCAAAATCATCATCAGTGACTGTTAGGCTTTGTCTCCCTTGTTAACAACAATTTTTTATTTAAGTGAACTCTATCGATAAGTATTTTGCCTTTACCAACATATATATTCATTGTCTTTGCTCAGATGGACCCAAAAATAATGAGATTGTACAATGTCTTCAGGCATACTTAAATTATTTTAAAATGTAAAATTGAAACATCATTCAATAAACATTTTCTCAACTGCTGCTATGTTTCAGAAAGAAGCCAGACCATTTTGAAGCTAGTAAAAAAACACTATGTCTCTCTTCTGTTTCTATGTGCCCCAATAGTTAGTGGCCGTAACTTTGCCTAAATGTTACTATTATTTTAGTTTTAAAATTGAAAGGGTTTTCTTAATTATCTTGTCACACTTCCTTTAAGTTAGTCTAGATTCCATTTACATTCCTGATAGTAATATAACTTGGCTCTACCATAGTGAAATAATCTTTTATATAAATCAACTTACACTACAGTTTTCAGGTGGAACTAGAAGTTGAGTAATCTCACCACCATGAACACAGAAGATATGTTTCATTTCTCCAGAAAATATGTCCCAAATTATGACTGAAAAATCCACACCTCCAGATATCAGGTATCTTTGATCATACCGAGCTGAGACCTGATGAGGATATAGCAAACATGTGACTTTGTTCCGATGACCACGGAGTGTTCTGTGAGGTGGCCAACCTGTGAATGAGGGTTTGGATTTAAAATGGGAAAATTAAAGGTTTACCAAGTTTCAGTAAGTAAAAGTAAACATGAATGTTTAGAATAGCTACAAATTATATCACAGCAAAGGCTTCCAATTTTATCTTCTAACACAACTCTGCCTAATTCAGTATCTACTAGCCACATGAGACTACTGAGCACTTGAAATGGGGGTAATCCAGATTCCTATGTGCTGTGAATTTAAACTAGTCATGAGATTTTGAAGAGTTGATACAAAAAACCTAAAATATTTCATCAACAATCTTCATATTGATTAGAAGTTGAAATGAAAATAGTTTTTGCTATATTGGGTTATATAAAATATAGTCAATTTCAACTGTTTCATTTTATTTTTTAACACAGCTATTAGGAAATTACAGGTATGGTTATATATATATGGTTGACATTCGATTTCCACTGGCTGTTGAGAGGCCGAGGCAGGCAGATCACTTGAGGTCAGGAGTTCGAGACCAGCCTGGCCAACATGGTGAAACTGTCCCTACAAAAAATACAAAAATTAGCTGGGTGTGGTGGCACATGCCTATAATCCCAGCTACTTGGGGGGCTGTGCAGGAGAACTGCTTGAACTCAGGAGGCAGAGATTGTAGTGAGCCGAGATCATGCCACTGCACTCTAGTCTGAGCAACACAGTGAGACTCTTTCTCGGAAAAAAAAAAAAAAAAGATTTCTATTGGATGGTACTGTTCTGGAGGATTTTCAGAATTACTGGTAATACAGTAATTATTTAGTAATCCATAGAGATAACTAAGAGATGAAACTATTAACATATCTCAAAGAGATAAAATTGGATACTTCTTTATTTACAGTCATTACATTGTATTAATTCTAATAACAGGCACTGAATATTTTATCTGTGCATTAAACTCTACCAACTACATAGCACCCCAACAACTAACTACACTGATTCACTGTATTTATTTAAAAACAAAAAACAGAGACATTTTCACTCTCTGGGTAAGAGTTGTCAAAACACTTTAGACATACGGAGCTCTTCAGTATACCTCTTCTGAGCATGTGTTCCCCTTGCAACAGCTGTACTATGGCCGTCTGTGTGGCAGGTACAATAACTATGCTTCCATCTTCACGACCACAAACAAGTCGTCCATGTGCTGGTATGTACACACTTGCAGTTACTTTAAGAGGTTCATTACTATTGGGAATCACACTCAGCTGATCTATAATTCCAGCAGGACAAGGATTCAGTTTATCAAATGCCTCTTGCAAACTAATAGAAGTTGTCATTGCCAGCCCTGTAGAGGTTTGGTTTTGTATAAAAGAAAAACATTTGTGCATGTTAAAAAAAATTTAAAACATTAAAATAATGTTGATTGATCCAGTAATCAAAGAAAATGATATATGTACATTATGAATGTTATTCAGTAGTTGGTATTTAAGATATTAAATTAATTAAGAAATTGTTACACATGATTTACTATTACCTTCTTCACTTCCCTGTTTATCAGCTGTGTCTGATATGTTCCAAATATTCAACCTTCCAGAAGAATCACCCTGAATTAACAGTTTATGGAAATATTCTCTGCATCCATAGAAGAACCGAGTAACAGGAGGACAAATTAGCAACTGCCAAAAAAAGTATTTGAATATCTTTAGCTGTATTTTTAATCAAAATATTTCACACATTAATGCTTTTCAAACAAAGATATTAGGTAATTTGTCCCAGTAGCCAAGTTGAAAAAGTGTTTATAGCATGATTATTCAACAATATTTTAATGTAATTCTATAGCACTAACATACATGTCAACTAATATTCTAATCTAGTATAACACACACATTGAATGAAACAAAAACTGTATTTACAGCCTTTCTCTAAAGTTAGCATTTATGCTACTTTTCACCACTTTATAATAACTCATGTGTAGCCACAATAATGCAATTTAACTGCCTATTATTAAATAATTAACACATAGCTAAGCTTTATCAAAAAGAAAAGTCTTCACTTAAAAGGTCAAGATGAGAGAACTCACTATTCCTGCTTTTTTTGCCCACTCCTGATTAATCATTAAGAATAGCAACAAAATTAGGGAACAGTGGCTCATGCTTGTAATCCCAACAATGACACGGAAGATCGCTTGAGGCCAGGAGTCAGAGACCGGCCCTGGACAACTAAGCGAAATCCTGTCTCTACAGGAAAAAAAAAAAAACTTAGCCCAGCATGGTGGCACAGGCTCATAGCTCCAGGTATTCAGGAGGCTGTGGTGGGAGCATCACTTGAGTCCAGGAGTTTGAAGCTACAGTGAACTATCATTTCGCTACTGCACTCCAGCCTGGATGACACAGCAAGACCTTGCCTCAAAAAAACAAAAAGTAGGCTGGCCACAGTGGCTCATGCCTGTAATGCCAGCACTTTGGGAGGCTGCAGCGGGCAGATCACTTGAGGCCAAAAGTTCAAGACCAGCCTGGCCAACATGGTGAAACCCTGTCTCTAATAAAAATACAAAAATTAGCCAGGTGTGGTGGTGCGTGCCTGTAATCCCAGCTACTCGGGAGGCTGAGGCAGGAGAATCGCTTGAACCCAGGAAGCAAAGGTTGCAGTGAGCCGAGATCACACCACTGCACTCCAGCCTGGGAGTCAAAGGGCGACTCCATCTCAAAAAAAAAAAAAAAACAAAAAAAAAAACCAACAAAATTGAACTATCAAGCTTGTGCAACTAGAGGACCCCATTGTTAAAATTAGTATATTTTTCAACTAATAGCATATCATGTTTTACTTGCTCATATTTTCATAATCAATTTGAACCTAGCCTCTGTTAGCTACCAGCTACCAGGAACAAAAACCATTCATTAGGATCTTATGTGTACTTTCATTTTCAGCTCAAGATTTTGTGCCTTCAATGAAGTACTATCTGAAAATACTAAATAGTGTGGTGGACTTCTACTAAAATTCGGAGGATTACTTCACAAATACTGGAATATTAAAGAACAGAATCTTAGCCTGAAAAGCAATATTAAATTTGACTTCAGTTTTGACAATTATAGTTAATAGTCTAATTACTGTATTCAAATACTGGTTAATCAAATACAGTAATTAACAGCTAAAAGCATTAGCCAATGGAAACTACACATATTAAGCATAACCAATCGTTTGACTTTACTTACTGAATTTTTTTTGCTTTTGAGACAGGGTCTCGCCATGTTGCCCAGGCTGGAGTGCAGTGGCACGATCACAGCTCACTGCAGCCTCCACCTCCCAGCTCAAAGGATCTTCCCACTTCAGCCTCCCAAGTAGCTGGGACTACAGGCGTGTACCACCACACCATGCTAATTTTTTTTTTTGTAGAGATGGGGTCTCACTATGTCGCCCAGACTAAAATTTTTAATTGATAAACTATATATTTAACAAGGAAAAATTGCTACAGCAGCTGTAATAACCAATATTCTACATTTCAACACACCACAAAATACACATTTTTAATTTAAAACGTATTAGGGAGCTGATATTTAAAGAAAATGATTTTTTTTTTGGTTTTGCTTATGTATATTTTTTATACAAGTCATTATTCCTTAGGTTAATTGGACATGACTATCTAGGTTGAAGAGCAGTAAGTGGAAGTTTGAATAAAGAACAGACAGGCTAAAGATGATCTTAATTGTACATAGATATACAAATTCTATATATTCAAAATATTCATGGAAAGAACAATTCCCTTCCCCTAGCCACCCGGCCACATAAACGTGAGACGTAATGTTCAGAATGATAAAGCCATGGAAACCTAGAACATCAATTAAAAAAAAAAAAAACAAAAAAAACTCTGCTTTCAAAGCCAAAGCTTCTTTCTTACTGCTCAATATAGAGTTGAAAACCCAGTACTAAGTGCTGTTGTACTTCAACATTAAGTGGATATTAAGCACGTTTTCAGAAATCACAATAAACTTTTATTTTTATAGAGAAAAAATGTTTTATTCTTTATTTCTAGTTTCTAATGATTTAAAATGCTACATGATTTTGTGGAGGTATTGCAATGCCTTGTTCAACAAAGGAACTATTATTACTCAGCATTATTACATAACTATGTGTGCTCTTCTAAAAATATATCTGTCACTATGTTTATAATTGCATGATAGTATGTAAAATAATTTACACCATCAATATGAACTTCATCAAAAAGTCAATTTCAATACGCAATTAGCATAAGATCACTTGTACTCTTAGAAAAACGAATGTTATTTCATAGGCATATTATATGTTTTTAAACAAGCAGATTTTGAAATGTCCTTATAACTGACCATCTCAAAATGTTTTACATTTAACACAGTGCTTTGAATTGTATCAAATTTTTTAAACCTATCACAAGACAATAAATACAGTTGTAGAAGTTTTTCAATGTAACTTTCAATTATAAATGACACCTCAAGAATTTTACCTCTTTATCTTTTCGATCCAAGAGGATATGTTGTACAGGAGGAATTAAATTTTCAACTGCCTTCCCCACATCACTGCGGAATGAATCACTAGCTGGAAGGCAACTGAATATGGGAAAAATACAATATTCAATTAAAATACTGACATTAAATACTTTATAATTCCATATGACAAGGTTTGTTGGTATTGGACAAAAAGGGGATTTTTAAATTATAGTTAATTTAATGCAGGCATTAAATTAAATAATGTTATAAAAATATTGTCCTTCAAATAAAAATCCACCTAATTTTTGCACTTAGAAGTTAAATTGGAATTAAAAATCTAACTTAAGAAGTTCTGAAGTGTTTTATCAAAGTTAAATATTTATAATACATACATTTTCTTAAAGTCAGGTTGTACCCTAAATTCTGAATCTTTTACTTTTGATGACTGTCCTAATTTATTACTTGCTGCATACCTGGCAGGTAGTTTGTAAATATAACTTTGCCCATTTTCTGTCCAAATGATGACTTTATCTGATGAGACAAAGTCCCCCCCGGTCCATGTCTGTCCATTTTCACTAGGACCTGAACACAACAAGGAATAGTCTCCGGCATCGAACACCTGCAAGGAAGAAAGAAATTCACAATCTACTCCATATTGTTGTAAAAAGTAAGATCCAGTGACATTTCAAGTTTAAAAAAAAAGCCTGGAAATGTATTTAGAAAACTCAGTTTGCTGCATCAGATAAAGAAAGTTTGTCAATAAGCCCTGGGAGAGGTCACCTTCAATAGGGAAGACACAACTAGGCCCCTAGTTATGGGTAACCTCCCTGTGGACAGGGAATAGGCTATGACAAGTGGAGCGAGGGTGCTCCCCACTACAGGAACAGTTATCCTCAGACTTTCTATCTAGTGAAAGTATTCCATTAAAGAATTGCAAATAATAGGGAATCAACCTCAAATATACAGGCTTGAGCCCTGTTTTATTTCTATGTCTAGTAACAGCATTTTTTTTTTTTTCTTGAGACAAAGTCTTGCTCTGCCACCCAGGCTGAAGTGCAGTGGCACAATCAGAGCTCACTGCAACCTCAAACTCCTGGGCTCAAGTGATTCTCCTACCTCAGCCTAGCTGGGACTGTAAGAGCATGCCACCATGCCCTGCTAACTTTTTTATTTCTTATTTCTTGTAGAGACAGGGTCTCACCATGTTGCCCAGGCTGGTCTCGAACTCCTGGGCTCAAGTGATCCTCCCACCCTGGCCTCCTAAAGTGCTGGGATTACAGGCATGAGCCACCTTGCCTGGCCCAGTAGCAACATTTCTAACAATAAACTCTGGCATGGGAATAACTCATTATTATAAGGGAGTTACTTTGCTCTACATTATTTCATCAATGTTCTAAAATACTATAGTTAACAGGCTCAATTTTACTATGTAATAATTTTCACATATAAAATTCAAATCCCTATAATTTCACCAGCAGTAAAGGCTACTAACCTTATAGGGCTTTACATTTGCAAGGCACTGCAAAGTTTACAAAGTACCTTTACAATTATTATCTCATATGACCCTGAGAATCACCGCAGATGTTACTATTCCAGTTTACAGACAAGAAATGGACACAAATAAAGATTTGATCAATTGCTCAAAGTCATGTGTCCAGTAAGTGATAGAGCCAAAGCTAAAAACTCTGCTCTTATAATTCCTAGCAGAATTATTCTATCACTTTTAATATTTGAAAAAAGTACATTAAATGTTGTTAGAAAATTTTCCCAGGAGGAATGAGTAATTCCTCATTCCTCAATAGATCAGAGGTTTTATTTTACTTTTCTTTAAAGAAAACAATGAAGTTGCTTGTATACAGCCTTGAAGTTAGAACACATCCTAGCTGCATTTACCATGATTTCTTATAATATTTATCAGTGTATAACATCAGCACT
Organism: Homo sapiens; assembly: GCF_000001405.40. Lineage (NCBI taxonomy): Eukaryota > Metazoa > Chordata > Mammalia > Primates > Hominidae > Homo > Homo sapiens. The sequence goes on along the minus strand of NC_000018.10, from coordinate 56,689,899 downwards.
ACAATTATAGCCAAGAAAACTCCAAGAAAGAGTAAGGAAGGGAAACTAGCCCTCCAGCCCTATTATCTGTTAAAGCAAATCATACAACTATAAAAGTTAGAACAATATAGTATTAATTCATGAATGGGCAGACAAATCCAGAAGTCTGAAAACAGATTCCAATAATGTAGGAATATAGTATATTATCAAGGGACAACAGACGAATGAATTATTCAACAAATGGCATCAGGAACTGGGGGGGTCCATCTGACATAAAAATAAAATTGGATCTATATCTCACAATTTATACAAAATAAATTCCAGATTAAAGATTCAAAGGTATGTAAGACAAAACCATATAGGCCAGGCACGGTGGCTCATGCCTATAATCCCAGCCCTTTGGGAGGCCAAGGCAAGCTGACCACTTGATGCCAGGAGTTCAAGACCAGCCTGAGCAACAAGGTGAAACCCATCTCTACTAAAAATACAAAAATTGGTCAGGCGTGGTGGTCCATGCCTGTGATCCCAGCTACTTGGGAGGCTGAGGCAGGAGAATCCCTTGAACCTGAGAGGCAGAGGTTACAGTGAGCCGAGATTGCACCATTGCACTCCAGCCTGGGCGACAGCAAGACTCTGTCTCAAAACAAACAGACAAAATTAAAAATAAAACCATATAAAAATTAGGGGAAAATGAAAGATTTGAATCTCAGCTTATGGTAAGCCCAATTGAAAACTTCTTCATGATAATAAGTATCTTAAAAAGCCATTCTGGTGGGTTGTAGTACTATCTCAGTATTGTCTTAATATGATGATTAGTGAAGTTGAGCACCTTTCTATACATTTACTGGCCATCTGGCTTTCATCTTTTGTGAAATATTTTTGTCCAATTTCCTGCTGAGTGTTCCGTAGTTTTCTTCCTGATTTGCAGGAGTTGGGTTTTTTAATAAATACTGGACAATTCTTCATCATCTATGTATATTGTAATTATCTCCTCTGACTACGTGAGTTGTCTTTTTACTCTTATGTATGCATTTTAAGAAAGAAAAAGCTGTTCTCACATAATTACAAAATGTTTATAATGGACACAAATGAAACTGGTACTAGATACTCTTATCTGGAAGGGAAAGGGAAGTTCCAGCGGGGAAGAGACACATTTTTCACTGTATCCTCTTGCCCCTTTTTTTTTTTCCCCAAGACAGAGTCTTGCTCTGTCAGCCAGGCTGGAGTGCAGTGCCGCAATCTCGGCTCACTGCAACCTCTGCCTCCCGGGCTCAAGTAATTATTCTGCCTCAGTCTCCCAAGTAGCTGGGATTACAGGTGTGCGTCACCATGCACTGCTGATTTTTTTTTTTTTTTTTTGTATTTTTAGTAGAGACGGGGTTTCACATGTTGGCCAGGCTGGTCTCGAACTCCTGACCTTGTGATCTGCCTGCCTCGGGCCTCCCAAAGTGCTGGGATTACAGGCATGAGCCACCATGCCCAGATTGTTTTTTTATTACTATTTGCATCTGTTTTAAATTTTAACACAAAGGAAGAAACCCATAAAACCTACTCTAAGCAAGCAGCAGCTAGCTTTTCCTAATTTTATTCTAATATAGTAAGTGACAACGATAAGGTTAAGGTGCTGCTTCCCTAGTCATTCCTTTCACCATATGGCCCATCCCCTTGTGTTCTAAGCTCAGGAAACCAGCCCATTCCAGGTTCTAATTATGACACAGTACAGCATAGTAGTAATGAGAGCAGCTGCTGCAGTCAGATACCCATGTTGTAACTCAGCAACTCCGCTGCCATTTATATAACCTTTGTCAAGTTATTCATCCCTTTACTGCCTCAGCTGCCTCATCTGCAAAATGGGGAAAGTAACAAGTCCTCCTGTGGTAAGCAGTCTCTAACAGGGCCCCAGTGATCCCAAACCCTGGTATTCATACCCATGTGTAATCCTCTCCCCTGAGTATAGGTTGCATTTTGTGACTGTTTTTAAAGAACAAAATGTAGCCAGGAATGGTGGCTCATGCTTATAATCCCAGCACTTTGGGGGGCTGAGGCAGGAGGATCGCCTGAGCCCAGGAGTTCAAGACCGGCCTGGGCAACAGGGTGAGACCCCATCTCTACAAAAAAATTCTAAAATTAGCCAGGCTTGGTAATGCGTGCCTGTAGTCCTAGCAACTCAGGAGGCTGAGGTGGGAGGATCCTTTGAGGCCAGGAGTTCAAGGCTGTAGTGAACTATGATTGTGCCATTGCACTCCAGCCTGGGCTACAGAATGAGACCACATCTCTTTAAAAAAACAAAAAACAAAAACAAGAACCTGGGTGATAAAACATGTTTGTTGTTTTAAACTAATAATTTTTGGAATGATTTGTTATTCAGAATTAAATAGCTAATCCACCTAACCTCAGAGAGTTGTAAGGATTAAAAGAAATAATACATGGCAAGCTTTGAAAAAAGTGCTAGTCACAGAGCAAGTGCCCAAAACATGCTATTTTTCTATTATGGAAATATTAAAGTCTGGCAATGTGGAAGTAATATACCTCTTCCATCATTAGCTCTGAAGTGATATGAGAAGACTTTCCAACTGCAAGAAGCCAGGGAAAATATTGACTATTAGCTTTAATAACACCCTACAAAGAAATGTCCAAACTGTAGAAAACTCCCTACTACTGCTTATATTGTACTGATAAGACAGTGACTAAAACAGTAGCAAAAAGGAGAAATTAAGACCAATGAAATACAGTCTCTAATTGAATCATTCCATAAACACAAACAAAAAAAGACAACTACATATAGCCAAGTCCCAACTTCTCAAAATGTGATATCAAAAGCAGACATGAATTCTAAATGATGAAAATAGTCTTGCACCAAGTACTTCTTTAGGGTTCTTTGGAAATCTGATAAACCAATGTCTTGAAGGATAAAAATACAGCTTCTTATTTATATAATTATCTTACCCTCCAATATTTGGAACACACAACCAAAAGTGACCTTTGTGTAAATGCACAAAAAGAGATGCTTTGGCAATTCTGACAATAAATTGGTTTGGATTCCTCCTCAAATATTGGCTCAGTATCCTGAAAAGAAAGATTTGTAAAAATTTAGGAATAGCATGATTGTCAATTAAAATTATCACACAATGATAAAGGCAACAAAATTAAATAAAGGCATCGCTTCATATGTTCATCATTTTAGCCCCTCAGGTAAGCGCCACGGTAGTAAAAAGCAGCAAAGATATACCCTAAAAGCAGCTAGACACAAATACTGTTGCTACAAAATCCCCTGAGATTTCAATTCTGATGATACTCAGAGTATCATCACTCTGGTAATGACAGATGATAAAGTCTGCCTTAATCCTAATTTTTGTAGCTATATGTGCTTTTTTAAAAAATCCAATTAATTCCTCTATCTTCTCCTGAATTCCATGCCTAAAAATTCCCTAGCTGAAGAGAGTAGCATCAAAATTGTCAGACTTCATCTTTCTCATTGATAAAAAAAAGAACAAGGAATTCAAGCCCAAAGAACTGAAATAGATGACTAAAAATGGCTTTGTATATTTTTTGTGGTGATTTGCTTTATTTTTTTTTCCTTTGAGTCAATTTAAACAGAAGCAGTTGAGGAGAACCTCACCTCTTTTACGTTTCTCCTCTACATATCCTGCGCAATATGTTTCTCTATTTTATATCCATGATAGAGCAGATGTTGCCATTAAAAGTAAATAAAAAATTCACTCCCATAGCATACTAGAGAATCTTCCATACTATGCCTATAAGAAAATTATCAAAAAATAATCACTTTTTCCTTCCCCCTTAAAAAAAATGGAAGGGGCATATCATTACTAAAATTTTGAGCTACAGAGAATAAAAACAGAGAAATCACCCCAGTTTCCTTTTTCTCACCTGCATGTCACTTATTTCCGAGGTAACAATCCAGACCTTCAGGATGCCAGTCACCGAGAGTGCTACCACTGTGTCCTCTAAAATGAGAAGGGACAAAAAAGCAGCCCAGGTTACGAACATAATACGCTTTTTCTAAATATTAAGATGTTTTGCTTGAATAAAATTAAACAATAGCATGTTTTACAATTAGCAGAAAAACATAATTCTCTATTTCATGAAACAGAAACCAGGTTTTGAAACACAAGTTAATAAAGATGGCCAACAACTTAAAATTCAAGGAAAATTATTTCTAGCTAATTGAATTTTTTATTTCTAATCAAGAAGTTTTTAATAATTTCAAATGTTCTTGATTACTATGTTAACAATGAACTTATACACTTCAAAATTTACAACTTCTAATTCTTTATCATGGATGAGCTCAAGCACTTCATTTCTTCAAGGCACAAATTTCTCCCCCTTTCCCACATACCTTGCCACCTTCCAGATACTTCATTGCACATTACACCCTCCCCAGAGTGTGATCAAGAGAAAGATATGATATAAAATCTAAGTTCCTAAGCTTCAGGTAAGGGACTAGTGACAGCACCAGGGTCACGTACAGGAATTTTGAGAGGATGAGCATTGGAAAGCAGTCAACGTAGGCTCCAGAGTGAAGGAGGGGAATGTTAAAAGCAAAATCACATTTTTCTTCACTAATTAACCAATGAACTTTAGATAACAAACTATCTTAAATACAATTTTCTTATCTGGAAGCAAATATAAATGAATAACAACAGTACCTATCCTAATGGGTTGTTATAAAAATTAAGACACGCCAAGGGAAAACATTCAGCACATACTAAATTCTCAATAAAGTTGAGTTATTACTGTTATTTAAAAAATTGTTATCTTTAAATAAAAACCTTATCAATATCACATAGTTCTCTAGGCACTGTAAGGCATTGAAATTAATTGATTTAAGTTACAGTCTATTCTGTTCAGACTACAGTGTAAACATATATAAAAGGAGTATAAAAATTTTAAATAGGCAAACCGCTTGGTCACAAATACAGATCTGTTTTAAATAAAAGATTCATTGTAACTAATATTAGAGATAAATATATGAATGATTAGTTCCCTATTGCCTGGAAAATTAACGCAAATCTCATTCTCACTGTTATGCTTAGGAATAAAGCAGTAATTCTCTAATATGCATAAAAAACCTCTCTGAGAAGGTTCACATTAGAGAAGCCTGCTGAATTTTATTTTACCAAACATCTCCCAAATATATTTAACCAGAGATCCCACCTTTTTGACAAATACCTATTAACAAACTTCAGAACCAACACTCTGAAGAACAGCGGCAGGAAATGAAGCCAGTGCATCCACTATTCCGACAGTCCACTTTAGTGCAGGCCTGCACCACTCTCAGCTGGGCAACTAATCTCTTAATTTCCTCCCATCTTTGAAGTTTAAAGCATAAGTCCCTTCAGAGACTGCCCATCATCTACAGTGAGAGCCTGCAAGCTACAGCTCATGAGTCAACTCCAGCCCACTGGCTGTTTTTGTAAATAAAGTTTTATCGCAACACAGCCAGGCTCAATCACTAATGTATTGTCTGCGGCTGTTTTTGTGCTAAAACAGCAGAGTTGAGTAGTTGAAACATGGACCATATGGCCTGCAGAGCCTAAAATATTTCATATCTGGCCCTTTACAGTATAAGTTTGACAACCCCTGATCCACAAAGTGAATTCCCTAGCTGATACACAGGGCTTTCAAGACCTGTCTCCTGCCAGCTCTGCCAGCCTTATATCCTGCCACTCCTTCCCTCATACTTCTTGTCCCAGAAAAAGATAATCTATAGTTTCACATATACACCTATCATAATTTTAATGCTTTTGTACCTACAGACTATCTCCTTTGCCAGAAACATCCTGATCGCAGGTCTGCTAAACTCTTTCTCATCTTCCAAATCCTAGATCAGACTTCATCTGATCTGGACAGCCCTCTACTGCCCTCAATCAGCCTCACTGCCATCCTCTCCATACTATTTTTCCATCTTGCACACTTTGCACTCTAAACTGTTATTTGTTTATATATCATTGTCCTTTACTAGAATTTGACTCCCTTAAGTATTAATATTTCAATCCCTTGCACCTGGAAGACTGTAGGCATTCGATAAATATTTGCTGAATGACTACTGAATAAAAAGCTATGTGCTGATTTTCCTACCCTAAGAGGTTACAAAGCAAAAGCTCCTATAAAGTTGAAGGCAATTCACTAATGGGAGGGAAGCAGTGTAACACAGTGGTTAAAGTAACTACTCCGGGGTCCTTTAGCAAAGATGGCATCACACTAACTCTCATCATTCTCCTCATCTATATGATGAATATTAACAGTACCTACCCCACTAAGTATTGTGAGAATTGATCATATGTAAATGCTTAGCATGGTGCTTGGTAGTGTAAACACACAGTAAATGAAAGTCCTCATGGTGATGGTGCTGCTGATACCGGTGGTAGTGGTGGTGGTTATTTACTGGCCTCTATAGGAAGCACATAACTATGAAGCCATTTGAAAGTAAAAGAATGCTCCTTAAAAGGCTTATAAAAGTAGACATTCAATGTTCTGCATTAACTATTACTCTTTTCCTGACAACTTTACTTTTGCTTTTATGGTTGTTATTAAGAGGTTTCAACAAAAATGAAGAAAAGATAATAATATTTATTGAGCATCAAGTACATATCAGCCCCTTCCAGGAACTTTCATTAAATTTAACTGTGTATAATCTCTCCTTTTTCACTGTCCCCATTTGAAATGGAAACATTCCCTATGCCTCTTAAGCAAGTGACAGAACCAGGCCCCAGAAATATACAGGTAAAACTACAGCTCTTCCCAAAGGTAAAACTACACCCCCAAAGGTTAAGCTATTCTTCCTCCACTTCAGATAATCACCCATATACTCTGTCAAAAGCTGATGATCTATACATCATGGAATGGAGATAAGCCAACAATTAAGTCTTCATTCAATCAAAGATTTCTTTATGAAGGAAGAAACAGACCATAAATTATTGGTGTAGTTATTTCTTACATAGAAGAATATATCCCAAAGTATTAATTTATGATAAATTGTAGAATGTTCTAGTAAACTAAACATTAAGTCATGGTGCTAAAGCTCCTAACAGGCATAATACACTGACCTTGTGTTCGGTGGGATCGAATAATACTCATGGAGCTAATCCAGTCTGGTGATATCTTTGATACTAAGGAGTATAATACTTCAAGGCTGGTAGCATCCACAACAAGGATTTCAGGGTAATGTCCGTGGCATAAAAGCCTTCCTTCTCGCTGATTCCCAACAGAGAACTGGTAGAACTACATTCATGCCAAAAGGAAAAAAGATTTCTGAGTGTTCTCCTTTAATTTAGATACTTGATTAATATGCATTCATCAAGGTTATTACAATATTCTCCTAAAGCTCAACTTCTTCGGTAAGAATTTTAGATATTTACCAAATGGTACATATTATATGGGTGTATGTGCACACACATATATTAAGTTATATTAAAATTTTTAAATAGCTAACAAAAATTATTTTCCTAACATCTTATCCTCCCTTTTGAATTATTTTGAAATAGAATTCGTGATAATTGTTTTTATCCCCCTCTAGCATCTAAAACAGAACTGTTGAATAAATTAATAAAACACCTGAATAAAATCAGCTTTACAAATCACATCAAAAGGAAGCTCAGGTGGGTCACAAAAATAACATGAATTTCAAATAAGTAGAAATAGGGAAATATAAGCTTATAATTACTAGTTATGCAAATACAATTTAGAAGGATGATTGATGTTCAAACATAATCAGGGCCTCAGCTTCCTTATATGTAAAATGATATACTCCTATTTAATATGTAAGGGTGTCAGGAGGACTAAATCAAACACAATACAAGAAATGCCTACACTGTATCTGCTCAATAAATGTGAGTTACCTTCTCTTCCTTTCCCATTGAAATCATAATTGATCATATTTTTAATATAATTCATAATTTTTCCAACACTCAACACAGTAAACAATTAGTAAACTGAAGTACAGAGAATTAGACAGCTATGAAAAAGTAAAAAAGAATACCAGGAATGTAAGTCAGAAACTACAAATTCCTGTGTAACACTCTACATATTAAGCCAGGCATATGAAACAGTCATGTCTTCTGAAGAGTTGGAAAGTTTTAAAAATACATGTCCAAGGACCAACTGCATGAGCAATAAAAAAGATATGGTCCAAAAAGTAGGTCAATTTGTGTCAATCACAAGTGGAATCACAAAGGATTTTGCAAGGAAGAATTCCATTATTTAGGACCTAGAGCATTTTCCCAAGTAGTGAAGGGGCTCTCACTTGGGTAACCAAGGTAGCCCAGAATAGCAGAAGCAGCAGCAATTTGCTTGCCCTGTATCTTTCCCCATTAGTCTCCTCTCCTTTCTTACCCCTCCCAACTGTACCATCTTACGAGGAACACTTTTACCGCTTCAATTCTAGTTTTCTTGTCTTGTTACTACCACCCACCATTTTTCATATAAAAATATAGGCTCAATGTTTTAAAAATATTTTAAATTATATACTTATAATAGTTTGTACTTAGAGTCACAGAAATAGAAACTAACCTGTATGCCAGTATGTGTGCAAGCTAATTTTGTAAATTCAATACATCTGCCATCACTCACATCCCAGAGGCACATCTCTCTATAAAACAAAATAATGGTCAGCTTTGAGTGTGACTTTTTAAAGCACCATTCAACTTTGTCACAGTGATTTAAAATTAATCTTCCATTAAAACTAATATATTTCAGAAAAAGTAGCATACAGTTATTACTGTTGTTCATCAAAATTTCCAGTCCTCCCTCGACCCTCCTAACACCCCTTCCAAACTGCCCACCCCCCACCATAGTCCACATTCTTTGTAGGCCCATAATAAGACTGCATTTCCTGGTTCCGTTTTGGTTAATGAAGTCTTGTAAGTAGTTCTGGCCGGAACCAATGCAAGGCTTTCCAGAGCTCTGTTCCAGAGACTGGCTGCTTCACACAGAGGTTGCTCCCTCACTCTGAACCTCAAAGTAAGGATAACAGTGAAGCAGAGTAGAGGCCTCAAGTGACACATGACGGACAAGTGACAAAAACAAGAAATAAACTTCTAATTTAAACTACTGAGATTTTATATTTGTCATCCAGGTAGCTAGAGAATTTCAAACTGCAAAAAACAAAAGTTAAAGTCAACTGAATTTCAAACTTTTGCAAATAAAATACCAGATTCCAGTTTTCATTCTGTATGTATTGTAATTTTATTGAATGCACACAAAAAAACTAGATATAAGATTGAAAGATATAACATTGAAAATTAGAAATGTCAACATGCCTTGTCTATTGAAGAAATACATTTAACAAAAAAAATTAATAAAATGCAATGATCCTGATATTATTAGAGTTTTCTTTAAGATACCATTTTCTATATCTCATATGGTATTATATAAGACAATTTTTCAAAGAGCATTCAATTTAAAATATGCATTCTAATGGGAATTATCCTTTAATTGACCAACAGCTACTATATTTTTAGCTTATGTTGCTTCTTTTTGTTCCAGTGAATTATACAAGGTTCTCTTCAGTGGGGAGAACAATTTCTGTTTTGTTTTGCTTTTTTGAGACAGGGTCTCACTGTGTCACCCAGGCTGGAGTGCAGTGGCACAATCACAGCTCATAACAGCCTCAATCTCCTGGGCTCGGGTGATCCTACCACCTCAGCCTCCTAAGTAGCTCAGACTACAGGTGCACGCCATCATGCCCGGCTAGTTTTTGCATTTTTTTGTAGAGACAGGGTTTTAACATGTTGCTCAGGCTGGTCTCAAACTCCTGTGCTCACGTGATCCGCCCATCCCAGCCTCCCAAAGTGTTAGGATTACAGGAGTGAGCCACCACACATAGCAACAATTTCTTATATAATTCTCTTCAAGTTCCCCAACTTTCTTCAATAGTATATTGTATAAATATATGTAATTTTCTAAGCACCAAAAAATGTTTTGAAAACTGTTTGTAAATCTTTTTAAACATTTAATAACATTGGGCTCTACAACTACTGTTCAATGACCTGCCTCTCTAAAGCAAGCTGCATTCTGAGACTTGGGAACACAAATAGTTATGTTAGTGTATTAATACATATCAATATAACGTTATGAACTTTTTCATGGCATCATCTTCAAAATTTATGCTAGCCTAGCATCATTCAGGTTTTTAAAAGGAAATCTCAAAGTTGTCTGGCAACTCAATAAAAACAACATGGAGATGAATGATCGTGCTTTAACTTTTATAGTATTCTGAGTTCCTTAAAAGCAAGCCAAAGGACATAATCATAAATTACAATAAAAGTATTATAAAATCATTAACACAGATAAAATTTACATCCCTAAAATCAGATTTTAAATATCTACATTTAGATTTAGACAATACAAAGCATTTATTTAGGAGATATTCTAAAAGAAAAAAAAAATACCTCGCTACTTACAAGGCATTGGTGCTAGTTATAAAGACTCATGAGAAAAAGAGGCAAATGAGAAAATACTTACCCACTTTCAGATGCACTCACAATATACTGTTTGTCACTGGAAGCACAAGCTTTAGACAAACAAGTGATTGATGCTGTATGACCAAACAACAGTGCTCGAGGATTAATCTAGAAATGCAAAAATATGCTAGTTTAAGTACCAAACTTAAAAATTAACCTTCTATTTGAGTGTCAGCTTAGCCATAGTAAAATAGAAGACTAGGTAGACTGCTAAGATTTTTTATTCTAGCCCCTGGCTCTTGCAAAGCACTGCTGGAGCCGCCTGGGAGAACTTCTAGCCCTGAAAGGAAAGACACAGGCCTGGCTGGCTTCACTACTGGCTGATTGTAGAGACCCAGGGCCTTAAAACAAACATAGGCAGTAGCCAGGGAGTGGTTACAACAGGCCTTAAGCAAAACCCAGTGCTATGCTGGCTTCAGGTGTGACTCAGTGCAGTACTAGTGAAGGTGGACACAGGGGTGCTTGTGTCATTCCACCCCCCAGTCCAAGTAATTCATAACAGAGACAGAGAGAGAGACTCCATTTGTGTGAGGGAAAGGATGAACAGAGAACAACAGTCTCTGCCTGGTAATCCAGAGAATTGTCCCGAATCTTGTCCAAGCCCATCAAGGCGGTACCTCTACGAGTCTGCAAGAACCACAGTGCTGCTGGGTGCGGTGCCTCATGTCTGTAATCCCAGCACTTTGGGAGGCTAAGGTGGGCAGATCATGAGGTCAGGAGTTCAAGACCAGCCTGACCAATGTGGTAAAACCCCATCTCTACTAAAAATACAAAAATTAGCCAGGCGTGGTGGCGCGCACCTGTAATTCCAGCTACTCAGGAGGCTGAGGCAGGAGAATCGCTTGAACCCAGGAGGCAGAGGTTGCAGTGAGCCGAGATCGCTCCACTGCACTCCAGCTTGGGGGACAGAGTGAGACTCCGTCTCAAAAAAAAAAAAGACCACAGTGTTACTGGGTCTCCCCTAAAGCAGATACAGCTTTGAACACAACACCCAAGTCCTTTCGCATATCTGGAAAGCCTTCCCAAGAAGGACAGGTACAAACAAGTCCAGACAGTGAAGAATACAATAAATACTTAATTCCTCCATGGCCAGACAAGACAAACATCTACAAGTATCAAGACCATCCAGGAAAACACAACCTCACCAAATGAAGGAAATAAGGCAACAGGGACCAATCCGGGAGAAACAAATACGTGACTGTTCAGACAGATAATTCGAAATAGGGTTTGAATTCTCTGTTTTGAGAAAACTCAAAGAAATTCAAGATAACACAGAGAAAGAATTCAGAGTTCTATCAGACAAATTTAAGAGACTGAAATAATAAAAAAGAATCTGGCAGAAATTCTGAAGCTGAAAATGCAATTGGCATACTAAAGAATGTATCAGAATCTTTTAATAGCGGAAATGATCAAGCAGAGAAAAGAAATAGTGAGCTTGAAGATGGCCTATTTGAAAATATACAGTCAAAGGAAACAAAAGAAAAGAGAATAAAAAGCCATGAAGCATGCCTACAGGATCTAGAAAATAGCCTCAAAAGGGCAAATATATGAGTTACTGGTCATAAAGAGGAGGCAGAGAAGGAGATAGGGGTAGAAAGTTTATACAAAGGAATAATAACAAAGAATCCCCAAATCTAGAGAACGATACAAATATCCAAGTACTTATAGAACACCAAGCAAATTTAACCCAAAGATGACTACCTCACGGTATTTAATAATCAAACTCCCAGAGGTCAAGGATTAAGAAAGAATCCTAAAAGCCAAAAAAGAAAAGACACAACATACACTGGGCCAAGCACAGTGGCTCATGCCTAAAATCTCAGCACTCTGGGAGGTCCGAGGTGGGTGAATCACTTGAGGCCAGGAGTTTGAGACCAGCCTGGGCAAAATGGCAAAACCCCATCTCTACTAAAAATACAAAAATTAGCCAGGTGGGGTGGCACACATCTGTAGTCCCAGCTACTTGGGAGGCTGAGGCACAGGAATCCCTGGAACCCAGGAGGCAGAGGTTGCAGGAAGTTGAGATCACGCCACTGCACTTCAGCCTGGGCAACAGAGAAATACTGTCTCAAAATAAACAAGCAAACAATGGAGCTCCAACACGTCTGGAACCAGACTTTTCAGTGGAAATCTTACAGGCCAGGGGAGAGTGGCATGACATATTTAAAGTACCAAAGGAAAGAATAGTAAATCCAGCAAAAATATCCCTGAAGCCTGAAAGAGAAATAAAGACTTTCTAGACAAACAAAAGCCAAGGGATTTCATCAATCCTAGACCTATCCTACAAGAAATGCAAAAGGGAGTACTTCGATCAGAAAGAAAAGGATGTTAGTGAGCATCTGAAGGTACAAACTCACCAGTAATAGTAAGTACACAGAAAAACACAGAATATTGCAACACTGTAACTATGTTGTGTAAACTACTCTTAAGTAGAAAGAGTAAATGAAACAATCAAAAATAACTACAACGTTTCAAGACACAGACGGTACAATAAGATATAATTAGTAACAATAAAAAGTTAAAAAGCTGACAGGCCCCTGGCTCATGCCTGTAATTCCAGCACTTAGCCTGACACAGTGACATGGGCCTGTAGTCCCAGATACTTGGAGGCTGGGGTGGCAGGATTGCCTGAGCCCAGGAAGACAGACTGCAGTGAGCCAAGGTCATGCCACTCCACTCCAGCTTGGGTGACAAAGTGGGACCCTGTCTCCCAAAAAAAAAACCAAAAAAACAAAAAAAAAAGTTAAAAAGCAAGGGAAGTTAAGGTGTAGAGTCTTTATTAGTTGTCCTTTTTTGTTTGTGTTTATGCAAATAGTGTTATTATCAGCTTAAAATAATGGGTTATAACATAGTATCTGCAAGCCTCATGGTAATCTCAAACCAAAAAACATACAATGGATACACAACAAATAAAAAGCAAGAAAATAAATCGTATCACCTGAGTAAATCACCATCACTGAAAGGAAGACCTGAAGGAAATAAATATCACAAAACAACAAGAAAACAAAAAACAAAATAGCAGAAATAAGTCCTTACTTACCAATAATAACGAGGACTTATCAATAATAACACTGAATGTAAATGGACTAAACTCTCCGATCAAAAGACAGAGTGGCTGAATGGATGAAAAAACAAGACCCAATGATCTCTTGCCTACAAGAAACACACTTCACCTATAAAAACACACATAGACTGAAAATAAAGGGATGAAAAAAGATATTCCATGCCAATGGAAACCAAAAAAAGCAGAAATAGGTACACTTAGACAAAACAGGACTTCAAGACAAAAACTATAAGAAGAGACAGAGAAAGTCACTATATAATAATGAAGGAGTCAATTCAGCAAGAGGGTATAACAATTTTAAATATATATTCACCCAGCACCAGAGCACCCAGATATATAAAGCAAATATTATTAGAGCTAACAAGAGAGATAGGCCCCAATACAATAATAGCCAGGTGTGTAGTAGTGTGCACCTGTAGACCCAGCTACTCAAGAGGATGAAGCAGGAGGATCACTTGAACCTGGGAGATCAAGGCTGCAGTAAGCTATCATTGCACCCCAGCCTGGGCAACAGAGTGAGACCTTATCTCAAAAAAAATAAAAATAATAAAAATAAAAGTGAAAGACTAGATGCTTTCCCTCTGCTAAAGATTAGGAACGAAAATAGGATGTCCACTCTTGCCACTTCTATTCAATATTGTTATGGAGGTGCCATCCAGGAACATTAGGCAAAAAAATGAAATAAAAGGCATCCCTATTAGAAAGCAAAAAGTAGAACTATCTCTATTGGAGAGTGACATTATCTTGTATGCAGAAAATCCTAAAGGATCCACTAAAAAACTATTAGAAGTAATAAGTCCAATAAGGTTGTAAGATACAAGATGAATAAACAAACTCAAATGTATTTCTATACACCAGCAATGAAAAATCTGAAAATAAAATAAATGGAAAAATTCTATATCTAATAGATTCAAAAAATAAAATTCTTTGAAATAAATTTAACAAAAGTAATACAAACCTTATATTCTGAAAACTACAAAATATCGCTGAAAAAAAACTAAAGATCTAAATAAATGGAAATGCATTCAATGTTCATGGGTCAGAAAATTTGATATGGTTAAAATAGCAGTACTCTCCAAATTGATCTAGTGAGTCAACATATTCCCTATTAAAGCTCCAACTGACTTCTTTGTAGAAATTGACAAGCTGATTCTAAAATTCATATGGAAATGCAAGGGACCCCACCAAAACAATCTTGAAAAAGAAGAGCAATACTGGAGGACTCACATATCTGGATTTCAAAACTTAATATAAAACAATAGTAATTAAGACAGTGAGTATATAAAACAACGGTAATTAGGACAGCGAGTATAGACATCTAGAGGATATGGATAAGAACACATACAAAGAACCATAAAATAGAATTGAGAGCCCAGATAGAAACCCATGACATTTATGGTCAATTGATTTTTCTTAAGAGTCCAATAGCATTCAATGGAGAACAAGCAGTCCTTCTGACCAATAGTGCTAGGATAATTTGATAGCCACATGCAAAAGAATGAAGTCAAACCCTTCTCTTACACCACAGAAAAATTAACTAATATGGATCGAAGACCTAAATGTAAGAAGTAAAACTAGTATATAAAATTCTTAGGAAAAAAACACAGGGATAAATCTTCATGACCTTAGATTTAGCAACGGTTTCTTAGATATGACAACAATAACATAAGCAAACAAAGGAAAAAGATAAACTGAACTTTATCAAACTTAAAATATTTTGTGCTTCAAAGGACACAATCGAGAAAGTGAAAAAACAACTGATAAAATGGGAGAAAATAAATGTAAATCTTATATCTGTTAAGGGATTTGTATCTAGAATATATGAAGAATTTTTACGATTCAATAATAAAAAGACAACCCAATTTTAAAATGGGCAAAGGAAAAAATTTTAAGTTAAAAATTTTTTTAATGGGCAAAGACTCTGAATAGACAGTTTGCCAGAGAAGATATACAAACGGCCAATGAGAACATGAAAAGAAGCTCAACATCATTAGCCATCAGGTAAATTCAAACCCAAATCACAATGAGATACCACTTTACACACAAAATTCGGGCTAGAATCAAAAAGATAACAGCTATTGATTGACAAGGATGTGGAAAACCTGGAACCCTCATGCACTGCTGATGGGAATGCAAAATGATGTAGTTACTTTGGAAAACAGTCTGGCAGTTCCTTAAATAACAGGTTAAACATAGAGGTACCTACCATACGATCCCACAATTCCACGCTCGGGTGTATACCTAAGTGCACTGAAATCATGTGTCCACACAAAAACTCATACACAAATGTGTAATACTCATAGCAGCATTACTCATAAGGGCCAGAAATATTTGGCCATAAAAAGAAATGAAGTACTGATACATGCTACAATGTGGGTGAACCTTAAAAACATTATGCTACATGATAAAAGCCAGTCATAAAAAAACACATATTATAGTTATATGATTCCATTTATATTAAATGTCCAGAATAATCACGACGTTAGTGACAGAAGGTAGATTAGTGGTGGTCTAGGGAGAATGAGTATTAGAAGTGACTTTTTTTTTTTTGGAGACAAGGTCTCACTCCCATTGCCCAGGCTGGAGTGCAGTGGTACGAGTAGCCTGGACCTCCTGGGCTCAGGTGATTTTTTCCACCTCAGCCTCTGGAGTAGCTGGGACTACAGGCATGCACCACCACGTCCGGCTAGTTTTTTGTATTTTCAGTAGAGATGGGGTTTCACCATGTTGCCCAGGCTGGTCTCAAACTCCTGGACTCAAGCAATCTATCCACCTCAGCCCCACAAAGTGCTGGGATTACAGGCATGAGCCACCATGCCTGGCCCAGGAGGGACATTTAAAGGGTACAGGGTTTGTTTTGGAAGTGATGAAAATGTTCTAAAATTGACCTTGGTAATGGCCGCGCAACTTTATGAACGTACTAAGAAACGTCAAAACGTGCATTTGAAACAGATTAATTATGTAGTATGTGAATTATATCTCAATAAGGCTATTATCCAAAAAAAGTAATTTAAAAAATCACCTTTCTTGACCCCACATTCCATACCAGCTACCACTCCATTTTCTCTTTTTCCTTTGACAACAAATTCCTGGAAAGAGTTGTCAGAGAAAGGAGTTACAAATATGGAAAGGAGAAAAGTAGGATAAACGCTGTGGTGTTATGTTGGAATTAGACGTATCAGTGTGAACGTGTGTGTGTGTGTGTGTGTGTGTGTCCCCAGCTCCTATTTCCCTAGCTCTGTCCACTGACAGCCCTGGAAGCAGAGCACACTGAGCAATCCATAGTAGTAAGGAATGACAATAAAGGCACAGTCATTAATCAATACAACAAAATCTATACTTTGTAAAAAGTTTTGCCCTCTTCAAAGCATTTACCATAGAAGGTTTTAAGTGTTTTAAATTTTCTAAAACCTCTTTGGAAAACCTTCTTCAGTATGGGTCATCATCATTTGAAAAATCTTAAATGTAACAAAACAGTAAGTCACTTAGGGTAGATATTACAATTGAAAATGGCCAAAAGCCCTCAGAAGTCAACTCTGATGAATAGTGTAAATAATGAATCTGTATACTACTAGTTTTAGTCAAAACACATTTTTCAGAAAATCTACTGTGGGCCCAAAAGCATCATTTGGGGACTATATTATCTTCTAATAAGTAGATTTTTATATCTAAAATGTATAATAGGCATTTCACATACTCACTTGCAGTTCTACTGAAAGATCCCAGAGACATATTTGTCCGTCGTGACATCCTGTTACGATCGTGGCCCCATCATCTGTTAAAAGTACGGCTGAGATGCAATGTGTGGGCGCTTTTCGACCCCAAAGAACAATGGGTAGAACAAGGCTGTTTCCTGCCATTGTGTTTGTGTTTTCAAACCTGAAAATGTTATAAAAATTGTCAGATATTACAATATTTCTCTCGAAAACATGTTATATATTTTTGTTATAAAACCAACAATTTGAAAATAATCATATATTCCTGGGAGTGAATTACAGCTACTTAAATATTTATTATTTTCAAAAAAAAACGACTAGTTTATTATAACTACTCTAGATTCAGGTGCTTACAAAATAATACACAATCAACACCTGTGAAAAGAAAGAAATAACGAAATAATAATAAACAGGTCTTTACCCCAGGCATTCACAGTTTTTAAAATTTACTAATAAAAGGCCAATGACTTCAGTACCTCATATTTATCTAGGATTTCACAGTTTATAAAGCGCTTTTATGTATACTATTTCATTTTGATTCTCAAAACAGCCTTTTGACATTGGCTGACTAGAAACTGAGGCATAAACATGACCTGCCCTAGGACACAGAACTAGCAAGTCATAAAACTCAAATACAAATCTTGACCTTCAGATCCCAAGTTGTATGCCTCCATTAAAAAAGACAGGTCAAACCGTTCTCAGAAAGTCTGGTACACACAGACTGTACTGTACCACTACCACTAGACAGTAATTATGAAGAATTTTCTAAGTCCCAGAAATTCTTCTGAACATTGTATGTGTGTGTATAAATGTAAGTACATATATAAACTCCATTAATCCTTACAACAAATCAGGAGGTAAACACTATTATCATTCCTATTTCATAGACAAAGACACTGAGGCACAAAGCGATAAGTGATGGAGCCCAGATCAGAACCCAGGCAGCCTGACTTCAGAACCTGTGGTCTTTCTCACTCTGCTAGGCTACTGATGACAAATGAGATTTCCAAACCAGCAATAAATACCAACGCCCAAGAAAAACTCAGTCCTGTTTCACACTGAGCTAAACATTTTCAAAACTCTGTTCAGGGCCGGGCGCAGTGGCTCACGCCTGTAATCCCAGCACTTTGGGAGGCCAAGGTGGGTGGATCACCTGAGTCAGGAGTTCAAGACCAGCCTGGCCAACAAGGTGAAACTCCATCTCTACTAAAAATACAAAAATTAGCCAGGCATGGTGGCAGGTGCCTGTAAACCCAGCTACTTGAGAGGCTTGAACCTGGGAGGCAGAGGTTGCAGTGAGCCAAGATCGCACCATTGCACTCCAGCCTGAGCAACAGGAAACTTTGTCTCAAAAAAAAAAAAAAAAAACACTTTGCTCAGTGTGAAACCCATTCAACCACACTTACTCCAAACCCGTTATGCCTGAAGGTCATGAAAGTCTTTTGTTGTAAACTCTGAACATTGAGGGAAGAAAAGAATGTCTTTGTAAACTCATTTCTCCATTAAAGAAAAAAATGTAGCTTCTGGTGAAGGGATTTAAATTTGAGATAGTAATAGATTAACCAGAGCATCCTGGAGTGCACCTCTTGCAGGAGAGCACATATGAGGAAGTATTCCTTAATATAACAAAATTAAAATCTAATTGGCAAAACAATATTTAGGGGTTAAAAACTGTGGTCAAAGACCTAGATAACAGGAGTTCAGAGAAGTTAGAAAAAGAAGACTGGAATAGTCAAAGAAAGCTGCATAGAAGAGAGTACTCTCAGATCTCATTAGACACTAGAAGTCACCTATAGCCTGACAGATGGCCAATCAAAAGGTATAATCATTAAAGACAAAATGAGGCGATGGCCAGGTGCGGTGGCTCACATCTGTAATCCCAGCACTTTGGGAGGCCAAGGTCGGCAGATCACTTGAGGTCAAGAGTTCAAGACCAGCCTGGCCAACATGGTGAAACCCCGTCCCTGCTAAAAATACAAACATTAGCCAGGCGAGGTGGTGGGTGCCTGTAGTCCCAGCTACTTAGGAGGCTAAGGCAGGAGAATCACTTGAACCCGGGAGGCAGAGGTTGCAGTGAGCCGAGATCGCGCCACTGCATTCCAGCCTGGCAACAGAGCAAGAGTTCATCTCAAAAATAAAATAAAATAAAATAATAATTTATATCACCAAAGATTTCTCTCAAGTAAATAAGTACTAAACACTGAATCCAACGTGGTGAGACCTGGAAAGAACACCATTTCTCTAGCTAGTTGGCGACTCGTACTCAGTACATACTGCCTGGCTTAAAGAGAATGCAAACAGATTCAGGACTACGGAGTATAGGGTACTAAATGGCCCAAAACATTTTTTTCTAATATCTTAAAAACCTAATAAAAGTGAAACTTCAGAAAAGCCACCAGAAGCACTAATGAAATAATGTGAAATAGAGGATAACATCGCTTATGATGATAGAATAGTATATGACAATCAAATACTTCTAGAAAGGACTACCAGCGAATTGGCAACCACATAAACCTAGTTCTAAGCAACTGATCAAAACAAAAACAAAAAAAAGGGCAAATTAGCCAGGACCTAACCATTTAATCAGGTAGATCACAGGAATCTAAGTTTGAATTTCTTTAAAATGAATAACGGATGAGCCAAGACACACTAAACTGCCAACACAAGGAAGTTTTTTAAGGGGAAAAAAGGGCAATGTAAATCCAGAGCATGCAGTTTTTCAGCCATCAGCATTCAACCAGTCTATGTATTAGTTAATAAACCATGCTTAACGTTCCCAACATTATCACCTATTGTAGCAAAAAACTTCAATATGTTCCAAAAGCTTTATATTAAGTGGAAGTAAGCAAGTCACAGGACAGGATTTATTGGGATAAAAAAAATTATATTTTTATGGAAAGTGCCAAAAGCAAAAGTGATTGAACAAATGACTAGAATAATCTGTTAACTTTAATAGAAACTCTCAAATAAAATTACCTTACTAATTCTCCAAAATATTATATATATAATATATTCAGATTTTGCAACTAGTACATTGAGGGCATATGCTATCTTTCAGATCTCAACATGATCTTACAAATTGATATGTTCTTAGACTAGATGCTTCTAAAAACAAAATAATATTAGGAACATTGAGTTTTCATTTATGTTTGTATCAAAATCTGGCTTAAAGTTACATTTAGAGACTGCTTATTCAATTGAAATGTTTAAAAGATAAAGCTCTGGAGCCAACAAATATCAGTAATTCTAGATTCTACTTCTCATTTTGTCACTAGTTATGCAGTCTTTGATGATATCTCACTTCTGAGGCTTAGTTTTCTCATTGTTATTAAAATTAATATTGAATCATTTTTAAGTTAACAAATCATAAGGAAACAGGCATCTTAGAGATAAAATTTCAGTCATCTCTTTTGATTAATTTCAGGTATTGCTTTATTTCCCCTAATTTCACTTATTTCTCAGCTCTGTATAGAAATAATTTAAAATACTATACTCCAGTCAACAAGAGCAACAAAAATAATAACTGAAAGAACACTGGGCCTACAATCAGATGACCTATATTCAAATCCTGGCCCTTCTATGTGATCTTGACAAAGTTATCTCTCTAGGTCTCAGTTTCCCCATCTGTAAAAGATGGATAATAATATTCTCCTCCTCTCAGAAAGATGTCATAAGATCAAGCGACCATATATGTAATGCAACTAGTACAATACCTAGCACATGGCAGATGCTCAGTAAATATTATTTAAAAAAAAAAAAAACACAGATTTTGCTACTTCTTCACATTCTGCTTACACATCTACAGGCTTTTTCCAGTACTTAATATTCAATAAGGTTGGACTTTCCAACAGGTTAATACCTTTCATTGACTTTCTGCCAAAGTATAAAAGTATTACTGTGTATGCTTGTCAAACAACTCAAATTGTGCAATTGTGCAATGCAAATATAACAATTTAGTTCTGCATTACTTTATTAGAAATAATACTACCAACTTCCATCCCAAAACTAAAATGGCTTTCAAATAAAATTCCAAACTCCTAATAATTAGTATACATTTTAGAGCAGCATTTCTCAGGTTTCTAGTTCATGCCAATGCCATGGTAGGTATAAGTATTACAATAATAAATAAAATAGACACAATTCAGCTATCCAGTGGGGCTTACATACATGTAAACAATTACCACAGAGCATGAGAGAAGTCTCAAGACATATGGAAACACAAAAGATGGATTCCCTAACCTAGACTTCAATGGGTCCAGGAAGGATTCCTAGAAGAAATGATGACTAGAATGAGTAGGAATTAACCGGAATAGGCTCAGGTAATCACATGTTCTAAGGGCCAGAGGTGTAATCTCAATTCTTTCTAAACAGTAAATAGTAGGGCTGACATTTAAAGTAAAAAGGCAGAATGGTGAAAAAACAACCAATAGCCAACATGCATCAGATCACAAGGGGCTTCTTGGTAAGACATTTTCAAGAGTTTGGACTTTAATTTGACAGCAAAGGGAAGCAGGTAAAGTGCTTTAAATCTGACATTGCTTTTCAGAAAGATCACTCAAGCTGTGATATAACAGAGAGGGATAAAACTGAGGACCTGAAGACCAATGAGGCTACTGGAGTTCTGCAGAAGAGAAATGGTGGTGCTTAAATTTATCACAATCTCTTATTACTTATTTCTGGGGCGTCTCTGTTAATGGCTGTCTCCACCACCACTCTTTCAAGCTCCCTGGTTACAAGATGCACACTCTGTGTACTCACTACCAAATGATGCTTAGCACAACATCTACCACATAGGACATCTTTAATAAATATATGGTGAAGGGTGTTCATGGTGAGAATAGTACTAATAATAATACTGATATGAGAGCTAAAGATATAATAGATAAGACTTGATTTTCAACACACCAAGGTGATCAGGATGCAACATGGATTCTGATGCAAGTTTCACACAAAGGTACTTTGAGGATAAAAGAAAAGAAAAAGCAGTTTTAAATACTGAAAGCTTTCTAAGTAAAGGATGGGCATTATTATTACAATACTGATGCCTAGGGAAGTATCGACAATTTAGATTCCATCATGGAAGATAAATTACTCTATGCTTAACCATAATTTATTAACTCTAGGTTTGGGGATGAGAGAAAATACAAGGTTCCACACTGATCTTCAGTTGGGCCACATTGTAAAGATACTTAATGGTCCAATAAGCAGATATCTACATAGAGAAGCAACATGCTCAAACTTTTTGAGATAGTATGAGGGTTGGATTACCACAGAGAAACAACTAAAGACAGATAAACCAAATATGATGCTACTGCAAAAAGCCTGGGTGCTAAGTGAGAAGAAGCTTAGCTAAAGTTAGAGTACTGAAAGAAAAATAGGAGACATTACAGAGGAAGAACAATAAGTCATGGGGTTTGGCGAAATACGTAAGGCCACAGGCAAGAAGACTATTGCTTTCCAAACTGGGTGGTAAGGAAAGAGGTAGGAGGGAAGCATAGTGAGGCAGAGGAAGGAAAGAGAGTGCAATGACGCTAAAGAGGAATCTGGTCTCTAAAAAATTGTAACTCAGAAAGTATTTTCATAAAATGATACCAGAGACCTCAACAAAACTGTTCTGAATGGTAAAAAAGCAATGAGCTTTTGCCAAACCAAGTCATTTCAAAAGTTTATGAAATAACGCTCTGTCTCCTGCTGTTTTGCTTTTATTTTTTATATTTAAGCATTTAAAAAAGAAACGCTTTTGTAATTGACAAAAAAAAAAAAAAATAGCCTGGTTTCCCAATCCAGAATGGAGAGTATAGCTGGTTACCATCCAGGGGATTTTTTATTTGGGTGGATATTTAGGTCTGTTAGCAACTCTCTCAAGATCACACATCAAACTGATCTCAGAGCTCAAAAGCAAACACAGATCTCCAGGGTCCTAATGCAACACTTTTCACTCTCCTATATTGTCTTCATTTACCACAAAATTCCATTTATCAGAAAGCTTCATTATCCAGGCATTCTGGTTAATCAAGATTTTGCCAAAACACAGTACTCATTAAAAGATAAATGGAACTGCAGTGTTTACAGATAAAATCATATGATGTCTGTGATCAGTGGCTCCTGGGAGAGGAAAGAGAATATGGGCTAAGTGGTGTTAGAAGGAATGAAGATGAGGCCGGGCGCAGTGGCTCATGCCTGTAATCCCAGCACTTTGGGAGGCCAAAGTGGGTGGATCACCTGAGGTTGGGAGTTTGAGACCAGCCTGACCAAATGGAGAAACCCCGTCTCTACTAAAAATAAAAAATTAGCTGGGCATGGTGGCGCATGCCTGTAATCCCAGCTACTAGAAAGGCTAAGGCAGGAGAATCGCTTGAACCCGGGAGACGGAGGTTGCAGTGAGCCAAGATTGTGCCGTTGCACTCCAGCCTGGGCAACAAGAGTGAAACTGCGGCTCAAAAAAAAAAAAAAAAAAAGACGAAGGAATGAAGATGAAATAGTATCCTAAGTATGATGGATGCTATGTGCCCAAATCTTCCTTCAGGAAGGAAGGACCCAACTGGTGAGAGAGCTCCCAGCAGACAAGCCCAGGTTGTCAGCACCACTAAGGATTGCCTCAGCCCAAGAGAGATGGCTTGTCCAAGCTCTTGTACCCTTCCCATGGGACAGCCCACATCCAGTGACGGATCAATATGGAAATATAAAGGCCAGACCCCCTCACAAATCAGGATATCACTGAAGGGTCATCCCATCTTCAGAACTTCCCCCAGGGTCAACTGAGACTCCTCTGAGACTCATCACGACTCAACTTTAACCCAGGGCCAAACTATTTCCTTTCCCTGGGTGTTGATCCCAAGAGCACTCCCTAATAAGCCTGAGTCTCCATCTCAGAGTCCGCTCACCAGGGAACTCAAACTGTGAAAGTAAGTATCGAAGCTCTTTTTAGTGCAAGAGTGTGCATTATACTGTTCTTTCTACTTTTATATATTTGAAAATGTCTATAATTTTTAAAGGGTACCTGGAAAGAACTTCAATGTCCACAAATCAGGGATTAAATAAATTATGATAGAGCTTTATAATGGAACACTGCAGTATGAGATATAAAACAAACACCAAAATATACAGTGGGTACACACACACTTTGAATAATTCTGAAATGATAACGTACAAAAAAAATCAGTAATATGACTGCCTTTTAAGAGGAAGACTAGGAAGAGGAGACTGGGCTGAGTAGAATTCCTAATTCTCAAGATAAATTCTTGGGTTTTTTGTTTGTTTGTTTGTTTTTGCCCCATCATTGTGTTTTCCATTATAATACAGTTAAATAAAGTGGCCTAGATACACCTACACCAAGTTCTTCTTCTTCTTCTTTTTTTTTTTTTTTTAGATGGAGTTTTACTCTTGTCACCCAGGCGGGAGTGCAGTGGTGCAATCTCGGCTCATTGCAACCTCTGCCTCCCAGATTCAAGGGATTCTCCTGCCCCAGCCTCCTGAGTAGCTGGGATTACAGGCGCCCGCTACTAGTCCTAACTAATTTTTGTATTTTTAGCAGAGACGGGGTTTTGCCATGTTGGCCAGGCTGATCTCAAACTCCTGACCTCAGGTGATCCACCCGCCTCACCTCCCAAGGTGCTGGGATTACAGCCATGAGCCACCATGCCCAGCCACACCAAGTTCTTTTGTTTTAAAGTTGTACATATGCACACAACATGGCGTTCTGAACATACATTTAACTTTAACAAGTATTTATCTTTAGCCTATAATATTTTCAAATGCTAGCTCCCTTCCACTGTGAGTGCCCTGTCCTAAGCCACATGATTTACTACTCCTACTACTATTTTCACTACACCTTCCAAATGCCTGATGCATACCACTCATTCATTTGTACAGCCTATGTTTCTCAAGGATAAAATCTATAAATCTAGCACCTTTGTTATCTAAGCATTATCAAGTAAGCTGCATATCTGCACCTAAAACGCTGACTTTTACTAGGGGTCAATATGTATTTATTGAATGAATAAACAGAGAATAACAATAACTAGCATTTATTAAGCCCTCACTATGTGCCAAGGGCTGTATTAAGGGTTTCATGTACAACTCAAATTTAACTCTTTTGAGGAAAAATGTCTCTTAAAAAAAAAAAAAAAGGAGAAAAAAAAAAACTTCTGAACTCTGCAAAAATCTTCCTCCTTTAATTATGTTCTCACCGTCTACCATTTCAATCTATTTTATAAGTTGACCTTTGCCCTTCAAACATGTCTACATTTCATTTTTATCCAAATACCTTCACTGGCCTCTACTTGTAACCCTAACAATCTCTCTCCCTCTCATTACAATTAGCATTTTGAAATCTGTGGTCTTTAACTTGGTGCTTCCATTTCCTTAGTATAAAGGCCTCATGTACTCTAGTCTGCGCCCTCAAAAAGACTTAATTTAAGGACACTCAAGATCTCCCACTACATGAAGGGGTCAACAATCCTAAAATGACACTCCAGGGCAGAGCTCTCCAATATGGCAGAGACAAGCAATACCTTATAAGACAAGTGAGAAAAGAGGATGCTTTGACATTAATCGATTGTTGATACCTATTCTTCCTAAGTCCAATTATCTTATATATACTTTATAGCTGCTAGTGTGACATTGCTGATTTTTTGCAATGCACTCTCTTTTTTTCTGGTACAGCAGACTGTCCCCATTATCTTCTTCCTATTTTCTCATCTTTCCTCTACCTAGACACGTGAAGGCCCAAAAAGCCCTAAGAAAAATTCCAAAGACTTAACCCTGTTACCTCATGTTGTTGTTGTTTTTTTTTAATTTGATATGACTTTAAAATTTTTTTAATGAAATTACCTTTCTCCGTGTGATTCCTCCCAAATTTTTATTATGAAAAATCTCAAATATACAAAAGTTCAAAGAAGAATATAACAATCACTCAAAAAATAATATCGTGTCATATTTCCCTTGGCAATGTGGTATATCTACATATATGCTGTGCATATATATATGTATATATGCTGTGCATATATATATGTATATATGCTGTGCATATATGTGGTGTATATATGCTGTGCATATATGTGTGTTTTTAAAAAGTCTGTGCATCTATATGTGTACATATTTTGTGTGTGTAGAACCACTTGAAAGTAACTTATACATACCATGATGATTCACCCCTAAATGCTTTTAAAGACAGAACTTAAAAATAAGGGCATTCTCCTTCATAAACACAATACCATTATCACACTCACTATTATCAACACCATAATCATTCTCTAATAGCATCTACAAACTAGTCCATATTCAAATCACTTCAATAATCTACAAAATGCTTTTTATAATGTTTTCCCTCAGACCTGTAAACAAAATACTCAAGTTTTATGCACTGCATTTGGTTGTTGTTATGGACTGAATGGTATGTCCTCCCAAAACGCATATGTTGAAGCCCTAACCCCCAGTGTATTTGTGTATTTGGAGGTCAGGCCTGTGAGAAGGTGATAAAGGTTAAATGTGGTCATAAGAGCAAGACACTACTGTGATAGGGCTGGTGTCCTTGTAAGAAGGGTAAGAGACACAAAAGCTCTCTCCCTCTCCACCACTGTGAGGACGCAGTGAGAGGGCAGCCATCTGCAAGCCAGGAAGAGAGCCCTCACAGAAAATAAACCTTCTGACCTTGATCTGGGGCACTTCTAGCCTCCAGGACTGTGGGAAAATAAAATTCTGTTGTTTAAGCCACTCAGTTTGTAGTATTTTGTATGGCAGCCTGAACAGGCTAAAAAAGCTGTTATGTCTCTTTAGTTCTAGAATGATCCCACCTTATTTTTTTTAATACTAATTTTAAGAAGCCAAACCAATTGTTTGTAGAATGTTCCATATCTGAAGATTTTTCTGATTGTTTTTTATGATATCATTTAACTTGTTCCTTTCTGATTGTTTTTTATGACATCATTTAACTTCTTCCTTGTTCCTCCATCACCTGTTTTTACTACACCTGTTCCTCCATCACCTGTTTTTACTACAAACGAAATTGGATCTAACGTTTGCCTCAAGTGAACGTTGTGGGCAAGAATACTCGATAGATGTTGATGTACACTTCACACTGCACCACCTCAGGAAGCACACAACATCACATTGTCTATGAGCAACAATGCTACCTTCGACCATTTGATTCAGATGGTGACTACCAGATTACTTTCACTGCTACTGTTTTTGTTTTTCCTTTTGAAACTATCAATGACCTATGGGGCGATATTCTGATAAGACCATCCTGTTTCACACTATCCCATGTAATATTGGTAGCACACATGATTTCTAAAAGCTATAAACAGTTAAGATTATATACAAACTAGTATCAGATCAATGTTAATTCCTCCACACTGTTTGTCTAGCTCTCAAATGCAAAAGCAGGACGTATTTCTATCCTAGCAACAGGGTGTTTTCACAGGATAGTCAATATGTTCTCAGTCTATGTACTTCTTGTGTCCCAGGCAGGCCCCCTGTGACTTGCAGACAAAAACAAACTCAAATTTTCTCTCACGAGGATGCGCATACATGAATTGGCACAGGCCTTAGCTACCCACCTACCGATGGGGAATATGAGAAGCAAGTACTAAACCCTAAACAGCTAAATGTATTTGCCACAGCTGCAGTGAAAGAAGAATGAGAAGTTTGTAAAGGTTTATTCAAATTCTCAGAGAACATTCCTATGTCATTTGTCAAAAGAGTGTACCCAAGTCAAGATCACAGTATGATGTGATGAGGACATGATGATTAAGATGATGTATTTTGTGTGTGTGTGTGTGCTTGTGCATTTACCACCAATCAATTGAAGACTTGGAAAACAAACCTGAAGCAGATAATAAAGACTCTGTTTATTATACTACTATGAAACAGCTAGGTCATAAAAACACACTAAAGAAACTACTCGGCTGCTTCCTTATAACAAAGTGTTTCCAGAATTTAAGGGCTGTAAGGGACACAACCTTCTGAACACTTAAGCAGCTGACAAGATTATACTTTCTTATTTGGGTGGTTAAGAAATATACTGTACTCTCAATGAGCCTGACACTTTAGGACTGCTTGGTTAAAGGAAGCCCCAGTGTTCGGTTTCAAAGGAACATGTGGAATGAGCAGATGGCAACAGGAGACTACACTTATTTCTTATTGCTAAACAGCCCTGAGTGCATGAGAGACAGATTTTGAAGAACTGCAGAACTATCTGGTCAAAAATAAATCACATTTTAAAAGTGATTCATAGATGCTGAGGCATATAAATCATGTTTTAAATTTCTGCAGGTGATATTATAATGAATGAACTCTTCTGCTTATGCTGTATCCATCACCAACCTACAGCAATTTCAAGAGTTACTGATTAAGCTAAAAGCCCATTATGCCCACCAAGACCTTACTTTTTAAAGGAAATTCCATTTGGTTGAACCAACTTCGACTTTCTCCTGCCACCCACCTCTAATCTCATTTGCATCTCCAGTCATTCCAATTTCTTCCCTTAGGTTGCCATCAAAAGTCTAAACTGAGCACTGAACTTTCTCGTTGTATATAAATTGAATTAAACAGAAAAAGAAGAAACAAACATGCTTCCCCAAATTTGAAGCTGAATTGTCACATTAGTCTTGGAATCACTAAAATAAGATGGGCAACTGTGAAGGTATGAAAGTCACACTAACTAGAGAGGAACCCAGCTCTCCATTTCCATTTTAAACTCTGAGGAAATATGTGATGTCTCAAGTTAAACTTCTCATTTGTAACATTACCCTCCTCCTGCTCTGCCTGTCACAAAAACTGCCCTTGACAAGGTCACCAATGACCTCCCCACTGTTAAATCCATTATCAAGTTCTAACCCTTATCTTACTTGACCTACCAGCAATTTGACATAGTTCATATTCCGTCTTTGAAATAAATACTTCTTTACCTGGCCTCAAAGTCTTCACTTTTTCCTGACTTTCCTTCTTCTTCTCTAGCTTTAGTCTCCTTTCTTTCTTTTCTTTCTTTTTTTTTTTTTTTAACCTTTAAATATTGGCATTCCCACAACTTAGTCCTTAGACTTCTCTTCTCTGGCAACACTCCCTCCCTCAATGATCTCATCAAGCCTCATTGCTTTAAACCATCTATAGGTTGAGTATCCTTTATCTGAAACACTTGGGATCAGAAGTGTTTTAGATTTTGGATTTTTTTCAAATTTGGGGATATTTGTATTATACTTACAGGTTGAGCATCTCTAATCTGAAAAATCTAAAATGCAAAATGCTCCAATGAGCATTTCTTTGGAGTGTCATGTTTATGCTCAAGAGTTTTGGATTTTGGAGCATTTTGGATTGCAGATTTTGACAGTTCCCCAGTTTATTGTGTGGGATGCTTTTCTGAAATCCAAATCAGTATGTCCAGCTTCCTACTCAACATCTCCTTTTGGATAGCTAATAAGTTTCTCAAACTTGGCATGTCCAAAAGTGAGCCCCTGATCATTCCTCAATGGTGCCCCTCCCACAGTCTACCCATCTTAGTTATTGGCAACTCCAGTTTTATAGCTACACAGACCAAAATCCTAGAATCATCTTTAGTTACTCTATTACTCTCTCACACATACACATTCCACATCCCAATCCATCAGTAAACTCCACTGGCTATACCTTCAAATCATATCCAGAATCCTGCAACATCTCAACACTTTCACTACAACCACCCTATTCTCAATCAGCATCTTCCATCAGGGATAACACAACAGCCCTCTAACTGGTCTCCCTGTTTCCATCTTTGCTCCCCTGCAGTCTCAACACAGCATATAGAGTGACACTATTAAAAAAAAAAATCATGCTGTGATCACATCTCAAAATCTTCCAATGGCTTCCTGTCTCACACATAGCAAAAGCCAACTCTACATACAACTGCCTATCCTATATGAGTGAGGTGGTTGTTCTCTCCCTTGCTTACTCTTTTCCATCTGCTCTGATTCATTGGTGTTGCTCAAAGATACTAAACAGAATCTTACCTCAGAACAGTGTCCCCCACCCCAGATTCCTTCTGGCACACTCCTTTGCCCTCTTCAAATCTCTATAAAATATTACCTTTTTAGTGAAGAGTTTCCTGACCATCATAAATTGCAAAATCTACCACTCAAACTAAACACTTACAATCATTTAACATACCATATGTTTTATTTATTTATCATCTGCCTCTCCTGGTGTATGTTCTATGATGGTAAAGATCTGTGTTTGGTTTCTTCTCTATTGTATTCCCAGTGCCTAAAATTCCTTCCACATAGAAGGAATCCAAATACTTGAATAAATAAACAAACTAGTGAATGAAATATGTTTGCGTTGGTTTAAGTAAAGTTGCACCCATCAGCAAATTAAAGTATATCCCGATTTTATATGTTTTGGATTTCACAGGGCAGTTTCTTGTCAACTAGTTCTTCTATAATAATGTCAACAATTAATACAAGCCTCCTTAATCAAAATGTCATTAACATATTGTTTTTTTCCCCAGCTACAGGTTTTACCTACGCTCCTGCCTCTTTTAGTCTATCGTGACATATACACAGCAAAATATATCTTAGGGCCTATGAAGCAAATTAGCTGACATAATCACTACTACAGTCACTAAGGCCTAGTAATTAATCACAACACTGTTTCTTAAAAGTAAGTACAGGGGGCCGGGCGCGGTGGCTCAAGCCTATAATCCCAGCACTTTGGGAGGCCAAAGCTGGCAGATCACAAGATCAGGAGTTCAAGACCAGCCTGGCCAACATGGTGAAACCCCATCTCTACTAAAAAAAAAATACAAAAATTAGCTGGGCACAGTGGTGCACGCCTGTAGTCCCAGCTACTCAGGAGGCTGGGGCAGGAGAATCGCTTGAACCCAGGAAGTGGAGGTTGCAGTGAGCCAAGATCATGCCACTGCACTCCAGTCTGAGCAACAGAGTGAGACTCTGTCGTTAAAAAAAAGTAAGTAAGTACAGTGATATTTCATTCGTGTGAATTTTTTGCTCCAACTAATGGAAGTTTATACTGTTTATTTGTATTTGAAACATTTAGAAAAAAGAAGAGCCTTTAAGGAAGATAGCTTAAATGTGAAATAAACTTGAATGTGAAAACAGAAGGTAACTGGCTCACTCTATCAGTCTGTTATCACTGACATATACCAACTACCAACATTCAGAGAGAAACATGATGTGCAAAAAACTATCTTCAGTGAGCTTGTAGGGTCATAAATTACAACTGCTAAGCTGAATGGGAGACTGCATTTTCAAAGTCATGTATTTCCAGGCTGGGCGCAGTGGCTCATGACTAATTCCAGTACTTTGGGAGGCCGAGGCAGGCAGATCACTTGAGGTCAGGAGTTTGAGACCAGCCAGGCCAACATGGTGAAACCCTGTCTCTAATAAAAATACAAAAATTAGTTGGGTGTGGTGGTGCACACCTGTAATCCCAGCTACTTGGGAGGCTGAGGCAGAAAAATTGCTTGAACCGGGGAGGCAGAGGTTGCAGTGAGCCGAGATCATACCACTGCACTCTAGCCTGGGCGACAGAGCGAGATTCTGTGTCAAAAACAAAACAAAACAAAAAAACAAAGTCACATATCTCCAGAAATGTTATATTTTAAAGAGCCTACAGAATAACGCTTAGCACTTCAGAAATCTTCCCTCCCCTAAACTGACCAGTGCCCTAACATTCGTTGTTCCAACATTTTATGGCTCCCACTAACTCAAGTAATCAACAGCCAAAAAAAAAAACCCCTGTAATTTCATTAAACGTCACCAACATAGTTTGAAAAAAAATCCAATTTTATTTAAAATAGTAAATACTTCATGAATGTAATATATATGTTCCTTAATAGAAAGGAAGTAAAAATTTCCTTGGACTCACAAGGACTTTCTGAATGCAGTCATGATGTAGGATTTCTTCTTCCAACATAATTGTTTGTGTTCTTTTGTATTCAGCAAAGCAGCTTTAAGAATCAGATACAGACAAAGACAAACGAACCATATGGATGGAATTCAAATTGTAAGTTAACATTACTATCATAGTACCTGTCAGTGAGAACATGTCCTCTTATTGATGGCAGAATTTCACTGAGCTATCCATAGCTCTCAGCTGATTTTGCCTATGATCAATGGCATGCACATATGTAAGACTATTAATTCTTCAAAAAGTGCATGAATTAAATGGACAAAAATGAGAACAGAACCTACAAACCTCACTAACTCCATAATTTAATTGCCAGGCATGGTGGCTCACGCCTGTAATCCCAGCACTTCAGGAGGCCTAGGTGGGAGGATAACCTGAGGTCAGGAGTTTGAGACCAACCTGGTGAAACCCCATCTCTACTAAAAATACAAAAATTGGCCGGGTGTCCTGGCGGGCACCTGTAATCCCAGCTACTAGGGAGGCTGAGGCAGGAGAAACGCTTGAACTTGGGAGTTGGAGGTTGCAGTGAGCTGAGATCACACCACTGCACTCCAGCCTGGGCAACAGAGTGAGACTCCATCTAAAAAAAAAAAAAAAGTCCCAACAAATTAAAAAACTGTCACAGGGAGATGTAACAGATAAACCCAGGAATAAAGGCACTACATAGTTCCAGGCCTCACTCTACACGCACTAAAATTACTTCAAGATTTACACTATGAATTTTGATTTCTGTCTAGTAGAACACAAAAAGACAAAGGTAGATTATCAATATATGAAAATCAATAGCATTTTCTTGTATCAGCACTAATCTACTTAAAAAATAGTATACCATTCACAGTATTTTTATAAACTACAATATTTTACTCAAAGTCATAAGTGAAAGACCATTCCATGTTCTCAGATAAAATGTCCTAATATTATAAAGATATCAATTTTCCTCAAAATAAATCTGTAAGTCAAAGTTCTACTGGTATTGTTTTTAGAAACTCAAACTAACTCTAAAATACATAGGAAAGAATAAAAATACATAAATAGCTGAGCCAAACTTTGAAAATGGGCAAAGATGAGAGAAAGTGCTCTACCAGATATTTAACATCACTAGCTAATTTGGGAAATGCAAATTAAGACCACACTGAGATATCATCACACATCAGAACAGTTAAAAAAAAAAAAAATAGTGGCCGGGCGCAGTGGCTCACATCTATAATCCTAGCACTTTGGGAGGCTGAGGCGGGCAGATTGCCTGAGCTCAGGAGTTCGAGACCAGCTTGGGCAACATGGTAAAACCCCATCTCTACTAAAATGCAAAAAATTAACTAGGTGTGGTGGCATGCGCTTGTAGTCCCAGCTACTCGGGAGGCTGAGGCAGGAGAATTGCTTGAATCTGGGAGGCGGAGGTTGCACTGAGCCAAGATTGCGCCACTGCACTCCAGCCTGGGTGACAGAGCAAGACTCCATCTCCAAAAAAAAAAAAAAAAACAGTGACAGTATCAAATGCTAGTGGAAGACGATGCAAAGAAATGCAATCTCTCATACATTCCTGGTAGAAATGTAAAATGGTACAACCACTCCAGAAAACACTTTGGGAGTTACTTCAAAAACTAAACATACACTTACCATACCATCCAGCAACCATGTCCCTGGGCATTTATCCCCCAAAAAATGAAAATTTAAATCCATACGCACACACACACACAAAACTGTACAAGAATGTTCACAGCAGCTTTATCTGTAACAGCCAAAAATTAAAAACAGCCCAGATATGCAGGTGAATGGTTAAACTTGGATACATACGTACCATGGAATACTACTCAACAATTAAGAAGTACAAACTATTGATAAATGCAACAATTTGGATGAACCTCAAGAACTGTCTCATTCAACAATGTTGATGAATCTCAAGAACTGTCTCATTCAACAATTTGGATGAATCTCAATTTCAAAAGATTACATGCTATAGGATTCCATTTATATAGCACTCTGGTAATGACAAAATTATAGAGATAGAAACTGATTAAACTGATTAAGGGATGGTGAGGGTAAGGGAGGTGGATGAAACTAGAAAGAGGTAACATGAAGAAAATCTTTGTAGTGATAGAATAGTTCCATATCTTCTTCCTCTTTTTTTTTTTTTTTTTTTGAGACAGGGTCTTACTCTGTCCCAGGCTAGAGTGCAGTGGCATAATCACAGCTCACTGCAGCTTCAACCTTCCCAGGCTTAGGTGATCCTCCCACCTCAGCCCCCCAAGTAGCTGGGACTACAGGCATGCACAACCACACCAGACTAATTTTCGTATTTTTTGCCAGAGACGGGGTTTTGACATGTTGCTGGTCTCAAACTCCTGGGCTCAAGCAATCTGCCTACCTCAGCCTCCCAAAGTGCTGGGACTACGGGCATGGTCAACCACATCAGCCTAGCTCTGTATCTTGATTGCAGAGGTAGTTGCAGGAATCCACACAGGTGATAAAATGGCACAGAACTATACACAGGCATTGTACAAAATCAATTTATTGGTTTTGATACTGTACTACAGTGGTATAAATTGTAACTATTGAGGGAAGTTCCTTGGGTGAAGCTGCATAAAATGTAACCACTGGAGGAAACCAGACCTCTCTTTACTATTTGTGCAACTTCCTATGAACCTATAATTATATCAAAATAAAGTTAAAACAAAATAAATGGGAAGAGTTATTTATATAGGAGGAAAAAACATACTACTACAAAACCATAGAGTTAAAACAGTATAGTGTTAGAGCAAGAACAGACAAACCAAAGGAAAGGACTCAATATTCAGAGTATATATGAGCACTTAATACACAGTGTGACACCATATCTATGGGAAAAGGGAAGAAAGATGCCAGGAAAACTGGCACAGTACATGGAAAATAAACTGGATCACAAACTTGTGACACATAAAAAGTTAAACTCTGCATGTATTAAAGACCAATAAGTTTAAAAGAAAACTATGAATTAGCAGTACATAACATAGCAGAGTAACTTTGTGGCACAGCACTGGGGAAAGATTTCTTAAACAAAACCTCCAAAATACAACCATATAGCCAAAAGATTTTTTAATTTGATTATATCAAAATATAAGATTTCTGTTCAATGAAGAACATCATGAGAAAGATTACAGACAAATGACAGATTAGGAACAGATACACTTGTAATACTTAAATGATTAGTATCTATGGAATACAAGAAATGTCCGCAAATCAACAAGAAAGAACTGAAACCCCAAAATAAAAATGGGTGAAGGGATGAACAGGCAATTTCACAAACAAAAAATTAAAAAAGATAAAACACACATGAAGAAATACTCAGATTCGGCAGGGCACGCTGGCTCATGCCTGTAATCCCAGCACTTTGGGAGGCTGAGGCAGGCAGATCACAAGGTCAAGAGATCGAGACCATCCTGGCCAACATAGTGAAACTCCGTCTCTTCTAAAAATACAAAAATTAGCTGGGCGTAGTGGCGCGTGCCTGTAGTTGCAGCTACTCAGGAGGCTAAGGCAGGAGAATCGCTTGAACCTGGGAGACAGAGATGGCAGTGAGCCAAGATCGCACTACTGCACTCCACCCTGGCAAGAGTGAGACTCCATCTCAGAAAAAAAAAGAAATGCTCAGATTCATTAGTAGTGAATGAATCTGAATAAATAATGAAATGTAATTTAAAATGAGATTTAATTTTGTATCTATTAGTCTGGAAAAATTGGAGCACTGAATAAAACCAAGCATTTGTGGGGAAACAAAGATAAAGGAACCCTCACGAGCTTCCTGCAGGTGTATAGACTATTGCTGCTTGTTCTAAACATCATCTGGTGGTGCTTCAATAAAATATATGAAAACCAAATGATCCAGAATCACATATGGATCTATAACTCACTGAAAGTATCACAGAGGTCTAAAATGTATGCTTATCATAGTATTATCTGTAGAGGTAGGAAAATGAAAATAACATGGGTATCTACAAATAGGAGAGCAGACAGATAAACTGTAGTAGATGTACATTCTGAAATATTGTGCAGCACTTGGAAGCAAAGAACAGCAATGCAATAGATCTTCAAAACATAATAGTGAGACAAAAAAACTGCACGATATCATCTCTATAAATTAAAAATGTGGGCACCCAGAACAATATACATTTAATAACACATACAAACAGAAGAATACACATCATACAGAATGGTTGCATATGGGTTGATGAGCAAGAGAAAACAGCGGGAATTAGAAACAAAAAACAATGAATGAGACTGGATGTGGTGGCTCACACCTGTAATCCCAGCACTTTGGGAGGCCAAGGCTGGTGGATCACCTGAGGTCAGGAGTTCGAGACCAGCCTGACCAACATGGTGAAACCCCATGTGTACTAAAAATACAAAAATTAGCCAGGCATGGTGGCACAGTCTGTAATCCCAAGCTAGTCAGGAGGCTGAGGCAGGAGAATCGCTTGAGCCCGGGATGGGGAGGTTGCAGTGAGCTGAGATCACGCCACTGCACTCCAGCCTGGGCAATAAGAGCGAAACTCCATCTAAAAAAAAAAAAGAAGAACGAAAAATGCAGGCAGGGGAGATGCCTTGAACAGCCCATTGAATTGAGTAAGATTAACTCCATCCTCTGCACCTGAGGTCCAAAATGAACTTTAAGGACTCATACATCTAATAAACATCACACCACTAAAGCTAAATGTCATCCTACCCCTCTCACGAAGAAAACACAAAACAAGCTCACTACTTTGAAGATTTTCGATGCTAAGTGTGTTACATGGAGAAACCACCCAACTTCCTTTAACTTCAAAACGGAACATATATCAAAGATAAAAGGAAACTGTAAGATACAAGGGTCACTACCCCTAAAATTTAAGTTAAATTCTTACAGGGATATTCAAACCAAGCCAAGCCCAGTCCCTTTGATTCACCCAGTCACCGAGATCTTTTAAAATTTAGTTACAGGTGGCAATAAGAAAAAATAAAGGGCATACTCTCATTTTTCTCTTAAAGTATTTCTCTGAAACACTCTTAAAATAAGGATTGGCAGTAAAATAAATGAATTTTCTACCATAATCCCTAATTGACATTAATAATAAAGCATTAATTATATTTATAGTGGTTCGTTTTCCCAATTTATAATAACTAATATGTATTGTTCTGGATGGAACTAGACAGTTTTTTATTCTTTGTAATAATGAGGGCATTTCAACACATTATGTTCACTTTTAAGCTGACCTTCATACAGCCACGAGTTTGTTTATAAAGCAAGAAGCAGAGTCAAACTAAAATTTTTGTTTTACAAAATGTCAAAAACTCAGTTAATTTCTTTCATACAACAGGCAATTCCTGCAACCTTGCCCATAAAATCCTAAGACATAAACACCTGAAAGAGTCAGTTTGCCTTTTTTTGTCTCATGGCAAATATTACAGTGAGAGGAAGCTATAGCTGCCACTGACCGAACCCTAAATTCAGCAGCATCAACAATATCAATGCAGCCTGTCATGCGACGGTAGGTTCCCTAGTTTCAGACTATCTAACCCAGCAAATTCTGCCTCAAAAAGTGACATACTAAGTGGGTAAAAAACATAAAACAGCAATTTTTGAATCAAAGTTAGGGTAGTGCTGACTTCAAACATAGCTTCAGAACGCTGGGACCCATCACTAAGTGAATGGGAGTGACTGGCATCCGCTCAGACAAGTACTAGGGCAAAGGGATAAGAACTGGCAGATGGCATCTCAAAAATGAAATTCTAACAGTGGTGTCAGTACCTTGGGCATGGGCAAAAATAGTACCAACAGGAAAGGAAAGACTATATGAACCCCAAAAGCAAGCACATCGCCCAAAATTGCTGTCAATAACCACCAACGATCATCACCAATCACCTGATCCCGTTTAGATTGCACCTGGGAACCAGGCAGTCCCACCTCAAGACCAAAGCAACTGTCACAAGTAGCAAATATCACTCACCAGGCAAGGGAGCCACAAAGACCCCCGGCTGGCCCCCACGCTCTTGGTAACGGCGCCTACTTTTGGGCCCGACCTGCAGGCTTGCAGCCGCAGCGATCTGACAGCTAGCACCGCCCCCGGCTAGAGCGGGTTTGTGACCTTTGACCCCTGACCCCTGACCTCCACGGTGCAGGAACATCCCGCCCTGTGGTTTCCCATGGAGAAGCTTGAAAGCCCCCTTACCTGTCACAGCTTCATCTCATGCCGCGATGTAGCCTATCAGACCGCCGGTGGGCGCCCCAGCCAAGGAGGACAAGGATAGGGCGGAACTACGGAGGATGCGGGGTGCGTAGATCCTGCTGGGATAATCCGTGGGGCGGCAAGCGCTATACAGCCGCCGTCTCCCCAGTGATACTGCAAGGTGCCGGTGCCGCCGCCGCCGCCACTGCAGTAAATCAGCTGACACCAGCCCCAACTGCCGTGACTTTCGCTGCAACTGTCGCAAAAATGAGGGGGCGGGAAAGACTCACCATTTCCCTACTTGCAAGGCCTAAGCCGGCGCCGAGAGAGCCAGCCGCGTTACGATGGAGACCGAAAGTGGAGAAAAGGCCAGCTGTGGGCAAGGAGTGCACGGCCGCCATCTTGGTTGTGGGAAGTCTCGTCTAGGCTGTCCTCTCTCCAGTTGGGAGGACCAAGATGGAGCGAAGGATGAAGTAGCAAGTGCACGTCTTTCTTGGGAGCAGGATGTTGCGCAAGTTTACACTTCTGACCCCATCACACTGCTTCCCACTGAGATGCAAGAGGTAGGGAATTCCCTAAACACTGGAAAGTATGTTGGATGCTGGAAAGCTAAAAAGAATGACAAATGTCCCCCAAGATAGATAAGCTATAGTATAGTGCAGGATGAGAAATGCCAAATAAGGAGCAAGGAAGAAAAGAGATGAATTATTTCTAGGTTGGGGTAAGGAAGGATAATCACATTAGGTCATATGGAAGTCTAGAAAAATTGGTCAGATTTGGAATAATAATTGGGAAAGGAAAACAACTTTGTCACCAGCATTGAAATGTAAAACATGAATATATGCAATAAATAGAAAGTTAAATTTGGAAGAAATACAAGGGACGTGAAGTAGGTGAAGTGGGAAAATGTGGTATCAGGGCTTAGCTGTTTCTGCTCCGTGAGCGGCTCCTTTAACAGGCAGTCTATGCCCTGGAGCTCTCTTGTGGGTTGATAGAGACTTCATCACATTCGGCCTAGACCAGGTAATAAAAAAGTAACATGGAAAAATAGAATAATGTAGATAACAAGAGGCTTTTAGTGGCCATATAAGCTTTTTGGTCTTTATTCCAAAGACAATGAAAAGTAATTGAAGACTTTTGACTAATAAATAGTGTAGCACTTTTCCTAACCACATGGTATTCAGGTTTTTAAAATTGCTTTACAACAAATTATCACAGTCTTAGTGTCTTAGTGGCTTAAAGCAACACATATGTATTGCCTCACATTCCATGGGCAAGGAGGTCAGGAACAGGTTAGCTGAGTCCTGTGCTCATGCTCTCACAAGGCTACAAGTGGATGTCAGCCAAACTGCAATTCTCATCTGGAGGCTCAACTAGGGAAGAATCTGATTCCAAACTCCTGTCAGCTCATTCAGTTCCTTGTGGCTGTCTGACTAGGGGCCCTGGCTTCTTACTGGCTCTGAACTGGAAGTGGCCATCAGGTCCTAGCAGCCACCCACAGTTCCTTACCACATGGGCCTTACTAAAGGCTCTCTCGCAACATGGCAGCATACTCCTTCAAAGCTAGCAAGGAGAATCTCTCTACTGAGCACAAGAAAGGAGTCACACAGATATAGATACAGCCATGGATATGGACATGGACATAGATATGGAAATGGATGTAGATGATAACCTAAATTAGGGAGTGACAGCCATCACCTTTGCCATATATTATTGGTTAAAGTAAGTCACGGGTTTTATCTGTACTCAAGGAGAAAGGATTATACAAGAGTGTGACTTATCGGGGTCACTTAAGATGGGCCAGCCACAAATATTAATTTGGCAGCAATGTGCCATGTAAATCAGGTGGGAAATACAGGGAAGCAAGGAGACAAGTGAGATGTCGTCATTGTTGTTGTAACCAAAAATGTATGGTTATCACTGCAAAAGAATCATAAATGAGACCCACAGGATAAAATCGGGAATTTCACCATTTTAGAGGCATATATATATATATTTTTTGAGATGGAGTCTTGCCCTGTCACCCAGGCTGGAGTACAATGGCACCATCTCAGCTCACTGCAACATCCACCTCCTGGGTTCACGCAATCCTCCTTCCTCGGCCTCCCGAGTAGCTGGGATTGCAGGTGCACACCATCACACCTGGCTAATTTTTTTTATTTTTAGTAGAGATGGGGTTTCACTCTATTGGCCAGACTGGTCCCGAACTCCTGGCCTCAAGATTGGCCTGTCTCGGCCTCCCAAAGTGTTGGGATTACAGGCGTGAGCCACCACACCCAGCTTTAGTGGCATTTTTAAAACTTAAGTACTACTCTGTCCTTAAAATTTAGTAGCAGGCTGGGCACAGTGGCTCACGCCTGTAATCCCAGCACTTTAGGAGGCCGAGGCAGGCAGATCGCAAGGTTGGGGGTTTGAGAATTTAGTAGCAAATTACCCTACAGCACACCAGTACCTTCTGGACTTCTTAAGCTCCAGGTTAGCTCTGCAAAAGGCAAGGAGGCTTGTTCTTCCATTTTACAAATTTCAAAAGAGGGAGATAGCCCAGTGGCCTAACAGTGACTTTATTGCTACTGTTATTTTCGGATCACTTCATGCATGCTGTTATTTTTTTCTCATCGAGGTTTTCAGTCGTAGTTTGGTATTCCCCATGGTGCCTAGTACTCAGCTAATACTCCCCTTTCCTTCCTGGACCCTCTCCCAGAAAAGTCCTATCATGGTCGATGGCTTTATTTTAATACCAAATGGCAAAGAGGCTTAATAAGGGTTTTTTGCATGATTTTTGTGTAATTAAAACTGTTTTGTGCAATTAAGAGATTCCTTTTGCACTTTCTCACATGACATAAAAGTCAAGTGTTGATACTTCTCTTTTTTTCCTGTCTCATGACTTCCATGATTCAAACCATTTCTTTCCAAGTAACAAAATGTCTTTTTCTAGAAACATCTCTAGTTACTCCATACTCAGGCCTTTTAGGAAGGAGTGAAGGTGATAAGGTTTAGGGTGTTAAGCCTCCTCACAAATGAGGGTTTCACAGCCCCCCTCACCAAACCAGCAAGACTAGCAAGGGAAAATTAGAATAGATAATGAAGGAGGAGCTGATAAGTCCTAGTGGTAGCCCTGGTCACCAACTGCAGCAACAGGGCTGTAGATCGTCTACTAACCTCCCTCTTCTAGGTTTCCCATAAGGAAGAGAGGGTGACCAGAAACCTGGAGGAGTTGCTCCCCAAACCTGTGTAGAGAAGGGAACTCATTTTTGTGTAAATAGTGGACTATGGGAGACACATGAAGCACCACCCAGATTCCCCTTCAAGAAAGAACCACTTCCTAGCTGCAAGGAGAGTGGTTTGCTCACACTCTTGCTGTTAGCTTCTTCAGGGTCACCTGGGCTTTCCAGCTGAGATCACACTAATCTTGAGGCAGCCTCTGATGAATGACTGAGCAGGGTGAGGAAAGTCCAGGGCACATTCTTCTTGGGGAGGCCCCTGTTCTAGGGGGTGGTATCAAGGCATAGGAATTTCTGCTCCCATGGGGGACTCCTTTAACAGGCAATCTTTGTACTAGAGCTTCCTCTTGGGTTAGTAGAGACTTTGTCAGATCTGCTTTTTCCCTTCCTCGGCCCAATCCTGCTTCCTCCCTTTTCCTCTCACAGATGTGAGAGAAATAAACCTTTTGGACTCCTCACTCCATCTCAGCATCAGCTTCCCAGAGAACCCAGCCTGCACCATGACACCATTTTTAACAATTGACAATCAGGAGCTGTCATTGTACTTTTGCAACTTTTCCCTCAGTTTTTTTTTTTTCCGTATAAAAAGTTGGAAAAAAAGAAACAAAGATTAAACTGATTTTTACTGATTTTTAATAAAAGAGAGACATCAGACTTATCAACCCATGCAATGCATGTGTCTTATTTTGATATTGATTCAAGTAAGCTATAAAATAAATTAGGAGAAAAATGGGAAATTTTAACCGAGTGGATATTTAATGATATTAAAGAAGCCTTGTTAACATATTAGAATGTAATAATGATATTTCGGTTATGTCTTTAGAGGATTCCTCATCTTCCAGATGTGCAGGCTGAAATATTTATGGATGAAATTGTCAGATGCCTAGCATTTGCTCCATGATAATCTGAGGTAAGGAAGACAGTGGCAATAGCTACCTTAACTTTACTTCCATCTTCATGAAATAGTACATTCTTTTACTTCTAATTCTAATTCATCAAGGTGAAAAACATCACTTATTCACCATCCAGTGGTTTTAGGCACTATGCTGAGCTACACATACAGAAAATGCAGAGACTTGGTTCTTGTGGTCAAGTTACTCAGTCTGGCAGGGAGGCAGGGAGACAGGCAGACCCACTACTGTGAGGAGTGATGTACCTGGTGCTTTCCACCAGTTGCCATGGGGCTGATCCTCCTACTGACCTTGTAATACTAATGTTCTGAATTTTGATGGGAAATATTGTTTTTAACATTGTGTGAAAAGCCACTTCCTTATTGTACAGAAACCACTAACATACATTTGACTTTTATTGGATTTCTTCAGTATCTGGCCCTCAGATGTACTCAGATATTCAGATATCTGCTACTTAAGAATGGACTGAATGATGAGCGTGTGTATGTGTTACGTGTGTGTTTGCTCAAGGGCATGCCTGAGAGAGGGCTTTGAATAAAGTGAAGCTTCTGTTAAGAGTTTTATCAGCTGGACATAGTGGCTCATCTCTGTAATCCCAGCATTTTTGGAGGCCGAGGTGGGTGGATCACTTGAGGTCAGGAGTTTGAGACCAGCCTGACCAATATGGTGAAACCCCATTCCTACTAAAAATGCAAAAATTAGCCAGGTGTGGTGACATGCACCTATAATCCCAAGTACTTGAGAAGCTGAGGTAGGATTGTCGCTTGAACCCAGGAGCCAGTGGTTGTAGTGAGTCAAGATCACGCCGCTGCACTCCAGCCTGAACAACAGCATGAGCCTGTCTCAGAAAAAAAAAAAAAAAAAAAAAAAAGAATTTTATCATTTCCTTCCTTGTTTGTCTTTCCTAGCTAGACAATATCTACAATACCACAAGCAAAAAGAGCTCTTTTATAGCTAGTGATTAAATGAAAACACAGATTGTAAGTTTTGTGTAGTTTCTCAGTTCCAAAGAGTTAACTCTAATAATGCTAGAGACTAAATGTTCATTTCCCCAATATTCATATATTGAAACCCCAGTGTGATGGATTTGGAGATGGGGACCTTTGGGAGGTAACTAGGTCATGAGAGTAGAGCCCTTATGAAAGAAGAGACAAGACAGAATACTTGTTCTCCTGCCTGCCCTTTTCCTCTCCTCTCTTTCTCTCTCTCACCCACTTCTTCCCCACTGTATGAGGATACATCAAAAAGACAGCCCTTTTAAACTGGCAAGAGAACCCTCATTAGACACTGGATTTGGGCCAGCACCTTGATCTTGGATTTCTCAGCCCCCAGAACTGTGAGAAATAAATGTTTGTTTAAGCCACCAACTCCATGGTACTCTGTTAGAGTAGCCTGAACCAAGACAAAACCCTTAACATACTCCTTTAAAAAATTAAAATAAAATTTAAAATGCAGTTTTTATTACAGAGGCTGAGGTGTTAGAAATATTTTTCTAAATATCTGGGCTTCTTAATAGAAACTCTAAGCAGTTTAATGACATCAGATATAAATTTAAGAATAAAAAACTATTTTACATATTTGGCAAACACCCGAACTGACTCTGAGAATTGCCAGTGAGTTTCTTTAGTATGCTGCAGGAGATTGCAGCATGTATGTGACAGTGTGGAACACTCTACAGCTTCCAAGGAAACCCTCTCCTCCAAGGCATAGCCTAGTGTCCAAAACTAAAGAATATAATATTAGCGCGATAAATGGTACATCTGGAGACTTGATGGCATCTAAAGAGACACTTGCTATCAAAGGGGAAATGAGATCCTTTTGACTAAAAATATATTGCGCCACCTAGGGACACCTGGGAAAATAATGTATTCAATTTTCAAATTCAAAGCATACAACTAGAAAGTGTTTGGAAATTATGAAGCAGGATTTCCTTTTTATTTAATATTTATATTACATAAATATCGCACAAATTACACCAGGCTGGAGTGCAGTGGCTCAGTCCTAGCTCACTGCAGCCTTAAACTCCTGGGCTCAAGTGATCCTCCCACTTTAGCCACCCCAAGTATCTGGAACTACAGGTGTATAACATCATGCCTAGCTTGAATTCTTAGATATGACAGCAAAAGCACAGATAACAAAAGGAAAAAATAGGTAAATTGAATTTCATTGAAATTTAAAACACTTGTGCATCAAATGACACCATAAAGAAAGTGAAAAGACAACCCGTA
The DNA here is from genome assembly GCF_000001405.40 of Homo sapiens. Lineage (NCBI taxonomy): Eukaryota > Metazoa > Chordata > Mammalia > Primates > Hominidae > Homo > Homo sapiens. Next base: position 56,645,219 of record NC_000018.10, on the reverse strand, counting down.
GAATAGAATATCTGAAAGTAATTTACTCTATAAGGGATTGATACCCAGAATATATAAAGAACTCCTACAACCCAACAGCAAAAACAAACAACCTGATTCAAAAATGGGCAAAAGACTTCAACAGACACTTCTCCAAAGAAAATAAAGAAATAAGCATTATGCACATGAAAAGATGTTTAACATCTTAAGTCATTAGGGAAATGTGAGATATCACCTCACCCACAAAGATGACTATTATTAAAAAAATTAAAATTAGCAATTGTTGCTAGGACGTGGAGAAACTGGAACCCTCATACATTCCTAGTAAGAATGCAGAATGGTGCAGGCACTGTGGAAGACAGTTTGGCCGTTTCTCAAATGGTTAAACAGAATCACCATATGATCCAGCAATTCCACTCCTAGGTATATACCAAAAAGAACTGAAAAGCAGGGACTTGAAGAGATCCTTGTACACCAATGTTCACAGCAGCATTGTTAACAACAGCTAAAAGGTGGCAACAGTCTCAGTGTCCATCAACAAATGAATAAGTAAATAAAATGTGATATGCCCATATAATGGAATATTATTGAGCCTTAAAAAGGAATGAAATAAATTTTGATATATGCTATAATACAGAAGAAATTTGAAAACATAGCGCTAAGTTAAATAAGCCAGGCCAGATGCGGTGGCCCACACCTGTAATCCCAGCACTTTGGGAGTCTGAGGCAGGCAGATCACTTGAGGTCAGGAGTTTGAGACCAGCCTGGTCAACATGGTGAAACTCTGCCTCTACTAAAAATACAAAAATTAGCCGGGCATGGTGGCGCATGCCTGTAATCCCTTCATGAGAAGGTTCTGGAAATGGATAGCAGTGAGTGCACTTAATGCTACTGACTTGTGCACTTTAAAACTGGTTAAAATGGGCCAGGTGTGGTGACTCACATCTGTAATCCCAGCACTTTGCAGGGCTGAGGCAGGAGAATTATTTGAGCTCGAGGAGCTCAAGACCAGCAACAAAGTGAGATCTCGTCTCCACAAAAAAATAAAAAATTTGCTCAGCATGGTGGGATGCAACTGTCAGCCCAACTACATGAGAGGCTGAGGCAAGTGGACCAGTTGAGCTCAGGAGGTCGAAGCTGCAGTGAGCCATGATCATGCCACTGCACTCCAGCCTGGGTGATAAAGTGAAGCCCTGTCTCAAAAAACAAAAAGTTAAAATGCTAAATTTTATGTAAGTATATTTACTCAATATATATGTATATACATATATATGAGGAAATCCTGCTTCATAATTTCCAAACTCTGTCTAGTTGTATGCTTTGAATTTGAAAATTGAACACATCATTCAATCATATATACACATAGTGAGTATATATACACACATATATATACACACATACATACATATATACACACATATATACATATATACATACACATATATACATATATATATACACACACACATATATATATATATATGAAACAACTATGGGTTGATCACATGTCTGTGCCTTCCATTTTAGCCCGTACCCCTGGACATGGAGCTATCACAAAAGTGTGTACTCCAAAGGACAGGAACATGTAATAATCATGTTTAACTTCTGAGGCTATGGCACAGTGCCTGCCATACGGGAGGTCCTGAAGAATTTGTTGTGGTTGTCAGTGAGCTGATTCCAATCTTAATTCACTGAACTGTGCGGGTTGTTCAGATAAAAACCAATGACTCCCTTGCTACATTCAAAGGCATTTCACATCTTTTGGTCTTTGACATCCTTCATCCTTTTGGTCTTTGACACTTTACTTTTGTGATAGTCCTCCTGATTCTCTGCTTCTCTTAACTTTTCTCATTTTACTCCCTATTTGTATTTGTCTTTAAATTTCTGTTGTAACTCTTTGCTTTTCTGTATACTTCCTTATGATCTACTTTAGTGGTATCATCTATGACCGCTATGCTGCAAACTCTCATATATTTATCTCTAGCCTGTATGTTAATCCTCTAACCTCCAATTTCCCTGGTGTTAAACAATTCTTAAATTTTTATATCAGGCAGAGTCACAAAAGGAAAAAGCACATTCAAAATGGGTAATCGAGGATAATTTGGTAAGGAGGGTATTAACAAACGTGTAGATAGAGTTTAGGAAAATCAAAAAAGCAATGGTGGGCCGGGCATAGTGGCTCACGCCTGTAATCCCAGCATTTTGGGAAGCCACGGCGGGCTGATCATTTGAGGTCAGGAGTTGGAGACCAGCCTGGCCAACATGGTAAAACCCCGTCTCTACTAAAAATACAAAAATTAGCCCGGTGTGGTGGCAGTCGCCTGTAATCCCAGCTAGTCAAGAGGCTGAGGCAGGAGAACTGCTTGATCCCAGGAGGCAGAGGTTGCAGTAGGCCAAGATCGCACCACTGCACTCCAGCCTGGGTGACAGAAGGAGAGAGGTCTGTCCCCACCCACCCAAAAAAAAGCAATGGTGTTGCTAAAGAGAAAATAAAGACAATGACAGCAAGGATTGAGCAGTGAGTAGAAAAGTTTAACTGTAAAGTAGGGGACTAGATTCATCACACAACTATGCTCTGGGTGGGAAGGGTGGTTCTTTTTAAACCAAAGGATCCTTATTGGTATTAGGAGAGTGAAGTTTCTGGATGTTGCCCATTAGCTGGTGGTATCTGGGCTTACCAGTTAGGCTAGTGCTAGGTGGCTGGAGATAGTTCATGCTATAAGCCTGGGAAGTCCATTTAGGAATTATGGCTTCCAGGTACCTCTGTTTCCTATGGGTGCCTGCCTTGGGATTACAGTGGCAAGTGTTTCTGCTCTTTATGTGAACTATCCAATTCAGTACTGTCTTGTCTAGTCAGGTCTAGGTAGCATCAACAGGCTGTCATGCCCAGTGTCTGGTTCCAGCCCATGCTGAGGTCTGAAGGGAGTAGGTTGATGGGTGGCAGGTAGCTGAAAGAACACTTGGGAGGCCATAGGCCGGTGAAAGATGGTTTTACTCAGCAGCTCTCTTACACTGTGTGTCTTTGTCTCGGCTGCCTGCTCCGGCTCTGCCACTCCCACGCCTGCAGCTGCATTCCCTGGTCTGCAAGGCCAGCTCTCCCTTACAGGGTCAGCAGCTTAATTCTCTCTGGGCATGAGTCGAGCCATGCCGTGCTGTATGTACAGTGTCAGCAGGGCAGTTATACCTTTTACAAACAATAGTGCCTCCAAACCAGGCGATGAGCCTTCCCATGTTATAGCTACATAGCTGTGATTATATAACAAGTGGAGTTATGTGTCTGTGCTCCAAACTCAATGAGTCACACAGGATGTTTACCTTGGCCTATTCTTGACCAAATCACATCCATTTTCCTTACACTAGGTGACTGACCCGGAGTTTCTCTGTTGGTATCCTGGTGCTGCCAACACCCAGGAGTGATTTCTACTTCTATGTCTAAAGAGACAATAGAAGACAGTGTTTGCAGGAACTCAAAGAGGATAATGGTATGACAAGAGCTGTGGCCTTTGGTGGAGACACAGACAACCTGTGGCAACACAGCAGGAAGGGAGCTAAGGGAATTACTAACTGGATCTCATTTTCTTCTACCCTCCAATCTCTTCAAGAAGCTCGAACAGAGGATCCTATTGATGCAGTCCATGTAGGCAGGTTCCTAGGGCTGAGAGCAGAGGGAAGAAAGGTAGAGAGTAGATCTGGAGGGACACATAGTGTCTCTATCAGAGCTAACTTTTACAATGCCTCTTTTCATCTTGCTTCTCAAGAATCTATAATCTATCTTGCTTTCATAAGCCCTGTTCCTCCCTTCATATCTACTATAGCTGCTGTAGTGGAGACCACTTCTACTTGCTTCTTAGGCAAAACTGGAAGGACAGTTGAGAATAATAATAATCCATCTGTTCTGGATAAATTGTGCTCCCTCACCCCACCCAAATTCATAGGTTGAAGCCCCAACCCCCAATATGACGCTAAGTGGAGATAGGACCTTTAAGGAGGTAATTAAAGTTAAGTGACGTCATCAGAGTGGATCCTTAATCTAATAGGACTGGTGTCCTTGTAAGGAAGAGAAACAGACTAGTACTGTATGTGCATGTGTGTGTGTGTGCACAGAGAAAAGGCCATGTGAAGACACAGTGAGAAGGCCGCCATTTAAAAGTGAAGAAGAGAGGCCTTAGGAGAAACCAATACCAGCAGCACTTGGATCCTGGACTCCAAGTCTCCAGAACTGTGAGAAATACATTTCTTCTGTTTAAGTCACTCAGTCTTTGGTATTGTTATAGCCAAAGACTGAGTTGTTATAGCAACCCTAGCTGACTAGCTGAATAGACACCACTGTTTATAAACATTTTTATCAAGTATCTTATGATTTGGTTCTTTATAAACATCATCCAATATAACCTTTTACCATCACAATCCTAGAAGGCAGGTGTTATTAATCCAAGGCTCACAGACAAGGAAGCTGAGGTTCTGAGAGGTTAGTAGTTTGTGCATGGCCATAAAATTTAAGTAGCAAGGCCGGTCATGGTGGCTCATGCCTGTAATCCAAGCACTTTGGGAGGTCGAGGCGGGCGGGTCACCTTAGGTCAGGAGTTTGAGACCAGCCTGGCTAACATGGTGAAACCCCGTCTCTACTAAAAATACAAAAAAGTAGCCAGGCGTGCTGGTGTGTGCCTGTATTCTCAGCTACCCAGGGCGGGCTGAGACAGGAGAATCGCTTGAACCCAGGAGGCGGAGGTTGTGGTGGGCTGAGATTGTGCCACTGCACTCCAGCCTGAACGACAGAGTGAGACTCCGTCTCAAAAAAAAAAAAAGCAAATATTTATTATGGGGACTTCTGTCTATTAAAACCATTACAATGTGCTGATACCACATGAAAAAGGAATGTAATTACTGTGCCTCTGGTGTGGCTGGGTTCAGTTAAGAATTAATTATTTTAATATGTTTCTGCAACACCTTTAGCTTTCTCTTTTCACATGTCCTGGGCTTCAACTATCACCCAATCTGATGACTCTCAAATCTGTAACGTCGTCCTAGTCCTTTTTCTTTAGTTCCAGGCTCATCCCTCTCACGATCTACTATATCTCTCACTTGGATGTCCTACAGGCATTTTAACTCATTTTTAAAAAGCTACACGATTGAAATGTTTTGAGTTATTTTAAATTCCTCTGTCATCTCACTAAATTGGACCAATAATTGTTTCTCAAACATGTTCTTTCCTCTTCATTTCCACTGCAGATGCTTTCCTAATTTAGTTCCTGGATCACCACAGTATCCTCCTAAATGGATCTCACTGCCTTCCATCCTCCTTGATGCTACCTGAGGGCTTTTCTGAAGACACTTTTTCTTTTTCCTTTTTTTTTTTTTTTTGAGACAGGGTCTGGCTCTGTTGCCCAGGCTGGAGTGCAGTGGCGCAATCATGGCTCCCTGCAGCCTTGACCTCCCCAGCTCAAGGAATCCTCCCACCTCGGCCTCCCGAGTAGCTGGGACCACATGTGCGCGCCATGACGCCCGGCTACTTTTTTGTATTTTTGGTAGAGACGGGAGTTTCACCACACTTGTAATTGCAAAATTGCCCTGAAATGATTTTTCCATTCTCTTCCCGACAAAATCCAAATTCCTTAGCTAGTCATTATCTGACCTTGGCCTTCCCTCCAATTTCATCTCCCCAGCTAAATCCAAAGACAGATAATTTGCCACCTAGCCTAATATTTAAAAGAGTACACTGGCGTTAGCCTGCCTTGACTTGAAATCACAGAACCTACTTCACAGGGATTAAATGAACTAGTACACATATAAAGAACTTATGTCTTGCCTGGTACATCATGTGGTAAATATTAGCTATTCTTCTTATCCACCCTCTCAACTCATGCATTTGCACCTGGTGGTCCCCTTGCCTGGAATATTACCTCTCACCATCCATCTAACCCCTGCTTCTCTTTAAAGATTCAATCCAGGAGTCAGATTCCTAGCAAGTTTACCCTGCCCCACCCTTCCATCTCGTTAGTCTCCACCGCTTCCTATTCAAATTATTGTTTGCGTCGGTCACTAGACCGTGAACTTCCTAAAGGAGGGATAGTGTCTTCATCTTTTTGGTCAAAACCTAAAGACAGGTGCACGATACTTTCTGAATGACTGCACAGAAAGCGCCCCATATGTAATTAAGTCTGTTAATAAATATTCCTAAACGTTATTTTGTCTTGTATGTAGACCTGCCCCGAATACAGTACAGGAGCATCTTCAAAGTACTTCCAGTGGGTGCCCTGGACAGCAGCTAAGAACCCCGGGGTAAAACGAGTTTCCTCTCTACTGTTACAAATCAGAAACCTCCTCCGTAAAAGCCTCAGATCTGGGAAACGCGGATGCATATGCCAACTTTTGAGTCTCAGTCTGCGCCTGCGCACGTGACCTCTACACGTCTCCTCTGCGCCTGCGCCGCTCAAGTTAGCGCGAGGCTACTCAGTCGAGGGTGGGACTACGCTTCGCGTTTTGGGATTGGGCGCTGAAGGCCAAACCGGACGACGCGGAAATGACGTCACGCCGGGGGCCCTGCCGCGCGGTGGCTGCTGGGTGCCGCACGCCTTCCCATCCTCCTCCTCTCCCCTCCCCCATCCCTCCCCGCCCCCTCGGCCGCTCCGCTCCCTGGCGTGACTCGGCACTGAGAGTCCCGGGAGAAGACTCGGCGGTCGCCACCTCTTCTGTCCAGGCCTCGGCCTTCCTGAGCATCTCTCCTTCCTCTCCCAGATCGTCTTCTCCTTCAGTTTCAAAGCCAGTGGCGTCGCGGCCACCCTGCCGGGCTCTCTGTGAGGATGGTGGGGGTGAAGCCCGTCGGGAGCGACCCGGATTTCCAGCCAGAGCTGAGCGGCGCGGGCTCCAGACTCGCCGTGGTCAAGTTCACCATGAGAGGGTGAGGCCAGGCTCGAGCTCTGTGGGTCCCCGTCTGTCCTTCCTTGCTTTCCTTTCACTCTTTGTTGGCCCTGGTTTCCTAGCCGTCTGCTGCCCCGGAGTGTCCGGCAGTCGCCGCAGCCCCAGGAGCTGCCGGAATTAGGCCTCGTTTCTCGGGTGTGAACCCCCATTTATGCACAGGGGTTCCTAGACGGGCTCGGGGGCCTGGCTGGCCGGCTTCTCCAGCTCAGGAGATTTCTCACCTGCTCCTTTTCAATTCTTTGACAAACTGGTTTTGGGGGTGGCCCGCCCCTATTCCTTCCAGCCTGTGGGAGTCTCCGCAGCCACCCTTGCCTGAGCCTGACCCCTTCTTTCTGCAGAGCCAGCTGTCATTTGCATCTCCAGAGCTCCAAAAGCTTAATTTACCGAACACTTTGTTTCTCTTCACCACCTACATCTCTCTAAAGCCTTTGAAGATTCAGATGGGGCGATCTAACTAATATGCGTAGCTCTGAGTCCTGAATTTCTGCTAATGCATTTCGAACTAAGTTAACGTTGGGTTAGGGTGCTTTTTAAATTATTTGAACTTTTTTCTTCCTCGTTCGGCCACTAACTTGTAGCTTAGGCTCCCCTATGTATGCGATTGCAACTGGTCACACACGACAGTACATATATAATATATTTCAGGTGGACAGTTGGCCGGATGTCTTAGTTTGACCCGGCTCTGTTTTTTCACTTAAGAGGACAGGGATCTTGAAAAATGTTAACTGTCTTTGGTAAATATCAACAAAATTATAGGTCGTAGAAAAGGTGGACCTTTTATAGTGGATGTGTAGTAAAGTTCCTTTGTAAGAATGACATGTTGGAACTCGGCGTTGAGAACCAAGATTTCAGCGTGTGTGTGTGTTTCACAGATCTCTCCTTGTGTATGTCGATAGTATTTAGTTAGAAGTATGAGAGGTTTCCGCTTTATTTTCCTTGACCCCTTGGCGTTATTTATACATCTAACTTGGAGCAGTCTACTGCTGGTATCACTGTTTATGTAACACACTTTCTTGTCCAAATAACTGTATAAACACAAAATTCCATTTTGAATTTCAGAGCAAAAAACAAAGTTTCTACTAGATGGTTCACTAAATGTTGAGTATATAAATGGTGGCATTAGGATTATATCGTTTTAGGGAATGGATGCAGATAGATATGAAAACAAGTTAAGACTTATTTTTGGACCAGTCTCTCTTACACTGAATTGAAAAAGGATAGTACCTTGCATTTCATATGGTGGGCTAGAGTACCCATATGATATACGGAATTTTGCATTTACTAAATTTAAAAGGATAAGTGATGTCATATATATAAAACACCTAAAAGGAATGTTAGAATTCTATAAATGTGTCTTCTCATTTTTAGCAATTTTGTGATGTCTGTATTCTTAATAATAGGGGAATACCTGTAGTACATTAAGTATCTAGGCCACAGTAGAAAAGGGAAGATAGGATTTCAATAAGGAACCTCACCTCACTTTTAGTTCACTTATTCTAATTCTGGCCCGTCGAAGCTTTTATATTTTTGTCCCTCAATGATATATTGTTTTTCTCCCTTACCATAGCAGTGGGAGAGATAATAAAATAATAAATAAATATTGATTGAAGTGAGAAAACTGGGGAAACATTGCTGCGAAGGAAGGTTTTTTCTATCAGTGTGGTGTCACTTAAGCATAAGCATAACTGCAGACATTGATTGGTAAGGAACTGTTACATTTAAAAAGGTATTTTAGTGGAATTAAAATTTTTTTTCTTTGTAAAAACCGAGGGAAAATTAATGTTTGGATTTAGAGTAAGTTCAAAAGCATATTTATATTACGTTTACAAATCTGGTAAGATTATTGTATTTACCTTTAATATTCCTCGAACTTATTGGCCATTAATACATCCTGTCTAAACTCATTGTCAATAGAACCCCAGAATTATGTATATGACGGGTCAGTATTAGACTCAGAAACAACTGTATTCAGTAAAATCTTGTAAGAATCCTCTTAGATCAAAGTTAATGCTGTCCCAGTTTAGACTGAGGGCATAGTTTCTCCAGCACCTATTTCATTTCCTTTCCAACCCTATTTTAAACCTTTTTTCTTTTTTTTTAACCTCTATGCTTTATGCACTCTCAGTCTAAATTTTACTAAAATGATACATAGATTGTTCTCCTGTGTAAGAATCTTTAGTGGCTTATGATAAAATATATATAACATAAAATTGACCATTTAGCCATTTGTAAGAGTATAATTCATTGGCATTAAGGACAGTCAGCCCTCTGTATCCATGGATTGAACCAAATGTGGATAGAAAATATTTGGAGAAAAAAAATTGCATTTGTGCTGATCATGTACACACTTTTTTCTTGTCATTATTTTCTAAACAATACAGTATAACAACTATTTACATAGCATTTACCTTAGGCATTATAAGTAATCTAGAGATGATTTAAAGTATATGGGAGAATGGTCGTAGGTTATGTGCAGATACCATGTCATTTTCTATTAGGCCCTTGAGCATCTGTGATTTAGTGTCTTGCTGGAGGTCCTGAAACTAATCCCCCAGATACCCAGACATGACTATACAGTCACAATGTTGTGCCACCATCACCACTGTTTCCTATAACTTTAGACAGAAATTCTATATCCATTAAAGGATAACTCCCCATCCTTACTTCTCCAAAGGGACAAAACTGTACCCATTAAGCAGTAATTTGCCCCTCCCCATCTACCTCCTTGGTAACTTCTATTCTGCTTTCTGTCTCTATGAATTTGTCAATTTGTGGCACCTAATATAAGTGAAATCGTAACAATATTTGTCCTTTTGTTTTTGACTTCACTTAGCATAGTATTTTCAAGGTTCATCCATGTCTTAGTATGTCTCAGAATTTCATTCTTCTTTATAACTGCATAACATAATCCATTTATTTATATGGCAAATTTTGTATACCTGTTCATTTTTTGATGGACATTCCAGTTGTGTCTTCCTTTGGCTGTTGTGGATAATGCTGCTAGGGGACATTGCTATGCGGGGATCCCTGCTTACTTGCTTGCTTTTCTTTTTTCTTATTTGTTAGAGACAGGGTCTTGCTCTGTTGCCCAGGCTGGAGTGCAGTTTTGAGACGATGGCTCACTGCAGCATTGAATTCCTGGCCTCAAGCAATCCTCCCACATCAGCCTCTCAAGTAAATGGGACTACAGACACATACCACCATGCCCGCTAATTTATTTTTTGTTTTAGAGACTAAGTCTCACTTTGTTGCCCAGGCTGGTCTAAATCCTGGCTTCAAGCGACCCTCCCACGTCAGCATCCCAAATTGCTGGGGTTACAGGTGTGAGTCACTGCGCTGGGCCTTCTGTGCCCATTTTTGAATTGAGTGGTTTGTTTTTGGGTTGAGTTGCAGGAGTTCTTTATATATGCCGGATGTTAATATTTAATTTGCAAATACTTTGTCCCATTCTTTGGGTTGTCTTTTTCTTGATGGTGTCCTTTGATGCATGAGTTTTAAATTTTGATGAAGTCCAATTTATCTATACTTTTGTTGCCTGTGCTTTTGGTGTCATATTCAAGAAATCATTGCAAGATTCAATGTCATGAAGATTTCTCCCTATGTTTTCATCTAAGAGTTTTATAGTTTTAGCTCTTAAGTTTAGGTCCTTGATCCATTTTGAGTTAATTTTGGTATATGTCATAAAGTTAGGGTCCAGTTCATTTTTTGGCATGTGGATATCCAATTTTTCCAACACCGTTTATCGAAAACACTGTCTTTTCCTCATTGAATGATCAGCACCCTTTTCCCAGAGTATTTTTTAAGGATTAAAATAGTCAACGCTTACATATTCCTTAGTCTGTGTAAGGAACTTGTTTAAGCTCTTATATTGACTCAATTCATTCCTCAGAATAACCCTAACAGCTATCCTTGTTTTACAGTTGAGGACATTGAGTCACAGAGAGGTTAAATAATTTGTTTAAGGTCCCGTTAATAAATGCATCGTTTGAATTATAAAGTGCTGTTCTTGATCTTTCCAGCCTAAGGAGAAAAGAAATGCACGTTCATCTCTGTGTATCTGCACAGAGCCTGACAATTTTCAATATGCCTTTCCTTAAATAATTTACACCTCTGCCTGCAATTCATTTCACTCTCTGATATTCTTTTTGGTAATATTTTTAAACAGTGTCTCCAAATTGTTACTTATGCCCAGATACATTTTAGTGGTTATGAGTAGTACCAGTTTTGTTGTTACTAAAGAGTTAAAAGAATATACATTGTGTCGTTCGTTGTCCCTGGTCTCCCCCCTCCCCACCATTAAACAGTGTGAATGATTTTTTTTTTTTTTTTTTTTTTTTTTGAGATGGAGTCTTGCTCTGTCATCCAGGCTGGAGTGCAGTGGCATGATCTCAGCTCACTGCAACCTCTGCCTCCCAGGTTCAAGCAATTCTCCTGCCTCAGCCTCCTGAGGAGCTGGGATTACAGGTATGCGCCACCACACATGGCTAATTTTTGTATTTTTAGTAGAGACGGGGTTTCACCATGTTGGTCAGGCTGGTCTCGAACTCCTGACCTCGTGATCTGCCCGCCTCGGCCTCTCAAAGTGCTGGGATTACAGGTGTGAGCCACCACACCCAGCCAATGGTTTTTATCTTGAATTGATGAATGTATCACTTTTGTAGATAATGTTTACCATGCACTGATTTTTTTTTTTTTTTTTTTTTGAGACAGGGTCTCGCTCTGTTGCTCAGGCTGCAGTACAGTGATGTGATCATGGCTCAATTGCAGCCTCGACCTCCTGGGCTCAAGCAATCCTCCCAACTCAGCCCCAGCAGTAATCGGAACTACAGGCACGCACCACTATGCCTGGCTAATTTTTTTTTTTTTTTTTTTTTTTGAGACAGAGTCTCGCTCTCTAGCCTAGGCTGGAGTGCAGTGGCACAATCTCAGCTCACTGCAAGCTCCACCTCCCGAGTTCACGCCATTCTCCTGCCTCAGCCTCCCGAGTAGCTGGGACTACAGGTGCCCGCCACCACGCCCGGCTAATTTTTTGTATTTTTAGTAGAGACGGGGTTTCACCGTGTTAGCCAGGATGGTCTCAATCTCCTGACCTCGTGATCCGTCCGCCTCGGCCTCCCAAAGTGCTGGGATTACAGGCGTGAGCCACCGTGCCCTGCCTAAGTTTTAAAATTTTTGTAGAGGTGGGGTTTTGTCGTGTTGCTTAGGCTGGAGATACATTGAATTTTCTTAAAGCAGATCTGCCTTTGTAGTTTGTTAGGGTTTGTTACAATCTAAGAAGGATGTCAGTGTATATTAGGATGTTGAGTTCTAATAGTTACAATAGCTTGTCCAAATAATTGTATATTAAACATATGTTAATTACATACCGCAAAATTACTGATAACTGAAGGAAGTTTATTGAAGTACAGAGTAAGCAGGCCCAGTAGTCCATAGGAACCAGGCAGAAAACGTTAGCAAGTAGCTGTAAGACTAGGGCATATTGAAGCCCTGGAGAACAGAGTTGCTTTATTTGTTAACTTTTTATTGAAGTGCAAATATACAAAAATGTGCAAGAAATAGATCATTAACTCCGGACTCCTCGCACTGTCCCAAGCTTCTTCCCACTACTCTTGAATTCTAACACTATAGATCAGTTTTGCCCGTATTTGAACTTTATAGAAACAGAATCATACAGTTATGTAGTTTGTCTGGCTACCTTTCAAGAGTGTTAACACAGTTTAATCTTGGCAATTGATTTGGAAATAACAATGAAAGGCACTGTGTAGGACATTGTTTTGGACTTTTTAGCATAGCTGTTAAGAGTTGGGTTCTGGGATCTAATTTAAACTTACTAATTTGTTGTTTTTTAGAGTCATAAAGCTTAAATGAGGTGACATGAGTTTGTGAATGCGTAACATACAGTAAGTGCCCAATGAATGCTAGCTGTTTTATGTAATTAATAATACCAATTGTGATTAAGCCTGCCGATTAGTAAACATAGCACATGTATAAATTGCTTAAAGTTTTACCCTGCAGGAAAAAAGAAAAAAAAATTCTTTAACTGTGGCTTTAGAAAGCATATTATCCACTTACCAGTTGTGTATATTGACACAAGTTGTTGCTCAAGATAAGACACTTATCTTGAAGGGAAGGACAGTTAGCTAGTTCATGAAATGGAATTTGTTTTATATTATGACTGTAGTAAAAAGTGTATTAAAAAGAAGCTAATGCTCTTTCAAAGAAAGCTGATCTTGGATTATATTTATGAATTGCCTGTTCTAGTGGTGGCCCTGCCGCCAACTAGGATGTTTGGTGTTGGGCAGGTCATCTTATGATCTTCACTTCTTACTTACTGGTTAATTATATTAGGTTATGTCTGTTTTAAAGTTTTAGTTTTGTGGGTTCCTTTTTTTTTTTTTTTTTGAGACAGAGTTTCGCTGTTTTTGCCTAGGCTAGAGTTCAATGGCGCAATCTCGTCTCACTGTGACCTCTGCCTCCCAGGTTCAAACGATTCTCCTGCCTCAGCCTCCCAAGTAGCTGAGATTACAGGCATGCGTTACTAGGCCCAGCTAATTTTGTATTTTTAGTAGAGACGGGGGTTTCACCATGTTGGTTAGGCTGGTCTCGAACTCCTGACCTCAGGTGATCCACCAGCCTTGGCCTCCCCACAGTGCTGGGATTACAGGCGTGAGCCACTGCGCCCGGCTGGGTTTATTTCTTTATACATTGTAGAAAGCTAGCGGTTTACTGTATTCTTTTTCTCAAACAGCATAACTCAAAATCCTTCTAACATACACATTTTATATATTGGACTAAGCAGATAAGTTTTCAGTCAGAAGGTTTAGAGTAGAAAAGTAACTTTTTTTTTTTCTTCATTTTAAATGTCTGGACTAGGTGATCTCTTGAACCTTTTGCAGTGAAATAAGAAATCGTAGATTGTGCAAAGGGCAGCTAATCAAGGTGTGTGCAAGAGAAAAAGGTGTAATTCTGAAATTCAAGCATACTGGGTGCATAATATTGTAGAGCTGGGAAAAGTCCTTGGAGAGTCCTTTTATTTTATACAGAGAAATCAGGTGACTTGTTCATGATCTCAGCTAATGGAAATTTGTTTACTCTCAACTGCTCCTGTTAAGGAGACAGACATCTTATGTAAAATGATCAATTGGCTGGGCACAGTGGCTCACACTTGTAATCCCAGTACTTTGGGAGGCTGAGGTGGGAGAATCACTTGAGTCTAGGAGTTTGAGACCAGCCTGGGCAACATAGGCAGACCTCGTGTCTTCAAAACATCAAAAATTGGCAGGGTATGGTGGCACGTGCCTGTAGTCTCAGCTGCTTGGGAGGCTGAGGTGGAAGGATCACTTGAGCCTGAGGGAATGAGGCTGCAGTGAGCCATGATTATGCCACTGCACTCAACCTGGGTGACAGAGTGAAACCCTAAAAAAAAAAAGAAAAAAGAAAATGATCGATTTATTTGAATGATTGTTTTGTGAAAGTGTGCTGCTGTATATATTTGTGAGTTTGTATATATTTATGCTTCTCTGCTGATGCATTTTGATTTTTGACCAAAGTTCCAACCTCTGATGGCTAACTGAAATTAAAGAATCTAGATAAAGTTAAATCTTGAAACAGTTTTTTGCACAGTAACCATAATTTTAATAGTCTGTTCAGCTGCAAGATGTGTGTCTGTAACACCAGTTAGCTCGTAAATAATTGATGAATAGAGAGATGTCAATGTGATATGGAAGTTGTATTGGTTCATGTGTGATTATTCCTAGGTAGTGAAAAATAGAAATAAAACCTTCATCTGGAAGCAGAAAGCTCTCAGCCACACAGGCAAATTCCCTCTCTTGTTTATTTTAAGAAAGTTAATGAAGTTAAATAAGAGTGCCTACACCTAGCGTTTGTTCCCCAGAAGGGTTTATTTTCAGTGTTGCATTTTCTCCTGTCCCTTCCTTAATGGCAGCCCCACTGGCTCAGAGCTCCACTTCAGTCTGCTTTGTCACAACACCTGTAAGCATCATTTCCAGTTGATTTTGTTCTTTTCAAATATTCCCCAAGGTCGCTTCCAGCTCTGAGCCACATGCTGGGATGTCCATCTTTTTCCTGAATCCTAGTTACTGTCTTTTTTTTTTTTTTTCTTTTCCAAGTTGGAGTCTTGCTCTGTTGCCCAGGCTGGAGTGCACGATCTTGGTGACCTTGGCTTAACTACAACCTTCCGGGTTCAAGTGATTCTCCTTCCTCAGCCTCCCGAATAGCTGGGACTATAGGCATCCGCTATCACGCCTGGCTAATTTTTGTACTTTTAGTCGAGATGGGGTTTCACCTTGTTGGCCAGGCTGGTCTTGAACTCCCACCCTAAAGTGATCCACCTGCCTTGGCCTCCCAAAGTGCTGAGATTACAGGCATGAGCCATCATCGGGCCCAGTCTGGTTACTATCTTTCTTACTGATCTTGTTACAAAATTGCATGGGTTTCAAGTAGTTTGCCAACAAACTTATTTTTCCCATAAATTCTCTCTTTTTGGTGTGTGTTTTTGCAGGAGGGTGGTTTTCATGAATGGATATATTGTACTATAGAATGGATACCTCTGTAATTTGTGACACCTGTGTAAATGCAGTTAACACTAAATTCTTCTCAACTCATTTAATATTTTAAAATGAAAATACCTATTCATCACAAAAAAGCAAAGGATGCAGAATTATGGATACTAACTGTTCATTGTGCCTGTCTCTGTCTTTTTACCCCCTATGCATTTATATATATACATAGGTTTGAAATGTGATCCTAGAGAACATTTTATAATGAGACTTTCTTCCCCCCTAAACACTGCAAAGTATCAGGCTGGGGTGCAGTGGTGTGATCTTGGCTCACCGCAACCTCCGCTTCCCGGGTGCAAGTGATTCTCCTGCTTCAGCCTTCTGAGTAGCTGGGATTACAGGCATGCGCCACCATGCCTGGCTAATTTTTGTATTTTTAGTAGAGATGGGGTTTCACCATGTTGGCCTGGCTGATCTAGAACTCCTGGACTCAAGTGATCCGCCCATCTTGGCCTCCCAAAGTGCTGGGATTATAGGCGTGAGCCAGCGTGCCTGGCCCCTGTCATAACTTTTTAAACTAGTTTTCCATTAATTGCCATTTAAGTTGTTTTCTAACTTTACTATTACAAACATGTTACATTGAACTTCCTTATACTACATGTTATTGTGAAATAGAGTAAGTGTTGTTAAAATGGAATAGACTTTCAAAAGGGCAATTATTGGGTCTTGGCTTGTGTTCATCTAAAATGAATAGATATGACCCAATCAGTGGCCTTTGAAAAACAGTGTAGTGATATATATTCCCATTTATAAAGTTTAAGACTAATTTTAGTTGACTGTAAATATTATTTTCTTAGATTTTTGGTGTATGGCTTTCAGGATAACACAAGGTGAAATGCTGATTGAAATGTTAAGAATGTGGAGTTGATCACAACTTGAGTTTTAACATTTGTTTTTATTTTGTGCATTAGATTTGCTTTTTCTTGCATTTCTTATTTCTGCAAACTTTTATTGAGACATACATGGCACACAATTAGAAATGTATAGTTCAATTAATTTTCACAAACTGAACACACCTATTTAATCAGCTTCCAGACAAACAAAACATTGCTAGCCTCCAGAAGTCTTATTCTATCAGTAACTCACTAAGGTAACCATTGTCTTGATTTCTGATACCATTGATTGGTTTTGTCTGTATTTGAACTGTATGTAGTCATATAGTATATGCTAGTAGTTGCTTTCTTTCCTCAATGTTATTTGTGAGGTTCATCCATGTTTTTGCAAGAGGTTTTATACCAGTTATTTTCATTATTGTGTAGTATTTCATTGTATAACTATAATTAGCTTACCCATTCTTTTGTTGATAAGAATTTAATTGTTTCTGATTTTTGACTCTTAGAACTATTACTAATAATACTTTTTCAAATGTTCTAAGGTGAACATGTGTCTTAGATGTATTCCCCAGGAATTTTGATGGGTTGGTGTATTTTAGCAGTTTGGTTTTTTTCCCTCCAAAATGGTTAATACCAGCTTGCACTCTCACAGTATATAAAAGTTTAGTTGCTCTGCATTCTTGACAATACTTAATTCTTCTTGTAGCTATTTTTGCTGAGTTGGTTTTAATCTGCATTTCCCGGGTATCCCTGATGACTAATGAAGTAGAACATCTTTCCTGCTTTATAGAAAGTTTTTGACTTTATTTATTGACTGTTTGGATAATCTCATTTGTCAAGTACCTATTCAAGGGTTCATTCTTTTTCTTTTGGGTTTCAGTCTTCTCCTTGTTTTGTAGGAGTTCTTTACGTATTAGAAGTATAAGTCCTTTGTTTGATATGTTTTGCAAATACTTTTTCCTAGTCTCTTAAAGACATTTTTTGATGAATAAAAGGTTTTAATCTTCCAGTTTATCAAATATAGTCCAGTCTGTCAAACCTTTTTTTTTTTTTAGTACTTCTTGTGTTTTGTATAAGAAATCATTGCTTAGTTTGAGGTTTTGAAAGTGTCTTCCTGTATTTTTTCCTAAAACCCTCCTTGTTTCACCTTTTACATTTAGATCTACAACCCATCTGGAATTGGTTTTTGTGTATGGTGTGTTGAGATTCATTTCTTTTCCTGTATGAGTATATAGTTGATCTAGCAGTATTTATTGAAAAGACCATCCTTTTCCCACTGCAATGCTACATCAAGTTTTTCAGACATCAGAGTACTGTATGTGAGATGGGTCTGTTTCTAGACTCTTCTTTCAAAGGAAAACTGATTTGATCATTTTGCTTATTCTTGTACAAGTACTATATTCTCTTAATAAAGGTTTATGATAGTTCTTAAGATCTGATAATATAATTTTTTCAGATTAGAACCTCAAAACGACTTGGGCTGTCCTTGGCATTTCTCTATAATTTTTAGAATGGAAATTTGTTAATTTCTACAAGAAAACCTGCTGAGATCTTACATCAGTTGTAAAGATCAAATTGAGTAAAATTGGTATCTTGGCAATATTGAGTTTCAAATTCATAAGCAGAGTAAATTCCTCCATTTATTTAGGTTTTCTTTAATTTCTCTCAGTGAGAACAAAGCTAGAAGACTTAACACTATTAGTTATGAAGACTAAATGTAACATCTGGGCTCATTAAGACAGTATAGTATTGATACAAGTATATGTAAATAACTTACTCAAATAGACCAGAGAATCAGGCCTAGGGTTATGGTTCATGCCTGTAATGTCTGCACTTTGGGAGGCCCAAGGCAGGAGGATCACTTGAACCCAGGAGTTTGAGACCAGCCTGGGCAATATAGTGAGACCCTGCTTCTCAAAAAAAAAAAAAATGTAGCTTGGTAGCTGGGTGTGGTGGCATGCACCTGTAGTTGCAGCTACTTGGAAGGCTGAGGTGGGAGGATTGCTTGAGCCTGGAAGATTGGGACTGCAGTGAGCCATGATCATGCCACTGTACTCTGGCCTGGGTTATAGAATGAGACCTTGTCTCCAAAAAAAAAAAAAAAAAAAAAAAAGACCGGCTTGGTGGCTCACGCCTGTAATCCCAGCACTTTGGGAGGGGCCAAGGCAGGTGGATCACCTAAGGTCAGGAGTTCGAGACCAGCCTGGCCAACCCAGTGAAACCATGTCTCTACTAAAAATACAAAAATTAGCTGGGCGTGGTGGTGGGCGCCTGGAGTACCACTCTGGCCGACAGAGTGAGACTCTGTCTAAAGCAAAAAACAAAACAAAACAAAAAAAACAGAGAGTCAAAAGCCAGCAGTATCAGTGTTTGTTCTATTTTATGTTTAATTGACGAGTGCTTTAGAATTACAATCTTTAGTGTTATTTTACTTAATTTTCCTTTTCTAACAGGTGTGGGCCATGTTTGAGGATTGCCCCAGCATTCAGTTCTATGAGTAATAAATATCCACAGGCTGTTTTCTTGGAAGTCGATGTACATCAGTGTCAGGTAAGGGAAAGGAATCTTTTTTCTTTTTAATTTACTTTTGAATAAATTTGAAATCCAACATTAATATTCTTCATTTATCTCTTGATGCACATAGTACTTATTCCTTTGAAGATAGGAAGATGTTATGTTGATGTCATTATTACAGATGTCATTATGGCTGCATTAGTTAAGAAGAGTAGCACATTATTAATTGCTTCAGGTTTGTATTAATCACCTTCTGATATAAAATTAATACGATGTTGTTAATAGGTCACCTAGCAGTTCTGTGTATTACATTTCCTTATGTTTTGCAAACCTAGAATTATATCTTCTACCCCCGAGGTATTGGCATTATATAGCAGTGGCAAGGAGTTCTTGGTTGTAGTTTGAATTGATCAGTTTGTTATCTTATCTCCAAATGGACACACTGAGCAGAAACTTTAAAATGGTGATTATTGTTGATTGAGCCACAGTGTTGTAGGTGAATTGCCCTGATTATTTAGTTGGAATGGTATGTGGCAGTTCTGTATTTGTATATGCAGAAATGTGGGGAATTGTTAAGGGAAAAAAAAATTGGAAAGCTCCTTCCAATACTAAAAAGTAGAGTCTTTAGTTCTAACTAAGGAACAACTCTATAGCTCTGCAGCTTTATCTTTGTTAAATTTCTGAGTGTGGAAAAAATTTTAGAATATTATGTAGTGTGTAGTTACTTTGGGGGTTTGTTGAAAACCCTACATTACACACATTTATGTTTCAGCACTTAGTTGCATGTTATTGCACTATATCATTGGCCCCTGATTTAATCACTATTTCTAGAATGAAAATGCTTTTCTCCTGGAGCTGTTCTGTCAGGTATTGTAACCACTGGCTATGTGTGGTTACTGAGCACTTTAACTGTGACAAATTCATATTGATATGTACGGAAAGTATAAAATACAGATCAGATTTTAAAGACAGTATAAAAAATGTAAAATATTGCATTATCTTTTTATGTTGATTAGATTGAAAATGGATATATTAGATTTCCTGTAATATTAAACTTGATTTTACTTATTTTGCTTTTTTAATATAGATAATAGAAAATTTACAATTGCATGTGTAGCTCACATGTGCTACATATCCATTGTTTTGGGCAGCACTTTCCTGAAAGGTCATAGTTTTTTCACCTAGAGGCTTTGAGAAGACATTCCTGTGTTATCTTTATGTTCTTTTTCTTTAAAAAGTATAGTAGTGACTTTCATAATATTTGAATATATAAGGTGCCATATTTGCTTTACTGTTTCCTTTATACTTGTCATGAAAAGCTTAAACTAGGATACTCGGTGGTTATTAGGTAATTTCCATTCAGTAGTTAGTCTTATACAATTGTGGAGCTAGGACAGAATTTATAAAGATAGCTGTTAGAATGTGTTTTGATGGGTGACCAAAAGTCATTTCTGTAAGAATAAAAATTGGGTGACGGTTGCAGTGCAAAATACATTACATGCTCTTTTTAACAGGCAGATTGGCTACCGGTTTTCAGACCTGCACTTTTTTCTAGTAGCAGTGGTTTGTGTTGACTTTATCAATACCCTTCTTGGTTATTCTTTTTGAGAAATACCTGTAATTATGAAAGATCTGTCTGGCATTAAGCACAGTTTCTGCATTGGAAGCTAATTTTTCTACTGGATGATGTATTTACCAGTAAAAATGATAAAAACATGGGGAATGTTCTTTATTGTGTGTGTGATGGTAATGTAGCTATGCCCAAAGGGGAACTCTCTTAGGAATAGGTCTATTTTTTCCTTAAATAACAAAAATGCAGTATTTTACATGTTTTTAGTTCATGCTTATGGTATTTAACTTCCATAAAGGTGTAGAATGAATATTCAAAGTGGTTTAAGATTTAATTCATAACACTGTCCAACTTGCCAATTCTAGGGAACAGCTGCCACCAACAATATATCAGCAACACCTACATTTTTGTTTTTTCGAAACAAAGTGAGAATTGATCAATATCAAGGAGCAGATGCTGTGGGATTAGAAGAAAAAATCAAGCAGCACTTAGAAAATGACCCTGGAAGCAATGAGGACACAGATATTCCAAAAGGCTATGTATGTAGACTGAAAAGTGAAATCATAATGTATAATATCTTGTACATGTCATTATTGGGCTAAAATGAAATATAACTATGTTTCCATCTTCTATCTCTTACTGGTTTAGAATACTTTTAAATAAGAGCTTTCAAATTTATTAGCTGACTATTGAGTTTTGTCTGTATGTGTACGTTTGTGTGTGTGTTAAGCCTCTATCATAAATCATTTTTCCTAAATTTCTCCTAATTTTCTTTGCCACTTTTTAAAAATCTGCTTTCTGAACTATTTTAATAGCCATTTAAAAATACTTGCTTTATACTTTTTTTTCCAGAAAATGTAGAAATGTGCATTAGAAATTTTTTTTTCACTTTTTGACAGTTATGTAAAATGACTTACAGGTTTTAGTTATGGCCATTAACTCCTTTTACTGTCACTCACTTCCTATAGTTTTATCTTTTTAAATGTATGCCCTCTTTTCTGGCACTGTATTTAAAAAAAAAAAAAAGTCTAATTACTGATTTTGTTTTAGAATCAAATTTGACTTTGTTATCACATGTATTCTAGGTTTTAAGAGTAAGTTATTTCAAATAACAACATAAAGACTTAAGAATCTAAAGGATAGTGTGTGGAAACTGCAGAGTATAAATAGTTAGAATGCAGCATTTTTAATTTGAGAGCTATTCAAGAAGGAAGCAAAATTTGGAAGTAGCACTTCATGGTATTAGATTTGCTTATACAAATAGGTAAATCTTGTATACTAAGAGATATATATAGTTTTTAATTTCTCTGGTTACAAAGTTACTGCACTGGCAGATCAAAGAATGAATTTTAAAAAAAGTTACCTCAAGTTAAAGTTAATATCTTTTTTTTTTTTTTTTTTGAGGCGGAGTCCCTCTGTCACCCAGGCTGGAGTGCAGTGGCACGATCTCAGCTCACTGCAACCTCCACCTCCAGGGTTCAAGCTATTCTCCTGCCTCAGCCTCCCCAGTAGCTGGGATTACAGGCACCTGCCACCATGCCCAGCTAATTTTTGTATTTTTCGTAGAGACGAGGTTTCACCATGTTGGCCAGGCTGGTCTCGAACTCCTGACCTCAGGTGATCCACCTGCCTTGGCCTCCCCCAAAGTGTTGGGATTACAGGCGTGAGCCACTGCACCTAGCCAAAGCTAATATCTTAAACAATGTATAACAGGCATATTAAAGCAGATCTGTGTCATGGAGCTACAAGTCCTCCCTGTAAGTCTAAATTCATGCCGAATGAAGAGATGCTATAGTCCAAAAAAAAAAATGAGAGATTCTTTCTATATGGGTGTGTAGTAGGAGATTGTAAGGGTGTCAGAAAGCATCAGTAATGTGATACCAGCATTAATTTAAGGAAGTACAATTACTATTTATTTAAAATAGACCTGTAATTTGAAATTGTAATGTCCAATTAGGAAGTATCAACATATCGTTTATGTCAGGGTTGTTACATCTTTTGGACAGTTTTGGAAATCATTTAACTTGTAAACCATTGTGTTTATATCTTTGTATTTTTTTCCCTTTATTACTAAGGGTGTTTGCATTAAAAAGTCTTAGGAACACAGCAGTCTTGTTGCCTAGCTACAGGCATACTTCTTTACACATCCGCTGTGGTATGAGTGTTTTGGCCTCAGATAGGAAATAGGAAAAAATGAAGTTTTAAGAAATAAAAATTTAGTTTTTGTGCAAATGTTATGGATAAAATATGAAAAGCTGTTATTTTTAAATGTCCCTTTTTTTCTGTCAGGTGTCAATCAAGACATTAAAGTTTTGAACTATTTAGGTCTCACAGGGTTATTCAGTATTTAAATTTGGTAATCTTATATAACGATGATACCATTATAACTCCCAAGAAATTTAATATTGATACAATATTTCTAATTATCCTACAGTTAAATTTTCTTAATTATCCCCAAAATATTCTTTATGGCTGTTTCCCACCATTTAGGATCAAATCAAGGATCATGCATTGCATTTAAGTTGTCCTAATTAATGTTCTTTAGTCTAGAAACTTTTCTCTGCCTTTTTTTTCTGTCATGGTTTTCCATTTTGAAAGTCTAAACCAGCACTGGTCTAGTAATATGGTAGCCACTAGGCACACTTGTCTATTGAACATTTTGTTATATGACTAGTGCAACTGAGGAACTTAATATTTAATTTTATCTAATTTTAATTAATTTAATTTTAAATTGCCACATGTGGCTAATGAGTATCATATTGAATAGCATGGGTCTAGGCTGTTTTATTTAATTAATTTTTTTTTTTTTTTTTTTTGAGATGGAGTTTCACACTTTTGTCTAGGCTGGCGTGAAGTGGCATGATCTGCAACCTCCACCGTCCCCCTGGCCCCTGCCCCTGCCGCTCGTTTGAAGCAGTTCTGCCTCGGGCTCCCAAGTAGCTGGGATTATAGGTGCCCACCACCACACCCAGCTACTTTTTGTATTTTTAGTAGAGAGGGGGTTTCACCATGTTGGCCAGGCTGGTCTCAAACTCCTGACCTCAGGTGATCCACCTGTCTCAGCCTCCCAAAGTGCTAGGATTACACGTGTGAGCCACTGCACCTAGCTAGGATATCTGTTTTATAGACTGTTGCGTATTCTGGATTAACCTGATTATTTTCCCATGATTGGCATGTTGATTATAAAGGTAGCAACATTTATTTCTCATTGCAGGTTTTCAGAATATGTCAGTTTCCAGTTATGTCAACTATGCAATGTAATAATGCCAGTTTGTCCCAGACAGTTTTTATAACAAAATACTTTAATGCACCCCTTTAAATATGTTTTGTGGGCTGGGCGTGTGGTGGCTCACGCCTGTAATCCCAGCACTTTGGGAGGCTGAGGCGGGTGGATCACCTGAGGTCAGGAGTTCAAGACCAGCCTGGCCAACATCAGAAACCCCATCTCTACCAAAAATACAAAAATTAGCCAGGTGCAGTGGCACACTGCTGTAGTCCCAGCAACTCGGGAGGCTGAAGCAGAATTGCAGGAGGCGGAGGTTGCATTGAGCCAAGATTGCGCCACTGCAACTCCAGCCTGGGCAACAGAGGGAGACTTTGTTTCAAAAAAAAAAAAAAAAAATACATATATATGTTTTGTGTGCCCCACAATAAATAAAAACAAAAACTATTTAGAAGAATTTACCCACTTAGTTTATTTTTATCATTTAGGTATTGCAAGTCTGACTGTAATGTTGTCTTAATCCTAGATACCATATTGAAGTGACATATAGATAGGATGGAAGACAAAAACATTTTAAAGATTTTGTCAAAACTGCCCTTTTAAGGCAAATGTTCATAATGCTCCGAATAATTCTGCTATAGTAAAACTTTGCTCTGTAGCCCTTTTTTCTTCCCTCCCCATCTTTTAAATTGGCTATACGTTACCCTGAGTAATACATTTACTATAACATTTCAGCTTTGAAAGCATTTAGGCTGTTTTATCTGTAACTAGAGGTCTATACTAATGATTATTACCATTTTCATATTTACTTGACATACAAAGTTTTCTTCAGTCTTTGAGAATTATGTATGTATGTATTTGTATCTTTAAAAAACATAATGAAAACCCTTTGAGATAGAGAGGTGAACATGTGACTCATCTATAATACTTGGTAGACTTGAAAAGTAATCCTTGTTTAGGAGATAAAATGGATACTTTTCTAGAAAAATACACTTTTACCAAAATCAACTCTACTAGAAGCAGAACACCTAAATAGACCAGCACCATAGAGAAATAGAAGAAATAGTAGTAAAGATTTCTTCCCTAAAGGCTTCTATGACTTTACAGGTAAATGTTGCCAAATCCGTATAAAGATCAGGTAATCTACTGTTACTGTAACTACTTAAGATCTTAAGTAAAAAGAAAACTTTTAAATTTATTTTTGAACTGTGACATTGATCTGATAATTTGACAAAGTATGCACCAAAAAAGAAAGCTGCAGACCAGTTTCAATTATGAATATTGATGTAAAATTTTTAAATAAAGTGTTAGTAAACAAAATTCAATAATATCATCATGGGCTGGGTGTGGTGGCTCATGCCTGTAATCCCAGCACTTTGGGAGGCTGAGGTGGGTAGATCACTTGAGGCCAGGAGTTGGAGACCAGCCTGGCCATTGTGAAAGCCCATCTCTACTAAAAATACAAAAAGTAGCCAGACATGGTGGCACACGCCTGTAATCCCAGCTACTCAGGAGACTGAAGCAGGAGAATCACTTGAACCCGGGAGGTGGAGGTTTCAGTGAGCCAAGATAACACCACTGTACTCCAGCCTGGGCGACAGAGTGAGAATGTCTCAAAAAAATAATAATAATAATAATAACAAAATTGAGTTTTTTTAAAGCATGTAAGAGTTGTTTATGTTAGGAAATTTACTTAATCTGTCACATTAATAGACCTAAGGAGAAAAATCATGATCTCCAAATATGCAGAAAAGGCATTTGACAAAATTTAAATACCCCTTTATTCCTAAAGCATTCAGTAAAATCTTAATAAGGGAACATTGGAAGCATTCCTACTAAAGTCAGAAATAAGACAAGCATGACCAACCGCTGTTAACACAACTCTGATGTGTGGGAGGTATGGAAGTGTTAGAATAAAGTATACAGAGATGGGCATGTGCTGACACCACAGGGAAGTAAACGGTAAAATCCAAAGTATTGAGAAATCTATAAGCTAAATGACTAGATTAAAAGAGATTTCAGAGACATATTAACCAAATACAATTTTTTTTTTTTTTTTTTTTTTTGGAGACAGAGTCTTGCTCTGTCCCCAGGCTGGAGTGCAGTGGTGTGATCTCGGCTCACTGCAACCTCCGCCTCCCAGGTTCAAGAAGTTCTCCTGCCTCAGCTTCCCGAGTAGCTGGGATTATAGGTGCCCGCCACCATGCCTGGCTAATTTTTGTATTTTTAGTAGAGACAGAGTTTCACCATGTTGGACAAGCTGGTCTCAAACTCCTGACCTCAGGCGATTCACCCGCCTCGGCCTCCTAAAATGCTGGGATTGCAGGGGTGAGCCACCCCGACCCGGCCTCCAAATATAATGTTTATACTTTTTTTTTTTTTTTTTTTTTGAGACAGGGTCTTGCTCTGCTGCCTGGGCTGGAGTACAATGGCGCAATTTCAGCTTACTGCAGCCTTGATTTCCTGAGCTCAAGCCATCCTCCCAGCTCAGCCTCCCAATTAGCTGGGACTAAAGGCACATGCCACTGCACCCAGCTAATTTTTTTTTTTAAGTTTTTTAGAGACAAAGTCTCACTATGTTGCCCAGGCTGCTCTTGAACTCCTAAGCTCAAGCTGTCCACCCACCTTGGCCTCCCAAAGTGCTGGGATTAGAAGCATGAGCCATCGTACCAGGCCTTTTTCTTTTTATCTCTATTATTGGTGTATACTTTTTTGGATCTTTATTCTGCGTGTAACAATTCAAGTGTGAAATATTTATGAGACAGTGGAGGAAATTTGACCACTGATTTGATGGTGTTAAGGAATTATTGATTGTGATAATGATATTGAGAATGTTTTTTTTTAAGTTCTTATTGCTTAGAAATTCATACTGAAATGTTCATGAATGAAATGAAAAGATGCTTTTTTTTTTTTCAAACTAATCAGGAGGAGAGTTAGGATGTAGTTGGGGGTTAAAGATGAGGCAAGAGTGGCCTTCAGTTGATGATTATTGTAGCTGGAGGTGGTGGATACATGGGATTTACTATATTATTATATTTTTGTCTGTTTGAAATTTTTCATGATAAAAACTTTAAGTCCTTATTTGCTACTCATCTTAAATTGGACATCTTCATAGATATAAAGAGTCCTTGACCACTAGAAGAGGGAAATAGGCTTTCTTTGGATCTTACGGATATTTTAATTTGCATATTTTCTTCTGTAAAACACTTATTTTTTAAAGTATAAGTCAACATTTTATAATCTTAAAGACATCATTTCTGATACCTTATCAAGTAGGCTAAGCCTAGACTTGGCTTTAATAATTGATGGTAGATCTCAGTCAGAAATGCAAATGAAAGGACTACTGTAAAAGTTTTATGAACTGTTTTAAAAGTGTTTTCTTTAAAATTGCCTAAAGAGAATCAGAGATTTAAATTTTTTAAACATTTTTATACCTAATCCAAATATGTTGCCTAAAATCTTGCAATTTTTTTTCAGATGGATTTAATGCCTTTTATTAACAAAGCTGGTTGTGAATGTCTTAATGAAAGTGATGAGCATGGATTTGACAACTGTTTACGAAAAGACACAACCTTCTTGGAATCTGACTGTGATGAACAGGTAATTGAGGGCTGAAGATAAGCTTGTGGAGATTATCACTATTTATGCCTGCTCTTGTTTCTTGTTCCCATTTTGTGGCTTACGTCTCTCCTTCCCAGATGATCACTTCTTCCTTTCATTTCTATAGCTTTTAGTTTCTTTGACTTTTGTTTTTTGACCATACATACCCACCTTCTTTGTTCTTGTATGTGGGCTGCCAGGTGCACTAAGAAAAATTGCTGAACTCTTGGGTGGGACCCACTGCAGAATTGAGCTCTTACCACTGTTTGGTCTTTTTGTTCATCCTTAACCTGACTTCCATACCTTCTTCCCACTCAGATGAATTTGTATATGAGAAATAGAGACTAATGAAATGAGCACTCCCTGTGTGGCTAATTCCTTTCTCCTAGATAGAAACCTGTATTATATTCCCTATGCTTCCCTGCCTTGCCCTTATCACAAAGTAAGTTGGGTGTTACCACCTTGATCAAGCTTTTTAAATCTTCATTTTGGCTGTTACTTTTCTCAGTTTACTTTCTCTTCCATTGTCACTGATTTGTCCCATTCCAGTTCATCTTCTATACGGTAACAGAAGTTATTTTTCTAAAATATAAAGTTGCATGTTTCCATTCCTTAGAAGAGTAAAATGACTCTTCACTGGCTTTAGGAGGAGGCTGACTTGATCTGTTTTTAACTTTCTCATCTCTTCTGCTCTTCACCTACAGTTCAGTTCCCTAATAATGTCATGCTTATTATTTTTTGATACACTATTATGGGTCAAGTATAAAAAGTATTGGTGTAACTAAAGGAAATAGCCTAGTTATTTTCTTAGGCAGATAAACCACAACATGATTCTGAAATCATAAATCCAAACCCCATCTTTCCATGCTGTAACCCCAGAGCCACCATGTTTTTCAGCTTTGAGAGTATCATTCACATTGTGTTTCTTGTAAATGGTGCCCTAAAAATAATGTAATAATGCTAATCAGCAGGACTGGTTCAGGCTTCATGAAATTTTCCTGCTCAGGAAATCTTCCCAGGGTAGATGCATAGGTACGTACATCAAACACACTTTTGGCTGGAAAGAAGATTGAGCAAATGATCCAGAAGAGTTTCGGAGAGAGAAACATTCTGACAGTGTTTCATATTCCTCTTCCCTTATGTGGCCTTCCAGATTCAGTCAGTCAAGTAAATGTAGAATGGAAGTTTGGAGGTTACTTCAGAGCTATAAGAACCCTATTCTCTTGAGTTTGGGATTAGAGTCCATTTCAGGGCTAGTCTCTGCATAACCTGTGTATTGCCTCTAAATCGTCAAGTGATGTGGATAGATACTTGACAAATAAACCATCGTAGAGCTATGTGCTAAAATGTTAGTTTAAATTTTATTTTGAGAATTTTGTTTGATTTGTTAGAAAGCAGGTTGCTTGCCAGTTTATAGCTCATAAGACCTTACATTCCTATGCATAGTTTTAGTATTTACTTGATTAATTTTTTCTTGTATTCCCTTATATACATAACTAATAGTAGTAGTTCTCAGATGTTATCTAATCAAGTGACTCTCCACTTGCTGATTTTTCATATTACGTTGGTTTTGTTCGATGAATTAGGTTGGTTTTTTTTTTCTTGCCTGTTATTTTCATTCTGCTTCAGTAGTTTATGTACTCAAGGTGTGTACAAGAGCCCTTTAAAATGAAACTCTTATCTTCACAGCTGCTTATTACTGTGGCATTCAATCAACCTGTTAAGCTTTATTCCATGAAATTTCAAGGGCCAGATAATGGTGAGTAAAGGATAGCTTTTCTTTAAACTAACTTCTGCTTTGTAGAACTGTTAGCATAAAATTAAAACTTTTTATTAAATAGAGGTACTTGTTTTTTCTTTTTTTTTTTTTTTGAGACAGAGTCTTGTGCTATTGCCCAGGCTGGAGTGCGGTGGTGCAATCTTAGCTCACTGTAATCTCTGCCTCCTGGGTTCAAGTGATTCTCCCACCTCTGCCTCCCAGGTAGCTGGGACTGGGACTACAGGCAGGCGCCACCACGCCTGGCTGATTTTTGTGTTTAGTACAGGATTTCACCATCTGTTGGCCAGGCTGTTCTTGAACTCCTGACCCCAAGTGATCCACCCACCTTGGCCTCCCAGACTGCTAAGATTATAGGCATGAGCACCGCACCTGGCTTGTTTTGGAACGAAGCAAGATGTAAATGAATGAGTAAATAATGTGAGATTATTAGGTACTGAAAGTATGAAAGAAAGAGAACTTAGTTATTTTTATACTTTTTCATTTTAAAATTTGTTTCCTTTTAATCTGAGAAGTGCTGAATCCTTTTTTCCAACTGTTCTAAAACTGTAGCTTTTGAGCAGCCGTATTTTAGAATCAAAACTGAAAGATTTATTTCAAATTCCTTTTATTTTGAGGAAACTGAGGCTCCAGATATTCCTGTTTGTGCCCTATTAATAGTATCATTTTTTTATATCGATACATGTAAATATGATTGTGCAGACTTAGGATTTCTCTTCTTGTAAAATAAAGAATTTTCCTTTTTTGCCCCCCCCCATTTTTTCTTTTTCTGTTAAGCTTTTTCTGAGGGGGAATAGGGGAATGGAGACTAGGGTTCTGATTTTTTTTTTTTTTTTCGATTGATTGGAAGAAATAACCAAGGCCTTATTTAGAAGATAGCATTTTCTTATTTGTTCTGCTAAATTTTCATGTTAATAATTTTTATTAATAAAATTGTACTTTTACTCTGAAATTACAAAGTATTTGTATAAGCAAATGCTGTAG
Source organism: Homo sapiens (assembly GCF_000001405.40). Taxonomy (NCBI): domain Eukaryota; kingdom Metazoa; phylum Chordata; class Mammalia; order Primates; family Hominidae; genus Homo; species Homo sapiens. Next base: position 56,615,242 of record NC_000018.10, on the reverse strand, counting down.
AAATGAGTCTTACTTTTCCTTCTTCAGCCACAAAATATGGGTCTTAAATCGTGCCTTGAAGTTAAAGGGATTAAGGCATTCTATACATGGGACTTTACCACTTATCACATCCTAATCTAATCCCTAAAATGAAATTTGGCAATTTTTATTAATTTTCTTTTGGCTAAATGTTGTCACTGATAATGCTCTCCTCCTAAATAACTGAATGTACCAACTATTGGCAACTATAAGATCTAGCTCAAATGCTATTTCTTTTATGAAACTTTTTGTTAACCTGCATATATTGTCAGAATCTATTGTCACCTTCCTTGTACCTCCTCTCCTGTGGTATTTTGTTTATCGTAGCATGTCTTTTGTAGTTGGGGGGCAGGGACTCCCTCTGTGTGTGTGTGTCTGTTTAAATCTTATATTCCTAATATTTACCACAGTGTTAGCTCGGCCAAGAAGGAACCAGTAAATGTGTTTTGGAAAATAAAGGATTGGCTACCTGAATACTCAGACTTTTGTACAAGTTCTAATAATGGAGTTATTTGAAGTATATGTGTATTGATTTGTGTGTGTCTGTGTATAGTGTGAGTGTAGTGGTAAAGGGAGTATAGTATATTTGAGGTTTTTAAACATTTTATTTTATTCTACCATTGTATAGGTCAGGGCCCTAAATATGTAAAAATTTTTATCAACCTACCCCGATCTATGGATTTTGAAGAGGCAGAAAGAAGTGAACCAACTCAAGCTCTGGAACTGACAGAGGATGATATTAAAGAAGATGGCATTGTTCCACTTCGTTATGTTAAGTTTCAGAATGTTAACAGTGTAACTGTAAGTAGTATTTCGTTCATATGTATTTAATAGGTTTGTGAGTAACAATACTATTTTCAGTATCCTAGGTAAGTCTAAGTGATTCTTTAAAGTGGTATTTATTCACTCAGTTTGAAATGAGTAAAATGTTTAATGGGATAAATTTTCTTCTTTTTAATTTATGTACCCTAAAGAGGAAGGACAGATTGATTTTTGAATATTTGTGGGGTTTTGTCAGTTATTTTATATGTATATGGTAAGTTTTGCTGGAAGTTTATTCTACAACTTTATACTAAAACTGAAGATATTTGTGCTTTATTCTTTATACCTGGTATAGTAGTGATGTGTTTGTAAAATCTTATTTACTTTTCTTGAATATGGAGTTTTTAAGTGTGGTGGTCATGATCTTAGTAAAAATGACTTTTTATTTATTTATTTTTTTTTGAGATGGAGTCTCGCTGTGTTGCCCGGGCTGACTTGAACTCTTGGGCTCAAATAATCTTCCCGCCTCAGCCTCCTGAGAAGCTGGGATTACAGGCATGCACCACTGCACCTGGCTTAAAAATGACTTTTAAAAAGATAATACTACATTTTATAAGATGACCTAAGGTATATCTGAATTTTTTCTTCCTTTGAGGCAGGTTCTTGCTTTGTTGTCCAGGCTGGAGTACAGTGGCACGACCTTGGTTCAGTATAGCCCTGATCTACTGGGCTCAGGTGATTCTCCCTCAGCCTCCAGAGCAGTTGCAACCGCAGGCACGTGCCACCTCACCCAGCTAATTTTTTATTTTTGTAGAGGTGAAGTCTCTCCCTGTGTGGCCCAGGCTGGTCTCAAACTCCTGGGCTCAAGCAGTCCTCCCACCTCAGCCTCCCAAAGTGCTGGGTTTATAGGCTTCAGCCACTACACCCAGCCTTTCTGAAGATTGACTAGTGCTTGAGGTGATTTTAAGTGATGTATTTTAGATGTCATTATTAAAGTGCCACTCTCAAGAATCAGCTAATTTTTAGCAGTTATTAATTGCTTTTAAAAAATTTAGCATTGAAACCCAGCTCACACTTCTCACCTACAGTCATTTAGAGGAATGGGTAGGACAGTTAGAAAAGAATAGCAGAATACTTAGAAAAAGAAAGTAGGAACCAGCACAGAGCCACTGAGAATGTCATGCCAAACTGGTACAGCTTGTTTGTTGTGATGGAATAATTCTATTTTTGTAAATTAGAAGAATGCTAAAGTATGTGTTCATTTAAGAATGTTTTTGAGAGTTTCACAGAATATACATAGTAGTAGTATGAAGAATTATAATTGGCTGGGTGTTGTGGCTCACTCCTGTAATCCCAGCATTTTGGGAGGCCAAGATGGGCAGATTGCTCGAGCCCATGATTTTGAGACCAGCCTGGGCAACATGGTGAAACCCCATCTCTACAAAAAAATACAAGAACTAGCTGGGCATGGTGATGCGCCTGTAGTCCCAGCTACTCTGGAGGGACCACTTGAGCCTGGGAGATTGAGGCTTCAGTGAGCTGCAGTTGTGTCATTACACTCCAGTCTGGGTGACAAAAAAAAAAAAATTATAATCAAGTTGAGTTTTAAGTATTAGAAATATCCTACCCAAATGAAATCAAAGAAAATTGTTATATTAAACTTAGTATACTCATTATCAAATATTTTCTTGAAATAACATATGGCTGCCTATGAAAACAATAAAAACTGACGAATGAGTGGCATCTCAGAATGAAAGAAGTATGTTGTTTAAATCACGAGAGGCAGTTTTTAACTGGTCATGGGAGTACGCTGGTAGTCCCAGCTACTTGGGAGGCTTAGGCAGGGGCATCACTTGCACTAAAGAGTTCAGGACCAGCCTAGGTAACATAATGAGACCTTGTCTCAAAAAAGAGATAGGTGCAATATTTTAAAGTAGACAGCACCTAGAATATTGTGTTTTTAGAAATGGAGCAAATTTCAAAAATCCAATGTATGACAAAGGATCAATGAGTAAAACTTTTAGTTTTTATCGTGCTGAGGGGAGTTATTAAATATAGAGTCAAGCTTAAAAAAAAAATGAGGCACATAGTATTGTTTTAGGAGCTGATTCCCAATACTATTTTTTCTTTTAATATTCTAGGAAATAGAATGGATACAGGAATATCAGAAAGAATATCACTTTAGAGATTTTCCTCAGTGAAAAACTATGATTTTAATAAAATTTCCAATGATAGTCTGTCCCATTGTAATTGTAACTCTTAATACCCTTTCAACATTCTCTATAAAGAATTTAATTGCTGGGCGCGGTGGCTCACACCTGTAATCCCAGCACTTTGGGAGGCTGAGGCAGGAGGATTGCCTGAGCTCAGAAGTTCGAGACCACCCTGGGCAACACAGTGAAACCCTGTCTCTACTAAATTTAAAAAAAAAAAAAAAAAAAAAAAGATTAGCCGGGCGTGGCAGCATGTGCCTGTAGTCCCCCCTCCTCAGGAGGCTGAGGCAGGAGACTTGCTTGAACCTGAGAGGTGGAGGTTGCAGTGAGCTGAGATGGCACCACTGCACCCCAGCCTGGGCAACAGAGCAAGACTCCATCTCTTAAAAAAAAAAAAAAAAAAATTAGCCGGGTGTGCTGGTGGGCTACTCAGGAGGCTGAGGCTGGAGAATCGTTTGAACCTGGGAGGCGGAGGTTGCAGTGAGTCGAGATCGTGCCATTGCACTCCAGCCTGGGCAACAGAGTGAGACTCCATGTCAAAAAATACATATAGAGAGAGAATTTAATTGTGACTCTGCCATACTATCACACCAAGTTACCATGAACTTATATATATGGGTCTCTTGCCATGACATCTCTGGAGAAAGTGAGAATAGCAGGGCAAACAGCCCTATAATTAGTAGTCCTATCCTATAGGAGTACTAGTCTTAATGTTATATAATTTTGATTAATTTTTTTTTTTTTTTTGAGCCAGAGTTTTGCTCTTGTTGCCCGGGCTGGAGTGCAGTGGCACGATCTCAGCTCACTGCAACCTCCACCTCCTGGATTCAAGCGATTCTCCTGCCCCAGCCTCCCGAGTAGCTAGGATTACAGGTGCCAGTCACCACACCTGGTTAATTTTTTTGTGTTTTTAGTAGAGATGGGGTTTTGCCACGGTGGCCAGGCTGGTCTCGAACTCCTGACCTCAGGTGATCTGCCCACCTCAGCCTCCCAAAGTGCTGGGATTACAGACGTGAGCCACTGCACCCAGCCTAGATTAATTTTTACAAAGAATGGAGAATATTTATGTTATTAATTTAAGGAAATTGATTAAACTTAAAGCATGTTTGTGAAGAAGGATTGTAATTATAAATGCAAACTTTTTTTTGGTAGATATTTGTTCAGTCGAATCAAGGTGAAGAGGAAACAACAAGAATTTCATATTTTACTTTTATTGGTACTCCAGTCCAGGCAACAAATATGAATGACTTCAAACGAGTAAGTTTGCTTAAATGATACTTCGGGATAGTAAAAATATAATTTTAATGGAATAATTTCATGTATCTCAACTGTCACACTTTCTTTTAACAAAATAATTCAAAATTATATCATGTCATGAAATTTTACAAGGCTAAACTAGGATAGAAAGTTCCCCTAACTATATTTTTAGATATCCAACAAAGTAATCTTTAATAAAAAATGATGTCTTAACTGATAAAAGAGTCTTTTAATGAATGACATCAACATAAGGGTAAAAATAATGGCTTGGTTATAGAAAGTGGTTAGTAATAATGGAAAAATGAAAGTAAAATCATTTGAAAGCAGTTGTGAGAATTAAATAACTTAGTTGATAGTAAGATTCTGGTGATTATTTCTGATGAAATTTTAAATTACTTGAATAATTTTATTTAAAAAAAATGGACTGAGTTTTAATATACTGACATGTTAACTTTCCAAACCATGTTTGTATGCTGAAATAGCACATTTCATCAAATAATGATGAACAGGCAAGTTTTCTGAAGTATTTTTGTATATCTTTATGTGTGTGCATATAATTTTCTTTTGAAAAGACACAATTATAAGGTTAGTAAAGAATTAATAGGGTACATGGGACCTTTGTTAATCCAGATTAATTCCTTCTGTACATTACTGGAACGACTTCTAATGGGCAACAGTTCCCTAGCGTCACTCTTAAATATACAGCCAGAGATTATCAAAGTGCTACTGAGAGCTTTATCAGTACAGAGCGTTAGTTGCTATATACTCAGTTTAAATGTGGCAGCACAGAATACATAGGTATCCCACTGTCTCTAATGATTGCATCTGGCAGGCAGTCTAGAACTTGAGGAAGAGTTTCCTTAGGCCTGGCAATTCCTAGATGAAGAGGCTCCCAAGAGACCCTTGTTGTGGAATTGAAGATGGAGAACATCTTGAGCACTCTCATTCTTTTTGGTGCATCTACAGATCTTACTTTAATTCAATTATAGAAAAATGTATTAGATTGCATAACAGAGGATGATCTTACAAAATTGTATGCTGTTTTTACCAAATTGCAAACCTGGACAATAGGTATTTTAACTGGTTGTTTTCCAATTACTATTTTCCTGTCTCATAGCGTGATTACCTTTTGGGGACTGCAGGAATAATTATGCACTTTAGAGCTGTTATGTCTAGATGTTTCACATATGTATTATGACAGGTCAGAAGAAGCAGAGATTAAGCATCTACATTTTTACGATATGAAATATGTTTTATTGGGAAAATGTGTGAGCAACAAAGACGTCTTGGCTGCCTGCTTTACCTTTTTGAATTAGATGCCATTGGACTTGGCTTTAAGTGTGCCTTGTGTGGTTTATTCTTAACTTAGTTTTTTATAAGATCTATTACTATTATCTTATTATTTTCTCATATCATTCATTAATTTGGCTCTAGTTTCCTGTTTCTTACCTCAGTTTATGCTATTTGATTTTCATTTTTTTCTGTAACCACCATTCTATCTTGTTTACCTTCTTACCAGCTAGCCATTCAGTTAAAGTTTCTCTAATTTGCATGAATAATTATCCATCTAACTATCTGCCTCCACCTCGTGTTTAACATCCCCCTCACATCCCTTCTAGCCTAGTATTTTCTCTTTTCTGACTGTCAAACTACGTTTTTGGGGGCTGTCTTTAGGATAGCAAAGGTGTAAGACCTTTTTTGTTTGAGAGTATTTGTGCTTGTTTTATAACAGCCATTTATTCATTTGATTTTTTTTAACTTTAAATTACCATATGATAGCAGTTCTCAAGCTTTTTGATCTCAGGACCTCTTTATATTATTAAATACTATTGAAGGCCAAAAAGAACTTTTGTTTATGTGGGCTATATTTATCTGATATTTGCCATTTATAAGTTAAAAGTGGGAAATATAAAAAATATTTGTAAATAATGAACACATGTTAATGAATATTTTTAAATTAGAAATAAGCATATTTTCTAAAAGAAAAACCAATTTGGTAAGAAGAGCATTGATTCAGAATTTTATGATTTTTTTTTTTTTTTTTTTGAGACAGGGTTTTGTTCTGTCACCCATGCTGCAGTGCAGAGGCACAGTTATGGCTTACTGCAACCTCAAACTCCTGGGCTCAAGTGATCCTCCAGCCTCAGCCTCACGAGTAGCTGAGACTACAGGCGTGTGCCACCACACTCGGCTAATGTTTTATTTTTGTGTGGGGACAGGGTCTTACTATGTTGCCCAGGCTTCTCTGTTTACGAGCCTTATAGTGTCCTTTCCTTCTCATATCTGCTTCTGCATTCAGTCAGCTTTCCTGTCACACATCATATAGCCCCTGGAAAACTCCCCTGGATACTTGTGAAGAGAATAAGAGTCTAAAAGGCAAAAAACGATTTAGCATTATGAAAATAGTGTTGACCTCCCAGACTCCTTGAGAGGGTCTTGGAGACCACACTTTGAGAACTGCTACAAGAATAATTTGAATACCATAATCTACTCCCTTGTTGGTGTTCTGGGCTTCTTAGCCCCTTGCTTTTAATGTTTAATAAATTTTAGTTGATTAAGTGATTTTCTTAGGTATATTAATATTGCATTTTCTTGTAATATTTCTGAATGACATTTGTACTGTAGTTATTCTTTGTCTTTTAGGGTTATTCTTTAAAAGTAAGCTAGTATTTCATTGTTTTTATATTGTACAAAGTAACAACTTCAATGTAGTTAAAAAAAGAAAAAGAGGGTTTACATGTAACTGAAATTGGCCAGCTTAGTCCTTGTACAGATAGATTTGCTTATTAAAAATTATAATTGAGTTTGGTTTTCATTGAAGGAAATAATATGTGGTATGGTATCTTTTGTCCCTGTAGTACGATGCTAGTACAATAGTCTCTCCTTATCTGTCGGGGCGGGGGGATACATTCTTAGACCCCCGGTGGATGCCTGGAACCACAGACACTAACAAACCCTGTACATACTGTGTATTTTCCTATACAGATGGTTCCCAACTTATGATGGTTCAAGTTTACAATAGTGCAAAATTGATAATGCACTCAGTAGAAACCATTCTCTTAAGTGTGGGGCAGTTAAGCATTTTTGACTTACAATATTTTCACCTTACAATGGGTTTACTTATTTTTATTTTTTTGAGATGGAGTTTCACTCTTGTCACCCAGGCTGTAGTGCAATGGTGCGATCTCAGCTCACTGCAACCTCTGCCTCCCGGGTTCAAGTGATTCTCCTGCCTCAGCCTTCCAAGTAGCTAGGATTACAGGCGCCTGCCACCATACCCGGCTAATTTTTGTATTTTTAGTAGAGATGGGGTTTCACCATGTTGGCCAGGCTGGTCTCAAACTCCTGACCTCACTGCCTTCCTTGGTCTTCCAAAGTACTGGGATTAGAGGCATGAGCCACCGTGCCTGGTCTTTACAATGGGTTTAATCGGGATATATTACCCCATCGGAAGTCGAGGAGCATCTGTACATATATACATACCGCTGATAATGTTTAATGTATAAATTAGGCACAGTAAGAGATTTAACAACAAAGCCAGAGCATGGTGGCTCATGCCTATAATCCCATCACTTCCGGAGGCCAAGGCTAGAAGATCACTTAAACCCAGGAGTTCAGGACCAGCTGGCAAACATAGTAAGACTCCATCTCTATTTAAAAAAAAAAAAAAATTACCCATGCAAGACGGTGGGTGCACCTGTAGTCCCAGCTACTTGGGAGGCTGAGGTGGGAAGATCACTTGAGCCCAGGAGTTCAAGACCAGCCTGATAAACATAGTAAGATTCCATCTCTATAAGAATACACACACACACACACACACACACACACACAAAATTACCCAGGCAAGGTGGTGGGCACACCTGTAGTTCTAGCTACCTGGGAGGCTGAGGTGGGAAGATCGCTTGAACCCTGGAGTTCAAGGCTGCAGCGAGCTAGGATCACGCCACTACACTCCAGCCTGGGTGACAGAGCAAGACCCCATATCAAAAAGAAAGAAAAATAAAAAAGATTAACACCAACTAATAATAAAATAGAGCAATTACAACAATATACTGTGGTTAAAAGTTGACATGGATATGGTCTCTCCCATGCTTGCTCTTTCTCTCACTGTCTCAAAATATCTTATTGTACTGCACCATAGGCAGTTGAAACTGCAGAAAGTGAAAGCATGGATAAGGAGGGACTACTCTTCAGTCATGATCTCTGTCTACAGCAGTTTATATTCTTGTAGATAACATAGGGACAAACATAGGGAAAGTTAATCAAAATTAATCAAAGCTTAGTTCAAGGGTTTCTTTGTCCACAGAGTATTCTCAGACGTTACCAGCTAGGTGACTTTTCCTTTTCCCCCAACGACTGGGAAAGTCTGAGAATACTTTGTGAAGAAAGAGGGCCTTGAACTAAGTTTTGAGAGTAGAATTTGGACAGTTCAACAGGCAGCTATGGGCACCCTTGATAGAATGGAAAAGTAGGGACCTGGACATGAACTTAGGAAGGTGGAGGATTCAATCGTTCAAGGACAAGTCACATGTGGCATGTCTTTTCTTTTACTTGTTTGCTCAGTCTGAATTAGTATATACATAGTAATTAGAATTGAAATTTTTTTCTTTTTTTTTGAGACGGAGTCTTGCTCTGTTGTCCAGGCTGGAGTGCAGTGGTGTGATCTCGGCTCACTGCAAGCTCTGCCTCCCGAGTTTACCACATTCTCCTGCCTCAGCCTCTGTAGCAGCTGGGACTACAGGTGCCCGCCGCTACGCCTGGCTAATTTTTTTGTATATTTAGTAGAGACGGGGTTTCACCGTGTTAGCCAGGATGGTCTCGATCTCCTGACCTCGTTGATCCGCCCGCCTGGGCCTCCCAAAGTGCTGGGATTACAGGCGTGAGCCACCATGCCTGGCCTAGAATTGAAAATTTTGAAATAGATTTGGCATATATTTTATAGGCACAGGGAGGAAAATTTTGATGACCTCTGTGTAGTGAAGGGCGCTATATAAAATGGCTTAATGAATAATAAAGTAGATCAAATGTTTAGCATTTTCAGTTTATATTTTTATCTTGTGTGAGCTGTTTCTGGATAATTTCCGTTTTTAGTATGTCACTGACTTCTTATGTCACTAAGATATCTGACAGAAGCTAAGGTAATGCTGTTGAATCTCCAATGTGGACAGAAATCTTAGACAACCTTTCATGCTATTACAACTTTGAAGGTTAGACTTTTAAGGTTTGACAGACTAGAATACCCCTTCCACTTGTCTGGTTTTGGCTCTTATAGGCATCACGCACAGATTATAATCTATACTTTGGCTGTTTGTTGTTGTCAATGGATTTTTTGTGTTGCAGCATGAAAAGCTTGCCATTGCCATCTTAATTGGAAGTAGATGTTTTTGCTAAAATATGCTCTTTATATGGATTGCTTTATTTTAATACAGAATTTTTAATTACAATTTTATAAAAATACAAAAATGAGAAAATTATAGGGGCTTCTGCTTCTTAGGAAATGAGGTGCATGTGAAAAGATTTTTATCACTATAATAAAAATAGACTTTTCTAAACTGGCCATTCACCGTATCAGCTATTTTTGTAACATTTCTGTCTGTTTATTTTTCAGCTTTTTTAATCCAACTCAAATGAACTAAAAACAGAAGATATTTTAAAATGAAGTAATATAAAGATTGACCTTGTCTCACTCTACTCCCCTCCTTGCTTCTCTGCTCATCTAGCACCTGTCTGCTCTCACCCTTCCCATGTTCTCGCCATTGTTGGTGCAAGATTTCTACAGCTTCTATCATCTGGATCAGCCTTGTTACCTAGGTTTCCTCAATCATCTCTTTCTTCAGATCTCATCCTAGTTGTGTTTCTTAATTGGCCTTTTATTTTGTTTTGGCTTTTGTTTTGGGCTTGCAACTAGGTGCTTTAATTTTTTACCATACCGTGTTGCTCACTAGCCTTTTTTTTTTTTTACTTTCTACTGTTTCATATTTAATTTTGTATTACATTTTGAGGCATAACATCACAATAAAATTAAATTGTTATAAAATGTTTTAGATTTAACTAGTTGAATAGTTTTAATCCATTCTAAACTTTAAATTTTATTTCCTAGGAACTATAGAATTCTTTTGGAAAACAAATATAGCAGTTGCATCAAGTTCTTTTATGTTTGTGCTAGTTTAATATATTGATTACATTTCAGTTGAGGGGTGTTGGTTTTCTTTTCCTCGTTGGAATGTTAGCCCCAAAGTCCTTTTGATGATTGATTGGGGCATGTCCTCTGCTTTTGCCCAAGTGAGCTCAAAACCAGTTGAAGGACTTATGGACTGAATATTAGGTTGGGTTAACATATTAATATAGAAGATCAATGGACTCTTTACTGAATAAATATTTTTTACACCTAATTTTTATGTACCTAAATTTTGGTTTGTCTGAGGTGTAATATAAAGACTTAAGAATGAATAAAAGAGCTTTACGTTTGGGATGACAATCCATGTTGGAATGTTGAATTTCTTCTTTTTTACAGAAAATACACATTGGCAAGTTGAGAGTTATCAACCTGTGAAACAGTATGCAGATTTGTGTCTTCTGTATCACATCTGCTAGAAGTTTAATTTTTAATATTTGTTTTTGTTTTCTTTTGCTTAATCTAATAGCTTTGTGTTTTGTGTTTCCCAAGTAATACAATGATCAATAATGCTCTCAGTGTTTATCAGCACAAAATTTACTTGTGATAGAGATAATGCCAGTTCCCCTTCTAGTGGCTCTTAAAACCTGAATTTCTTACTCTTATCCACATTCTTTTATATGAAACTGCCTTTTTATCATCTTGCTACCTTGTGAGCTTTCTAACATGGTGTCTTTGGACCAAAGGGGAGTTCTTTTAAGGTACTAGAAGTGAGTTTTCTTAGGGTGGGAAAAACATTTCTAGGATTGTGTGATTGGGATTTCAGTGGAAAGCTTTCAGGTCTCTCATGAATGATGTTGACCCAGCTATGTTATATTTTAGACCAGACATGTACTGATGACCTTTATGAGTTTTGCTGGTATAGATACTGCCATTTAGAATAGAATCAATGTAAAATACGAAAATTAAATATATAAATGTACACAGAAATCTTTCTACACAAACATACATTCAGTATTTTGCAAGTAGGTTTCTTTCAAGGCATTTTTGCCCTAAGAATACATTATCTAATGATAAACTGTAAGTTGTCAGTACATTTCTCAATTAGAACATAGTTTTCAAACTCTCCTGCAGAGAATTTGTTTTCTAGATTTGTTGGTAGAGAACAAATTTTTATTCTTCACATTTTTATGCTGCCACATATATAGCAACCAGAATGTTTTTTATAATCCTCCAGTAGAGGATTTTTCTAATCATTGACAGAAACAAGGTTTATTCATTTCATTTTTAATAGTACTCTTAAAGTAACCAGGATCTTTTTCTTAAACCAGAAAAAATTAGTCACTTTTAATCTGTTTTCATTGCATGTCAGTGTATTGAGGGGGAAAGTCTGGAAATTTGCTATATTGGGCATGAAGGACATGAGTTTAACATACGCTTCTAATTCCAGATTCTTTTGTGATCGACATTTGATTTCTAACTATCTAAAAATAGTATGTCAAATATGTTTTACTCATATAGCATCATTTTTTAAATTAACTTCTCTAAACTTTCAACCTTGTTTTTAAAAATTGCTATTTAAAAAAAAAAAAAAAACTGTGTGAAACCAAAAATAGCCTGCATGTGTTTTATTTTTAATTCCTTGTGGCTGGGATTGGAGGGGAGGTCACAGTTTGCTTCAACAGTGAAAATACATTGCATGCCAGAAAAGATCCAAGGATAAAAATTAATACCAAGGTTTTAAACTGATTATTAGTATTTTTAATAACTCATATTTAAAATCAATAGGATGTACATATAAACTTATTTTTGTTTTTCTAGGTAGTTGGCAAAAAAGGAGAAAGCCACTAAGGTACAAAAGACACTGGACAACCATATTGCAATCAGATCTACAGCTCCTGGATAATTGCTTGATTCTCGCCAGAGACTGTCAATGTTTCATTCATTGCCATTACCAATAAATCATTGCTTTTGTTCAGATGGTATCACTAGTGTTTCCATTGTAATCTTGACACATGCAATTGTAAATAAAAGTCACCACTTTTGCCAAGCTTAATTTTTGTCTTTCTAAATCAGTATTTTCTCTTTCCATGTATTTGAAAACTGGTTAACTTCTGATTTTAGTAGAGACTTAAGTGTCTGGTAGTATATTGATTGAAAGCCAGTTTCTTTAGAAAAGGAGAAACTGTTCTAGGGAATTAAGAAGTACATGTGTACACATTCATGGCAAGTTATTTTGATAAGTGAACCTGGAACAGCTAACCATGTTAAATTATTACTGCATTTTTATTAAAGGACATTTGTATATCTGAGCTATGGAAATTACTCAAATTATAAATTAGAAGAAATAAACAGGTTTAATGAGATTTAGCTACTCTTACCTAAAACTTAGCTAATGGGTCCACAGATTCTTTCTTGGTATATATCAAGATTTTAATCTCTTCTGGTAAACTTTAAAATTTGAGTCAGCCTTTTTTTTTTTTTTTTTTTTTTTAACTAATAGAAGAATGTGGAAATCAGACAGTTGGGGAAAAAATACAGCATAGTGAATTCAGAAAACAGGAATTGGCCAGGTGTGGTGGCTAATGTCTGTAATCCCAGTACTTTGGGAGGCCAAGGCGGGCGAATCACCAGAGGTCAGGAGTTCGAGTCCAGCTTGGCCAACATGGTGAAACCTCGTCTCTACTAAAAATACAAAAATTAGCCAGGCATGGTGGCGGGTGTCTGTAATCCCAGCTACTTGGGAGGCTGAGACAGAAGAATCGGCTGAACCCGGGAGGCAGAGGTTGCAGTGAGCTGAGATTGCGCCATTGCGCCCCAGCCTGAGCGACAAGAGCAAAACTCCGTCTCCAAAAAAAAAAGGGAATTATTACCCTTAATCAAGTATTTATTACCTGAACTACCAAAACGTGCAGTGTAAATATACAGAGAACATGATTTAAGGTTGAAAATGAGGTGCTCAAATAGAAATGTTTAAAAGGTCTTTCACAAAAGGCTGGTAAAATACCTATTCGTTACCTTTTTTATCTTAAAATTGTAATCTAAAAAGTATTGGTAGTTTTAATTTTAAAATTTCTGAGTATTTTGAAAACTATTTTTAAAGAGTACATAAGACTGTAAAATTGTGATTCAGTTAAACATTTGAGGGCATTCTTGTCTAGGAATATGGTAGAGATACCATTTGCCTTTGTGAGAGCAGTGTGTTTATACTTGTTTATGAAAAAATTCTACAGAAGTTTTAGTGTTGAAAGAGTCCCTTTCTGAAACCCAAGTGTCATTAGATAGTTTAGTTCATTTGTATATGGGCACATTAACTGGTCTGTGATGATCTTAACACTCCTTAAATAGACCATCTCAGATTAATCACATCTGAAATTAAGGATAAGATTAATATGCAGGGTTTTGGTTTACAGTTTTGTACACTTAACCTTTCTGAGTAATTGTTAAAGTGCCTCATCCTAAGTATTGCTGACCTTTTCCTATTTATACTTGATAGTTTGAAAACCCAGTGAAACAAATTTCGTATTTGTAAAGGATTGGACATCAGATTTATATTGTCTATGTGACTCTTCTATAACAATTAGTTGCAGTATGCAAGTATTACATAATTCAAATTGTAAATAGTGAAAAATGAACGTTTATAGGTAACTATAACGTTTCACTTAATGGGAAATCTTACTATTATAAATGTGCATAATTGGCATTTAAAATATCAAACTGAAATGCTGTTTTCTCCTAAAACAGTATATATATATACACACATATGTATATGTAACATTTATATATAACACTGAATTTTCCAGATGAATAAGAGCATTTGAAAAAATGTAACTCTAGTTATTTTAACTGAAGTTATTTATTAGTGCATCTAGAAAACTGGTATTCAGTTTCTTGTTCATTTTGTCGGACATAGCAAAAAAGAATTTCATGATCTCTGTATTTTGATACATTGACATCAGGTGCTTTTGATGAGAAACAACAGTGAAATATCGTGTTCATAATAGAAACGAAAGTCAGGTATTGCAGTAGGAAGTCTTTGTCAGCTTAATGCTGAAGCCAAGAGTAGCACAAGGTACCACATTCTTGTGCCCACGACAGGCTTTTATAATCCTTCTGAGTTCTCTTTGACATCAAGCCCCACGTTGTTCCCCAGTCTCAATATTCTGTTGGAGGCAGCCACGTAACAATTAGAGTTGAAACCTGCCCCACGTTGTTCCCCAGTCTCAATATACTGTTGGAGGCAGCCACGTAACAATTAGAGTTGAAACCTGCCCCACGTTGTTCCCCAGTCTCAATATACTGTTGGAGGCAGCCACATAACAATTAGAGTTGAAACCTGCCCCACGTTGTTCCCCAGTCTCAATATTCTGTTGGAGGCAGCCACGTAACAATTAGAGTTGAAACCTGCCCCACATTGTTCCCCAGTCTCAATATTCTGTTGGAGGCAGCCACGTAACAATTAGAGTTGAAACCTGCCCCACTTTGTTCCCCAGTCTCAATATTCTGTTGGAGGCAGCCACGTAACAATTAGAGTTGAAACCTGCCCCACATTGTTCCCCAGTCTCAATATTCTGTTGGAGGCAGCCACTTAACAATTAGAGTTGAAACCTGTCTGCCATCCTTTGTCTCAATGTTTGAGGATGTATGCAGTGTTTTTGGCAGCGATTATAGGAATGCAGTTGTTTATTTGGCCTCAGCAGTTTATTTATGGCTGCAATTAATATCCCTGATCATGGGCTTTTAAACCTAAAATAGTTCAGATCCTCCCTTGTTCCTCTTAATGTCTAAAAGCTTTGATTCTGTAATAAGAATAAAGTGTTGGAGTTGAATAAATTAGTTACACCCTTTGTAAGCTTTAAAAACATGAAATTTAAGGCTTACTCATGTTGCTTGTATTGATACTCATATAGTTCAATTTAGTAGGTTAATTTTTGTGTTAGGTATATCTCTTCTGGAACTGATAATTTGTAATCTTAGACTATTTTTTTTTTAAGATAAGTAACTTAGAGTAAGAAATCCAGCTGGGAACAGTGGCTCATGCCTGTAATCCCAGCATTTTGGGAGGCCGAGGCGGCTGGATCACTTGAGGTCAGGAGTTTGAGACCAGCCTGGCTAACATGGAGAAACCCTGTCTCTACTAAAAATACAAAAAATTAGCCAGGCATGGTGGCAGGTGCCACACCCAGCTACTTGGGAGGCTGAGGCAGTAGAATCGCTTGAACCCGGGAGGCGGAGGTTGCAGTGAGCCAAGATCGCATGACTGCACACTAGCCCGGGCAACAGAGTGAGACTGTCTCAAAAGAAAAAAAAAAAAAATCCATTCACAGAACTGCTAAAGAAAAACTAGAGGAATATTTTGCTCATTTAGCTTTAAAACTCATTATTAGAGGTGTGTATTTTACAGTTTTGTAAATATAGATTATGCTTTATAATACACATAAAGCAAGTATATATAACATGCATATAGTAAATAAATTTTAAAATATTGACTATTCCCCAGTTAAGCCTATACTTCTTAAGGAAGACTACTGATGTCATTTTAAGCATGTTTCAAAATTCAAGTTTTATTTTTGATCAATAAGGTTTTTTTTTTTTTTTAACATGCTCAGCACTATAGGAATAAGAGGACAGTGGAGATTTGTAGGCTAATAAGATCGCTTTTAAACTTTGTGGTCCATGTAAAATTATTAGTTGGAGAATGTGTAATTAGAGAACTATAAGATAAAGAGATAACCTTTAGAATTTGAATGTACTAAAATTGTACACAGCTTGGAATATTAAAATCTTAAGGATATGCAATGTTAAAACTGCTAGAGTATTTTTCCTTCGTGCTTGCTATGCTTCTCTATGGGAAGAGGAATTTTATTTTGGAATTATTTCTAAGTTGAACAGACCAGAATTAATTGTGAAAACATGATCTGTTGGTTTATAATTGGACACGCATTTGGAGATACTGGCTCATCATACTACCTAGGAGCAAAATCTCTGAAGTTTGAATCCCTGCTCTTCCACTTGTTAGCTGTGTCATCTTGAGCAAGTAACATCCTTCAGAGCTCAAATTTCTTCTTGTGTAAAAATAGGAACATCTATCTCTTAGACTTGTTCTGAAGATGCGCCTTACTTTGTATCTGGAACAAGGATAAGTATCTTCTGTATCCTGCTCTCAGCTGTCACTGCTTTTTAGGCCATCATTACTTGCTTGGCATACTGCAGTGCCTCCTAATTGTCTCTTTGTTTCTGCTCTGGCCTCTCTCATGTATCCCCCACATGGCCGCTGGTTCTCTTTTCTTTATGGGGTCTTTGTAATGTAATCTCTCCTCCTCTAGCCTCCCCATGCCCCTCATTTCTCCAGTGTGCTGTGCTGTATTACCAGGTAGCAGAACGTACCCTAATATCGCATGCCTTCCTCTGACCTAACTTTTCCATCTGACCAATTCCTACTTATCTACAAGGCTCAGTCCAAGGAAAACTGATACCGGGAATAATCATAACAATTGTGCACGCCTCCTCAGCTGCTATGACACCTTGCCATTATTTCATCCGGATACTTATCAAGCTACTTGTAATGATCTGTAGTCTTATTTGGACTACTAGATTGTGAGCTGTAATACAAGTATTTTGTCTCTAGTATTAAGCCAGTTTATTTGGTTTCTATCATTAAATACAATGTTGAAAAAATTCTCAGGGTCCAAGGGGAGATGCTTGGGTTGAGTCAGAGATAAAGTAGGAATATGCAGTTGAGGAAGGTAAGGAAGATAATTTAGCTGAAGTAAAGGAAAAGTGCATAGTGTGTTCATAGAGTGGGAGTTAAGTGTAAGAGACATTCTAGGGAAGTGAAGGAGAAGCTGAAAGAGCAAGTAGAGACGGTAAGGTGAAGCTCCTCTTGCCATGTGAAAGAGATCAAACTTTCTCCTTAATTTATGGGAGGAGCGAGCATAGAGAAGTCTGTGATGTCTCACAAGGTTCTCACTTTTACAATTGAATATAGAAGTAGCTCTTAGGAGAAGCAGAACGTTCAGAGGGGAAGATGAATATGGTTTTGGGTACATTGCCTTAAATTGCATTTTTGGTATTTGGGTGGCGATGTCTAGTAAGTAAAAAGCCAGGAATGTGATTTTAGAGCTTAGAGCTAGAAGCAAGGAACTAGGAGTTGTTTAGATGATGAAAACTGAAATATGTATATGAATGGGAATTTTTAGAATATAAAGGGAGAGAATGAAACTAAGGAGCAAATGTTAGGGAATCCTAAGAAATATTAAAGAATTGGGAAAAGAGGAACCTGGAAGGTAGAGTAGTAAACAGGAAAGGGAGGAAAAACAGGAGGTGGTAATAAAGTAGTGTTAATGAATCCAAGAGGGAGCAGTCACCATCTTCAAATGTGATATTGAAATTAGCTGGGATGTCCAGTTGTTTAATCCATTAAATTGTGGAAACAGTCTTTCTAGTGCTTAATTATAGGAATCATTGATCATATTAATAAACTTTCAGTTGAAGCATCAGCAGATAATTATTCCAAAACCCTCTGGCAAAGAAATGTAGATGCTTTTATAGTCTACCATTGAACACAGTTTTACATGACACTTGGCAAAACTTGGAGATGGATGGCACTATTTTGTAAGAGAATATGAAACACTGCTTTGAAGTTGTCATTAAAGGATCTTATCAGGTGCTTTTTCTCTTGTATTTTGTTTATAAATTTTGTCCTATCTGTCATTCTAGTACTGTTTTTCTTGATTGCTTTTGTTCTCTTAAAAGTTTCTAATTTCACATCACAAAGATGATTCCTGTTAGAGTCCTGAATGGGTCATTGAGTTGCCTTAGTAATAAGGGTTCTAATTTTGGGGGGCATTATCAAATATATTAATTGTTAATACCTGCTCTTCTGGGGTTTCCAGTAAAAAGGAACTCCTTCATTAGATCCCTGTAATCTCCCTGTGACAAAGTATAGTAGAGATAGTATCATAGTTTCATTTCTCTGGTCATATAATTATCTCAAAGGAATTGACACATTGACAGTATTAAGGATGCTGCTGCATGAGTTTAGCCTCGACTGCAGGTGACTTTTACTTTTAAAAATGGGTATTTAACTCAAAACAGACAATGGCAGGGAGCCTGGGCATAAATGCATAGGCCAACTGGAACCCCATTAAAAATTCCTCGGCCAGGCGTGGTGGCTCACACCTGTAATCCCAACACTTAGGGAGGCCGAGGCAGGCAGATCACCTGAGGCCAGGAGTTCAAGACCAGCCAGGCCAACATGGTGAAACTGTGTCTCTACTAAAAATACAAAAATTAGCCAAGCATAGTGGTGTGTGCCTGTAATCCCAGCTACCCGGGAGGCTGAGGCAGGAGAATGGCTTGAACCTGGGAGGTGGAGGTTGCAGTGAGCCAAGATGGTGCCACCGCACTTCAGACAGAGCCAAACTCCGTCTCAAAAAAAAAAAAAAAAAAAATTCATCTGATTTTTATTTGAATCCAGCAACTGTAAGGGAAAGATATTTGGGTGTTTACATTTGGGCTTCAATTTTTACCTTTAAATAATTTCCGGCGTGGTACAGTGGCTCACACCTGTAATCCCAGCACTTTGGAAGGCCAAGGCCGGCGGATTACTTGAGGTCAGGAATTCAAAACCAGCCTGGCCAACATGGCGAAACCCCATCTCTACTAAAAATCCAAAAATTAGCTGGGCGTGGTGGTGGGTGCCTTTAATCCCAGCTAGTCGGGAGGCTGAGGCAGGAGAATCACTTGAACCCGGGAGGTGGAGGTTGTGGTGAGCCAAGATCACGCCATTGCATTCCAGCCTGGGTTACAGAGCGGGACTCTGTTAAAAAAAAAAAGACAGAAAAAAAAATTCCTAGAATAAGAATATTAACCCGCATTTTATATAATTGCTTCATTGCTTCCTCATTTTGGTCCAATGTACTTGCTTTTCAGAGTGCTCTAAGCAGTTGTTACTATGATTCCCTTTAATAAATGTATGCCATTTCAGGAATTAACTGTTTTATGTACATATAACCTGATAAGCTGGTAACTTATTTTATGGAATGAGATAAGCTTCTTTAGAAGATTTACAAGCCATTTGTTATGTATAGCAGTTCTCACCCAGAACAGTATCTCAGATTTATTTTACTATTTTATTTCATTTTTGGAGATAGGGTCTCACTGTGTTGCCCAGGCTAGAGTGTAGTGGCATGATCAGGTATATTTAGATAAAACATAGATTATTGATTACCTTAGTACAATATTAATCCAAAGTTATTAAGCAAAGTTATTTAAGCACATAGACACACTAGAAATCCAAACCCCTTTCATGATAAAACACTCAACAAATGAGGAATAGAACGTTCTTAACTTGATAAAGGCATTTATCAAAAGCCCACAGCTAATATCACACTTTATGGTAAGAGACTGGGTACTTCCTGCTAAGATCAGGATAAAGAAAATGATGTCTGCTGTCACTGCTTATAGTCAACATTGTATTGGAGGTTCTAGTCAGGTTAATAAGTCAAGAAAAAGAAATAAGCATCCAGATCAGAAGAGAAGGAGTAAAACTATTCACAGAAGACATAATATTGTATGTAGAAAATCCTAAAGGAATCCACCTAGCACTAATATGAGTTCAACAAGGTTTCAGGATAAAGGTTCTATATACAAAAAAATAAAATCGTATTTCTACACACAATGAACAATCTGAAAATGAAATTAAGCAAACAATTCACGATAGTATCAAAAAAACTAGGAATAAACTTAAAAGACGTGTAAAACTTATACTCTGAAAATTACAAAACATTGTTGAAAGAAATTAAGATATAAATAAATGAAAACATCCTGTGGTCACATGTGGTCACGAATCAGAAAACTTTATTAACATGGCAATCCTCCCCAAACTGATCTACAGATTCGATGCAATCTCTGTCAGAATTCCAGCCAACTTCTATATAGAAATTGACAAACTGAATCTAATATAAAATTTCAAAGAATCCAGTATATCCAGAACAATCCTGAAAAAGAAGTACAAAGGAGGACTCACACTACCTGATTTGAAAACTTTTTACAAACTAATAGCAATCAAGACAGTGTCATACTGGAACTACTAAACTCCTGTAAGAAAACATACAGGCAAATCTTCATGACCTTGGATTTGTCAAAGGATTCTTATATATGACCAAAAGTATGAACAAAGAAAGAAAAAGTAGTAAATCGAAGTTTCATAAAAATTGAAACCTTTTGTGCTTCAAAGGACACCATCGAGAAAGTGAAAAGACAACCTACGGAATGGAAGAAAATATTTGGACATCATATCTCTGACAAAGGACTGGTGTTTTGACTGCATAAAGAACTCTTAAAACTCAATAATAAGAACAACCCAATTTTTTTTTTTTTTTTTTTTTTTTTTTTTTTTTTTGAGATGAAGTCTTGCTCTTGTCGCCCAGGCTGAAGTGCAATGGCGCAGTCTCGGCTCACTGCAAACTCTGCTTCCTGGGTTCAAGCGATTCTCCTGCCTCAGCCTCCTGAGTAGCTGGGATTCCAGGCACCTGCCACCACATCTGGCTACTTTTTAAATTTTTAGTAGAGATGGAGTTTCACCATGTTGGCGAGGCTGGCCTTGAACTCCTGACCTCAGGCAATCCACCTGCCTCGGCCTTCCAAAGTGCCGGGATTACAGGCATGAGCCACCATGCCCAGCCAAGAACAACCCAATTTTAAAAACAGGCAATATGAATTGAAAAGATTCTAGACAGCCTTAGTCATCAGAAAAAATGCAATTCAAAACCACAATGAGATACCACTTCATATCCACAGGGTAGCTAGAATCAAAAATTCATACAACAACAAGTGTTGGTGAGGATGTGGAGCAGTCACAACCCTCCTACACTACTGGTGGGGATGTAAAATGGTTCAGCTCCTTTGGAAAACAGTTTGACAATTCTTTATAGGATGAAACATAGATTTACCATGTGACCCAATCGTTCCATTTCTAGTTATATGCCTAAGAGGGAAAAAATAGTATGCCCACAGAAATACTTGTACCTGAATGTTTATAGCAGCATTATTCATAATAGCCCCAAAGTGGAAACAACCCAAATGTTCATCAATGGACAAATGAATAAACAAGACATGGTGTATCCATCCATGTTGGCCAGGCTGGTCTCGATCTCCTGACCTCAGATGATCCGCCCACCTCGGCCTTCCAAAGTGCTGGGCTTACAGGCATGAGCCACCACGCCCGGCCTTGGATTTCTTTTAAATGTGGTAGAAATGTTTTAAAATTTATTGTGATTGTTGTGCGTATCTGAATATACTAAAAATCATTGAATTCTACACTTTAAATGGAGGAACTGTAAGATATGTGAATTTTATCTCAGTAAGGCTATCAAAAAGTAAATAAAAATAAAAACAATGCAAATTATACATGATTAGCATAATAGTAAATTAGGGAGAGAAAGATTTCATCTGAATGTGACCCTCAGTTTAGAGATTGATATAGTTTGGATTTGTGTCCCCACCCAAATCTCATGTCAAATTGGAGGAGGGGCCTGGTGGGAGGTGATTGGATTATGAGGGCAGACCTCCCCTTTGCTGTCTTGTGATACAGTTCTCATGAGATCTGCTTTTTTTTTTTAAGTGTGTAGCACTTCCCCCTTTGCCCACTCTCTCTTCCCTGCTGCCACATGAAGACATACTTGCTTCCCCTTCACCCTTCCGCCATGATTGTAAGTTTCCTGAGGCCTCCCCAGCCATGACTTCTGTGGAACTGTGAGTCAATTAAACCTCTTTTCTTTATAAATTACCCAGTCTCAGTTAGTTCTTTATAGCAGTGTGAGAATGGACTAATACAGGGGTCTTCATATTTGCAATGTTATCTGAACTAAAAAAAAAAAATCTACACAAGTTCGCTTGTACATTCAATTTCTACTTTTACATACTTAAGAGGTTTTTTTTAAATTATAAAGGAAATGTAAGAAATGTTTAAAGTATAATCTTTATGCAATGAAACTTACATGAATGAATGACAAACTACTTGCAATTTACTTTTGTGATGATACATACAAACACACACACCCCACATGGATAAAAGGCATCATTTATAAACCAAAATATGAAATTCTGCTATGTTTAATTTGCCCTCCTATTTTATGACTCTTTGATTTTTCATGAAAAATTTTAATTCAATGAAAATCTTTAAATGTTTTATAAATTCTGTAAAGAATAATTTAGCTAAAGAAAGGGGTTTAGGGCCTTTTCTGCCTTTTGGTTTTTTTTCCTCTGTATCCTTTCAAGGACTACTAGTTACTAGCTTATGGATGAACATCGTAGTACTTTGCTGTTTATATTTTGGCTTAGAGTCTCTGAAGCCATTTAAAGTTGTCATCTATTTTAAGATGAAACTTCTCTCCCTTTTAAAAAACACTTTTAAAGTTGATATGCATCTTTCAATTTTTTGTCATCACAGTTTAATTGACTGTTCTTTCTAAATAGACTTCTTGCAGTCTATAGAATCTCAGAATCAATGAAATACAGGAGATTCCTTGCCCCTTTTGCTTTTAAAGGGCTTTAAAGAAGAGAAAGGGATATTGGAAAAAAAAGAGATTAGTTTGAACCCAGGGAAATTTGTGATTCAGTTGTACTTTTATAAGTGTTTATATACATAGAACATTTTCACAGCTCAATATTTATAATTCTTGAACTAAACTTTTACATGCCAAATGAATATTTTAATCTTCCACTTGGAGAATACGTTTACAGGTAGGAAGTTATTTCAGTACTTAGTTTTCCAAAAACTTTAGCTTATTTAATGCAGTCACCATTCTCCTGATAGGCTGGTCTTACCTATAAAATAATAAAGATTAGCTCATGCCTTCTGGAGAATAAAGGTCTCAATCCTTAAGTGGGCTATCAACCAGTAAATGTGTAAGGAATAATGTAGTTAGAAAATCATTCATGGATGCTAAACCTAGTGAATGAAAGTTTGAGGAAAAACATGATATTTACACATCTCAAAATACACCTCCCCAAATAACTTAATTTCATGGGAAAAATAGGCAGACTCCACCTTAACCAAGTAAGTCTTCTTTAATCTCCCTGATTGGTCTAACTGCTTAATTGATTTTCATTCATCATTGGAAATCACCTACTATACTTCAAAAGCCAAGAACAGTACCTTAAGATTCCTACACCTTAAAATTAGACACATTATTTTCTTAGGAGTTAAAAAGTAAATGAAAAGCAACAAAAACTGGGGGGTGGGAGTGGAATTTATATGCAATTATTACTACTTATTCCTTACCACAATTAGGAAAAGCACATGGCTTTGACAGATGTAGCACCAATGGCTTAAAATACTATATTTCTCATGCCAGATGTGCGAAAGATTGCTGATTCTCCTAAGAATGAGAGGCTTATATCCACATAATTAAATTTCAGAGCTGAAGTAGTTCAAACTCCTGCTGCCCCTTTTTTAGGATTTTTGGGCACCAAATTGTACCAAAAACAAACAAACCAAAAAAAACAAACAAACAGACAAAAAAAAAAAAACTAATGATTTCAAGACAAGGAACTTCAAGAATCAGAATTTGTTAAATAAGACTTTGCTCAAAGGAAGAAAGGTAGGCAAAAAGAAGACTGAGAACCTGATCTACAGACTTATGATTTCATACAGTTTTTTACATGGCATTTTTGATGATAACTACAAGACTACATTACAAATAGTGTTTTTTAAAATTACAAATCATAACATGGGCATGTTACAAATCAACATCTAAGTTCCTTTCTTGAACATAGGTCTGAATTTGTTTTCAATCTAATGTCGTAAAGAAAATTATCTGTCAGGAGTTTTATCACAGCAGATTCTAAATTTCTATATAACTTAAAATGAAGAGATTGAATACTTTATAAAGCTTTTTTCATTAGATAATGCTTTAGATAAAGGCTTTATCTATGGCCTTTGGTCTTTGGCCAACGTTAAAAACTAGCACTGAATCTAGACAGTCACACACACACACATATACCCCTAACAACAAAGGTAACAGTAATTATAGTTTTTATATTATGTAGATGTATTTGGTGTTGATAATTTTCTCCCTGCATGAAATTGCCTCCTCAATGGACTTCTGGTCTTATGATCTTCCTTGGACTGGTATGGCAGTCTAATTTTCTTTGCTGTCCCCTGGCTGCCTGAAACTGTGGCTACCTCTTCAAAATGTAGTTGTGAATTAGCCGGGCATGGTGGCATGTGTCTGTAATCCCAGCTACTCGGGAGGCTGAGGCACGAGAATCGCTTGAACCTGGGAGGCGGAGAGGTTGCAGTGAGTTGAGATAGTGCCACTGCACTCCAGCCTGGGCAATAGAGTGAGACTCTGTCTTAAAAAAAAAAAAAAGAAAAAATGTAGTTGTGTGTAAACTTCTTGAAGCTGAATCTTTAATTTTTTCATGTACTTTCGCTGAATATTGAAATGATAGAATTAAAACCAACATTTGAGATGAACTAGAATTCTCACTCTGCACACTGAACTATATCCCCAGATACCTTCTAGTTTCCAAGTGTACCTCAATTAGTGTTGTTTAACCGGGGAGAGCAGTAGGAATATTGTTTCCATGCCAATGTAATACCTTATAAACTTTTAGCTTCAATTCATGCTGTTGGCCCTATGATTTTTTAAAATGTTCACTCTTCTATGATATTAGCTCTCAGCTTCGGGTTATCTGCCTATAAATATCCTTTCACATTTAAAAATATCAAAGCAAGGAAGTATTGTTGATCCACCATAATGTGCCTGTAACTTAAAAAGGTATTTTTTTTTAAGTTTTCAAAAAAAATTGGGCACTTACATATTTTAACCTGACACTGATTCTGGAGAATTACCCACAGTTTGGGGTTTTCTGATATTTCCTCATGATAAGATCCAGGTTATATATATTTTCAGAAATACTACCAAAGTGATGTTGTGCCTTTCTCTGTACATCTTTTCAGGACGCACATGGTGTCTGTTTCAATATTGGTGATATTAGATTTGATGACTTGGTAAAAGTGGAGTCTGCCAATTTTCCCTTTGTAATTAATAAGTACTTTGGGAGGCTGAGGTGGGCGGATCACCTGAGGTCAGGAGTTTGAGACCAGCCTGACCAACATGGCGGAAACCCTGTCTCTACTAAAAATATAGAAAATTAGCTGGGCGTGATGGCACGCACCTGTAATCTCAGCTATTTGGGAGGCTGAGGCAGGAGAATATCGCTTGAATCCGGCAGGTGGAGGCTGCAGTGAGCTGAGATCGTCGTGCCACTGCACTCCAGCCTGGGTGACAGAGTGAGGCTCCATCTAAAAGAAAAAAAAAAGTATTTTTCTTGAAAGCTAATTTGAGATACGTGAATATCCTTTTCCTTACCAACATTTCACTTGCTAATTTTAGCATCCATTAATGATTTTGTAATTCCATTCTTCCTTCTATCTTTCTATTGATAGTTTACCATATGGAAGACCTTTTCCTTTTCCCCTGTTTATTGATTTATTCATTTAATATTTATATCAGCACAGGCTTATGGATTCTAATTTTTTAATGGGTTATATCTTTTTTTTGATGCTTATATTGCCCCAGATTTGTTCTGTGAGAGCCTCTGCCAGTTGGCACTCATGTTGATTTGACACGTCCCCGAGATTCTTTGAATACTTTTTAAACTTTGTGGCATAAAGTTTTCCAAGCTCTTTCTCTACTCCCTGCCACCCCCATCTCCTGCCCCTAACCCAAGCCTGGAATCACTGATTTATTCAATAAGTGGTTCCTTTTAGTGGAGAATGATGCTGAGAAACCAAGATCTGAGTGTTAGCTATGTTTATTCCCACTTGTATGTCTTTGCTTCTAGGCCCTCTCAATGGGCAGAGATAGGAAATGGAATAGAATAGGGTAAAATATTTATGCACATATGTAAACAAACACATTTTTATTTATTTCAATATCCTTTTTTTAAAAAACAACTTCATACTGATACCTTCCTTCAAGTCCAATCCAACAGCACAGAGAACATTCTAGACTTCCTCGTGTCTGTATTTGCAAGTCAATTTCTCATATGAAAAACTGGCTACCATTATCCTCAGTATATTGACACATTTGCTCAAGCCAAGAATACAGGAAGTAGTTTTAAAGATGCTAATATGTACCCCAGAAAATTGAAACCTACTAACTAGAGTTTATTTATTCAGTGTTTCATAAAAGTAAAATTTACATACCTTGAAATGCACAAATTGTCATATGCATCAAATGTCCAATTAATTATATTTCTTTCCCCATTAGTCCTCCTAACCTTAAAACCAACCACTGTTTTTGATGTTTTCACCACAGATTTGTTTTGCTTGTTCTAGAACTTCATATTAATGAAATCATAAAACGTGTATTCTTCAGTATCAACATCGTGCCTTAGCAAATGTATGTGAGATTATCCATGGTGTTGCATGTTTCAGTAGTTTATTTTTTTATTGCTTAGTAGTGTTTCATTGTATGTATGAACATGCCAATTTATTTATACATTCACCCAGTGAAGGACATTTAGGTTGTTTCCAGCTTTGGTCTATTACTAATAAAGCATCTATGAACTATCTTTTACAAGTCTTTTTGAGGATGTAGGCTTTTGTTTTTCTTGGCTAATATCTGTAGAACTTCTGTAGAACTACTGGATCAAAGGATAGGCGAATGTTTAACTTTAAAAACAAACTGCCACATCTTTTCCAAAAGTAAATGGCCCATTTTACACTCCAGCCAACATTGTACGAGAGGTTTAATTGCTTTACATCCTTGCCAGTATTTGGTGTTTCAGTCTTTTTAACTTTAGCCATTCTAGGGGTTATATGCAGGAGTTTCATTATGGTTTTAATCTGCATTTCTCTGATGACTAATGATGCCAAGTATCTCTTCATGTGTTGATTGGATTTTTTTTTGCTTTTATTGTGTGTTTTGTCATAATAATTGTACACATTTATGAGATAGTGATATTTTGATACATGTATAGACCATGTGTAATTAGCATATTCATCACCTCAAACATTTATAATTTATTTGTGTGAAACAGTCAAGATTTGTTCTTCTAGATATTTGAAAATATATGATAAATTGTTAATTATATGGCTGGGCATGGTGGCTCATGCCTGTAATCCCAGCACTTTGGGAGGTTGTGACTGGAGGATCGCTTTAGTCCAGGAGTTTGAGACCAGTCTGGGCAACATGGTGAAACCCCGTCTCTACAAAAAATTAAAAAATTAGCTGGGCATGGTGGCACACGCCTGTAGTCCCAGTGGATTGGGAGGCTGAGGTGTCATGGCTGCAGTGAGCCAAGATCAAACCACTGCACTCTAATCTGGGTGACAGAGCGAAATGCTGTCTCAAAAAAAAAATTGTTAATTACAGTCACCCAATAGTGCTATAGAACACTAGAACTTATTCCTTCTACCTAGCTGTACTTTTGTAAAATTGATAATTTTTATTGGGTAGTTTGTCTTTTTATTATCACATTATAGGATTTCTTTATATACAGATGCTCCTTGACCTATAAAGGGGGTATATACAGATAAAGCTAAGTTGAAAATTCAATTAATACCCCCATAAGCCCATCATCAAATTGGAAAATCATTAAGTCAAACCATCGTAAGTCAGAGACCATCTGTATTCTGAATACATATTCTGTATTAGATAATAGTTTTGTAAATATCCTCTTCCAATGGCTTGCCTGTTCATTTCGTTAATGAATAGACAAAAATTTTGAATAGACAGAATTTTTTATTTTGATGGCATTTAATTTATACATATTTTTCTTTTATAGTTATAGTTTTCTAGATCCTGTCTAGAAAATCTTTGGTTACTCACGATTCACAAAGATATTCTTGTATGTATTCTTCTGAAAGCTGTAAACTTTTATTTTTTAAGTTTATGTCTCTATTAGTCCATTTTCATACTGCTGTAAAGAACTTCCTGAGACTGGGTAATTGATAAAGGAAAGAGGTTTAATTGACGCACAGTTCAGCATGGCTGGGGAGGACTCAGGAAACTTACAATCATGACAGAAGGCAAAGGTGAATCAAGGCATCTTCTTCACAAGGCAGTAGGAAGAAATGCCCAGCGAAAGGGGAAGAGAACCTTATAAAATCATCAGATCTTGTGAGAACTCATTCACTATCACGAGAACAGCATGGGGGAAACCATCTGCATGATTCAATTACCTCCACCTGGTCTCTTCCTTGACCTGTGAGGATTATGGGTATTATGGGGATTGCATTCAAGATGAGATTTGGGTGGGGAGAGTAAGCCTAACTGTTTCAATGTTTATGGTCCATGTGAAATTAATTTTTGTATGTGGTGTCAAGTAGGTAAAGGTTCATTTTTTATTCACAAGACTATCAAATTTTGTAGTATGTTAGAAAAACTTTCCTTTCTTTATTAAATTGCTTTTGCAACTTAGTAAAAAATAATTAACTACATAAATGTGTTTCTGGACTCTCTATTCTGTTCCATAGACTTATTTGTCCACCGTTATGTGACTAGCGCACTGTCTTGATTACTGTAGCTTTGTAGTGTGTCTTGAAGTCAGGTAGTATAATTCCTGTAATTTTTTTTTTTTTTTTGAGACTGACTCTCGCTTTGTTGCCCAAGCTGGAATGCGATGGCACCATCTCAGCTCACTGCAACCTCTGCCTGCCAGGTTCAAGTGATTCTCCTGCCTCAGCCTACCAATTAGCTGGGATTACAGGTGCCTGCCACTACGCCCAGCTAATTTTTGTAGTTTTAGTAGAGCTGAGGTTTCACCATGTTGGCCAGGCTGGTCTCAAACTCCCGACCTCAAGTGATACAACCATTTCAGCCTCCCAAAGTTCTGGGATTACAGGTGTGAGCCACCACTCCTGGCCAATTACTGTAATTTTCTTCTTGAGAT
Organism: Homo sapiens; assembly: GCF_000001405.40. Taxonomy (NCBI): domain Eukaryota; kingdom Metazoa; phylum Chordata; class Mammalia; order Primates; family Hominidae; genus Homo; species Homo sapiens. The sequence continues at coordinate 56,585,965 of NC_000018.10, read as the reverse complement.
TATTTGAGTTACTCTAGGCCCTTTGCATTTCATTTTAGAATCAGCTCATCAATTTTTTTTAAAAAAAAGCTTTCTAGTTGGATTACCTTGAATATGACAACTTAACTATATTGAGTCTTCCAATCTATGTATATAGTAGGTATGTATCTACATCTACCCATATACATGGGTAGATATAAGTATATAGATATGTGTATTAATATATGTATCTATGTGTAGATGTATATATATATGTGTAATTATTTCCATTTATTTAGACCTTTAATTTCTAAATGCATTGTTTTATAGTTTTCAGCATGGAGGCCCTTCATTCATTAGACTTAACATTTCATTTTCCAATTGTTTTGTTGCTGGCATATACTAATACAGTTCATTTTTGTATATTGACCTTTAGTCTGTCATCTTAATAAACTCTTTTATTAGTTTTAATGGTTTTTATACATTTCTTATTTTCTATGTAAACAATCATGTCATATGCAAATAGTTTTAATTATTCCTTTCCTCAGTTTACCTAAGTTTGCGCCTTTGATTTCCTTTACTTGCCTATTGCAATGCCTAGGAATTTCAGCACAATACTAAATAAAAGTAGACAAAGTAGATAATCCTGCTTTATTCTTGATCTTAGGGGGATAGTATTCAGTGTTTCACTACTAAGAGATGTTAGTTGTTAAGTTTTAAAAAAAAGTCCTTTATGAAATTGAAGAAGTTTCTATTTCAAATTTTCTTGAAGTTAAAAAAGAATCATGAATTGGTGATAAATTTTGCTGAGTACTTTTTCTGCATCTATTGAGATGATTATGTGTTTCTTTGTTTTGTCAATATGGTGAATAGTATAAATCAATTTTTAAAATATTAGACCAACCTTGCATTCCTTGGATTAACTGCTTTTGGTCTTGATGAAATATTATTTTCATATATTGGTCAATTAAATTAGCTAATAGTGTAATAAGGATCTTTTGTGACTATGCTTATTAAGGATATTTCTTTACTAGGTTTTGATATCAGGGTTTTTCTGGTTATACTTTAAATGTTTCATAGAACTCACCTGTTTCTTTGTGAGAAGCTTTTAAAATACATATACATGTAAAATACATCTTTAAATATATAAACATTTAGAAGTACATCTTTAAATATATGTACATTTAAAAACACCTATTTTATATATTTGATAGATATTAGGGTTATTGAGATTTTCTATATGACCTTGAGTTTAACTTTTTTGTTGTAAACAAAATTGTAAATTTTATTTTCCAAGAGATTTGTCTTTCATATGTCAAATTTATTAGCATAAGGTTTTAAATAATAATCCCCTATTATCCTTGAATATCTGTGAGCTCTATAGTGCTGACCAGCTTTTCATTCCCATTTTTGGTCATTTATCTTTTTCTCTCTTTCTCTCTCTTTGTAAATTAAGCTGGTAAATGGAGTTATCAATTTTATTAATTTTCTCAATCGTTTTGTCATTTTAAAATTTTACTGATTTACATACACACTTCTTTTTATTATCTTGTTTCTACTTAAATTTGCTTTTCTTTTTCTATCTTATTAATGTAAAAACTTTGATCATAAATAGTAATCTTTCTTCTTTTCTAATATAAGCATTTAAAATTATAAACCTCCTACTGAGCTTTGCTTGCTACTGAGCTAAGCTTCAGTTGCATACAAAAATTTTGGATATTTTTAAATCATCACTTAAATGAAAATATTTTCTAGTTTCTCTTATAATTTATTCTTTGATTCTGGGTAATTTTGAAATCTATTGTTTAATTTCCAAATACTTGGGGATTTTCTAGATATCTTTTTTGTTGATTTTTGGTTTAATTCCATATCTGTAAGAGAACATACTCTAATGTTTTGATCTTTTAGAAATTTTTGAGACTCATTTTATGTCCCAGCATAACAGTTTATCTTGATGAATGTTCTATGTGCACTTCAAAAGAATGTATATTCTGCAGTTGTTGAGTACTTTATAATTTATCAATGAGATCAAGATGGTTGATGATGTTGCTTAGGTGGTTTACATCCTTACTTCAATATTTGTTATTCTATTAAATCCCCCCACCTCCTTTTTTCTTTTTCTTTTTTCTTTTTTTTTTTTTTGAGATGAAGTCTTGCTCTGTCACCCAGGCTGGAGTGCAATGGCGTGATCTTGGCTCACTGCAATCTCCGCCTCCTGGATTGAAGCAATTCTCTTGCCTCAGCCTCCTGAGTAGCTGGGATTACAGGTGCACACCACCACGCCTGGCTACTTTTTGTATTTTTAATAGAGATGGGGTTTCACCATTTTGGCCAGGCTGGTCTCGAACTCCTGACCTCGTGATCTGCCTGCCTCAGCCTCCCAAAGTGCTGAGATTACAGGCATGGGCCACTATGCCTGGCCCCACCTCCTTTTTTCTGAGACAGAGTCTCATTCTGTCACCCATGCTGGAGTGCAGTGATGTGATCCCGGCTCACTGTAGCCTCAACCCCTCAGGCTCAAGTGATCCTCCTGCCTCAGCCCCAGCAAATAGCTGGGAGTACAGGTGCATACCACCACACCTGGCTAATTTTTAATTTTTTTGTAGAGATGGAGTCTTGCCGTGTTGCCCAGGCTAGTCTTGAACTCCTGAGCTCAAACTATCAGCTGCCCTGGACTCCCAAAGTGCTGGGATTACAGGTGTGAGCCACTGGCCCAGCCTATTCTGTTAAATTTTGAGAGAGCAGTGTAATAACTCCAACTATGATTGTACATTTGACTTAAGCACATATACCTTATGTGTTTCTGATGGATTGATTCTTTAATCATAAATGTCTCTCTATATCTCTGGTAATACTCTTTGTCTTGAAGTTTATTTTGTCTGAAGTTAGGAGTATAGTCCTTCTATCTTTATTCTGATTGTTTTCATGGCATTGCTTTTCCCATTTTTTTACTTTCCATATATCTGTGTCTTTGTATTTAAAATATGTCTCTTGTGGAAAGCAATTAGATGGGTCTTTCTTTGTTAATCCAGTGTGAAAAATCTCTGCTTTTTAAATTGGAATTATTCTATTTACATTTAGAGTACTTATTGATATGATTTATTTAGGGCAACCATTTTGCTATTTGTTTTCTAGTTGTCTCATATGTGTTTAGTTTTTCTGTTCTTTTTCACCTGTGTCCTTATGTGTTAATCAGAATTTATCCTAATTCCCTTTAAATTTCTTTTTTATGATTGCTCTAGGGACTGCATCATGTATCTTTAATGTATCACTTAGATTTAACATATTATGCTACTTTGCATAAAATATAGGAAACTCGTAACTTTATGGTTCTACTTAGCCTTCATCAATTGTGCTAATAGTGTCACATATAATTTAAATGTTATAAAATCCACAATATAGAATTATAATTTTTACTTAAAGTCTTTTAACAGTGTGAAAAATTATTTGCCCATTTTCCGTTCCATTTTCTCTCTTCTTTCCTTCTTAATTCCAATTAAATGCTTACCAGTCCTTTTTACTGTATCTTACCATTTCTTCTGTGTGTTCTATCCTTTTACTTTTTTGCATTGCAGTCTACATATTTTCTAATGTAGATTTTCTACATCTTTCAGTTCTCTTATCCTGTCTTCTGGTGTTCTAATCTTCTGTTAAATTTATCTATCAAGTTCTTAATTTCAGCATTTATACTTTTCATTGCTAGAATTTTTATTGGATTCTTTTCAATAGATTCCAATTCTCTGATGATATTCTCCATCTTTTTATATAATTAAAAAAATTTCCCATGTCCATTTCCACATAGCAATTGTACTTATTTTAAAGTCCTTTTCTGCTAACTCTAATATCTGAATCACTTTTGGGGTTGTTTCTACTTTCTATTTTTTTTTCTCTTGGATTTTGGTCATTTGGTTCTATCTCTTGGTATGCCTAATATATTTTATTAATATTTAATATCTGTTGCATTTCAGACATTGCAGATGAACAATTGTAAAGGGTCTGGGTAATATTATCTTCCTACAGAATGGATTTACACTGTCTGCTAAGTGGACGTAGTGGGGCAGGTTACCTTATCCGATGAGTAACTAAGCCGAGTCCAGGCAGCCTGATGTATCAGGTTGGTGAAAAAGGAATTTTGGTTTAAAAGTAATGGCAAAAACTGAAATTACTTTTGCGCCAACCTAATAGGTACTGAGGCCCCTTCCCTGTAAGACTGAACTTCAACTGTTTCTCCTTGACACTGTGAGACTGAGGAATACTCTATTTTTCAGAGTTTTCTTAATTTCTTACTTCTAATCTAACACAGTTTCATAATTTGGCAAATGTCTTGAGGGAAAAATCAGCCATGTGTCAACATTTGTTCTCTACTTCTCTCTTCTCGCTGAGATTTTGGATCCTCAAGTCTCTGACTTTTGTCTGTCTAGATCTGGTAGATGGCCAAAGGGTCTCTGGTTTCTCTGCTTCCCAGAAGTGGCCTTTTGCCTGTATCCTTTGTCCAGACTTTCAGCTGTATCCAGTGAGAGAAAAATGTATCTGCAGAAGGTTGACTTACCTTTCAATAATTCCTCCCTCTGTGAAATCAGCCTCTTAAGTTTTGGTTGCCTCAAGAAGGCTCCAATGTAGATGCAATCACATTTTATCTAGTTTTCTAGTTATTTTCTTGGGCACATTGGTTTGCCAGAAATTACTTTATCATAGCTGGATAAAGCAGTCTAAATATAGCTATTTTAAAGTTTATGTCTGAATATTCAATTATTTGGAGTCCTTTTGAGTCTGTTTCTATGGACTGTTGTTTCTTTTCATTTTTATTCATGTTTTTGATCTTTTTATTTATCTTTTAAATAACAATTTAGATATAATTGACACATTATACAAAATTAGTATATAATTTGATATGTTTTACCCTATGTATACGTCTCTGGAACCATGACAACAGTGAGGAACATGAACACATCCTCACACCCAGTATTTCCTGTGCCCTTCATAACCCCTATTATCTTCCTTCTCAGACACGTACTGATCAGCTTTCTGTCACTATGGATTAGTTTGCATTTTTTAGAATTTTTTCCAAAGGATATTTTCCAAATATTTTTTAGAATTTTATATAAATAAAATTATACAGTATGAATTCCTTTTTTCTGACTTCTTTTATTCAATCTAATTATTTTTAGATCCATCCATCCATGTTGTTGCATGCATTAATAGTTTATTCTTTTTTTCTACTTGTAGTGGAGACTTATCTCATTCATTTAAATATATGCTTTAAGGCATATTTACCTGTAGGGGAACTGGTTTAACTACCATACACAAGGCCTGTTTACTATGGTGTAGAAGACCAAATGTTTTCTAATCTTTTCTTTGTCCCATTAGCTATTCAGAAACACATCTATTAATTTCCAAACAGATGGATATTTTCTAGATATGTTTGTCTTTAATTCCTAGATTAATTGCATTGAGGTCAGAAAACATTTCCCTGATTTAACTGTTGGAATCTGTTGGAATTTGATTCATGGCCCTATATAATACATTTCCATAAATGTTTGTAAGTGTGGTTTTTGAAAATATACTTGAAAAGAATGTGTATTCTTCAATCACTGGATACAGCTTATATAATGTGTCCACTCTGGTAATCTCTGTCTTTTAATTGACATATTTAGACCATTGATATTTAAAGTGATTATTAATATAGTTGGATTAATGCTTACCATATTTGTTACTGTTTTCTGTTTGTTGCCTTACTCTTTGTTCCCCTTTTTGTTTTCCACACTTTTGCTTCCTTTTGTGGTTTTAATTGAGCATTTTGTGTAATTCCGTTTTCTCTTCTTTCTTAGCATATCATTTTTTTATTTTTTAACAATGTTTGCCCGAGAGTTTTCAATATGGATTTCCAACTAATTCAAGTCTATTTTCAAAAAACACTATACCGCTTCTTACATAGCATATAATCCTAATTTCTTCTTCCTATGCCTTGTATCATTTTTGCCATTTATTTCACTTACACATAAGTATAAATAAGCGTGCATCTGTATAAACATACGTAAAATAACATATATTATTGGCATTATTTTTAACAAACTTTGTTAGATCAACTAAGAATATGAAAAATGAAAGTTTTTATGTTACCTTCACTTATTTCTTCTCCAATGCTCTTTATTTAGACCTATATCAATTTCTTTTTCTCTGGAGAACTTATTTTTAACAACACTTCTTGCAAGGCAGGTCTACTGGCAACAAATTCCCTCAGTTTTTGTCTGTCTGAGAAAGTCTGTGAGCTTCCTGGATCTATGGTTTGGTGTCTGGCATTAATATGGGGGAACTCTCAGTTATTATTGCTTCAGATACTGCTTCTGTTTGTTTTCCTCTTTCTTCCCTTTGTGGAATTCCCATTACACATATGTTACACTTTACAGTGGTCTCAGAGTTCTTGAATATTCTGTTCTGTTTTTTTGTTCTTCTTCTTGTTGTTGTCACTGTTGTTTTCAGTCTTTTTTCTCTTTGCTTTTCAGTTTTGGAAGATTCTAACATTATATACTCAAGGTCAGATATGTTTTTCTTAGCCATCGCCAGTCTACTAACGAGCCCATCAAAGGCATTCTTCATTTCTGTGCTTTTTATCTCTAGCATTTCTTTAGATTCTTAGAATTTTTATCTCTCTACTTACATTATCCACCTGTTCTTGCATGTTGTCTACTTTTTCAATTAAAACCCTTTGCATATAAATCACAGTTGTACAAAATTCGTGCTCTGATAATGCCAACCTTCCTTCCAAATCTGGCTCTGGTTCTGATGTTCTTTTAGTCACGTCAGGTTATGTTGTTTATCTTTTAGTATGTTTTGTAATTTTTTATTGTATGGTGGACACGAGGTACTAGGTAAAAGATACTGTGGTAAATAGGCTTTTAGTAATATCATGGAAGGTGCAGGGGAGGGGGATGTTCTATAGTCCTATGAGTAGGTCTCAGTCTCAGTGAGCCTGTGCCTCTGCCCTGTGAACTTCACAAATTCTTCTTAGTACCCCCTTGCCCTCCTTGGGTGGGACAGGGTGGCTAAAGGGGGCTGGAGTTGGGTATTCCCCCTCCCCCAGGTCAGATAAGCTCCAGTAAAACCCCAGCTAGTTAAGCTCTGGTAAAATAATTTCTACCGAGAGCAGTCTTTGTTACGAACAGCATACTTAGGCAAATTTCAAAATGGTTGCTTTTCCCCTCCTCCTGCGGGAAGCACAAGGGGATTTTTCTCTATCTTCATCGTGAGACCCCTGGAAGTAAAATAAAAATGTGGGGTCCCATCCTATTACTGGGTCCCCTTGTGTTCTTATCTCTCAGGCTTATCCACATGGAGCCTCCATCACTTCATCAGTCACAGTTTAGATTTTCTTACCCTGGTGCTGGTTTCTGTGCAGGCTTCTGCTCTGGTACATTGTGATTCCCTGTATCTGCCTCTCTCTCCAATTTTTGGGGCGGTGGCCTCCCCTGTGACCTCACTGATAGATCTCTGTGAGGAGCTGATGGATCTAAGAAGAGTTGTTGATTTTTCAGTATATTTAGTTTTTCACTTGTTGTTTGGATGGAATGGTGACTTTTTTTTTTTTTTTTTTTTTTTTCTGAGATGTCACCCAGGCCGGAGTGCAATGGTGTGATCTCGGCTCACTGCAACCTCTGCCTCCTTGATCCAAACGATTCTCCTGCCTCAGCCTCCCTAGTAGCTGGGATTACAGGTGTGTGCCACCATGACCAGCTAATTTTTGTATTTTTAGTACAGATGGGTTTCACCACGTTGGTCAGTCTGGTCTTGAACTCCTGACCTCAGGTGATCTGCCCGCCTCGGCCTCCCAAAGTGCTGGGATTACAGGTTTGAGCCACCATGCCTGGCCAGAATGGTGACTTTTAAGCACCTTATAGTCTAAACCAGAAAACAGAAGTCACCTTATTAATTTTTAAAATCATATATCCAAAGACCTATATCACCTCACACCAAGGTGAGGACAAATTTTGGGCCAAATTATTTATGGTATTTCAAAATTGAAATACCTTTTTTTTTTTTTTTTGAGACAGAGTCTCACTCTCACCCAGGCTGGAGTGCAGTGGTGCAATCTTGGCTACCCAGAACCTCCTCCTCCTGGGTTCAAGCAATTCTCCTGCTTCAGCCTCCCGATAGCTGGGATGACAGGTGCACACCACCATAGCTGGCTAATTTTTTTGTAATTTTAGTAAAGACAGGATTTTGCCATGTTGGCCAGGCTGGTCTCAAACTCCTGACTTCAAGTGATCTACCTGTCTCAGCCTCCCAAAGTTCTGGGATTACAGGCATGAGCCACTGCGCCCGGCTGAAATATATTTCTTACTAGGTAATACAGCTAGTTTTCAAAGAGTATAAGTATACAGAGAAAAATGATTTCCTCATCTCCATATCTCTACCCTCACTTCTAGTCTCCAGATCTTTCTCACAGGGAAACACCACTCTCTGTTTCTTATATATTATTTTGGAGTTGTTTTTACCTACATGTTTATAATGTCTTTTGGTATATGTTCTGTTTCTTCTCTGTAGCAGAAGATCTATGGAGATATATATCTATATTTTTTTCTTCATTTGTTTTGGGTTTTGTTGAATTTAAATATGCATTAATTATCCATTTGTTTTAAATATATATCTTAAATTCAACAAAATAATTTACATATCTTTATATATTTATTTAACATATATTTAAATTCGACAAAAAACCAAATCAATAAAGCCTCCCTGATTCTGAGATAGTGATTAGATGTATCTTTTCATGACTACTTTCCTGTTTACCAGAACCAAGAAGTGAGCAGACTCGGTTGGAATCCTGCCTTTACTGTGAGAGTGAGGATATATTTTCGTCTTCCAGGGGCACGGTAGGTAGGGAGCCGCAGTGCTGATACGGAGCGTGGCTGGCGTCAGAGCCTCGGTCTGCCAGTGTGTCGGCGCTGGCACGACCTGTCCCACATGCCTGGGAAGCTCTTGCTGAGCAGGGATTAGGATGCCAGCATCTGATGCACAGGGTTGCTTCCTGCTCCCCCTTGGAGTCCTGACGAGAAATGACCTTGTTCAACCCTGCTGAGCTTCCTAGATTTACTGGGCTTATAGCAACACATGGGAAGGAGATTATGTTTATTTTTAAAACATAAAAAATGCAACCTTCCCAAGGCCTTCGTGGTGTCTGTGTGCAACAACACAAATACACACACACATGCAATGTATGTATAATCACTTCTAATTAACTTCAGCTCTTCCTGCAAAACTAAGTGTGAAGTCTTAAAGACTTGTCAGCTTCTCTGCCTGTGAAATTTATCTACTTCTAATTGTGAATAACAATACATTCAAGGTTAGCTATAAATGACTCAGATTTCACAGGAATTGAGTCTTAAAACTACATTTGAAGATGAATACAGTTATGCAAAACATTTTTGTGGTGTGTTTCCAGCTAAAAATGTTGTTATTTATGCTTATCCAGAATGTTTTTCTCCCCCTAAACCAATGTGGTTCTTTCTGACATCCGTGAAAAAATAGATGTGATTGATTTCAAAGTCAGCCCAAATTTAAAAGGTATAAAGCCACAGATATGCCTAAAATAAAAATGAGTATACTATTATAATGGATTGACAGATGAATTCAGTTTACGATTTCACAAAACATAATATTCAAACAGTGAATATCAAATAGGATTAAAAATTGTTTTCCCACCTTCTGCCACGTTTAGAGTACTGGAAACTTTTCCAGATTTCGCCACTAGATGTCATGAAGAGTCCAGTTAAATACAGTAGGCAGGCTTGTGTACAGTCTAATACAGAAACTTTTAAAGTTTTTCCCGATTTTGTAGTTAATTTGGGTAGGAAGCTATTTCCTTTTGAGTTTTATGTCAAAAATATCTGTTATGGATTAATTTTAAGTGAGATGTTAAAAACTCTTAATGCGGTCAGATATTAAACGCTGGGACTCTAACCTATTAAGCAGGCATTGGGATTATCTCCAGGGAGAATGTCATGTGCTGGATGCAGAATCAGAATTGTGCTAAGATCTGCTTTGGAGACATTAGCTTGTAGATCCCTACCTTCCTTTCCTTTTGAAACAGTAATGGGCTTGTCAGATGTGTGGTCATCGAGGTTTCATAGGATTGTTCATAAAACTAGACTAGTGAGAGGAACAAAAAAGGGGAGGACCTCAATGCTTAGGTGACAATGTTTGAATTTAGACTTTGAGATCCATTAACCAAAGTAATTCTGGGAGACTAGAAATGATCAATTGATGTTTAGAGAGATAAAGTTTGATTCAATAAAAAGAACTTCCTAAAAATACAATAGTCCATCATGTAACACAGTGCCTTATGAAGCAATGAAGTCCTTGTTACTGCAAAGGTTCAAGCACCTACATAGTGGCCATCAATGGGGAAGATATCCTAGAAGAGACTATTTGGGGAAGAAAGTTGGACTAAGTGACACTGAGGATTCTTAGATCCATGATTCTACACATGGTGATGACAGTCATTCAACAGCCAAGAAGGCAGCAAGAGTTGAAAATGTGTGCTTACAGAAATACAAATGAAATATTTGAGTTTACTTAAACCAGGGAAAATAGGGTTCTTAAAGAAGCCTCACAGGGGAATTGCCACAATTGTGCTGTTTTGTGAGGCTCTGCCTGGGAAGCACTGGTGAGAAGGAACTGTTCGGCTTTGGTGCTTCCAACCTCTGGTTCCAAAATGCTCCCCATCCCAGGGACACAGCTCTTCCCTCCCAAGGACACATGGTCTATTTGGCCCTCCTCTGCTCATCAAAAGTTGATCTCAACTCATCCTTGTAAAGTAAATCTGAGAGTAACTTAGTGGCAGTCTTTCCAGTGTGTTGCATTTTATTAGGGAACAAAGCCTTAAGGCTAAACTAAAGGACTGAAACTCAGTCTGGGAATGGAAGGTCTCAGCTGGCTCGCAGGGGAGGAAACAGGCCCTTGTTTGACCTCTGGACAGTTGCTTTTTCTGCCAAGACGATAAGCCCCAGAGTATGGCTGGCTCTTGAAGGACATCACGTGAGCTACCAAGATTGATAAAAACAAAACAAAATACTTCCACATACTTCTTGCTCTAAACAAAAGAACCACAGCTGAAATATGACCTAAGGCTACCCAAGACTTTGAGGTGCAATCCTAATATGTATCAGGGAACATGGCTTGATAAAATCGATCTAAATACATGCAATAAAAGCCAGATTATATAACATCTTTCTAAACTCAGAGTTTGGTAAAATATCACATGATTAGCCTAGAAAGTGGGTTTACTATTTCCTTCTCATTCCAAGAGTGAAAGGATTTACTCATGCTCACACTCTCTAGGTATGCAAGAGAGTTGCTCACCTGTTTACTTGGACTCTTGACCAGATGTTAAATGAAATATCTTCATCTCCATTCCCACGGTATCATAGATGCTTAGAGCTGGGGTGATCCCTGATGGATCCCATGGATCTACAGGCCAATGTCTTAATTCCACAGATGAGAAACTGAGGCCTGGAGTAGCTTTCTAGACTGGCAGTTTGCTGTCCCACCACCACACTGTCACCTTCCCAAAGGTGTGTTCTTGAAACACAGAGAGAGGTTTATACCGACCCAGGCACACATCTCCACCTGGCCCTGCAGGGAATCATGAACAGAGATGCGTGGGTGGGAGTGGAAATGTGATCTATTGCCATCATCTACATCGATGGTTCTTATGATTTTACTACCAAGGGCTGAATGTAGTAACTGCTCCCCTCACAGTGGGCCTTATGTCTTCAAAGATTAGGTCTACAAAACAAACCCCATTTGTTAAGTATTTGTTACTGCAATGACTTGCAGACAGGTATTGCTATCAACCTCAACCTTCTGATCAGTACAGAAAGCCGAGGTTTCAGCCTCAAGTTGATGCTAGCCCAGCTCACTGCAAAGAAGTTTGGTGTTTTAGCCTGAGCAATCTTCTGAAAAACTTGCTTTAGGAGTACTGAAATGTAGTACAGCTAAGGCCCTCCAAAGGTCTGGAAGCTCAGGTTCGCTTCCAGATCACCTACCCAAAGGTTATTCACGAGAATCCCTGGCCTTGACTTCATTAGCGCCCCTCCCTGAGTTAACCATGGTTCATCATGGAATCAGTGTGAGGTGAGGTTACAATCCGCCACCATCTAGCATCTACATGATTGCAATGGCCTTGTTACTATCTCCCTGGTTTTACCCTGCCCCGTCCTCCCTGAATCTATGCCCAACAGAGCAGCTATTAAAGTCATTCAACACTCCTCTGCTCCAAACTTGCAATGGCTCTGCCGTCTACTCACAGTGGAAGCAAAGTCATTCCAGTGATTCCAAGGTCCCACCTTCTCTGGCTTTTGCCCCCACCCCTTTACTCCTCTGATGTGGTCTATTCTTTTCTTCAACCCACTCTGCACACTGAGCGGGCTAAGTCAACGCCAACTTGCTGCTTCTCAGTGAGTCCACGCATGTCCGGAATTGGTGGGTTCTTGGTCTCACTTCAAAAACGAAGCCGCGGACCCTCGCGGTGAGTGTTATAGCTCTTAAGGTGGCGCCTCTGGAGTTTGTTCCTTCTGATGTTCGCATGTGTTCTGAGTTTCTTCCTTCTGGTGGGTTCGTGGTCTCGCTGGCTCAGGAGTAAAGCTGCGGACCTTCGCGGTGAGTGTTACAGCTCTTAAGGCGGCGCGTCTGGAGTTGTTAGTTCCTCCCGGTGGGTTCGTGGTCTTGCTGGCTTCAGGGGTGAAGCTGCAGACCTTCGCAGTGAGCGTCACAGCTCAGAAAGGTAGTGTTGACCCAAAGAGTGAGCAGCAGCAGGATTTATTGCAAAGAGCGAAAGAACAAAGCTTCCACACCGTGGGCTGGGATCCGAGCAGCTTGCCACTGCTGGCTCGGGCAGCCTGCTTTTATTCTGTTATTTGGCCCCACCCACATCCTGCTGATTGGTAGAGCCCAGTGGTCTGTTTTGACAGGGGGCTGATTGGTGCCTTTACAATCCCTGAGCTAGACACAAAGGTTCTCCACGTCCCCACCAGATTAGCTAGATACAGAGTGTGGACACAAAGCTTCTCCAAGGCCCCACCAGAGTAGCTAGATACAGAGTGTAGATTGGTGCATTCACAAACCCTGAGCTAGACACAGGGTGCTGATTGGTGTGTTTACAAATTTACAAATCTTGAGCTAGATACAGAGTGCCGATTGGTGTATTTACAGTCCCTGAGCTAGACATAAAGGTTCTCCACGTCCCCACCAGACTCAGGAGCCCAGCTGGCTTCACCCAGTGGATCCCACACCAGGGCTAAAGATGGAGCTGCCTGCCAGTCCCACGCCGTGCGCCCGCACTCCTCAGCCCTTGGGTGGTCGATGGGACTGGGCGCCGTGGAGCAGGGGGCGGCGCTCGTGGAGGAGGCTGGGGCCGCACAGGAGCTCATGGAGGGGGTGGGAGGCTCAGGCATGGCGGGCTACAGGTCCCGAGCCCCGCCACGCGGGAAGGCAGCTAAGGCCCGGCGAGAAATCGAGCTCAGCGCCGGTGGGCTGGCACTGCTGGGGGACCCAGTACACCCTCCGCAGCCGCTGGCCCCGGTGCTAAGCCCCTTATTGCCCGGGGCCGGCAGGGCTGGCCGGCTGCTCGGAGTGCGGGGCCCGCCAAGCCCACGCCTACCCGGAACTCCAGCTGGCCCGCAAGCGCCGCGTGCAGCCCCGGTTCCCGCTCGCGCCTCTCCCTCCACACCTCCCTGCAAGCTGAGGGAGCCGGCTCCGGCCTTGGCCAGCCCAGAAAGGGGCGCCCACAGTGCAGCGGTGGGCTGAAGGGCTCTTCAAGTGCCGCCAAAGTGGGAGCCCAGGCAGAGGAGGCGCCGAGAGCGAGCGAGGGCTGTGAGGACTGCCAGCAAGCACGCTGTCACCTCTTACAGGTACGGTCCTAACTCTGGGCCTTTTCCTTGCTGCTGTCCCTCCCTAGAGCTCTCTTCTCCAGGTATCCGGGCTGGACTCAAAGCCCAGCTCACTCACCTCCCTCATTCTTTACTCAAATGTCACCTTCTCACCACCAGCTTCCTGGCCATCTCATCTACAATTGCAACACCCTAGTCCCCACCACAAGCTCACCAGGGCCAATTCCCCCACTTTATTTTATTTTATTTTTTTTTTTGAGGCAGAGTTTCACTCTTCTAGCCCAGGCTAGTGTGCAGTGGCGCCATCTCAGCTCAGTGCAACCTCCGCCTCCCAGGTTGAAGCAATTCTCCTGCCTCAGCCTCCTGAGTAGTTGGGACTAGAGGCGCCTACCACCACGCTCCACTAATTTTTTGTATTTTTAGTAGAGATGGGGTTTCACCATGTTGCCAGGCTGGTCTTAAACTCCTGACCTCAGTGAGCCACCCACCTCGACCTCCCTAAGTGCTGGGATTACAAGCGTGAGCCACTGCTCCCGGCTGAATTCCCTCACTTTCTATCCTTTTTCTCTGCTTTATTTTTCTCCCTATCAATATCTAAGAACCCAAATATTTTGCTAAATAAACAAAACATTATTGTCTTTCTTCCCAAGTAGAACGTAAATTTTATGAGGATAGAAATTGTCTCTTTTGTTTATGGTTATGTTTAGTGCCTAAAAGAGTGCTTGGTACCTAGTCAGGAGATATTTATTGAGAAACAAGTGTATGAATGCCCACTATGCTCCATACAGCATCAGGCTATGATCTTAAAGGTTTCCGGGCAAAGTAACAAAATACTGCAGTAAATTCTAGGTGCAACATTTTAGGAAAATCACGCAGAACTGTGGGTGAGGAAAAAGCAGGTTGTCATCCTGGCTCTGCTAGAGTCTCATGTTGTGACCTTAGGCAAATTGTGAAATCTCTCTGTGCCTTGTTCCTACATTACAGATGAGAAAACAAATATTGACCTTATTTCTGTCACAAGGCTTTATAAGAGCCAAATGAAAAGGGGCATACAAGCGTCTTGAAAAGTTAGCCTATTCAAATGTAAGAAGTTCTTCTTTCAAAAATTAAATGTGTTCAAAATAGAAAGACTGAAGAGAGGTTCTAAATCTAGTACTGAGGGGGAAATACAGAAAGGAGAGAAGGAATAGAACAGAATGATCAGTATGTCAAACCCCAAACAGAAATAATTAAGAAGAGGATGTTGAAAGTTTGGGTCTTTGGACCCACACTGGAGACCCATAGCACTGGCTGGAGAGGTGAAATATTCTTTGCTCCAAACACATTAGGCCAAGTGATGAGAAGGATCAGATCATGTCATAATAATAACAACTACTGTCTATTTTACTTACTTTTTTTTTTTTTTGAGACAGAGTCTCGCTTGTTGCCCAGGCTAGAGTGCAGTGGCACAATCTTGGTTCACTGCAACCTCTGCTTCCTGGGTTCAAGCAATTCTTGTGCTTCAGCCTCCCAAGTGCTGGGATTGCAGGCATGTGTCACTCTGCCTGGCTAATCTTTGTATTTTTAGTACAGTTGGGGTTTCACCATATTGGCCAGGCTGGTCTTGAACTCATGACTTCAAGTGATCTGCCTGCCTCAGACTCCCAAAATGCTGAGATTACAGGCGTGAGCCATGGCACCCAGCCCTATTTTACTTTCAACTGTGAGCTCCATACTATGGGTTTTAGCTGGGTTGTTTAATCCTCACTACACTCTGAGGTAGGTATTCTGATCTCTATTTCATGGGGCAAAATACCAAGGCTTAGAGAAGTTAAGGGATTAAGTTCAAGTACCTATATATAGTGCCTGGGACATCAAACCTATTCCTTTTCCCCCGCCGACCCTGCTTTCCATTCATTCTCAGCCAAGTAAGAGAGAATTCTGTGGTAGGATTCTAGATACAAAGTCTGGAATTTTTATAGGAACAAAAATTCTCAGGGCTGGGCGTGGTGGCTCATGCCTGTAATCCTAACACTTTGGGAGGCTGAGGCAGGAGGATTACTTGAGGCTGGGAGTTGCAGACCAGCCTGGGCAAAATAGCGAGACACTGTCTCTACAGGAAAATTTAAAAATTAGTATGTCCCTGTAGTCCCAGCTACTTAGGAGGCTGGGATGGGAAGATTGCTTGAGCCCAGGAGTCCAAGACTACAGTGAGCTATGATTATACCACTGTACTCGAGCCCAGATGACAGAGTGAGATCTTGTTTCTTTAAAAAAAAAAAAAACTCAAATTTTCTTCCTTATAATAACATCTCACAATGTAGTACATGATCAAATACCATCAACCATCATTCTCCCATTTCTACATTTGTGCTAATCTTGTCTCTTTAAACAGCTTTTAATTTCTCAGAGTACCTACCATGGTTTTGGGCATTCAGTGGATCCTCACTGAATTGTTTGGCTAAATGGGTTCAGTTTCCTGAATGCTGTTAAACTACTGCGTGACCATTTCTGGGAGACTAGAATTTTAAGCTTTCTCAACTTCCTGTCTCCCACCTCTCTGAAAAAAAAATGAACATTAGATTAGGGAAGTTGGTGAGGAAGAGAAGTTTCCATTTAAGGATTTTTACAAGAATGAGTTGGTGGTGGAGATTTTGACTCTTATTTTTGCATCTAAATAGACTCAAGAAATGTAAGATTCTTAACCCCAAACACTTTAATGTATCATTTCTGCACACTTTCCAGCTTAGAAAAGGGAAGCTATTCATTTTCCAAAATATGAACAATATATAAAAAGTGAATTGATCTAATTTTCCGCCAAATTTTATAGTTCTGGGATAGTCATGGTTCCAGGCACCTAAAATGCACTTGAGCTCTGAAAACAGAAGCAACTTTTAGAGAAGTGACGTGTTGTCTTTCCGTCTCCAAGATTGTATTGGGAAACCACCACAGACTATTGTAGTCCAAATTACTGCTTAACTTGAAGGCCTTTTAACTGATTTAGCAAATGATTGCCCACAGCTTGGCATTGAGCAGCCTGAAACCACAGTGGAAATCACTAGAGTAAAAGAAGAAAACAAAATGTAGAAAAGATGTTTATGTTCATTCAAAAGTCTACATGTGTGTTTAAGTAGAAGTTATAGCCAAGTTCGACTTTCAAAAGTTCCTTAGGAAGTTTTCTGCTGAAGAGAGAGTAGCAGAGAGAAGCTATGCTTTTCCAAGTCTGAAAAACCTATGTGGTGTGCCCTCCAATTCCATGGAGACAAAAAATTAATTTAGATGTATTTTATACCAAAAGACATACTTGAGACATTGAAAGTATGTCTCACATTAAAAAAAAATTTCATCGTATTTTAAGTTCCGAGATACATGTGCAGAATGTGCAGGTTTGTTACATAGGTAAACGTGTGCCATGGTGGTTTGCTGCACCCATCAACCCAACCCCTAGGTATTAAGTTCAGCATGCATTAGCTATTTATCCTGATGCTCTCTGTCCCCGCCCCCCCGGCAACCCCCTCACATTTTTAAATTTTTTCACTGTATGAAATTGAAACCATATATATATATATATATATATATATATATGTAGTTTGTTTGTTTGTATATATATATAGATTGTTTGTTTGTTTGTTTGTTTGAGATGGAGTTTCGCTCTGTCACCCAAACTGGAGTGCAGTGGCGCGATCTCGGCTCACTGCATCCTCCGCCTCCCAGGTTTAAGCAATTCTCTGCCTCAGCCTCCTGAGTAGCTGGGATTACAGGCATCCACCACCATGCCCGGCTAATTTTTTTTTGTATTTTTAGTAGAGACGGGGTTTCACCATCTTGGCCAGGCTGATCTTGAACTCCTGACCTTGTAATCCACCTGCGTTGGCCTTCCAAAGTGCTGGGATTACAGGTGTGAGCCACCGTGCCCGGCCTATTCTTTATTTTTTTTATAGGTGGAGAAGTAAGGAGGCAGTTTGTATATCGCCTCTCAATTTCTCTCTCTCACACCCCCTTATAATATGGATGCTGAGTGACATCACTAACATCCATGTTGAAGACAAGTTGGATTTTAGTGACTGTTTTCCTTAGGTTTTGTGGGTACATAAATTGACTTACATATTTTCTATTTGATAATAGGTTCCAATTTGTATACACTCTCCAAAGTTCAGGTTTTTAGATAGTGTTGTACGATTCCCCCAAACAACATCTGCGATGTCTGAAAGAAAAATAAAATCACTAGCATTCTAGGTGGAATGGAAGAAAAAAAGCAAGAGACATTTCCGATTAACTCTAATTGAAGAGTTTTTGCAAATCATTGCTCACACCTTGGCTTGTTCACGGTGCAGTTTGTGTGGGTTTTAATTTACTTTCAAGTGCAGTTCAAGGTGTGGATATTGATCTATAAACCCCCGATGGTGGGTCCCTGGGTACTGAGCAACATCTTTGTGTACCAATGTGACAGCTGAGGTCAATTAGAGTGCTGGTTAGCCATCCTCAAATCTAAACACTCTGAAAAGGTGTCCTTGATAAAGTGCCCCAAGCTCAAGGGTCTCTTTTCCTGGTTGGCCTGGGTCAGAAAGAATTGCAAAGCAAGGCCACTTAGCCAAAATCTCCATTCTACCCACTCAGGTTCTCTTAGGTCATCCCCCATGCCATGCCCTGCCCCCAGGTTGGGGCTATGGCTTTATTTGATTCTGGGCATTGTGAACAGTTCTTGCTGGGACTGTCTTCCTGTGTCCATGGAACATGCAGTATTGAAATCAGCACTGCTCAAAGCGTGACCCACCAATCAGTGGCATCACTTGGGAGTTGGTTAAATATGCAAATTCTTGGGCCTCATCCCACACCTATTGAATCAGAAACTCTAAGGGTGGGACCAGCAATCTGTGCTTTAAGGAGCCCTCCAGGTGATGCTAATACACTCTAAAGTTTAGGAGCCCCTGGCATATGGGATGATTTCAGGGAGTACGAGGTCTCCCTCCACCTGTTACACACCAGAGCTTCTCCACAGTTTCAAGCTTTGGGTCTTGCAATATGCAAATGCCTAGGAGCACTTTAAGCTGGCATCAGCTATTTATATCTTAATATGAACAGTTTTGTATTTTGCTGGCTTTACTAGAAAAACTGACCTAAAATGCTGATTTTCTTGGGAGGATTCTCTCCAGCTTTTGGTGGAAAATGGTGCCACCAGGAGGAAGCAAGGTACAGAGGAAAAAGTTCCTTTGGGTTACAGTTTTCCTTAGAGCCAGCTTTATGTCTTGTCGTTGGAGCCAATTTGCAGACGAATGTCAGGAGGCTAAAAACTTCTGGGCAAATAGAAAAAATATTGAAGGATCCAACATATTAATCAAGGAGGAGTCTGCTTAGAGTTGAGAAAGTGTAGATTAGTCAGTGTATCCCCAAAATGTTAAGGAAGAAAAGAAGCTAATTTGGGAAATTGAGTGGGACACATCTAAAAGGGAATTTTGTTGCCCAGAAATAATTTACTAGGGGTTCTTTAAAGGCCGTTTTTTTTTTTTTTTTTTTTGAGATGGGGTCTCGCTCTGTCACCCAGGCTGGAGTGCAGTGGTATGATCTTGGCTCACTGCAAGCTCCGCCTCCTGGGTTCAAGTAATTCTCCTGCCTCAGCCTCCCGAGTAGCTGGGATTACAGGTGCATAGCCCAGCTAATGTTTGTGTTTTTAGTAGAAACGGGGTTACACCATGTTGTCCAGGCTGGTCTCGAACTGCTGACCTCAGGTGATCCACCAGCCTCAGCCTCTCAAAGTGCTGGGATTACAGGCATGAGCCAAGGCTCCTGGCCTCTCCAAAGGCTTTCTTTATCTCTACCATAGAAAGAAAAAAGAAAAAGGTTACAATCAGATTTTGCCCACTACCACTATAGCTTGCATCGTTTGTGGAGATAGAGGGGAATTTATATTTTCCTTGTGGTGGAGCTGAGCAATTGTCTTAGAAGCAGCTGGCTTTCCTGGTGGATTGAACATGGGAGCCAGAGACAGGGAGTCTGGCTTTCTTAATCCTTTCTCCACCATCAGTTCAGCCAAGCCCCGCACAAGTCTCTTAACTTCTCTGTGATTGTTTCTTCCCTGTAAAACAGGAATAAAAACGTTCACCTGCCCCTCAGGGGGGACTCTGGGGGACTGACTGGTAGATGACAGGACTGCCCTTTATATTTTCAATGTGCCACATAAAAGCTGTTTTGCTTGTTGGGGCAGTCTTTGTTTGGTTTCTCACAGAGCAACCTTTAATGGCGCTTGAGAAAATCAATTCCATTTGTAAACTCTATCAAGTAATCACATGGAACTTGAAGCTTTAACTTCTGAAACTGAAGTTGCACAATAGGAAATTGCCAAATGTGGATATTATAGGAATTTTAACATGCTGAATGTGGCCTTGCGTTGGATAATAATGGTATTGAGGAATGTGCAGCTGTTTGTACTGGAGTGAGTAGTCCCAGTCCTTGGAGAGCAGGGAATGGCAGGAACTGCCTCTAACTATTGTAATCTACAAGATTATCCCATTAATCATATTTGTCTCTGGGAGTACCTTAGTTCTAACTCTAAGTGTTGTTTTTCCCTTGATGCATCACATGCAAGAAAGCTTCTAATTGAAAACATTACAGGGACAAATTTCAAAATGTTTCCAAATACAAGACGAGTTTTAACTGCCAATAAAATAAAAGTAAACTGCACACATCAAAACCAGGTCTGATTAGATTTTTTTGGCTTTTCTGTTTCTTTGCATTTTTTTAAACCTACAAACTGTTATCATATATTATGATCTGGATCACCGCAGTTTTTTCCTTAGATATTTCTCAGGCCTGCATTCATCACCAGACAAAATGGCTAAGAGTTCCAGGACTGTGGGCTAGCCGGGGAGTGACCCACCTCTTCTCTCCTTTCCACCCAGAACGAAACAAGATCTAGGAGCTGCAGGGTAGTCTGAGGACAAAAATAAAGAGCACATTTAAAAAATGAGACTCAGATGCGTAAGTTTGAGATGATAGATTTTTATTAATGACATAATATCGGAAGACATTAGTCCAGTTGCAGCGTGTTTCAAGGCCCAGGCAGCTTCCTCTTCAGCAGCTGGTGTGACTTTTCATGCTGTTTCTGGAGCTTTCTCCTACTGAGAAGCTGTACAAATTTTAGGGTATGTGTGTTTCATCTCAACAGCTACTTAAGAATATGGTACTATATTGATCCCAGGATTTAAAAATATGCTCTGTGCTTTTGCATGTATCTCTGTAATGAATATATGAGCTGTATATGTTCTTACACACACGTACCATTCATGCAGTTGTTTTTAATATACATCAGAGCTAAAGACCAAATGCTGACAGCGCTGGAAATGAATAATACGTTTATTAACTTACACATAAACCTCAAACAAAGGAGATGACTTTTTGTTTATCTAACAAGCTCTGAATTGATTACAGACCCAAAGTGGCAGTTAATATGTAAAAACACATTTGTAATTGGTAAGAGTATTTGGTTTCTTGGGTCATGTATTTCAACTAAGTGGTCCAGTAAAACTGGTACTTTCAAATTTGAACTATATTAGATGAAAGTATAGAGGGAAATATAATATACTGTTTTTGGAACTGAACTATAAAACCAGAAGTAGGAGTAGTTGTTTCATGAGTTGATAATTCTTAAGTCTCTCTGTTTCTTGAGTCAGGGTCTTGCTCTGTCACCCTTGATGGAGTGCTGTGGCATGATCATAGTTCACTGCAGCCTCAAACTCCTGTGCTCAAGGGATCCTCCCGCCTCAGCCTCCCAAGTAGCTGAGACTACAGGTGCGTGCCACCATGCCCAGCTAAGTTTTGTAATTTTTTTGTAGAGACAAGGTCTCACTGTTTTCCTCAGACTGGTCTCCAACTCCTGGCCTCAAGTGATCCTCCTGCCTCGGCCTTTCAAAGTGTTGGGATTATAGGCGTGAGCCACTGTGCCCAGCCTAAAGTTTCTTCCTTTAAAATGGATCACTACAGTGGGCCAAAGCCAGAGAGAACTGTGTGCAAGTCCAGATTGTCTCTTACTGGTGGTGTGATCTGTGGCAGTTCACTTCAAGGCCTCAATGCTGCTGGCTTTTCATTTTGGTAGATGGCAAGAGCCACCCATGCCTTATAGAGTGTAAAGTGCTGTGTGAAGTGTTTCAAGGACTCCACCCCAAGTCCTGAAACAAGGAGCAGAGGCAGCCAAGGTCCTGGTACTATGCATGAGGTGTGAGGCACATTTGTCCCCTCCACCTCCTTGTGCTGTGGTCTAAAATAGAACGGCAACATCTGCAGCCCCGTGTCAGGGGTGTGGGACAGTCTGGTGAGGGCCACCAGGGGGCTGACTGGCTGCAAGGGGCACAGGCAGCCACATGGCGGCCAGCAGGGGAACTGGGCCTGATCTGTGGGTGTTCCCAACGGGGTCAAATTGCCTGGTGTCAAGTTACCCTGCTTCTCTAATCCACGGGTAGCGGGTAGCGGATAGTCAAGGGTTAGAAATAAGCACTGTGTGCAGTCTCTGGTTTTAGCCTGTAAGATTCCACTGCTTAGCTTTTAGGAGGGGAAGGAAAAGCAATTGAACAGTGAAGGGATAGGGGAATGTCCGCAGGCCCCCTTCCCATGGCAAAATTTCCTCTTGGTGGTACTGTCCCCTGCCAACTCTTTTCTGCCCAAATATCATGCAAGGGGGAGGGGCTATGCAAGAGATGAACAGAAACTCCGTTTATTGTTTTCAATCTCAGCTTAGCAACCATCTCCTTCTGAGAGACTTCCCTGAGTCCTTTAGTCTCCGCCACCCTTAGGACTTACTGTAATTGTCTGCTCACTCGTCTCTACCCCAGACTAGATTGTAAGCTCCAGGAGGGCAAGGATTGTTCCTTTCTTGCTGAATCCTAGGACCCTGTACTCAACACGGACAAATGATCCCAGACATTGGAGTCCAAGGTGGCTGGAATGCGGTATAAACACGTAGGGAAAGGCCTTCCCAGCTTTGTCCTCCCGGTCCCTCGAGTTGAGGCAGTTTCACTAGATTTTCCCTCTGAGCCCAGGTCTGGGGGGTCTCAGGAGCTGGGGCTCCCAGGCTGGTCCTGTTGGTCCCTGTGTCCCCGGGTGCACCACAAAGCCTTTTCTCCCTGGGATTCTGCCCGGGGCATTATGTGGAGTGGGTCCGTACTCTTACCCATCTCACAAAACCTTGCAGTCTAGGGGGAATCTATGAAACCTCTCTCCCTCCAAGCTTCTCTTCCCTGGGAGGAGCCAGCGGGATTGAGAGCCTTGGAAATAATCTACTGTTTTCTGAGAAGGTTGTTGGGTGGCTACAGCAGCAGCATGAGAAGAGGGTATAGCAGTAGAAAGCAGCAAGTGTGAGGCTGCAAGCATTTACAGGAAAGGCAATTGGTCCTGGTGATCGGGAATTGAGAGTTTTGTGTTAGTTCCTCCCAGAGCACAGAGCCTTAATGACGAAGACATCCCCAGCAGCCGGCTGAGTGACTGCAGGGGGAGGACGAGCCATGCATGCTGGGAGGAATGGTGTGAGATGAGCCACTCCTTTATGCTGAGAGAAATCGGGACTCACAATTCAACCCATAAATACTGTAGATAATTTTATGTAGAAAATCCTGTAATTCATTGTCTATGATCAATTTCACTGCTAAGTACAATTTAGCTAGGGACATATCCTTATTGTGTAATATAATTAAAGTCCAATTTCAGAAGTGTAACTGGTTATTTTGTGGAGAGGAAATGCTAAGAACTGGGCAATAGCCAATAATCATAGCTACCATTGGTTAACTTCTTTTTTTTTTTTTTTTTTTTTTTGAGAAGGAATCTCGCTCTGTCACCCAGGCTACAGTGCAGTGGTGCAATCTTGGCTCACTGCAACCTCTGCCTCCCGGGTTCAAGCGATTCTCCTGCCTCAGCCTCTGGAGTAGCTGGGATTACAGGTACGTACCATCATGCCCGGCTAATTTTTGTATATTTAGTAGAGACGGGGTTTCACCGTGTTGGCCAGGCTGGTCTCAAACTCCTGACCTCATAATTTGCCTCCCAAAGTGCTGGGATTACAGGTGTGAACCACTGTGCCCGGCCGGTTAACTTTCTGTGTGCCATGCCCTATTCTAAGTGCCTCGTGCATATTAACTGAAAAAATCCTCATCATAAGTGTATGAGGCAGGAACATTTATTACCCTCATTCCACAGTTGATCAAACCAGGGACATTTGCCTAAAGTCACGCAGCTGAAATGGCAGAGATGGGATGTGGACATGAGGGCCCATGCCCTGAGCTCCCTCTCACAGGAGAACCCTGTGGACCTGACAGCCCTTCCTGGGATGCTCAAAGAAGAGGGCAAGGGTCTGCCCTCTTTCTACTAATCAGGCCAGCAGTCAGGAGGGCGGGAGAGTGATTACCAAGGCTGGCATGCCATCACCTCATTTTCACAATGGTACTGGAGTTGTCTTTCAGTTTACCTTGGAGCATTTGAGCATCTTCCCTCTTTCTCCAGTTTCTATTTTTGTTACCAGAATTTACTCAAGGTGCATTATGAATAATTGATGGATGATTAGAAAATCCAAATTCCAGCCTTTTAGCATCATCTTAATTTTTTTTTTTAAATTGCAACAGTGACATATAAGCAGAAAGAATACCAGTTTTTCTTTCCTGCTGCCAAAAAGCTTCCTATTAACCTCCTGTTTTTCATCTGAGTGATTTTTTTAGAGGCCTCAATGATTTCAAATTTTCTGTAGTCCTCTCCTGTATGATTTGTGTGGCTGTGCTCATAGTTTTTAGAATTTCTTCTCTCTCTTAAACTTAAAGATAACTGCCTCCTTGGGTTAGGCAATGATCCTAGCTCAGCAATGTATAATAGAATGATAATCAACTCTCCAAAAGCTTTTATTGCAGGCTAGGGAGAAGATGCCTGTGAGTCAGGAAATGTGATTGACTCCTAGGCTGGGCTCTGCCACTGATCCCCTGGGGCAGCACTTCCTCTTTCTGGTCCTCAGTTTCCTCACCTAGTAAGTAAGGCGTTGGACTATTTGATAACTCAAGTTCCACAGCTCTAAGCAGGTTTTATGAAATTGCAGGGCCGTGTTGAACTGCCTGAAGCTCTTTTGTTGAAAGAGAACTGAGGTTCTCTTTTTCTTCCCTTTACCAGTCTCTGAACTTTATCTTCTTCTCCGTTTCTTTGATCTGTGTGTCTGAACTGAGACGGCTTATCCAGCATGTCTTCTCTGCTCATCACCAGTAAAATTCCCCATGTTTTTTCCCGATTCTCTGATCAGGTAATACGTTTCTCCCTGCCATTTCCTGTAGTCTATTCCTAATGTCTTCAGATTCCATAGAACATTCTGGAAACATTAACTGTCAAAATAGTTAACAATAATGATAGTTCCTTTGTATACTCTTCTGAGTGCTTTCACATACATTTTCTAGAATCTCTGTCACCAACTAACACAGAACTTTGTTCTTAGTACACGCTAGGTAAATATTCAGTAAAAATGAAATATGTAAAAGGAACCTTCTGATTTTACACATGAAGAAGCTAAGGCAGAAAAGTGAGCTAACTTACTCAAAGCTACAGTGAATTGGTGGTGAAGAGCTGTTCTCAGGTTAGCGCTCATTCCACTAATCCAGACGCCCTTTTGAATCCCAGATGCTGGCATCCAGTTTTCTTGTCTTACGTTTTGGCTTTGGCAAACAGAGTCACCTGCCCCTGCTTGCATTTAGAGGAAGACTCATCATTTCATGCTGCTCTGCTCTTCTCTAGCGGGTGAGGTATGACTCTGACTAGATGGGTACAGAAAGCATGGTGTGGCACCAGCATGCTGCCTGGCACAATGTCCTTGCTTGATAAAAAATGATGGGGCAGAATAGATGAATGATTGACAAATCCACAGACCTGGAATTGAGTCTAGTTACCAGCCAGGAGAACATCTGTAGAATTCCTAGTTTAAATCATTTCACTCCATTGTGCCTCGGATCCACAAACATTCTAGACTGTTCATATGTTTTCAAATACCTGCCATTTTCCAGAACTGTCTTATAGGCTGCCTTAAAGAAGTGGCATTAAACCAACACACATCTAGCAAACTCCACTTATGTTGGAGGACATGAATCTTGATGTCTCTGTTACTGTTCTGCAAGATTGGGCTGATAGGGTCAAGAACACAGCATAGGTAATGAAATTCTTCAACCATCTGCAAATCCTTACATATTTACAGCTTTCAGCTTCTTTTTTTCCTCTAAAATGTTTTCTCACAACTGCCGACGAGAAGCAACACTGATCAATGTGGTTTTCAATTTCTTTCTTTTCCTCCTTCCTGCCATGCTGAGAAGGAGTCTAGTAGTCAAATACCGAATACAGAGGCTGCAGGTGGGAGAAGGACAGAAACAAAGAGACACCCATACACTGGGTTTCCAGCCTTGGTCTGACCCCAGAATTGACGATTTTCTTCCCTCTTGCGGCTGCTCCTCAACCTGATTCCCTTAGCAGGTTTCTGTATTCTAGTCACTGTTCTGGCTGTCCAAGTACAAACCTCTAGTGTCTTTCAAGTGGATCCAGAAGTTATTTTTGAACATTTTCTATGTTTAGCAAATTCACCCAAGCACAAAGCACGAAATACATGAAGCTGAAAATTTTGCTTATGCCAGAGCACTGAGGGGTATTATGTGTGTGTGTGTGTATATATATATGTAATATATATATTTTATATAATTTATATATAATATATAAATTAATATTAACAAATGGGGAAAATGCACATGCAGCCTATAAACGCTTGTTTTAAAGGGTCCTCACCTTGGCTCGCCCATGCAACACACCATGCTTTGCATCTGAGTCATCATAGCAAGCGTGCCAGCCAGCCAGCTAGCCAATGCTCTGTTCCAAGGAAACTCAATTACACCTGCATCTATTTCATGCAGATGAGCTGTGGCCATGGGAGCTCAGCGGCCTTCCACTGTGCTCTGATGTGGACCATGCTTCCTGTGATAGGACCATTTGAGATGCACATGAGAAAGGAAGCATATGGCTGTCAACAAAAATCCCTGCGCCTTTTAATTTATCCCGACTTCACAGATGGGTAACCTGAGCTTCAGAGATGTGCCCAAGGTCATAGAGCTAGCTTTGTTTGAAGCAGAAAGGGCCCTAGGGTTCTGACTTCCAATTCCTGGCTGGGTCCTTTCCTGCCTGAAAATGAAATGTGTTAATAACATTTCTTGATCCTTTCTTCTCTATCTTGATTGATGCTACCTACCATTTTCCTATGATGGTATGACAACAAATGTGCTTATACCACTCAGCCACTCCCAATATACCTTAGTAATTTTTATATCTTTAACTTTGTGCTTTTCATACAATAACTGCTGTTCCTATATAAACAATACCCACTTCAAGTAGTGGATGTGTTACTGAAGGATTGTGAGCAATCAGTTTTTTAAAGTTGTCTGTCTTCTCACTGAGTTATATTTTCTGCCATTATTCCTATTTATGATTGGACTTAATAATGTCTTCTTACTCTAGTCAAATTGATCACCTTTGTTATTAATTTTCGTAGCTATGTCCCCACTCCTAGCTTCTCTGTTAAGTAGTTATGAATCAGTAAATGCTCATTAAATGTGCATTAAATCAAATTCTTTATAATGGAGAGACAGAATACTACAATGGTCATGAATGGGATTTGGATATTCAATGAAACTTGTGTTTGAATCTTGGCTTTTCCTAGATTACGTGGGTTGCCTTAAGCAAGTTAATTAAAATCTCGGTAAAATTAAGATAATAATCCTCTTGGGCTTGTTGAAGTACAGCATGAGATAAAGGACATAGAAACACCTAGTACAGTGTCTGACACACATTAAGCACTCAATAAACTTTAGGTTTTGTTATTAAGCTGTGGTAGGCACTGTGCTAAGCTCTTGAGGACAAAAAGGAAAACGAGGTTCTTTCACTAAATCACATGGGGGTGACAGACCTGTAGACAAACAGTTGTAAAACGGTGTGACATGTGCCGTAATAGAAGCTGGCTCAATGTGCTAAAAGGGCACAGGGATTCAAGCAGTAAAGTCAGATTTCACTTTCACAAGTCAAACCATGCATGGTCTGTGTTCTCTCTTACATATGCTGGGGAACTATATTTTCATATGTTTCCTATCATATAGTCTATGTTATTATATAGCTTATAAATTTATACCCTTGTATTATAAACTTGGGTTTTATTCACACTCATGTTTACTAAACTTCATGGGAGATTTAGGGATTTTGAAGATCAATTTTAATTATTTTTGATTCTAATCCTTTGAGTCTAAGCCTCCCTGCCCTTAAATGCCACTCACCTGTACCTAGGGTTGCTCTGGGTGGTTGAGAAAGGTCTGCTGGAATGATTCATTAATCCAGGTCATTCATTTAGCCAACAGATATGGAGCCCATGCCATGGCCACACATTCTTTTGGATGGGAGGATGCAAAGAGAGTCCACCCAAGGGACCAGGTCTTGCCCTCAAGGGGCTTATTTTTATTTTTATTTTTCTTATTTATTTATTTATTTTAAGACATGGTCTCTCTCTGTTGCCCAGGCTGGAGTGCAGTGGCATGATCTCAGCTCACTGCAACCTCCGCTCTTGGGTTCAAGTGATTCTCCTGCCTTGGCCTCCTGAGTAGCTGGGATCACAGGTGTGTGCCACCACGTCTGGCTACCTTTTGTATTTTTGGTAGAGACGGGGTTTCACCATGTTGGCCAGGCTGGTCTTGAACTCCTGACCTCAGGTGATCCACCCATCTTGGTCTCCCAAAGTGCTGGGATTACAGGCGAAAGCCACTGTGCCCAGCCCAAGGGGCTATTTTTACATGGGGAAAGACAAACAGGCAAGTTGTGTCAAATATGTCACTAGAGTTTTGAAGCCAGGGCTACAGGAGAGTGATCAATTCTGCTGGGGCCAAGTGCAGCAGCAGAGAGTAGGGGAGGCCAAAGCTTGCAGGGTGAGTGAGTAATCACTGCCAATTATAGTTAGAAAATATTTTGCTTCTTCAGAGAAAAGAATTGCAGGTAACTGCCTACAGGCAGAAAGCATGAAGTAATTAAGTCAGACAAATGCATTACCAAGTTCCATTTTAAGGAACTGGAAATAAGGTGTTGTTCTCAGCGACAGGGTTTTATTAACTTTAACATCACTGGGCTTCCAGAGGTCTTCTGTGTGGTTGGTGAAACTCACACTTCCAAACTGACTTCAAAAAGAGATTAATGTATTGTATACTTGAAAATTGCCCAGAGAGTAGATTTTAAATGTTCTCATTACAAAAAGTGATATGTATGTGAGGTGATGGATATGTTAATTAACTTGATTTAATCATCATGTAATGTATACATATATCAAAACATCATGTTGTAGATCATAAATATTTACAATTTTTTCTTTGTCAATTAAAAAATAGATAAAAGATTAACAAGATTAACGAGTGGTATAAACATGCTTTCAGTAAAGTTTATATTTTAAACTTTACTGAAAGTTTAAATTATAAGTAAATGTATTTAATTATATAGCTAATTGAACAAATGTAAACTTATTAGAAGAAAAGAAAAAAAGCCCAGTAATCTTTACCCTCCTAGAAATAACTACTGTTGAAATTCTGATTACTAATCTCCTAGATTTTGTAATATGCAAAAACAAACGAATATGAGATCAAACTATAAATTATTTTGTAAACTCTTCACTCAGCACTATAGTGTCAATATCTTTCTGTGTCAAAATATATATATGTATATTTATAAGGCAAAATAATTCTTATAACTTTAAGAATAAAAAAATAGCAATGATAGAAAAAATACTACAATAACAAGTGAGTATATCTTTGGAATCTTTGCTAGACCCTGTAAGCCTATTTAAAAACAACAACAAAACAGAAGAGAGGACTAAGAGATACACATGGAATTTCAGTCTATAATTACTGTTCTATAAAAGTAATGAGGCCAGGTGTGGTGGTTCATGCCTGTAATCGTAGCACTTTGGGAAGCGGAGGTGGGAGAATCACTTGAGCCCAGGAGTTTACGACCAGCCTGGGCAACATAGGGAGACCTTATCTCTAAATCTCTAAAAAAAAAAAAAAAAAGAAAAAAAAAATTAGCCAGGCATGGTGATGTGCGCCTGGGGTCCCAGCTGCTTGGGAGGCTGAGGTGATGCCTGAGCCTGGGAGGTCAACGCTGCAGTGCTCTATGATCATTTTACTGCACTCCAGCCGGGCAAAAGAGCAAGATCTTGTCTCTAAATAAAATAAAATAAAATAAAAGCAATGCAAAATTTCATATAAGACACCCCTTCCTGGGCTTAACCAACATGGAAAATACCTGTTTATGTGTGTACGACAATCAAGATGGACTTTTCCTGGCTGATACGGTTTGGCCATGTCCCCACCCAAATCTCATCTTGAATTGTAGCTCCCATAATTTTCACATGTTGTGGGAGGGAACTGGTGGGAGATAATTGAATCACAGGGGCAGTTTCCCCCATACTGTTCTCGTGGTAGTCTCATGAGATCTGATGGTTTTATAAGGGGAAACCCTTTTCACTTCATAGTCATTCTCTCTCTTGCCTGCCACCATGTAAGATGCGCCTTTCACCTTCCACCATGATTGTGAGGCCTCCCCAGCAATGTGGAACTGTGAGTCCGTTAACCTCTGTGAGTCCATTAACTATATGAGCTCATTAACCTCCAGCCACGTGGAATGGTGAGTCCATTAACCAGTCTTGGGTATGTCTTCATCAGCAGTGTGAAAACGGACTAATAAACTGGCCCAGTTACCATGACTGCAAGAGAATCACGAACTTATTGTAGCACAAGTCACCTCATCTCTAAAAACAGAAGGCCAGAGGAGATCTCTAGCATGCATTTGGCTCTTTTGATCTATGATACTGTCTTTCGGGAGAAATGGCTTATTTTAGAAGCATAGATAGAGTTAAATAAAAGAAATCCCCTGCAGGAAGGGGTTGTAATATGCCCTGGGTTTAGAGTTCTGATTAGAGTGGCCCATGTTTTCTAATCCAATTCTAAAATGACTATTTAGGGGCTTGTTTCTATTAAGAACAAGTTAATACAGCGGTGTGATAGGCTAGGCCAATTGCTGGGAAGCCAATTAAGAGGGTTAGCCCTGGTCCAAGGACCTGAGCTGGGGCCAGGAAAGCACAGGGCAGAGGTGAGCGTGGGGTTGAGAGGGCTGGGGTCAGCTCTTCCTTGACCGCCAAGGCTTCAGTGTTCTTTGGCAGCTTGAGGTCCTTGATGATTCATTGCCTATGTCTCTGGGGAGATGAGATGGTTCATGTGCACTCTTGTCTCTGCTGCCAACTGCTCAGTGGGTTCAGAAACATGGATTTTGGGCTGCACATGTGGCTCGCGCCTGTAATCCCAGCACTTTGGGAGGCCAAGGAAGGCAGATCATTTGAGGTCAGGAGTTCGAGACCAGCCTGGCCAACATGGTGAAACCTCATCTCTACTAAAAATACAAAGATTAGCTGGGTGTGGTGGCGGGTGCCTGTAATCCCATCTACTCAGAAGGCTGAGGCAGGAGAATTGCTTGAACCCCAGGGGGAAGAAGTTCCAGTGAGCTGAGATCACACCACTGCACTCCAGCCTGGGCAACAGAGTGAGACTCCATCTCAAAACAAACAAACACCAAACCAAACAAAACAAAACACACATCGATTTTTTAAGGGGGAGAGTCTGGCAAAAATGCCCCATAGGGATTGGAAGAGACAGACTGAAGAGACAAAGGCCAGGGAGGAGTCCAAATATGAACCACCACAATTGTAGTTTGTGGATCCCTTCTCTGTATCAGGTACTGTAATGCACACTACATTCATTTGCAAAGATCCTATAGGATAGATACTGCTGTTGTCTCCACCTGATGATCAAGAAATGGAGACTAGGAAAGGTTATGTAACTTGATCAAGGTTACACCGTAATAGAACTGAAATCCGAATTCATGCAATTTGTTTCCAGAATCCATGCTATTAGGCACCATGGCACACCCACAGAGGTGAAGGCACAAAAACCTGGAGGTGGGGGCCGAGGGAGAGATAAGCAGATTGCAGAGTCAGAAACAGTTGTAAATAAAGAACTGACAGAAATAGGCAAGTCTAGGAGGGAATTAGTTTTGATATACTATGTATATTCTATGCATTTATGTATAGCCTATTTCTCAAATGAATTTAAAGTAGCTTCGATTTGATATCTTAATTTTTTAAATTTTTTTCTATGGTCAAAGAATGGATATCCCTAAAGTTTACAACCTGGCATACACACAATTTGCATCCCAGTACAAACGACTTTTTAAAAACATATGACTACATTTAAGCCTAATTGTTTGAGGATCTGTTTCATTACTTGGTCTTTTACTTGGCCATATACACTGAAGAGTGATTATAGCTCCTGAATCTATCTCAATTTCACAAATTTTGCATTTGTTCTAAGAACCTCTGAGGTAAGAACCTTAATTAAGCAAATGATTAGTAATGAGAACAGAAGTAAACATAAGTCCGGTTAAGAATAATTAGATGATATGTTGTCTGCTGGAACATTGATAGATTTTAGCATTTAAATGTATGAACCAAAAATATGGCTTTGTCTTGAGAACTGAAGGACCCACGGGTTTTTTTTTCACTAGTGGTAATACTGTGAACCTATGTTTGAACTTTATTTTTATGCTCTTGCATATAAAGACTGTACTTTGGTTTGAATCTGCAGGTGCTAAACCATAAATGTAATAATCATCAAAGAATGGCCTTAGGAATGCTTCCTGACGTTGTGTCCTTTGTCCTCAGTTCATTCTAATGAGATTAGTGAAGAGAGAGTAGAATCCTGATTTTAAGGTTGAGCAAAGAAAAGCAAAGAGAAGGTGGGGATGCTCACCAGCCCTGCAGCCCCGTGACTGACCTGGGTGCCCTGACTCCGGAGCCAGTGTTCTCTCTAGGAGCTGTTCCTCCGTTTTGTCATTCTCATCAAATTTGAGGATTGTTGTGAAAGAGAGATATTTGAATGGCTGGAGCACACCACCCAAGACAGAATCCCTGCAAAGAATGCTGATGTTTTATAGGGACAGCAGGATCATGGAGAGCATCCACTGGAACTGTCTTGTGCAGTCAGGCACTTGGCTCAGCGTAGCCACTAACTCTCTGGGTACTCCGGGCATTGAGCATTTCATGATCACAGGAATAGCTAACTTTCAGGTAGTTATAAAAGCACTTTGATAAGTATAAAGGGTTCTGCGAGTATGAGGTAGAGCAATTGTTAAAAGAAATTAAAAAGAGGAAATTTCTCTTTTCAGTGGTGAATTTCCCTCCTGTTGGCATAGAAGCTTTTGGCTTGCTGGTGGCTTCCTTTAGGTCTGTTTGTATATTCTTTGAGTTTATCAATATTCCGTTCAGCTAGGTCATTTGTCCGGGAATCAATTTTTCAGCTTGGAGACTCAGCAAGTTATCCAGGCCTGTGTCCACAGAGCCTTCATTCTTTCTTTGCTTCTCTCATGCTATTGCTTCCGTGTGATCTGAAAGGGCTGGGAGTGGAGAGAGGCGGGGAAACAATATCAGTCACACTTTGGGAGGCCAAGGCGGGTGGATCACTTGAGGTCAGGAGTTGGAGACCAGCCTGGCCAACATGGCGAAACCCCATCTCTACTAAAAATACAAAAAAATCATCTGGGCGGGATGGCGCTTGCCTGTAGTCCCAGCTACTCAGAGGCCGAGGCATGAGAATTGCTTCAACCTGGGAGGCAGAGGTTGCAGTGAGCCGAGATCACGCAACTGTATTTCAGCCTGGGTGACAGAGCGAGACCGTGTCTCAACAAACAAACAAGCAAACAAACCCAATGTCAGTCAATTTGGCTACTTCTAGGAGTTATACATTTTGTGTGTGTGTGTGTGTGTGTGTGTGTGTGTGTGTGAGAGAGAGAGAGAGAGAGAGGAGGTTAAAATTAACAGATAAGGTGAGGTGGATTGGTGAATCTTATTTGTTCAGTCTCTTTCTGTTCCTAATTATCAGAGATTAGAGTAAGCTTGGCTGGACTTTCAAAAGGATTTGTAATATTTTTAAAGAAGGTAAAGGGAAAATAAATTTGATTAAAATTTTTTCAGTTCTTGAGGGCTCATTTTGCTTTATGTGTTGTCATTTTGTTTTTATTTCAGGGTTTTAGGGGAAACACAAACCCAAACTACAATTTTAATATATTGTAACAAATTTTAGGGCATACACGTGTGTTTTGCAGCTCCTTTCAATGGAGAATTGCTATTTGTCTTCAAATCATGGGGATTTGGATTAAAGTAATGGAGTGTCTGATTAAAAATTGGAACCTGAGATGAATAATAGGGAATTAAGGCATTTTGTCATAATTTAATTTTTATTCCTTTCTAGAAAAAAATTGCTCAACATAACATAAGCTGGGCCCACTCAAATGGGGGCACGCATATGTTACCCGTTCTGCCAGGCTCACAACCAATTGGAGTGTTAGCTATTTATAAATTCAAGGTTGACTTAAACCATCTCACCACCACACAGAGCTCCCTCCTTAATAAAAGAAGATCCACTGGTAGGTGTTGGGAGCAAATGTTTAACAAGCGTCTTCCGGCCCTGAAATATGGAGGAGGAGAGGAAACGTATGGCAGTTGCAACTGAGGCCATAGATGGCAGTACGAAAAGACTGCAAAGGGAAAGGACGATGCTAGAATCAGTCTGTCCATATGGGGACCTTCCCTGATGGGGAAACCAGTGTGGGAGAGAGGCAACAAAGAAACGTGATGAGAAAAGCATGAGAAATATGCCTACCCCTTCCAACATGATAAAGAGAAAAGCAGGTGGTTATTTTTGACTCTAGGTGGACTTGCTTCCAGTGTGATCTAGAGGTGCTCATTTGAGAAGGTAAGTCAGAGCAATCTGGCAAGCTGTTCTATGTGTTGCTCTATTGCTGGGAAGACGGAGGATATAGAAAAACTCCTTGTCTTTTTCCATGGAGAACTTAAATTGCAGTGATCTAAGGCAGTGGATGGGAAAGAAGATATATCAGTTAAGGCTCATTGAGTTGCAAGTGCCAGAAAAACCCAACTGAAGCTTACTTTAAAAAAGGAATTTATTGGCTGCATTATAGAAGTCCAGGGGCAGTTCTGCCTACAGGGGATAGCTGTATCCAGTGTGTCATTAATAAATGGATTTTTGCATCTTTCCATTCTGTTCGCCTCCCTGATAGCTTCATTCTTGAATTGAATGTGGTGGTGTGATGACTGACAGTACCTTCAGGCCAATGGCATTCCAGATTCCTGCCTGCTGCAAAAGTAGCCTATTTTCTTCCAACAGTTTGAACAAAAAAAAAATCTTGGGCCTAATTTTCCTGGGTTTGAATTGGGTCATGTACTTAACCTTGAGCCAGGAGAATGTAGTGTGCTGATTGCTTAGGTCTGGGTTACACAGCAGCCCTAGAGCTGGCGGTGGAGCCAGACGCAGTAAAGCACAAGGACAGTGTGTAGACAGGAATGGACGCTGGACCACCAAAACACAGCAATGGGCACTAGAGAAGGGAACCTAAAATGTGTTGAGTGCCACCTATGAGGTGTTTGGTTCGTTCACCTTTTCTCATGCAAAGTTCACACTCTTCCTTGGAGGAGGTCTTGATTTCCACCATTTTGTGAATGAGTGAACTGCGATGCAGAGAGGTGAAGTAATGCTCCCAATGATGCACACTAGTAAGTGGCGGAGCTGGGGTTTGAACCTATGCCTTCTCAACTCTGCTAGTATTCTCCATGCATCTAACTAACATCCAAAAACAGTTATCTGGCCAAGCACAGTGACTCATGCTTGTAATCCCAGCACTTTAGGAGGCCGATGAGGGAGGATGGCTTGAGGCCAGAAGTACAAGACCAGCCTGGGAAACAAAGTGAAACACCAAGTCTACAAAGAAGAAGAAAAATAAAAAGAATGGGGCGTGGTGATGTGTGCCTGCAGTCCCAGTTACTTGGGAGGCTTAGGTGGGAAGATCACTTGACCCCAGGAGTTCAAGACTGCAGTGAGCTAAGATCAGTCTGGGTGATAGAGTGTGACCCCATCTCTAAATAAAATAAAATACAAATGGATCACCTACTGATCATCTAACCAAATCCTTAGCTATCCCGACCCCTTTTTGTTTTACAAGTACAGACATGCACTGCACAATGAAATTGTCAATAAGGGACTACATATATGGCAGAGTGGTCCCATAGATTATAATACTGTATTTTTACTGTAGCTTTTCCATGTTTGGATATGTTTAGACACACAGATACTTACTATTGTGTGACAGTTGCTTACAGTATTCAGCACAGTATCACGCTGTACAGGCTTGTAGCCTAGGAGCAATAGGCTACACTATGTAGCCTAAGTATGTGGTAGGCGACACAGTCTAAGTTTGTGTAAGTACACTCTGAAGTCCTTACAACTGCGAAATTGCCTGAGGATGCATTTCTCAGAAAATATTCCCATCATTAAGTGATGTGTGGCTGTTTAGTTCTGTCCTGGATGACACTGAGGTGTCTGTCTATAGGAAGGGTGGGGGTATTTCTTTGCTGACATCAGACCACCACCGCCATTTAGCACTACAGAAATAGGGAAGGCTGAGTTGCCATCTGGGGCCTACTGACTACAAGGATCATAGAGTAGAGGGGTGTCTCTCTTTGTTTCTCTTCCCCCTTCCTTAGATCGCATCATCACTCCATACCTACTTCTACCCGGCACCTAGCCTCTCCTCTACCAGTGGCAACCTCCACTCCACATTGTCAAACCAACCTCACTCCATTGCCCAGTATCTGAAAACACCATATCCTATTCCATCAAACCTCAGGTCCTCTGTCTGGATGTCACGGATCTCTGTAATCTGGTTCCTTATCCCCCTCCCTAGGCCACTCTGCCAATCTTATTTGCTAGTCTCCAACTCAACTCTAGTCAGGTTTGTCTCCTCACTGTCCCACAAACCTGCTAGGCCCTTCTTTGCACCACAACTGCCTGCCTAGAATAACCATCCTCCACCCGCTTCTCCTATCCAGAACCTTCAGGCCCAGCTGTTCAATGAAGTTCTGCATGCTCCCACTGCCGGTCTCCTCGTCCCCTAAACAACATTCCATTTTCATTTGCATATACAGAAACACACACACACACACACACACACACACACACTTCTTCATGAATACACACATATGCATATACATGTATATATACATTCATGCATGAGTGTGTTCACATGTATTTCAAATGTTCCTATGAGAGCATGAACTCCTTGAGGATCGAATTCCTGTTTCCAATTTTAAAATTTTAAATTAATGTTATCTATTTATCGATTTTGGGGGTATCCTTATTGTGCTTGGCCCAGTTGCAGGCTTGTAATATACTCTTTGTCAATAGAAAATTGTTGACTGCTTCAAAAAATGTATCAGAAACATGCATGTGATAATACATTTAATAATAAAGAAGAGCTTATGCTAGAAAGCAACAGTCTCCTGCTCTACTTCTCATCAACAGTTTCAGACTTTAGGCTGGGTGTGGTGGCTCACGCCTGTAATCCCAGCACTCTGGGAGGCTGAGGTGGGCAGATCTCTTGAGCTCAGAAGTTCAAGACCAGCCTGGGCAACAATGGCAGGACCCTGTCTCTACCAAAAATACACACACAGAAAATTAGCAGGGCGTGGTGGCTTGTCTCTATAATCCTGGCACTCAGGGAGCCTGAGGTGGGCGGATCACTTGACCCCAGGAGGTTAAGGCTGCAGAGAGCCATGATTGCCACTGCACTCCAGCCTGGGTGACAGAGTGAGACTCTCAAGAACAAACAAAAAACAGTTTCAGACTTTAGTTCTATCGGTGGTTCTCTCTGTAACTCTATCTAGACAGTCTGTTTACACAGCTATTTCTTGATTTATAATTAGATAATATATGTTGACTCTGCTTTGTGAAAGTTGAGAATTTACCTCATTTTTACTAATTCCTTCTAACCAGTGTTGACCTTTTGGTCTCTATAAGTATAATTTTGAATATTATACTTAATCCTCTATTTCTCGTCCTATTAATTTAAAATATAAATTAACATATTGATTGATTATTTGATGGGAAAGAGTTTGAATTGATAACAAGTCATCTAGCTACTTTTTTTAAAACTTTTTTTTTTTTTCTTTTTGAGGCAGAGTCTCGCTCTGTCACCCAGGCTGGAGTGCAGTGGCATGATCTCAATCTCAGCTCACAGCTCACTGCAACCTCCGCCTCCTAGGTTCAAGTGATTTTCGTGCCTCAGCCTCCTGAGAAGCTGGATTTACAGGCACCTGCCACCACGCCCAGCTAATTTTTGTATTTTTAGTAGAGATGGGGTTTCACCATATTGGCCAGGCTGATCTCGAACTCCTGACCTCAAGCAGTCCGCCTGCCTCAGCTTCCCAAAGTTCTGGGATTGCGGGCATGAGCCACTGCGCCCAACTTCGTCTAGCTATTAACAATGCCCTTTCATGATGTTATGAGTGTATCAGAGAATGTAATGGTTATGCGTATATAGCCCATATAAAACCTGGCTCCCCCATAGTCCCGTCTCACATTATGTGGCATTCAAATAAATATTGATCCTGCACCAATTTCAACTGCTTTAATTGGAAAGCAATTAAAATATATACTACAGTTTCTTGTGAAAGTGTTAAAAACATACAGTTTTTTTAATCACACACATCTATAACTGAATGTATATTCCTTTTATCCTATTGTACATAGGTAAGGTATTATTACATAATATTGTTAAACTGAAAGGCCACATGACCCCTTATTATTGTGTGCTGAATTTAAGTCAATTGCTATTGAAAAGGATGTACTTGTTTAGGAGACAAACAAAGTGGGTGGGTAAACTGCTGAGACTTGGTAAGACAAGATTGCAGCTGGGCGCAGTGGCTCATGCCTGTAATGCCAGAACTTTGGGAGGCCGAGGCCAGTGGATCACCTGAGGTCAGGAGTTTGAGACCAGCCTGACCAACATGGTGAAACTCCGTCTCTACTAAATACGAAAAATTAGCTAGGCATGGTGGCACATGCCTGTAATCCCAGCTACTTGGGAGGCTGAGGCAGGAGAATTGCTTGAACCCGGGAGGTGGTGGTTGCGGTGAGCCGAAATTGCACCATTGCACTCCAGCCTGGGCAACAAGAGCAAAACTCCAACTCAAAAAAAAAAAAAAAAAAAAAAAAAGAAGAAGATTGTATCTGTGAGAGATGGGGCTGAAAGATCAGTGGGAAGCTGAGAGGGAAGGAAGGCAGGCAAAACAACTACTTTTGACAGCAACGATTTTCTTAAGATTAGAATATTTGGGGGCCCAGTGGTTTTGTTATGATGCAAATACAAAATACATGTTACAAAGTTACAGTGGCACAAAAAATATGTAATGAAAAGTATATCTTCCTCTCACCCCTGGACTCCAGGCATTCAGTTATCAGTTTCCTCTATTTTGATAGCCATGTGCATATACAAAGTTATAAACGTACGTTCATTTTCCTCCACATGCTGTAGCGTTCTGTAAACACATACTTGTCCTTGCTTTTTTCCCTTTAACAGTATAATTAGGATCATTTGATGAAAATTCATATAGAGTTGCCTTTTTTTTTAGCATTTTATGAATGTATCACAATTTATGTAAGTTATATTGGAATGGTTTCAAAAGCATATTATCTAAATAAATTCTTTAAATTTATTATTTACGGGCCCCATGGATGGCTTTCTTAAGTGGTTTCCAGTCTTTTGCTGTTTTAAACCATGTTGCAGTGAGTATCTACTTAGATATCTAATTTTGTACATATGTGGTATATTTGTAGTTTAAATTTCCATAAGTGGAATTACTGAGTCCAAAGTATGCTAGTTTAAAATTTTGCACATACTATATATTTGTAAATAGATATCTATGTTATATATCTATGAAGAGGTATTTGCTAAATTTTTGTTCATCAGAATTTTATCAATTTACATTCCTACTCTTTTTTTTTTTTTTTTCTGAGACAGAGTCTTGCTCTGTCACCCAGGCTGGAGTGCAATGGCACGATCTTGGCTCACTGCAACCTCCGCCTCCTGAATTCAAGCAATTCTCCTGCCCTAGTCTCCCAAGTAGCTGGGATCACAGGAGCCTGTCACCACACCTGGCTAATTTTTTTGTATATTTACTAGAGATGGGGTTTCACCATGTTGGCCAGGCTGGTCTCAAACTCCTGACCTCAGGTGATCCACCCGCCTCAACCTCCCAAAGTGTTGGGATTACAGACATGAGCCACTGCACTCAGCCACCCAGCCCCTACTCTTTTAAAACATTAATTTTTTTATTGAGGTAAAAAATGCATAATCTACAATTCACCACCTTAATCATTTTAATTGTACAGTTCAGTAGCTTTAAGTGTATTCACATTGTGCAATCTTTAAAACTTTGGTGTCTTGCGAAATTGAAACTCTATACCCACTAAACAACAATTCCCCATTTCCTTTCCCTCCATGCCCCTGGCAACAAACATTCTACTTTCTGTCTCTGTGAATTTGACCACTCTAGATACTTCATATAAGTGGAATTATACAATATTTTTCCTTTTGTGACTGGCTTATTTCATAATGTCCTCAAGGTTCATCTATGCTGTAACATGTGTCAGAATTTCCTTTCTTTTTAAGGCTGAATAATATTCCATTGTGTGGATATACCACATTCTGTTTACCATTTATCTGTTGTTAAGCAACATTTGGGTTACTTCCACCTCTTGACTATTGTGAATAATGCTGCCATAAACATAGGTGTGGAAATGAGATTCTGCTTTTAAACCTTTTGAGTGTATACTCAGAAGTGGAATTGCTGGATTATACAGTAATTCTATTTTTAATTTTTTAAGGAGCTGCCATATTGTTTTCCACAGTGGCTATACCATTTTACATTCTTGCTAACAGTGCACACTGTCTTATGAATGAGAGTGCCTGTTCTGCAACACTTCTGTCAACTGTAGTACATGACCTGACACTTTGATCTTTGCCAAATTGAGAGACAAAAATGGTTTAATGTTACTTGAC
The DNA here is from genome assembly GCF_000001405.40 of Homo sapiens. NCBI lineage: Eukaryota > Metazoa > Chordata > Mammalia > Primates > Hominidae > Homo > Homo sapiens. The sequence goes on along the minus strand of NC_000018.10, from coordinate 56,545,109 downwards.
ATCTCTCTCTCTCTGTATTTCTCTTTTTATAAGAGAGCTCAGTCACATTTTGCTCTATTAATAAGCCTTGCATATTTCCTTTACTGTAAATGGTGATGATATTCTTTGTCCATTTTTCTATTGAGTTGTTAGCATTTTCATTTGTAGAGTCTCTCTATATTAAATAAACAAGCCTGATTTCTGTAATATGAGATGCAAATATTATTTTCCACTTTGTCATTGTGTTTTGATACTGGATTATAGTAATTTTGTTTTTCACTAGACGGGTTTCATTTTGTTGTTGTCAAATTTATCAGTCTAGTCTTTATGGCTTCTGTGTTGTTTCATACATGCTTCAGAAAGGCCCTTTTTGTTTCAAGGTTGTAATAAAATTTTTCATGTTTTTTTCACATATTTTTATGATTTTTTTATGCTTGAAAACTTCATATACGTGGAATTTATTTTGTTCCAAGGTGTCAGGTAAGAATCCAACTTTACTTTCCTCCAGATTCTATTAAACAACTTTCTAATTTTTTCCCCTGATGTGTGGGAATTTTTAAGATCAGAAACCTGTACTATAGAAGCTTGCTTTTAAAATGCATTTGCAAATCAATTTTGGTAAATATTCTTCCTCTCATCCACTTTAGTTCACAGTGAATTTTTGAAAATAATCTGTTCTGCTAAGATGGAAAAAAATTAGAGATTTTATCCATCCCTGGGCTGGGATTTTAAGGGAGAGGAAGTTTGTAGTGATAGCAGGAATCTTGAACAGAGGTTCAAGAGGACAGTGTTTGGGGGCTTCTGGATAGCTGGACATGTGAGATTCCTGGAGGATGGCCTGCTGGGGAGGGTGTGGAAGCTCCATGCCCCTTTCCCCACACTGTGCTGTATGCATCTCTTAATCTGGATCCTGTGTAGTCTCTTATAATTAGCCACTACATGTAAAAAACAGAATATGAGTTTTGGAAAGAATGGTTGGGCCAGTTGCATAGCCTTTTCTTACACAAAAATCTGGGAAAATTAAGCCTTTCTCCCTGTTGCTAATCACAATTATTTTGTTAGTTATGTAATTGGTACTTTGCTACTTGTTTCTTTTTTTAACTTTTTGTGGAGAACTGGGTCTCACTCTGTTTCCCAGGCAGGTCTTGAACTCCTGGGCTCAAGCAGTCCTCCTGCTGCTGTCACCCTAAGTGCTGGAATTACAGATGTGAGCCACTGTGCCTGGCGATACTCGTTTCTTTTGATAGACTTCAAGTTCCAGAAGAGCAGGGAGCATGCCTATGTCATTTATTAATTTGTCTTTAACAACCAGCAGAATACTTGTCTCAAAATGCGCAGAATGAGTGACTAAATTCCTGAAGCCTCCAAATGTATTCCTCATCTTTTGCCCCCAGCAATTTGTGCACCTTTTAGGGAGAGGAACTCCAACTCAATAGTCTTTATGAGCCTTGCACATGGTAACTGTTCATTCTATGCTCTTTGAATGAATGAATTCACATCATTAACAATGATGACAGCACACCAATAGCCACTGATCTAATCACAAACGTGTGAGGTAGACGCTTAATTCACCCAGTCTTACCAGGTGCACAGCAGCTCTGGAAGTTGAGGGAACTCTCTAGGACTCAAACAAGAGCATCTGGACATCCTTTCATGAATCCTGTGTAGCCATCAGAATGTTGACCATGACTTCCACATTGGCAAAGGAAAGAATGAAGAAAACTTGACATTTCTATTGCTGTCTGACTTCTTTGAAGAGGCCTCATGTTAAGGTCAACTTGGAAACACTGACATTTTCTACTTGAATGGAACTAGATTTATGAATCCACTTAACTGACCATTTGAGAACATTATTCTTAATTTACAGGCCAGTTTAAAGATAAAATAAATAAAAATAACATTTATTAGAGTTTGAGACCAGCCTGGGCAACAAAAGGAGACCCCGTCTCTACAGTTTTTTTTTTTTTTTTAATTAGCTAGGCATGGTGGTGTGTACCTGTGGTCTTAGCTACTCTGGAGGCTGAGGTGGGAGGATCTCTTGAGCCCAAGAGTTTGAGGCTGCAGTGATCTCTGATTGTGCCACTACATTCCAGCCTGGGCCACAGAGCGAGACCCTGTCTGAAAAACAAACAAACAAACAAACAATTCCTTAAATGTTAATTAAGGGCAGTTATTTTAGTCAGGAAAGATGTATTCCCTTACCAGTGAAATAATCTTAGCGTTCCCAGCTAGGCTGCTTAAAGATTTTAAAATGCAACTCGATTGATACCTACTTTTCTAAAAAGATACATTTTATAAACAGTGCAGGTTGCCATTTTGTTTCCTTCAAAGACAAAAGAAAAACCAAATTTTGTTCAAGCTTAAATAGCTTATTCTTAAGGCAAAGTCTGTGTCACCTCACCGTGGTGAGCTGACAAAATTGCTCAGTTTGCAAGGAATTAACTCCCACAGCTGACAGATCAGCAAGAATGTAGTTCCAGGGTTGGCCAATTACATGATGTCACTAAAGGGAGAAGGGGAACTTTCAAGGGGACAATAAAAAACAATCATAGAATGAAAACCTAGAGGACCTACAGTCAGGAGATGCCTAAATGGAACAATTGAGGAAGAAACTCATCTAAGACAGAAACACAGAGCAGCTATTGTCTGGAGAATATTGTAAAAACACCGATGATCATATGTCATAATTAGGTGACAAATTAACCTTATAGAATATATCTGAGTTTTGTAGCACTTTAAAAATAATTTTGAACCTCCATTTTATGTTGCGACTTATTGCTGAAAAATATTCCATTAAAAAGAACCCAATATTTATGTCACTTTGTATGTGGTCACATTTAGTACTGTTTTATATTCTGCTCTTTTCACTGGACATGATTTTGTATCTGTATTTGCTTATTGCTACATGGTCCAGTACTCATATTCTTTTAGTAGATACACAGTTTATAGAATTTTTTTTTTAATATGAGGAAAGGAGTTTTATGTTTTCAAATTCATGCAGTAACTGCTGACAGGACAAGGGGAAGTGGAAAAGTTGAAGTTGCCTATGCATTTAAGAGTCTCCTGTAAGTGCTTTAACAGATAAGATGTGCTTCAAATAAGCTCACCCATCGTTTGAATAAAAACTGCTGGGAAGGTGGTGCTTAAGCAGTTTGTGGGCTTTGATGCAAATAGGGTTGACATTCTCTTTGGTTACCACATTGTTCATGCTTCCTTTCAAAGCTGGTGTACTCCAACCTCGGCCCAGTGTGTTCAAAGGGCTGTGCAGAGCCCTGGTATGAAGGTTCTGGTCTCAGCCCTGAATTCCCTGCAGAACTTTCAGAATTCCAGATTCCCAGGCCTTATCCCAGATTGGCTGCATCAGAGAAGGGGTCTGGGTATCAGTGTTTTTTTTCAAAGCTCCCTAAGTTGTTATAACATGCAACCAGGGCTGAGAACCACTGGTCAGGAGACTATTAATTGTTTAATCATATGGGTCCTCTGATTTATATAAACAGGTTGATTTAGGTCACCGGAAAGCAAAAGACTTATTTTGACTCCCTACACAGCAAATTTGTCAACATATGCCAACCACTAAAGTGAAAATGAAACAGACTGAAGTGCTGATGGGTCAAGATCAAAATATGTATTCATTTAACAAATGGTTATTAAGCATCGACTGTAGGCTCTGTTTTAGGCAATAAGAATGACTTAACAAGACACAATCTCTCTTCATAGTGTCATTGGAATTATAAAAAATATAAAATGAATAACAATAATATATAGCAAAATCTGTTTTGATTCACAAGAGCTGTCCAGGCAAAATGCAACCAGAGTTTAGTAATACATTTTGGGGGGAAGGCTTTGAGGAGGAAGGGACATTTGAGCTTCTTGGGATGATTGGGAAGAATTGCACCATGTGAGTGTTGGGGAAGGCCGGGAGAAGAGAAGCTGGAAGGGTGTTAACACTGGTGGGAACAGGGCTGGGAGAGGGAAGACATGGGGAATAGATGGAAAGCGAGAAGTTTTGGTGTGGTCTACATATTCCCGGCCTGTATGGAGCAAAGGGTTAGATAAGGTCTTGCATTTTGGTACAAGGAGACAAGGATACTACATTTTGTGTCAGCTGTGTAAAGGGGGCATTGTTAGAGACAGTTTTCCTTTGGAAAATTTGGGAATGTGTTGATGTAAAAAAATGTGTGGATGAAAAATGTTTTATCTAGATGGAAGACTGTCTTAGTTTGGCTATTATAACAAAGTACCATAGACTGGATTGCTTATAAACAACAGAAAGTTATTTCTTACAGTTCTGGAGGCTGGAAGTCTGAGATCTGGGTGCCAGCATGGTCAGGCGCTGATGAGGGCCAGCTTCCAGGCTGCAGACTGCCCACTTCCTGCCATGTCCCCACACGGCAGAACGAGGGCAAGTGAGCTCTCTGGTGTCTCTTATTTTTATTTTTTATTTATTTATTTTTGAGACCAAGTCTCACTCTGTCACCCAGGCTGGAGTGCAGTGGTGCGATCTCGGCTCACTGCAACCTCTGCCTCCCGGGTTCAAGCGATTCTCCTGCCTCAGCCTCCTGAGTAGCTGGGACTACAGGCACCCGCCACCACGTCCAGCTAATTTTTGTATTTTTAGTACAGATGGGGTTTCACCATGTTGGCCAGGATGGTCTCGAACTCCTGACCTCAGGTGATCCGCCTGTCTTGGCCTCCTAAAGTGCTGGGATTACAGGCGTGAGCCACTGTGCCCGGCCTCTGATGTCTCTTTTTAAGGGCCCCACCTTCACGAACTAATCACCTCCCAAAGGCCCCACCTCCTAATACCTCCATCATGGGATTAGGGTTTCAATATGAATTTGGGGGGACACAGACAGTCCATCGCAAAGACCGTAGAGATAAAGATGTCTAAATCCATCCTGTCTGGTCTAAGGTTTCCTAGATTGTTCATCCTCCCAGGGTGGCCTCTGAGAAGGCCGGGTGAATGTTGTGTGTTTTTTCCCCCCTGCCATATTCAATAATGGCTAAAGACTCAATTAGCTTTATATGAGACCAACAGTTCTAGTTTTCTGTTGCTCAAACACAAAGACATCGTCTGTCTTCCTCAGACACTTCGGCCATTGAATAGGGGAGGAGGATGAGTTTGTTTAAACAGCAGCAGGGGTAGAGGTGTGCAGTGTGCAGTCTTAGGTAAAAGTGTACCCCAAAACCCAGAAGTCTAGAGGAGCTGGCCTGTGGATGAAATGAAATAAACACTGAATGTACCCAACACTGTGTGTGGCACCTGCTCAGTATAGAACAACTCTTAGCATTTAAAGAATCAGTTATGAGCTAGTGGACTCAAAGAAGTTTGACTTGTGTGTTTTTTTGTTTTGTTTTGTTATAATTTTAAGAGACACTTTCCTTTTATTTCTTAAAATACTATTGTCATTATGAAGAGAAGTATAGAATGTTAACTTTATGCCTTATCAACATCTCAGCTTTAGGCCATATTTGCTTCACATTTTTTTTTTCCAAAGGAGTAGAACTGAAACATAGACCTATGATAGCCTGAGCTGTTGATGGTTTAACATTTGATGTAAATGGTGTTTTACTATACATATTATTTGGCAACTTCCTTTTTTTACTTAATATTATGTTTTTTGAGATTTACTTCTATAGATTCTTATAGTTTATTCACTTCATTGGTGGTTTAAGTATATCATGCTGCATAAATATACTACACCTTGTTCATTCACATTGATAGACATTTGAGTTGCTTCCAAAGTGCCGCTTTACAATGGATTTGCCATAGTGAATATTTCTGTATGTGATTTCCTATGAAGATGGGAGAGAATCCCTGGAACATTTGTCCAGAAGAGAAATTGCTGGGTAATTGGATATGTTGCCTGTAATCCCAGAGACTCAGGAGGCTGAGGTGAGAGGATCGCTTAGGCCAGGAGTTCAAGATCAGCCTGGGCAATATAGCAAGACCCAGAAAAACAAAAATTAGCTGGACATGGTGGAGGTGCCTGTAGTCCCAGGAGTTGGAGGCTACCGTAAGCCATGAAAGCACCACTGCTCTCCAGTCTGGGTGATAGAGTGAGAGACACTGTCTCTTAAAAAAAAAAAAAAGAAAAAGAACGCCTAGTTGCTTTTTATCAAAGTCTTCCACATTGTGGTGTCTTCTGCTGTGGTGTAGGAGACAGTGTGGTTTAGTGATTCAGATTTGAGCCATGCATAGGGAATCTTTGGGGATGATAAATATTTTCTTAAATTGGATTATGGTGATGGTTACACAACTCTGTAAATTTACTAAAAAATCATTGGACTGTACAGTTAAAACAGGTGATTTTGATGGCATAAAATCATATTCCTATAAAGCTGTTAACAACAACAAAAAAGATTTAGGCTCTAAAGACAGACAGCTTTGGGTCAAGTTCTGATTCTAAAACTATTTAATTTCTCTGTGCCTTAGTTTGCCCATCTGTCAAGTGAGGATATTATACTGCCTATAATAGCCTGTTAGAAAGGAATAAATAGATAACACATGAGCTTTGTGCCTGGCACTTAGAGCTCAATAAACGTTAGCTTAATATGACTTTCCCAGCACCCAGAGCCCTTGCACTGACTTTGATGTTCCACCTGCTTCTTCCCCACCTGCCACCTGTGCCTGATCAGGTTTCCTTAGCTTATTCTGTGTTTTGGCTCTCTCTCATACCCACCTTCCCTCTTCCTTTACCCAAACAAAATCTGTTCTGAACACCACCACCACTGGAAAAGTTTAGACAGACCGATGCATAAAAAGTTACTCATGACTGATAATGGTTTATTTGCATTTTAAACAGCATAACTGAAAAATAACTAGAGTTAGAAAATGTGAAGACATAATGTATTAGCCTGCAAGGGCTGCCATAATAAAATTCTGGAGATTTGGTGGCTTAAGCAACAAGAATTGTATTTTCTCACAAGTCTAAGGGCTGGAAGTCCAAGATCAAAGTGCTGGCAAGGGTGGTTTCTGGTGAGGGCTCTCTTTCTGACTCGTAGACGGCTGCCTTATTCCTATGTCCTTGCATGGCTTTTCCCTGTGCACATGCACTTCTGGGGTCTCTTCTTATGAGGATACCAGTCCCACCTATAACCTCATTGAACCTTAATAACCTTTTTAAAGATTCTATCTCCAAATTTAGTCACATTGGGGATTAGGACTTCAACAGAAGAATTTTGCAGGGACGCTGGACATAATTCAGTTCAGAACAGATCTTATAGAGGCCATGGTGTACTTGAGCATGAGGGCAGCCAGCCTTCACGCAGGATAGTTTCACAGGGGAGCACTTACTATGATCATCATGTCTTTGGCTCATGTTCTGGTCAAATTAAAAAAAAACCCGGGCACTTGATTCCATCAGTGCAGCCAGAGCTGAGCAGATTCTCAGAGACTCACAATAACTAAACTAACTAGAGATGGAAGTAAAAACCTGAAGCTAGAAGTGAGGGTTGCCCTTTTTTCTTAAGCCCAGCATTCTTGCTTCTCTATTCACTTTGGCCAGCATCAGAGTTCCTGGAGATCAACATTAGTTAGTGCAAGTTAGATGGTGAGTGTGGAGTCACAGCTGAGGATGATAGGCTTGAGAGAGATTTTTTCCAGCCCATTGGAAGCCTGGCAAATTCTCCCTGCTTCATCACTTGGGGCATCTTGTTGATGACCACAGCCAGTGTCTTTCACTCTTCCTAAGTGGTAGAACCAGGCTAGATCCAAGGCTGTCTAGCCTCAAGCCCAAATCTTAACCAGGAGGATTCTGGGCCTCCCTTTCATCTGCTTCATGCAGCTATCTTTTCTTTTAGAACTATTTGTCCTTCATGTAAATTACATTAAAGTTACATAATCTTGAGAGGAATGTACTCAAGATGTCAGTGATCATGAAATCTGTACATGTCATTATTGTATATAATTTTCCCCATAAAATGTGGTGAAGAACAGCTTAAAATTTTAAGCAAGTCTTTAGCCTCTTGGTAAGGATGAATTTCGGTGTGACGGTGAGTGAGTACAGTGGAGCCTGGTTGATAGATGGATGCTGGGTGCTTGATTAGTCTTCTTCTTTAGTCAAAGACTCAGAGTCACAGACTGATCTCACTGTGGGTCTAGTTCAAATTCAGGCCTTGGCAAAATAATAGGTTAACAAAAGTCATAGACCATCAGGATTGTTAAGTGACATATTAAATTTGGTGATGCCAATAAAGAGTATTGTAATGCATCACCTAGTGATGGGGATACGTTCTGAGAAATGCATTGTTAGGCAATCTCTTCATTCTGCGAGCATCGTAGAGCATACTTACGTAAACCTAGATGGCGTAGCCTGCTACACACTTAGGCTATAAGGTCCAGCCTATTGCTCCTAGACTACAAACCTGTACAGCATGTGACTTCACTGAATACCGTAGGCAACTGACCATAATGGTGAATATTTGTGTATCTAAACATAGAAAAGGTACAATAAAAATACAGTATTATAATTTTATTGGACTACTGTGGTATATGTGGTCCATCATTGACCAAAATGTCATTATGTAATGCATAACTCTATAATTCACTGATGAGGTTTCAGCTTTCATAGAAAAAGTCACGATCGTCTTCTACCTTATTTGAAATGACCTCTCAATTGCCTCATTTATCATTAGGTATTCTTGTGTTTCTTCAGCCACACTTTTCTCTTTTTTCTTTTTTTTTTGAGACGTCTCACTCTGTCGCCCAGGCTGGAGGGCAGTGGCGTGATCTCGGTTCACTGCAACCTCCATCTCCCAGGCTCAAGCGATTCTTGTGCCTCAGCCTCCCGAGTAGCTGGGACTACAGGTGCGCGCCACAGCACCCTGCTAATTTTTCTGTTTTTTAGTAGAGATGGGGTTTCTCTGTGTTCCCCAGGCTGATCTCAAACACCTGGCCTCAAGTTATCCACCTTCCCTGGCCTCCCAAATTGCTGGGATTACAGTCAGGAGCCATTGTGCCCAGCCTCGGGTGCACCTTTATAGACAACTTTTTAGAACACTATTAAAACTCTAGGATAAGATGTTTACCAAAGCAGCTAGTATGATTCAATATATGTTGATTAATTTTGCATGTTGATAGAATTCACTTACTAGTTTTCCTTCTTAGAGGTAACCTTTTCAGATTCTGGGGTATTTCAGTTGATTGTTAAACCTGACTATAGCAATCATCTCATTCTGGCCACCTCCCACTTTAAAAGAATCTTTAGAGCCAATATCTAATTTCAAGGAATGAATCTCTTGCATTTGAATTTCAGGCATCAGGCTGGTGAGGGAGATACATGTTCATGCTCCTGGAATTGTGGATCATGGGTGATTAGCTCTCGCTATGTGGAAGAGACTAACCTACTTTCAATTAGCAGTTACCCCAGAAGCATTCCTCTCTCTAATCAGAGGCAGAGTGGGGAAATAGAAGAGGCAAGATGAGGGAAGCACAAGGATTGTCAGGGTCAGGTTGTAGTCTGTTCTCACACTGTTAATAAAGACATATCTGAGACTGGGTAATTTATATATATATAAAAGAGGCTTAATGGACTCACAATTCCACCTGGCTGGGGAGGCCTTACAATCATGGCAGAAGGTAAAGGAGAAGCAAAGGCATGTCTTACATGGTAGCAGGCAAGAGAGCTTGTGCGGGGGATCTTCCATTTATAGAACCATCAGATCTTGTGAGACTTATTCACTACCATGAGAACAGTATGGGGGAAACCACCCCTATAATTCAATTATCTCTACCTGGCTCCTCCGTTGACACATAGGGATTATTACAATTCAAGGTGAGATTTGGCTGGAGACAGGAATCTCATCTTATGGTGACATTACAAGTTCCTAGGTCTGAGTCAAAATAGTTTCGAATCTTTTTGTTTCCCACCTTGACTGCAGGTGCATAAAGAGGGGGAAAAGCCCAATGTCATTAACAGAAGAGAAGGACATAGGCCTACAAGCAGAGAAGCAGAAGTTAGAGCCCCTAGAAAGAAATGAGAGTATGATTGCTGCAGAAACCTGGGAGAGAAAAGATAGAAGCGGACATGGATGAACTAGATATAGGCTGTTGTAGGAAATGCATGAACAGTGATGGTGAGTGGGATGGTTTATTTGCGGAACTCATGCAGTATTGACTTCTTGACACATGTAGCTTCCATGGAATACCAGAAAACCAAAGGCATATTGTCATTTGCAGATGGAGAAGATGCCAAGTAGAAAATCTATAGACATGCCAAGAGGAAATGATCATTTTACTCATTTGGACTAATTTTTGGAAGAAGCAAAGTCAAATTAGCATCAGAAAGACTTAATCAGAATATTTTCATTCGAGTTATTTATTGCTGTGCAACAATTTACCCCAAAACTTTGTGGCTTAAAACAACAACAATTATTTTATTATGCTCATAGATTCTGTGGGTCAGCAATTTGGGGGATGCCTGGCTGGGTGGTTTTGGCTCTGGGTCTTATAAGTCATTGCAGTTACATGTGGCTGAAGCCAATGCAATGGGGGCTGGTGGGCTTGCTCTCTTTCTTCTTGAAGTCTTAGGGTCCTTCCCTGTAATTTGTACATGGACTAGTAGCCTCAGGGAAGTCAAACTGCTACATGAGGGTGCAACTCTTCAAAAGCATGTGTCCTAAAAGAATCAAGTGGAAGTGGAATTGCTTTCTATGCCCTCACCTGAGGTCACATTATATCACTTTCCCCATAGTTATAAGCTTACAGAGATTCAAGGGGAGGGAATATAGACCCTGCCTCTCAATGGGAGGAGGGTTAAAATCATGTTGTAAGTAAAGCCATGTAGGATGGAATACATCATTGTGGTCATCTTTGGAAAATGCTATTAGCTGCAATTTTAGAAATATTTATTTTTATAATTATTTTCAGATATGAGCAGAAATATACATGAGTTACAGAAAAATTTGCACAGTGAAGGACCTTGCACTGCCTGGGATTGTCCTTCACTTGCATCCAAACAGGCGCTGGGCAGCTTTGTATTCAGGCCCTTGTCCTTGTCTAACCCTTTGATTTTTATAAGGAGTTGTTAGTCTTGTGTCCAGCTCAGTTAATTGTCTGTTTGGAATCCTATTTCTCTTAACTGGTTGCAGAGAATATCCCATTCTTAGGTAGTGGCTGGCAGCTTTAAGCACCAGATGAGGGCTGCCCAATACTTATTGTAAGGACTGAATTCTGTCCCCTAAAATTCATATGTTGAAGTCCTAACCCCCAGTATCTCATAATGTGACTGCATTTGGAGACAGGGTCTTTCAAGTGATAATTAAGTTAAAAGGAGGCCTTTAGGGTGGATTCTAATCCAATACAACTCACCTTATAAGAAGAGAACATTTGAACACAGATGCACACGGAAGAGAAACCGTGGGAAGACACAGGGAGAAGACACCCATCTACAAGCCAAGGAGAGAAGTCTCAGAAAAGCCCACCTGCTGCCAACACCTTGATCTCAGACCGTGACTCTCCAATCATAAATTGACAACACTCAGTACATTTCTGTTGTTTAAGCCATCTAGTCTGTGCTATTTGTTATGGCAGCCCTTGCAAACTAATATACTTATTCAAGGTTTCAGCACATGAAAAGTATTTTGAGAGGTGCTTTTGAAGGTTCTATTTCTCTGGACCATGTTTTCAAATTTATTTTTATTTATTTTTATTTTTTGAGTCAGAATTTTGCTCTTCTCACCCAGGCTGTAGTGCAATGGTGCAATCTCAGCTCACTGCAACCTCTGCCTCCTGGGTTCAAGTGATTCTCCTGCCTCAGCCTCTTGAGCAGCTGGGATTACAACCATCCACCACCACGCCTGGCTAATTTTTGTATTTTTAGTAGAGATGGGGTTTAACCATGTTGCACAGGCTGGTCTCAAACTCCTGACCTCAGGTTATCCACCCACCTCAGCCTCCCAAATTGCTGGGATTACAGGTGTGAGCCGCCTTGCCCAGCCTCAAACTTATTTTTTTAAAGGAGCAGATGCCTTTTTTTCTCCAAAACTAAATGCAATTCTTTTATCTATAAAATATACAAATAGTGTTTTATTTGTATACAATTTGTTTAGAAATTTGAAATAGTTCCTTGTAACAAAGACACTCGATGGGAACAATGAAATGGTTTAAGTATACAAGTGCTCAGAAACCTACAGCATTTGGGCAAAAAGTAACAGCAGACTCCTTCACCTCTCCCCTGCCATGGAGACGTGCATTCTTCTTGCTCACAAAGTTCAGCATTCTGTTATGAGACTAGCACTTTAACCTATTTCCAGGCCAGAAAAATGGGAGGTGGAAACGTAGTATGCAACTCATCCAAGGTTGCTGATCTCCTCACCAAATGACTCTTGGCATCTACACCTAAGTTCTAGAGGAAGCCCCAAAGGGCCTGAACAAGACTGCACCTGAGTAAGCCTGCCTGGTGGCTATGCAGAAAGACATGTCATAATCTGCTGCTCTTGTAGTGCACAGTGAAGCAGGCATGGACTTTGGAGCCTGATGATTTAGCTGTGAATCTTAACTTGACCACAACTAGCCATGCAACCCCGGGCCAGATCTGTCACCTCTCTGAGTCTCAGTTTCCTCATCTGTAATAAGAGGGATTTGAACACCAGCCTTGTGGGTTCTTGTGAGGATTAAACAAATTAAAATCCGTGTTTACCCAGCACAGTGTTTGGCATATGGCTTATTAAATATTTATTTTTCTTACCCCTGGGAGAGCAAGTACAGGGCTCAAATGAGATAATGTAGATGGAAGTACTTTGTAGTCTGCGTACAGTCATCTCTGTGCCAGTTGGAACTGTGATGTGGTTTGACATTGACTCATTCCTGACCATGTGGGCCTGAAGTCAATGGAGTCTCATTTTTTCTTGGGTGAGAGAAAGGGGTAAAAACATCCAAAGGGGAACATGGGTGTGCTGGAGACTGTGAATGTGCTCAGTGTCACTTGTGCAGGCTTGAAAAACTGGTGGTCAGAGTGAATTTTGAAACTTTTTTTTTTTTTTTTGAGACACCGTCTCACTCTGTCGCCCAGGCTGGAATGCAGTGGCACGATCTCAGCCCACTGCAACCTCCGCCTCTTGGGTTCAAATGATTCTCCTGCCTCAGCCTCCTGAGTAGCTAGGATTACAGGTGCCCACCACCACACCCAGCTAATTTTTGTATTTTTAGTAGAGACGGGGTTTCCCCATGTTGGTCAGGCTGGTTTTGAACTCCTGACCTCGTGATCCGCCTTCCTCAGCCTCCCAAAGTGCTGGGATTACAGGCGTGAGCCACTGCACCCAGCCCTGAAAATGTTTTTATGGTGTAGCGGGCATGGTGGCTCATCCCTGTAATCCCAGTACTTTGGGAAGCTGAGGTGGGAAGGTCATCACTTGAGGCCAGCCAGGGCAACATAGCAAGACCTCATTTCTACAAAAAGTTTATTTATTTATTTATTTATTTATTTATTTATTTTTATTATTATTATTATACTTTAAGTTTTAGGGTACATATGCACAATGTGCAGGTTAGTTACATATGTATACATGTGCCATGCTGATGTGCTGCACCCATTAACTCGTCATTTAGCATTAGGTATATCTCCTAATGCTATCCCTCCCCTCTCCCCCCACCCCACGACAGTCCCCAGAGTGTGATGTTCCCCTTCCTGTGTCCATGAGTTCTCATTGTTCAATTCCAACCTATGAGTGAGAACACGCAGTGTTTGCTTTTTTGTCCTTGCGATAGTTTACTGAGAATGATGATTTCCAATTTCATCCATGTCCCTACAAAGGACATGAACTCATCCTTTTTTATGGCTGCATAGTATTCCATGGTGTATATGTGCCACATTTTCTTAATCCAGTCTATCATTGTTGGACATTTGGGTTGGTTCCAAGTCTTTGCTATTGTGAATAATGCCGCAATAAACATACGTGTGCATGTGTCTTTATAGCAGCATGATTTACAGTCCTTTGGGTATATACCCAGTAATGGGATGGCTGGGTCAAATGGTATATCTAGTTATAGATCCCTGAGGAATCGCCACACTGACTTCCACATGGTTGAACTAGTTTACAGTCCCACCAACAGTGTAAAAGTGTTCCTATTTCTCCACATCCTCTCCAGCACCTGTTGTTTCCTGACTTTTTAATGATTGCCATTCTAACTGGTGTGAGATGGTATCTCATTGTGGTTTTGATTTGCATTTCTCTGATGGCCAGTGATGGTGAGCATTTTTTCATGTGTTTTTTGGCTGCATAAATGTCTTCTTTTGAGAAGTGTCTGTTCATGTCCTTCGCTCACGTTTTGATGGGGTTGTTTGTTTTTTTCTTGTAAATTTGTTTGAGTTCATTGTAGATTCTGGATATTAGCCCTTTGTCAGATGAGTAGATTGCAAAAATTTTCTCCCATTCTGTAGGTTGCCTGTTCACTCTGATGGTAGTTTCTTTTGCTGTGCAGAAGGTCTTTAGTTAATTAGATCACAGTTGTCAATTTTGGCTTTTGTTGCCATTGCTTTTGGTGTTTTAGACATGAAGTCCTTGCCCATGCCTATGTCCTGAATGGTAATGCCTAGGTTTTCTTCTAGGGTTTTTATGGTTTTAGGTCTAACGTTTAAGTCCTTAATCCATCTTGAATTAATTTTTGTATAAGGTGTAAGGAAGGGATCCAGTTTCAGCTTTCTACCTATGGCTAGCCAGTTTTCCCAGCACCATTTATTAAATAGGGAATCCTTTCCCCATTGCTTGTTTTTGTGAGGTTTGTCAAAGGTCAGATAGTTGTAGATATGCGGCATTATATCTGAGGGCTCTGTTCTGTTCCATTGATCTATATCTCTGTTTTTGTACCAGTACCATGCTGTTTTGGTTACTGTAGCCTTGTAGTATAGTTTGAAGTCAGGTAGCATGATGCCTCCAGCTTTGTTCTTTTGGCTTAGGATTGACTTGGTGATGCGGGCTCTTTTTTGGTTCATATGAACTTTAAAGTAGTTTTTTCCAATTCTGTGAAGAAAGTCATTGGTAGCTTGATGGGGATGGCATTGAATCTATAAATTACCTTGGGCAGTATGGCCATTTTCACGATATTGATTCTTCCTACCCATGAGCATGGAATGTTCCTGCATTTCTTTGTATCCTCTTTTATTTCATTGAGCAGTGGTTTGTAGTTCTCCTTGAAGAGGTCCTTCACATCCCTTGTAAGTTGGATTCCTAGGTATTTTATTCTCTTTGAAGCAATTGTGAATGGGAGTTCACTCATGATTTGGCTCTCTGTTTGTCTGTTATTGGTGTATAAGAATGCTTGTGATTTTTGTACATTGATTTTGTATCCTGAGACTTTGCTGAAGTTGCTTATCAGCTTAAGGAGATTTTGGGCTGAGACAATGGGGTTTTCTAGATATACAATCATGTCATCTGCAAACAGGGACAATTTGACTTCCTCTTTTCCTAATTGAATACCCTTTATTTCCTTCTCCTGCCTAATTGCCCTGGCCAGAACTTCCAACACTATGTTGAATGGGAGTGGTGAGAGAGGGCATCCCTGTCTTGTGCCAGTTTTCAAAGGGAATGCTTCCAGTTTTTGCCCATTCAGTATGATATTGGCTGTGGGTTTGTCATAGATAGCTCTTATTATTTTGAGATACGTCCCATCAATACCTAATTTATTGAGAGTTTTTAGCATGAAGTGTTGTTGAATTTTGTCAAAGGCCTTTTCTGCATCTATTGAGATAATCATGTGGTTTTTGTCTTTGGTTCTGTTTATATGCTGGATTACATTTATTGATTTGCATGTCTTGAACCAGCCTTGCATCCCAGGGATGAAGCCCATTTGATCATGGTGGATAAGCTGTTTGATGTGCTGCTGGATTCGGTTTGCCAGTATTTTATTGAGGATTTTTGCATCAATGTTCATCAAGGATATTGGTCTAAAATTCTCTTTTTTGGTTGTGTCTCTGCCCGGCTTTGGTATTAGGATGATGCTGGCCTCATAATATGAGTTAGGGAGGATTCCCTCTTTTTCTATTGATTGGAATAGTTTCAGAAGGAATGGTACCAGTTCCTCCTTGTACCTCTGGTAGAATTCGGCTGTGAATCAGTCTGGTCCTGGACTCTTTTTGGTTGGTAAGCTATTGATTATTGCCACAATTTCAGATCCTGTTATTGGTCTATTCAGAGATTCAACTTCTTCCTGGTTTAGTCTTGGGAGTGTGTATGTGTCGAGGAATTTATCCATTTCTTCTAGATTTTCTAGTTTATTTGTGTAGAGGTGTTTGTAGTATTCTCTGATGGTAGTTTGTATTTCTGTGGGATCGGTGGTGATATCCCCTTTATCATTTTTTATTGCGTCTATTTGATTCTTCTCTCTTTCTTCTTTATTAGTCTTGCTAGCATCTATCAATTTTGTTGATCCTTTCAAAAAACCAGCCCCTGGAT
Source organism: Homo sapiens (assembly GCF_000001405.40). Taxonomy (NCBI): domain Eukaryota; kingdom Metazoa; phylum Chordata; class Mammalia; order Primates; family Hominidae; genus Homo; species Homo sapiens. Next base: position 56,528,738 of record NC_000018.10, on the reverse strand, counting down.
TCATTAATTTTTTGAAGGGTTTTTTGTGTCTCTATTTACTTCAGTTTTGCTCTAATTTTAGTTATTTCTTGCCTTCTGCTAACTTTTGAATGTGTTTGCTCTTGCTTTTCTAGTTCTTTTAATTGTGATGTTAGGGTGTCAATTTTGGATCTTTTCTGCTTTCTTTTGTGGGCATTTAGTGCTATAAATTTCCCTCTACACACTGCTTTGAGTGTGTCCCAGAGATTCTGGTATGTTGTGTCTTTGTTCTCACTGGTTTCAAAGAACATCTTTATTTCTGCCTTCATTTCGTTATGTACCCAGTAGTCATTCAGGTTCCATGTAGTTGAGAGGTTTTGAGTGAGTTTCTTAATCCTGAGTTCTAGTTTGATTGCACTGTGGTCTGAGAGACAGTTTGTTATAATTTCTGTTCTTTTACATTTGCTGAGGAGAGCTTTACTTCCAAGTATGTAGTCAATTTTGGAATAGGTGTGGTGTGGTGCTGAAAAAAATGTATATTCTGTTGATTTGGGGTGGACAGTTCTGTAGATGTCTATTAGGTCTGCTTGGTGCAGAGCTGAGTTCAATTCCTGGGTATCCTTGTTAACTTTCTGTCTCGTTGATCTGTCTGATGTTGACAGTGGGGTGTTAAAGTCTCCCATTATTAATGTGTGGGAGTCTAAGTCTCTTTGTAGGTCACTCAGGACTTGCTTTATGAATCTGGGTGCTCCTGTATTGGGTGCATATATATTTAGGATAGTTAGCTCTTCTTGTTGAATTGATCCCTCTACCATTATGTAATGGCCTTCTTTGTCTCTTTTGATCTTTGTTGGTTTAAAGTCTGTTTTGTCAGAGACTAGGATTGCAACCCCTGCCTTTTTTTGTTTTCCATTGGCTTGGTAGATCTTCCTCCATCCTTTTATTTTGAGCCTATGTGTGTCTCTGCACGTGAGATGGGTTTCCTGGATACAGCACACTGATGGGTCTTGACTCTTTATCCAATTTGCCAGTCTGTGTCTTTTAATTGGAGCATTTAGTCCATTTACATTTAAAGTTAATATTGTTATGTGTGAATTTGATGCTGTCATGATGATGTTAGCTGGTTATTTTGCTCGTTAGTTGATGCAGTTTCTTCCTAGTCTCGATGGTCTTTACATTTTGGCATGATTTTGCAGCGGCTGGTACTGGTTGTTCCTTTCCATGTTTAGTGCTTCCTTCAGGAGCTCTTTTAGGGCAGGCCTGGTGGTGACAAAATCTCTCAACATTTGCTTGTCTGTAAAGGATTTTATTTCTCCTTCACTTATGAAGCTTAGTTTGGCTGGATATGAAATTCTTGGTTGAAAATTCTTTTCTTTAAGAATGTTGAATATTGGCCCCCACTCTCTTCTGGCTTGTAGAGTTTCTGAGATCTGCTGTTAGTCTGATGGGCTTCCCTTTGTGGGTAACCTGACCTTTCTCTCTGGCTGCCCTTAACATTTTTTCCTTCATTTCAACTTTGGTGAATCTGACAATTATGATTCTTGGAGTTGCTCCTCGAGGAGTATCTTTGTGGCATTCTCTGTATTTCCTGAATCTGAATGTTGGCCTGCCTTGATAGATTGGGGAAGTTCTCCTGGGTAATATCCTGCAGAGTGTTTTCCAACTTGGTTCCATTCTCCCCGTCACTTTCAGGTACACCAATCAGGCGTAGATTTGGTCTTTTCACACAGTCTCTTATTTCTTGGAAGCTTTGTTCTTTTCTTTTTATTCCTTTTTCTCTAAACTTCCCTTCTCACTTCATTTCATTCATTTCATCTTCCATCACTGATACCCTTTCTTCCAGTTGATTGCATCGGCTCCTGAGGCTTCTGCATTCTTCACGTAGTTCTCAAGCCTTGGTTTTCAGCTCCATCAGCTCCTTTAAGCACTTCTCTGTATTGGTTATTCTAGTTATACATTCGTCTAAATTTTTTTCAAAGTTTTTAACTTCTTTGCCTTTGGTTTGAATTTCCTCCTGTAGCTTGGAGTAATTTGATCATCTGAAGCCTTCTTCTCTCAACTCGTCAAAGTCATTCTCCGTCCAGCTTTGTTCCATTGCTGGTGAGGAACTGCATTCCTTTGGAGGAGGAGAGGCGCTTTGCTTTTTAGAGTTTCCAGTTTTTCTGCTTTGTTTTTTCCCCATCTTTGTGGTTTTATCTACTTTTGGTCTTTGATGATGGTGATGTACAGATGGGTTTTTGGTGTGGATGTCCTTTCTGTTTGTTAGTTTTCCTTCTAACAGACAGGACCCCCAGCTGCAGGTCTGTTGGAGTTTGCTAGATGTCCACTCCAGACCCTGTTTGCCTGGGTATCAGCAGCGGTGGCTGCAGAACAGCAGATTTTCATGAACCGCGAATGCTGCTGTCTGATCGTTCCTCTGGAAGTTTTGTCTCAGAGGAGTACCCGGCCGTGTGAGGTATCAATCTGCCCCTACTGGGGGGTGCCTCCCAGTTAGGCTCCTCGGGGGTCAGGGCTCAGGGACCCACTTGAGGAGGCAGTCTGCCCGTTCTCAGATCTCCAGCTGCATGCTGGGAGAACCACTGCTCTCTTCAAAGCTGTCAGACAGGGACATTTAAGTCTGCAGAGGTTACTGCTGTCTTTTTGTTTGTCTGTGCCCTGCCCCCAGAGGTGGAGCCTACAGAGGCAGGCAGGCTTCCTTGAGCTGTGGTGGGCTCCACCCAGTTCGAGCTTCCTGGCTGCTTTGTTTACCTAATCAAGCCTGGGCAATGGCGGGCGCCCCTCCCCCAGCCTCGCTGCCAACTTGTAGTTTGATCTCAGACTGCTGTGCTAGCAATCAGCGAGACTCCGTGGGCGTAGGACCCTCCGAGCTATGTGCGGGATATAATCTCCTGGTGCGCTGTTTTTTAAGGCCGTCGGAAAAGCGCAGTATTCGGGTGGGATTGACCTGATTTTCCAGGTGCTGTCTGTCACCCCTTTCTTTGACTGGGAAAGGGAACTCCCTGACCCCTTGTGCTTCCCGAGTGAGGCAATGCCTTGCCCTGCTTTGGCTTGTGCAAGGTGCACTGCACCCACTGTCCTGTGCCCACTGTCTGGCACTCCCTAGTGAGATGAACCCGGTACCTCAGATGGAAATGCAGAAATCACCCGTCTTCTGCATCACTCACACTGGGAGCTGTAGACCGGAGCTGTTCCTATTCGGCCATCTTGGCTCGAGAAGTCTACAAAAAGTTTTAAAGAATAACCGGGTCTGGTGATGTACACCTGTAGTCCTAGCTACCCCAGAGACTGAAGTGAGAGGATCAGTTGAGACCAAGAGGTTGAGGCCACAGTAAGCCATGATTGCTCCACTGTACTGCAGCCTGGGTGACGGAGAGGGACCCGTCTCTAAAACAATAGTGATAATAAAGTAAAATAAAATGTTTCTTCTCAGTTACCAAGTCACTAGTTTTATGAAGGATTTTGGAATGTAATAGACCGCTCAAGAGTTCATGTCTTATCCGAAACACCAAAGGGATTTATGTCAGAATCTGACCATATAATTTCCCAGGTCATCACATTTGCCATTTGGACACTGGCATATTAAATATTATTTAATAAAGTTAGGTTATAGCTAAGAGTCTGTTTTATGGATTTGCCACATCCAAAAAAGGTATTTGTATTGGAAATTTTGTTTAAATCTGCAAAGAACATAGCCATTGGGATGTAGAGAACAGATGGGCCCGAACAGGGCTATTTTCCTTGAGCAATCCTGAATTAGCATCATAGATATTGAAGATGGCATAAGCTAATGTTGCCCTCTGCCAAGAGGGGCAGCTGTGTCCACATGAGCTTCTCACACCCACCTGGGGACCCCCACACTGTGGCCGGGCTCTCATAGTTCATCTTTGCCTCTCTTGTCTGTTGTTTCTGCCAATCATGTACCTTCTGGACTTTTGTCCGTCTTCATTATAGACATCACCCCATCTCCGCCAACACTATGAAGTCATTCTTTTCCTTAAAGCCTCTCTCAAAATGGAAGAATTCCATGTGATAAGCATTCATAAAGTTTTCTCCCTAGTTTTGCAATTTACTCGGCTGCCTTCTGCAAACAATCTTCCCTTTCTCTTGTCTTTCTGTTGGTTGGTTGGGCCTCGAATGCTCCCATCTCTGGCATGTAATGTGTGGATAGGAATGAGCAGGTGGGATAAATACTTGCGTAAAGTTGCCACCTGCTCCTTTGCCTGACATCTGCCATTTAGGGATTCATTCTATGGGACTTTGCAGATTTTCCACTCTATGGTTTTCGTTATCTTGCAAACTCCCCTGGGAGCTGTTCACCTTACCAAGATCTTGGGCAGCTGCTGATAGGGCAGTGGGGCCTGCAAGTGAGGATAAGCATCTAAGGGAAACTGGATGGGAATGGGTCTTCTTTAAGGAAACAGACCATGATGTGGGTGGCAGGAAGAGTCCAAAATCTCTCCTTCACAAGTTTCCTAGGGTTCCAGACTGAACTATGAGGAAGTATTAATTAAATGCTTTGCTTTGACTTCTAAGTATAGGAAAATCAAATTGGCTCAGTGTGAGAGTAAAGCAGGAAGAAGGGCATACTTGTTTATTTCCATTTTGACTAAAGTGTGTGTGAGTGTGTGTGTGTGTGTGTGTGTGGCGCATGCATTCACCCCAAAACAAGTGACAGCAATTGGTATTAGTGATCTGAGGGAGGTAATGTTGAGAAAGTGTGGGAGACTCTTTGAATCAGCCCATTCTTAGTGAGCTGGCACTAACAGGTATGGTGAGGACTATAAAGAGATGTAAGAAATTATGCCTGCTCCCTGAAAACCTTTCATTTAATGGGGGAGACCAGATGTCCAGAGAGAAAGGTAACTTTGCAATCGGTAACTTGTGTTTAGAGCCATACCAGATACAATAAGCACCTTGGAATTCAGAGGTGGGCTGGGCTGGTTAGGGGAGGCTTCACAGAGAAGGAGATGACCCTTGAAATGGGCTTTATAGGATGTGGGAAGAAGTGAGGCTCAGAACGACAGGAATGAAAGCAGAATATTCCAGACAGAAGAAAGCAGAAATACCCAGGGTTTATCTGGAGGGGAGAGAAGCAATTCAGCTGGCACTCAGGGTTTGTGGAGGAGATTAAGGGAGGGGAAGCCAGGAGAAGAGAGAGATTAGTTGAGGTAGCACTGTGGGGAGCCTTTGGTGCCCAAAAAGTGGAGGCTGGAGAAAGGCAGATATGAAATGGTTGTGAAGCAGGAAGCCGGAAGTGCCAGCGCTCACTGGGGAAGGTGGTTTGGCTTCCCATGAGGGCCAGGCCTTAGTTAACATCCTGAGTCAGCTATGGTTCCTAAGTTTAGAGGAGGAACTGGGCTGAGTAAGAGGGAATAGGGGTGCACTGTCTGTGGCAGTAGGGACTTCTGTGACCCCTTGTAGAGCTGGACTTTTGTGGACCACCCTGGAGAGGTTTGCTCTGACGCCCTAGGGAGGTCAACACCAATATTTATAGAAGGGTCAGAGGAATAGGCAGACCCAGAGACTCTCAAGGGCTGGCCATTGCTGCTGCTTCTTTTTCTTAAAAAAATATTATTACGTTCAGATTTTTTTCTATTATAATTTCAAGCTTGAACTAAACTTGCATGACTAGTACAAAGCACTTTAAAAATTCTAAACTATTTGAGAGTACATTGCTAGCTTGATGTTCCATCACTTCCAAATGCAACCATGAGTAATCCCTGCAAACCAGGACATTCTCCTGCATAGCACAAGACAACCACCAAAGTCAGAAAGTCAACACTGACCCATTGCTAATGCCTGATCCTCAGAGCTCATTTGACTTCTGGCGATTATCCCAATACTGTCCTTTCTAGTAAGAGGATACAGTTCAGAGTCACACTTTGCATTTATAACTCTGCCTCTCGAGTAGGGAAGAAAGGAAGAGAGGAAGGGAGGACAGAAGAAGGAAGGAAGCTCCTTTTAGATTTCTCAGACCATTAGGCCTTACAGAAAGTAGCAACAGACAATGTAATACTTTGTCTTCATTTTATTTTTACTTCCCGGTCATCATTCAGTTATCTGTCCAACAAAAAGGGAATGTGGTAGCATGGATAACTTTGGAACAATTTTGGATTTTTAAATGCATTTTCCAACAGTCTTGCAGGTATGTTTTTTCTTGGTTTCATTTAACTTCCATAAACACATAGATCAGAGATGTGCTGAGTAGAAGTAGAATCTAGTTCTTGTGATCTGTTAATACTTCCAAAAGTAGACAACTGGGATTCTTTTACACAGCATTTATTCCCAAAGTGGGTCAGCTGAACCTAAGCACAGTCCCTAAGACCTTGCTTCCAAGCTAGACCTGAGCAAACTCATTTGTAAGGAGTGGCAATTGCTCCTTTGGCTTCATCTCAGTACAGAGTCTCAGATTTACTGTAATTGTTTATTTCACATAGCTTTCATCCTTCATTTTGCCGGTAATTCATGTGGAGTGTAACATGCATCTCTGAGTGATTTCTTGCCCCCAAACTTGCCTTCCTTTGATATGATTGTTTATTTCCCGAATTAAAAAAAAAAAAGGGAATTTTCAGACAAGGTACAGAAGCCACCCTTCATCTCCTTTTGGTTTGAATTCTTGACATCATTCATTCGTCCATTTCATGAGCATATACTGCTGCCATACATGGGCACACATCTATGAATAATAATAATGTTTATTTTCAAGGAGCTTGCCATTTGAGCTGGGGAGAAGAGCACATGTGAACATGACCTTTGCAGTAGATACTGACCATACCAAGAGGAGGCCAGAAAAAGTGCCCTGGCTTTGATCACCAGGGAGGGCATTGTGGAGAGTGTGCATTGAGTTGGAGTGCATTGAGTGAATGGGGCAGACAGGGGCCTTTGCTTTCCAGTAAAGTTGGAGACTCCACCAAGGAACAAATGAATTCCTCCGGCCATATTTAATCAAAACTCTGATGATATTCACCTCAGTTCTTTAGTGTTAGGAAGGGGCACATTAGGCAGTATCTAGATTCATAGAATTCATAGCATCCTGGACTCCCAGGAGGAGCATAACCTTCCATAGTAATTTAACATGCTCATTTTACAAACAAAAAAATGGACGCCCCAAGAGATGAGGTTTGTCAACTCAGGTAGCCCTGCTGAGCTGAAAGCAGACCTCAGATCTCCCAACTGTTCATTCCACCATCCCCTGTGCCCACAAAAGCCAGGCTCCCTGTGGCTCAGAGGCCGAGCTGGCCACCTTGTTGCTGAACACAGGGAGGGAGGGGCTGAGGAGTCCTTGGCAGTGCTCCTGTGGTGTTCATTTGAATCCATGCATGCAGAGGGACGGGAAACACCCTAGGCTCTCAGTTCTGTGGCTGCCTCCCTAAAGGGAGAGGAGAGTCCCGTAGGGTCTAGGGAGGGATTGCAGAGTGGGGATCAGGCAAGAAGCTGGGGATGTGGGAGAGAGGTGCTGCCTTGCAGATACACTGGACAAAGATTTTCCTAGTCCTCTGACCAATGGGTCTTCTCCTCTAAACCTTTTTTTTTTTTCTTGACCAGCCTCTTTTCTTTCCTTTCACAATTCCTCCTTCTTACTAGTTAAAATCTATCTTTTGTTTTTGTGGCTGAGTGCAGTGGCTTACACCTGCGATCCCAGCACTTTGGGAGGCTGAGGCGGGCGGATCACTGGAGGTCAGGAGTTTGAGACAAGCCTGGCCAACTTGGTGAAACCCCATCTCTACTAAAAATACAAAAATTAGCGAAATGTGGTGGTGTGTGCCTGTAATCCCAGCTGCTTGGGAGACTGAGGCAGGAAAATCACTTGAATCCAGGAGGCAGAGATTTCAGTGAGCCAGGATTGTGCCACTGCACTCTCGCCTGGGCCACAGAGGTAGACTCCATCTCAAAAACAAACAAACAAACAGCCTTTTTTTTTAATGCCTTTAATTTTGGAATAATTGTTTATTCACAGAATGTTTTAAAAATAGTATAAACAGGCCCCATGTACCCTTCACTCAGCTACCCCTGATGGTTACATCTTATGTAACTATGTACAATTGCCTGCCTGTTTTAAAAACCTTAAATTCCTCCCCCTTCCACATCCCTCTCCCTCAGCATCATTGGTCCACCTAGCATAGGGCTTAAGATCTTTCTCAGACAAACATCTCATGCCTATAACACAAGAGCAATTTAGCCTAGATCCAAAGGTCCCTACTCTCAGTGAGGGGAGGGGAAATTATGATACAATTGTCTTAGCAAATTCTAAAGGGAAATACAGGTATAGACAGGATTATTCTGAAAATACTAAACCATGGCTGCCATATTTAGTGAAGACTGAATGTATCCTTAGATTTGGGAGCCAAGACTTGATTTGGTTTAGTCCCCTGGTGAGGGTGGTACTGAGTGAAGCCTTTGTACCATTGAATAGAACCAGTAACAGAGTAGTGGGGCACAGCCGTGAAAGGAGTGAAGGAGAGTGGGGTCTTCTGCTCTTGCCTGTTTCTCAGTCTCATCCCTGCAGCTCACTCCCTCAAGCTATCCCTGCTGAGAACAGCTTCTTCATCATGTCTTCACCAAATCATGAACATCCAGAACTGGGCCGCTTTTTCCCAAAAAAGTCTGGGTCAGGAGCACTCCTTCAAGAAACATGTACAAACCTTGTCACTGTTCTCTCTCTTATCAAATTCATCTTGCTCAACACCACCAGGTCCATCTTTGAAAGCCCCACTTCCCTTGCACCACCCCCGGCTGAACATCTTCAGTAACAACCCTTTGGCTTTTGAACCTGTTCTGAAGCCTCCATGTTCATCTTCTTAGGGTCTTCCTGCAATCACAAATCACCTTCCCTCTCTAATTTCTATGTATACTTCCAGGTATGATCAGAGCCCCAACTTCTCCATCAACTAGGTCTCCCTTGATTATTCCAACCTGTAAGGAGAGTTCTGTTTAAGAATTCCCACTGTTGATTGCCTAGAGTGGCTCCTTGGCACTTAATACTGCTGTGTGTTGTTAGTTAATCTTTCTGTGATTGGATCCTCAACATAGCTATACCTTCCAACCTGCCACTACTGCTGAGAATAATTTTCTAGCTGTCTGTGTCAGTCCTGTGTCTGACACTCAGGAGGCAAGCCCTGGGTTGGAGTTTTTGGGTGGACCTGCCACATTCCTTTACTCTGTGTGCCAGTGGGAAGAAGAAAGAATGTCTTGTGGCTTTAAAAGTGGAGGTAAGGATGCCTTTAGGGAGCATCGGGAATCACCTGGGGAAGGTTTTCTCTAGTAATAAGGGTGTTTGGTTGCGAGGGAGCCAAACAGGACAAATGCCACTAAATGTTCACCATACTTATATAGGACATTGAAAATTTATTCTCTCCTTTCTTTCCTTTCCTTTCCTTTCCTTTCCTTTCCTTTCCTTTCCTTTCCTTTCCTTTCCTTTCCTTTTTCTTTCTTTCTTTCTTTTTCTTTCTTTTCTTTCTTTTTCTTTCTTTTCTTTCTTTCCTTTCTTTCTTTTCTTTCTTCCTCTCTCTCTCTCTCTCTCTCCCTCCCTCCCTCCCTCCCTCTGTCTCTCTCTCTCTCTCTCTCCCTCTCCTTCCGTCCTTCCTTCTTTCCTTCCTTCCTTCCTTCCTTCCTTCCTTCCTTCCTTCCTTCCTTCTCTCTCTCTCTTTCTTTCTTTTTTGAGAAAGAGTCTCACTCTGTTACCCAGGGTGAAGTGCAGTGGCACCATCTCAGCTCACTGCAACCTCCACCTCCTATGTTCAAACGATTCTCGTGCCTCAGCCTCCTGAGTAGCTGGGACTACAGGTGCATGCCACCATGCCTGGCTATTTTTTGTTTGTTTGTTTTAAGTAGAGATGGGGTTTCACCAAGTTGGCCAGCTGGTCTTGAACTCCTGACCTTAAGTGATCCGCCTGCCTCGGCCTCCCAAACTGCTGAGATTACAGGTGTGAGCCACTGCACCCGGCCAGGACATTGAAAATCTCTGAGTCCCAGTTTTCTTATGTTTGAACTGAAAATAATAATATTTATCAAACAAGGTTGTTTTAAAGATTAAATAAGGTGATATGTGCAGTCCCATACTGCCTGGCATAAGTGAGCACTTAACAAATGTGAGCCCTTCTCTCCTACTGTTAGTTCCTTAATCCTTTATCAGGAAGATTTTTTCCCATTACCCTTTAAGCTACTAATCTGGACATAGTAACTTTAATGGAAATCTCTAATGACAATTCCCTTCTAGTCTTTTGTGTGTGTCTATTTAAATGGCTCCAAGTCTCCTTTGCAACAAAAGATAGTGACAGCCTGCTTTTATTTTATTTTATGATATGCCTTCCTTAAATGAAAATTACCACTTATGACCTTCACTGATTTTTATTTTATTTCATTTCTTCTTGCTGATTTTGAAATTCCGGGTGGATGAGGACTAGTTGGGTTTTATGGTTTGGGGCGGCATCTGTCTCCCTGTCTATTATAATTGGTAGCACCAAGGGGACTTGGAGAAGAAGAGCTGAGGGCACTATTGACTTGACGGAAGATGCGGGCATCGTTACAACTGGCAAAGTCATGGGTAGATATGAGTCTGTGGTCTCAACTGAGTAACTAGCGGTAAACCAAGAATTGATTCTGTTGCTAGGGTCAAATTTTTCCAAAGGGCAGATGGAAGTGTTCAATTGAATATCATCCTCAGGTCACAAACGCCGCTCTTTTCCCACCCAACTGTAGGTGTTCCTTCAATGGCCCCTTATTATCTTGACGCGTTTTCGACAAATACCCACTCCAGGTTTGGGACCCTGCTGCTGTTTTTGTTGTGAATAACCTTTACAAACAAGTCATGCTGAGGAGATGAGTCATTTAATCACAGTCTGCGTGGACCCCACCAGCCAGTCCCCAGCCTGCGGGGCTGAGGTTGAGGGGGCTGCGCTGTGATGTCAAGGAAGGAAATGGGGAGCAACTTCTCTCGCTCATCAAGAAAGTTACTTCTGGGCTGCCATCTGGCAGCAGAAATTACTTCTCCAAAATAGCTAGTATAAGTTAATGGGGCCTAGAGTACAAATAACAGGCACATCAGCCACAACCTGGCCTGATTGGCTTCTTCTTATCATGCATGGAGACGTGACTCTACTGGATATGGGGTGGGAACTTTTTCCTTCATTTTTCTTTAATATCCCCACTGGGCCACTACATAAAAGGTTCATACATTCTATAACATGATACCTCTTTGATGCTTAACTCTTTACATATGGTTCCATGAGGGAGACTGGGTAGAGCTGCCAGATTCAAAGAGGGGCCACACGGAAGATCCAGGAGCTTGAAAACAGCTTGGCTTTATGGCTGTTCCTGTGAAAGCCTATCTCCCTTTGGATTTATGGCTCTCCTTTTATCTGTTTCCTCCCTTCTCAGACAATTGGACCACATGTCTCAGCTGCTGGTGCATCAGTAAATATTTTCTGAATGAATAAATGAGAAGAACTATTGCCAATGTGTATCAGGATGTGTAAGGGTGACCATGGAGAGAATGGATGGAGCTGACCCTTACTTAGACAGTGACCTAACGTGGGGGGACCTCGCTCAGCCCCTTGGAGAGGTGAACGGGAGTATTGGTAAAGAAGAGAGAAAATGAAGACACTTGGTTTTATGCCATCTGGGATAATGGGCTTCCTTTTTAGAGAAAGTGTTTAGGAAGTGGAAAGATAGGCCAGTAGGCATGCAAGGGGGAAAATATGTGTTTTAGAGCCAAACATAGTCCCCTGGCTTACAATGGTGATAAATAAAGGAATGAAGTAGATGGATGAGCCACGGCGAAGCACTAGATGATTCAGAGTTGGGAGCCAGCCACCTGAAGTCCTGGGGGGTTCTCGAGGTAGCTTGCTGTTCTAGAGACTTAATTACCACTGTAACTCATGACACATAATTGCATGTCAGATAGGCTAGTCTTCGTGCTGAACTGCAGCCTTTTGGAAATAAATGATGCTTATTCCTTTTTCTCCTGCAAACTGACCCACTAGATTTCTAATATACATCTTATTGTTCCTCTTTCTTATCCTAGTTCTTCAACGGAAATAGCAGCAGTGGCACGATTTCATGTAGAATTCACATAAAACTTGTGGAATCATAAAATCTTAAATTTTTAGAGTATATTTGAGAGCTAATCTTAATTGCAAAAGTCCCTTGAAGTTGATTAAAATAAAGAAGCAAGTCAAATTTTCAGGGAACCTCAGTTTTAAAATACATTCAATCTAATTTTAATTTAGGAACTTTGTAATCTCTTTTTTTTCTATAAAGAGATACTTCTTTTTTTTTTTCCTGTCTCACCATGTTAGATCCAAATCCCACTAGAGTGTGAGGAATTGTGAATAGAAAGTAGGTAGTTTCCTTTGAAAGAGAAAGTTGAAGATGGAACCCAAAGGCATATAGAAAAATCTGGAGGAGTTTTATTACTTAATCATGTCATTGTTTTACTGAACAGAGCATGACTGGTCCTTACATTTTTAACATCTGTTTTTTTTTCAAATAGCCTTCATTACCCTGTGTTCATTAATTTAATTAAAAGGCTCATGATTATCATCAAATTCCTGAATACGAGGCCAGATGTTTTGAAAATTATTTTCTAATGTAGGAGTTTCTCACCTTTTCTTAAAGATATTTCTTGTGTCCCCTTATTAACCTAAGAGCATCTAAGAAGACCGAAGCAAGGAGAAGTCTGTTGGTGGAGATTTATATTTATAGTCCTTGATGAACTGAATACATTTACAAGCTGCATTTTGAAATCATAATAATCTCATGTAAAGCAATCAAAATTCCAAAATCATCTAATCAAGAATGACATCAGAGGCAAACAGTCTCTAGATGGAGTAGGTATAATTCCCTCTGTAAATCTTACATTCAGAGCAGATGTTCTAATTCCGTGGATTAAGTCAGGAAGTGTTGAGCTAAGTTGTCCACAAGACAGTTATTTAGAAAAGGTGAACTAATATGAACTTGAGTTTCTTAAACAGAAAGACAGGGAAGTCATTCATAATCCATGCCTTCCTCCCCTAGCTTATAACCATCCTCTCTCAGTCAGCTGAGGGGAATTGGGCTGCCAAATAAAACAGAAAGGTCATTACCAAAGAGAAAGGGGTGCTTTCTAAGGACAGCCTTGGGGTGACGCAAGACCTGCAGAAGTGTGCATAGTCTTCTATGGGAGATTCTCTCCCTATTACTTGCCTTTTAGCTCTTTTCTATAGGATCAAGAACAAAAAAGAACAGCAGCAGGTTCTGCAGCTTTTCAATTCCAACGAGTAGCTATTTTGGTTCATTGATCAAGCAAGACATATGGATTCAGAAATACAAGATCTGTATGTTTTACTTCTGCCTCACATCGCATCATTTGGCATCTCAATTAGGTGGACCTCCTATGGCGGGAAAGAGGGTGTGGAATATATTGATATGGCCCTAGTTATTGCAACATTTGGGCCCTGGCCCCTGATCTAGAAACAGAACTGTCGGCTCCAAAGGTCTGTTGTTAACAGTTTATGCAGTGTTGTCAAAAGCTGCATTCATTCTTTACTGTTTTCTTATTGCTTTTATAAAAAATATTTACAGATTTATTGCATACTTATTTTCCAAATGGATAGACATTTTTAGAAATGACATTTCTGAAAGTGCAGAAGCTATCTGGCACATATACAGTGTATCGTACCATGTGTTTTCTGACAAGAGCATCATCGAAACTGTCTCCGTAGTTTATCTGATGAAACTCGATTGCAATACGTTGTATCAAGTTTATGGCCCCATTCTTCTCCTCTATGCTTTTTATTTTTACATCTGACATAGAGAAAATGGCAAGATTTTCTTTATTCCCTAGCAAACGAATCTGTAAAAACCACAGAAACTTCTCTCTTCTTCACCAATGAAGAGGGAGATCTTGCATTCCACAGCTTGTCCCCTCTGCTAGAGAATTTATTTTGAGACACATTGTCTGTATATTGTCTTTCCTTTTAAGGAAAGGAGAAAGTCATGTAAAAAACCGTAAGTTGTCTTAATGCTTAAACTGTAAATTATTTTTTAAAATGCCTGTTATTAGACAAAGGGTGCTACAACATAAGAGTCTTGTGGATTATATGGTTGTCATAGCATAATGTGAAGCTGCGGCCATTTCTGTGACAGACTACAGAAGAGTTCCAATACCTGCAGAAAAATAGATACAATGACATCTCGGAATTATAGGATAGTGGAGCAGAATAGGACAACACCTTATTTTATTATTGTATTGTCTTGGTTTTGAAAGAATCATGTATTTTGGTTGTGAAGTACCTTTTTTTCCAATTAAAGGTTCAGAGTTTAAAGGAATATCTATAAAAATATCCACGAAAACCTAGGAATAACATTGCAACCTCTGTGTGACTTAGATTCTGTTTATAAGGGGTTGATCTGGATAGTTCATGGCAGCAATCAAGGTGTCTGTGTTTATAATTGTTAACTCTTGACTTTGTTTGAAATGATATAGCAGACATAGCCTATGATAATTTTTTTGACCTGTTTTGTTCCTGAAAGAATCTGCAATGGCAAGTCAGCTACACCATTACAGGAGAAGGAAGATAAAAGACAGATTTTACATGTCTATTAATATTAAAACTGTAACTAGGACTAGTGGGTGAATATTTCAAGGAGGGAGACTTTGATGAATTAGAAGGAAAACTTTCCAACCATAGAAGCTTTTAACCATAAAATAGCCTCTTGGAAAGAGAGCGAGCCCCTGTTAATAGATGTGTTCAGACAGGTTGATTACCCAAGACTAATTTTGAAGGGATTTTTTGCATTGTATTAACTTATATCTTTTTTTTTTTAAGACAGAGTCTCACTTTCTCACCTAGGCTGGAGTGCAGTGGCACGATCTTGGCTCACTGCAATCTCCGCCTCCCAGGTTCAAGTGATTTTCCTACCTTAGCCTCCTGAGTAGTTGGGATTACAGGTGCCTATCACCATGCCCAGCTAATTTTTTGTATCTTTAGTAGAGACGGGGTTTCTCCACGTTGGCCAGGCTGGTCTCGAACTCTTGACCTTAGGTGATCCACCCGCCTTGGCATCCCAAAGTGCTGGGATTACAGGCGTGAGCCACCGCACCCGGCCTGCATTAACTGATATCTTAGGGCTCAATCCACTGCAAGCATTTTAAGAGTCAGTGTTCTATTAATTTACATATGTAAAATTTCATTAAAGTAGGATTTCATCAATTTGTAATTTGGAATAATTGAGCTGAAATCTTTCATTATGTAGCACATATTTTTTCTTTTTAAAGAGAGTATAAATAAGATTAGAGGAATATTTTTAAAACACTTGAAATATGCTTCTGTGTTTAAATGCTCTAGAAGCATCAATTTATTTAGGAAAATACTCATTATAAATCATTTATTAAAGTATTGATCTCTATTGGCTAATACCTCTTAGTATAAACTTGAAAGTAATCCAACTATTCCTTTGAACATGCTCTAATAAAAAGACTTTTTTTCCTTCTAAAATAAGTCTAGTTAATGTCACTTTACATATATCTATGTTCATATTTTAAAGAATAATTTTTAGGCCAGGCATGGTGGCTCACGCCTGTAATCCCAGCACTTCGGGAGGCCGAGGCTGGCGGATCACAAGGTCAGGAGATCAAGACCATCCTGGGTAACACGGTGAAACCCCATCTCTACTAAAAAATACAAAAAATTACCGGGCGTGGTGGCAGGTGCCTGTAGTTCCAGCTACTTGGGAGGTTGAGGCAGGAGAATGGCGTGAATCCAGGAGGTGGAGCTTGCAGTGAGCCGAGATCGCTCCACTGCACTCCAGCCTGGGTGACAGAGTGAGACTCCTTCTCAAAAAAAAAAAAAAAAAAAAGAATAATTTTTAAAAAGGTAAAACCATGACAAGTTTAAAATAAACACATGCTAATGATTTTATGTAACTCACTAACTAATAAGGGAACCAGAAAAGTGTTACAACTGGTTCCAAGTAGACTCCAAAGACCAGATGTATTTATAGGTTATTAAGAAAGCCAGGATGAATTCGTTTAGGTAGATGCAAAACTGGCTTCTCTCACAGTGGGAGAGGCAAGCCAACAGAACCTCCTCTGGACAGATTTTGCCTATTTATGGACAGGAATTATTTGCATTATTACCAGACTTCTACAAGTTAACTTATATCTCTTCAAAGTTGTCAAATAGCCTAGTCAAGAAGAATAAAATGCAGAGAAAAACAGAATGGATGAAACAGAAATACTACCAAATTTAAAACCTTTTCCAGCTTTTCCTTACTCACACACCCCCCACACACATTGAGCCATATCATGGGGAAATTATAGTGATGCTATGTTAGACATAGTATCCCTATCTGTTGATATTAAACCAACCACTTCTATGTTCATAACTCAAGTAGATTTCAGCAGTTCAGTTCACCTCACTTTCTACTCCCAAATCCTAACCATGTGGTGAATATTATGTCCAAGAGCACAAGCTTTATTTTCAAGATGAGTAAGATGATGACACAGAGGATGGAAAGGCCAGTCAACCTTCTCAGGTGCATGTGTTCCGTGGAGTGCTGAACTTCAGCCCTGATTTGGCATACTTCTTCATTTTTTTGAGTTTCAGATAAATAATACAGGAAAAGCTTCACCAATGATGTCACTGGTAGGTAAGAGATAATGAAACTAATTGGGCAGGAAAACCCCATCTAGTTCACACAATGCCTAAATGACAGCTGTCTTTTCAAGGGAATCATGTTGGGGCATTGAACAGTTAGTGGCCTTAAGAGCTTGAGTACATTTTTTGATTATTCTCAAAGATATGACAAGGTTGAACGTTACCTGAGTCCTGTGCTTTCAGAAAAAGTGTGGTTAAGAAATCCCCCAGTCGGCTGGGCACAGTGGCTCATGCCTGTAATCCCAGCACTTTGGGAGGCTGAGTTGGGAGGATCCCTTGAGCCCAGGAACTCAAGACCAGCCTGGGCAACAAAAGCAAACAAACAAACAAATAAACAAAAAGAGAGAAAGAAACCTCCCAATTGTCTTGAGTTCCAGGGAATGACTAACCACAAAGTATGATCATGCCCTGTAGATTCTGAGATAAGACCTGTTTTTATCCTTTTTCTTGACCCATAAAATACTCTCAGATGACTCCATTTTCTACCTGCCTCTGTAAAACCCTTTTCTTTGGGATGCTGTTCCTTTTCTTCGAGATATGCCTTATAATAAACATTCTCCCTATTGCCAATAGCCTGAATAAAATCATCTTCCCCATTGTCTGATGCATTTTGGAGAAGTTGGAATTATATTTTTGTCATATGAGCATAAATTTGGTTTCTGGAAATAATACAAATCATAAAGAGGCAGATATGGTAAAGAGGTGAGTGGGCAGGGTATATTGCCATTTTGGGTAAAAACCCTGGTTTTAAAGTGTAGATGATGATTTTCTTGTGTGATATATAAACAAACTGGGAAAAGCAAAAAACGTTGAAACCACAATCCAAGCAATGGCAATTATATTGAATAAGTTATAGCCCCCTGGGCAAACATATTGAGAGGGCACCACTAATTTTTTTTCTGAAACCATGAATTATTAAGTATAATTTCTGGTTTATTAAAGGAACCAGTGCTATTTACCTCTATGTTCCTCAGTCCTTATTTGTAAAACTAAGGGGTTGGGCTAGATGATTGCTAATAGTCTTTAGCTCTTTAATCCTGTGAGCTCTTTGGTTATTACCGAGTTCAGCTTTTTTAGTAGAATTGGAATTGCATTACTTGGCTTCAGAGTTTCCAGGTAGCTAAGCAGTGAAGACATTGAAGGGTTGATCTCTGTATCTCCTCATCATTCACCTCCAATCTGAAATATTGAATGAAAACTATTTTTATCATGCAATGTAGTTGCCAGAGCCTTTAAAAAGAGATTAGGTTTATATGCATTTAAAAAAGCCAATTCCACCAGGCGTGGTGACTCATACCTGTAATCCCAGTACTTTGCAGTGCTGAGGTGAGAGGACTGCCTGAGCCCAGGAGTTCAAGACCAGCCTGGGCAACATAGTGAGACCCTGTCTTTACAAAACTTACAAAAATTAGCCAGGCGTGATGGCTTGTGCCTGTAGTCCCAGCTGCTCTGGAGGCTGAGGAAGGAGGAACACTTGAGCCCAGGAGGTTGAAGCTGCAGTGAGCTGTGATTGCACCACTGCACTCCAGCCTAGGAAACAGAGCAAGAGTCTGTCTGGAAAAATAAAAATAAAAACCGAATTTCCTCAGTGAGGATCATTAAATACTAGGGTAGAGGCGGGCTGAAGGGAGAAATAGTTAAGCATGACATAGGCTGTAGAATATGAATATTGAAGTCTATTTTATTGCACTTTGTATATGCCAGGCACTGTTCTAAATGGTTTAAACTATGAATGCATATTTCCTATGCCCTATGCAGTAGGGCTACTGTTACCACCACCATTTTGCTATTGGAAAAACTAAGACACAGGAAGTGAGAATATCTTGCTGAAGGTCACAAAGTTGTAAGGGAGAAAGCTACAGTGTGGGGCCACATTGCCTGGTGCAGGATACTGACAACCCTGTCATTTTATAAATGTAGAAAGAATCTCCCATCCAACTATGCAAACTCAACATCCACAAAGGGACCAAACAGCAAGTCTCCTAGTATAGAGGCATTTAGAGGAATAAAGTGCCTAATCCAAGGTCATAAAATAACTTGTCCTTGAAACCAAGGAAGCCATTGTCTCTTCATTTTCAACTCCAAACTTCTCACTCATTGCTAGTTTATTCCTGCAGCTGACACTGTGGAGAAAAATGAGTCTCTTTTAAGAGTTTCTTTCCTAGAGCTTGTCACCCTGCAGAATTCTTTAATGTTTCAAGCTCATGATAATATGTGGTCTTTGCTAGAACTCCTGTGGCTTGACACCGGCCTATACTAGAGATTATGGCAGCTTTTGTTTTCTTAGAAACCTGGCCGCTCTTGGAATTTAGGCTTGAGAGAACAGAAGTGAGATTGGTTTGGCTCCAACAAAGCAGTGAAGTGTAACTAATACTGTGTTATTAGCACAGGGTGAAATTTTCAACTTTCCGTATCTTGATGAAACATAGACAATAAAAATTGCTCAGTGACTGTTTCTAACCTTTCTAACCTGTATTTTACTCCCCAAGACCACGAGCCACTTTGCATTCACAGACAATAAGCTAGAGGGTTTGAAAGTGTGCCACTCATGGTGAAGGACAGCTTCCTCTAAACTAAACAGCTACATTTGGCAAATTTAGGTCTCAAGAAGCCTGAAAATTTTCCAGGTACTGAAATGTTCTTCTTAATGACAGATTAAAATAGTTGTCAAGGCTCTGATGGGGTGAAACTCTGTCATTAAGAAGTTCTGAAAAAGCTAAGAAACTGCGCTGGTCAAGTCCCCAAGTGTGATAAGAAAACATTTTCTGCATCCCCGTGGATATTTAATTAATCTAATTGTTTTGAGATGTTCTATTTTAAAATACAGTAGGAATAAAACAATACAATGTATTAAAATCACAGTGGTCTTAGTCAAGGCCCATTAACATTGCAAATATAGAAATCTATACACATATCTTTATTCGGGGTTTGTCTAGTTTTTCTCTCCTTTAGGCATTTCGGAAGGCTTGGAATATGGTGTATGACTTTGAAATGCACTTTCTAGCTGTCGGGAATTAAGTGATCAGGGACAGTGTGTTTTTGCATTATACAAGAGAAAAAAGAATGCAGTTTGTTGCTGCCTTATATTTTTCTTCTTTGGTGGAAATAGAAAGCTGTGGGAAGAATCAAGACCAGTTCACGGCCTAATAATGAGATCAGGTTGAAGATACTCTCTTTGGTGGATTCCTCAGAGCTCTCCTTCCCCCCATTCCCAAGCCCCACTGTAGTGTTGGGTCCAGGAAGAGGTCCACCCTGGAATTCCCCAGGTTCCTGATTTGTCAACTGGCTGTTTCCTGATTGCAGGACATTTTGGCTTGAGAGGAAAATACCTAATGAAGGTCAGGGAGAGAACACTCAGGCCTTGTACTAGTTTGTTTTCATGCTGCTGATAAAGACATACTCGAGATTGGGTAATTTATAGAGGAGAGAGGTTTAATTAACTCACAGTTTACCATGGCTGGGGAGGCCTCAGGAAACTTACAATCATGGTGGAAGGGGAAGAAAACACATCCTTCTTCACATGATGGCAGAAAGGAGAAGTGCCAAGCAAAAGGGAAAAAGCCCCTTATAAAACAATCAGATCTCGTGAAAACTCACTCACTATCAGGAGAATAGCATGGAAGTAACCGCCCCCATGATTCAATTACCTCCCACTGGGTCCCTCCTGTGACACATGTGGATAATGGGAACTACAATTCAAGATGTGATTTAGGTGGCAAAACAGCTAAACCATATCAGGCCTCTAGTGGAAGGTGGCAGGGGGAAAACTGTGTAATGAAGCATCTGAAAACAGAAACTATAGTTCCAGTGTAGCCCTGACTCCAGACTTTGAGCAAAACATTTAAATCCATTTTATCACTTGGAAAAATAAGGGAGTCGAACTTGTTAGTAGTTCTCAAACTTTACTTTTAGCCTCAAGATTCATTCTTTAAAGGAAAACTTATACATAAGAATAGTAAGATCAAGAGTCAAAGTGGTGTTGCTCTGTTTGAATGGGAAAAATACTTACCTCCTGGGGCTCTCCTTCATCTTATGCTCCATCCTCGACCCCATTAGCCCCAGAAGGGTTCTAAGGAACATGATTGAAGACCTAGACGGGGTGTATGTTGAAGACTCTGAATGATTCTCCCCACTGTGGGATGCAAATATAAAGAGAAGGTTTTTCCTTCCATGTGCTGAGATCTAATAGGAGAGAGACAAAGGTAACGAATATCAAACGATTAAGGAACACTAGAGTTCTACATACTCAGTTCTACTAAAGAGAATGATGTTAGCTTTGCCTTTTCTCTAGTGAGATTTACTAGTAATTACACCCTTAGAATAGCAAGTTTTAACCTTTTTGGTATCAGTTAAGAAACTGATGAAAAATGCACATTGAACCACAACATTTTGAAAGTGATTTCAAGGATTTTCAGATGCCCAAAGCCCAACCATGGATTGTGGACTAAAAGCACTGCCTTAAAGACCTCTCACAGACTTAGCTTCTAATCTCAAATTCTCCCAAGGGCCTTAGTGGTTGGTCCCAGATCAATGCCAGAGGCATTTGCATTTTCAGGCAGGAGTTGTGAAGGTGAAATAACCCAAAGGAATGACTCTAATCCTAGAAATTTTAGGACTCACTGATAAGTTAATAAGTGGGTCTTATTAACAGTCCTAGGGAAAATATATAATAGTATTGTTCGCAAAAAATAAGCATTGTTATTTTTATTGGCTTCTGAACATTTTCAAGATTATTTATTTTTAGTTTTTAGAGACAGGGTCTTGCTCTGTTGCCCAGGCTGGAGTGCAGTGACATGATCCTGGCTCACTGCAGCCTCAAATTCCTGGGCTCAGGTGATCCTCCCACTTAGCCTCCTAAGTAGCTAGGACTACAGGTGTGTGCCACTATGCTTGACTAATTTTAAATAATTTTTTTGTAGAGATGGGGTCTTTCTATGTTGCTCAGACTTCAAGATCATTTAAAACCACCCCAGTTTTTAATATGGTACACTTATTGCAGAAGTAGTCTGTATTCCTCCTGCCTATTTGTGACAGATTATCTCCAAACATGGTAGCCAATAGTTTCTCTGTTCTATGAACATGTATGTTACTCCTCCCTTCAAGAAGTGGAGTCTATTTCCTCTCCCCTCTTGTTACCAGTGGAAGGTGTCCAGGTTCTTGGCGTCTTAAACAAAGAATTGGACAAAACGCACAAAGCAAAGAAAGAACGAAGCAACAAAAGCAGAGATTTATTGAAAACAAAAGCACACTCCACAGGGTGGGAGTGGGCCGAGCAAGCAGCTCACTGAATTTTCTGGGGTTTAAATACCAGTAGAGGTTTCCCATTGGTTACTTAGTGTACACCCTATGTAAATGAAGTAGTGGCCCACGATCAGTCTGATTGGTTGCAGAATGTAGTCAATCAGAGGTTGAAGTGAAGTTATAAAGTTACATCCTATGCAAACGTTTGATTGCTTGCAGAAAGTGACCAATCAGAGGCTGAAGTGAAGTTACAGAGTTATACTCCTATGCAAATGAAGACTTGGCCTGCAAACAGCCTGATTGGTTGCAGGAGGGAACCAGTCAGAGGTACTCTCAATTTTTCATCTCCCAGGCAAAAAAGGAGGGGAGGTGCAAAGGGAGTAGCCTCTGGTCCTTTTGTCATGTGGGCATGGAAAGTTGGGGTTTTCCTTTTGATTTAGTTCTAGGAAGTCAGCATGAATTGGCCTTAGGTTCCCTGCCTCCAGATCCTATTCTTCTGCCTCACTCTAATCTAATCTGGCCTTGACTTGCTTTGACCAACAGACTGCAGCAAAAGTGACACCTGGTCAGTTATGGTCCTGTCAGTTTTTACCTTGACTCCAGCCTCTCTCTCTCACTTCAGTTGCCAGATAAAGAAGCTGTGCTCAATTATGAAATTATGAGAGGTCACAGGAAAGAGGTCCTGGAAGATGAGCAGTCATCTTGGACTCTCCAAATTCAGCTCAGCTCCCAGCTGAATGCCACCACATGAGGTCACATGGGTGACCTCAGCCTACACATTGTGGATCAGAAGAACTACTCAGCTGAACTCAGCCAACCCACAAAATTTTGAGATTAATGAATTGTTATTTTAAGCCATTAGATTTATTAAACAACAATAAATTACTAAAACATTAACCTTTAGGCATTTATAGGCAAACAAATTTCTTAGATTTCCCACATGCAATTGTAAATCCTGACATCAACCATCAACTTTCTTTTTTTTTTGGCAGGGTCTCTCTTTGATGCCCAGGCTGGAGTGCAGTGGTGTGATCCTGGTTCACTGCCACCTCAACTTCCTGGCCACAAATGAGCCATCCTCCCACTTCTGCTTCCTAAGTGCAGGGAATAAAGGAGTGCACCACCATGCCTAGCTAGTTTTAAAATTTTTTGTAGAGACAGGGTCTCACTATGTTGCCCAGGCTGGTCTTCAACTCCTGGACTAAAGCAGTCCTCCTGCATCAGCCTCCCAAAGGGCTAGGACTACAGGCATGAGCCGCTATGCCCGGCCAACATCATTTCTTATTGTTGAGATATTTTATCAGTACCTCTCTTGTCTAGTAGTCTATTGCTCCTACACTGGGTTCTCAGAACCACACAGAAAACATATTTCACAGTTGACTAGTGAGGGCTGCCTGTGGTCTAAGCACTCAGGGACTGATTTTCTTTTTAGGAGAGCCCAGGGCTGGAAAGATTTTGTCATTGATTTTCAACTTTACTATGCATCCTGTAGGTCATGAATGCATCGCTTTTCTTTGACCTCAGGTGAATAGTGCAAGTTACTTTTCCAGGTAAAGTGACTCAGGGTGAAAAACACAAATTGTTTAGTTGCAGAGGTGGTCTAGTTTTCTAATTTTAATGTTTTCAATGATTTATCAGTCATTTTGTTTCCTAAAAGAATCTGGTTTGGAGTGTTTTGTCATGAAGGCTATAAAATGGATTTGAATGAGAAACAGAAAATAAATACATAAAATCGGTGATGTAGTGGGCATTGCAGTGCCAAAGAGGTTGTGCTAAATGCCAGATTATTATTTTTCCTTTCCTTTGGCTTGGTTCTGTCCACTGAAGACTAGGCCAAAGGCCTGAAGCTGATGGTTAGGGGAGTAATCACACAGGAGTGGCTTTTTCTAGTGGAAATGGTGTGACTGATTTGACTGTGGCTCCTACATGACACACCCTACCTCCCCAAGTTCTATAGGTTTTTCATACCCTAGAATACGTGGAATGTGTGTTGGGGCAGAAATTTGGAGCAGTCGTAGTGCAAGATGATCATCACTGATTGATTTTATCTGAAAATAAGTTTGCTGCAGCTGCTGTTGTGTGTGTGTGTGTGTGTGTGTATTGTGTATTTCTAACCAAAATGTATGGTATAATGCTTATGTTAGAGGCTTAAAACCATGAAGTTTTACATAAGAGAGGTCTAAGCAAGACAAAAAGAGGTAGAGGGATGCTTAGAAAGGAGAAGGGAGACAGATGTAAGGCAGGAGGCTGTTGGATGTGTGTCCCCATCCACCCTTTCTGGGCCAAAGTCCCAGAGTAAAAAGTGTTCTAGAGAATTGAGGGGAATGTCATGTGTCATTCAAAAGAAAAAAAAACAGTCTCGTTAATGAAATTTTGTAGAGTTTATTTAAGAAACAGTTAATTTCCTCTCTAACTAAGCCTGTGTATGGCTGAGATCTGGATTATGTAACGATGGAGTAAGGAGATACAAATACAAGGAAGAGAAAACATGGTGGAGCAGGGGCAATTGAGTGGGATAGGAGGCAGCACCTGTGTATAGAAGATGAGGGATGAGAACGAGTCAGTAGAGAACTTTGGGGTTAGCGAGAAGCTGAGGAAAAGAACATAGGAGAAGGAAAGGGGCAGATCAAGAAGAGCCAGAGTTGGGGAAAAGGTGAGGAGTAGCAAATTGGATATGGGCATGAGTATCTGCATGAGGATTTCAAGAACCAAAGGACTTGCAAGAATGTGGTTCATCATATGTCTTTCAAGTCTCTCAATATGAAATGTGCATGTCTGACAAGCAGAAAGGCAATCAGGTGAAGGGCATGGGTTTTATATCTATGTGGATCATATACCAGCTCTAAATTATATTCCATAATTTGATTTTGGTTAGCCATGCAATAATTTATGTCTCCGTACCCAAGGGACATTGGATGAGAGAGTGAAAAACCCCTAGAAAAGTCACATTTATGACCAGGGAATGGCACTTAAATAATTGCGTCTTCGCACAGCCCGGTTGCATATCACTGCTTTAATGCTATCTGTATCATCTTTTCATTATAATGTCCTTGATAGAGCACCCATAATTTCCTTTTTCTGATCTAGAGCTTTTGAGTAGGTTGATGAAGACATGGCAAGACGCAGCTACTTTCTTCATTGAATTTAAATAGTCTATATGTAATATATATGTGTGTACACACACAAACAACCCGCCCCCCCCACCCCCCCACACACTCCATAATTTATTTTAATGTGAATGCTTAAAAAAAACCTGTTTGGATCACTACGGTCTTCAAATTTATCTTTTCAAAATATCCATGTTTTCCTTTGTGTCTGTTTTAGCTTGGGCTACCATAACAAAATACCACAGACTGGGTGGCTTAAACAACAGAAATTTGTTTTCTCACAGTTGTAGAACTAAAAGTACCAGATCAAAGTCCAGTGCGGTTGGTTTTTGGTGAGGGCTCTCCCTCTGGCAACAAGGACACCATCCTATTGGATTAAAGCTGCCTCTTTATAACCTCATTTAACTTGAATTACATCCTAAAGACCCTATCTCTGGATACAGTCTCATCGAGAGTTAGGGCTTCAACATATCAATTTTGGAGGGACACAATTCAGTCCATAGGCGTAACAGCATCTTGGCATAGATTTAAAAAATCTAAATTTTAACAGAAGTTACATTTGAATTAAACTTAATTTTGAGATACTTATAGATTCATATGCAGTTGTAAGAAGTAATACAGGGAGATTTGATATACCCTTTAACCAGTCTCCCCCAATGGTAACATCTTGCGAAACTATGGTACAATATCACAGCCAGGATATTGACATTGATACAGTCAAGATTCAGGACACATCCATTACCAGGAGGATTCCTCCTGTTGCCGTTTTATAGCCACACCAACTTCCCTGCCATGGTGTGGACATACTATGGTTTGTTTAACTACAGTTTGCACCTCCCATTGACCAGACATCTGGTTGTTTCCAGGATTTGGTTATTATTAATAAAGCTGCTATAAACATTTGTTTACAGATTTTTATCTGAACATAAGCTTTAATTTCCCTGGGATAAATGCCTAGGAGCATAATTGCTGCTTTGTATACATGTTACATGATTAGTTTTCAAAGAAACTGCCAAACTGTTTTCCAAAGTTTTAAACCGTTTCCATTTTACATCCCGCTGGCCATGTAAGAGAGGTCCAGTTTCTTCATATCTTCACCAGCATTTGGTGTTATCACATTTTCTATTTTAGACATTCTGAGAGGTGTGTAGCGCTATGGAACTGCAGATTTAATTTGCATTTCTCTAACATCTAATGACATTAAATGTCTTTTCATGTGCTTATCTGTGCATATATATATATATATGTTTTAAACATTTGGTTGTATCTGGGAAGAAAAACATTTAATTGCTCTTTAATGTTTATTTCACATACTTAGTTCCCATGTTTCTAGCCTTCATCTGTGGAAGTCTGTGCTAGCTACAGAGAGGAAGCTAAGCAGAGATTTCCAACACACTGGACAAGGAAAAGAAGTAGAGATGTTATTTTGATCTGGATGTCATTCCTTGTTAAAATAAAAAAATTCTGTTTTATGTAAATGTCAGTGTAACACAGTATAACAATAATAAAGATTATTGTTTTATATCCCCTCATAGGTCTAGCTCTTTTACCTCACATAATGTTAGGAGTTTTTGTAGCTATCTTAAAGACGTTGTTATCTTTGGCAGAAGCATGGTGGCTTGGCTCAGAAAGCAGGCAGTAACAATGATATCAGTTCCTTTTTATATATTTTTTCTTCTCCTGGAACACCATGTTACCTAGAATACATGAGAATCTGGCAGAGGTCTCCATTTTCTTCCCCTGTATTCCTTTCACACCATCTGTTTGGGTGTGCTAGAATCCACTGGAATGTCTTTACAAGGTGTCAAAACTCCGGGAACTCCACTCTGTTTGGCAGCAGAGAAAGAAAGGATAAAGTGATCGTATGGAAGAGAGAATCTGGGGGAGTGTCTGTCACAATCACAAAAGAGACAATTTACAGCGTGGTGGAGTCCAAGGTTAGTGTGACTTCTCTCAGGCTCAATTTCTGATGGAGGTGTCCGGAGTGGATGCCATGCAGGCTCCCTTCTTCTTCAATGAAGGGAGCATCATGTGACGCTGGAAACCCTTTATGTGCCCGTCTAGAATGCTCTCAGACAGCCAAACAAGTGCAGGGTGAGGATTCGGTGGCATGAGCAACCCCCAAGTTTAGCACACATCCATTTATGGGATGGGTTAGAAATCCAGTTAGTTAAGTCATTACAAAGGCAGGATTTGAATTTTGTTTTTAAAAATAAAGAAAAACAAAACAAGACAAAACCAGCCTCTCTACCCCACAAAACTTGTTTATAAACTGTATCATGTGAAAATCCAACTTGGAAAGAATTCTAGTTTGACTTTAAATTGTTTGTTCACAAGCTCATGAAATAACATGGTTCTTGGATTCATTAACTCTTATTTATAAACTTAAGGTTGTTTTGGAAAAGGAAGCATAACATTTACTAAAAAGAACATTGAAATGTATTTGTCTTTTTAATTAAAAAAATACTAAGAAATGAAGTCTGCAAAACACAAAATCTTAATATTGCAGTAGGATTTTCCCTCATTAAAAATATATATCAAACCATTGTCTGATTGAAACTAAACACAGTTAAACATATATAGATATAAATTATATAATTTACATTTATTATACTTAATCCAGGTACACATGCAAACACATTTGTATATATAAATTATGTATGAAATACTCATAGCTAAAATTTATGTGGCTATATTTGAAACTGTGACATCAGAGATAGGCTTAAAACACATTTAATTACATTACCAGCATGTATAATCAGAGTTAGAACTACTGATAGATTTTGCTGACAAGAATTATGGAAAGTAGCAGCTAATTCAGGATTGTTCTATTACAGATATTACAGGGGAAGCAAGTCTGGAAAGTGGATTTAGACTCTCATGCTATGCACTTTTTTGTGGGAATTTTATCATTAAAAAGGCATATTTTTTAAGCATTTAGGCAAGTAAATTTTGGAATAAAATAATAGTCATTATTTTTGACAACTTCCTGTGACTTTCACCTTATATTCATTTAGCTGAAATTCACTGTAGATTTCAGCTAAATGTATAATGTGAAATACACACTATATGAATATATAACACCCAGTTTTTTGTCTTTTAAGGGAAGTTTATAAAAATACGGCATTCAATTGATTTGGAAACATGATAAAAAGTGTTTACTAAAAAAATACAAAATTAGCTGGGCGTGGTGGTGCATGAGTGTAATCCCAGCTACTTGGAAGGCTGAGGCAGGAGAATCGCTTGAACCCAGGGGGCAGAGGTTGCAGTGAGCCGAGATTGTGCCATTGCACTCCAGCCTGGGCAACAAGAGCAAAACTCCGTCTCAAAAAAATAAATAAATAAATAAATAAATCTAAACAGTTTAAGGCTGGGCGCGGTGGCTCACGCCTGTAATCCCAGCACTTTGGGAGGCCGAGGCGGGTGGATCATGAGGTCAGGAGATCGAGACCATCCTGGCTAACATGGTGAAACCCCGTCTCTTCTAAAAATACAAAAAATCAGCTGGGTATTGTGGCGGGGGCCTCTAGTCCCAGCTACTTAGGAGGCTGAGGCAGGAGAATGGCTCGAACCCGGGAGGCAGAGCTTGCAGTAAGCCGAGATTGCACCACTGCACTCCAGCCTGGGCGTCAGATCAAGACACTGTCTCAAAAAAAAAAAAAAAAAAAAAAAGTGT
Source organism: Homo sapiens (assembly GCF_000001405.40). NCBI lineage: Eukaryota > Metazoa > Chordata > Mammalia > Primates > Hominidae > Homo > Homo sapiens. Next base: position 56,500,119 of record NC_000018.10, on the reverse strand, counting down.
TTATAACAGAGTAATAGAAAGAGCTCTTTCTCCTTAAAATGCTACGGGGCTCTGGCCAATGCTTTGAAAACCCTAAAAGATGCATGTTCACATTTCCTCTGAGCAATGCATTTAAAAGATGGGAGGATACTTTTTAAAATTATAGAGGCTTTAAGTGTCTTATTCAAAAGTTTATTTTATTTACAGTTTGGAAATATTTTCCGATAAAACGGCTGAATTTTAGCAACCACAGCCAAAGGGATCTTCTTTGACCAGAGCTCTTTGACTCCCCTGAACCAAATAGCCTTGTTGAAATGAGTTTATTTTTTGTTGCATGATCACACTAAAAACATGAACAGTGTTTGGAACAACCATTTAGTGAAGTGACATCAAAGGCAGCTTTGAAAAGTGTTTCAAACAATGTTGGTATTCTGTCTTACAGACATTTAAGAAGACACTGCTTCACTCCTACCCATTTGTGTCTTCTAGATTCTTGTCGTAATAGGCTATTCACACATCCTTTCTATGTTCAGGGTTTCTCGATGCTTACAGATGTAAGCCACAATGTGAGAAATCCTGTGGCCGTTTCCCGTAGAGAGTCTCTGACAAGTCTCATTGTGGTTCAATGTCTAGCAAGGTCCTGCATGAGAGAATTTGGGATTGAGATTAGTGTATTTTGAGGTTATGAGGCATTTATCCTGACTCAGGGAAATTTCCCTGTCTGTGGAACTTCTCTGATCCTGGCAGATCAGTGAGCCACCCAGATTTTACAAAAAAGCACTGGATTTGGTTAGCTAGATACCCCCAACCTGCATTTCTAGAGTTTAGACTGGGTTCAGGTTTGGCCTGGGAAGCTTCAGTTTGGACCGTCATCTGGCTGTGGGTTACTCTCAAGGTAAGCCCTCCAAGAACAAACCAGAAGCAGTACCCCAAACCTGGGATGGGATTTGAGTGCAGAATCAACGGTGGTGTGAAATGTGACTGTTTTGAAAGTCGTGGGGAAATATGAGCGCCCAATGAGTATGTGAAGTCTCTTAGCAATATGTGAGAGACTGCAATATTTTCCCCCCTCAGAAACCTTTGGGGTTTATTTGTAAATGATTACACAAAGATAGATAATATCATCAAATAAATTAACATATTGTACACAGAAAGATCAGGTGGACAGAATGAGGGAGAACAGATGGCCAGAGATTGCTTCCAAGCACAACTCCAAAGGCTGGTGGCCCAACAGGGGCCCCAGGAAAGATTCTGTGGCTGCCACAGGCTGGACACCATTCATTCATTCATTCATTCATTCCTCCAGCTTTTATGGAACTTTCACTCTGTGCCAAATCCTTGTGTAGGCTCTAGGGATTCAGTAGTCAACAATAACAAGAACAATAAAAGCAGACAAAAGTTCCTGCCCCATTGAAGCTTTCATTGCTACAAACCAAATACGTTATTATTAAAATAGTTAATAATCTGAAAGCTATTAAAAATAGCAAAGCATTTCATTTGAATATTTGTATGTGACAGCAATACTGCTTAATGTATAAAGAGAAAAAGATTTAAAAATAAAGATTGGCTTTCTGCTTTCAAAAAGAAACTGACTTAGAATAGATAGGGGTTGTATGTAAGAAATTCTTTCTAAAAAAAATAGAAAAAGCTATTTCCAATAACTACTAGCAAACTCTTAAGTAGGTTATAATCTCCATTTTTTAAACATGGAAATTAAAATTCTTTTAAATGTTAACTAGCAATTTTTGCCTAGTATTTTATTTCTGAGATTCTCATGAACTGGCCAAAAGTAAATGTAGTCATTACATATTTAAATAAATAGGGTGTTAATTACTTGGACAAATATTTTAAGCGAAAAATAGAGCAAAGGAAATGAGAAGCAAGTTTATAAATAGTGTAGAGATATGATTTGAACTTCATGCTTTTTTTAACCTCATAATATTTCTGTTATTTTAAAATAAAGGAATAAAATAGTGGGTTAAAGCTTTAACCTGGATACAAACTAAACCCACAATTGTAGATAAAATAGAGAGTTAAAAGAGAGCATTCAACTTCATATGAAAACATATGTGTTTTATTCAACTTGACTATAACAAAGGAGCAGATTTTTACTTACTTTGACTCCATTTTCTCCATTAACCTCATCCACTTCTCAGTGAGCCTCATTGCTGTGCAGTTCTGTGTTAAATAGTACAAAGTATGCACTCAATGAGTTTATGGTTTGTATCACTGGAGAATTGCTGAAAATGCCAGTTTGTTCTTCATGTGTGGAATACAGATCATCTTTCTCTTTTCTTGATGAATTATAGGTCATTGCATAAAATATTACATGGGTGAGTGAAGAAATGAATGAAGAGTGACTATGGACAGATACTTGCTCTTGCACATGTTCCATTCAGGATCCCATCCATCCAAACTTAATTCATTCAACAGTGATTGTGCTACTCCCAGTGATAAGTAAGAGGGAGTCCTGTCACCAACGTAAGGGAGGCTTTGCTGAGAAACTATCATTTAAGCCATTTCGAGATCATGAGCAGGAGTTTCACGGAGGGAGGAGTGGCCTTGCAGATAGAGGGAGTAGGTATCAGAGACAAAGAGGAAGGAGTGAATCTGAGGGGGGAATAACAACAGCACTTGTGGCGCTTTTTGTTTATTTGCGTGGATCCAAATTTCCATCTGGTATTTATCTGGTATCATTTTTCTTCTGCCTAAAGAACTTTCTTTAAAATTCATGTAAGGCAGGGATGCTTGTGATAAATTCTCTCAGTTTTGGTTAGTCTGAAAAAGCCTTCATTTCACCTTCATTTTTGAAATATATTTTTGGGGTATTGACAGGTTTTTTTTTTTTCTTTCAGTATAGTATTTTAAATATGTTGCTAGATTGCCTTCTGGCTGGCATGGATTTTGGCGGGAATCTGCTGTAATTCTTATTTTTATTCCTGTGTATGTAATGTGTCTTTTTAATTTGGCTTCTTTTAAGATTTTCTTTTTACCCCTGGATTTCTGCAATTTATTTTGGTGAGATTTTGGTGTGGTTTTCTTCATGTTCACTCTCCTTGGGGTTTGTTGAGCTTCTTGGATTTGTGAGTTTATTGTTTATATCAAATTTGGAAAAATTTGTGCCATTATTTCTTTAAATATTTTTTATCTTTCACCCTCTTTTTTTCTGGAACTCCGTTGGACCGTTTGAAATTTTCCCACAGGTCAATGATACGCTGTTCAGTTTTTTTCAGTCTTTTTTCCCCCTCTGTGCTTCATTTTGGATAGTTTCTCTTGTTATATCTCCAGTTTACTGATAATTTCTTCAGTAATTTTCCAATCTAGTGTATTATTTAAAATTTTCAGATACTTAGCTTTCATCTCAAGAAGTTCCTTTGATTCTTTTTACACCTTCTATTTCTCTCCTCATTCTATTCATATTTTCTTCTACCTTCCTAAACATTTGGAGCATACTTACAATACCTATTTTAACATGTTTGTCCCTTGATTACATCATCTCTGTCATTTCTTGCTCTGTTACTAGCGACTGACTTTTCTCCTGGATATGGTCATATTTTCCTGCTTCCTTGCATCTCTGGTAATTTTTGATTAGGTGATGGACATTGTGAGTTTTACTTTGCTGGATCCTGGGTTTTGTTGTATTTTTAAAAAACGTGTTGGATTTATTGTGGCACCTAGTTAACCCATTTATGCCTGAGATTGCAATTTTTTGAATTTTTACAATCAAACCTTGGTGATGACCTTGAGCAGTAGAATGTAAATAATTCCCACATGCTTAGCATTCCAATAATGGAACACTAGTCCTAAAGGGAATACTTAAAATCCATCTGATCCTTTCAAGGACTGGTTAGATTTGAATCTGCCTTTAGTTTAGGATCAATTTAGCTTCCTTACTAAGGCAAAATCTTTCTGAACACTCTACCTTATGTTCTGTGTATTCCACAGTCTGGTTGCTGGAAGCACAAATAATACCAAGCCCCATGTGAGCTTCAGGAGTTCTTCAACCTACTGCTTTCCAGTGTTTCTTTCACTGACCTTCTATAGTTTCCCCTCACGCATGCGCAGCCAAGGGACAGCTTTTCAGATTTCTGGAGCATGCTGTCGCTCTCTGTGTGGCTCTCTCTTCTGCAGTACTCTATCCTGTACATTCTACAGACCTTGGCCTCCCTCAGCTCCAATCTTTGTCTCCACCTTGTAGTGAGAATGCTGAGCTTCATTTGGGTTCCTCCTTTCTGTACTACCACATGGACACTGTCTCCCGGCAATGAGCTGGGGCAATTGTAGGGCTCACTTCATTTTTCTCCATACACTGCTTGTTACTCAATGTCTGAAAAGAATTGTTTCATATATTTATTTTTTTTTGGTTTTCTAAGGCAGGAGAAGAAATCCTGTCTCAGATACTCCATGTGGTTGAGAACTTCTTTTATTATGACAATTTCAAACATATATCTAAGTATACAGAATGATATAATGGATTCCCTGTACCCACCACCCAGAATCCACAATTATTAGCTCATGCCCAATCTTCTTTAACCTATATACCCTCCTGCTTCTTATAGGGGAAGTTATTTGGATTTATTTGAACAAATCCCATATATTTAGTATTCTCATTTATAAATATTTTTGTATGCATTTCTAAAAGGTAAGGCTCTTTTAAAAAGCATAACTACACTGGAATTATCATACCTATAAAAATAACAATTTTGTAATACCATCAATTACAGACAATGTAAAATTCCATGTCCTCCCAGAAGGGTAGGGTGTGCTTGAGTGATATATTCTCAATGAATAATATCGGAGGGAATGGTCGTATCCGAGCTTGAATCTCTGCCTCTACTTACAGACCCCTTTCTTTTCAAATTTGCTCTTCTACCAGCAAGTAATCCCCAGTAGTTTCTATTCTTTCCCTTTGACAACTGCCAGTATCCATTCTTCCCTCTGGCCCTTCCCAACCATATTCAAGGCCCCTTTCCTCCTCTTGTTTAGTCTGAACCCTAAGTTCATATGCACGTCTGGCAGATTAGTATCTTTAAAGATAAAGGGAGCATCCTACAGTGTCTTCCAGCTCTGACATAATATGATATAAAGAGAAAGTTACATGTTTTAGGAACGTAATTCAGTGCTTAATCTGTCTCATGATTCTGAATGAGTGAAGAGAGTACAGCATTGTCTCTGAGAGACTGTGCTATAATTTCTTTGACTCACCTGTAATCATAACATTTAACTTATTTTGGACTTTCAAATTTCTCAGAAGAAGTCATAAGACATTTATATTGATCAAAACAGTCATGGCTTTAAAAAGTATGAACGGCATTGATTAATATCAAGCAGGATTCCCCTCTTCTAACATAATTAGCAGTATTGACCTATGGGGTGATTTCAGGGGAACAGGAAGGGTTTCTGTTCTTCCCTGCTCACTCTCTACTTCCCAAATTTCTTACCTATTCTTGGATGCTTGCAATTTTCTGCATTGGGAAAAAAACCCACAGATTTTTTTAAGTGTTTTTTTTTTTTTTAAATCAGCATTATTGATATTTACTTCATATGCCATGCAATTTACCCACTTTAAATGTACAATCCAGTAGTTTTTGGTATATTTGCAGATGTGTGTGACCATTACCACAATATTTTTTAGAATACTTTCACCAGCTAAAGAGAAACCTCATTCCCATTAGCAGTCACCCTTTTTCCCTTCGACCCTCCCCGTGCCAGGCAAACACTAATCTACTTTCTGCCTCTGTTCATTTTCCTATTCTGGACATTTCATATAAATGGAATAATACAACATGTGACCTTTGATTGGAAGAGAAATGATTTGAAGTGATTTAGGATCTTAAGGAGGAAAAAGACTACTTTCTATCTCTTTAAACAGGTTTTTGATGGGGGTAGGAACAGACCATTTTAGTATGAGGTGGGTGATGAGAACAGACAAAGCACAGTGAGCAAAGAGGGGTGGGCCTCACTTCACAGTTTTGGCTGGGCCAGGCCTGGGCTGTCGGCCCTAAATGTCAAAGCTTCAAGATAATTCAGATGTTGGTATAAAGAGAGAAGGACTTACTCAATGGTCCCATGTATAGCCGCCTGTAAGCCCCGGTTACTGTCTGTCACATTCATAAATACTGGAAATGAGACTTATAATTATACCTCACTTAACTGACAGCTCACCTTGATTTCTCACTGAGCTGCTTACAGGACCGAAGTGCTTCCTTCCTCTACCATGGTTTGTAATGCAAAGCACTAGAACCATGTTGCACAGGCTAGTTGCCTGAAAAGGCCAGGTAACGGGGCACCAGGCTGTCATTTTTATCATGAGGAAATAGGTCTTTTGGTGTAATTTTCTTCCAGTAATTAGTCTCTCTGTGATTTTTATACTTTGTGTCATGTTGTGAATGCAACATGTTCGACAGCATTCCTGCCGAGGAAATACCTTCAATGGTGGGTAAGCAAATACCATCTTTCATTAGAAACATCACAAAAATTTCATCGAAACTTCTGAACAGCCAGGGGGAGGAAAACTCCTAATGACAACGAAAAGCCCACTTATGCCGAAATCCACATGGGGGTGTCTTACAGGGCAGTTTGAGAACCAGACTTGCTAGTCCTTCCTCTGGCACATTGGCTAGATGTCTGCTCTTATATGAGTGATGATATCTTCTGAGACAATTGCTATTTGCCAAATGGCGTTATTTAACTAAGATAGGTAAGTGGATGGTCTCAGTGATGTGTACCAAATTAAAACAATTTCCTAAGCCAGGAGTTTTGTAAGTCAGGTTTTTACTTTACCAATTTATATTTCTGTTTATTTTTCTTTATGGGTACATGCCTGTTAGTAAGAGATCTTTGTAGAATTGAAGCAGTGGGAAAAAAATAACTTCTTTCTCTTTGGTGGATGAAATGAGATGTTCGTGTAATAATGTCCTCCTTTTAGAATAGAGATGACATTTGAAAGAAAAACTTATTCTGAAATTCATAGGACAAAAAAGCCATAAAATCTTTTGCTGTAAATGGAGTTAGTTGGAGTAAGATTTGGCCATAATGGATGTGTGGAATGACTGGAATTCTCAGACACTACTGGTGGGAATATAAAATAGTATGGCTGCTTTGGACTACATTTGGCAATATCTGATAATGGCAAATATATGCCTACCCTATGACCCAGCAATTTCACTCCTGGATATATACACCAGAGAAACAAGTGCATGCATAACAACACATAACATGTATAAGAATGTTCTTAGTAGCTTTACTCTCAATAACAAATGACTGGAAACAATCCAGATGTCCATCAACAGGAGAATGGATGAATAAATTGTGGTATTCATACAACAAAATACTACACAGCAGTAAAAAGAACAAACTCCTGACACACACAAAAATACAGATGAATTGATATTATTTTGAGTGAAAAAAGCTAGAAACAAATGAGTGCATACTGTATGGTTCAATTTAAGTGATCTTGAGTAGACAAAAGTAATCAGTGATGATAAAAGTCACAAGAGTGGTTACTTGGCAGACAGGAGAGCAGTATTGACTGGGAAAGGGCATGTGGGAACTTCCTGGGGGGCTGAAATTATTCTGTATCTTAATTTGTGTGGTAGCCACACAGATGTATTCATACACAAAAATTTATCAGTTGGTATTCTTTAGATCAATATACTTTACTGTAAATATGCATGCATAGCCTCAGTTTTAAAAAGTAGATATCACAAAGTATTGGGCTATAAGAGATCTGAGGGCTGGGCACATTGGTGAGATTGCCATATTTGGCTTTGCTCTTTTGCCCATGCAATCCAGCCACAATAGGTTATTGCTGACTCTCTTCCTCTTTTGGGGTTGCATGGAGCTCATTTTACAAATAGAAGAAATACACAATGTCTAATCCAATCCACTACCCAAAGACTGTATTTGGAGTTCTGTTGGATCTTCATGACATTTGAAGATAGAGCAACTTCACAGAAAATTAGATTTGCTCTGTAGGTTGCTTTAAAAGACCATTTTAAGTTGGACACTACTCACTGCCTCTCTTTTTTCTTTCACTGCATTTCAAGGCACAATATTGGAGGGTGTGTTCCACGTATCTGTTAGACTTCTAGGCCAGGTACTTCAGGATGAAGCTGTACATTTGGGTAAATATCAGAAGGAGAGATGACCAGAGGAGCACAGTGAGAGAGGACAGGAGCGCCAAGAACAGTACCTTGGTAGCAGCCAAATACATGTAAGGGAGTGGAGGGCGCTAAGAGGAACCAAGAAGACCAAAGGTGGGAGAAACCTGTCTTTCCTCGCAGGCATCTTGGTTCCTGGTGCACATTTCTCAAGTTTCTACTCCTCTTTCTGTGTTTTCTCTCTTCAGAAACTTCATCTATTTTAATGATGTCAGTTTTCTGGTAACATCTTCCACATCCACACCTTCCGTCCTGCCTTCGCCTTCGAACTGCAGCTCTAAACCTCATTCCCTCACTCAGTCTGCACATTTCAGGTGCTACAAAACATGTATGGAAAGTCCTTGAAAGTGTGGGGTTAGATAGGGTCAAGGAGGTAAGATGTTTGCGGGGGAATAAAAGAGCATACTAATGGACAGCTGAAGACTGAAGATGCAAGAAGAGAAGATCCTAAAAGAACTCAGAGGGGCTTCACTTTGGGAAGAGGGAAGAAAGGAGGAATGATAAATATGAAGATATTTGGAACTAGAGATGTACCTGCCTGTTTGCAATCACTTTGCAGTGAGTCTGCTTCAAACAATGCTAGCACTTATTTAGCTATTGCTATTTGCCTAGCACTATGCTAAGTACTTATGCATATTATCTCGTTTAATCCTCAGAACAACCCTCCAAGGAAGATGCTATTATGAGCCTAACTTTTTAGATGGGGGAACTATAGCCTAGAACGCTAGAGTAATTTATGTAAGGTCTCACAGCAATGGCATGCTGGATCTAGGGCATGAATCCAGTTTACTTGATTGCAAAGTTCATATTCAAAACTACTAGGCTGCCAGTGCCTCCTTCTGGACACAAACACACCTGGTAGTAGAGCCCCTTGCTACTGCCTGAGGCTCCCTTTCACCCCACTCTCTGCTTAGACTGTACCTGTCTCCATGATCTCAGGTTGCTTTATGTCCTGCTCAGTTTTGCATCCAGGAAGACGATTTCAGGGCGAGGACCACATGTAGTCAAGTAGATTGAGATGGGAAAATGCCCCTGTCTGATCTATCCTGACTACATATGAAGAAATAGGATAAAAGATGGGAAAAGCAAATTGAGACTGGAGCCAGAATGGCCTTGAATTTAAGAATGAGGGGTTGAGTGCAATTTAATTGGCAGTGCAAAGCTACAGAAGGCTTTTGATGAGAGCTGGGATTCAGGGAGATGAACCTGACAACCCTAATGTGGGATGGATTGGAACAAGCAGCGGGTGCAGGTGAGAAGCCAGTTAAGAGCTTTTTACAACAGTTCAGGTGAGGCAATGGGCCTGGTAGGATGAATGTAGGGAGAGCAGAAAAGAGAGGATGGGAGCTACTAGAGAAATAGCTTTTCCCAGTGGCCCAGGTAGGGAATATGTTTATCTAGCTTCTAAGAGAGCTAGTAGAAAAAAAAAATATCTTGTTCATTTTGTACTAAATCAAATCTAGATTCCCAACGTGAACTTTCAAAGGCCCTTTGTAAACTGAAGCCAACCTTCTCGATCCATCTTGTCTTCCCACTCCTTCCTAACTTTCATTCTCCACCATGGGTAGGCTGGTCTTATTCTTCCACAAACATGCTATGATCCATAATGTGACCCAGATTCTGTCCCTAACTCTTAGGGTGGTCTCTGTTTTCTCCATCCTAGGCAAGCTTTAAAGCCCATTTCTCACACAGGGATTGTGCTGATTATCCCTACTATTATTTATTCCTCTGTCTTCTGAAGTCCCCAAGCCTGTCAAGGCGATTCCACATGGTTTAGCTGGCCTTTTGTCTTCTAGAGCTCACTGAAGAATGGTTGGTGACCACCATGTCCGCAAGGCCTAGTCTGGCCTAGACACATGGCAAGTGTTCAGACCCATCTGCTGTTTGTGGTTTGCACATAGAGGAACTAGCTTCCACACAGAGCGTTGACATGCTGACGTTAGTTCTGTCTTCAAGCTTAGTTTTCGGTGAAATGCCCCTTTGCAAAAAGGAGGTGTTATGAAAAGCCAGGAGAGGTGACTGGAGGTGAGGTGGTGAGAAGAGGGTGGGTTTGGAAAGAGAATGGCTGTGAGTGTGCATGCTTTGTCACACTCTGCCCTTTCTTGACCCTGCAAACTCTAGTCCATACCTGTCCTAGATGATGAAATGTCTTCTTCATTGGCTTTGGGGGAAGAGTGAACCTGAGGTCTGTTCTGGAAGAGAAATAACAGTGAAGACTCAGGACCAAAGCAGAGAAACAGAATTTGCATGAATATCCATGACCAAGACACTGATGGTGATGAAGGAAACTTGCCATCTTTATAGGAAATGAGTGTCCATTTTAATGCTCCATGACTGGCACGCGCTTAGGCTGCATTAGAATCTCACTCAGGTATGTCTTCCATAGCACCTGTTCCCCCATAAGGCACCTGATAGGTGCCAGCTTAGTGCTTCTTGATTGATAACACATGTTGCTATATATTTAGCAAGAACTTACAGAGTGCTTACTACACATGTTTAAAAATGTCAGCTTTTAAAATCCTTGCAACAACCCTAGTGGATACTATTACTATGATTGTCCGTAGCTTAATACGGGACAACGGGGGCACAGAGGATTTTGCCAACATCAAAGCACCAGTGGGCAGAGGAGCAGGATTTAAACCCAGGCATTCTGGCTCCACAGTCACTGCTCTTAACCGCCACTCTCTGCCATTTTAACCATTACTTGTGCTGTGTATGTTTGAAGTGCTTGAGGATGGAGTAATGCTAAGGTCCCTAGGTCCCTGGATAAGGGAGGTGAAGGTGGTATATAGATGGGTAGAGGCAAGGAAAAAGATGGAGAAGAGATGGCAATAAGAGGACAGTCAAAGGCCAAGACATCTGCCCTTGTTTCACAATCTACCCAGGGCTTGGTTTGGTGTTAGTCCTTTCCCACTTTTAATGGAGAAGTCCTCAAAGCCAATCCCAGATATTTAAAAGTAGCAATCAGATGTTAGTGTCCTTGGTAGTTCATCATCCGCACTCACTGACAGGAAGGAACAGATGCTGCGTGAAGATCATGCTGTCATGGACGTTGCACAACAATTTGGGCTTGATGGCTATCACTCCCTCACCGCTTCTCCAGGCAGACAACCTGGGGCATGGCAGGGACGGGAGGTCTCTTATTGGTTGCCTCTTCAGTCTAGACGTCTTGAGCGTTCCAGGAGTTTAGCTGCCTAGGAGGGAACCCTTTCTTGGTGATGCTGTGTTTGGTATGCTTTTTGGAGTGGATTTTTCACCAAAATTAACCCCACAATTCTGGAAGCACAGAAACATGATCTATCTATTACGGTGATGCAACTTCTATGTCATAGGCTAGCATTTTCTGTTTTTCTTTGAGATGAAGAGGTGTTTGTTTGATGAAAACACTTTTCAACTCCCTCTCTTCTCTCTAAGATGGCTCAGAGACAATCATTTTGTGTGGCAAAGGATAAATACCCCAAATAGCCTTCCTGACAGGCATAGGGCCTGGAGGCTTTCACAGAGCTGCTCTGAAATTCAGGAGTTTAGAGTTGAAAAAGAAAATGACTTCCTTTTTAACTAAATTTGAAGGCGTCTAAGGCTCTCTGTGTCTCTGTTCTACACCTAATTAGGCTGGGAAAGTATTTCCAACTCCTCCCGTTGGAGCTCCGACTCTTTAGGTTAAGACATCACAACTTTAGGAGTCCCCTCCTGTACAGTGAGGGTCAGCAGGGGGCCTCTGTGTGTATATGTGTGTGGTGTGTGTGTGTGTGTGTGTGTGTGTGTGTGTGTGCAGTATATAATACATAAGGTATTGCTACATTACTATTACTTAATAGTTCTAAAAAGAAACCATGAAAATAGAGTTCATCAAATTATACTAAAAACCTTCTTGTATTACATACATAACTGACTTGTGATGATGTAACAAGGGTTATTTTAGGACTCAGGGTATCTGGAAGGATGTGGGAGTTGAGAACAACCACTGGGAGAGGAAGGAGAATCGATCTGCATGAAAGAGCTTACTTGAGAAGCAAGACTGTTTTTGCCTTGGCATTCCCCACTGTGACTTGGAATATAGAGAAGGAGGCAGACCTGAGGGGAAAATGAGAGAATGAAAACGCTCATCATGCCTAATCTCCACTTCTCTTGGAAGATTTTATGTTTGCTAATGCTATATAAAATCTCAGTTTGGGTGTGAGTAGGGGTATCTGTGTAGGCATGATAACTTACCTTGTTTATTAAGGGTGTGATTAACTACCTTGGTTTTTTGCCTGGTGAAAATGTTTTAAAGGAACATAAGCGACTTGTGTTTTAGTTAAGGCTGCAAAGAAACTGCTACACATTCCTCGTGAGACTCCCAGCGCTAAGTTGGAGCTTGGTTACTTATCAGTTCCCCGGGCATCCGTCTCTTTCAGGATGTGCTCGCTCCCCGTCTCCACACTTCTCTTTCCAGGTGAATCCCACCTGTAGAGCCAGGCAACCCCCTCCCCATGGCAAGGGCCAGCATGCTCACTCAGGAGGAGTTTGAATTTGTCATTGTGGTGGCTTGGCTCACTCTTCTGCTCTGGGGTTAATTAATATGTCTTCAGACTACATTTTGGGAACTGTGTTTCCAGTTTTGGTGGCTGGATCTCTATCTTGTCCTCCATGGCTGTATGCCTGACCTGACAACCTTTCTAAGTCCCTTTGACTTATCTAGGTCTTCCTTATCTTTTCTATTTTTCCTCTTCAACATTCCACCCGTCCCCCTGACTCCATCCCACCTCTTTGTGGTGGGATTTCTGGGATTTTTCCCCATGCTGGGGACTAGAGCCCTGTTACTACTTACAAGCCTTCCTAACGTCTACAGAATAAGGTCTGTCTCTTGATTCCTCACTGCTAAGCTTGCCTGTCTACTAGCTACCTTCTCTTGCTGGACTTGTTCTATACAACTTGCTGGTCTCCAACACTGTTCCTCAACTATGCCTCTAACTTACTAAATCAGTCCTTCTGGTATTGGGCATGGGAATTTGCACTTCCTACTGGCACTTACGTTTGAGACCCACAGTAAGGGGGCATCAGAACCACTTGGCCTTTTTAAAACACAGATGTCTGGGACCCACTCCCAGAATTTCTGATTCAGTAGATCTAGGGCGAGGCCTATTAAGTTCCATTTCTAATAAGTTCCCAAGTGATGCTTATGCTGTGACTTAGGGACCACACTTTGAGACTCACTGCATGAGACAAATGCTTGTCTTTGTACTGTCTGCCTAATGGGAGTTTCTCCCAATAGCTAGAGCTGAGCATTTATAGCCCTGCTTCACCCTAGGAAGTAAGACCAGGTGTGGGCTCACACTGCTTCTGCTCTGGACCTTTTGTGCATATTGTGTAATGAGATATGTCAGGCTCCAAATGTCCCAGTTTTACTAGTGATGGCAGCATGAGCTTCAGGATAAGAACAGGGGAGATCATATATTTCAGGAAATGAAGGATTAACCAGGGTGGCTACAGAACATTAAAAAAAAATTTAAAGCCAGTCATTTCGGTTCAGCTGTCCCTGGCTTTTATTTCACCCAGGTAGAGGAAGAAGCAAAGAGACTGCCTTGTTTTGAGAACATGGAGCTCAACCTCAAAGCCAGGGTGCTGGAGGAGAACATGGAAATCAGATCTTTCTGTTGCCTGGGGGCAGAGCCTTGTGTATGAATAGGTATGTTCTTGGGTTTCTGGCAGTTCAACATGTTGTTGGTTTCTGGCTTACCTGGCATGACACATTGTAGTCCAGTTTGGGTTCCAGTCCTGGTGAAAGCTTGTATGAGAGCTTATGTGTTCACCTCCTGTCCTGGCTGATGCAGTGAATTGTTTGAATTAAGCATGCTTGATACTTGCTCTAGCTAAAGAAAGCTTATTTATAACATGGTGCAGAGGAATTTTTAGAAATTATTTTAAATTGTGATAAAATACACATAACACAAAATTTACCATTTTAACCATCATTTGAAAATGGTATGATTCAGTGATGTTGTGGTTTGAATTTTTTGTTTGAATGTTATGGTTTGAATGTCCCAGGACAAACATTCAAACCATAACATCACTGAACCATACCACTTAAAAATGCTGGTTAAAATGGTCAATTATGTACTCCAAATTATGTACTCCAATTATGTACTCCAAAACTCATGTTGAAAGGCTGAATAATATTCCAGTGTATAAACACCACATTTTGTTTATCCATTTATCCATCAATAAATTCTAGGGACCATGGAATACTATGCAGCCATAAAAAAGGATGAGTTCATGTCCTTTGCAGGGACATGGATGAAGCTGGAAACCATCATTCTCAGCAAACTATCACAAGGACAGAAAACAAAACACCACATGTTCTCACTCATGGGTGGGAACTGAACAATAAGAACACTTGGACACAGGGTGGAGAACATCACACACCGGGGCCTGTTGTGGGGTGGGAGGCTGGGGGAGGGATAGCATTAGGAGAAATACCTAATGTAAATGATGAGTTGAGGGGTGCAGCAAACCAACATGGCACATGTATACCTATGTATCAAACCTGCACGTTGTGCACATGTACCCTAGAACTTAAAGTATAATAAAAAAATAAATAAATCCTAGGGTTTCTTCCATCTCTTAGCTATTGTAAATAATGCTGCTATGAACATGTGTGTACAAATACCTATTTGAAAAGATGTGCAATTGCTGGTAATTATGGTAATTTTATGTTTAATTTTTTTAAGAGATGAGGTGTTGCTATGTTGACCAAACTGGTTTTGAACTTCTGGCCTCAAGCAATCTTCCCACCTCAGCCTCCCAAAGTGCTGAGATTACAGGCATGAGCCACTGCCCCCAGCTTTATGTTTAATTTATTGAAGAAATACCATACTATTTTCCATAGTTGATACACCATTTAAGAATTCCCACTCATAGTGGACAAAGGTTTCAGTAGAGGAATTTGTTTTGAGGCTGCTTGTTAGGGCTGACCTGGCTTCTCTGGGTTTCTTGTATAGTCCCTTGTCTTGAGGAAGGCTGAAGAGCTGAGCTTTGGTGGAGACTGGCAGGAGACAGATGGCACATTTAAGGGGTAATTGAAGAGTGTAATGAAGGGATAATTCAACATAGGTGAGAACAAGTTTGCAGAAACCAACAAAAGATGATGAGGTCCCAGCAACAGTGGGAAGCTGCTGCCACATCTAGGCTTGATGAGATAAAAGGAGATGGTTGTTCCTGGAACAAACCTAACGAGAGTTGTAGCCATGGGAAAGAGACCACTTGACCAGAGTGTGGCATTAAATAGGGGACTGTAGCCACTGTCATGCCACAGCAAGGCAGGGAAAAACCTGAGGAAATGAATACCATGAACTTTCTCTTTTCCTGCCCTCTGATTACCTGCTAGTTAGTCCCATTGGTTGAAGCCAGATGGCAAGGGAGACCAGTGCTATAATCTACAAAGAACTTTTCTATACCTAGAGCAGGTTAGAGAAGGGAAGAGAATGGATATGGAGGGTACAATAGAGAATTAGCACAGTGGGTGTCAGTGTTTTCTAAGATGCATTCTCGCAGCTTCATTTTAGCTCAATACAGCACCTTCATGTTTGCAGATCTTTGCCTCTAATGTCACAATGAGGAGCATGGAACTGTTTCAGAGAGGGTGCATGAGTCTCCCTGGGTGGATATTCACTTCTAATTAATACTTTTTCTGTATTTGATTCCTAATGTTGGCAGGCTTTTTTCCAGTGGGACTCTGTTTCTTATCCATTTGTTTCTACATTTGTGTGTTGTATCACACTCCTCAAATAGCTGAGAACAAGACACAGTTCAGGTAAGTTTTGCCTCTAGGAAGGTGCACTGGATGAGTCTGAAGGATGGGGGGAGGAAGTGCAATTATAAGGGAGGGGGCTTCATCAGTCAAATGTATGAGAGCTGGGTTCCTTGGGTGGAGAAAAGGGATGTGACGAATGCTGCTTTTCAATAGTGAGGAGAAAGAAAAAATTGTACTGAAGAAGAAAGAAAGTGTGAAAGGCTCCCAAAGATCAACTTACCTTGTTAACCATTTTACCAATGGCAGACTGTCCTGAGATTCATATGGCAGAAAACATGGAGACCTGCACAGCCTGTTGCAGTAGTCTTCATAGGAGCAAGAAATAACCTTTGATAGTGCTAGGCACTGAGGTTTCAGGGCCAATTTATTATTACTGCATAGCCTGGCTCACCCTTACTGAAACAGGGCCCAACTGAAAGTCACTACCTCTGAGTCTGTCCTTGCTGTGCCACAGAGGTTTCCTCCAGCATCTTGTCTCGCCTTGATTGTAGAAATTACTCCATTGTTTATACAGAAACTCCTTGAGAACAGGCGCTGTCTTTGATTCATTTTTATGTTCTCAGTGCACTTGTCCCTAGTGCATTTCTATTTTTCCAGCTCAGTGCTGAACATGATGTAGGACTTGTGACATTTTGAAATAAGTAGTGCACTCAGCATAGGGGCTGTGATGGGTTTGTGTTGGCTTCTTCTAACAATCCTTTCCAGGCTCAAGCCTCTGGAGTGGGGAAATCATTACTTTTATTTTTAAAATATAAGATTTCTTAGATATTAATATGTTGAATAGTATAAAAAAGAAGCAATAATTGCTCATCATCCTACTGCCCAGATAATGCTTGATGACATTAGAATAAAAAGTAATTAAGGCACATAGCTAGAAAATTCAAATAGTAGAAAAAGGTCCCTCTTCTCAAAGGTAAACACTTAAAGTCTTGTGTATCCTTGCAGAAACATATGCAAATATGACTCTTTCTTTGTGTGTGTGTACGTATATACACACAGATGTACTTTTTTTTGCATTAAAAGGGTCAAACTAAACACACTTTTTCATACTTTTTTGTCGTCTTTAACGGTATATCTGGGTGATTTCTCTACACTAGAATAACTGCTTTATTCTTTTAAAGGCTCCAACAGTATCCTTTGAATAGATATATCAATTTAGGTATCATTAGCTATTTATTTATTTATTTATTTATTTATTTATTTATTTATTTATGACAGAGTCTCACTCTGTCACCCAGGCTGGAGAATACTGGTGCAATCTCAGCTCACTGCAACCTCTGCCTCCCCAGTTCAGGTGATTCTCATGCCTCAGCCTCCTGAGTAGCTGGAATTACAGACGTGCACCACCACACCAGGCTAATTTTTTTGTATTATTATTATTATTATTTTTAGTAGAGACATGGTTTCACCATGTTGGCCAGGCTGCTATCAAACTCCTGGCCTCAAGCGATCTGCCTGCCTCAGCCTCCCAAAGTGCTGGGATTACAGGCATGAGCCACTGCGCCCAGCCTCATTAGCTTTTAAGATGGGGGTTTAGGAACAGTTTTGGATGAGGAAAAAAAAGTTTATAGCATGTGTCCTAGTCTGTTTTCTGCTGCTACAACACAGTAACAGAGACTGGGTAATTTCTAAACAATAGAAGTTTATTTGGCTCATTATTCTGGAGGCTGGAAAGTCAAAGCGCATGGCACCAGCATCTGGTGAGGACCTTCGTGCTGCATCATAACATGGCAGAAGGGCAAGCGAGCACGTGGAGACAGAGAGAGGAAATCAAGCTGAATTCATCCTTTTTTTATATATAAAAAATCCATTCCTGAGATTACTAACCCATTCCCGTAATAATGGCATTAATCCTTTACCTAATCACCCCTTAAATGTCTGACCTTCCTGCACTGTCACAATGGCAGTTAAATTTCAACCTGAGTTGTGGAAAGGACTTTCAAATGATTGCAGCATGAATGGAAAAATCCAAGTGGTGGGTAAAGAATGAGAAATAAAAAAGTTGGAAGGAGTAGAAACACATGAACAAAGTAAACATTTAGCAGAACAATAAAAGTAACCAAACACATTTGAGGGAGAATTTTGCTTTCATTTCAGATGTAGGATATGTTGAATTCTGTAAAAAATGAATTTTGTAACTGTTGTTACGAAGCAACAGTAGGGATTTGAACTAGGTTCAGAATGACCAGAGGGAGAGAGAATCTTGGCAGCAGTCTCTAATATTTACTAGACTTGAGAAGCACAGAGGGAGGATAGGCCATCTGGACAACAGTTACATTTGTTAAGTCAAGAAGTGACCAAAACACATGGTAGCATCTTATCAGTGGGAATAGAGAGGCTATATACATCTAGAGTTTGCAAGAGAGGATGGCTGCAGAGCTTAGGGGAAGAGAGATTTCATCACTAATGTTTGCATTCAGAAAAGGAATAAGAAATAGGGTTTGTGGCTCAGAAGAGAGACAACTTAATTTGGTACCAGTCTAGGGAGTTTGGGTTTATATTAAGTGTGTGTGTGTGTGTGTGTGTTTGTGTGTGTGTGTGTACACATACCCATGCATGCCAACATTTGTTTTTAAAAAAAATCAGAGAAAGGAATGGTCACAGAACTAAGTTTAAAACACCTCCTCCTATCTGTCAAACACTATGCTAGGTACCTTATATAGGAACATATGTTCCCTCATTTCTCCTACCAACTGTCTTGTGAAGTAGTTTTTATTTTTTTATTTGAGATAAGGAGACTGATGTCCTGAGAAGTTGATATTTGACTGGGACTTGAACCCAAGTGTGTTTGCTTTCAAAGCCCAGGTTCTTTCCTCTATGCCAGTATACTGTTAAATCTTTAAATATATTAGGAAAACCAATTAAAATGGGCAGGGGTTTGTTATGTGGGTAGAATATTATCTGGGGACAAGGCTAAATATCTAAAGGACATTAAGAAAATTATTATTTTCATATAGTTTGTATGTGTTCAGAAAATAACCCACTGAGTGTGGGTTGAATGGGCAATTGGGATGTTAGAGCACATTGAGCAGTCACTGACAGCAAAGAGGGAGCTAGTTTTTGGGTATGAGAGAGATTTGCTTTTAGAGAGAGCCATGTCCTCTATGGTAGGGATATAGATTGAAAGATCTACGCATGATCAGAGGAAGGTGGGGTGAATGCATCCAACAGGTCAGGGAGCCAGGTTTGAAAAACAGAAGAGCAAAAGTTTGGCCAAAACATGTTTAGGAAAAGGAAGCTACCATGAGAACAGGGAAAGGGGAAAGAAGCCCCTCAGGGGATCTAACAGGGCTTGGAGAGAGGATGTTGAGACTTTGCAAATAACACTACCAAGAAAAACAAATGTTTAGTACAGAAGAGAAGAGAAGAGAAGAGAAGAGATCTGACAGTGAGGTGGAGGCCAGTGAGAAACACCACACAGTTGGGAGAGGGTTTTGTAAGGTATAGGATAATGGAGATGCGCATAGTCAATGGGAACCTTTTTTTTTTTTTTTTTTTTTTCTGGAGACAGAGTCTTGCTGTGTTGCCAGGCTGGAGTGCAGTGGTATGATCTTGGCTCACTGCAACCTCCGCTTTCTGGGTTCAAGCAGTTCTCCTACCTCAGCCTCCAGAGTAGCTGGGACTACAGGCTCACGCCACCACACCCACAATTTTTGCATTTTCAGTAGAGACGGGGTTTCACCATGTTGGCCAGGATGGTCTTGATCTCCTGATCTAGTGATCCACCTGCCTTGGCCTCCTAAAGTGCTGGGATTACAGGCATGAACCACCATGCCTGGCCCTTTTTTCTTTTTCTTTTTTTCTTTTCTTTTTTGAGACAGAATCTCACTCTGTCACTCAGGCTGGAATGCAGTGGCATGATCTTGCTCACTGCAATCTCTGTCTCCTGGGTTTACCATGCCTGGTTAATTTTTGCATATTTAGTAGAGACAGGTTTCACCATATTACCCAGGCTGGTCTTGAACTCCTGGCCCCAAGTGATCCGCCTGCCTCGGCCTCCCAAAATGCTAGGATTCCAGGCATGAGCCACCATGCCTGGACCCATTCTCTTTTCTATTTGAGCACCACACAGACTCACACTAGAACTTTTGTCCATGCCTCACCACATGTGGAGAATCTAGGGAGTGGTGAGGACATGATGAAGAAAGCCTGAAGTGTTTGAAGTTAAACAAAATCACTTCCAGATGGAAAAGTCAGAAGGATAAATTATTTAAATGTCATAAGTGATGTCAGAGGGGAAACTGATACCCATTTCTCAGTTATATGAAGGCGTATGAAATAAAGCATGTTGACAGTGCTGGCTGTCTCCCTTTAAAGACACTGGAGAGAAATGGCCAAACCCCTTGTTATGTTGAACTGATCACGCAAAAAGAGACTCTCTTTCAGTGATGCTGTTTAGATCTGAAAGGAAGGTACAGAAACTCATTCTATGGAGAACATCATAGTATCGAGTATTCAAACAGAAGATGTTTTTGGCTCTCTTGGATCGTGTAGGGTAATTAAAAAAAAAAACAAACTTTTATCTCTTTAGGTTTTCGCCAGGTTGGGAAGGTGAAAAACCTATGCAACTATATTTAGAAAGAAGGTATTAGAGTAAGCAAGTTCTGCTCATTGAGCATTGATAATTATCAGAAATCTCAAAGGGGAGTCTGTTCCTGCAGGGTCTCTCTGGAGGAACTGAAAAACTCTGCAAATTCATATGAATGTTAATTTTATGCATGTGCCAAAAAGGACAGAGTTTGCTATTCTGAACCAAAACTTCAGAGCCCTGGAGGGTCACCTTTAGCTCATATGAATTATTTCTCTTTCATGGTGGCCGTTTCCCAGAAGATCTATTTTGCAGGCACACAGCAATCGTAATTATCAGTCCATACTTTCAGGAACAGCATGTATGTGTGTTAAGATATTTACATTTTGTTGTTTATATCTCTTACATTTTTTATAATCAAAAATAATATTTATTATCTCTTCCATTTTAAGTGTATTGCATATTTCTTCAAAGTTAATTCATAGCAATTGAGTCAGGATGATGGTTGCTTTTTTTTTTTTTTTTTGAGACGGAGTGGGTATTACTGAGAGGGACGTGAGAGGGCTTGTGGTGAGATGGAAATAGTCCTGATCTAAATGGTGGTCACCTGAGTGTACACATATGTAAATACTCATTGAGCTGTTTACTTAAGATTTGTGTACATTATTTAAATTATGCTTCATTAAAAATAAGCAGTGCCATTCCTTAGAAAATATTTTTAAAATACAGAAACGTAGAAAGAAAAAAAGTCATTTATTACTCAGGTAAAACTACCGCTAGCCTGGTAAAGTATTTACTTTCAGTATTTCTTTTAATGTATACTCTTTATGAATTAAGATTATAGTTCATATACAATTTATATCCATTTCTCCCACATATTTAACAGAATCATTTTTCATGTAATTATAAACCCTTGAAAAATGTCAGTTTCTCTGAAGATAATGGGGTTGAATTGTGGATGCCCACAGACAGAGGAACACTCTGAGCAATGTGGTGCTAAACCTCAAATTTCAGTGTGTCCTGGCTCAGTGCTCTGTGGGAGAGACATGTAGATTTGCATAAAACTATGGAACAGTGAGGTGATTGACAACTTCAGTTTGTCAAACGGAAATTAATTTTGGAATGATAGGGTGTGTGTAGGTGCTGGTGACCTGCAAGCAAATCAAAAGAGGTGTAGCTTCCTAAGAGATGCCGTCACATAGCTAAATCTAGAACATGTTACATTAAGAGATGGAAATGTGAATATTTACCTCAGAACTGCCTTACTGGTGTGCCATGGATGGGTTACAGTTGGGTCATGATACTTATTTCCTATTCCCCTTGGGTGTCTGGATGAGGCTTGAGTGGCTGGAACCCCTGGGCCACAAGCTGATGCCTCTGTTGACCTCAAGTGACATTCACTAAGCACATCCTAAAGTAAAAGTGGTTGGGAGGTCCAGCTCCATGTGGAAAACTGTCTCACCTTCCAAACTTGTTTGCGGCATGAGATTGAACATACACCTTTGAGTGAGCCATACTCTAAACAAACAGCATAAATTATTATGCAGTTTCTGCTGGAAGTTAGCACGTTGAAAATTGCTTTCACATCTCTTCTCAATTTGTCCAGACAAGAACCCTTAAGGTATGTGGTAGTAACTTATAACTGAAGAGTCCAGAGGTCATGGAGGTTGATTATTTTCCCAAGGTCACATAGTTAGTAGGTGGCAATGTTGGTGTTCAAATCTAGATTTTTCTATCTGATCCTTCTACTGTTTAGATGGTTTTTAATTCTCCGTTTCTTTTAAACTGCTGAAACTTTTTCCCCCCCCAAACCAAATATTTGGCAGAATCATAATAAATAGAAAGGGCTAAACACAGAGCTGCTGTGGTTGAAAAGGGAGTGGGGGACCTAGCATGCTTCAGCAAAGCCCTCTGCTCATCTTCCTTGGCACCTGAGTCACCTCTGTGGGACCTAGACCTCAAGGGACCCAATTTGAAGATGCTGCCCTCTTTCTTATCACTCCATCAGGATTAGTCTTGGCAGTCCTTGACCATTGAAAGCAAAAACCCAGTCCTTTTATACTATGCACTAGTCAGTTTGGCTGCTATCACAAAATACCTTAGACTGGGTAATTTATAAATAACAGAAATTTATTACTTACAGTTCTGGAGGCTGAGAAGTCCAAGGTTAAGGCACCAGCAGATTTGATGTCTGGTAAGGGCCTGTTCCTCATAAATGGCACCTTCTAACTGTGTCCTCATGTGGCAGAAGAGATGAACAAGCTCCTTTTTCATAAGGACACTAATCCTATTCATGAGGTCTCTACCCTCATGATATAATTACTTCCCAAAGGCTGCACCTCTTAACTCCATCACCTGAGGGTTAAGTTTCAACATATGAATTTTTGGTTGGGGGAACACTAACATTCAGACATAGACCAACATTAGTTTTCAGTTTTTGAGGTTTTAATTTTAGTTTATCTCTTGGTTCATTGGTCAGTTGCAGTGTGTATTTCCTCAAGAAACAACAAGGGTTATATTTTCTTGAGCTTGTACATATCTGATACTGCCTTAGTTTCCTATTCTACAAAAATAATAACTCAGCCTGCAATGAAAATTCATATTCACGAACATTCAACCCCCAAACTCTCTAGATGTTGCTCCATTGTCTTCTTGTATTTAGTGTTGCAAACATGTTAACTCGCATACTATAATATTTACATCTTTCAAGTTAATTTCTTTCAGCCTAGATTTTGACAAAATGTTTTTTTGTTATCCTTGTAATAAAAAATACAACCAGAAGTCTAAATGAGGTTATCTATTTAAGATTCTACTTGTAATATGGTCACTCATTTCAATATTCAAGTTGTTTCTCAGGGTCAAAAATTTTCTATAACTCTGTCTTCATTTATTTCTTCAGTTTCAAGAGCTATAGCTTTTTCTGCATGGGTTTTTAGGTATGAAAGACTATGAACAAAGCTTAAATCTATCATTTTTTCTCATATTTTTATCTCTATGTAATTTTTTTCCAAATTCCAGGAAAGTGTCTCAAGTAAGTTCTCCATATTATTCATCCACTTTTCTGAAGTTTTAAACTTGGCTCTTTATAGGTCCCAGGAATTATTTTAATTTTTCTATTGCATTTTAAATTTTTCTTGCAACCCTCCTTGCCTTACCTGTGTTCATTTTTATCTTATTCTAATTTCTTGTCATCTCACTCTCCTCTTTTCTTTTTCTTCTTTTTATTTTTTTTAATGATTTTTTTGTTCCTGTTACATGTCCCTGTCTTTTCACCCTTATTTTCTTAAGAGTGAAAATCCATTAAGTTTCTCTGACCACTCATGTGTAAATATTCCATTATCATTGTCTATTCAGACATCAGTGCAAACTGTGGAGTGAGTTGAGTGAAAGAAATAAAGAGGACTGGACACAGTGGCTCACGCTTGTAATCCCAGCATTTTGGGAGGCTGAGGCAGGTGGATCACCTGAGGTCAGAAGTTTGAGACCAGCCTGGTCAACATGGCAAAACCCTATGTCTACTAAAAATACAAAATCAGTCAGGCGTGGTGATGTGCACCTGTAATCCCAGCTACTTGGGAGGCTGAGGCAGGAGAATCACTTGAACCCAGGAGGCGGCAGTTGCAGTGAGCTGAGATCATGCCACTGCACTCCAGCCTGGGCGACAGAGCAAGACTCTGTCTCAGAGAAAAAAAAAAAAAAAGAAAGAAAAAAGAAAAAAAAGAAATAAAGAATGGGTCTTCACCAGGCATTATAGTAGTTCCTCTCTCTTTCATAGGAGTTATGTTCCAAGAATCCCAGTGGATGCCTGAAACCATGGGTAATACCAAATCCTATATATATTATATAGGATATATAATATACTATACATACATACCTATGGTGAAGTTTAACTTATAAATTAGGCACAGGAAAATACTAACAACAATAACTAATAATAAAATAGAACAAATATAGTAATATATCATAATAAAATTTATGTGAATGTGGTCTCTCTCTCTCACATTATCTTACTGTATTGTACTTTCCTTTCTTCTTGTGATGATATGACATGATAAAATGCCTGCCTGATGAGATAAGGTGAGGTGAATGATGTAGGAATTGTGATATAGTATTAGGCTACTGTTGGCCTTCTGAGGATCTGTCAGAAGAAGGACAATCCTGACATCCATCAGGAGCAGACGATGGTGTTGATGACTAATAGGTGAATAACGTAGACAGTGTGGACATATTAGACAAAGGGAAAATTTGTGTCCCATGCAGGACAGAGTGGGATGGTGCAAGATTTCACCATGCTACTCAGAATGGCATATAATTTAAAACTTATGAATTGTTTATTTCTGGAATTTTCCATTTAATATTTTCAGACTGCAATAACATAATGTTGACTGCAGAAAGTGAAACTTCAAATAAGGGGAGACAACTGTATTGGATAAACAGAATAGAGAAATATGATACAGCCATAAGAAGGTATTTAGTATAGCACTAAATACATAGAAGATGTTCACTACGTGGCAGCTCTTGATATTTATTTTCCATGTGATTTTGCACATGAAATTTCATGAATGACTTAAAACATTATAACTCCTGATTTACAAATGAGGTTTAGGGAGATTAAATGATTTTCTCATGTTCACGCTGCTATTTGATGCCAGACTTAAATCTCCCACATTTCAGTCATGTAAGGAGATCCCCTGAGACCCAGAGGTCATCTGGAGACAATGTACTGTAACATTGTCAGGTTCCACATGAAGAAAGAAGCTTGCAGAAGAGGAGACTTTTTAAGGTTTTGTAACTAATTAGTGGTTGTGTCTGGACTGGAACACACTGCCCATAACTAAATTTTCCTTTCCTATTTATTGAAATTGTACAGAAAATAATCACATACAATTTGGCTTTATCCTTCCTTCTGCAGAATTCACCCCCTGTCATGCTGGGCTGTTGTTTTTTTCTGCACAGCTTCCCTTTCTTTGGGGGAACCATTTCTCTCCTGTTCTCCGTCGTTCTGGTGAGATGGTCAGTCATAGCACCTGCCCGCCTGTCTGCATGTACAGCACATATAATGTATCTTATAATAAAGACAACGTTTTCCCTTTGTGTGCAATAATGTAAGTAAGTGGGGGAAAAGACTGAAATAATACTATTATTAATGATGATATTTGTGTTTATAGAGTAAAGAAGTTAAGTGTGTCTTTATTATACAGTATTGGATGAACAGTACTGTGAAATGTGAAATAGCACGAAGGGCGTCTGTTGCGCTTTATCTGCCATTCCCAATTCCCTAAACTGTTGACACTCACATCAGAAAAGCTGAGGACAGCAGTGTGTATCTTTGGAGTATAAGGTGATAAGATTGTGGCTGGGAATTTTGTGGGTTCTAATAAAAAGACCCCTTTCCTCTTTTACCTTCTTCCTTACCTTACTTATGTTAATATACACACCCACATGTTCTGGGGATGGTGGTAATATTGATGCCATTTGTTTTCCTGAGTCATAGAGTACACTTGCAAGCTACAAAACCAAATGAGAGTACACTTTTAAGAAGAAGAAAGTGCAAATGAGATACAGAAATAATACTCCACACAGAGTTGAAAAACCTAATGGTTTAACCCAAAGTCCAACCTGATGTGTGAAATAGCCTCTGAAACTCAAGCTAACTTTTGAACAGCCAGAGTGGTGTGGGAAGCAATTTAAAAATGATTACTGACAGTGATGTCTGTGTGTGCTAACTGATGAGAACATCACAAGCCGCAGACAGGAACCCAGGAGTCCTGATGTGTGGTGCAATCTCCTCACCCTCTGGAGAAAGTCCCATTGGAGGAGGAATGGGTGGCACATGAATCAGTTACCCGGGACAGAGTGCTTTCCATGGTGTGCCCTTTTATGCGGCAAAAATTATGCTTCTGGAGTTGTAACGTAAGTTGAGTCATTTGGACTCCTGGGGGTGAAGGCTACAAGTACTCAGTGGATTCTGTGAAATTATTCTGAGATCACCACTACCAATGATGGCCTGGAGAAGAAGGAGGGAAAATTAGGGGCCTTATCATACTCTGCACCATGTCCTCCCTGCTGGGAAATGGGCTGTCGCAGAGGCCCAGAAGACCCAAATAGACCTACATCTGTGACTCAGAGCTTGCCTTGGCCTTGCTGTGATGGCTTAATTTGCCTGCTGAAGTGTTGGTGCCGTACCCTCTGTGAGTGAGTCAAGCCCCTTAATAGACGACATCCAAAGCCCCCGAGAAATCCAGTCCACTTTGCCAAGGAATCAGCAGTGACTGCCTCTCCTTGGCTGTTCTTTTTCCTTCTTCCTCCTCACGTATTTTGCCAATGTGTAAAAAGTATCAGATATGTTAGGCTAAATTTTGTTTCCCAAAATTCATATGTTGAAGTCCCAACCTCCAGTACATCGGAATGTGACTGTTTGGAGATAGGATCTTTAAAGAGGTAATTAAGTTACAATGAGGCCAGTAGGGTGGGTTGTAATTCAGTAGGTAGGACTCTGCCCTGATACAAAAAGGAGATTAGGGGCCGGGGTGGTGCTTCACGCCTGTAATCCCAGGACTTCGGGAGGCCGAAGCGGGTGGATCACCTGAGGTCAGGAGTTCGAGACCAGTCTGACTAACATGGTGAAACCTCGTCTCTACTAAAAATACAAAAATCAGCCTGGCGTGGTCGCAAGCGCCTGTAATCCCAGCTACTCAGGAGGCTGAGGCAGGAGAATCGCTTGAACCCGGGAGGCAGAGTTTGCGGTGAGCTGGGATTGCACCACTGCACTCTAGCGTGGGCTACAGAGCAAGACTCCATCTCAAAAAAAAGGAGATTTGGACACTGACAGGTACAGAGATAAGTCCAAGTCAAGGAGAGGAGTCTCAGAAGACACCACCTTGCCAACACCTTGATCTTGTGATCTTCCAGCTTTCTGCACTGTGAGACAGGAAATTTTTGCTATTGAAGCCACTGAGTCTATGGTACTTTGTTACAGCAGCCCTGGAAAGCTGCCACCCCAGGACTGTGTTCTGGCTCATGCCGTTGATGCTCACTGGGGTTCTGGAGGAGGGGGCCCATGCCTGGTGGGGTCTGAATGGCAAACACAGACCACTGGCTCGGGCCCACTCAGATGTGCGGCCCTGCAAACAGGGCCTTTACAGTTCCAAGTGCCAGGTGACAGAGTTATTATTTTTTTTCACATTAAAAAACGTCGAGCTGATCAAAGAAACAAACACTTTTAATGAAACATATGTGGGACACTTAGAAGGAGAAGATTTATAGTGTGTCTGCTGTGAAACCAGAAGGCTTATGGAAAGTGTGAAGTAGGAGGAGAAAGATAAGGGACTCTGATGCCAGAGGAGACACGGCCTAAATATTAAACAGAAGGAAAAATCATTCTTGTCTATAAAATCACACTCATTTCTGTACTGAACGTAAATCACTAGTACACACATAGGCCATTTTCATCTAACTACACTCGGGTCTTTTCACACCCATCACAATAATGTACACTTTGATCTTAGGGAAGGAAATGAAACTTAGATATTGAGATGTAAAATTGTCAGGATTGCTTCAAAATGCAAACTCTAAAAATGCCCCCTCACCCTCATTAGAATGTTGAGGGTCAAGAATAATGCGGATGTATTTGTCTAGTTTTCACAACTAGGCAATATGTTAACTCCCTTTTGCAAATTCGGATCTAAAATAAAATCCTGCATAAAAATGGAATGCTGGCTGGGCGTGGTGGCTTATGCCTGTAATCTCAGTGCTCTGGGAGGCCAAGGCAGGCAGATTACCTGAAGTCAGGAGTTTGAGACCGGCCTGGCTAACGTGGAAACCTTGTCTCTACTAAAATTAGCTGGATGTGGTGGTGTGTGTCTATAGTCCCAGCTACTCAGGAGGCTGAGGCAGGAGAATCGCTTGAACCCAGGAGGCAGAGGTTGCAGTGAGCCGAGATCATGCCACTGCACTCTCGCCTGGGTGACAGAGTGAGAATCCATCTCAAAACAAACAAATGGAATGCTGCCGTATGAAAAGACAGCGAACGATTCCACTTTGGAATGCTTGTGCCACCCACAGTATGGGCAGGGTGATCCTATGTTTCACGTGGCACGAAAGCTGGTTTTGAATATTTTGGCTAGATATTAAATTAATGTTCATTACATTTCTAAAGAAGCCTGCAAAATATGTGTGGGTTTGTCTGTATGGTTTTAAGGAAGGATAGTATGTGCATTTGCTATGATATACAAATTATGACCAATACATTATTCCTTTCATAATATTTACAAAATATCTTGCCTTCAAATCAATTTGGAAATATCCACAAACCTGTTGTCTGTGTTTTCACAAATGTAGATTTTTCTTTCCTGTTGGCAATTTCAAGCTTGGGCTGGATAGCAGGTGGTAAGCTTAGGAAGGATGGGGCCAGGGAGCAGGGTGCAGCTGGGATTCACCCCTGGCCTGGCTGCTCTCCGCCTCTGGTCTCTTTCCTTTCCCTGGAGTGGGTCCCGGGAAGAGGGAACTCTGAACATCTGGAAGAACAGACTTTTCTTTTTCCTTCTTCTCAAGGGATCAAGGTCATCGGGAAGTAGAGGCCTGAGTATAGAGCCAGAAATGAAGTTTGTGTGTGTGTGTGTGTGTGAGAAAGAGTGTATGTGAGAGAAAGTATGTGTGTGGGAGTGTGTGTGAGAGAAAGTGTGTGAGAGTGTGAGTGTGTGTGAGAAACTGTGTGTGTGAGAGTGTGAGTGTATGAGAGTGTGAGAGGGTGTGTGTGTGTGTGAGAGTGAGCCAGTGTGTGTGTGTGTTTGAGAGAGTGTGTGTGAGGGTGAAAGTGTGTGTGTTTGAGAGAGTGTGAGTGTGAGAGTGTGTGAGAGAGTGTGTGTGAGAGTATATGTGAGTGTGTGTGAGTGTGTGTGTGAGAGAGAAAAGTGTGTGTGTGTGTGAGAGAGAAAAGAGTGTGTGTGTGTGTGTCAGAGAAAGAGAGTAGAGGACAAGATTGGAGGAATGGGAGGTTTCAGGGTGATTCCTGTCTGTGGGGTCACATAAGGAGATCCTGGAAGAGACATTTGCTTCTGAGTATTCCCAGCTCCCAGCTTGGGGGTGAATTAGGTTAGGGGTAAGAAATGTCTGTTTCATGAGTCCTGCCTGGCCACCAGCCCTCTGAAAGAACAGCTTCAGATACTATGACACTCTGCCTACCCCAGCCGAGTCAACCCCTCTTTCTTCACGTTTTATTTTTTATCTGAAACAAAGTTCATTGTTTCTAACATGTGGCCCAAATATCTTGGAGTGTCATAGAGATACTTGAAAAAGGCTATGAAGGTGTGAAGTCACTAAGCATGGCTCTTCAACAGAAATAATTATTTTTACCTGAACATAAGTTTGAATTCATCGAATGTATGCAGAGCTCCCTTGGGATTAAAAAAATAAAATTTATTGTAAATCGTTGCTAAATTCAGGGAAATTTTTTGGTCATCTCTTTTTTTCAAATCTGTGTAAATCACAGCTATAATCATTTGGAAGTCTGCAATTTTATTTTTTTAACTTCAGAAGAGTCTTCTTCATGGAATGGATTGTTCAGATCCTTCATATGCCCAACTGCACTCTGCTTATAAAATCCTAGTTTTATGATTATAACTGCAAACCCAACTAGCCTTTGGGTTACTGCTTAATGAGAACATGACAGTGTCAAGATGTAATACTCTGGGCAATTAAGGAGATGGTTTTATAAGGACCACTGCGATAGGGAGAATGCTCATTGATGAGGAATATCTCAGGGGAAAGAAGGAAGGGACTGTAGGGTTTTGTAGAAGCAGGTGAATGAAAGAGTCATCTATAAGTCATACGGTAGGCATGAGGAAGGAGAGTGATGCATTTTGTTTAGAATATAAAAGAGCAGCGTGGTTCATTGCATTTAACCCTTTCCAAAAATACCAATGGGTGCAGAGGAGGGCGGGGGATATCTTACTCAGCATTGTTTTCTAGAAGCACAGGACTCAAGTAAAGTTCAACCTTGTCACCAGAAACATTGTATATTGACTTGACTCAGCCACTCTGGCAGAATTTCTCTGTGATCCATTTGCTGAGTGTTAAGTTTAGTGTCACAAAACTCAGGTGTCCAAAGATTAAACTTCTTTTTCTGTAACTGAACTGAAATAAGATCTCAATTCTTTTTTCTCGCTGATGTTGGGGAATTAAATATCAGTTACTTTCATGTCAACTTAATCACCATAGGATTTTGGTCACCTGAGTATTTAGTCTTTCATTCAGAGCCAAATCTCTCCTTTCTCCTTCTCCCTGGGTGTTGATCAAAGTACCAGTTAAGTTCCATTCTGGTATTTGGGGGAGGCATTCCTCTGGTCTCAGATAATCAGCATCTCTTCTCTCTGTATTAATAGCAGGAGGGTCCTAAGGGCCCTTGTCTCTGTCCACGTGTTTCCCTCTGTGTCCTTGTTCTCCTGCATGTTAGGTCCCCACAGGTCTAGCACCATTCTTTCAGCACATCCGTGCCCCTGTTGGGTACAGCAGGGAAGAACACAAGGCTTGTGGTGAGAGGCCTAATTTAATTTTGAGAGCTACCTTTAAGAAACAGGATAAAAAATAATGATTTTCTGGAAGTTGAATATATTAATTGGTATATTTCCTGGCTTGGAAGCACTTTCATTTTGAGTAGGCATCAATGAAAGCTGAATGATTTACTTTATAATTTCATAGCTCTTTTGACTGGAAGAACTTTCCATAGGCCAGCACTTGGCTCATACATTTTAAACCGTTCTCCTCTACTACCCATCTTGTTCTGGTTCTTGGTGCTGTAGGATATGTTTACATCATATTGTAACTTCGGGCTCAGTAACTTTGTGCCATG
This sequence comes from Homo sapiens, assembly GCF_000001405.40. Lineage (NCBI taxonomy): Eukaryota > Metazoa > Chordata > Mammalia > Primates > Hominidae > Homo > Homo sapiens. The sequence goes on along the minus strand of NC_000018.10, from coordinate 56,468,809 downwards.
ACTCTGGCTGGGTTGGCACAGTGGATGCTAGGAAGAGTTTTGGCACCCATTTGTATACTTGGATAGCTAACATAAACAATTATACACAGAAGTGGCTGGGAACCATGTAAATATATCTGACTAAACTCAAATATAAATGTATCCTCAATTCAACTTCCTCTTAGCTGTATCCAAAATATGCTGATGGCTACTCCAACACCATCTGACATAGAGGGAAGTGTGACAGAGAGGAAGTTGCAATGAAAAGAAACAGTGGTCTTAACCAATTGCGTTAAAATATTTTACTGTTGTGAATTTCATAAAAACCTCAGACCATGTGAACACATTGCCAGGACTTCTTCTGGGGCTTTGTAAAGGGGGTATGCAAATGAGGGCTCTGAAGCTTCAATTTCCTTAGCTTCATGATAAACCCTTCTTTTTGTGCATGGAGGACTTCAGATGCTCTCTCTACCTCACCAGTATTGTGGAAGGCTCAGGGTATCATTATAAATCCTCTCTGCAGACGTGTCCTACTACCATTTTCACTTGACTGTTGCAAAACTGTGTTGGAACAAGGGACTTCTCCATGAGACTGCTGATTACCTAGGCTTCAACCTCTACTTTGAGGACCTATAAACCTTTTTTGAGATTCTTGAATTTAGAGTTTCTAGAATTTCTTCCCTAGTTTAGGGCTTGGCTTGGAGGGAAGGGGCAAACCATTTAAATCCACCAACATCTAAACTATTCTCTGACTCCCCTTTTCTTCTTCCTCCCTTCTTCCTTCCACATGCTGTTCAACATGAGTGTCTTTTTGGGCCAGAAAACTATAGTCACATCATCAGGCATTCTCTCTTCCTTTCTGGCTTAACATTTCAGACTATTAGCTTTTTGAAGGTCAGAACTCTTTTTCTTCTTCAAAAAGCTCTGCTCTTGCAATGGAAAGATTCAATTTTCAAGAACTTTGTATCTTTTGCAAATTTAAAATATCTGTTTATGTCCCCTATCAAGTTCTTTGTTTTGGGCTAATTCATTGAATACCATTGATTTAATGAGTGGAGGACTGTGGACGCAGTTATGGTCTTTATGTTTTATCTAGCCACATTCCCTTTCGGGCTTTGGAATTCCAGTTCTTGGTTGACAATTTTCTTGAGAAAACTTGTCATATGGGATTATTAAATTCTTGTGAGGTATGGCATTAGTGACTAATTTTCAAAATGGTATCTATGGCATTCTTTTACTGTTTATTCATTTATTAAAAAACAATTTAGTGATCACATACTACATTGATGCTACCATAGATGTTACAGTTTTGTTGGAGATACAAGTTGAAAAGACAGGCATGGTTTCCACCCTCATTTAGCTTACCATTTAATTGAGAGAATGTACAACAGATACAATTATATAATTTGTAGAATATTTAACTATATTATACACTACTAATGGAAGTACAAGTTGCCATGAGAGAGAATGGTAGAAAGATTTAATTCACATAATCTTAAAAAAAAGTAGTTTAGGCATTACAATGCCTGATACTTGGAATTTGTGCAATAATTATTTATTGAATGACCAACTGAATGAATGAATAATAGAAGGAAGTGGAGTTCTTCCTTCTTTCCTTCATGCCAAGGAGCAGAGACAAACTTTCTAGAACTTTTTCTGTGTATTTTCTGCTTAAAAGACGTATATTTCTGTTTCTTAAAGATCTAGTTGATATGGGACATGGGTAGGAAGATAAGGCATTAAACTTAGTTTTGAAAGATAGAATGTCAAAATTAATACCAAGGTGAAACTTTAGCTTCTAGACCAATTTTGTAAGTAGTACCATGATTCCTAATAAGTGCATCTTGTGGGATATAAATGGTCTTATAGATGAGGAAAGTGAGGCACAAACAGGTTAGGTGCCCTATCCTAGTAGTTGTATTCTACAATCCAAGGCTATCACTTTCTTCATTGACACAGGGCCTCAGTCTTTGCCCACTGCACTACCCTGGTTACACACTATACTCAATTTGTTAATCATTTTTGAATGTCTCCTTATGCCATGTATCCAGGTACCAAGACAATCAGTGATGCCTCAAAGAGTTCACAGTTGGTAAGACAGACCACAACATAATTAATAGAAAAATAGAACAAATTCTAGTAAATGAGAGAGATAAGAATAGGCTTATATAGCTGTACTGTTCAATACCATAGCCACTAGTGAAATGTAGTTATTTAAAGTAAGATTAATTATATAAAATTAAAATTAATAAATAAAACTGGAAATTTAGTTTCTCACTTACACCAGTCACACTTTTGTTCTTAACAGCCACAGGAGGCTATAGGTCATCATGTTGGGCAGTGCCAATGGCAACATTTTCATTATCATAGTAGGTTCTACTGTATAGTGCAGGTCTAAAGCTCCTGTTATGATGATGTGGCAAGTCCAAGGAAGCCAAGGGTGAACTCTTGTGATGATGGAACTATTACCAATTCTGGAGAGGAGTCATCTTTGACAGTCTGTGTATCAGTCAATAGATTAAAATGACACCAGTATTTTTTAACAGAAGGAATTAAATGTAAAAAATTTATAACTAGATATTGGAGAAAAGGAAAAATGAACTAAAGTATCATCCCCAGAGTCTAGGAAACAAAGTGCAGTGGTTAGAATTATTAAAATTTAGAAACTTGGAGATGGGATGTGTAGAGCTGAAATTAAGACTTTTGAGGAGAGGCTACTAGCTGGCTGGTTCTAGTGTCTTTGGGGGACCCTGTGGGGCTGGGAAACAGACTTTTGAGGAAGAGATTCTGCTCGACTGGTGCTGGTGTCTCTGAGCTGGGAGAAGGGGCTTCATGGACTGAGACCCAGATGTCTAAGTGGGAGTGGTAACTGTTGATTGCTGGCTTGTTCTCATGTTTTTGAGGGAGCATAATGAATCTGGTTCTGGGAGTGTTAGGAAAACCACAAATTGTAATGGATAGTAGGTATTGAAATGAACTGCCACTACAGGGTGGAAAGTGTGGCTAGGGTGATGCCCACAGGAACGGGAAGAAAACAGGAGGCAAACACAAAGCAGTAAATCTCTTCTTCCTCCTTCCAGTCTTCTTCTCACACCCCTTTGGTTAAGCCTAACAAGAAGCCAGCATCAAATGAGAAATGTAGTTTGCTGAGTCTGCCAATATAATGAAGTAGTCTATGGGGAGGAAGGAGGGTTTTTATAATAAATAATTTGACTGGCCTTTATCCCTAATTCTTAGGAGGGGTACTCTAAATACTTGGAATTTCTTGAGTAATAAGAGTGCCGTTTTATTCATGACCCCTTGGATCACACCTGAGCTTAGGCTAATGAGATGACTCAGGTGGGGCTCATCACCAGAAAGATCAACCAAGTGATTAAAGAGGGACTTTGAGCCAATCTGACGTCTGGGGAAGAGAGGGGAGTTGGAAATTATTTAATCAATCATGTCTATGTAATGAAACTCCAATAAAAACTCTGGACACCAAAGCCCAGAGCTTTCTGCTTGGTGAACATATCAATATGCCTGGATAGTGATGTGCTCTGATTTAATGAGGTAAAGGCACAAAAGCCCTGTGTTTGGGACACTCCTAGACCTTGCTATATCTCACTTCGTTTGGTTGGTCTTAAGTTGTATCCTTTAATAACAAAACTGTAGTTGTAAGTATAGCAATTTCCTGAGTTCTGTGAGTCATTCTAGCAAATTATTCAACATGAGTGAGGCCATGGAAACTCTCAGGATATATACCCAGTTGGTCAGAAGTGCAGGTATCCTGGGAACCCCTGAACTTGCAGCTGGTATATGAAGTGCAGGTAGTCTTGTTGGGGACCATGCCCTTAAACCTGTGGAGGCTGATGCTAACTCTGGGTAGTTGGCATCCGAATTAAATTATGTTGCAGTATTGCATGGGGATAAGTGAGAGACAGATTTGAAGCTCTGAATCAATAGTTTGATAAATTGGTCCAGTGTGGTAAAACTGCAAATTATTATGAAGTGGTAATATTCTGATTGTTTATTGCTGTGTAACAAACTACTCCCAAATTTCTGCTCACAGAATTTTGTGAATCAGGAATTCAGAGAAAGCTCTTCCTAGCCTTATAATATCTGGAGTCTCAGTTGGGGTAATTTGAATGGTACAGTTAACTTGGATTATGAGGGCTGGTCTGGAGGACCCGTTTCGAGGAGGCTTCTTCATTCACATGTCTGGTGTTTGGGCTGAAGTACTGAAAGGTGGGCCCAGCTGGGACTGTTGACCAGTACATCTACATGTGACCCTGTTAGCTTAGAAGTCTCAGAAAAGTTGACCTTCTTACATGCTAGCTTTAGGGCTCCAAGTGTGCAGGTTCCAGTGAGCAAAGTGAAAGCTGACTTTGAGGTCACATAGCATCACTTCCATCATACTCTATTGGCCAAAACTGCCAGCCCACCTGATTCAATGGGAAGAGATAGAGACCTCACTCCCTGATCACAGGAGCACCAAATAATTGGCAGTCACATTTTAAATCTGCCTTAGGTAGCATCCAAAAGGTTATTGATGTGACAAAATTTGATGCAGAGAAGCTCAATTACAGCCTCTGAGGGAGAATCACAGCTATGTACAGCCCAGGCCCTATGGTGGGTGACTACACAACTAATGCAAAGGTGTTGTATCTGAAAATAACTCAATAAATACGCTTTGAAATGCAACCAGTTACCATATTGCATTGCAATTGATTTTCTGTAACTCCACTTAAACTACAATCTTTGTGAGAGCAGGACTTACATCTGTGTTATCCACCATGGTATTCCTAGTGCCTGGTACAGTATTTGAGACATAGTGGGCAGAGTAGATATTTCAGACTTTTTTTCAATATCTTAAAATTTATTAAAACTTGTTTTGTGAACTAACATATGATCTATCCTGGAGAATGTTCCATGTGCACTTGAGAAAAATGTGTATTCTGCTATTGTTGGGAGGAATGTTCTCTATATGTCTGTTCAGTCCAGTTGGCCTGTAGTATGTTCCAGTGTTTTTTTTTTATTGATCTTCTGTCTCTTTGTTCTATCCATTATTGAAAGTAAGGTTTTGAAGTCTTCTACTATTATTGTCACACTGTCTATTTCTGCCTTCAAATCTGTCAATATTTGTTTCATATATTTATGAACTCTGATGTTTGGTGCATATATGTTTATAATTGTTTTATCTTCTTGATGAATTGACCTTTTTATCATTAGATAATGTCTTTTTTTGTCTTAAATGATTTGGACTTAAACTCTATTTGTCTGATATTAGTATAGCCACCTCTGCTCTCTTTTGTTTACTATTTGCATGAAATATCCTTTTACATCCTTTCACTTTCAACCTATGTGCATTCTTAGATCTAAAATGGGTTTAGAAAATGTATAATTGGATTATCTCAGGAATTTTTATTTACTACATTTTTGTTTTATTTTTAATAATTTCAACTTTTATTTTAGATTCAGGGGGTACATGTGTGGGTTTGTTACCTGGGTATATTACATGAGGCTGAGGTTTGAGATGTGATTGATCCTGCCACCCAGGTACTGAGCATAGTATCCAATAGTTAGTTTCTCAACCCTTGTCCTCATCTCTCCTACTCACTTCCCTCTAGTAGTCCCCAGTGTCTACTGTTGCCATCTTCATGTCCTCAAATACCCAGTGTTTAGCTCCCATCTATAAGTTACAACATACGATATTTGATTTTCTGTTGCTGCATTAATTTTTTGGGACAATGACTTCCAGCTGTATCCATGTTGCTGCAAAGGACATGATTTTGTTCTTTTTTTGTGGCTAAATAGTATCCCATTTAATCCCATTTTTAAACGTGAGGAAGGAGACCCAGAGAATTTAGGTAATTTGTCAAGATAGCAATAAGTGGTGCAGTGAGGTTTATTGAAGAGTCTTTATGGATTTTAAAGTATAGGTGAAGGGAAATAGTAGGAAGGGCATTCTAAGAAGAGAGAACACCATGAGCAGAGCCCCAGAGGCATGAGAAATATGGTGTGTCTGTGTGTGTCTGTGTCTCTGTGTGTCTATGTCTGTGTGTCTGTGTATGTCTGTGTACTATACCAAATGGTATGTTGGTAGTTTGATGTGTGAATGGTCAGGACATGAAGCCAGAGGGATGAACACAACCCATATCACCAAGGGCTTTGAATACTATGCCAAGGTGCTTAGATTTTTATCCTATAGATGATTGGGAATACTTTAAGTAGGAAAGACAAGCTTAGATTTATATTTGATAGCTTTTCATATGGCACTATGAAGGATGAAATCAGGGAGGATAAGATGTGAGAGAGGCAGATGGTCAAGAACTCCTGTAACAATGTGTACAGAGATGACGAAATCCTGAAACAGGGCCATGTGGTGGTGTCTTCCCTCAAGACTTCCTAATTACAAGGCTGGATTCAGACCTAGAAACTAAAAATAAGGACAATACAAAATCATAAAGCCCAAAGCTTGCATGCATGCTAAAATTAAAAATGTGTCTTTTCAGATTTTGTATTGGAAAATTCTGGGTAAGTTCTTTGAAGTTGAACTTTTCTCTTTTATTGGTTGTAATTCACTGGTGTTTTTTGCATGCATTAGAACGTCCTTGGGGTAATCCAGCAGTGAATATCAGCAGCGATCTGCTGGTTACAGTGCCAGCTGGCCAGGCTGGAGGGTCATAATCTTAGGGTTGACCTTGTTGACATCTATGATATTAATGAGAGTATTAATATACTCATTCTCCAAATTATAAAAGCACATCTCTATAAGCTAGGCCTAAGATACAGAAGCAGAGCTCTTGAGAGTAAATATTATAGTGGTCGGGATTTTAGAGCCAGACTGCCTGAATCTATATTATGCTTCACTATTTACTACCTTGGACAAGATACAAACAAACAAACCACTCTGTGCCTCAGTTTCTCCATATGTAAAGTGGGATCAATAACAGTATCTGCCTTATGATTTGTTATAAGGACTAATATCTTTAAGGTAGCACAGTGCCTGGCATATAGTAAGCACTCAATAAAGTAAGCACTGAGCTCCAGGCTCAGTTCTGCATACTCTCTCTTTTGCATCCTAGAATTCAACAGCCCTAGGGATCTAAAGTACCCTTGGCATGTTGATGACTCCTAAGTATTTATCTCCAGCCCTGACTCTTCTCTGAGTTTTAGGGTTGAATGTCCAATTGTTTATTCTACCTCTCAGGATGACCTTGGGAGTTTGATAGAATGGGATAATGGTGTAGAGAAAGAATGATGGGTCATGACATCAGTTCTCATACGACTTTGCCACTTAACCAGGTATGTGACTTGGGACATCTCAGTTCTGTCACCTGGACTGGATGGCCTATAAGCTGCCTTCCAACTCTGCATTTCTAGAGGCAAAAGTGATTTGCAAATAACGAGTCATGATACATACATAAGCCATTTTTAATATTATACTCTTTCCAGTCAACCCTGCACACAGTGGTTCCTTGGTGTTCCAAGACCTAAACTAGTTTGTCCAGTTGGTGAGCACTGTGGTGGTGGCTTCCTGGTACAGCACTAAGAGCTCAAGCTCTAGAGTTAAATCAGGTTCAAAATCTAGCTGTACCACTTGTCTGGCTGGCAAACTTATTGAACCTTTGTAATCACCCATTTCCTCATATAAAATAATCTTGCATTCTTTGGAATGTATCTGGCTACAAGTAACTGAGCACCTGATTGGAAGTGGCTTAAAGAGTAAGGACATAAGTGCATTATCTCAACACAAGGCTTGACAACAAGCCTGGGTGGAGGTGGTTCCAGAGTTGGTTTAGCAAAACTAGGTTCTTGTTTTCCTCAGAGATGACTGTCAGAGAAAGATGTAAAAAGACAGGAAGCATAGAGGGGGACTTTTCCTTTTCCATCTGTTTTTTTTTTTGTAAGGCAGGAAAACCTTTCTAAAAGATCCCCCAGCAAAAATGTCCTCTGATTCCATGGGCCAGGCCTGGGTTCCACGTTTATGCTTCAGTTACAAAGAATGCTGGGAAATGTAGAATATGTCATTTGCAGCCTTTGTCAAGTGGAGGTCAACCCTGCCCACAAGGAAAGGGGAAGGAAGTAGATTTTGAGCAGGCAATCAACGGTGTCTCTGCCAAAAAAATCTAGCTCAGAGGATGATGAAAGTCAAATGAATATATATTTATTTATTTGGCTGAAGTTAATTTATAGCAGTTATTATATGCCAGGCACTGTTTAACATCAACTCATTTCCTCCTCATAACATCATGAGGGAGGTACCCGCACAACAGTGTCTCTCCAAAAGGTGTGTTAAAGCTTCGCACAAAGTGGGCTGCCTGGGAATGCTGATTTTTCCATCTCTCCTCTAATTCTGCCACAAGAGCACATATGCATACTGGATGGAGGGGCAATAATAAAAGTAGAAGCAACTACTTCAAATGCCCTCCTCCTACCCATTCTAGTTTCTGTGTTTAGTTTTCCTTCTCTGGTGGATTCCTATCAGTTTCAAAAGAACTTGTGAAATCCATTCCAAAATTCGCTTCCCTACTTATTTTGTTTGAAGATGTGTATGCAAAGGGTGATTTCTTTTTCACTCCTGATTGTTAATTTTTTATTTTAAAGTGACCAGATCACTAGGTCACCCAGGCTGGAGTGCAGTGATGCGACTGTAGCTCACTGCAGTCTTGAACTCCTGGGCTCAAGTGATTCTCCCCGCTCAGCCTCCTGAGTAGCTGGGACTACAGGCACATGCACCACCATGCCCGACTAATTTATGTTTTTTTTTTTTTTTGTAATGGCAGGTTCTTGCTATGTTGCCGAGGCTGGCACTCCTGATTTTTGGTAGCCCAAATCAATGGAGAATAAATATTTTCTCTTTCTAAGGAAGACTGAAAATAAGTTGCTGGAGAGACTAATAAGGCCTTATGGGGAATTGTCTTTGAGCATTCTCTTTTTGTGGACAGAGGCAGCTTAGAGTGTAGTGAGAACTCTATGATGACATTGTCTTATAGTGAGATTGCTTTAAAATAGAATATTTTGAGTATATTGTCAATTAACCAGATTTAGATGACATTCAAGAAGGGTGGGCCTTGTAGTGATTTCTGCTGCAGTGTTCACACGTGGTAAAAAGGCAGTGGGGTGGGGGGAGCCATTTTAGCGGACCTCCTTTTCTAAGGACATGAAGGAAGTGAGCCAAGCATTTGTGACATAAACCAGTAACTCAGGAAGGAACAGGAAAGGACTATCGCAAGTTTCCTAGCTTGGGACACTGAAAACATAAAAACAAGGTCACATGTCCACACAATGAAGAAAGGAACCCCTGGAAAGGGAGGAAAAAACAAGTGAATATAACTCCAAATAAAGACCTTCAGGAAAACATCCTCGTTAGTCTGACAATCAACCAAGAATAACATATGAGTTCATCAAGCCCCAAATGGGGGAAAAGACGGATGCCTCAGCCAGCTAATTTAAAAATTAAGAAGAGCATTTCTCATCGTTATGCAGAGGACAGTTCCAAAGCAGATCCTCCTAGAGCAGAGCTAGCCCCCTGAAGCGGGGGTTTCCTGTAGCGACGAAGCAGCTGCACCTTTGATGACTCCTTGGATATTAGCAAAACACTCGCTAAATATAGATGAACATCAACAACTCATAAAAAGGGAACAGGAGTGGGAAACACCATACAAAAGGTGAGTGGGCAAGAACAAAGACATCTTTCTGCCAAGACAATTATCACGTGCAGCATCGAAGCATTAATCACAGAATCATTTAAAAGTCCAAAAGCCAAATAAGAATAAAAGTCTCATGCAGGAAACTGTCACATGTCAGGGCAATGGAAGCAAACTACTTCCCAGTGTCTTTTCCAGTGCTGTATTTCATGGAGTGGAAAGAAGGCACGGCATTGGAGAGGCCCTTGAGAGTGTTATAATGGCCAGGTGGCAGAGAGCGGCTCAGGCTGCTGGTCTGGAGTTTTACCTACATTCTTTCCTTCTCTGTTGAAATTTCCTTTACTGTATGGGAGGTGGTAAGAATTTTTATCTTGATTTCCCCCAAGTATGTGGGATACTCAAGGAGGCTGCACCTTGAGTGGGAGCATGTTAGACGACATCACTCAGGACCAGGCTACATCAGGCATCAGGTAAATATTGTTTTCTCAAAACAAAGCCAAACATGTCAAGTTCTGCTCTTCCCTCCTGCTTGGTGTTTTTTTTTTTTGAGACAGGGTCTTGCTCTGTTGCCCAGGTTGGAGTGCAGTGGTGCCGCATAGTGCACTGTAACCTTGAACTCCTGGGCTCAAGCAATCCTCCTGCCTCAGTCTCCCGGGTAGCTAGGACTACAGGCATGCAGCACTATGTTCAGCTGTTTTTTAAAACAATTTTTGTAAAAATTACAAGAAATTTTTTTTTGCTGTGTTGGCCAGGTTGACCTCAAACTCCTGGCCTCAAGTGATCCTCCTGCCTTGGCCTCCCAAAGTACTGAGATTACAGGCGTGAGCCATGGTGCCCAACTGTGTCCAAATTAAACTCACTAAAGCTCTAAACAGTTCTTACTTGTTAAGCACCATGGGTACATGATATTGGACTTGGCCCCACCAATAACACATCAAACCAAATAAGCAAGACCCTCCTTCTAGAAAGGCTTAGTCAAAGGAGGTTTTGACATGAACAGATGGAAAACTGTAGATGCTACTCCCAGAAATATAGATAGTTCCTGCTAAACACAGAAATAATCTCATCTTAGTATCCTGAAGAAAACTTGGTGCCCAACACTGCAAATATAGCTTATAATACCTAAATTGCAACCTATCAAATAGTTCTTAAATGCTCAAAGGATCTATAGAAACAAATAACTCTGTTAGAAACCTCATATAAAAAATACATCCTCATATCATTTGGTAAATCCTCAGTCTGGTTCCATATATATCAGTGACCATTACTGAAATAAAAGTTAAGTCAGGGCAGGGTTAACTAATGAAAGGGGTTCAGGGAACCCCACGGATCTATTTATTTATTTTTTGCTCTATAGGGATTTTTGTAAGTCCTGGAGATTTATGAATTACTGCTTATTCATTCAACTGGATTGCTTCATATGCATCACACCACTTGTGCAAGACCACCTGGGCAACATGATATATTCTTTATTAACCAGAGATTTTGGTGAAGAGCTTCTTCTACCCTTTGCACACTGTGGAACTGCTTCTCAGAGCTCGGGAGTGGCTGTCGTGAACTCTGTTCTCATTCTCATTGCTGGGGCAGATGTCCTCGGCAGCACTGCTGAGCTTCACTGCACATGTTGTGGCTGTCACTACCTGTATATCTCTCTTGGCTCAACATTTTGAGCTGTGCTTAGAGCTTCCTGAGGTCAGAGTTTAGCAGAGGGTCCATAATAATACAGCTTTAAGGCATTTTTGTCTGTGAGTGTTTTGAAATGAACACAAAACCACAAAAAGTTGAAGTGAACATTTACCAGCATTTTGGTTCAAATGGAACCAAAACAGCGTTTTCCTTCTCCTTGGACCTTCTGTTTTCCTGCCCTCAAGAGCAGCCTTCAGGTGTGGCTTGTTGCAGGCTGTCATTTCCAGTCTCTAGGCAGTGTGGCAGCATCTGATCTCTATGTTCTGGCATCTGCTTTTTTTTCTCTCCAATTGATGGGAATATGGGAATTCCTGTGGAAACTTGATGTTATATGCTAGAGAAAGTAAAAAACCATCAACTTTAAGAAAACCATTATTTTGTGTTTTACTAAGAAAGAAAAAAAATGCTGTCAAACCATGTTATGCCATAGATTGCAAATGCATCCTGATTTGAGAGATGATAAAGTAGCTAAAGAAAGTGCATTTAAGATTTGAAGAAATACACTTCCATCATTTTTTTGGGTCTGCATATAGAAATTTGGGGTCTAACAAGCATGGACTAAACACATCTATACAAGATAAAGATGCTTCCCCGGAAAACCTCTGTCTAATGTCTACCTGTACAAAGTTTGCTCCAGTGGGACTTCAGGATAAGATTCTTTGCTGGAGACTTTTTTTCAAATGTCACCCACCATAGGAGCTATTAAAATGGAATGGATGCATCAAGTCAACAAACTTTCAAGTGTTTTTTCAGTCTATGACATGGCAGAAAGACAAGCATGATAGATAACAGCAGCACGAACGACAACACAACCGTAACAGCAGTGATAAGCACGGGTGTGCAAAGGGCTTTCAGAATCAATGCTATTGTATCAGCTTGTATTCTTCTCCCACAGTGTTGTGAGAAAGAAGCTCACATGCCTTCTGGAGAAAAGTTTTGGAAATAACTCACTATTTAAGACAAATTGGAGTAGGTTGTGGTCGGGAGGATGGTGCATATTTGTAGCCTTGATTTGGCTCTCATGCATCAAAGTTTGTTTTAAAACTTAAAAAATAAACATATAATAATTCCAAAGAAATATGTCTAATATCTATATACAATTTCAAGACTAATGATAAAATGAACCCACTAAGAGGAGAAATAGTATTGATATTTGTGGAGCCTTAGGCAGGACCTCCCCAGATTGTAATCCCCTCTTCTACTCTCCAGAGATAGTCACTATCCTGAATTTTGTGTTAATAGCACCTTTGGTTTTCTTTATGTATAGATATTCCTAAATAAGCTATTACTTAATTTTGCTTGTTTTAGAACTTCAGGTAAATAAAGGTTTATGTATGCATTTTTCCTGAAACTTGCTTTTTGATTGCTCAATGTTATATATTTCAGATTTAACTATGTTAATGTGTGGCTGTATTACATTCCAGCATATGACTGTGTCATCATTCATTCATATATTCTTCTGTTTACAGATGTTTGGCTTGTTTTGCTCCAAAGAACAATGATACTGTGAATATTCTTATGTATATGGACCGGTAAACATGTGCACAAGCTTCTCTTGGCTCGATGTCTGTATCTATATCTATATCATCTATATCTACATCTGGGATTGGCTGTATTATCTGGGAGTGAATACATCTGGGAGTGGCTGTGGAGTGTGCACAAGTTTATTTATTTATTTATTTTTGAGACGGAGTTTTGATCTTGTTGCCCAGGCTGAAGTGCAGTGGCATGATCTTGGCTCACTGCAATCTCCGCCTCCAGGTTCAAGCAATGCTCCTGTCTCAGCCTCCTGAGTAGCTGAGATTACAGGCTCGTGCCACCATGCCCAGCTAATATTTTGTATTTTTAGTAAAGACGGGGTTTCACCATGTTTGCCAGGCTGGTCTCAAACTCCTGACCTCAGGTGGTCTGCCTGCCTCGGCCTCCCAAAGTGCTGGGATTACAGATGTGAGCCACTGCATCTGGCCTAAGTTTAATTTTACTAGGTGATGCTAAATAGTATTCCAAATTGAGAGTAACAACTTTGCTCCCACCGCCAGTGTACAGGAGTGCCTGTTATTCCATATCCTTACTGGACACCATTTTAATACTTGATATGTCATACTTTAAAATGTTTTGCCACCTCATGGGGGTGAATGGTATCTCCTAGTGATTTCATTATGCATTTTCCTGATGATTCATGAACATTTCCCCATTTGTGTAATGGGCATTCATCTTGCGTCTTCTTTGAAATGCCCCTTCATCTCTTTTGCCCATAGGCTGTGTGTCCCCTCTTGGGTTGTTTTTTTCTTGAATCATTGAAGTTCTTTATTTTATGGATATTCTTCTTTTGTTAATTATAGTTATTATAGACATCTTCTCCCAGTTTTGGGGTCTTGCTTCTTTACTCTCTTTTGTTGTCTTCTGATGAGTGGAAGTTAATGTGGTTGAATCTATATTTTTTTCTTTATAGTTCTTTTTGTGACTTGTTTTCTCTCCTCCTTCATCCTAATGTCACAGAAATGTTTTCCTATTTTTTACCTAAAAATTGTGAAGTTTTCTTTTCCATATGTTATTCATCTATCTGGAACTGATTTTAGTGAACAGTGTGTGTGAGGGGAACCCATTTTCTTTTCTTTTCTTTCTATCCTTCCTCCCCCTCCTTCCTTTCTTTCTCTGCTTTCTCCCCTCCCTCCCTCCTTCCCTTCTTCCTTCCTTTCCCTCTCTCCCTCCCTTTTTTCCCCTCCCTCCCTTTTTTCTCCTTCCTTCCTTCCTTCCTTCCTTCCCTCCCTCCTTCCATTCTTCCTTCCTTCCCTTCTTTTTCTTTCTTTCTTTCCCATTGTCCTAGCACCCTTACTGAGGTCTTTCCTTTCCCACTTATTTGCAATGTCAGATTTTCTGTATATGTGTGAGTCTTCTCAGGTCTCTCTAATCTTTTCCATGGACAATTTGTCCCTGCACCAATACCACTGTGTTACTTATTATGACTTCATAATTAGGGCACGTTATAGTTTATAAGTCTGATTGAAATCTGAATTGGTCAGGAACAGGCTGATTGATATTGATAAATGGATGGTTTCCTTTAAATTAAAAAAAAAACCTGAGGAATATCAGTTCTAAAATGTGCTAGCTTTGATGCAGTATAAGAAAATGAAAGGATAAAAAGTCTTTCCCTTCAATAGCCCTATTTGAGGCAAATGTACATTCTTGCTTTGCAAATATAAAACAGAAAGCTAGGATATACTTTTCTGAAGACTAGTGATGATTACCTATTTTTATCTCTGCAGAGGCGTGAAGATACGTTTGGGTTCTCTTCTTATAGGAACCAGAAATGAAGCGATTGAAATGTAAAGTGTTGATGACATACACACTGTACTTTCATAGACTTTTACTCACAAGGACATTGATTTCCCTTTCCTCTTCCATTCACTCAAATTTCTCATCTGGGTGAGAAATTCCTGTCTTTATAAGGGAGCTCTAGCTCACCCAAGTTGATCCCGTTTTATTTTAATGAAAAAAATATATGTAATGGAACAGAAAACAGTTCTTCCTTGGTTCTCCCAAAGATGCCTTCTTTAGAGTTATCTAAAGTTTATCAGCAAAATAACTTTGACTAAGTTAAATGGCGATGTGTCACACACCCAAAACGTGTGAAGCAATTTGAAAAAATATTTTAAATATGCCATGGATTTGTAAATTAATGCAGGGCTCACTGTGCTTGAATTTCCATTTCTAAACTGCTTCATTTGCATGCAAAGAGTGGGCAATTTTTGTGTGTGTGAAAATTTAGCCTTAAGAAATGAAAATCAAAAACTCAGCAACTTGAAAAGAGCTGTTAGGCATAGAAATTGTTTAATCGGTTTCCAGCAGGGCCAATGGTGTTGGCATTTTGAAATACCAGATTGGATTGGCATCCTAGAAAAAAAATCCTCAGCTCAGAAAAAGTCGCCTAAAAAAGCCACCATCTACAAAGTGGTGAAAGAAGATAGCCGAGATATGACAAATGCCAATGAAATAAATTCTGCGATCGAGAGAGAGCCTGAAGTGTGAAATGAACAAATGTTAAATGTGATAAAATTTCTGTCAGTGCTACCCCAATCATGTACTCTGACAAATACAATGCTTGATCGAAAAAATCAGGTATTTTGTCTAAGAGCGTTTTCTTCATGGATATTTTACGAGGTCGCAACACTGTGGGTGCATTTTCAATGTGATGTTTCTCACTTTAGAGTGTAATAAAGGGTCCTTAATAACTTCCTTTCTAACCAACTTGAGATCCCCAACTTAGATTTTCATTCCAGAGTTTTTAAAATGCAAGTTTAAAATAAGATTTCATCTAGACACAGAACTACATTTTGTGGCACTTTTGTAGCTCAGACCTTGAAAAATAGACCAGAATACCATATTTTATTAGAGACCAGTTTTCTTTATCCACCATATCTCAAATGAAAGTACCAAGTTAGACTACCTGTACCTAATAATAATCATGATGATGAAAAATAATGGTAATAATAAAAAGACCATAATAATAATAATAATAAACCCTGTGTATTCATTTATCACACACACATTTATTGGGTACCTACTTTGTGTGGGATATTATTCCAGGTTCTAAGAATGTAAAAATGATTTAGAAGCAAACCTATATTCTCAAAAATCTCATAGTTTCTGAAATAAGCTTCTTTCTAGTGAATTGTACAAGTTTCCTCATCTAGTTTTCTAGTTTTCTCCCAAAGGACCAGCTGAATACAAAAGACTTAGAAAACAAGGAAGTTGATTATATCCTTTGTTGTTTTTTCTTGAGTCCAAGCCTATGGAACCCGCTCAAAGAATATGATACTATTGTCTTACCATATTTGAGCTAGATGCTTTGCTCACACCGGTCTTTCTCCCCAGAGGAGAGGAGAACATTGACAGTTCTCTCTTCCTTTCCCAAGGCTGGGGATGGGATTCTTGGATAAGAATGAGAGGATACCATAACTTCTTATTGCTGGGATCAATTCTATTAGTGTTGTCACTGGGAAAAAACAACCCACACAGCCCAACCCTTTCAGATACGAGTCCTAAATTCTCAACACAATGCTCGTCACACACCAATGTTTGTTGATGGAACAACTGACAATTCAGGGATGACAGACATGGAGCTAGAGCGTCTTAGAAAACAGTTCTATGTGTCAGAGTACTCTAGTATAGTTTCAAAATAAGACAGAATCAAACAACAAATATAAACATATGCCCATAATGTATGTGTTCAAAACTAGTAAATCCTAGAATATGCATGTAGGAAGATGGAAGAAAAAGATTGTATATTTGGGGAAACACTGCAGAAATGGGCCCTCTGTGTAGATTCTGAGTCATTGCCTTTTCTTTTTATTTTTCCGTAGGGGATCTTGCAGACTGAGGTGTATATGGTTTATATGGCTCAGGCTGAACTCGAAGGGCCAACATTTGGGTTCTGTTTGAATAACTATCAAATTGCTGTTGAGTACTGAATAATCTTGTGATGTACCAACTCATAGTGGATACAAAAAAATTACTTCTAATATATGGCCACACCGGTGAGATATGTGTCCCTGTATCTAAATTTTATCTTCAACGAATCGGGATTTATTTTCTTTAGTCAAAAATCCATACTTCTAGTTAATGGGTACAAAAATACAGTTAGATATTAGGAATAAGTTCTAGTATTCGATAGTTCAGTAAGGAAGGTGTACTAAACAATCATTTATTATATATTTCAAAATAGCTAGAACAGAAGAATTGTAGTGTTCCCAACACAAAGAAAAGATAAATATTTGAGGCAGTGGATATCCCAATTCCCCTGATATAACCATCACACATTGTATACATGTATCAAAATGTCACATGTACTCCCAAAATGTGTATAATGATTATATATCAATAAAAATTTTTTTAAAATCCATACTCCAAATGAGAGTAGATGAATCTATGGCAAATGCTTTCAGATGTATGTTAAATGATACTGAGCATAAAATCCATTACAAAATCTTGGTATAACTCCAACTAGTACACATTTGACAAAGAAGGTGAGGCAGAGGGTTGGGCAGCTACCCTCAAGTGACACATCTCTGAACTAACAGCTCGTATCAGTTAGGAATGCTTCTAGCTTCCAGGAACAGAAAATCTGACTAACAGTATCCTAGGCAATAAGTATTTAACTTTTGAAAATAACAAGAAATATGCAGGTAGGCATTGTTAGGTTGGTGCAATGGCTCAGCAATGTCTCAAATTTTTCAAAGCCTTGTCACTCCATCCTCAGTGTATTGTTTTTTATTTGTTTTATTGTTTTTGCTTTGTGGGTTTTTTTTGTTTTGTTTTGTTTTGTTTTCCCTCATGGTTATCACCTCATGTTTGCAATGTGGCTTCCTCAGCTCCAGGCGTCTCATGCTCATGCCAGTATCCTACACAGAAACTGAGAGCCAAAGGCTAAAAATCTTATCTTCTGAAACTCCATCTTTTTAGACAGTCAGGGGAGCCTTGAGAATTCTCTCCTTTATTTCTTATTGGCCATAATGGGATCACACATCACCCTACACCAGTCACTGGGCCAGGGGAATGGGATTATTATGAATTGTTAGAGCAGTCATAATTTACTCCCTGACACTGGGAAAGGCCCACCTTTTCTGGGATCTGGGGATATCTGCTTGCTACCTGAACTCTCTGTCGGATTTCTGTGGTCAGGGAAGAAGATCATGGTCAGTGTCTGTCCAGAGCCTGTAGATGTGGAAGGAGCTGACAGAAGCAGTAGAAGAGACTAAGGCAGTGGGTTAGACCAAGGGCTATGGAGACAGAAGAGCCCAGACAGAATTCTGGATCTGCTATAGTTGAATTATCTGTAATAATACCTATCTCAAAGGGTTGTTATGAGAATGAAATGAGATAATGTGGCTGAAGCACTTAGCACAGAACCAGGTATGTGGTCAACGACTAATAAATGGGGACCTTTTTCATCCTCCTAGAGCTGCAGGTGCAGAATGGAGAACCCTCTGCTGCTACATGTAGATGAAACTTTGGGGCTCACTTTTGGAAAGAGCACTGGTTTTAGAGTCAGAAGACCAGGGTTGTAATCCTGACTCTGTCATTAACTTGCTAAGTTTAGTGCTTGTGACTAAGTCATTTCCCACTTCAAGGCCTCAGTTTCCTCAAATGTAAGGTGGGGATTAGGGCTGAGTGGTGTCCAAGTTCCATTTAGCTCTGACATTCTAATGTGTTCTGATGTATTCAGTGGTGGACTTTTTTTTTTTTGAGACAGAGTCTTGCTCTGTCACCCAGGCTGGAGTGTAGTGACACAATTTCAGCTCACAGCAACCTCCGCCTCCTGGGATCAAGTGATTCTCCTGCCTCAGTCTCCCAAATATCTGGGATTACAGGCATGCACCATGATGCCCAGCTAATTTTTGTATTTTTTAGTAGAGATTGAGTTTTACCATGTTGGCCAGGCTTGAAATCCTGACCTCAGGTGATCCGCCCACCTCAGCCTCCCAAAGTGCTGCGATTACAGGCATGAGCCACCGCGCCCAGCCTCAATAGTGACTTTTTGTTATACACAGTTAGTGACATGGATCCTGGGGGGATCTTCCGGAGCCACTTGCATCACACGCATTGCTGACCAGTGACTTCCTATACTTTCACAAATGGCACTGTTAGCCATTGTCCACATGAAGTCGGAACATAATTTAGGGGCTCGTGCTCTCCCTGTGATTCATATGGGATCTGTGGTTCCAGTTTGTCACTTAAAACAGCCACCAGAATAAGTCTGATGCTGCCTCACTGCTAAAATGGAGAGCAACCTCATCTAAAAGTGACTCACTGGATCCGAAATCCCAACAAGCCTTCTCTGTCCTGCTTCCCGGAAAGACTTGATGTACATTTGGAGCCCAACTGGATGTTCAGAAACGTTCTGAGTTAACTTTTTACTTCTTTAGTTTCAATAAAAACAAGGCAAATGCATAATTAGCATTTTAACAATAAATAAATTAGAACTTGTGATTGCTGTAACAATATACACTGTTAGAAGAGGAATTGAAGAACGTCTCTAAAAATAAAGGCAAAATCATAAACATGCTCTCTTTTCTTTCTGGAAATCAGAAACACACCAATGGTTTTATGACAAAGGAGGAATAATGAAAGGAACTGAAAACTTTTCTTCCCACCTAACAGTGGGAAGGTAGTTGTGTGGAGTTGGATGGGGAACAGTTGTATCCAAAACAATAAACTCGCCCTAAAAGGCTTGATTATTAGTTCCACTTAAAAAAAGCGACAACAAGGATAAATATAAAACTGATGTTAGGAGATTTTAAAAAGCTGCAACCTATGAAAACTAAGTAGGCTTTTGCAAAATACTGTTCCAATCAACAGAATTGTTCCCTTCAGAAAAACTGTCGGATGCTCCCCACACTCCATCCTGGCACAGCCTGGAAATTGTCTTTCTTCCTGTGGGACATGGAGCTGTTCAAACGCTTCATAAAGTCTGTCATGCCCTAGAAAATTCTGAGTATCATCATGGAATAATCAGCCTCAGATTTAGTGTTACAAATGTTTCAGGGCCTGTTGCAATTCAGGGAAATTTGGGGCTCGTGGGGAAAGGCTGGCAAGTCCATGCTCAGACAAAGTGTACCCCACGAGTAGAAGTCCATTGGAAGGGAGTGGCCCATGGTTCACAGCTTTGCATTGGCTTAGACTTAGATTTAACTGTATAACATAGGGACAGGGGCAAGGAGTATCCTGCGTTTTGAGTTTTTCTAAATTGCTTTGTGGTGATGAATCCTGAGACCTGTATGTCTTAAGAAACAAACTAATGAATGCACAAGCACAAGAAGAAGAATTCTATGAAGGGAAATGATCCATATTCTGAAAAGTATTCTTCTATGTTTAATATTTTGTAGGAGAAAATGGATCTGGAAGAGAGATACTGAAAGAATCTTAAAATTTGGATATGCACATGAGTACACATGCAAACACTTGAATTTTAACTCCCTTGTCTCCTTTTGGGGTGACTATGGTAACAACATTTATCTGGTAATGAACTTAATGAACTTCTCCTCTTCTCTCCACCCCTACCCTCTGAGCCCTGGCCCCCACTTTGGGAAGAGCCAAAGTGATTAAGAAGATGATTGTGTTTAATTAAAATCTGTGGAAGGACACTTGGGTATATGAAGGGTCCCTATGGACTGAAGGGAACTAAAGTTGGGTAAAAAAAAGTAGAAGAAAATTTGTAATAACAAAAGCTCCCATGGTAAGAAATAAGCTAGGGCCCTAGGAGCAGCTTAGAGGACTGGGGAAGGACAAGCAGGGCTCCCTCAGGCCAAAGCTCATTAAATAGAAACGGAGCTGAGGGAAGAAGAAAGTGAAAGAATGGGAAAGGCAGACGGGCTGTACATTCACAGGGCTTTGCAACCAGCTCATAGCATTTGGAAGCTGATCACAGAAATTTAGAGCTGGAAGGGAGCTTAAAGATCACCAAGTTCAAGCTCTTCACTTTGCAGATGAGGAAACAAAGAGGAGTGCTTTGCCTAAGGTCCTGGCTACATCAGAGGAGAAGCAGAGCTGGGGTCCAGGACGTCCCACTCTCAGGCTGGAGGTGCCCCAACACTGGGCAGGCAGTGACCCATTTGCTTATAGATTCGAACTTTTGTGCTCCCTGAAATTTCACTAGGAAATGATAAAGAAAATTTAGGAAAACAGAGTTTAAAAATAACTTAAAAAGTGACAAGGGAATAATAACACAGGTTATGGTTTAAAGCCAGGGTTTTTAAATGCCAGATGTATACTACAACCACCCAGGAAGCTTGCAAATAAATACCATGATAAGCCTCCACGTCAGACTAATTTACTGAGAGTCAATGTGAGTGAAGCTCTGACACGGATCATTATAAAAAGCTCCCAGACAATCTTAATGTGCAGCCAGAATTGGCATAAAAGATTTCAGTTTGGAGACCAGCCTGACCAACATGGTGAAACCCCGTCTCTACTAAAAATATAAAAATTAGCTGGGCCTGGTGGCGCATGCCTGTAATCTCAGCTACTCAGGAGGCTGAGGCAGGAGAATCACTTGAACCCGGGAGGCAGAAGTTGCAGTGAGCTGAGATAGTGCCACTGCACTCCAGCCTGGGCGACAGAGCGAGACTCTGACTCTGTCTGAAAAAAAAAAAAAAGATCTCAGTTTGAATTCGTCTATTGGCTGTGTAACTTGAGTCAAGTTACTTAACATCTCTGAGACTTGTTTTTCTCATGTGTGAAATGGAGCCAATAATATCTGCTTTCTAAGGTTGTTGAGAGAATAGATGAGATAAAGCATATGTCCTGTCTGGCACAAAGTAGGTACTTGTTATTAAATGTTTCCTCTATGAGAACTTCAATCTCAGTGATTATAATTGGCGACTCAGTTTTTATTCTGTAAGCTATAATTAGTGAGTTTCCTCTCCTATTGTGTTCCTAACTATCTGAGCACATTCTCAGCAATCCTCACCTAAAATTCAAGAATGGTTCTCAATTTTCAAAATAAGGTAAAGGGGAAGAGTGTGTAGCCACTGAGAAAGTCATACATAATTCACTGACAAGGCTACTTCTCCAGGGATTCTGGTAGGCTGCCTGGAGGAGGCAAGGCTACTGGCTGGTGTTAGGGGTAGTGTGAGGCTTCCGAGAGTGTGACCACATGGTTGGTGATACGGAAATACAACCTTAAATGACATCGAGTCAAGTATTGAGACAACCATTGCTTTTCCAATCTTCTTTCAGTGCTTCTGCTGGTATTAAGGACATTTCACTTGATAATATCACTATTTAACAGGACATAATCTCAGAACCTTCTTACTTAGAACTTAACATTGTATCACTTTCATTCTGTTTATGCTTATGGTGCCTTTTATTTATTGCAAGTGATACTGGTTTTCCATTATAGTAGTAAATTTCTGTAAGGAAAAAATATGCCAACTTCAAGACTTTTAAGTAAAACTATGTAGGAGGGAGCAGATACAGCAAAATTCATGATGTCATATTCCTGGGTTTTGGATTCCTGGGTTCTCTTTTTGGATCACCTATGAGACCTTAGGCTGGAACAATAACACATCCTTCCTTGGCCTCAGTTTCCTCCACCCTAAAATAAAAGTGTTACGACTTGACAATGCCTAAGATTGCCTCCAGTTTAAGCGCACCTGATAGTCAAATCCAACACAGCTTGGTCTTTTAAGGATTGTCTCGCTCATCAAAGATACATAGAAACCCCATTTTAAAAAAAGAAAATGGTGGGAAGGAAGTTAAAATTTTCTCTCTTTGTTCCTATCCCCAGAAGAAGTTGTGGGTTACTGGTTCTAAATAAAGCCATTCTTTACTGGGACCTATGCTTGTCTGCGAGAGTCCTCTTCTCTTGCTGATAACCCACATTCACTAATTTTAAAGATTGTTATGAGCTGGGCAATTGCATGCATTCAGGTGTAATGCCCAAGCCAGGTGGTTCTTTTGTGAATCTCCCAGATCATTCCATCTATAAGTTATTGCTAGGTTGTGTATTCCCCTCTTTTTAGCACTCCTGAAAAATCTGAAACACAGGACAGTTTCTCCCCACTACAGAGTCGTAGTAAAATGTGAATTGGTATAAAACAGCATTCATCTGGTGGTTTGGACACAAAGTTGGCAACAGCACTCTGCCCATTGTCACCAGATTCTGGTGCGGTACGGGGGCATGAGGGATGGTGGAAGACTTTCTGTCATTCCCTGAGGTTGAGAAGGGCAGGGACTGGGACGAGGCCAGCAAGGTGCCCCGGGGTGCCAACTTCAAGGAGGCACTCACAGGTTCCTACAGGTGTTTTCCTCAGTCCTGGCTCTCTGCAAACTGCTTGTTCATGGGCTGCTGAACAAACAGTTTAGAGTGATCTCAGCCTACAGCTTCTCTCCACACTGTGCTGGGTGATAGAGCACTACTAAGTCATTTACTAATTTATTACGCACGTCAGCCTTCACCACGTGGCTGCGTGGTTATTTTCAGTTTTCAGTAAGCTTCCCTCCTCCACCTCTTTAAAGTCTCCTTTTTCAGTGGCCACTCCTGCACCATCCATTTGGCTGTGGTTTGTTTCTCAGATGAGAATGTAAATGAACTCTGACAATAAGGGTTGTAAAGATTCAAATTCAACCAGATCTTCTCAATGTCCTGAGTCCCAGGAATGGTCCTAGACCCTTTCTAGTGCATTATCTGATCTAATTCTTTCTAATACTATTACACCAACATCAGCAAAGGAGAAACTGAGGCTCAGAAAATGACCTAGTTTGCCCTCATGTAATAATGGGTTTCTGAAACTAGTGATTTTACATGGCCTCATTCTGCAGAGAGTTTTTTGTTTGTTTTTGAGTTTTCTAATAGAGGAGAAATACTGGGGGCATTTTCCTGAAAGTCAAAGTATTTGGAATGAATTGCAGCTTCCCTTGATTAGGGATGGAAAATACTGCTTGACTAGATACTGTAATTCTTTTGGTTATAAGTGTTTCAAAGAATAAGGAAGAGAGAGGTGGATGCCTCAATGAGAGTTGATTGTAAGGCAGGAGATCCATGGGCCATGTGACTTTAGGTATCTTCATAAAGGGAAGGGCGGGGGGGCTTGGGTCTAAAGCTACAGGCAGACATTCATGAATCTTATTCAATGAAATGACCTAGCAATGGTAGGCAGCTCTGGGCATGAGAATAAATTGTTTGGAAGTGTGAGAAAATTTTGTGTTATGAAATATAGAGGTTGTCAGCAATTGAAATAGAGAGGTTGTCAGCAATTCATAAATTCATATATGACTTCATGCACTCATTTGAACATACTTAGTGAGCAGCTACTAAGTGCCAGACGTTATTCTTGTCATGAGAGGCTATAGTGGCAAACCATCAGACAAGAGCTTGGCTCTCTGGAAGCTGTAGACTGAGATCACTCCAACATTTAAAAGTTGAGCAGAGAAGGGGGAATGAGTAAGGAGACCAGGAAAGAAAATGACCAGTTATGTGGCTGGAAAATTAGGAAGGAGTGGTTTTAGGTAAGCCTAGAGAAGAGTGTTCCCAGACAAGGAACAACAAGGCCACCAGCCGTGATTTAGGGGACATGAAATTAAGGACAGGGAACTCCACCCCTGCACCCTGACAAATTGCAACATTTCCTTTTCATCCCTTTCTCACAAGGCTCTATTGTAACATCATTCACATCTTGACAGGGTAAATGACGCACACGACAATAAGAAAGCATGTAGACATAAATACCTATGTTTGTAAAAATGCTGGGCTCTTGCTGCATTCTTCTGGGAGGCCAGTCTTCTTGAATTTTCTGTGCCTTAAAGTGAAGCATTTGAAGTTGTGTTCTTTTGTGGGGTCAACGCAGAGCTGAACACTATACATAAATGTGCAGCCCTATGAATATGGCAGCAGATTCCTGAAATGATGTATGTGTCTGCCAGGATCAACCATGGGCCTTGCCAGATCATTGTGGGAGACGAGGTTCCAGAGAGTAGCCTGCCACACAGAGAAAAGCTGAAATGACAGCAGCCCCTTCAAAGGCAGGAAATTGAGAAAATGTTCCTCAGAAACAAATTTCCCCTTGTGCAATAATGACAATGTCAGTATACCAACCCATTTGATCCTGAGAATAATTACAAGTAACATTTGTATAATCCTTGGAAGTTTATAAAGTGCTTCTATGGGTGTTATCATATTTATTTTATTTGAGCTTGGAGTGTGTGGACAGCTCAGATGAGGAGTGCTCAAGTCCTTGCGAGGCAGCTTGCTTAAGTCTGTCTGTCTCCTTTCCAAAGTGAAGCCATGGAAACTGTGGCAGCCCCATAGGATGTGGTGATGTCCTGCCTTTAAATGACTTGCTTCCTGGAATTCTTGGAAATGAAAAATCAGGACTCTGAATCATGAGATTATGAGACATTTTCTAATTTCCTTTTTATATTTTAGAGTTTTCCATATTTTCTGTTACAAGCATGGACTACTTTTGTGATTTAAAAAAAGTTATTTAAAAAATTAGGGAAAGAAAGCTTCTGAAATGTACCCCAGTTGACAAGACTTGCATCCCAGGGCAAGGCTGACCAGCAGGATTGGCGGGCTGCTTTGACTGAGCTTCCTGAACCAGAAAAGTCATTGCGTTTTTGAATAGGGGCCATGGAGATCTTCTAGTCAACCCCTTAGCACAACAGTCAGTGTGCAGAGAACATAACCAGCCAGAAACAGTGTCCTACTTCTTTAAAATAGATACTTGGAAAGCTTTAATGCCAGCAGAGCAAAGCCAAAGATATTGATTCTTTTAGCTCAAGTATGATGAATTCTGAACATGCTATTTTCTCTTTATTTATATTCTATTAAATAATATGAGCTCCTTAAAGAAAATGTGTTGAATTAAAATTAAAAATATATATACATTTTTTATGCACTAAATATGACCACAAAATTTATTTCCCCTAGTCTTTTTTAATGGAAGTAGGTGAATTTTTTTTTTCTTGCAGGTTCATTGGTTCAAGTGTGGTTGTCTGAAGTAATACCGCACAGGGCTACCAGTCCTTTTACATTATGACTTCCTTGAGTTGAGTTTTCCTAATTTTAATTCTAATTTTAAAAGAAGGGCAAGTAGGTAAACTATCACTTTTGCCTCTCCAAGACTTTCTTTTTCATTACTCAAAAAGATGAATTGGCTGGGTATAATACTCTTGGTTTACAACTTTGTCATATTCAAAATGTATTAATCATTACCTCATTTTTTTTTTTTAGCATTTAGAAGAAAAATGTATGAGGCCAGCCTTTTATTCTATGTAAACTGATTTTTTTCCTACCTATAAATGTATAATGTTTAAAACTTTATCCTAGTGGTTATACATTTCTAGATGGGTCCATGTGTTTATTTCTTTCCACTGTTTTTCTTGGAACATGGTAGATGTTTATCAAGATGTTATTTTATATTTGCTCCTAACATTTTAATTTTTCTCTGAATATTTAATTTTCTCTGAACTTCTGAAGTTTTCCCCCATATCTCTGATAGATTTTCTGCAGTGTCAATTACACTCCTTTTTGCCTCCAGTGTAGTTCTATATTCTGTTATTGCTTTTCTAATTCCTCTGAAATCTTTTCTATTTGACTATATCACTATATCACTTTTAATTTTATCCTGTTGACTTTTGTCCTCAATTATTTATCGCTTAGTGGTTTCTTTTTTTTTTTTGGCCTCATGGAAGTTAAATTGTTCTCTATTTAAATGAGAATCCCAGATAATTTTTCTAGATTCCAGTTTTTATAATAAATTTTTTCAGAAGTCTTTTCATTTTCCGAGTTTTCATAAAATGTTCTTTCCCACTTGTATTCAATTTACATGCTTTATTTATTTATTTTATTATTTCTACAAATACATGGAAAGAATGCTTCACTCAGTCTTGGCCTTGCTTTTTGGTGCTGGTAACATTTCTTTCTCAGTGGTATGGCTAGATATCATTTACAGGGTGAGTGTTTGGGACCAAGACGGGAACTTCTTTCTGTATTTCCTAGCTCTGATATTCTGAAAAGACTGAATGCACAAAAATGAAAATTTCTGTCATATAACGGCTACTAAAGCTCTCCATTTCTTTGCTTTCCCTCAGCCCTTATATCACATCACTCGAAAGGACAGTATCTCCTGTGATCCTAAATGCTACCCTATGTTACTCTGTATTTCTTCACAAATATCTTATAAGGGCTGTGCTATAATCTAATCGTTACTTGCTCAAGAGTCTTGTAATCGGAGTTTACATCCCAGTTCTACTTCTTCAAGCTTTGTGAACTTTGCAAAATTGTTTCATATCTTTGAACTTCAGTTCCCTAAAATGAAGATAACAATAGCATTTGTATTACGGAGTGTTGCAAGGTTTTTTTTTTTTCTTTTTTTCATTAATTAAGCTCTTTCTAAGAGACAGGTGGCATTAGGTGCTATTATTGCAGTGGTAAACAAGAGAACCAAGGTCCCTGCTTTCATGAAGCTTATATTCTGGGACAAGAGACACACAAGCAAGAAATGAAGACATAAAATCATAAAGTAATGACAAATTATGATAAATCTGAAATTAAATGAGTGAAACAAATGACGAAATAGATATTAACTAGGGGTAGAGGGTAGAAGTTGTTTAGATGTAGTGATCAGGGATAACTGTTTAGAAGAATTGCCACTTGAGCTACAAACTGTAGGATGAAAATGAGCCAGCCATGTGGAGACCTGGGAGAAGAATCTACCCCTCAAAGGGAACAAGGGCAACAATACCTTAAATACAATGTCGTAATTACAAAAAAAGACCCCTCAAAAATGCCAGTTATCAGCAGATGGCAGTATCCATATAGATAAGAAAAGAAATATAGGTCAATAGAGTTTGAAATATCCAATTGTTTCAGATTGCCACGTCTTAAATTGGATGTCCAGTATGATTCACCCTAATTTGGAATGAGTAAGTAGCTATATTTTTAAAGCCAACTCAAGTCAAAATTACCAGCCCTGTTGACACCCTACTACCTGAAAGGTTCTTCTCTCTAAGGGTCCCTGCCACAGTTGCTTCTTCTCACTTTCCTTTCTAAGCTTCTTTTTCTGTATTCAACTTTTTTCAATTTTAATTTTTTAAATTTTTCCATAGGTTTTTGGGGTACAGGTGGTGTTTGATTACATGAGTAAGTTCTTTAGTGGTGATTTGTGAGATTTTGGTGCACTCCTCACCCGAGCAGTATACACTGCACCCTATTTGTAGTCTTTTATCTTTTGCTCCCCCCACTCTTCCCCCCAAATCCCCTAAGTCCGTTGTATCATTCTTATGCTTTTGCGTCCTCATAGCCTAGTTCCTACGTATCAATGAGAACATACAATATTTGGTTGTCCATTCTTGAGTTACTTCATTTAGTAGTCTCTAATATCATCTAAGTCACTGCAAATGCTGTTAATTCATTCCTTTTTATGACTGAGTGGTATTCCTTGTTATATATATACCACAGCTTCTTTATCCACTTGTTGATTGATGGGCATTTGGGTTGGTTCCATGATTTTGCAATTGTGAATTGTGCTGCTATAAACATGCATGTGCAAGTGTATTTTTTATATAAAGACTTCTTTTCCTCTGGTAGATATCCAGTAGTGGGACTGCTGGATCAAATAGTAGTTCTAATTTTAGTTCTTTAAGGATTCTCCACACTGTTTTCCATAGTGGCTGTACTAGTTTACATTCCCACCAGCAGTGTAGAAGTGTTCCCTGATCACCACATCCATGCCAACATCTACTGTTTTTTGATTTTTTGATTATGGCCATTTTTGCAGGAGTAAGGTGATATCGCATTGTGGTTTTGATTTGCATTTCCCTGATTGTTAGTGATGTTGAGCATTTTTTCATATGTTTGTTGGCCATTTGTATATCTTCTCTTGAGAATTGTCTATTCATGTCCTTAGCCTACTTTTTGATGGGATCGTTTGTTTTTTTTCTTGCTGATTTGTTTGAGTACATTGCAGATTCTGGATATTAGTCCTTTGTCAGATGTATAGATTATGAAGATTTTCTCCCACTCTGTGGGTTGTCTGTTTACTCTGCTGACTAAGCTCTTTAGTTTAATTAAGTCTCAGCTATCTATCTTTGTTTTTGTTGCATTTCTTTTGGGCTCTTGGTCATGAAATCCTTGCCTAAGCCAATGTCTAGAAGGGGTTTTCCAATGTTATCTTCCAGTGTTTATAGTTTCAGGTCTTAGATTTAAGTCCTTAATCCATCTTGAGTTGATTTTTATGTAAAGTGAGAGATGAGGATCCAGTTTCATTCTCCTCCATGTGGCTAGCTAATTATCCCAGCACCATTTATTGAAAAGGGTGTCCTTTCCCCACTTTATGTTTTTGTTTGCTTTGTCGAAGATCAGTTGGCTGTATTTGGGCTTATTTCTGGGTTCTGTATTCTGTTCCATTGGTCTCTGTGCCTATTTTTATACCAGTGCTATGCTGTTTTGGTGACTATGGCCTTATAGTGTAGTTTGAAATCAAGTAGTGTGATGCCTCCAGATTTGTCCTTTTTGCTTAGTCTTGCTTTGGCTATGCAGGTTTTTTTTATGGTTCCATATGGATTTTAGAATTGCTTTTTTCTAATTCTATTAAGAATGATGGTGGTATTTTGATGGGATTGCATTGAATTTGTAGATTGCTTTTGGCAGTATGGTCATTTTCACAACATTGATTCTACCCATTCATGAGCATGGGATGTGTTTCTATTTGTTTGTGTCGTCCATGATTTCTTTCAACATTATTTTGTAGTTTTCCTCGTAGAGGTCTTTTGCCTCCTTCGTTAGGTATATTCCTAAGTATTTTATTTATTTTTTTGCAGCTATTATAAAAGGGGTTGAGTTCTTGATTTGATTCTCCACTTGCTTGCTACTGTTGTATAGGAGAGCTACTGATTTGTGTACCTTAATCTTGTATCTGGAAACTTTGCTGAATTCAGTTATAGGAGATTTCTGGAGGAGTCTTTAGAGTTTTCAAGGTAAACAATCATATAGTCAGCAAACAGGGACAGTTTGACTTCCTCTTTACCAATTTGCATGCCCTTTGCCTTTTATTTCTTTCTCTTGTCTGAATTCTCTGGCTAGGACTTCCAGTACTATGTTGAAGAGGAGTGGTGAGAGTGGATATACTTGTCTTGTTCCAGTTCTCAGAGGGAATGCTTTCAACTTTTCCCCATTCAGTATTATGTTTGCTGTGGGTTTGTCATAGATGGCTTTTATTACATTAAGGTATGTCCCTTGTATGCCGATTTTGCTGAGAGTTTTAATCATAAGGCAATGCTGAATTTTGTCAAATACTTTTCCTGCAGCTATTGAGATGATCACGTGATTTTTGTTTTTAATTCTGTTTATGTGGTGTATCACATTTATTGACTTGCATATGTTAAACCATCCCTGCATCCCTGGTATGAAACCCACTTGATCATGGTTGATTATCTTTTTGATATGTTGTTGGATTCAGTTATCTAGTATTTTGTTAAGGATATTAGCATCTATGTTCATCAGGGATATTGGCCTGTAGTTTTCTTTTTTGGTCATGTCCTTTCCTGGTTTTGGTATTAGGGTGATGCTGGCTTCATAGAATGTATTAGGGAGGGTTCCCTCTTTCTCTATCTTGTGGCATAGTGTAAATAGGATTGCTACCAATTCTTCTTTGAATGTCTGGTAGAATTCTGCTCTGAATCCATCTGGTTCTGGCCTTTTTTTGTTGGTAATTTTTAAATTACCATTTCAATCTTGCTGCTTATTATTGGTCTGTTTAGGGTATCTAATTCCTCCCGATTTAAGCCAGGAAGATTGTATTTTTCCAGGAATTTATCCATCTCTTCTAGGTTTTCTAGTTTATATGTATAAAGGTGTTTATAGTAGCCTTGAATGATCTTTTGTATTTCTGCAGTGTCAGTTGTAATGTCTCCCATTTCATTTCTTATTGAGATTATTTAGATTTTCTCTCTTCTTTTCTTGGTTAATCTTGCTAACAGTCTATCAATTTTATTTATCTTTTCAAAGAACCAGCTTTTCATTTCATTTATCTTTTGTTGCAAGGTTTAAATGAGGTAATGCTTGTAAAGCACTTAGCAGAGTGTATAGGAAATTCTAAGTAATAGCTGCGGTTGTCATTATTAATATTATTATTGCTGTCTTTGAGTAGAGATATATAGAGAAATATTGATTGGAGTAGAGGGCACTCCAGTGCACCCCCATGATGGGGAAAATCAGCTCTCCAATTTTGTGATTGGCACAGATGATGAATGCCTGAATCTTGGTTGACAATGGGAGCATTTTTTCAGCCCGACATACAACTGGTGAGTCACGAAGCAAGTTTTCCAATCTGGTTTATTGCTTCTTGATTAGTAGAGCTTTCTCCAAAATTCTGGTAAGAGTTTGACTGCAAATCCCAGTTTTCTTATTCTGTGGTGTTTCATCTTCTGGGTCTTCATAGATTTTATTTTTTTTATTTTTTTTTAATTTTTGAGATGGAGTCTCACTCTGTCTCCCAGGCTGGAGTGCAGTGGCAAGATCTCAGCTCACTGCAACCTCCGCCTCCCAGTTTCAAGTGATTCTCCTGCCTCAGCCTCCTGAGTAGTTAGGATTACAGGTGTGCACCACCATGTCCGGCTAATTTTTGTATTTTTAGTAGAGATGGGGTTTCACCATGTTAGGCTTGTCTCATACTCCTGACCTCGTGATCCACCCGCCTCAGCCTCCCAAAGTGTTGAGATTACAGGCGTGAGCCACTGTGCCCAGCCTATAAATATTTTTATGGAAAGGCTGATGGTAGTGTGTCCAGAGTTGTAATCCAGTTATAATTTTAAATTGGAAGGCTCAGATTTTCTTCCTTACAGTTTTCAAATACAAATTATCAAATTTCACCAGTTAGATACATAAAAATAAAACATGTTGCATAGGGGATTTCTTTAACTTCCTAGAGTTGCTATCAGCCATTCTGCTTTTATCCAGATTTCATTTGTTAAATGTGTTCTCTAAGCCAGAGTTGATGGAACCTTCTCTTTTGCTTCATTATCATGTTGATACTATATCATTCTCATATGATACCATAATGGAATTGCATGTTTTGCATTCTTATGGACCTTTTAAACCACTTATTTGTATTTTCTACAGCATTGTTCAGGATCAAGCACAGAGAGGAATTCAATGCCCTTGGCACTGAAATTTGAATGTATTTGAAAAGGATGCTTGAACTCCACTGTATGATATAGCACTCCTGCTGAAACCATTGTTATGCTAAAAAAATAAATCTTGGGGTATAGATTATCTCTCCATGTTATGGAAAGATACATTTTTAGTTGCAATGTTTTGAGATAACCTCGATTTGGCTCACTACAGTTCAGATTCAAAGCTGCTGTATTTTCTTATTGATGGGAGTGCTGGGAGGAGCTTTTTTGGTAGTGATGAAAAGAATAGCTTTCCACTGGGTAGGGGTGGTACTGTCCAGCCTGAGTTTTGCTAAGGCTGCATCCAATTACCCACTAATAAATTTAGCACTGATGTGGCACTTAATTGTAAAGTGTTTTCAGTTCTGTGAAAAAGTCTCCTTGGACATAGGTTATTACCATTATCACCCCATTGTTCACAGATTCTAATGTAATTCCATATGTCCCATGGGTTTTGGGTTTCTTTAGTTAATTTATTTCCACTAATATTTACTGAGGTGACATTTGGTTGTTTGTACCATGACAAATGAGGGTGAGGGTAGAATGCCTTGTTCTGTGGTTGGGTCATTGGGACATTGAGACATGGAAAGGATGCCTTTCTTTTGAGCATAAGAAATATAAGAAAACGGGCCAATTAGCCCTACAAGTGAGTGCGGAGGACGCCAGGGACATGTGGTTAAGTTACATAACCATGAGAAAGTCAAAAGAGGTACCGTTCTAAGGCCAGAGAAACGGGGTCACTGCCTTGGGGATCTGGCCTTATCTCAGGTGTGCTGACATTCATGGGGCCATCGAGGCTCTAGTTTCTCCAGTATCTATTCCTGATGATAAATAAGCTAGTGGAAAGGTAGATACTAACCTGAACTACAAAGACTCAATATGGCCAAGGATTTTTCCAGCAATGCTCTCCTGAAAACTGTCAGCACATTTTGCTCACTTGTCTCTTCCAGTCTGTCCTGGGGCTTTAGACACAGTCACTTGAGAGTATACTGGTTATAAAAATCCCTTTTTCAAAGTCCATGGGACAAAGCAGAATCCACCCTCAGTTTAAATTAGAGCCACGTCTTAGGAATCAAAGTTGCACTGAACTGTCATCTGTCTCAGGGGAGAGGGAGGTAGGGAAAGACATCACTATTTCCTGTGTTTGAGATGATGTGTTAGGTAGTTTACACACATTGTTTTGTTTAATTCTTACATCAGTCCCTTGAAGGTTTTCTTATCATTATCCCCTTTTTCATAGAGAGGAAACTGAGGCCAGGAGATGTGTTTAACTTGCCCACAGTACCATGGTGTCCATGAGTCTGGATTCAGTCCTAGTAAACCACTGGTTCTCAAACTTCAGCAGGTATCCGAATCAGTTGGAGAGCTCTTTAAAACACGAATGGCTAGTCCTCATTTCTAGAATTGCTGATTAATTTGGTTTGGGGTGGGGCTCAAGAATTTGCATTTCTATGTCTTTTGCAGCAACCTGGATGGAGCTGGAGGCCACTATTCTTTTTTTTTTTTTTTTTTTTTTTTTTTGAGGCAGAGTTTCACTCTTGTTGCCCAGGCTGGAGTGCAATGGTGTGATCTTGGCTCACCGCAACCTCCAACTCCCAGGTTCAAGCAATTCTCCTGCCTCAGCCTCCTGAATAGCTGGCATTACAGGCATGCGCTACCACGCCCAGCTAATTTTTTGTGTTTTTAGTAGAGACCGGGTTTCTTCATGTTGGTCAGGCTGGTCTTGAACTCCTGACTTCAGGTGATCTGCCTGCCTTGGCCTCCCAAAGTGCTGGGATTACAGGCGTGAGCCACCACGCCCTGCCTGGAGGCCATTATTCTAAGTGAGGTAACTCAGGAATGGAAAACCAAGTATCCTATATTCTCATTTATAAGTAGGAGCTAAGCTATGGGTATGCAGAGACATGCATAGTGTTATAATGGACTTTGGAGACTCAGAAGGGGGAGGATAGGAGGGAGATGTGGGATTAAAAAGTAAATATTAGGTACAATGTATACTATTGGGATAAAGTGTGCACTGAAATCTCAGAATTCACCACTACGCAGTTTATCCATGTAATCTAAAACCATTTGTACCCCAAAAGGTATTGAAATAGAAACATTTTATTTTTTTTAAAAAAGAATGTGCATTTTTAAAACAAGTTCCCAGGTGAGTCTGAACTGCTGGTTTCTAGACCACTCTTTGAGAACCCTGTTTTACATGGTACTGTATCTTCAGAAACATGAGTCTA
Source organism: Homo sapiens (assembly GCF_000001405.40). Taxonomy (NCBI): domain Eukaryota; kingdom Metazoa; phylum Chordata; class Mammalia; order Primates; family Hominidae; genus Homo; species Homo sapiens. Next base: position 56,434,608 of record NC_000018.10, on the reverse strand, counting down.
ATGGGACAGGTGGGCTTGGTTGACCGACTTAGGATTTTAATCCTAAACATGAATCCAAACCCCATTAAAGGTACTCAGCCTGCTTTTGCAAATGTCCCCTGGGTCCCTGGGTTCATTTTAAATTACCTGGTCTATGGTATTCTATTATAGCAGCAAAAAATTGACCGAGACAGAGGTGATCCCACCCAACCTTGGTAGATGAGCTGGGAAGTGATAGGAAAGGAAAGGAAGCCAATAAAGGGCTCAACCTCATGCCACTTACCTCCCTGGGCAGCTGAAGGTCTGTCTTGCTGAGGAATTCTGGCAGCCATCTGGAGTTACCCAAACAGAGGGGTGAAGAAGGTGGGGGTATTTATCTACTCCCCTCCATTCACCTTTGGCTGAGAGCTGTTTCTGGGGCATTAACTTTCCCATACTGCTGGCTTCTCCTACTCCTAAGGCCAGAATAGACCCTTCAGGCAGAATGTGAGCAAGCTTCAAGGTGTGCAGACCTGAATGCCCCCAAGTGGTATTGATAGGCATCTGCTCCACCAGAGCGAGAAAATAAAGGAGGAACAAGAGAACCCAAAAGACATGCAGGGGCTCCTACTGTTTCTTGCCCACTGCTTGCTTCTAGAACACACACGTTTTTGGCTTTTTCTGTTCAAGCCCATCCTTCCAGCCTTTCAAGGTGCCTTCCTGTTACTTCGTCCTTGAGCCTGTTTACAACAACTCCTAATTTAGTCTCATTTGAAAATTTAATTAACAGGCTATTTACGCCTCTTCCGTATCATTAATGAGGATATCAAATAAGACCAGGTCAAGCATCAATTCATGAAGCTCCCTTCTTTATCCTCCCTGCCCCTGCACCTTCCCTGTTGCATTTTCTCACAACTCAGCGACCATTTACTGTCACTTTGGCCTGCCAGGCCTTCAAGCCATTTCTTGGTCCTTGTCACAAGTCATAACCAAGATAATCTAAGTGAATTTGTCAAAGAGCATTTAATGAGACACTGTGTTAAATGTGCTGCTCTAATCACAGAGTATTAGCTGCATTTCCTTTGACCAACTAATTTTTCAGTTTTCTCAGTAAATAGTTTCCTGAGGCAAGCATTCAAACAAATTTTAATAAATCCCAGTGTTGGTAGAGCTTTATCTTGGGGAAAAAAAACCCCGACGATACCACTTACTTTATAACTACAATATTTCTGTGAGAGGTGTGAAAACATACAAACATACATATATTTTATAGGTGGGGTTAAATGATTCATCTAACGCACCCAAACAAGACACTTGAGTCCACAAACAAGTCCTGATCCTGTCTCTGATTGATTTCCAATGTCCACTTGTTTCCACCACCCCATAAAGGCTTTTAAAACCTATCTGGCTGATACGGTTTGGCTGTGACCCCACCCAAATCTCATCTTGAGTTGTAGCTCCCATAATCCCCATGTGTTGTGGGAGGGACTCAGTGGGAGGTAATTGAATCATGAGGGCAGGTTTTCTCGTGCTGTTCTCGTGATAGTGAATAAGACTCTTGCGATCTGATGGTTTTATAAAGGGCAGTTCCCCTCCTCACGCTCTCTTGCCTGCCGCTATGTAAGACGTGCCTTTGCTCCTCCTTCACCTTCCGTCATGATTGTAAGGCCTCCCCAGCCAAGTGCAACTGTGAGTCCATTAAGTCTCTTTTTCTTTACAAATTGCCCAGTCTCAGGTATGTCTTCAGTATATATCCGTATCATGCACTGGATATGGAGATAACCATCCTTCCTGATACTAGGTACTAGGCAGCAATACCTTGACTTTGCTAGAATCAATCCCCCCAGCCCAATTTATTTTTTAATTCATCAAACATATCTTTTTACTTTCATAATAAATGGAACAAGAAATTATGAAAATGTTATTAAGGCATCTTAATGCCTAAGATATATGGAAATATAGAACCTGAGAGTTGGAAAAGACATTAGAAGTTATCAGTTTAGGCCTTCTTAATCTGGGGTCTGTGGGTGTCTTGAAATTCTGTGTGCTTTTCTGCGTACCTGTGCATTTGCTTCCATGGCTTTTGACAGCATCTCCCAGGATACCACAGTCCAACTCTTGTTTTCAAAAGGAATGTGAACCCTGAGATGGGCAGATCATCTAAGGTCAGGAGTTCAAGACCAGCTTGGCCAACATGGTGAAACCCTGTCTATACTAAAAATACAAAAATTAGCCAGGCAAGGTGGTGCATGCCTATAGTCCCAGGTGCTTGGTGGGGTGAGACAAGAGAATCACTTGAACCTGGGATGTGAAGGTTGCAGTGAGTTGAGATCGCACCACTACACTCCAGCCTGGGTGACGGAGCAAGATCCTGTCTCAGAAAAAAAAAAAAAAAAGGAATATGGACCACTGAGAGTTGAAATTGTTTAATGGTAATGCAACCCACCAAGTATTCCCGGCTGTGGTCTACCTCTGGACACATTTATTTATCCACGCAGATGTGAAAACAAGCAGGCAAGCCATGGTAAGCTTGGGAGGCCTCCAAAGTGAGCCTTCTGCAAACTATGAGCTTTTCCAGGCCTTGGTATCTAAGTTTCCCTTTTCTTTCAGCCCGTGCCACGTATGTTGATTGATGCTCCCAACACCTCAAAATAGCCCTTTCCATTGGTGGACAGAGAGTTCTTAGAAAGTCTTTTTTTTAGAAAAAAATATTGAATTAAAAATAATCTTCCAGGACTATGAGCAAGCCATCTAATAACTTTTCCACACAGCACAATTCTTCTATTTGATGGTAGCCTCTATGTCCTCCCAAGAGATCTTTTGTATGAACATCTTTAGTTCTCACAACAGGTACTAAGAGGATGTGGTTTTAGCCATTCAACTCACCCAGCTGACCTCTCCTGGACACCCTCCAGCTTTTCAACATTCTCCTTAATGAGTCAGTCACTTGGAACTTAAGCCAGGTGTACTCTAACCTGTTAATGTGCAGTTGATTTCTAAAGCTTTTTAAAAAATCAATCAAGCAATCAGCAAGAGTTTATATCCTTTAAATGCTTCATATAAATACTTAAAGTCTGAAGGCAAAACAAGATGTAGAGAGACTCAGGGATGTATCAACATGCACAAGTTTAAGGGGGGAGAAGCAATTTTATCAATTCTTGGTTCTTGAAGCCCTCATGAGGAAAGGAAGTGTGGTTTTAAATAGTGTGCAGAGACACCTAAAACAGCGGTTCTTCAGCATGGGAAATACTGTAGCCACACTAGCACAAATCAAGTCAGTGGTACTAAACTCTACTGGTGGTCATTGTATTCACTACTGTCATGCATTCATGGGAAAATAAATGCTAGTTTTACTTAAGAATGTTCTTAATGAAGCAATAACAATTATTAAGGTTATTAAATCTCAGCTCTTGAGTATATCTTTTTTGGGTTCTGTGGAAAGTGTGTGTTTATTTCTTTTTTGTTTTAAAAATAGGCATTCTGACGGGTGTGAGATGGTATCTCATTTTGGTTTTGATTTGCATTTCTCTAGCGATTAGTGATATTGAGCATTTTTTCATATGCTTGTGGGCTACATGCATGTCTTCTTTTGAAAAATGTCTGTTCATATCCTTTGCCCACTTTCTAATGGGGTAGCTTGGGTTTTGCTTGCAAATTTGTTTAAGTTCCTTATAGATTCTGGATAGTAGACTTTTGTCAGTTGTATAGTTTGCAAATATTTTCTCCCATTCTGTAGACTGTCTGTTTACTCTGTTGATAGTTTCTTTTGCTGTGCAGAAGCTCTTTAGTTTAATGAGATTCAATTTGTCAATGTTCATTTTTCTTGCAATTGCTTTTGGTGTCCTTGTCATGAAATTTTTGCCAAATCCTATGTCCAGAATGGTATTTCCTTAGTTATCTTCTGGTGTTTTTATAGTTTTAAGTTTTACATTTGTCTTTAATACATCTTGACTTGATTTTTACATGTGGTATAAGGTAGGGGTCTAGTTTCAATCATCTTCCTATGGCTAACCAGTTATCTCAGCACCATTTATTAAGTGGGGAGCCCTTTCCCCATTTCTTGTTTTTGTCAGCTTTGTCAAAGATCAGATGGTTGTAGATGTGTGGCACTATTTCCGCACTCTGTCCTCTGTTCCTTTGGCCTATGTGTCTGTGTTTGTACCAGTACTGTGCTGTTTTGGTTATTGTAGCCCTATGGTATAGCTTAAAGTTGGGTAATCTGATGCCTCCAGCTTTGTTTTTTTTTGCTTAGGATTACCTTGGCTATTCGGGCTCTTTTTTGGTTCCATATGAATTTTAAAATAGTTTTTTCTAATTCTACGCAGAATGTCATTGGCAGTTTGATAGGAGTAGCATTGAATCTGTAAATTGCTTTGGGCAGTATGGCCATTTTAACAATATTGATTCTTCCTATCCATACACATGGAATGTTTTCTATTTGTTTGTGTCATCTCTGATTTCTTTGGGCAGTGTGAGATCTTCACTTCCTTGGTTAGCTGTATTCCTAGGTATTTTATTCTTTTTGTGGCAGTTGTAAATGGGATTGCATTCCTGATTTGGCTCTCGCCTTGGATGTTGTTGGTATATAGGAATGCCGGTGATTTTTGAATGTTGATTTTGTATCCTGAAACTTTGGTGAAGTTGTTTATCAGATCAAGGAGCTTTTGGGTAGAGACTATAGGGTTTTCTAGATATAGAATCATCTTTTCTGCAAGCAGGGATAGTTTGACTTCCTTTTTTCCTATCTGGATGCCTTTTATTTCTTTCTCTTGCCTGATTGTTCTTGCCAGAACTTCCAATACTATGTTGAATAGGAGTGGTGAGAGAGGGCATCCTTGTCTTGTGCCAGTTTTCAAGGGAATGCTTCTAGCTTTTCCCTAATCACATGATGTTGGCTGTGTTTTGTAATAGATGGCTCTTATAATATTTTGTAGTATGTTCCTTCAATACCTAGTTTACTGAGGATTTTTAACATGAAGCAGTGTTGAATTTTATTGAAAGCATTTTCTGCATCTATTGAGATAATCAGGTGGTTTTTGTTTTTAGATCTCTTTATGTGATTAATCACATTTATTGATTTGCATATGTTGAACTAAACTTGCATCCCAGGGATACAGCCTAGTTAATAATGGTGGATTAGCTTTTTGATGTGCTGTTGGACTCAGTTTGTTGGTACTTTGTTGAAGATTTTTGTATCTATGTTCATCAAGGATATTGGTCTGAAGTTTTCTTTTTTTGTTGTGTCTCTGCCAGGTTTTGGTTTCAGGATGATGTTGGCCTTACACAATGAGTTGAGAAGGAATTCCTCCACCTTATTTTTTTTTTAATAGTTTCAGTAGGAAGAGCATCAGCTCTTCTTTATACATCTGGTAGAATTTGGCTGTGAATCTGTCTGGTCCTGGGCTTTTTTTTGGTTGGCAGGCCTTTTATTACTGATTCAATTTAGGAACTTGCTATTTACCTGTTTAGGAATTCAATTTCTTCCTGGTTCAGTCTTGGAAAGTTGTATGTGTCCAGGAATTTATCAATTTCTTCTAAATCTTCTAGTTTGTGTGCATACAGGTGTTCATAGTAGTCTCTGATGGTTTTTTGCATTTCTGTGGAGTCAGTGGTAACATCTCTTTTTTCATTTCAAATTGTGTTTATTTGGATCTTCTTTTTTTCTTAATTAGTCTAGCTAGTGGTTAATCTACCTTGTTAATTTTTTCAAAGCAACAACTCCTGGATTCATTAATCTTCTGTATTTTTTGTGTGTATTTCAATTTCTTCAGTTCAGCTCTGATTTTGTTTATTTCTTGTCCTCTGCTATCTTTGGGGTTGGTTTGCTCTTGCTTCTCTAGTTCTTCTAGTTGTGATGATAAGTTGTTAATCTGAGATCTTTCTAACTTTTTGAGGTGGGTGTTTGTTGCTATAAACTTCCCTCTTAACATGTCCTTAGCTATGTCCTAGAGATTCTGGTACATTGTATCTTTGTTTTTATTAGTTTCAAAGAATGTCTTGATTTCTGTCTTAATTTCATTGTTTACCCAAAAGTCATTTAGGCGTAGGTTGTTTAATTTCCATGAATTGTATGGTTTTGAGTTATTTTCTAGGTTTCTATTTGTATTGTGCTGTGGTCCAAGATTGTGGTTGGTATGATTTCATTTTTTTTAAATTTGCTGAGTATTGTTTTGTGTCTGATTGTGTGGTCAGTTTTTGAGTATTTAATATATGGCAATGAGAAGAATATACGTGTTGGCTTGGGGTGGAGAGTTCTGTTGATGTCTGTTAGATCCATTTGGTCAAGTGTTGAGTTCAGGTCCTAAATATCTTTGTTAATTTTCTGCCTCAATAATCTAGTACTTAATAAGTTAGTAGCATGTTGAAATTTCCCACTATTATTGTGTGGGAATCTGAGTCTCTTTGTAGGTCTCTAAGAACCTGCTTTATGAAAGTAGGTGCTCCTGTGTTGGGTGCATGTATATTTAGGACAGTTAGGTCTTCTTGTTGAAATGAACCCTATATCTTTATATAATGACTTTCTTTATCTTTTCTAATCTTTGTTGGTTTAAAGTCCATTTTGTCTGAAATTAGGATTGCAAACCCTGCTTTTTAAGTGTTTTACTTAGTAGATTTTGCTTAGTAGATTTTTCTCTATCCCTTTATTTTGAGTCTACGGGTGTTGTTGCATGTGAGATGGGTCTCTTGAAGGCAACAAACCATTGGGTCTTGCTTTTTTTTTAAACCAGTTTGGCACTCTGTGCCTTTTAATTGAGACATTTAGTCCATTTACATTCAAGGTTAGTATTGATATGTGTGGATTTGATCCTGTCATCATGTTGTTAGCTGGTTATTAGGTAGGCTTGCTTGTGTGGTTTCTTTATAGTATCACTATTCTATGTACTTAAGTGTGTTTTTGTAGCGGCTGGTAATGGTCTTTCCTTTCCAAATTTAATGTTCCTTTCAGGACCTCTTGTAAAGCAGGTCTGATGGCAATAAATTCCCTTAGCATTTGCTTGTCTGAAAAGAATCTTATTTCTCCTTCACTTATGAAGCTTAGTTTGGCTGGATATGAAATTCTTCGTTGATTTTTTTTTTTTCCATCAAGAATGGTCAATATAGGCCTCCAATCTCTTCTGATTTGTAGGGTTTCTGCTGAAAGGTCCATGTCAGCCTGATGGGGTTCCCTTTGTAGGTGACCTACCCCTTCTGTCTAGCTGCCTTTAACTTTTTTTTTTTTTCATTTCAACTTTGGAGAATCTGATGATTATGTGTTTTGGGGATGGTCTTCTTGTGTAACATCTCACAGGGGTTCTCTGCATTTTCTGGATTTGAATGTTGGCCTCTCTAGTGAGGTTGGGGAAGCTTTCATGGCCGATATTCTGAAATATGTTTTCCAGTTTGCATGCTTTTTCTCTGTCTTTTTCAGGGATGCCAATTAGTCGTAGATTTGGTCTCTTTATATCATCCATATTTCTCAGAGGTTTTGTTCATTCTTATTTATTCATTTTTCTTTATTGTTGTCTGACTGAGTTATTTCTGAGAGCCAGTCTTTGAACTGAGATTCTTTCCTCAGCCTGGTCTAATCTGCTGTTAATACTCATGATTGTATTATGCAATTCTTGTAGTGTGTTTTTCAGCTCTATCAGATCAGTTTGGTTCTTTTTGTAATGGCTATTTCATTGATTAGCTCCTGTATTTTTATTTTAATTATGATTCTTAACTTCCTTGGATTGGCTTTTGACATCTCGTGAATCTTGATGATCTTCACTCCTATCCATATTCTGAATTCTATTTCTGTCATTTCAGCCCACTTAAGAACGCTTGCTGGGGAACTAGTGTGTTCATTTGGAGGAAAAAAGGCACTCTGGCTTTTTGAGTTGCCAGAGTTCTTGTGCTGGTTCTTTCTAATTTGTGTGATGTGACGTTCCTTCAGTCTTTGAAGTTGATGTCTTTCGGATGGATTTTTTTGCCTTTATCTTCTTTGATGCCCATGGGAGTTTGATTATGGTATAAAGTGGATTCAGCTGACTGGCTTCAATTCTAATCAGCTCATGGGTTTGGAGGAGCCTTCTCTGATTACTCTCTCTCTGCTTGCATTTTTTTGTTATTAGATGTTTTGGTCCAGAGGGCTTTCGCAGGCAAGGGCCATGGTTGGCAGAAAAACTGTATCCTTGCCAGGTCAGCCCTAATCTAATCTGCTGTCTGTGTCCTTCCTGGGGAAACACAGGGTTGTTTCTGGCCACTGAATTCAGGTGGAAGCAGGACCGCTGGGTTGGAAGCTCTCTAGGTGTCACCCATCTGACTATGGGAGGTGGGGGTCAGTGGAGTTGTCCACCCTACCATCCAGGTGTTTCCAGGGCAACAGGAGGCTGTGCTCCTTGGCAAATTCAGGCAGAAATAGGACTGCTGAGTTGTAAGTTCTAGCAGGCATGGCTTGCCTGGCTACAAGCAGTGGAGATGGATGGGGCTGTTACCTTGCTGTTTGGATTCCTCCTCAGACAAGAGGTCATGCCAACTGTCCGAGTTCCCACGGAAGCAACATTACTGGGCTGGAAGCTCTAGTAGACATTGCATGCCTGGCTATCCGTGGTGGGGGTGGGTGGGGTCACATGCTCTGCTGCCTGGGTGCTTCCCAGGACATCAGGAGGTTGCATCCTCCAGCTGAGTTCCCACAGAAGCAGGACCACTGGGCCAGAAGCTCTAGCAGATGTTGTCCGCCTGACTACCAGTGGCAGGGGTGGCTGGTGAGTATATATTTTTAACATTTTGTATGATTAAATGGGAAAGATGGATAAGACACTTCTGATGCTAAATGAGGTATGATGGTCACCTTGAGGAAATGTACTTGTGAGATCATTTGTGCTGTGAACTGATCTAGCCATTTTTTTCGTGGAATACCATTTTTACTTGAAAGAACAACTGGCAGAAAAGCGAGACTTATTCAGATCTGTTATTTGGCAGACACATTCTCAAAAATGAAAAAAGTGAACCTGTCACTTCAAGGGAAACAACTGACAGAAGTTGTTGCCTATGATAAAAATTTGAGCTTTCAAGTGAAAATTAGAATTTTGGAAGACTTCTATCTACCACCATGAACTTGACAGCTTCACAATACTTAAAGACTTTTGTGATGAGATTGCTGGAGATAGTAACAAATACAATTTTTTAATATTGTATAATTAAATGTGTCAACATTTGAAAGATCTGCATAACTCAGGGAACCAATATTTTCCAAATGAATAATGCATGATGATATAAAATCACACATGGGCAACCAATCCATTAATGTGTAAGATAGACCAACTGATTTTACTGTAACAGATTACAAACATTTCACTGATATGGTTTCACATCCCATATTAAAACCGACCTTAAGAAATTACCCATGTTGGGTGTTGGGTGTCAAAGAAGAAAATCTATAATTATCTGAAAAGGTTATGAAAACACTTCTCCGTTTTCCTTCTATAGATCTGCATGATGATGAATAGTCTTAATTTGCCTGAACTAATCCAACATATTCCAACAAATAACATGCAGAAGTAGATATGACCATCCAATTATCTTCCATCAAACTAGATACTAAAGAAATTTGCAAAAGTATAAAACAATGTCACTCTTCCCACTGCTCTTGTTTTGTAGCAGAATTAATTTTCACAAAGATATGTATGTTAACATATAAAGAGATTGTGAGTGCTATTTTAAGATGCATTAGTATTTTTTAGAATTTCTCAGTGTTAACATCTGATATAATAGGTACTCATAGATATAAACCACACAGACAGAAGCTCATTGATATTCTTGATGATTTTTAAAAAGTGTCAAAAGGTCCTCAGACCAAAAAGTTTGAGAACCATTGAACTAAAAACCAGAGTGGAAGATGAATGGATAAATGAACGGGAAGGGATTAAATAAACTGGAAATGATGTGGTGGATGGGATTAAAAGTGCAGGTAATAGAGAAGACTGAGATATGTAAAGCATGCAAGAGGTAGGTCTGGAGTGATGATTGGTCTGCAAGGAGCACTTATGGAGGACAGAAATAATTTATGACAAAATCAAGAAAAGAGATCAAGGGATTGAAAACAAATCACAAAAATTGAAAGAACTTGTATTATGAGCTTTGAAAATGAGAACATTTGAATATAATTGTTATACTCCTTATGCCTCTTTGTGCTAATGATCAAATGGGCTTAAATAGTAGCATAGCAATCTGAGCCACAGAGATGGGATAAAAGTATTTCATATTTTGGACTATTGGAATATTTATTTAGTAATAACAATGCTCTAATTTATTGGGTATAATCTATGTGCACAGTAATATACTAGGTAGTTTATTATTTTATTTTAGAACCTCTTAAAGTGAATTTACCTTTGTGTATGTATTATTAGTATAAATTTCAACAAATTTTATTTGAGTGGTGTTCAGCCAAGAAAGGTGAAAAGCTAGTATATCCTAGGTTTGATCCTAAACATGATTTCAGTTTTAGACTTTAAAATGATGTGGACATTTTGCCAAAGAAACTATTCTCTTTCTTTCTTTCTTTCTTCCTTTCTTTCTTTTTCTTTTCTTTTCTTTTCTTTTCTTTTCTTTTCTTTTCTTTTCTTTCTTTCTTTCTTTCTCTTTCTTTCTCTCTCTCTCTTTCTTTCTTTCATTTTAGGCCTTCTTCCTCATTTTTTTTGTTTTTTGTTTTTTGGTGACATTGCTTTTTAATCCTCATTCAGACAATGCAATCCACATAAAGCATTAGAGAGAATCCTTTTGTATAGTGTATTTTGCTTAGGTACTGAGTCAACTGTGTATCATCAACTCTGTTGATTTACCCTAAGATAGCTCTTCTCCATTCCTTTTCCATGCATATACTTTTCTTTGACCTGTCTAAAGAAGCCTTTGTTAGAACTTCTCTATGTAAGGGGTGTCTTTCCTTGACAGCTTTATGATTCACCTTTATTTGACTGTTCCAGCTTTGTATTTGGCCTTCTGTCCTTAAATTAGAGGCATATTTCACTCTTTTTTTGAGAAAAAGAAAATTTTATAGACTTTTTTTTGTTTATGGTTCACAGATCTTGAAACTCCTGATTTGATCTTTCCCCTCCATTTCTTTGGATTATTACTTCATCCAGTCTCATTCTCTTCAAAATATAGTATGAAGTAATTCATTTTAATGGAGTGATTGACTTCCTCATACTCTCATCCAAACGCAGAACAAATCTGCAACCTGGGTGAACAGTGGTCTTGGGGTCTGGGGTGCTAGCCACCCCTGGGAACCCTCAGATTGCCCAAGACCTCTCAGAAAAATGTACCCACCTCAACCATTCCCATTAATTCATCACACTCAGTACCTCACAAAGGTTACCCCCATTTAATTCATGCAGTGGCTTTATATCAAGTTTTTAGCCAGCGAGACTAACCAATGGAGAAGTTTACTAACTTTCCCAAAGCTCAAAGAGAACCAGAGGCAGAACTGGGATTTGAACCTAAAAATATCTGACTCCGAATTCTACATTCTCCACTTTCTCTAAGGATGCTTTAAAAACAGTATCAAATCTCAACTTCTGGCAAATTTAGGTCATGCTCGACTAATTTATCCCTAGGAATTTTTATGCTGTGAGTTTGATATTACATGTAAGAAAATAAGAAACCATTCATTAAAGATGATGGATAAAAATAAATGCAACAGAATCACCTACACATTTTTCTCTTATATTGCCAACTGCTTTTAAGTGTTCTGTTGAATACCAGAAAAGTGTCAAGGAGTCATAGATACAGCACAGAAGGTCTTCACTTCATTTGCTTCATCCTTGAAAAAAGAGTAAATTGTAATAGAACAACTCAGATTAGTTTTCTGGTTTCTGTCTTTTATAAGAAAATTCATTTTGATTTTCACGGCCCAAAATATAACATAAAGTACTTCATCTACTAACCAACATCTACTCAGTTATTCCTATGGACTCCAGTTGAAATTATGTCCAAATGCTTCCATGAAAGAACCATCTTCTTGATTTGTATTTTATGTTAATGGGAATGGTAATGGAGACTGTAAAATCCATTTATTTTAATGTTATCTTAGACTATGAGTAATGATTAAGTAGAAAATCCTCACCTTCAAAAGCATGTACATGATAAAGGTTTTTCTTTCTTAAAAGTAAAGAGAGAGAAAGAGAGAAACAAACCTCAACCCCCACATACCCAAATCTTCTCTAAGACACACATGGAATCTTTTAAATTACATTTGTATCAAATTAACTTGGGTGGTCTGAGAGTCATCAGGCATGCAGAAAAGGGTTCTCTTAAAAAGCTAATTTAAGAAAGTTGTTAGGGCATTGACAATAGAAGCAACCTGTTCCCTTGTTGTCAATGTGTTTTCTTTTAGGGAAATTTGCTTTTTCCTGCCCATGCTGAAAATATCTACGTCTCTCCAAGAGCTCAGCCTTAACATCTTCATGGGTGGCTCCAAGTGGCTGCCATTTTTACCATGTGCAGAGTGACAGCTTCTCCTTATGCTTTTTCAAATAATATAATGATTAAAATATTGTTGGGTAGACTCATATGTGTGCATTTAAGTCAACAGCACTCAAAACTTACCAACTTTTTTGTAGCCAAATAATATTTCAGCAATTCAATTATTCTTTAGAAAATGAACAACTCTGGAAAATTTTGTTTATTGCATTGCTCTCTAAAATATCCAAGGGATGGTGCTGCACTATGAAACCATAAACAGCAGGGGTAGATTGTGAATGCTGAGCTGCTGTTAAAGGAAGGAATGAGAAAACAGAGGGCAGCGTGGGAATAGGATTGATGAAATGCATATTTGTACAGGACTATCATGACTCAACTGGGGAGCCACCTGTATTGCCTCCGGAAATGATAATGATGCTGATCTCAGCTAGAATTTATATAAAGGCTTATTAAAACAAGACAAAACAAAACTCATAATGTATGGTATGCCTCTTCTCAGGACAAATTTCAAAGGTTTTGGGAAAGGTCTGTGAGACCAAAGAATGGATGCTTGATTCCATCTAGTTCATATTCAAATTGTTCATCCAGGTGAAGTGTTGGACTTTGTACCATTTTATCCCTTAATAAATATATATTGAATACTTACCATAGTAAGTATTTAGTTGTAGATATTGCACCCAGTGCTGGAAATCCCATCAGCCTGTATTGGCTGCTAGCAATATGTGTCACTTCAAAAATCTGTAATTAGGGAAAGGAGTTGTTTGTTATAAATATCCAACACTCGTTCAATAATGACTTGGTGCTAGGCACTGTTCTAAGTGCTTGACTTCTGCTAAACTCATTTAATCTCATAATTTTAAGAAGTATAATTTCATGCACGTCCGTGTGAAGAGACCACCAAACAGGCTTTGTGTGAGCAATAAAGCTTTTAATCACCTGGGTGCAGGTGGGCTGAGTCCGAAAAGAGAGTCAGTGAAGGGAGATGGGGTGGGGCTGTTTTATAGGATTTGGGTAGGTAAAGGAAAATTACAGTCAAAGGGGGGTTGTTCTCTGGCGGGCAGGAGTGGGGATCGCAAGGTGCTCAGTGGGTGTGCTTTTTGAGCCAGGATGAGCCAGGAAAAGGACTTTCACAAGGTAATGTCATCACTTAAGGCAAGGCCCAGCCATTTACACTTCTTTTATGGTGGAATGTCATCAGTTAAGGTGGGGCAAGGCATATGCACTTCTTTTGTGATTCTTCAGTTACTTCAGGCCATCTGGGCGTATACGTGCAAGTCACAGGGGATGCCATGGCTTGGCTTGGGCTCAGAGGCCTGACATTCCTGCCTTCTTATATTAATAAGGAAAATAAAACAAAATAGTGTTGAAGTGTTGGGGCGGCGAAAATTTTTGAGGGGTGGTATGGAGAGAGAATGGGCGATGTTTCTCAGGGCTGCTTCAAGCGGGATTAGGGGCAGCGTGGGAACCTAGAGTGGGAGAGATTAAGCTGAAGGGAGGTCTTGCGGTAAGGGGTGATATTGTGGGGATGTTAGAAGAAACATTTGTCATATAGAATGATTGATGATGGCCTAGATACGGTTTTGGATAAATTGAGAAACTAAATGGAATAACAGAAGGAGAAAAACAGGTATAAAAGGTCTAAGAATTAGGACGACTCAGGATATCTGATTAGAGAGTGCCTAAGGAGATTCAGCATAGTCCTGCCAGCAAAGATTATTTATTTACTTCAAGAGTTAAGAATGGCAGTTTGGGGCTAGCACCAGGAGATATCAGCTGTGATGGCTTGGAAAAACAGTGTAAACTGGCAGCGTAAACAAGAGCAGAGCATGTGTGAGTAGTTGAGAACAGTGAATAGGAGTATGACTAGACAGAAGATAGTAGGGATGACAAGTTTTTTGGGGCACAGTCTAAGTTGGTCTGGTGTCTGGAATGAGACTGGGGCCTAATAAAAAGGAGCGTCTATACAGGAGCTTAAATGGGCTGTACTCTGTAACATTCCAAGGACAGGCCTGAATTCTGAGAAGGGAAAGTGGTAAAAGTATTGTCCAGTCCTTTTTAAGTTGGTGGCTGAGCTTGGTGAGGTGTGTTTTTAAAAGACCTTTAGTCCATTCTACTTTTCTTGAAGACGGAGGACTATAAGGGATATAAAGGTTTCACTGAATACTAAGAGCCTGAAAAACTGCTTGGCTGATTTGACTAATAAAGGCTCGTCTGTTATCAGACTGTATTGAGGTGGGAAGGCTAAACTGAGGAATTATGTCTGACAGAAGGGAAGAAATGACTGTGGTGTCCTTCTCAGACCCTGTAGGAAAGGCCTCTACCTATCCAGTGAAAGTATCTACCTAGACTAAGAGGTATTTTAGTTATCTAACTCAGGGCATGTTGAGTAAAGCTAATTTGCCAGTCCTGGGTGGGGCAAATCCTCGAGCTTGATGTGTAGGGAAGGGAGGGGGCCTGAATAATCCCTGAGGAGTAGTAGAATAGCAGATGGAACACTGAGAAGTTATTTCCTTGAGGATAGATTTCCACAATGGAAAGGAAATGAGAGGTTCTAAGAGGCAGGCTAGTGGCTTGTACTATAGCATAGCCTGCCTTTGCTGGTGTGTGGCAATTAGGCCTGGTGGAACTGCCATCAATAAATCAAGCGTGATCAGGGTGAGGAACAGGAAAGAAGGAAATTTGGGGAAATGGGGTGAATGTCAGGTGGATCAGAGAGATACAGTCATGGGGGTCAGGTGTGGTATCAGGAATAATGTGGGAGGCTGGATTGAAGTCTGGGCCAGGAACAACGGTAATTGGGAGACTCAACAAAGAGTGAGTATAGCTGAAGGAGCCGGGAAGCAGAAAGTATATGCGTCAGGTATGAGGAAGAAAATAGATTTTGGAAGTTATGAGAACTGTAGAGAGTGAGTTGAGCATAGTTTGTGATTTTGAGGGCCTCTAAAAGTATTAAAGCAGTGGCAGCCGCTGCACACAGACATGAGGGCTAGGCTAAAACAGTAAGATCAAGTTGTTTGGACAGAAAGGCTACAGGGTGTGGTCCTGGCTCTTGTGTAAGAATTCTGACCGCGCTAACCATGCCTAGGAAGGAAAGGAGTTGTTGTTTTGTAGAAGGTGCTTGGGTTTGAGAGATCAGTCGGACACGATTGGCAGGGAGAGCACGTGTGTTTTTATGAGAATTATGCCGAGATAGGTAACCGATGAGGAAGAAATTTGGGCTTGATTGAAGTAATGGGGGCTGTCTGTGAAGCTTTGCAGCAGTACGGCCTAGGTAATTTGCTGAGCTTGATGGGTGTCAGGGTCAGTCCAAGTGAAAGCGAAGAGAGGCTGGGATTAAGGGTGCAAAGTAATAGTAAAGAAAGCATGTTTGAGATCTAGAACAGAATAATGAGTTGTAGAGGCAGATATTGAGGATAGGAGAGTATATGGGTTTGGCACCATGGGGTGGATAGGCAAAACAATTTGGTTGATAAGGTGCAGATCCTGAACTAACTTGTAAGGCTTGTCTGGTTTTAGGACAGGTAAAATGGGGGAATTGTAAGGAGAGTTTATAGGCTTTAAAAGGCCATGCTGTAGCAGGCGAGTGATAACAGGCTTTAATCTTTTTAAAGCGTGCTGCGGGATGGGATATTGGCGTTGAGTGGGGTAAGGGTGATTAGGTTTTAATGAGATGGTAAGGGGTGCATGATCGGTTGCCAAGGAGGGAGTAGAGGTATCTTATACTTGTGGGTTAAGGTTGGGGGATACAAGAGGAGGACGCAACGGAGGCTTTGGATTGGGAAGAAGGGCAGCAATGAGATATAGCTGTAGTCCAGGAATAGTCAGGGAAGCAGATAATTTAGTTAAAGTGTCTCAGCCTAATAAGGGAACTGGGCAGGTGGGGATAACTAAAAGGAGTGCTTAAAAGAGTATTGTCTAAGATGGCACCAGAGTTGGGGAGTTTTAAGAGGTTTAGAAGCCTGGCCGTCAATACCCACAACAGTTATGGAGGCAAGGGAAACAGGCCCTTGAAAAGAAGGTAATGTGGAGTGGGTAGCCTCTGTATTGATTAAGAAGGGGATGGGCTTACCTTCCACTGTGAGAGTTACCCGAAGCTCAGCATCCGTGATGGTCTAGGGGGCTTCCGAGGCGATCAGGCAGTGTCGGTCTTCAGCCGCTAAGCTGAGAAGATCTAGGAAGGAGTCAGTCAGAGAGCCTTGGGCCAGAGTCCCAGGGGCTCTGGGAGTGGCTGCCAGGTGAGTTGAACAGTCCGATTTTCAGTGGGGTCCCACACAGATGGGATGCAGCTTAGGAGGAATCCCGGGCTGCGGGCATTCCTTGGCCCAGTGGCCAGATTTCCGGCACATGTAGCAAGCTCCTGTGGGAGGAGGTTCTGGAGGAACGCCTGGCCGCTGCAGTTCAGGCATTTGGAAGTTCTTGTGTGCTGGAGATGTGGCTGGGGTTTGTCTCACAGTGGAGGCAAGGAATTGCAACTTTTTGCTATTATTGTACACCTTGAAGGCGAGGTTAATTAAATCCTGTTGTGGGGTTTGAGGGCCGGAATTTAATTTTTGGAGTTTTATTTAATGTCAGGAGCAGATTGGGTAATAAAATGTATTTTGAGAATAAGACGGCCTTTTGACCTTTTAGGGTCTAGGGCTGTAAAGCGTCTCAGGGTTGCTGCTGAACGAGCCATGAACTGGGCTGGGTTTTTATATTTGATAAAAAAGAGCCTAAACGCTTCTGATTTGGGATAAAGAAAAAGGAGCATTAACCTTGACTATGCCTTTGGCTCTAGCCACCTTTTTAAGAGTAAATTGCTGGGCAGGTTGGGGAGGGCTAGTCACAGAACGAAACTGTAAGCCGGACCAGGTGTGAGGAGGGGAGGCAATAAAAAGATTACAGGGTGGAGGAGCAGAGGCTGAGGAAGAATTGGGACCTAGCTTGGCCTGGTGAGGAGGGGAGAGGTCAGATGGGTCTGTAGAAAAGGAAGATTGGAAAGACTGAGTGATGCTTGGGGTTGGGACTGAGGGGACAGGCAGGAGGGAAAGAAGGAAGATTTGGGATGAGTTGCACTGGGCACAGAGACTAGGAAGGGACTGATGTGTAAAAGAATGCCTGGACGTCAGGCACCTCAGACCATTTGCCCCTTTTACGACAAGAATTATTTAGATCTTGTAGGATGGAAAAATTGAAAGTGCCATTTTCCAGCTATTTGGAACTACTGTCAAGTTTGTATTGGGGTCAAGCAGCATTGCAGAAGAAAATAAGATGCTTAGATTTTAGGTCAGGTGAGAGTTGAAGAGGTTTTAAGTTCTTAAGAATATAGGCTAAGGGAGAAGAAGGAGGAATGGAAGGTGGAAGCTTGCCCATAGTGAAGGAGGCAAGCCCAGAGAAAAGAGTAGAGACACGGAGAAGGGGTAGGGGTTTCTTGCCCTCCAGAACAGCAGAGAAAGGGTTGGAGCATGGAAATAAGGAATTGGGGCACAGAGACAAGAGGTTGGGGTGCGGAAATGAGGGATTGGGGTGCAGAGATACGAGGTTGGGGTACTTGCCCCTCCTCTAGAAAAGCGGGACTTGCCACTAAGAGTGAAGGAGAAGGGATTGAGGGGTACTTGCCCCTCCCCCAGAAAAGCGGGACTTGCCGCTAAGGGTGAAGGAGAAAGGGTTGAGGGGTACTTGCCCCTCCTCCAGAAAAGCGGGACTTGCCGCTAAGGGTGAAGGAGAAGGGGTTGAGGGGTAATTGCCCCTCCCCTAGAAAAGCAGAGAAGGGGTAGAGACAAGGAGAGAAGGGGTTGGGGTACTTGCCCCTTCCCCAGAAAAGCAGACAAGGGGTAGAGACAAGGAGAGAAGGGGTTAGGGTACTTGCCCCTTCCCCAGAAAAGCGGGACTTGCCACTAAGGGTGAAGGACCAAGGCAGGCGTCCCTGTGTGGTCTGACACCTTTGAAACGTGGGTGAATAATCAGAGAGGCATCCCTGCAATGATTAAACACCAAGGGAAGGCTGCCTTCCCAGTCCGTGACCGGTGCCAGAGTTTTGGGTCCACGGATAAAACGTGTCTCCTTTGTCTCTACCAGAAAATGAAAGGAATTGAAATTAAGAGAAGGGAGAGTTTGAAGTGTGGCGCCAAGATTGAAAGGAGAAAGAGGTTGAGGGATAGTGAGGGAGGTTGGAGAGGAGAGTAAAAAAGAGGCCTCTAACCGGATTTGAAGTTGATGAGGTGTTTCTTGGGCTGGTCAGTCTGAGGACCTGAGGTCGTAGGTGGATCTTTCTCACGGAGCAAAGAGCAGGAGGACGGGGGATTGATCTCCCAAGGGAGGTCCCCCGATCCAAGTCACGGCACCAAATTTCATGCGTGTCCGTGTGAAGAGACCACCAACCAGGCTTTGTGTGAGCAATAAAGCTTTTAATCACCTGGGTGCAGGTGGGCTGAGTCTGAAAAGAGAGTCAGTGAAGGGAGATGGGGTGGGGCTGTTTTATAGGATTTGGGTAGGTAAAGGAAAATTGCAGTCAAAGGGGGGTTGTTCTCTGGCAGGCAGGAGTGGGTGTCGCAAGGTGCTCAGTGGGGGTGCTTTTTGAGCCAGGATGAGCCAGGAAAAGGACTTTCACAAGGTAATGTCATCACTTAAGGCAAGGCCCGGCCATTTCTACTTCTTTTATGGTGGAATGTCATCAGTTAAGGTGGGGCAAGGCATATGCACTTCTTTTGTGATTCTTCAGTTACTTCAGGCCATCTGGGCGTATACGTGCAAGTCACAGGGGATGCGATGGCTTGGCTTGGCCTCAGAGGCCTGACATATAATAATAACCCTATCATTATTTCCATTTTTACAGATGAGAAAACTGAGGCACAGAAAGATTAATTAACTTATCCATTTTATTAGTCTATTCTCATGCTGCTAAAAAGAACTGCCTGAGACTAGATAAATTATAAAGGAAAGAGGTTTAAATGACTCACAGCTCTTCAGGGCTGGGAAGGCCTCAGGAAACCTATAGTCATGGCAGAAGGGGAAGCAACATGTCCTTCTTCACATGGTGGAAGGAAGGAGAAGAATGAGAGCCAAGTGAAGGGGGAAGTTCCTTCTAAAACCATCAGATCTCATGAGAACTTATTAACTATCATGAGAATAGCATGGGGGAACTGCCCCCATAATTCAGTTACCTTCCACCAGGTCCCTCATACAACATGTGGGGATTATGGAAACTACAACTGAAGATGAGATTTGGGTGGGGATACAGCCAAATCATATCATTTCACCCTGTCTCCTCCCAAATCTCATTCCTCACATTTCAAACACAATCATGCCTTTCCAACAGTCCCCCAAAATCTTAGTTCATTTGAGCATTAACCTAAAAGTCCAAATCCAAAGTCTCATCTGAGACAAGGCAAGTCTCTTCTGCCTATGAGCCTGTAAAATCAAAAGCAAGTTAGTTACTTCGTAAGTATGATGGAGGTACAGGTATTGGGTAAATACACTCATTCCAAATAAGAGAAATTGGCCAAAACAAAGGAGCTACAGGCCTCATGCAAGTCTGAAATCCAACTAGGCAGTAATTAAATCTTAAAGCTCTGAAATCTCCTTTGACTTCATGTCTCACATGCAGGTCACACTGATGCAAGAGATGGGATTTCACAGTCTTGGGCAGCTCTGCCCCGCGCCCCTGTGGCTTTGCAGGGTACAACCCCTCTCCAGCCTGCTTTCATGAGCTGGTGTTGAGTGCCTGCAGTTTTTCAGGCACATGGGTGCAAGCTGTCAGTGGATCTACCATTCTGGGGTCTGCAGGACTATGGCCTCTCATTGCTTCACTAGGCAGTGCCCCACTGGGGACTCTATGTGGGGGCTCTGACCCCACATTTCCCTTCCACACTGCCCTAGCAGAGGTTCTCCATGAGGGCCCCACCCCTGCAGCAAATGTCTGCCTTGATATTCAGGCATTTCCATACATCCTCTGAACTAGGCAGAGGTTTCCAAACCTCAGTTCCTGACTTCTGTGCATCCACAGGCCCAACACAATGTGGAAGATGCCAAGGTTTGGGGCTTGCACCCTCTGAATCCATGGCCGGAGCTGTGCCTTGGCGCCTGTTAGCCACAGCTGGAGTGGCTGGGACACAGGGCACCAAGTCCCTAGGTTGCACACAGCAGGGGAGCCCTGGCCCCAGCCCACAAAACCGTTTTTTTCTTCTTAGGCCTGGGAGGGGCTGCTTTGAAGGTCTCTGACATGCCCTGGAGACATTTTCCCTATTGTTTTGGTGAATAACATTCAGCTCCTCTTTACTTATGCAAATTTCTGCAATGGGGTTGAATTTCTCCCCAGAAAAATGGGTTTTTCTTTTCTATTGCATTGCCAGGCTGCAAATTTTCCAAACTTTTATGCTCTGCTTCCTCTTGAACGCTTTGCTGCGTTCAAGATAATTCTAAATTATCTCTCTCAAGTTCAAAATTCCACAGATCCCTAGGCAGGGACAGAATGTGTCCAGTCTCTTTGATAAAGCATAGCAAGATTCACCTTTGCTCCAGTTTCCAACAAGTTCCTCATGTCCATCTGAGACCCCCTCAGCCTGGACTTCATTGTCCATATCACTATCAGCATTTTAGTCAAAGCCATTCAACAAGTGTCTAGGAAGTTCCAGACTTTCCCACACCTTTCTGTCTTCTGAGCCTTTCAAGTCTCTAGAAAGTTCCAAACTTTCCCACATTTTCCTGTCTTCTGAGCCCTCCAAACTCTTCCAGCCTCTGCCTGTTGCCCAGTTTCAAAGTCACTTCCATGTTTTTCAGTATCCTTTTAGCAGTGCCCCACTCCCTCTGTATCAATTTACTGTATTAGTCTGTTGTCACATTGCTATAAAGAACTGCCCATGACTGGGTAATTTATAAAGAAAAGAGGTTAAATTGACTCACAGTTCTTCAGGGCTGGGGAGGCCTCAGGAAACTTACAATCATTGCGGAAGGGAAAGCAAACAAGTCCTTCTTTACATGGCAGGAGGAAGGAGAAGAATGAGAGCCAAGTGAAGGGGGAAGCCCCTTCTAAAACCATCAGATCTCTTGAGAACTTACTCACTATCATGAGAATAGCATGGAGGAAACCACCCCCCTGATTCAATCACCTCCCACTGGGTCTCTCCCATGACACATGGGGATGTTGGGAACTACAGTTCAAGATGAGATTTGTGTGGGGAGACAGCCACCATGGTCACTTTGTAAGTGGCAGGACTGGGGCTTGAACCTGCACAGTTTGTCTCCATTGTCTGTGCTCAAGGGCAAACCTCCTCCATTACTTGGGTTCAAAGATTGATGAATGGGATCTCAATGGTGTCCTGATTCTTTGGCTACTCCTCAGGATGAGAGGTCAGGCTAACCTGGCTTCTCTGTAGTGTTCCTTAAGGAGGCTACTGTTCAGATTGGGGCTGGCTCTTCATAAGCTCTGTCTCAGTTAGGGCAGGTGTATCAGTTACCTGAGACTGCTAGTTCAAATACAAATCCTGCCCAACTTCTGATTCCCTGCCTGCTGGGTGAGGCCTGAGAATGATGAGGGGTTCCTGATGGCTCATGCAGGGGATCAGCAGTCCACATTGGAGAACTGATAACATTTTAAAGACAAGTTCCAAAAGCCTGAATGCCTTACAAGTGCCTTCCATTAGGTTTCCTAAGGGGCATCTTTCAGCGTGTACAGAGCAGTCACTTTGTGGGTCCAAGATTGAATTTTGTTTTTTTTTTGTTTTTCCTCATTTATTTAACCCTTTTGAACCCAAATGATTTCATGTGCAAAATAGTACCCCCTTTTGCTTATCTCAA
Source organism: Homo sapiens (assembly GCF_000001405.40). Classification (NCBI taxonomy): domain Eukaryota; kingdom Metazoa; phylum Chordata; class Mammalia; order Primates; family Hominidae; genus Homo; species Homo sapiens. Next base: position 56,412,438 of record NC_000018.10, on the reverse strand, counting down.
CAGAGTGTTACAACAACACTTTAAAAACTCTAACGTGCTATACAAATATAAGACATTAGTATTCGTTGTTGTTTTTTCTGCTTATCACAAGTACCGTCAACTTCACATATGCACTGTTAACAGCCCGCTTTCAAATTGAGTCAACATTTTAGGTGATTCTTAATGGACTTGAGTGTATTTCATTTGGGAGCTATGTACTGCTGCTTCTGGCTGGCTCTGGGAGTAACAAGATGAGGAACAAGAAAGGACACAGAGGAGAGGGGCTGGCAGCTGCCAAATTCAGCCAAAAGTTTAGAAAGGCACTTAGGTCAGATGAGTGAGGTGCCCAGACTAGACTCTTGGCAACAGGCAGTCTAAATCCAGCATGGGGGTTTGAAGCTTCCAGGGAACGCATGACTCCGATGCAACGTGTGGCTGCCCTCCTGCAGTATATGCTGTTAGAAAAAGGACACTTGGGCAGCCAAAAAGATAGCATCTCCAGAGGCTGTATTTTGGCCATGGCAGCTGGGGTATGTGTGTGTGAGGGGAGGGGTTGGGAAGTGGATTGGGAAGAAGGAAGACGGAGAGATAGAGAGAAAGAGAGAGAGAGAGAGAGACACTGAGGGGGAAGAGAGAGGAAGAGAGAAAGAATGACAGAGAGAGAAAGAGGGAGGGAGAGAGAAAGAGAAAGAGAAAAAGAAATGGGAGAGACAGAAAAAGAATGAAAAAGTGAGAGAAAGAGGGAGAAGAGAGAGAGAGGAAGAGAAAAAGAATGACACAGGGAGAAAAAGAAAAAGAGAGAGGAGAAACTAGTTTTAGGGAAATTTCTCATGGAGCCACTGTATAAGGTTTGCATTAACTCTGCATCATTTATTCAACTTATTCACCTCTTTATTATTATTATTATTATTATTTTTGAGACAGAGTCTCACTTTGTCGCCCAGGCTGGAGTGCAGCGGCGCGATCTCAGCTCATTGCAAGCTCCGCTTCCTGGGTTCATGCCATTCTCCTGCCTCAGCTTCCCAGGTAGCTGGGACTACGGGCTCCCGCCACCCCGCCCGGCTAATTTTTTTTGTATTTTTAGTAGAGACGGGGTTTCACTGTGTTAGCCAGGATGGTCTCGATATCCTGAGCTTGTGATCCGCCTGCCTCGGCCTCCCAAAGTGCTGGGATTACAGGCGTGAGCCACTGCGCCCGGCCTTTTTTTTTTTTTTTTTTTTTAGACGGAGTCTCGCTCTGTTGCCCAGGCTGGAGTTCAGTGGCACAATCTCGGCTCAAGGCAAGCTCCGCCTCCCGGGTTCACGCCATTCTCCTGCCTCAGCCTCCCTAGTAGCTGGGACTACAGGCGCCTGCCACCTTGCCCGGCTATTTTTTTTTTTTTTTAATTTTTAATAGAGACAGGGTTTCACCGTGTTAGCCAGGATGGTCTCGATCTCCTGACCTAGTGGTCGTCCCGCCTCAGCCTCCCAAAGTGCTAGGTCATTCACCTTTCTATGTTCTGTGTGTTTATTCTGCTGCATCTCTTTTAGATATATCAGTGTTGCCTCCTTTTGATATACCTGAAGCTGTGGCTACATGATGCCACTTGACCAATGGTTTTGCATAGGATGTCTTGTCATATCAGTAAAATAATCAGCTATTTAGGTGAATAGTTGACCTGATCTCCCTCATAAATACATCATTATGTGATATATACCAAGTATGTAGAGCCCCAAAAGACAGCAGCTCCTTCTATAAGCAATAGGGTTCCTGGCACAACCCAATGTATAAAGAAAACCTAATTTAGTTAAGTATACACTTGTTTTGATGATAAAAAAAAATGTTGTTGAGGCAACTATGTAAACTATTTCAGGCAAAAGAGATTAGTATTATTTTGTATGACCTGTGCAAGACCTGTCTTGTTTTTAGTGGCAAATAGCTCGAAGTTCCTAATCTGTTTGAAGGCTGATCTGTTATGGCACCCAAAGCATATTCTTCTATTAGTTTTATTACATTTGCTTACTTGGAATATTGGGTGGAATCAGTAGAATTCAGAAGTGACTATAGAACTGCATGGCGATAAACTTAATAGGGATTTTATCTTTTGGTTCTTTCAGGTGAAAGTAGTATATATGTCAAAGTACCCAAAAGATTCCTAAATGGAGCTGTATGCTTAGATCATTCATTCATTCATTCCTTCAGTGAAGAACATTGCTTCCTGGGCATTGCCTGTGTTAGATACTTCCATCGGGGAGGGAAAGATTTATAAATCTCAATTCCCCTCACCCAAGTTCAAGTCAATAAAATAATAGTATTCAGGTTCAGAATTTTTTCTGAAAACTAAACAATAAAAATATGTGCAATATTTTATGCAATGCTAATAATTTTCAGTGCCTATAATTTAAAGAGATGGTATATTTTATATAAATATTAGTATAGTGATTTCTTTCAATTTTATAATGGTCAGTACCTTTTTGTTATTTTTATGATTTTCCAAGACTTGAGACATTTTTAGGAACAGAAAATTTCCTCACATGTTGAAACCTTTTGGTAATTCCCTTTTGTTGAACACTTCCTTTCAGATGAATATTAAAATGTTAAATGAAAGAAAGGAATAGAGAAGTTATAGGCTAGAGAATTATAGAGCTAGGGAAAGAGAGATGCCATTCCAGAATTCAATAGTCTAACTTCCAGACAATCAAATTAATATTAAGATGGAATGAAGTGAAACTAGATTGCTTACATTACTTTCATCTGGTCATATTCCTTGAATAATTCCTGTTTCCATGAATATTTAGCTTTCCTAGACTCAGGAATGAATCTGATTTTTACCTTGAGGAAACACATACCATATATGTCCTGAAAAACACAAATGCAAATTCAATGAAACCCCTTAATATTGAACCCACCTGTATTGAATCCCTGTGTATAGCAATCAAATTGGAAATCCAGGTCTATTACACGCACATGTAATATTTCTAGAGTATATCAAATTCCATCCTATATCAAATTTTTTCCTCGGGTTCCTAGAAATTTAATATAAGCAAGTTTCACTCTATTTGAAAAGGACATGATGCAATATAATGTGTTTTTCAATAAATAGAATTCTTGGTAATTCGATTTATGTTCAGAACTTCTTAAAGGCAACTTACTTCATAGAGGTCTCACATCAGAGTCCAGTTCTGAGAACCTTACTCAGGTAAAATTTCTTTTGGCTTGAAAGATTTGTGAAGGAAAATCAGAAAGAATCTTGGTAATTCATACACAGTGATTTAAAAAATAACCACTCCACACCCTAGTCAAGTAGAGAAGGGAGACATATTTGGGAGACCAGGCAAATCCTTGATTCGGGTTTATATTTATATTATATTTATATTATATTATATTTATAATATATGGCTGTCCTCAGGACAGGTGGCTTCTTGTTGGTGGGACCTGTACCTTCTTCCTCTTTGTGTCCCCAGCACTGGGCCCACACATAGCAAATGCTTGGGAAGACTTGGCTGAATTACCAAGTTCAACTGGTGACAGGACCAAGGTCATAGGCGTGTAGTAAAGCTTAAAAGTCAACACCTCCTACTACTCTCAAGAGGTCAGTTTTAAAAAAAGATCTGTTTCTGTAATTTAATAATTCAAAAACCCAAAATTGTTATTTTTCTATTGGTCTCCATTTTTTGCCAAAGTTTATTTAAAAATATTTTTCAGATAGCCAATCTCTGTTTCTAGTTGATTTTCATTTTATACACATATCTATGTATCACATAACTCTGATTATGGTTCTTGTTAAATAAAACATACTGTTATAGTCTATGTTCAGCATCCCCTGAGTAGTAAACCAGGCCTGTAAAAAATGATATGCACTCATTAAAGAAATTTCATTTAAAATCTTGGAAAGCCTACATTAAGAATATTTTCTCGTATTGCTCTGTCAATCTTTCCTGCACCTGTTAGCATGTTTAGAAAATGGCTTTTTATAAATCACCCATCTTATTGCAAGTGGAAGAAAATTCACAAAAGCAATTCCAATTATTCAAATTGTTTTGTAAAACATAAAATTAAGAACATATCCTATAATAAGCACTAATAAACTTAGCAACTAGATATAAATAAAATATAGGTTATTAAAGGATTATAATATGATAGGAAAGAGTTAGAGGCTCATATAATTATCCTTGCTGAATGTAAACAGTTTCTGAGATCGTTTTAACTATTTTTAGTACTTGAAATCTTGAAGCTTTCTTGGATATACCTGCAGAATTGGCACAGCTTCCAGCATTACAGCTTTTGGCTTTTAACTCTCCAATGCCTAATAAACCTATGAACTCCATTAACTGCAACTGATATGCATGCAAGGATGTAAAGGCCTTTCCCTGGCCCTCTCACTGACTCAAACAAGAAGCCAAAATGAGTATGACGCCAAATCCCATGCAAGTAATCAGGTACGTCATTTTTCATTTGAAAAGAAGTCCTCTCCAATAATAGAAATGCTGAGAGAGGTTATTACAATAACAAATGAGTTGGCAGGGTGATTTGTGCTTGAAACAAATGTACCTTTGGATGGAATCCTCTTTAATTCCTTATCAATCCTGGGCTTAGTGGACAGGTCTGACTCTGGGAACCCGGCAGTTGAATGCCTGCGTACTTTGAATTCACTTGGTTCATTTCTTATGAACCAAACAGCTGTTTCCCACAGTCCTCCCAGCAGGTATGTTTGGGGATTAGTAATGCTTCATGTGGTCCTGCAGCACAAGAAATGGATGTGTAATTACATTAAATATGCTTCATCTCTTTGGACTCACATATCCCAAGTCACTGATATTGGAGCCATTCAATAACAGTTCTCCATCAACTGGTTTGCTTTTTAAACAACAACAACATCTTATATGAATGCAGTGGTTTCAAGTCTTCAAAATGCTTCTGAAAGCTTTCTCCTTAGGTTTGTCTTTGAGGGCATCTGACTGTGTTTATCTAAATGTAGTGTTCCTGAGTGAGAAGATCTTTCTGAGTCCACCCAAAAATAGAAGTGGATGTGTACATCTTGAGGATCTGAAAAAAATTCTGAGGAGAACTTAGAACATGGAAATGGTCCATGCAGGATCATAGACTTTCAAACTGCAGTGGAGCGTTCAGGTGGGTTGGACCACTGGTGGTCTCCTAGAAGGGCTCAGGAAAATACTCTACTTTAAGAAGAGCTCTGCTATTCTCGCCGATTCAGCTTTGTTATGCTTTCCCTCCAATTAGGACATGTGGTTGTTAAAATTAAATGCACTCTTCTAGGTTTAGCTAAAAAAATCTACCCAGATCCTTTCCCAAGAAGAATTTTTCTCTATGTCCTTGGAAATTCTGTAGTGTTTTGCATCTTCCCAATAGTCCTTCCATTTATTTTAGTTGTTGTATTGAAAAGTTAGCCAGCTTGCTTTAGGCAGAAAATAAGAAAAGGGTTCCCAGAGAACCTCTGACCTGTGTTTTGTGCAGATAAGGGAACTTGCACAGGGTACTTGCCTAAACATGCTCACAGTGGACTAAGGGCCTGCATGTGCACTGGGGGGATGGAGTGGAGCCACCAGGAATTTGTGCCTTATACAAATAGGGAACCCAGCCCCATCAGCTGGTATGTACAAGCCCTTGTATTCACCTGTGAAGGGGCAACCAGGAATGTGCTTTCAGGACCCCTCTCTTTGCTGAGAGCTTTCCTTTTGCTTAATAAACCCTACTTCACTTACTCTGTGAGTGTTCATGTGCCTAATTTTTCCTGGTCGTGAGACAAGAACCTGGACCTAGCTGAGCTAAGGAGGAAAAATCCTGCATCAATATTAGTTTCCATAGCCTTAATGCACTCAAAATTATTATTTTATGAGGGTAAACTTTCAATAATAACCCCACTATTTCTGGATATCTCTTTCCCTATCCATTTCTAACAGGGGGCAGGGACTGTGACAAGAACTCACTCTTGTGCCACCCAAACATCTACCACAGTGTCTTGCACATAGTGGATGCCTAATAAGTTTGTCTTATACTACATTAAATTAATTTAATAAAATGAATAATGCTTGAAAAATGATTTAGTTAAATCTAAAACAAGGGTCATGATCAGGATACTTGTTGAATTATAAAATACTCTTGGTAAACTTTTTGATTTCATTCACTCATTCAATGAGTATGTATTGAGTACACACTGTGGGCCAGGTGTTATTCTAGGCACTGGTCATACAGTGGTGAACAGACAAATAAGATCCTTGCTTTCATTCTGGTAGGGAAAGACAGAATAAACAAGAAGACAAATAAATGTGATAATTTCAGAGAGTGACAAATTCTATGAAGAAAGTGAACTAGGGAAGTTGTGAGAGAGTGTGCCAGGGATAGAAAGCAGAGAAACACGTTTTTGAGAAGATGATATTTGGGCACAGACCTGAATCATGTGATGAAATTATAATGCAGCAACAAGCATGACAAGTTTTTGGAGTAAACAAAGAAGACCAATGTGACTGGAGCAAAATTAACTAAGAGAAAAGTGGGGAAGATAAGAATGGAGTAGTAGGAGCACTTACAGGGTGTTCAGGGAATCAAAGCTTATTGGAGTGAGTTGAACAGGCAGGATAGAAACTTCCAAACTGTTGGAAATGGGTAGTGAGGTGAAGACTTTTCCTCTCCTCTCCTCTCTCCTCTCCTTTCCTCTTTCTTCCTTTCATCTCCTCTCCTATTCTCTTTCTTTGTCCCTCCCTCTCTCCCTTCCCTCCTTCCCTTCCTTCCTTCCCTTTTTTCCTTCCTTACTTTTTTCCTTTCTTTCCTCGCTCCTTTCCTTCCTTCCTTCCCTTCTTTTGAAGTTGGGAAATACTAGCGTTTGTTTGTATTCTGATGGAAATGAATCATTAGACTGAGGGAGAACGAAGATACAGGACAAAGAAGGTGAAATTTCAAGAGGGCAGTCAATGGGAAGGCAGGAACACAAATATCAGCCATAGGGATGGGGTGGCGATGTTGTGATGAGAGGGATGGGAGATAGTGTGGACACCATGCAGTTGGGTTCTTATATTTAGTAGTGGGACCATGAGAGGACCTTGGCTGGTTTGCATTAATTTTCTTAGAGGAGTATGGAGCATGGCCATCAGCTGGGAGAGGGCAGGTGGAGGAGGTGCAGCCAGTCTTAAAAAGGAGAAAATATGAAATTATCTTTTGGGAGGGTGGGTGAACAAATCTCTCAAGGAGGTATAGTAACAGTGTCTGGAATTGTTGGACTATGGGATTGGTTACTGCATGTGGTTTATTTTGATACTGGCACATTTTAACAGAGGCATAAAGAGAGTCCTGTAAGTGGAGCAGGGTTGAAGAAAGGTCTAAGAAATGTTTCGTATGCAGAACGACTAATGGAACTGGGCTAACAGAGTGTTTGGCTTGAAGAAGAAAATACTTAGAAGCAAAGTGTGGTGGTTAAGACCATGGGTTGTGAAGTCTGGCAGACTTGCATTTGAACCTTGGCTTTTGTGTTATTAGCTGTGTGACCTTGGAGACGTTACTACCCTTTCTGAGCTGTAGTTTTTCATCTATGAGAATCATAAATGAACTTTCTACAGCAGGTTGCTACACCAGGGATTCAAAGATACCTGCTATTTATTCATGGATCTGTGTGTGTTGGGGCATTACTCTTTAGATAACTAAAGAGCTACTATGTGAAAGAGACATCAGGCCTATTCTATATAGCATCAGAGAACAGATCTAGAACATGAGGAATTAAAAGTTGACAGTAGAAACAACTTTCTTGTAGCTGGAGGTGTTCTAACGTGGAATAAGCCTTCCTGTGAGGGAGTGGGCTTTCCCCCACTAGAGATGTTTACACCAGGGCAGGGTGGCTGCCTGTGAAAGGTTTTGTAGTGTCTATTCCTGCCTTAGTGGGAAGGTTGGAATAAGATGCTAAATTCTATAGCAAATATATTGATATGCATGGGGATGTTCTATATATTTGCATATACAACTTCTAATTGTAAATAATTTGCATCACAAGTTTGATTTGTCTGTGTACAAACACTTTCGTTCTTGTGAAGCCTGAGAAATCAAAGTATTATGTTTGTGCACACATTACATTATTGGATCAATTTAAGAATCCTATTGGGTAGATATTATTATTTTGTTTTATAGACTGGGAATAAAAGTGAAGAGAAGTAAAGTTATTTGGCTATGAATTTATAGGAAAATTAGTATAGGGATCAAGACTCAATCCTATGATTTGCCCAATAATTCCCACCTCAGTTCCTTCAAACTGAGTGCATTAGCATTTATAGACTATCATTAAGCACAATTCAAAGTCCACTCTCTTTATTAAATATAATGAAAAGGATGATTTATATGGCAGATTTTGAGATAATAAGTCATTTTTATAATGCTCTATTATTTAAGCTAATTTAACTAATCAGTTCTATGTTGATGAGCAATCAGAGTCAATTTGTAGGGTACTACTACAATTTTCTAGTATTGTAGTATTTCTGTCAAACAGCACTAAGGTGCAAAGTGTTATTACTTCTAAATTTTATGATGAACAGGGGAAATGGCTGGAGACATTCGTGGGTGACACTATATGCAAACTTTAAAAAAGCATTTCATATTATTATCGAAACAGAGAAGCTTCAGCTAATAGAGTCACATAAATCCAAATGGATTAGTTTTTGTTGCAAGAAAGACTAGCTCTCATAAGACTTTCTCCATAATTGAAGGCTTTTACCAATTATGCTCAAATATTGTGTGAAAGAAAAATATTTTCCATTACTATTTCTGGTTACATGGAGAAAATATTTCACTCCAATGAGAACCAGAGTAGCATTCAGGTTTTTGTTTTTTTTTTTAACATTCAATGCAAGCTGACTAATGCTTCTTTCTAAATTGGAGAGCAAATATTACAAAGCTCCGTTTCTTAGAGATGGAAAATAATACCATGCTTTAGAGGAAAAATGAATACTTTGTTAAGCAGATCAACTTCTGAGTTTTCTGGAAAATTATATAATCTAAAGAAAATAGCTGAAGCTTCAGCAGCATTTGCTAGAAACTGGAATATAGTTAAAGGTGGTTGAATGGGGGGAAATTGGAGGAAACGGAGGAGAAAGCCATGCAGTGGATATGATTCAGTTCTGGCAGATTAGACATGATGGTAACCAGATCTTTTGATTCAGTAATCAGCCTGATACTAAATATCTTCAGAGCATAATGACTTACAGAAGAACTCTGGGTTTCTTTTTTCTCCCAACAGAAATGTGAGGTAAAAATAAGGAGGCTTTCCTTGTAGTTGTAACAAGAGTGGAACTTAACCCAGTGTTGTAAAAAACAGCATCTTTGATCACTGGAATATTTTCAAAAAAGGAGGACTCACAGCATTAAAATGGCTAAAGGTTGACTCATGCATAATTGGCTCACTCTCTTTCACCATCTCTTAAATGACATCAGAAGGGATTTTAATAAAGTGCTGTGTCAGTTTCCTGGGGCTGGCACACTGGGTGGCTTAGAACAACCAAAATTTGTTGCCTCATGGTTCTGGAATTGCCAGAAGTTCAAAATTAAGGTGTTGGCAGGGCCATGTTCCCTCTGAAGGCTCTGGGGAAGGATCTGTTCCAGGCCTTTCTCCTGGCTTCTGGTGGTCTCAGGCCTTTCTGGGCTTGTAGATACATCCCTCCATCACGTGGTCATCTACTTCTTGTGTGTCTTCCCATCATTTTCTCTCTGCGTGTCCGTTTCTGTGGCCAACCTTCTCCGTTTCATAAGGACATCATATTGTATTGGATGAGGGCCCACCCTAGTGACTTCATTCTGAACTTGACCACCTCTAGAAGATCCTATTTCTAAATAAGGTTACATTTTGATGTGCTGGGGTTGGGACTTCAACATATCGTTTTGGAGGGACACAACTCAACCTGTATCAAGTGCTTCAAACATATTTTTTCCTTTTTTGAGAAGACAACTGAAGAGTTAATCTTGAATGGAGAAGCCACAATTTATTCTACTTCTCATTACAGAATCAGAAAGATATGTGAGCACATTATGATGATATTTACTGTCATTATAGGAGTTTGACACAAAACAAGTGCCCAAAATGTATATTTTGATGGGCTGATTGTGTGATCACATGATGTGGTCATTCTTCAAAGTTCTGTATAATCTTTAACTCACTCTGGCACCATTCAGGTGTGACACTTGATTTGTTAGCTAAAGCCAGAGAAAACCTCCTCCAGTGTCCTTGTCACCTCTGAATTATCTACCAGAGAGCACAGCTGAGCAGAGCTTACTTTGAGTAAGAGAATATGGAGACCCTTTGATAACATACCTAGGACCTGTAAGTGAATTTAAATAGGACTCAGGGTCCGGGGCACTGAGCTCTGGAAGAGCTGAGAGGAGAGTTAATGATGATCTACTGGCTTATTTTTTTTCCTTGGCCCTGCCAGGGTTCCCACGTTTTCCCACTCTGCTAGTCTTTTCTGGTCTCTGAAATGAACAACATGTTTACCTGACCCACTGTCTGCCTGGGCGGGCCCACTTCCCCTCCTTCCCTTCTCTTCCTCCTCCTAAATCCATCCACCTCCAATGCCTGTACTTATTTATTTCTGCAGTACGGATTCTTCTGCTTAGGATTTTGCAGCTCTGGTAAACGACCTTTCAGGATATCCATGTGCCCTATTTTGGGACAAATTTGTTTTATTTTTATTTAACTCCTAAACATTGTGTGTGTATGTGTGTACATATATATGCTACAGATATATATAGTGCACACAGATATGCTACACATATATATGGTGCACACATATATGCTACACATATGTTTGATGCACAGAGATATGCTACACATATGCATGGTACACATAGATATGCTACACATATGTATAGTGCATGCTACATATATGTATGGTGCATGCTACACATATGGCACACATAGATATGCTACACATACGTATAGCGCATGCTACACATATGTATGGTGTATGCTATACATATGTATTGTTCACGTAGATATGCTACACACATGTATGGTTCACATAGATATGCTACACATATGTATGGTGCACATCTCCCCAACCTGACTTTGAACGTCTTATGGGCAGAATATGTTTATTTCTCTAGTCCCACAGAGCATGGTACATAGTGAATACTCAGTGAACTGATAATTGAAACTGTAAAACGCTACTCACTTCCAGTGGGGCATCTCCTTGTGGTTTTGCTCCAAGAGTGCGTGTGTATGTGGTTTTTGTAAATGAAAATGATAGTTTCCCAATGATAAGCCACATTTTCAGAGAATCTTATGTTACTTCTGCTAATCCTACCAAATGTATCATTAGAATATTCTGGCAACTCAGGAAGGGGGCATGTAAACCTTCCTGATGTTATAAATGATAATATCGTGGGTTGTGATTCTTTGCCAAGATCCTGTGTTTTTCAAATAGGTACAAAAATAGACTTATAGAATATTAGATGTGATTCAATTTGTGGAAGCTAGTGAAAGATCTGGTTTTGCGTCCAGATTGCCATAGGGATAAAACAGAGCAGCAGAAGTGGACAAGTGACAGCCAACATCTGGATGATGCATCCCACGGGGCTGTCAAGATGGTTAAATGAAGTAATGTACATAAAGCTCAAGGGCTAAAATCAACAGGAGTAAACATCACTTTGATGGAAGTGCCATTTATTGATTGTGTATATATCCACATCTTTGCAATGGAATCAGACACCATTGAATTAGATATTTTAATTTCCTGAAGTGTGTCTTTCCTGAGACTCACAGAATTGGTAATGTTGGCTTGATGGTCCACAGGAAATTGAAATAATAGAAACTTTTGGTAGCATATGAGTTGACCCTGGGTATAGAGGCGGAACATAAATGGCAGATTGAGGAGTAAATTCTAATTCCTTGAATATAAAGGCCTTTTCCCTGAGCACAGCACCTTGCCATCTGTCTTTTTAATATCTGTAAGGGATACCCCAGCCTGATTCCAAACTCTCTTGCTCTATAATGGGAAATATCTCTGTGTTTGATGAACCTAAGTGAAAAATGCAGTCTCATATCCATGTATTTATTAAATCTCTGGTTGCATAAAGGCCTCACTCCAAAGTAACGTTCAAAATAAATTGCTTCCATGATTGTATTGTTAGAATGCCCATGTATGATTTCTTCTCTCTGCATTCTAAGATGACAATGTATCTTGGGGAACATTAATGATGCAAATTCAAACTACCAGGGCAATCAGCTACAGACAGATCAGAAAATTGTAGCGATTGGCCTAAAGACTCCTTCTGAGTTCTTCCTAGAGCGAGGAGTGCTGGGAGACCTCTTCAAGGAGATTCTGCTTATCACATTTATTTTCCCCCCTACGAAGACTCTAAGTCAGAAAAAATGATTTTTGCTCAGAGCATGGCAGTTCTTCTCTGTGCTTGGGGTTCACCTGAATGCTTCTTCAAAATGCCAAATCTGCCATCACAGCCAACAAAACTTGGATGGATCTCACTGCTGCACTAAAACCTTGACACTTCTCATTCTTCCAGCAATTCACATTGGAGCGTGGCTTTAGGACAGGTCGTTTTCAATTCAGTGTGGTGCTTTCTGCAGTGAGAAAATGCCTTCCACCTCTTGAATAGGTTTGGAAACCAGCAGTGTGTCGATGTGCTCCTGTGGTGTTCTTGCAGCTCTTGGATTGTTAGTAACTGAGTGGTCAGAAACATTCTTTCCTGGATGGCCAATATTTTTCCATGGCTTAGCAGGTACTAAGCACTTTGCTTAGTTATCTAGTTTAATTCTCATAACAGTCCTATGAAGAAGGTATATTTATCATCTGCTTTTACAGCTGGAGAAACTGGGGTTTAGGAAGGTTGAAAAATGTGCTGATGTTTGCTTGGTCAGTAAGTAGTAAAGTTGAGACTTGGACACAGACAGGCAGACACCAAAGCCTGGGGGCTTGGCCATTCTGATATATCTTTAAGGCATGTAGGTGGTAGTTAACAGTCCTGCTGCCTGGGACCAAAGGCCAACTCTGTCACTCTCTCCTAATGGGATATTGGGCAAGTTTCTATACCTTCCTGAGGTATAGCTTCCATCTTGTGGAATGAAGCAATAGGACCCTGCCACCCAGGCCTGTTGAGAGAATTAGGTAAGATAATGCATGTAATACACTGAAGCAAAATGTGCTCTACACGTTAGCTATTGTTACTGAACCATATCCTGCAGTTTTGTGTGTGTCTGTCTCTAACTCTCTAGTTTAAAGGTTAGCCTTGTTGTTTCTTCTCATCAATAAGAGAGAGTCATAAGTTGTCTGCGTTAAGAGAATCTAATGGAGGAATCCTAACTTCTTAAATACAATGAGTGTGCTCATTGGCCTTCAAGGCTGAACATAAAAAAGACACCTCGATGTTCTTGCTTATGGAGAGCTTTGGCAAAGCTTGTTTTCAGGGATCTTAACTCTAATCATTTTACCTCTCAATACAGAGCCAGTGGGGAGTGGAGCTCAGAGTCCTTATCTGAGAGCAAGGAGACCTGGCTTCTAGCGCCTATTAGGTCAGAGTAAGTGGGATTTTGTTATAGCTGGTACTTGGAGTTCTCATTCACAAAATGAGAAAACAGAATTAGGTATTCCTAAGGATTTTTCTGCTCCTTGTGTTTATAAAGTGAGTCCTACATGTTTCGTAAAAACCTCTTTTAGTATTTGCCTTAAACAAGAGCTGCATGCTGGGATCACGGAAGAGGAGTGGGCCATATGTAAGAAAAGAGAGCAGAGACGAGAATGCAGATATATGTGAGAAGTGGTGGGTGGGTTTACACTAGGGCAGATGAGTAGAAAAAAATGACAGAAAGAAAAACCAAAAGAAAAAGACCAGATATGATCAACAGTGGTAAAGCAAGCAAGAAAAGGGTTGGGAAAAATGATTCCATTAAGTTTGATCAAAAATAGTGTGATAGGATGCCTTTAACTTGACAGGTGATGTCTTGTGTTTACCTCATTTAAACTAAGATAATACGGTGCTGAACATGTTTTAATCAAAAGAATGCATGTAGGCCGGGTGTGGTGGGTCACGCCTGTAATCTCAGCACTTTGGGAGGCCGAGGCGGGAGGATCACGAGGTCAGGAGATCGAGACCATCCTGGCTAACACGGTGAAACCCCGTCTCTACTAAAAAATACAAAAAATTAGCCGGGCATGGTGGCCGGTGCCAGTAGTCCCAGCTACTCGGGAGGCTGAGGCGGGAGAATGGCATGAACCCAGGAGGCTGGAGCTTGCAGTGAGCCAAGATTGCGCCACTGCACTCCAGCCTGGGAGACAGAGCGAGACTCCGTCTCAAAAAAAAAAAAAAAAAAAAAAAAAGAATGCATGTAACAGATAAGAAGTCAGAATTCTTCAGCTGACCCAATATTCTTAAAAATCAAAACAATAAGTATTGTGATGATTTTAAGAAGATAAATTCACAAGACCAGTGCTCTAACCCCTGAGCTATGGAACCACTTAAGAAGATAAATTCAAAGTGGGATCAAGAGTAAAACCTTTAAAGTCTATGTTTAAAATAGTCTCAAAACAGACTAAATTATATATACAAGTTATTATACAATATATAGATGATGTTTCAAGTCAGTGGAAAAATAATGCTTTCAAGTAATTGATATTGGAATGAATTTTTAATTTATTAAATTACTAACATTTTAACTTATTAAAATTTAAATTATTTTTAAAAGATTAAATTTTTAGTTCACATATTTTTACTTAAATTAATTCTGATCAAATTAAGTATTTCTAATGTAAAAAAATGAAACCATAAAATAACTAGAATGATATTCTAAGATAAAATTTTTGCAATGGAGAGGAAAAGGCCTTTCTACACCACATACCAAGGATAGAAATCATAAAAAAATATTAATAGGTTAGACAGCAAAAAGTAAAAACAAAACGAAATGAAAATGCAGAAAACAAAATCTCATATGACCAAAAATAGCGTTTACAAACAAAAAAGGACAAGGTGAGAAATATATTTGAACCATACATCTCAAAGGAATCTTTGCTTTAAATGATACTAAAGACTGTTAAATCAATAAGAAAAAACATACTCCAATAAGAAAAATAGGGAAAAGGAGATAAATGGGAATTTGACACAAAAGTTGACCCTAAATGCCTTCCAGATTTAGGAAGGAATATGAAATACAATGTTGAGATAGCATTTAAAAAACACATCAGATCATTCAAAATGAAAAAAGATTAATCTTATTATTGGTGAAGTATCTGGAAATAAGCAATCTCCTATTTTATTTCGGGAATGTAAATTGTGTAATAATTCTGAGTGAAAAATAGGAAAAGTCACTCTTTTATCGACTCATTTAAATTATATATTTTTCTATGAAAAAAACAATAAATTGCAAAAATCTGAACACTAATTTTAGTGACAGGAAACCAACGCAAATCACTATCAATGAGGAATTGATTTAAAGGATTATGTTATATCCATGCAATGGAATATTATGAAGCCATTCAATACTTATGTAGAGCAATCTTTAATTCATATGGAAAGATGTCTGCAAAGTAAGAAGATACATTATGAGGCCATTTGCATAGACAGTAGGAATTTATTTTTTAATTAAGACATGTTAAGTACATATATGAAGAGAAAAGTTACATTATATACATCAAAATGTTAAAAATAATACCTATGTGATATATTACATTGTACAATTTTTACTTTTAATATTTGCATTTTTCTAAAATTATTAATAATGAGCATATATTAATTTTATAATATTAAAGATATTTTATTTTAAATACAGATATTTGTGAAGAAAATGATAGCTATTAGAATCATACATGGTTCAGCATGTTTCTGTGAGTTATAGAAAAAAAAGAAGAAAATTGATTTATTGGTAACACCATGTTGAACCTAATAGGGAGTAGGAACTTACAGTATATAAACACTATGTGCTAGGTATTATTCTGATGGTTTTTAAATACATACCATTTGATCCTTACACTAACATTCTTTATTAATTAACTCATTAATTCATTCATTCATACACAATTCAAAAAGTATCTCCTAAGCATGAACTATAAGACAGGCTCTGTGGCTTCTTATTCCTATTTAGAGAGCTAGGATTTAAACCCAGATATATCCTTGTAAAAAGTTTATATCAGCACTGTCCAATAGAAATAGTATGCAATTTAAAACTTTTCAAGTAGGTACATTAAAAGAAGGTGAAAAGATACAGGTATAATTAATATTAACAATGTATTTGATTTAACCCAATATATCCAAAGTATTATCACTTATACATTTAATTGATAACAAGTTATTAATAAGATATTTTACATTCTTTTGTATGTACTAAGTCTCTAAAATCTGGTATGCAATTTACACTAATAGCACGTCTTAATCCGGACTGGCCACATTTCTAGTGCTCAACAGCCAACTGAGGCTCATGGCTGTGATACTGGACATGCAGGTATATTGTTATTTGCACTATATTATCCTCATTATCCTCCCTTACAGAATAAAAGTTAAGAAAGCATTGTTCCAATTATTAGAGAAATTACAAATTAGTTGGAAATTTAAAAACATAAATATGTGAGAGGGTTAGGAAGTGACTGTAGTTCATTTCAATCAGAAGGAAGTAATAGCAAACCAAGTCTTCAATCATGGTGAGAGCTACGGTTTGAATACCCAGTGCTTTGCTCTCGTGCATGGGATTAACACTCTTACAGAAGGGCTCAAGATTGAAGGGAGCTCTATCTCTTTTGCCCTTCCATCTTCTGCCATGTGAGGATACAGCATTCCTTTCCTCAGGAGGGTGCAGCAACAAGGTGCCATCTTGGAAGCGGAAAGCAGCCCTCTCCAGATACCAGTCCTGCCAGAGCCTTATCTTGGACTTTCCGGTCTCCAGAACCACCAGAAATAAGTTTCTATTGTTTGTAAATTACCCGGTCTGTGGTATTTGATTATAGCAGAACAAACAGACTAATACAGTGAGGATGGGGTAACTCAGACTAAGCTCTTTAAGATGGTAATTTTGAACTAGGTCTTAAAAAATGACATAGAAGGCCAGGTGCAGTGGCTCACACCTGTAATCCCAGCACTTTGGGAGGCCGAGGCAGGCAGATCACGAGGTCAGGAGATCGAGACCATCCTGGCTAACACGGTGAAACCCTGTCTCTACTAAAAATACAAAAAATTAACCGGGCATAGTGGCAGGCGCCTGTAGTCCCAGCTACTCGGGAGGCTGAGACAGGAGAATGGCATGAACCCGAGAGGCAGAGGTTGCAGTGAGCCGAGATCGTGCCACTGCACTCCAGCCTGGGCAACAGAGCGAGACTCCATCTCAAAAGGAAAAAAAAAAGAAATAGAAGATTTAGAAATGTTATTTAGCAAGTCATGTATAAGGCTTGGCAAATGAATGAGCACAGCTGAAACAAAGAATTTATATACGAAAATAGTAAGAGAAGAGACTGGCAAAGCAGAGGGGATTCACTATGTGGAAGGCTTTGAATATTGGCCTGATAAGTCTGAACTTGATAAGGGAGGTCAGGGAAAAATCAAGGGAATGAATGGAAGTTCTTTAGGGGAATGAAGATATGGGGAGGCAGAAGAAGATAGGTAAAGAGATGCTCGAGAAGGAAGTAAAGGGCAGTGATAAAGTGCAACACCTTTTAAGTCCTGTTTTCTGTAGATTTAGGAGCAATTAGAAATGGGTTGTACCATAAACAAATAAGACATTTGTTGGGCCAACACCCCTTATGGCAACTTCTCAAGCAAGTCTAGACAGTGAGCGAGAGACTAAAAATGCTAGAGTTCAGGAACTTTGCCTTTTCTGAAATAGGAATGTGCTAAGATTAGATGACAATCCTTGAATTAGGTTCCATGAGGCTAGGGACCAATTTTTTCTTGTTTATAGCTTAGGTTCAATTCTTCATACAATGCGTGGCATTTAGTAGGTATTAAAAAAATTTGTTAAATGAACGAGAGGAAGTAGGTACTCAAAAAAACATAATAAGTGGCTGACTGATGCCATTTCCCTCTTACATTAGGGGGATTCAATCTTAGTTAGGGTTCCCTGAAGCAGACTCTGAGATCATAATTATTGTGCAAGTAGTTTACTTAGGGGGCGATGCCAGGAACATCTCTAGGAGAATAAAGAACTGAGATAGGGCATGGAAAGAAGTCAATGTGAGTTAACGAGTAGGTTAAGATCTGAGCAACTGGGACTCTGGGAGACAGTATTGAGCATGCATCAGGGATGTTACTACATCCAAGGGCTGAAGGAGCCGGGGTATTTGTCCTCCATATCTCCATTCGTCTTTGGCTGAGAGCTGTTCCCAGAACCCAACACTTCTAGGCAGCTTCGAGTGTAGTTTGAGAGGAAGCTCTCTGGCAGAGGTGCAGGTGCCTCAGTAGGATGGCATGGCATGTATGAGAACAGTGGGTGGCTAAGGGACCTGAGTGTGGCACTGATAACATCTGCTGTAGGGGCTGAGTGAGAGCAGAGAGAAAGGACTCAGATTGCAGTTTGCTTTCAGCTTGATTTACCTCTGAACCAGCAAAGAAGCAGTACAAAGGACATATGTGAGATTAGGAGTCACAAAAGTAAATGCAGGTATTCAGGATGCTTTCTTCCCTCCCTGCCATGCTCTGCCTTCCTGGTTTGTCATGGACATGCACTTGAAGTCTGTGGTCTCTGAGACTCCGACCATGTGGGATAAGCCTAGAGCTTCAGGCTTATGCCTTTTAAGCCTTTAGACTGAGGGATGGGTGATGGTAGGCCCCAGGGCCCATCTTATTACCTTATATTCTAATGTTTGGATGTTAATTATCTTCTTTGTTCCAATTTTTACTAAATCACTGGGTCTATAGCATGTCTGGTTCTACTATAAGATCAATGTCATAGATTGGTTTATAGTCCATCTTGCTCCTAAAACTGATTTGAGATGGCTAAGAAAAACACAAGTAAGATGACTTATAAAAATATCAATATAAATAAATAGGAATATCAGGGGAAAGGAAACATCTGAAAACAAAAATAAAATCAAGTAAGAGTTAGTACAACATCCACGTTTGTTGTGCACTTTGCATACTTGTGAGAACCGAGCCACATTTTTGGGGCTCTGAACATTCTGACATTCAAAGCAAAGAAAAAAATTATCTAAGAGAAGGAAGATGATCGCTTTAAAGTGACAGAGTATTCCTAAGATTAAAACAAAATAAAACCCTCAAAGATAGAAAACATCAACAAAAAGCAGTTGATGAGAAGTACAGTTTTCTGAGACCTAAAAGAGGACACCGAGTGTTCTGGGAAGATAACATCTTCAACACCAAGCTTCAACATCAAAACATATGCTTAATACAGGGGTGATTATTGTTCTATTGTCCCACTGTTCCATTGTTTCTTCAACGGTTCTGTCTGTCCCCTCAAAGCAAACTTTGGCGTAATGCCAAAGCAAAATTTAATAAAAGCATTTTAGGATGCAAATCAACGCAACTCAAGCATACAGTTTTCTAATTGTTTAGTTTGAATGAAGGACAGATTTAGACTATCCAGAGAAATGGATAGAATATAGACTCTTCAGGAAATCTATGCATATTGTTTTTTACAATTAAGCTTTTGATATAAATCTTTAGAGAGCATCGAGTCCAAGGTAATGTTCTCTGGAAAAATTATACAGTGAGTTTTTTTTTGTGCAATCAGTTAAGGACAGATTCATATGTTTTGGCAATCAATCAACCAAAGGATAGAACTGGTACTCTCTTAAGAAAATTATGAAGTGTAACTAGGATATATGCTTAATAAATGACTTCAACTATCTCTCCATAGAGAGATTTCCACACTGTCTATTATACTGCTAACATTTAAAAAATTTCTGTATTTATAGTCTATAGGTTTAGCTGTTTTTTCATCCTTCTAACTGAAGGATTATTATTATTATTTTTGTGGTTGTTGTCTTGGTATGCAGTTGAAAAGTGTCGTGTAACAAAAATATTTATGGCATGAGCATTTTGATATCTTTTTAAAACCTGTGCAATGAATTGGCTTCATAGCCTGGCATTTTCAGGGAATGTGTGAGCAAGCAGCCTCATTATTGATAAATATTTTAAAACACGTGATATTTACCCAGAAGGTCCCAATGGCTCAATGTGCCTCCTGCAGAAATGGCATGTAATAAAAAACTCCAGAATGAAATTTCAGAGGAAAAAAGGATACTGCACTTAAACAAAAATTCAATAAAAGAAATGTTAGAAAGTCCCCAAAGCATTCCAACCAAGTTATGGATTAATTGCTTGGCACGTTTCCTTTTTTAATTCCAAGCTGCCTTTTTGTTAGCTGAGTAAACAAAGCATCTAGAATAAGAACTTCAGCCAATGATGACAGCCCATTAACATCATGACTGATAATAATGATAATTCCCAAAGGCTTTGACAAGGTCCACACATCAGCAATATTTGACCAGCAGGGACTGAGTTGAGAAAGAAGGAAAAAAGACTCTTGTTATCCCTGCTGATAAAAAAAAAAAAAAAAAAGTGAATTCAGTGGGCAGAATAAGGGCCTGTCTTATGCCTGGACTCCCATACTGTTGATTCAGGGCTGCTTGTGAAGGGGGCTTAGGGAAAGAGCTTGCAATCCGTCCTGTGAAGTATAGGAAAGGGCAGAGAAATTCTTAAATCCCAAATCCAGAAGTCTTTCTAAGGCTGTTATAACAGTAGGTTTTAGGGCTGGAAAGCAATTGATTGCTGTATCACAAAATTGGGAGTTAATACATTTGTTCACACCTCAAGGAAAATGTTTTCATTAGAGATTATTTTATTTACATAATGTAGATTCTATCTCCTCCTTTCCTCCCTGAATTCTCTCTGAGTTCCAAAAGAGCAAGGGCCCTGTCTTGCATATTGTTTGCAGAAGGTGTATAGTGAATATTAAACAATATGCAGCCACAAACAAGGGGCATTCAGATTAGGTTTGTTTAAAAAAACCAACAGCGACCGTACAGCACTTCTCCTCTACCCCCACCCTCCAAATAACTGTGAAAATAAATCAAAACTTAAATTTTGGTTCTAAACTTTTGGCAATGCCCTATTGTGTACATTATCATTCTTTCTACTCTCTGACTTTTCACGAAGATACCATGATGGAGAGATGCATTAAGGAAGAATTCTCCTAATGCATTGGGAAACCATCTCTTGAGAGGAATAGTGTAAGATAACCAACCCAGAATCTCTTCCACCTTCAAATTCTTGGCATTGTACTCATATAGTTTAAAGTAAAAACTTTGCCTATATATACCAAAGAGGAACACCGTTTACGCCTACATTTCATGAGTGAGATTGCTGCTTGCGTCTGTGAATGCCTGAAACTGATGGCGAATATGGATGCTCATTATTTTTTATCCTCTCTGGTTATTGCATTTTTACTGAAATACTGAGTTATCTCCACCCATCCTATTTTAACCTAGGCCAAAAAGGAGTGCTCAAAAAAAATTATTGGTTTTTATAATCTGAAAGGGACAGTAGAAATCAGTTAGTTCAACCCTTTAATTTGACAAATGAGAAAACTGAGTTCTAAAGGGGCTTTGTATCTGATCCAAGAGCATGCAGTACTGAGATGCAGAGCTTAAACAACCACATCTTTATTACGGAGCACATTAAAGCAGTTAAGAATGAAAAGAAAAGATCCATCTTTTGGAAAACACAACTGTCTGTGTATACTGGGATTATGGCCAGATACTTTGTAAGCTGTTTTCGACCTAAGGTTTAGGTTTAGGATTAGCCACTGGTGACTGCTGGAAAAATCTTGTCAAAGACTTTTATAATAATATGTAGTTCTATTTTCTGGATTTAAGAGAAATTTGATGCATCTTTTTCTTCCGCAAATATTTGTTGAGCAACTATTCTGGGTAAGACATCATGCTAGGTGGGATGAGGATATGCAACAATGCAAACATCATGGCCATTGCCAGGGACTTAAAGTCTGGCAAGGGAAATAACAAAGTGAGACAAGTACATAACACAAATCAGAATGGGATTTTGGCCTCTTAGTGGCATAAAGCACAATGGGAAGTTTGGAAGAGGAAAAAGTAGCTTTAATTGGGAAATGAGAGAAACATTTCTTAGCAGATGTGGTCTTTGGCTGGCACTGAATGAGGATGAAGGATTTGACAGATGGTATTGAGGAAAATCCTTCTAGGAGGAGGAAAATCAAGGAGCAAAGACATAAAAAGCATAGGATGCTTTGGGGAAATCGCAAACTTAGTGATTTGATTAACGCAGTGGAGAATGGGAAGAATTTTGGTGGATATGAGATAGGCATGGGACTAGAAAGTGGGGGCCTTCAACCACAAAAAACTAAAACCCAAATTTGATGTGTTGCTTTTTATTGCATTACATTTTAAAAATCTCCGGGAAGCAAAGTGGGTTGAATAGATATAAACCCTTTCCTTCTAAAGAATCCCAAGGAGTTTAATAATCCATTGAATTTAGATGTCCTTTTGTCTATCTCTAGAATGAATTAATCACTTAACCAGTGTATGACTAGGAGGCTGCAGAATCAAGCAGGGTTATCCATCAGCAGAATACAGTTTACATCAAGCAGTTCAGGTAACTGGTATATATCAGGAGATGCTGGGACCCCCAGATCGTGTCTCACATGACACAGGAATCAACTTCTCAATCACCTAATGAGAGGCTGGGGATAGGAGAGGAGACGATTGTCTTGAGTTTCAGTGTTCATATTTTTTCTCTCCTGTCAGTTCATTCATTATTCATTGAACAAAATTTAGCAAGCACTCTTAATGAGTCAAGCAATGTGCTAAGGACTGGAAAGCAATAATTTTAAAAAATGATGTGGTTCTTGACATTGTGCAGTTTGAAGTCTAGAAAGGAAGACTTGAAAGGTTTAAAAAGCCAAAATCATGCAGCCCTAAAATGTATAAATGCTGCGGCCATTGGCGGGTTCAGCGACATACAGAGTCCAGGCAGTTCTGAAAGAGTGTCTAGGCTGAGACTGGAAGAATGAGGAGCCAGCAGGAAGGCAGAAGTGGAAATAGTCTTTCACACAGCGAAGACTGAGGCAGGAGCACAGGGCATTTGGAGAAGGAGAAGAATTTCTGTTTGGCAGGAGTGTCGATGAGGCTGTAGAGGGTGGCAGAGGCCAGGCCTTGAAACTCTTTGTAAGCCACGTTAAGAAATTTGGACCAGAGACATCTTCTTTCTTCCCTTGTTTTCCTTTTTTTTAGTTTGGCTCTGTTTTGTTTCGTTGGACAGTAATTCCGGAAGTTTAAGTTCAAAGCTAGGAATACATATATAAGTAGTTGGAAGGAAAAGCTATGATAAGTACTGTAATTATTTTGAACTGTGTTGTCCCATTCAGTAGCTGCTAGCTACAAGTGACTCCTGAGCACTTGATGTGAGCCTGGTCCAAACTAAGAGGTGCTGTAAGTGACAAATGCAAACTGCATTTTGAAGCCATAGTACAGCAAAAAAGTCATAACTATCTCAATAATTTTCACACAGATTATATATTGAAATAACAATATTTTGAAAATGTTGGTTAGATAAAACATATCATTAAAATCCATTTTACTGGTTTCTTTTATTTTCCATTGTGGATATTGGAAAATTTAAAATGACATATATGGCTACTTCTGTTGGACGGTGCTGGGTCAAAATAATTCTGACGTTCTTTTTAAGAGTAAGGCAAGCAAGCACGTGTAATTAAGTACTTCACGGAAATGCCTTCCTGAGTGTTCACTAAGGAAATGAACACTGGCAACTAGTTTGACCACAGGCTTGAGCCTATTTAAGAATAATAACGTAACAATCTTCTAGGATCATTCTTATATTTGAATAACTTAATGGGAAAATTATGTGTAATACAAATATGTATTTATTGTCAGAAGATCTTTATTTGGCAATAATTTATTACAGCTAAAAATAATATAGTTAGTATTTTATAATTAAGATTTCAAGAAAGGTCATTCAGATCTCCTAATAAATCTAAATTAAAGAGGTTTGAGTTTATTTCCTGTGGCTTCATCCATTGGCTTCTCTTAATTCATTAAGCTGAGTACTAATGTTACAAAGATGAGGCCAAATAAACAGGCAAAATGCCTCCCAACTAAAACCTGTTAGGCAACATACTTCTAAAAATATCCTGATACAATTTAGGTTTAAGAAATGAGCACATTGGCTCATTAAAGGTGTGAGAGGTTGGGATCCTGGAATGGAGCAGAAGTTAATTATTATTACTATTATCATTATTGTTATTTTTATTATGGGCAATTTGTTTTAGCTGTAACTGTAGCACATTTTATAAGGCAAGCAGGTGTGCATGGCAACTGGACCACTCATTCCGGGGTGATGGCAGATGAAAACTGTCCATCCCGCTGTCCAGTCAAGTGCTCTGTGGGCTGACGGACCTCAACAGAAGAAGCTGAGGAGATGCTTGCAAACATAACCCCAGATTTATAGGAAACAGCTCATTAAGCTCGAAATCTCAAGTGCCCTTTTTAAAAAAGCAATGTTCACACTTAAACCAACTGTATTCTCCACTTTCCATGGAGGGGAATCTAGTAGAGAATGCATGATTGACCTATATACCAAGACAAACAGTCCGCCTTTCATTGCAATAACAAGAGACAGAGACAAGCATGCGTGTTTTAATATGGGGAACCTTATGTCTGTGCAGTGATTCATCCCATTGCCTGTTCTGCCCCTCCCTACTCTCTTTGCCCCTCATAGTTCCATAGAAGACTGCCATAGTCATTTATTCTAGGCCCAAACAGGACCTCCTTCCAATTCATTTTTAAGATTGGGCATCTTTAATTGAGTCATCATTATTTTATCTAAACATAGAAAGTAAAACCAGAAAATTTCCTAAGCTGCCATCATACAGAAGCTGTAGGAAATTGATTACAGAGAAGGCACAGAGGCTGTTGTATTAACTTTCCTACAAGAATGCCTGATTGTTTTAGGATTTCAGTATGGTAGATGGATTCCTTTGGTGAGTACAATTTTAATGCATGGAATAGGGCTTGTGATGGCCTATTCACTTATAAAATAAGGCATTTAGTAATGTAATAGTCTTAACATTTAAACCTCAGATGTATTTCCATGCACAAATGGTTAAGAACTCAAAAACAAGTAATTATCAATAGCATATGTATGCAATAAGAAAAGCATCAACTGAAAAAAGTTATATTTATGACATTGGCAAGAAAGATACATTAATTGACTGCAGAAAGAAGCCAACATAATATTTACTCTGCATTTTCAAAAGGATGTAAAGAAGATCCTAGAAACTTAAATGCACTTAACTTTATTTTGGGAAGAAAAGCCCAGGGGAACACTAATCAGAAGAGAACTGAAGAGAGTCTGTCTAGAGCCTTCTGATTTCATTTTAGATACCCAGATGGAACCAATAAGTGGATAGTCTCACAACTAATGCACAAGATAACAGTTTTGGGTGTGTTAAGAGAGCTGTGGTTTTCAAAGTGGTGGAGAGTTAATAAGAGACTTCTGAGTTTAAACTTTCTGTAATGCTGGACATGATCCTGCCTTTCCTCATATAAGGCTATTTTTAAAATGTTGGATTTTCTTTATAAAATTAATTCTCTTCTCTTCCTAACTCTGCTTACCAAAGTTGCAACCACATATTAAGGTTGAGCTCAAATCTATATATTTGAAGAGAATACAGATTTGATTCTCAACCCCAGCTTTACAGAAGGCCATCTTTCCTTTCCATAAATGCCACAGCCATTCTCTCTCTCTCTCTCTCTCTCTCTCTATCTCTCTCTCTATCTATCTATCTCTCTCTCTCATTTTTTATTCATTATATTTATGTGCTGGACTTATTTCCCTTACTAGATTGTAAACGTTTAAGTGTCAGGCTCTGTGTCTTATTTGTTTTGATCTTCTGCGCCCCCCTCGCTCACTCCCCATCCCAAAGTGCCAAGCAGAGGTTTTACACATGGAAGATGCTCAATAACTATTTGTTGAAAGAATCAATAAAAGGAGTGCTAAGCTTGCTGTGGAAAGGATAACGTATCAAAGATCTGGCTTCCTAATAATTTAATTCTGTGAGTCAGCTATAATAGGTCCTTGATATTATGACTGATGATCTTGTGTGATCACACTCCGAAGCCATCCATTTGATTCTCCGACCTTCCCTGCTGAAACCATGAACTCCCTCTACTAAAGTGCTAAATAGATGGAAGAAAAATACCTGAAATGCAGAAAAATTAACATAGTTTTGAGGAAGTTGAGATAGTTCTTGAGGTCATTGTGTCATTCTCTCAGGGTGGCACACACAAAAATGGAGAATACTTTACAGCCAAACAAAATTTAAAAATCATTAATAAGAAAATGCTATTTTAATGAACATGGTTTATGGGAGGAAGAGAGAGAAAAACCCTAGATTTTCTTTTCTTTCCTTTCTTTATTTGAGACAGAATCTTTCTCTCTCTTGCCCAGGCTGGAGTGCTGTGGTGTGATCCTGGCTTGCTGCAACCTCTGCCTCCTGGCTCAAGCGATCCTCCCACCTCAGCCTCTTGAGTAGCTGGAACTATAGGCACACACCATCACGCCTGGCTAATTAAAAAAAATTTTTTTTTGTAGAGATGAGATCTCACTATATTGCCCAGGCTGGTCTTGAACTCATAGGCTCAAGTGATTCTCCTGTTTTGGCCTCCCAAAGTGCTGGGATTACAGGCATGAGCCACTGTGCCTGGTCAAGATTTTATAATCTGAATCTTACTTTCCAGTTACCTTTATTTTGTGTGTATATGTTATGTCAAGTAACAATGAAGACATAAGACAAATACTCAGAAATTTCTACCTAAAATTATTTTTGTTTGTTGTATCTAGCTAGTAGCCAAAAGTGCTTAAAGAAAACCCTGAATTATCTTGATGATTTTCTCAGTTTTATGCTAATTACTATAATGAGAAACCTAATGACCTCATCGCTCCTCAAGGAGAAATTGTTTGGCACATCAATTTCTGGTGGAAGGATGTAGCACATACCATGGTTTTAAGAATATGTGGCTCCTAGCCCAGGTTACAAAGCTTGGAAACTATTATGGTAGAAGAGAGGCATCATCTTGCTATGACAAGGTCCTTCTGGCCATATTTTACATTTAACCTCAGTCTTGAAATAAGCATCAGATTTCCTTGGTGATTCTCCCAATCTATCTGTTCTCTGTATCTTGTTTGCCTCTGCCATGTCCTCTGAGGAGCTCTCCAACTTGGCTTCTCTTTCTCTTATTTCTTGCACTTCCCTTAACATCATGTGCTTCTCTGAGAATAATCCTTGTCTAAATCAGGTTAGCTGAACCGATCAGATTGTTTTCTCTTAGCTGGAGAATGATCCTTATTAGTCCAGTGGTAGAGGGAAGATGCATCTTTTAGGGACTGGGTCTTTCCCCAGAACCAGAATGTACCCTACGGTCACAGCCAGTCCCATGTCCAGATCCCATCTTCCTCTAGGGTGTGGTCTCCCATGTGGTCCTACCTCCTGAGCCACAGCACTCTCTGGGGCCCAGAGCTCAGGTCCTCCCATGTGCAATTTTGCAATATTACCAGCCTGTATCCTGCTTTTCAGCTGACTTTCTGGATCAGTGTCATTATTATTTTCACCAGAAAATTCCAGTTCACAATTATGGTGGGTGACAGCTTGCTCAGAAAGAATGAATAATTTTCTTCTGTTTCAGTTTGCTAAAGAAGGTGATGTATTCTAGGAAGATAGAGGTCTTATCTCAGTTGGCTAAATTCCAGTGTTAGAAAGGCCAACTTTACAGGGTCTCATCCCAGATGGACTGATCAGTAGGCTTTGCTCTATTTCTATTTTTTTCCCAAGCATTCTCTTTGCCTCTGCCTTCTCAGTTATAGTATATGAAAATAGTGTTTTATGTCTCATGAGGCTGTTGAGATAGTAAATGAATTAATACTTTAATTCTTGAAACAGGCATGAAGAAAATTATCAATATATGGTAGCTATTGTTATATCATTATTATTGTTATTCATTCAGTATTTCAACAAATTACTTAGTACTTCCTATGAACCAGGCTCTGTGCTGGGTGCTGGCTATTCACAATGAATTGATCACTTGAAAGAAGACCAACAAGGAAGGAGGGAGAGATTGACAGGGGACAGAGCCAGGGCCACAGACTAGGGTAGGCAACCCTCGTGGTTTGCCTACACTGAGGAATTTCCTGGGATGTGGGACTTGTGACGCTAAAACCTGGACAGCCCTGGGCAAACTAGCATAGTTGGTCACTTTAGCCCAGACTGTGCCCAAACCTTGGCCAACCATCATCAAGATGGAAGTCCTAGGGTTCAAAGTGAGAGAGCCAAATGATCTCTTCTCTCAGGGAAAGACAACTCAAAGGCCAAGAGCTACTGAAAATGGTTGTTAACATGGACTTTGAGAGACAGAACAAATGTACTGAAAGCCCTCACAATTAATTTGCAAATTAAAAACTATTTATCAACTCATTCAGTCCAAATAAATCTGCCTTGCCCCCTTCCAGATTTGGGATTAACTATGTAGAAGATGCCAACTTCAATGGGTTTGCCCCAGCTTCCCTTTAAATGTGTTTCTTGTATTCTTAAAAAGGTGGGTTTCAAGAGAAGAAATTTCTAGCTAAATGATGCTTACATTTGGTTCTAATTCCTTTAAGACCTCAGTTAATTACTATTGAGACTCTTTATTGTTTGGGAAGGTATTGGTGTCCTAGAGTTCCTTGTACTCTTTCAATGACGGAATTTAAGACTTCTCTATTGTGATGGTTAATTTTTTGGGTCAATTTGACTGGGCCATGGGGTGCCCAGATATTTGATCTAACATTATTCTGGATGTGTCAGTGGAAGTGTTTCTGGATGAGATTAGCCTTTAATTGGTAGACTGAGTCAAGCAGATGGCCTTCTCTAATATGGGTGGGCCTTGTCCAATCAGTTGAAGGCCTGAATAAAACAAAAAGGCTGAACCATCCATGAGTGAGAGGGATCTCCTGTCTGATGCTTTTGAGCTGAGACACTATTTTCTGTTCCTTAGCTTTCAGACTCAGATCGAAACATCTGTTCTTCTTGGGTCTCAAGCCTGACTTCCTTTAGAATGGAAATGCACCCTTGGCTCTCCTGGGTCTCTGGCTTGCCAACTGCAGATTTTGGGACTGAACAGCCTCCATCATTGCAAGCGCTCATCCCTTAAAATAAAGGTCTTTTTATGAATCTATATAGAGATCCTATTGATTCTGTTTCTCTGAAGAAGCCTGTCTCATACACCTGTAGTTAAAAAAACACTCCAATTTTTATTTCTTTTTATATATATATATGGTATATAATAAATATAATATATAATTAAATATTTTAATAGGTCATTAGAAAAAAGACAGATGGGAAAGGACTAAATCTATACTCTTTTAATTTGCATTTCCACAACAAATTGAAAAAAAAAGAGCTGTAGGAATTTGCTTCAGTCAAAGTTAAGGTCATTCACTACGGTCTTGGGTCTGTTGTGCTTTCTTCAGCACTACAACAGCTTTCTCAGGAGTAAAGTAACTCAGTTGCTACAGGCAATGGGAAAAACTGACTGAAGGAACGGTGCATGTGGAATTTGAAGGCTCCCAATCTTATCTTTGGATATAAGTGGATACAGTCATTTCTAACTATCTTTATTTTTCTTTTGAGGCCCATGTCAATCTTTTTCCCTGGTGCATTGGGTTTCAAAAGAACCAAGCACTCGGCTGCGGCTGGAAGTAGTCTAAGAGGTTAGCTGGCACCCAGCCTTCTAGTACTCAGATGATACAACAGAGCCTCCAGAGGGGAGGGTGAACAGACAAAAGACCTCTTAGAACCCAGCTCTTGGCCGCTCTCATCAGCATTCTTCTTTTCATACCAAATGTGGGAGGGACACATATTTCCCCCTCAAACATTTTCAGTTTCTATTTAGAACAGTCCAGGTAACAACAACAACAAAAATGTATACAGCACATTTTTTTTCCCTAAGAATAAAAAATAAGTTTGTGGTAATTTGCTATGTAAAGGGCAAAAGAGTTCAAGACAATATACATAATGTCACAGTAAATAAGATTAACATGTGTGTTTTCTCTTTAAAAATTAAACTCCAATATCAGCTCTCATATCCTCCTAATAGTAGCCTTTATCGTAGGCTTTCATTAATATTATTCAGATATAATTTGCATCCAATAAAATTCACCAGTTTTAAGTGTTCAATTCAGTAAGTCCTGACAAATGTAAACACCTGTGTAATTGCCATCTTGATCGTAATATAGAACATTTCCGTCCCCCCAAAAAGCTTCCTTGGGCTCTTCTGTATCCAATTCCTGTATCCATGCTATAGCTCTGGAAACCACTGTCCTACTTTCTGTTACTACAGTCTTATCTTTTCTAAATTTTCAAATAAGTAAAATAATATATTATAAAGTTTTTTATGTTTGGATTCTTTTACTTAGCATAATGATTTTGAGTTTCCTAAATCTCTGAAAGTTGGCATTGTCTCTTGTACTCTTATATATATATATGGGCCAGATACATATTTGTCCTTTTAGACTTTTTCCATATTTTGTATGCATACATGTATATGTATAGAAGCAACATAGTATTGAGGGTGTGCATGTGTGTTTGAACATAAGTGGCATAATCTTCTGCAATAATCATTTTTACTCAATATTATATTTCTGGGTTCATTTCATGTTTTTATAATAGATCCAGCTCATTCCTTTTCAGTGTTGTGTAGTATTCCACTGTACAAGTCACCCACAGTTTATTCAGCCATTGCCTTGACAAACAACGTTGTCATGACCATCGTCATACGTGTCTCCTTGTGTTCTATACAGGAATTTTTTAGGCAGACATTGCAAATTGGAATTGCTGGGTCAAAGCATAAGCTCATTTTTAGTGTCAAATGACATTGCCAAACCAAATGGCTTTGTTATAAGCTTTGTAAATATGTCATTAACTTGCTGTCAGCTAAGTAAATAAAATTTGTAATAGGTGGTTCTGTGAAATTTGGATTTTACATTCATTCACCAAATGTTTAGGAAACATTGAGTTTGGGCCAGGAAATGCTAAGGGCTGGGATGTGTTGATCTATTTCTGGATTCTCCTTTCTCATGCAATAGTGCCTTCTGGAAACACTTTGGATGGGGCCTGGCACAGATCGTTCAGCCAGAGCAGGCTGCTCCTTCCTGCCCGCTCTGTCTTCCTATCACATCGACACAAGTGATTCCTCTCTCTTGTAACTCAAAGTATCTTCTGCATTACTATTTGTTTAGAATCTGGTACTTATCATGTTGCCCTTGCGTTGTTAGTTATCTTTTTATGCTTGTAACCAGGATAACTATTAGCGAGCTTCCCTGGGCAGTCCTTCTAGGAATGATATCGAACAAAGTTTGGGACCATGCGGGGAGCTGGTGGGGGTTTAGAGAGCATTACTTTCTTTTTATTGTAAAAAACACATAACATGAAATCTATCCCCTTAACAAATTTTTAAGTGTATGGTATGGTATTGTTAATTATATGCACATTGCTGTACAGCAGATCATTGGAACTTTTTCATCTTGTGCGGCTGAAGCCCTGTGCGCAGAGCGACTGTCTATTTCCGCCCTCCTCACCCCTGGCAACCACCATTCTACTTCCTGCTTCAGTGAGTTCGACTGCATTCGATAATGAGGAAAATGGAATCGTGCAGTGTTTGTTCTTCTGTGCCTGGCTTATTTCACTTAGCATAGTTTTGTTTTTTCTTGGGTTAGGGCTATGGTCAGGGCAGATCTTGTGACCCCCGTATAGAACATATTCTCCTTTGGCTGGTACCATGGGGCCTGAGTGGAGGGGAATAGCTGTGTTAAGGGCCTATTTCTATGATAGATGCTTTCTTCACATGACCTCATTTGAGTATCTTAACATCCTAAGAAGGTTCAGTGACCCAAGTTTAACCAATAAGGAAAGAACCCAAAAAGGCTGTTCCCCTTGATCTAGGGTCATATGGCTAAAAGGTGGGGATGCAGGGACTTTAATCCGGGTCTTTTGCAAACCGAAGTTAGTGTTTTTAAACAATAGCCTCATGCTGCTTTTCTGTGGAGGTCTCAGTCCTCCAGTTTTTAGTTATGAGATCCAGAGATGGCATGATTTCTAAATTTGTGAGTCTTTAGACAAGCCTTTGAAAGCTACATGTTAGCTTCCAGATCTCCTCTGTCGCCTGTCTTCCATGGACTCAGTGTCCCACCTGCTGTGACCCACCCAGGAGACCTGGGAGTCCTATTTGTCTCCTCTTTCTCCCTTATATCCAGTCCATATGAAAACTGAGCAAGAGCCATTCCTTACTTTTAACAGACTGTGCTAATGTCAACTGTGGTTTTGCACGTTTCCAAAAGTTAAATTTCAGCTTTGTAAGTGAGGCTTACTGGTGGTGATAAACCAGTGCTCCTCTGAGCATGAGTAGGTGAAAACCAGCTCTACACAGTAATCCCCAAACCCTTCCTCAAGCTCCTTAACCCCCCATTCCCTTTTATGGTGTTTTCCTAACCTAAGCTGTCCGGCCTTCCGGGGAATGGAGTACCCCTCTAGTTACTGTCCTTACAACAGGTGAGGGAAAATTGCTCATCCCCCGTGAACATGAGCAATAGTAAACATGAAGACTCATTAACTTTCCTTGTTATTTCTTCAAGATTTCTTCCATTAAGCGTTCTATTATCCCGTCAAAATCCAAAGTATACTCCAGCAGCCCTTATGTAGCCAAATATACTATGGGTCCATTCATTTAGCATATTGTCGTTTTCAGACTTTATGTCTTGTCAAAGAAAGACACTCACAGAAATAAAACAAAAGAACAGAAGTCTCCAAATGAATGGGCTCGCTTCATGGAGGAGAAAGTTGAAGTATTAAAATCGCTCATCAGATGTTCTGAAAAATCATTTCAGCTGCTCCAAAAAAAAAAAAAAAAAAGAAACAAAATTTTATTTTGAAGGATGTGTTCCAAGAACTTCCCCTTTGATTTTTTTAAAAAACCATCTGTCATGTTTGTTTCATTCCAGCCTTGAAGTAAATAGATTTAGAGAGTGTGCGGCGGCCATTGAAACCTTCCGCAGAAGAACAGAAACAGCCTGCTCTGTCAGTGCCCTTCTGGTACACTTTAATCAAAAGGCTTTGAAATTAAAAAAAAAAAAATTCCGTAGACATTTTGCTTGAGTTTGGAATATGGTGTGCAGAACACAGAATGTTATTTTGACCTATTGTTGAATGTCTCAAAACTTTTGCTTTCAGCAGCAAGGAGAGACTTTTTATTGGCACCGGGGAATTTATTTCTCCTTTTTATGTTTGATTTAACAACCTGAACACAAGACTTCATTTTTCTAATAGAAGTGAGCCTTGGGAATGCAATTCTTCACTTAGAATAAAGAAGCTTGGCATTTTGAATCCTCTTGCTTATTTAACCTCATGATGTAGCTTTCACTTTCTTATTCTACCACGAGGAGTTTGTCCTACCCCCATCACTTCAGCCCCTCCCCATGAGAATCTCCAAGGTATTTGGATGCTTTTCCTAATAATATCCTTGAACTTGATGCTTTTGTCCCTTCAAAGCCACATGGAAAGACCCATGAACTGGGCACAGCTCCCTCCCATAAAGCAGATTGCTCCCTGGAATGAGGAGACTTTCACAGATCAATAACGGCCTGGGAGCATGAAAGAAAACAAGAATGTGAGAAACTCATTATAATATAAAAATATTCTAAATAAATAAATGGCAAGAACTAACATGCTCAAAATAATAGTGTGGAAGTGACTGACAAAGTGTGAGCTTGTAAACTCAGATACATAGCTGTGCAAAACTCCGTGATGATTAAAAATGATGATGCATATAGACTATTTCCATGATAATTCGTTTAAAATAGATGGGCCAACTCCACCACTTATGTGTGTAGATAGAATACAAATTAACATACTTTGTAGGATGTGAAGTAGCCTGATAAATACCTAAAAATATCAAGGATTCCTTAAAATGTAAAGGAAACTTAAAACTCAATGTGACAACATTGAAATATTTACAGAAGAAATGCTACGATGTTTGGGATTCATTTCAAAATAATCTGGTCTGGGTGTTAAGAAAGAGAGGTCAGGTGGGCATTCAGATGGAAACTGACTAAGTACTGATCATCACTGGAACTGTGTGAAGGGCACTGAGGGAGCATTACACATTCCTTGTACTTTTTATATTTTTGAAATTTTCTGTAAGAAAAGTAAAAGGATTGGAGGGAAATCAATGTAACAAACTGCAGCGTATTTAAATATTAGAGTGTTTTATAAGAGACGTTAAGATAGCAAAACACAGTTGGGTATAGTTTATTTTACAAGGTTCCCCCTAAATATTGATAAATAAGACGATAGACACATGAGGGATGACCATTAGAAGCTCCGATGCTCAAATCAACAGAGATTAGAAAGCACAGGAAAAGATGTGCCAAGTGATTCATTTTCATAGAAGAATGATGTCTTAGAATTCAAGTATTTGCATGTTTTATTATATCCTCGAATAGAGGGTAAGTACCTTAAATTGATGGCTTCATTTCTTGAATAACTTTATACCTATCAAAGAACCTAATATTGATCATTGTCTGTAGTAAGCTCTTAGTACCTATTTGGGTATTGGGTGAATTATAACTGTAAAAATTAATATGTGATTAAGCATTTTAGATTCTCAACTGTGCCTGGATTCCTTATTTACAAATACATGTGCCCCAACAATATTAAAGGCAGACAGATGTCACTGTTTTTATTAATAAATAAGAAGAGCATAATGGAAAAAAATAACATTTTTTACTCCCCACTTTCCCCACCTTTTTAATTGGATCTTGGAATGCCCTGTGCAAAGATATATGTAATTTAGAGCTGTTTGACAGGGTGAGCTCGCATTTTCAAGCTAAATTGAAGGGGATGGCTTATGTCACTGACAGATCTACTAGGGTTGGTTTTTCCAAAACAATATTCTGTGAAAGCTTCAGATTTTTCAAAATGCTTTCAATTTAGTGATGTTGTTGGAAAAATATTTGCTTCCAAATCAGTGTGCAGTGTAAAACAGAAGGGCCCAGGCCTTGCTGCTTTGCATTAGCAGGAATGAGGAGTATTATTACAGCCGTTGATTCAAACAGTGTTTCCTGCCGCCGCGGAAGCTGAGCAGTTCTGTAAAAAGTAGGAGGCGATTGCTAGAGTTAATTTTCTTCGAGTCGTTGAAAATACCAAAGCTTACGTTTTAGTAGTGGATGGATTGATAGCTCAAACTGTGGTTGGGAATACTTTGGTAAACATCTTGATATTTTTACATCGTGTCTGACCTAAGAGTTGAAAAAAGAAATGTACGTATGTGCTTGGTTACGATTCTGTTACAATTGCAGTGTGCAGTAGCTTCATCCCCACACCTGGAGATGTTTATCTAGAACCTTAGACATGAGCTTATAACCTTGGAAGTCTTTCCTGCTTGGCATCAAAGTGAAGCTGACAACAGTCTATTTATTTTCTTTTCTGAGAAAGAATATTCTGGAAGAAGTCGATGGGAAGAACATCTATGGACAGTCTTCTGAGTGATGCTCAGAACAAAGTTTAAAATCAGGCATTTTCACTTCAAACTTTTCCATCCTTCTACCCTGAAAAGAGACAACCTGAAGTTTCAGCCCCCAGGGCAGGAGCCCCAGGTGGGTTAAGGGGAGTGGGCTTATTGGACATGGAACCCTTCTGTCTGCATACCCCTTTAGCAGAGTCAGCTTGGGGCTCCTGATGGCAACTGCTTTCAAAATGACTATTTATACCACCTTTAAAATAAAATGCTAACACAAGAGAGATATAACTGAGGGAGTGTCACTTAAATTATATTTTTAAATGACTCAGCAGACTCTTTAGTTTCTGGGGATAATTATGGACTTCACTCGCTTTCAGCAATTCAGAAAAATTTGACTGTGAATCTAATTCCTCAGACTGGAAGCAAAATCTTTGGGTCTGGAAAATTCCCTGCAGAAATAAGTATTTGGAATAGGAGGTAACAGAGGCTGTCCTTGGTCTATTCTGAGACGGTGACACTTGTCTGTTGTACTTTCCAAACTCCTCTTCTAGGCCCTATGGTGTCTCCCCGCTTCATTCCTCTCAACTCCTCATGATTTTTCTTTCCTTTTCTCCTCTCCTCTTCTCTCTTTTCTTTTCTTTTTCCTCCCTCTCACCCTTTTTTCCTTTCTCCCTCTCCTTTTTCCTTCCTTTCCTCTCTTTAACTCCCTTTCTCCTATATCATCACATTCTTTTTTTTCTTATCAAAACTTACTTCTTGTAAAACATCTGAAAAAAATCTCACACAGATAACTAAAATATGACCCCTCGTTGGCACACAAATATCGGGAAGTTATCTGAAAAGAAATAAAAAGTTAAAAAACGAACAACTAAGCCTGAACTTCAGTATTTTAGGCACCAAAAATAATGGATAAGGAAGGTGTATTTTAGAGCAGAAGAATTTGTCCTTGAGGCAATTGGTGACCTGTGGGATCTTTGGGTATTGAAATACTGTCACCCACATCTCTAACCTAGGGGAAGCTTGTGCACACTTCAGAAGAAAGGACAGGCCAAACAGAAAATAGAAAACCGAAAAAGTGGACTTAGGGAGAAAATGGCCTGAAATACCTGGAAAGCCTTAATGTTTAATGAGTGTGTATGTGCTTTCACATGAAGCAATTTACAACCAGACAGCGAAGAGCAAGTGAAGTTTGAGTCCAAGTAGCTGAACAGCTCCTCGAAGTTTGCTATGTGTTTGGCTATGCCCTTTGGGCTCTTCCGCAGACTTGCCCGGTGCTCACAGTTGGACACCTACTGACAAATGCACCTCAGGGCCTGGTTAACACATCTGTCCAGCCTATAATTTGGAAGGCATAATTAGTATTATTACAAAAGCCAGGAGCACATTTGGCATTCTGCAAAACCAGATGAAAATCCTGGAGTTCCCTCCTTTGTGAATTGGGGTGTGACAGCCCCTGTCCTCTGGCTGCCAGCACCATGCCTTTGATCTGGTCTATGAATCTGGAAAGGCTCTTTAACCAATTTGAAGCAGGTAGTGCTGTGAACAGAGAGTCACACCCACGCTCATGCATGGGACAGGCTTTGGGATCAATTTATATCAGAGAAAACTTCTCAGGATTTGGAAACTGAAAAAGAGAGAGGCAGATGGGTTCCACTGAAACTTTATCATCTACTTAGAGCATATGGGGTGGCCTTTCTCTACCTTTATAGGAAGAAACTTAGGTGTTCTTAGTGGAAATTCCTGGGACTGGGCTCTAATTCAGGCAAGACCCCCAATTCAGGACTAGGTAGTGAAGGTGAAGGGGGAAAAAGAGAGATAGAGCCAAGAGGAAGCTGACATGTGAGCTACCAAGATGGGAGGGGGAGAAGAGTTTTACATTAAGATACCAGTTTGAAACAGGAACTGTGATCTACAAGTATCTATGTTTAAATAATGTCTTCCTTTGAAAACTCAGAGTTTTGGCCAAACGCGGTGACTCACGCATGTAATCCTAGCACTTTGGGAGGCCGAGATGGGTGGATCATTTGAGGTCAGGAGTTCGAAACCAGCCTGGCCAACATGGTGAAACCCCGTGTCTACTAAAAATACAAAAATTAGCCGGGCATGGTGGTGTGCACCTGTAGTCCCAGCTACTCGGGAGGCTGAGGCATGAGAATTGCTTGAACCTGGAAAGCAGAGGTTGCACTGGGAGGCGGAGGTTGCAGTGAGCCGAGATCTCACCTCTGCACTCCAGTATGGGCAATGGAGTGAGACTCTGTCTAAAGTCTAAAAAAAAAAAGAAAACTCAGAGTTTTAATACCTGATTTTTAATGGCCTGAGGCAAAATGGGAAGGTACCAGGAACATTGGATCCTTCTCCTGAGTCTCCTCTGATTATTCTGACCTTTAGGGTTTCAGAAATAGCAAACCATGAGAGAAAGAAGAAGAGGCAGGGGAAGGAGGAGGAGGGCTGTGCCACTCACTGGAGTTTGTTTGTTGGCAGCAAGCTCTGATCTAAGAAAATGAAACTTCTGAAAGCAGAGGGCTTGGTGTGAACAGGTGTTCTAGAAATTCCACCAAATTTGTTCTGTAGTTAAAGGGCAATCCATGTAAGTTTGGGGTTTCTCTTTCCTGATGCATTACCACTCATTTCAGGAACAATATTTACTCTAAGGGCTTGTGAATGCATAATTTTCAATGAAAATATTTGTGCTTCTATTTCTCTTTCCATTTAACTTGTGCTGAGTCATTTACATTCAGCCTCTGGTGATGTCTGTTCTAGCTACCTTCGACTCTCTAATATGCTTTTCTTAAAGGAACAGCACAAGGTCATTAATGACTTGCAGGGAACAAGTGGAAAAGAAGTTCCAGCATTTTTGGGTACATGGATAAAGACTTCAGTGTTTGTTTACACCGGCCAGTACGAGGGAGACTTTAGATTCTGCTTCCAATAATTCCAAGAGGGCTAAATCCCAAACTCATCTCGCTTTATTGCAATAGAGTTTATAACTGAAAGTGACCTGCCTTAATATTTCTGTTTTGCTTTCATCTTGATGACCCCTGTGTGGTTACAGATAATTAGCAGGATCCTCAGACCAGGTGAGGGGTAATTTCCCTTCTCTCATCCCATACCCATCCATGGCATAAGATGATATTTCACAATGGAAACCTGTAAAAACTCTGAAGCAGCTGAGAACATAAAACAGGATGGTGCATGAAATCACCTACTTGAATTGTGTAATCAAAGATATTGCAAATATTTTCAAATTTTCTTCAAGGCAGAATACTCTACAGGAAAAAAAGAGATAGGTCAATCTCATTTCTGCCTGAAAGTTTTTCTCTCTGTTTCTACGGGAATCCTAGGAACCCTGAAATGAAATATAGGAATCTGTGAGCTCTTTTTATTCAAAACCCCTGATGGATATTGCATACTTACCAGAAATAAGATTGCACCGAAGTTATTCACACTCAGTGTGGTTGATCTGGTCTAAAGTTCTTACTGACTGTTATCTGGGTCTGTAATAAATAAAATGTTGAAAAACAAGGTAATTTTTTGTTTAGTAACTTTTTAGACGACTAAACTTTATAAACATTAGGTTTCATAGAAGAAAACATAATTTAAAAAGGAAATGCAAATTTCTGTGCTCTAATAGGCCATTTGTCATTAAGATTTTTGGCTGTAGAGTACTACAGCATACATCCTGATGGCAACTGTACAGCACAGTACATCAGCATTCTTTGATTTTTATATCAAGATATAACCACAAATAGGTTAGATTCTTTAATGAAAGAATTCACATGGTTATTTAGTGACATTTGGAAGGTATCTCAGCCAACTAACAACCAAAACAGCATGACTACATAGTATACATATATAAAATAGCACTAGATAAAATATTAATAACTTTTTGAACAGAAATAAAAATAATGTGAATTCCAAAAAAGAATAAAACACTCTATAATTCCAAAGCTGGGGGAGCCAGGAGCATTATACAGTTAGTAACGCCCTTGCCGCTTGGTAGTGTCACTTGAGATTGGCCACAGAGCTACTCACTGTTCTTTACCATTATCTTGTTTTTTGTTTTTTGTTTTTTTTAACCTGCCTGAGAATCTCTATGATTTGGAAGACTACTGTACTATTATTTTGACACTTACCATTATTACAATTAAAATTCTGTTACCTAGAAGAGTACCTGGCTCATAGTGCTCAGTAAGCCCTGAAAAATGAATGAACTAATTTTTTTTTTCTTTACATCCTCTAAGGGTATCATCCTAGCATTCATTAAATGGTGATGTTAATGCCCGTCTCAAAATGTGCTGAAAAGATAAATAATATTGGTATTGAAGTATTGAAGTTAGATGTGACCCTGTTATTACATATCTATTAATTTGATTGTGTGTGTGTGCGTGCGTGTGTGTGTGTATGAGAGAGAGGGAGAGAGAGAGAGACAGAGAGAAAGACAGAGAGAGAGAAAGAGAGAGAGAAAGCCTGTGCTTTAAAAATGAGTTTTACTGGCCAACATTGTGAAATTACTCTACTCGGGAGGCTAAGACAGAAGAATTGCTTGAACCCAGGAGGCAGAGGTTGCAGTGAGCTGAGATTGTGCCACTGGACTCCAGCCTGGTGACAGAATGAGGCTCCATCTCAAAAAAAAAAAAAAACAAAGAAACCGAAAAGAGTTTCAAAAATGGGTTAAGATACAAAGGTTGTAGATTTTTATACATTCTTCTATTTACATCTATTCTTATGGAAACAAAGTCTTAATAAGGTGAGTTTTGATTCTGTGAGGTCTTCAGCCACACATATTTTCTCATAAAGTATATTTGTCTGGTATACAAAATTGCTTAAATGAGCCCAACTCTACCCAAGAGAGACTGTTTGGAACAGATGTTCACACCTTTGTTGGATTAAGGCAGTCACTCTTCCCTTTGGGTGTGTTTGAACCGATGTGGGCTTTTGATCCAATTGCACACTTATACCCCAATTTCATATTTAGGATATTTGGTGATCTTTTGTGATTTGTTTATTTCTCAATATTATTACCTAAGATGCAGCCATGTTAGCAAAGTCGAATTTTGCAGCTTCTGAAATTCAAGGTTATATTTTTTAAGTGTTTGGAGTAAATAGGAGAAAGGTCAGGTTTAAATGAAAAGCTTTTTTTTTTTTTTTAACACTCTTATTGCACTCTGAGGATGCTGAAACAATGTCTGTTACTGTTTAAAACTAAACACTGAAACTTGGGTAGGAGCTATTTGGAAGACAAACGTTATTAATAAAGATAAAGGCAGACCACGGATCTCTTTGCAGTCTAAGTGAAAATTCACACTAGTTATCTTTTGTAGTAGCTGTCTGTTTCTCCTTGAGGAGGGAGGATACAAGCCATTTGCCATTTTTCTACCCTATTTTCTATTTTACTTATTTGAGTCAAGGTATACAGGGGTCAAGGCCAGACTTGGAGACTTCCAAGATGAGATTCAAGTTGGGAATTTGGGTCTCATGGAGAGAGTATAAGAGGCCATTTAATCACCATTTTTTAATGAAATTTAGGAATGTCTTCATGGATATTGGTACAGATTAACAAAACAATTGATCCCAATTATCCAAACATTAGACTTCTCATCTATGGAAATAACTCTATTCATGATGTATGCAGTTGTTTGAGGTCTATTTTGTTATGTCAGTCTTCCTCAATAATGAAGATGGCGTATCTTCACAATGTGATAATTCTCCTTGTAAATGATTCCACATCTCTTATTTAGGAATTTTAATATTTACTTGGTAAGCTACGAAGCTTAAAGGTGTTCTGTAAAATGAGAGTATCCATAGCCCAGATTTTTCTTCATTCCACTGTATTCACTCCAAGACTCTGGCAACATGTACCTGCAAATCTACTTAGCCTACTATATATGTGTGTATTTTTTAAATTAGAACTTGGTATATAATAGGAAACATTCTTTAACATCCACCCTATTACAATGTTTTGCAATGGAGAGTGTGGTCAATTTTAATAATCCTCAATTCAAGTGATGAGTTATTCACTTTCTGTGCTTGGCCATTTTGACTTTGTTTCATTGGTGTTCTTGGATGATCATCAGTTTTGCAGAGCTTAACCCTCGGGGATAGAGAAATCCTCTTCCTTCTTCCCTGCATGGTTAAATGGGAAAATCTGCCAGGACTGATGAGCAGCCCATCAGCTATACATGGTCAGCCACAAAAAGACTATAGAAAAGATTATAAACATCTACAGTGTTAGTTACAGGAACATTACCCATAAAGCATGTAATCCTATCCAAACCTTTCTATAACAGTTTCACATTGCACCAGAATTATTAGGATATTTTCTATTTTCAACCTGTGATCCCATGTAATACATAGTCTTGGCATTTCTTATCACGGCCAACCATGCATTTCTCATTAAAAAAAAAAATGTTTGTTCCAAATTTCTATACTGTGCATCCTTTTTGCCTTAGACCAAATGCCTATCACACATTCTCATCATTTTAATTAAACTCGGGCCAATACAGGGCAAATGTTTTATTTTTACTCAAAAGGTACATGCAAATCACAAATTCTATGGCATTCAGAATGGAAATACTTCCTGTAGCCTTCTTTCAGCATGTGGAATGAAACAGTCTGCCAGATTTGTAATTGCTCATCATTAGAGAGGAAACCTGCTGATTCAAAATTAGAAAAATAAACCCATGTCCACCCTATGAGTAAACATCATGCATCTATAGTTTTAAGATCATCAGTCTAAAGAAACAAAAGCCTGGGCCTGGAAGAAGGCAGCCTTTGGTTTTATCCCAGCATCAAGTGAACGAAGAGCTAACTGGCCACAGATGTTAGAACCACTGGGCCACAGGAAATCATACTTGGGATCTGCAATCAGGAACTCTTGAGTTCCTTTGACTCCTCTAGTGCTCTCCCTCTGCATGGCCTTGAGCAAGAAAATTATTCCTTTTCCTGGCCTATAAAATGGAGGAAACACTAAGGAACCATGTCTGCTACACATTTTTCACAGTTTGGATGCCAACTAGGGCCTTCAAAGAGGCAGTTCTATAGTTGCTGAATTCACTTTCATGAATCAAGCTTTTATATAAGCATTGATAACTGGGAACTCACCAAAGAGAAATTCATAATAAAGAATGTTGTCAAAGCAAGCTCCTTAAAGTCCCCTTTAGGGATGTTTGTTGCCCTTAGTGCCTTATAGCAATATTACAAAATAGTATTTTGTGGGGAAAGAGTTTCTGCAAAAATGAATTTGGGATGTGCTTCTCTGTTAGAAACATTGTATAATTCAAAATATTTACAGGCAAAGTAACAGCTTTTTTGACTTTATCACTATGCCTTGGAGGAGGGGTGTGGAGGTTTAGTGGGGGCCTGACTTTGCAGTGTAGGATGCCTACAAATGTTGAAGTGGTCAAAGGGGACAGGTGCCATTATTAATGTCCAGTGAAATTAACCATAGTATTTAGGGAAATTGAGGGTTAAGCAACAATGAGAACAAGGCTTGCCCCTGAGTTTTTCTGAGCCTCCCTTTGGCTCCATTACCTTCTCAGTGTCTGTATGCCCTGGATGAAA
This sequence comes from Homo sapiens, assembly GCF_000001405.40. Classification (NCBI taxonomy): domain Eukaryota; kingdom Metazoa; phylum Chordata; class Mammalia; order Primates; family Hominidae; genus Homo; species Homo sapiens. The sequence continues at coordinate 56,369,383 of NC_000018.10, read as the reverse complement.
TGCTCAATTATTACCATATTTACCCAAGTACCGTTATGAACAACTTGCAATCAACTGACTCAACCTTCCATGCAGTGCAGCTGTCAGTTCAATAATATATTTTACATGTTTATCTCATTAGGATTCATAACATCTCTATGGTATGGATGTTATTGTTATCTCTGCTTTATAGATGAGAAAACAGAGGCTTAGGGAATTCAAGTGACTTGGCTTAGGTCACACAATAAGAAGCAAAACCAGAATTTGAGCTATAGTTTTCTTTACTCTATAATCACACTTTTAATCACTCTGCTACACATCTTTCCTAATTTAGAAGTTCATTTCATTATTGAACATCTCTAATGAATGCATTAAACTGAAATCTGCCTTTTGGTCTAGTTCTGTACTTTGGAGTAACAGAGAACTAATCTAATTAGACTACTCACATGCTTCAACACATATTGGGCCTCTGCTATTTTCCAGGCACACTAAAAATTAAGCTTCTAAAAATTATTGTTAGATCATGGCGGATGGGAAGCAGGACTAGATTGCAGCTCTGTACAGAGCAGCATGTGGAGGCTTGCATTGTCAATTTTAGCTCCAGATCAACTGCAAGAACAAACCAGCAATCCTGAGTGGAACTGCAGACCCTCCGTAGGAAGTGGACTGCTCCTGCAGGACCCAAGAGACACTTCGAATACTGTGAATGCTCCAATTGCAGAAGTGGGAAAGGGAGACCCTCCTCTTCCGAACACCCCCACTGGAGAAGCTGAAGGTCTGTTTGTGGGAGAAATTACAACTTTGCCTGGAGCTGAGTCAAGTTAGAGAGCTGAGTGAAATACAGGGGTAAAGGAAGCAGTGGAGAGGCCCTGGGAGCTCGCTGGGTCCCCAAGCAGCCCATTCCTGCCTGGCACCACAGGGATCCAACAGGAGGGTGGCCAGAGGAGTAGGGGGTAAAGCTCCACAGGGAGAAGGAAGTCTCTAGCTGAACTTTGTAACAATTTGCATGGGGAGAGAAGCCTCCTGGCCAGAACTCAGGGGAGGGCACGAAACCGGCTTGCAGACTTCACAGGCGGGGGATGAACTAAGGCCTTTTTCTTTCGCAGTTGGGAGGTGGAAAGCCTCAGGCAAGTTTTCAAGCCTGTCTTGCCCTCCACCTGGAAACAGACTCTGGGCTGTTGGCGGGGGCATGGTGGGAGTGAGAATGGCCCTTTGGTTTGTGTGGGAGCTGGGTGAGGCCTGTGACTGCTAGCTTTCCCCTACTTCCCTGACAACCTGCAGGACTCAATAGAGGCAGCCATAATCCTCCTAGGTACACAACTCCAGTGACTTGGGTATCTCAACCTCATCCCCCATAGCAGCTGCAGCAAGAACCACCCAAGGAGAGTCTGAGCTCAGACATGCCAGCCCCGCCCCCACCTGATGGTTCTTCCCTATCCACCCTGGTAGCAGAAGACAAAGGGCATATACTCTTGGGAGTTCTAGGGCCCCGCCCACCACCAGTCCCTCTCTACACTACCACGGCTGGTGCTCTCCGGAAAGCACCACCTCCTGGTGAGAGGCCAACCAGCACAAAAATAGAGCATTAAACCACCAAAGCTAAGGACCCTCAAAGAGTCTATTGCATCCTCCACCACCTCCACCAGAACAAGCGCTGGTATCTGTGGCTGAGAGACCCATAGACGGTTCACATCACAGGACTCTGTGCAGACAACTCCCAGTACCAGCCTGGAGCCAGGTAGACTCACTGGGTGGCTAGACTGAGAAAAGAGACAACAATCACTGCAGTTCGGCTCACAAGAAGCCACATCCACAGGAAAAGGGAGAGAGTACTACATCAAGGGAACACCCCATGGGACAAAAAATCTGAACAACAGCCTTCAACCATAGACCTTCCCTTTGACAGAGCCTACCTGAATGAGAAGGAAACAGAAAACCAACCCTGGTAATATGGCAAAATGAGGCTCATCACACTCCCCCAGACTCACACTAGTTCACCAGCAATGGATCCAAACCAAGATGAAATCCCTGATTTCTGAATTCAGGAGGTTAGTCATTAAGCTAATCAGTGAGGAACCAGAGAAAGGCAAAGCCCAATGCAAGGAAATCGAAAGATAAATGAAACAAAAAGCTGGTTCTTTGAAAAGATAAATAAAATTGATAGACGATTAGCAAGATTAGCCAAGAAAAGAAGAGAGAAAATCCAAATAACCTCCTAAGAAACAAAACAGGAGATTTTACAACTGACACCACTGAAATACTAAACATCATTCAAGGCTGCTATGAGCACCTTTACACACATAAACTAGAAAACCTAGAAGAGATGGATAAATTCATGGAAAAATATGGCCCTCTTAGCTTAAATCAGGAAGAATTAGATACCCTGAACAGACAAATAACAAGCAGCGAGATTGAAATGGTAGTTTAAAAATTACCAGCACAAAGAAGTCCAGGACCAGATGGAATCACAGCATAATTCTACCAGACATTCAAAGAAGAATTGGTACCATTCCTTTTGATACTATTCCACAAGATAGAGAAAGAGGGATCTATCCTTAATTCATTCTGTGAAGCCAGCATCACCCTGATACCAAAACCAGGAAAGGATGCAACCAAAAAAGAAAACTACAAACTGATATCCTTGATGAACATAGATGCTAAAATCCTTAACAAAATACTAGCTAACTGAATCCAACAGCATATCAAAAAGATAATCCACCATGATCAAGTGGGTTTCATACCAGTGATGCAGGGATGGTTTAACATACACAAGTCAGTAAATGTGATACACTACATAAACAGAATTAAAAACAAAAATCACATGATCATCTCAATAGATGCTGAAAAAGCATTTGACAAAATCCAGCATTCCTTTATGATTAAAACCTTCAGCAAAATTGGCATACAAGGGACATGACTTAATGTAATAAAAGCCATCTATGGCAAACCCACAGCAAACATAATATTGAGTGGGGAAAAGTTGAAAGCATTCCTTCTGAGAACTGGAACAAGACAAAGATGCCCACTCTCACCACTCCTCTTCAACATAGTACTGAAAATCCTAGCCAGAGCAATCAGATAAGAGAAAGAAAGGGCATCCAAATCAGTAAAGAGGAAGTCAAATGATCTGATCATTTGCCTTGAAAAACCTAAGGACTCCTCCTGAAAGCTCCTAGACCTGATAAAAGAATTCAGCAAAGTTTCTGGATATGAGATTAATGTACACAAGTCAGTAGCTCTTCTGTACACCAACAGCGAGCAAGCAGAGAATCAAATCAAGAACTCAACTCCTTTTACAATAGCCACACACAAAAAAAATCCTTAGGAATATGCCTAACCAAGGAGGTAAAAGACTTCTACAAGGAAAACTATAAAATACTGCTGAAAGAAATCATAGACAACACAAACAAATGGAAACACATCCCATGCTCATGGATGGGTAGAACCAATATTGTGAAAATGACCATACTGCCAAAAGCAATCTACAAATTCAATGCAATCCCCATCAAAATACCATCATCATTCTTCACAGAGTTAGAAAAAACAATTATAAAATGCATGTGGAACCAAAAAAGAGCCCTCATAGCCAAAGCAAGACTAAGTAAAAAGAACAAATCTAGAGGCATCACACTACCTGATTTCAAACTATAAGGCCATAGTCACCAAAACAGCATAGCACTGGTATAAAAATAGGCACAGAGACCAATGGAACAGAATAGAGAACCCAGAAATAAACCCAAATATTTACAGCTAACTGATATTTGACAAAGCAAACAAAGACATAAAGTGGGGAAAGGTCACCATTTTCAACAAATTGTGCTGGGACAATTGGCTAGTCACATGTAGGAGAATAAAACTGGATCCTCATCTCTCACCTTATACAAAAATCAACTCAAGATGGATTAAGGACTTAAATCTAAGACCTGAAACTATAAAAATTCCAGAAGATAACACTGGAAAAACCCTTCTAGACATTGGCTTAGGCAAGGATTTCATGACCAAGAGCCCAAAAGCAAATGCAATAAAAACAAAGATAAATATCTGGGACCTAATTAAACTAAAGAGCTTTTGCATGGCAAAAAGAACAGTCAGCAGAGTAAACAGACAACCCACAGAGTGGGAGAAAATCTTCACAATCTACACATCTGACAAAACACTAATATCCAGAATCTACAACGAACTCAAACAAATTGGTAAGAAAAAAAAATCCCATCAAAAGTGGGCTAACAACACGAATAGGCAGTTCTCAAGAGAAGATACACAAATGGCCAACAAGCATACGAAAAAATGCTCAACATCACTAATGATCAGGGAAATGCAAATCAAAACCACAATGCAATACCACCTCACTCCTGCAAGAGTGGCCATAATCAAAAAATCAAAAAACAGTAGATGTTGGCATGGATGCAGTGATCAGGGAACACTTCTACACTGCTGACGGGAATGTAAACTAGTACAGCCACTATTGAAAGTAGTGTGGAGATTCCTCAAAGAACTAAAAGTAGAACTACCGTTTGATCTAGCAATCCTTCTACTGGGTATCTACCCAGAAGAAAAGCAGTCATTCAAAAAAGATACTTGCACATGGATGTTTATAGCAGCACAATTCACAATTGCAAAATCATGGAACCAACCTAAATGCCCATCAATCAATGAGTGGATAAAGAAACTGTGATATGTATCTATATACATGCAATGGAATACTACTCAGCCATACAAAGGAATGAATTAACAGCATTTGCAGTGACCTGGATGAGATTGGCAACTATTATTCTAAGTGAAGTAACTCAGGAATGGAAAACCAAACATTGCATGTTCTCACTAATATGTGGGAACTAAGCTATAAGGACGCAAAGGAATAAGAATGATACAGTGCACTTTGGGGACCTGTGGGGAAGAGTGGAAGTGGGGTGAGGGATAAAAGGCTACAAATATGGTGCAGTGTATACTGCTTGGGTGATGTGCACACCAAAATCTCACAAATCACCACTAAAGAACTTACTCATGTAACCAAATACCACCCGTACCCCAATAACTTACAGAAAAATAAAATTAAAAAAATTAAAAAAAATAAAATCTAAAAAATAAAAAATAAAAAGACAAAAACATTACTGTCACTATGCTTTTTAAAATAGCTTTTTTGGAGGCATTACTGACAAATAACAAACTACACATGTTTAAAGTACAATATTCAATACATTTTGTAAATATCTGTGAAATCGTCATCACAATCAAGATAATGAACACACTTTTCACCTTCAAAAGTTTCCTCATGCCTTTAAAAATCCCTCCCTCAAAATAACGGCTTTAATTATTTTGAGATTTATCCATGTTGTAGAGCATATCAATAGTTCATTCCTTTTTATTGCTGAGCAGTAGTACATTGTATGGCTATAGCATACTTTATTTATGAGCATTTGGGTTGTTTCAAGTTTTTGCCTGTTATAAACAAAGTTCTAAGAACATTAGGATTCAAGCTTTGGAATGGACATAAACTTTCATGTCTCTTTAATAAATACCTAGGAGTGGAATAGTTGGGTCATATGGTAGGTGTATGTTTAACTTGTTGAAAAGCTGCCAGTGTTTTCCAAAGCAATGCTAGTATCTTGCATTCTCACTTGCAGGGCTTCAGTGTTGTAGTCACTCCAAATTCTTTCCAATGTTTGGTATAATCTTTTTAGTTTCTAGTAAGTATGTTGTTGTATCTCATTGTGGTTTTTACTTTGCATTTTTCTAAGACTAATTACATTGAAGAGTTTTTTAAATGTTCATTTGTCATAATATACCTTTCTGAGCATAAAGTGTCTGTTCAAATCTTTTCACCATTAAAAAGAGTGGGATGTTTGTTTTCTTATTATTGCATTTTAATACTTTCTTATACAATCAAGATACTGGTCCTTTATTAGAGATATATACTACAAACTTTTTTCTCTCAGTCTGTGGTTTGTCCTTTTATTCTCTTAACAGTGTGTTCTAAAGAGTAGAAGTTTTAAATTTTGTTAAAGAATAATTATTAATTTTTCTTTTATGGAACATGAATTTAATGTTGCATCTAAGAAATCTTTGCCAAATCCCAAGTCACAAAGGTTTTCATCTATTTTCCATCTAGAAGTTTTATAGTTTTAAGTTTTACATTTAGTTCAATAATTCATTTTGAGATAATTTGTATATGTAGCAAAATGTATTGATCAGGTTCTTTTTTTTTTCGCATACAGATATCCAGTGCTTACAATAGCATTTGTTGAGAAGATTATTCTTTCTCCAATGAATTGCCTTTACCACTTCATTGAAAATCACATATGCCCATATATGTATGGATCTATTTCTGTAATTTGTATCCTGTTCCATTTATCTATTCCTCTGTTTAAGATAAATACCACACTGTCTTGATTGTAATACCTATTAAGAAGTTTTGAAGTCAGGTAGTATTGGTCCTCTAAGCATGTTATTCTTTTTCAAAGTTGTTTTGACTATTCTCTATTTTTTGCATGCAAAGAATGTACAGTTCCAGAAGCAACTAGCCACCAGAGTGCAAGAAAAGAATAGAGAAGAGTCAAAACAACTTTGAAAAAGAGTAACATTTTAGGCTGGATGCAGTGGCTCACACCTGTAATCCCAGCACTTTGGGAGGCTGAGGCAGGTGGATCACCTGAGGTCAGTTTGAGACCAGCCTGGCCAACATGGTGAAAACCTGTCTCTACTAAAAATACAAAAATTAGCCAGGCATGGTGGTGGGCACCTGTAATCCCAGCAACTTGGGATGCTGAGGCAGGAGAATTGCTTGAACCTGGGAAGTGGAGGTTGCAGTGAGCAAAGACCATGCCACTGCACTCCAGCCTCGGTGACATAGCCACACTCCATCTCAAAAATAATAATAATGAAAAAAATAACATTTTAGAATCAGTTGGTCATTTGTTATTAAAAAATAAGCCTCCTGTGATTTTTTATTGAGGTGAATCTTTTATTGAATCTAGCTATTAACCTAGAGATATTTGATATCTTACAATATTGAGTTTTCCACCCCATAAACACAAATATTTCTTCTTTTATTTAAATCTTTAAAATTTTTCTCAGCAATATTTTGTAGTTTTCAGTGTATAAGCCATTCACATTTTTGTAAAGATTTATCTCTGTTTCATATTTTTGATGCTATTAGAGAGATGGTATTGATTTTTACATTTCAATTTTGAATTGTTCCTAATATGTAGAGATAGTTGATTTTGTATAGATCATCTACTATACAATCTTACTAAATTCATTCATTAGTTTTAGATTCTCTTGGACTTTCTATATAGACCACGATGTCATTAGTAAACAAATATAATTTACATCTTCCTTTTCAATCTGGGTTCCTTTTATTCTTTTTCTTGCCTTATTGCATTGGTTGAAATCTCTAATACGATATTGAAAAGAAGTTGTGAGGGAAAACATCCTTGTCTTATTTCTGATGTTTGCAACTGTTTTTCTTGTTTTATGTTTTGCAGGGAAAGAGCCTACATTTTTTCCTCTTTGGATCCCTACTCCTTAGCACATTATTTAGGAAATAGCAAATATTCAGTAAAGGGTGATCAAAAAATTAATGTAAGAAATGTGGAATTCACTTCTTACCCACAGTTAATGGGGGAGAGAAGAGAGACAGACACTGGAATACAAAGTTCTACTACAATATGAAGGGGCTTTTATGGATAATAACAAGGTATAGAGAGGGAGAATGTCTAGTCCTCTGCCCGTGGCAGGGAGCAAGAAAATGAAAAAGGATTCATGGAAGGTCTCTGGAGAAGGTGTTCCTGAACTGGATCTGGAGGGATCAACAGGCTAGAGGAGGGGGAGGAGCACTTGAAGTAGAAGAAACTGCACAGGTAGAGACCTTACAGCCTGTTTTGGAAAATATAAGAAATGCAGCATGGGCTGGGTACAGTGGCTTATGCCTGTAATCCCAGCACTTTGGGAGGCTGAGGCAGGTGGATCAGTTGAGGTCAGGAGTTTGAGACCAGCCTGGCCAACATGGTGAAACCCCATCTCTACTAAAAATACAAAAATTAGCTGGGGATGAGGGCATGTGCCTGTAATCCCAGCTACTAGGGAGTCTGAGACAGGAGAATCACTTGAACCCAGAAAGTGGATGTTGCAATGAGCCCAGATCGTGCCATTGCACTCCAGCCTGGGTGACAAGAGCAAAACTCTGTCTCAAAAAACAAATAAATAAATAAATAAATAAATAAATAAATAAATAGAAATGCAACTTGAAAAACATTCAAACATTTGGGTTTTTAATCTCCTCCATTGTTTTCTTGTCCAGATTCACAGTCCAAGTTATCTCGAGTGTGCGCCCCATGAAATAATTCCTGAGGCATTCACCACTCTGGTTTCTGACTCTGGAGACTTTCCAGCTATCTTTCTCAAAATAGATCCCCCCTCCACCCCTGAATTGAACCCAGTTCCAGGTGCAGCTAGCCAACCAGAGTGAGGTGCATATCACTCTCTCGGCCTGAATATTGCAATTACAGGATCCAAATGAATGTGACCCACTTACCCACACCTGCCTCCTCCATATATAATTTTGGTGTTTTAAGAGAACTAAACCTGGCAGTAAACACTACACCACTTTCATTACATTTGATTCAGAATCCCAACGAGTCTTGCTTGTCTTGTAATATCTCTTGTTACATAATCTAGCCAGAGCTTAAGTACATAAGGGTTTGCTCATTTATAAGGCTCTACTTTGTCTTTCTGGGGCAAAGCAGTCATTTTACTTCAGTGGAAATTTCTAGGAGATACTTGAATGAAAAGGCAGTCCTGAGGCCTTGGGGGATTATGCTGCTGTTCTTCCTAACATTTCTTAGGAACTTTGATGAAACTTAGTGGAACATAGTAGTTTTTACTCTATACAGTGGAAGATAATATTAAATACTTCTGGTATAAAATAATTACTAGAATTTGTCTCAGTAACATTTTGTGTCTTAAGTACACAAGTCTTTAGTTGAATATCCACCCTGTAAATTGTTCTTGGAAAAAACATGCTTTTAAAGTATTTTCAAAGTTCTACGGGGTGGATGGTAAGGTCCTATATCAATACATTTTATTATTATTTATTATTCCTTGTTTACTTTTACTTCTCTATAGAATATGCAACTCAGCAGGTAGTTCTTTAGATAAAGAGACACAAACACTTTCCCGCATACACTGAAACACACACGTGTGCATACAGGCAATCATGTGGGTACAACACTCACAGACACACAGAGAAGAGCCTCTTTATCCACCACTGTAAGCTAAGGTATCTTAAGAGAGGATGTGTCCAGAGAGGGAGATACTTTGTTAGATTCTGGGAAGGGAGGAGTTTCTTGTAAGGGCCTCTGGAGGGACATCTTTTCAATGGGGCTTCTTTGTTTTGTTTAAGTAAGGTCAGTTCCTCAACATCAGACCTATCTTTGTCAACAAGAAGTCACGGAAACACATTTCAGAATCTACAGCGAAGGGAAGTGGAGAAGGGTCAGATGCTGCCCCCTTTTGTGATCCTGTGCGGCAAGCTCTACAGGACCTTCAAAGGCTTAATTTACATACAACATTTAAAATGATCGGCTTTGTTTACATATCCTGGTCTATTGGTACTTCCCAAGGAATCAGGGTGGCTGAGTATACCCTGACTGACCTCCAAGTCAAGATCAGACTGGGGAGACCACATTAGGAGAGGCCACATTTGGGCTCTGAGGAATTGCACTACCCTCTTCTGATGTCATGCTCTTTTTTACCAGCAGTTTGTATACATCTGCGTACGGTTTATGTCTTTATTTCTTAACTGCATTTAGTAAACCTTTTAGAGCCATATCACCCAATAGAGCAATGACCTAACCATTCATCCTATTACCCTTTCCCATCTCCTCTTACCTTAACAATTAAATGAAACTGAACTGAATCAAATTGGTTGAAGAAGTTGCTGTCAGCTAGTCCTGAACCAGTCTTCCTTTTCTTTTTTTTTTTTTTTTTCTGCTGTAACCTTAGTAGCCATCCAGAACTAAAGCTTTTTTGGTCTACTCTTCTCTTAGTCCATTGCTTGAAACTTGTTTTTCCTTTGGAATAGTGACTTCTCTGTCTTTGAGAAGGAGGCAGCAAGAGGAGGTGTATTAGTCCATTTCATGCTGCTGATAAAAACATATCTGAGACTCGGGGAGAAAAAGAGGTTTAATGGACTTACACTTCCACATAGCTGGGGAGTCCCCACAATCATGGCAGAAGGCAAAGAGGAGCAAGTAATGTCTTACATGGATGGTGGCAGGCAAAGAGAGAGGGTTTGTTTAGGGGAACTCCTCTGTTTAAAACCATCAGGTCTCATGACACTTATTCACTATTGTGAGAACAACACGCGAAAGACCCGCCCCCATGATCCATTACTTCCCACTGGGCCTCTCCTCCAGCTCATGGGAATTGTGGGAGTTACAGTTCAAGATGAGATTTGGGTGGCAACACATCCAAACCATATCAGGAGGGATTCTGTGAGGTACCAGAAAAGTAGGGAAGTGGTTAAGGGTGAAGAAAGAAAAAGAGGTGCAGACCTTTGATCAGTTTCAGGTATCTCATACCCTATTCATGGCAGATACTACCACCAAGTGGTAGTATAATATACTCACCTTTCCCTGTGTGGGCATATCAGGAGTAGATGTCCTCTATGTAGCCGGAGACTTGTGGATCAAAGCTGAGGAGGGGATGTTTGCTGGCAACAATCTAGCTGGTGTTGGGCTATCCCCAGCCCATTGCATTTTGCACAGCTGTGCTGTACCATGGCCTTGCTTCAGCTAGGCCTTGGCCCTGTATTTTAGAGCTTCAGGAATGCCTGCATAGAACCACTTCACCATCGGGCATACTTAAGATTCTTTTGTGTCCTCTAGGTACATCTTCCTTCTAGCCGGCCTTGTCTAAGAATACAATGTCCCACCCTGCTACACTACAGATTGTTCCCTGACTCTAATGGAACCAGAGGGGATTAATTCCAGAAGAAACTAGTGAAGACTATTTCCTCCTAGGCTCTCTACTAAGTTGCTATGGAGTCTTTTCTGAATGTTTACAGGATACCTTGCCCCATGCAATTCCCCATTTTCATGCTGGTTAACAAGAAGTGGGGGCAATGTTCTGGATCTGAGGATAAAATTTCTGACTCTCTAGCAAAGAAAAGCCCTAATGTCACTAGGGAAGTGATATAGACGAAGACAAGTGGTGACTTTCCTGAAACTCAACCAACCACAGCTGCATTAAACCAATGACCTGAGAAATCTGGTATTTTGTTAACATATAGGATACAGCCCAATATCAACACTCTGAAGGAAAAACATGTGTGAGAGGCAACTTAGCTTCTTCCAAACATAGGGATAAAGGCTGACCAAGTATCTGGAAATTTAAGACAGAGATACAAATAACACAAGGTCAATGATTGCTGACCATGTCTCTCTTTGCAATAGGCAGAACAAACTCAGAAAATTTCTCAGCCCACAGAAAAGCCACCTCCACCCTATTCATTAAATTAGAGAGCTATATGTTTCACAATCAATTGAGAGTTGAATACTCCTGATTGGTGACATCGAGTTTAATTTCTGGGTCATTTTTCTCATAGTCTGGTTTAGTTCAATTCAATTCAGTTCAATCCAAAAAAATATTTATTAACCCCTTACTGTGGACTAGACTGTGTATTACAAAGGATATGTGAATGACTAAGTTTCTGCTTTCAAACAACATAGCATATGCTGGGGAAACAAAGATTTTTTTTTTTTCAAAGAGAAGCAAAAAAAAAAAAAAACTAGCTCCATATATGTATATCTCCATCTATGTATCTATAGATGGAACTAAATATATATATTTTTAATCACATTTATATATCACAACATTCTTATCCACAAGGGGAAAAAACTATCCCAGTTGAGATAGACACAGATAATTATGAAAAGAGGGCTGCATTAGGAACCCTCCACCCAATGGAAAGAAAAGGGTGCTCTGGATCCTTCGGAGAAAACTGCAATGGCTCAGTAGACAAGAGAACATTTGAGCTGGTCCTTGAGCACTGAGTAGAATTTAGTCCAGTGGAATTGGGGCATGGGGGCGTTGGGGAAGGGTGAGAAAGGACATTTGAGAGTGAATTAAGGGACTGATCAAAGACATTGGGTTGTGAAATTTCATTGTATATTTAAGAAACAGTGACTAGTCTGATATGGCTTGTATGTAGCATATTGGGAGACAGGCTATAAACGTATGTTAGGGCAGGATTGTGAGGGGCCTTCAATGACATGCCAGTGAGTTTGACTTTCTGATGTTGAAAAAATTAATTTATTCAATGAGTATTTAGTGAATACCTTCCATGTAAACATTGACATTGTGGTTATAGCGGTAAATGAGAGAGAAAAGTTCTCTTCTACAGTGGGGCTCATATTCTAGTTGGGGAGCTAGGCCATTAAAAATAAAAAACAGACAAGTAACTCGGGAAGATAATTTGAAAGATAAATAATTGCTGGGAAGGAAATAAAGCAGGGTGAGGTGAGAGAGATATAATGGAGGTGGTCAAGGTTGACCTCTCTGAGGATGTGATATTTGTGTTGCGACCTAAGGTCAGAATGGGCCTTGACTACCCCTATTCTGTCTTCTTAACTGAGGAGGAGATGTCAGTCATGCAAAGGTAAGTGGGGAGAGATTTTGATGCCAAGAAGTTGGAAAGAACAAACTCCAAGAGAGGAATGTGTTTGGCATGTTTGAGGAGCAAAAGACCAGGAAGTCCAGAGCACAGAAAGTGAGGGGACAATGGTATGAGATGCGGTTATAGAGGGAGCATGGCTTGTTCTTGTGGAGCCTTGCAGGCCATGGTAGAGCTTGGGTTCTATTCTGAGTGTAATGGGAAGCCAGTGTGGGGTTAGACAGGGAAGTAGCACATTCTGGCTTGCACTTTGCTCTGCAGTGAACTGACTGTGGTGTATTAAGGGTAGAAACAGAGAGATCCATGGAGAGGCTCTTGAATTTCAGAAGGTGAAAGACGATGGTGGCTTGCACAAGATGGCACTGCTGGATATGGACAGAAGGTGACTGCCTTGGCATATATTTGAAGTTAGTGCCCACAGGACTTGGTGTTGAATTGGATGTTGGGTAACGGGAAAGAACAACCAAAGATGGCCCCTAGGGTCTTAGTCTGAGCAGGTGATTTGTCATTTGCTGGGACAGGAAAGGCTGGGAGAAAGATTGACTGATTTAAAGGATACATCAAGAGTATTTATTAGGTAGATTATTAAGTTTGAGTTGCTTATTGATCATCCAAGTGGTGATGTCTAGACAATGGCTATTATGTGAGTTGCTTTTCTGACATCAGGGAAAAGGTCATGGTTGGAAATAATGTATTTAGACATGTACTTAAGCCTAGAGGAGTAGATAATGCAAGTTGACTTATTTTCTTTAGTAAAAATCTGTGTGGGTTTTTTTTTTGGGAGGGGTGGGGGGAAATTACTAATGATATTTAAAACTCCATGAATATTGAAATATCTATGAAAAAGATTGCTTAATCCCCAGCCTAATATTCTAAGCCTAAAAACATCATCGATTTGTTAAGGAGGAAAAAAGAATAAAAATGAAAATATTGACTTTGACTAAGTTGTAAACTTTCAAGGACTTGTGTAGTGCAAATGCCTGCATTTATTTCTGTGAATTCTTTATGCTATGATGAGTTATAGGAAGGTCTGGGGGGTATTCCTGGGCCAGTAAAATCTTGTAGACTTGGGACATTTTTCAAAGTTAAATAAATTAGCTCCCTCTATACATTTTTTAAAAATAACTAAATTCCTTGTCAACAGGGAGGAAAACTATAGAAGTTGAAACATTTTTCAACTGGTTTGGTTTGAAGTTGTGGTCTTCTTAATGAGTACATTAGATCTGTTCTATTGTCTATTGGTTGATCCCACAGAAACTATTGACCATTTGACCCAAACCAAGCAAACCCCCAAACAAAACCAAATAGAAACTACTAATACCGTAGTTACAATGGTGTGAACTGTAAATCAAAATAAATGTACATTTTGTATTTAATTTTTTGTTTTTGTTGAGATTAGTTATGCTATCAAGTGTTGAGGAAAATCTTGTTGATGATTTATGAAATATTTTGAGCTCAGTAGAAAAAAAAGGTAGTCTACATATTCTAGTCTAACCATTATAGCATCTTTTAAATTCGAAACTGAAATTTTTCCTTCATGGTTTCTGAATTTCTAATTTTTGGGCCATGGAATTAATGAAAAGAAAATGATTGAGAAATACTACCAGGATGCTTTAGAAGAGAATACTACCTAAAGGCTCTGTAAAGCTAAAAATATTACAGGAATGCATCAATAAATAAGGGCAAAGGACATGAACAGACACTTTTCAAATGAAGACATACATGTGGCCAAAAATCATATGAAAAAAAGCTCCATCAGATGGTATCTCATGGTGGTTTTAATTTTCATTTCTCTGCCACAAGTCAAAACCACCATGAGATACCATCTCACACCAGTCAGAAGGGCAATTATTAAGAAGCCAAAAAATAACAAATGCTGGCAAAGTTGTGGAGAAAAGGGAATGCTTTTACACTGTTGGTGGGAGTGTAAATTAGTTCAGCCATTACGGAAGACACTGTGGTGATTCCTCAAAGACCAAAAGACAGAAATACCATTCAACCCACCAATCCCATTATTAGGTACATACCCAAAGGAATATAAATCATTCTATTACACAGACACATGCATATGTATGTTCATTGCAGCACTATTCACAATAGCAAGGACATAGAATCAACCTAAATGCTCATTAATGATAGACTGGATAAAGAAAATGTGGTACATATATACCATGGAATACTATGCAGCCATAAAAAGAATGAGATTATGTCTTTTGCAGGAACATGAATGGAGTTGGAGACTATTATCCTTAGCAAACTAACACAGGAACAGAAAACCAAATGCCACATGTTCTTACTTATAAGTGGGAGCTAAATGATGAGAACACATGGACACATAGAAGGGAACAACACACACTGGGGCCTTTTGGAGGGTGGAGGGTGGGGGAGGGAGAAGATCAGGAAAAATAACCAATGGTACTAGGCTTAAGACCTGGATGATGAAATAATTTGCATACCAAACCCCCATGACACAAGTTTACCTATGTAACAAACCTACACTTATACCCTTGAACTTAAAAATAAAATTTTTAAAAAGTCACTGAAATGTATACTTTAAATGGGTGAATTTTATGGTATGTGAATTATATCTTAATAAAGTTGTTATAAAAACAATAATAAAAATCATTAAATAATTTTCATTTATATATTTTAATTTTGATAAATAATCATCTGGTAATAAATAATGAGTAAAATACTTCAATAAATATAATCATATTAATAATAATAAAGTGACTCAACAGAAATTTATTAGATTTTCTGTCTCCATGTGGAATCTTTGAAAGGATGCTTTATGCAGCTGAAATGCTCTCTTGCGCCATGTGCAAATGAGGATGAAATAAAGCCTGAGAATGTGGTCAGGGAGACTGAGATGAAATAAGCAAACCAAAAGATGTGAACCAAAATGTAATGCATGAACTGAAGTACATCTGGTGAGTATGCATGCCGCTGCTCTATGCTAGAAACCATTATAAACCATTTGGGGTGATCAAAAAATTGCTGCCCAGGTGCAGCAGTTTCTATTTTGAAAATGAAATAAATCTAGTGGATACTATGGATGAAGAACTTGCAAAATTTTATTAGAAAAATAAATCTGTTTTGAGTTAGAAGATTGAAAAAATCCTAACAAATTACGGGAGTAGAAGTGTTGCAAAACTGAATGCATTCATGTTTATTCAATAATCACACACATGTTCCATTAAGAAATGCAGAAAAAAAGTGCAATAAATATTGACTTTCACAGCAAAATGTAGAAGTATATGTGCAAGGAATAATGAATCCTTTTCTTGACAGTTTGAGAAAAATAGAAACTTTAAGTCATTTACACAGGTTGAAAAATAGAGCTGTCCTCTTTATTAGCAGAGGAAAAATAGTTCAAGTTAGTTGTACAGAGATTATTCATCTGGCTTGATTCTTTACGGCGGAAAAACCAGTCTGTATTTCTTAGGAATGTAGGTTTGCGAATGTAGGCGATCATGGGGCAAGATCTGGGTTTGGAGCTCTTTTTGTTTGGGAGGGAAAAGAAAGCATGGGTTTGCTTCCCCACCCCTCCTATTCCCAACACTGAGGGTCATAGAGGGTTTGGGGCCTTGGTGGAAATTATGTTGTGTTCAAAATATCTCATACCACTTCTCCTACCCCCCACAATATTTCTATCCAGAAAAAATCATGTGAAAAATGAACCTTGAAAGCAAACTTGAGCGGGGAAAAAATTACAAAAGAATATTTTGGGAACACTAATGCTTGCTGATCAGAGTATAACTTGGTTGTTTTTTGGAGGGGGTGTGCAACTAAAGGACATGTACCAAGACCTTTAAAATGTTTGTGGCCTTTAGGCAATCAATTTCATGGGATCATAAGAAAATGATCAGAGATACTTGCATATAACAACTTTCATGCAACCATATTCATACAGTATTTTTTTAAAATAGCAAAAACTTGGAATTGACAAAATTTCATTGGTAAAATGATTTAATAAATGAAAAAATGACTTAACATGGACTACTATGAAACCTTTAGAAATCATGTTGTGAAGAACATTTATTTACCTGCAAAACTATTCATGATGTATTTGTAAAGGCAAAAAGCTGAAACGTTATATATAGTGCATGAAGTTTGGCCTCATTATGTGTGTGTTATGTGTAACTGTATAGAAAAAAGACTGGAAGGAAATATTTAAAGAATGATAACTGCTTAATTCTGGGAAGTGAAACTTTGCATGATTTAAATGATCCTGTCTTTTTGCTTTTTGTGTATTTTCAAACATTCCTATGCTGGTAGTTGCTTTTATACCCAGAAAGGCATGACCTAATAAATGTTTATTAAACAGAAAGGCAACTGAAAAGGTGTATGTGGAAAGTGAAAGGGAAGGTTTTGCCTTAGTCATTGGGAGAAGCAGGCAAAGCAGGCAGAATGTAAGTCTTTGTTTTCCTGAGTCAGTGGGGAAAATCCACCCTGCGTCTCCTGGATCTCCACCCAGCAGGCAGTAGAGTCCAGTCTCTGAATGGGGATCTGAGTCAACAGCTCCACAATGTGAACCTCTGGTTGGACCTAAAAGGGTACCCAATAGTTCAACCTGAAGGAGCTAATCTCTGGAAGTAACCAATCTGTTGTGTGATTCCTGCTGGGACAACTGAGCGGCAGGCTTAACCCTCAACCCCCCGCAGTGCAACGTTTCCATCAGCTTCCCCACTCACTTCTGAAGAGTTCCCAGGATTATCATCAGCTCGGTGGGGAATAATGCAATGAGAGAAATGGGCCCTGGGTTTTGCAGCTCCATGAACAAATGCGGACACAATCACTTGTCCTCAACATCATAAGATCATATAACAATGCTTGGTAAATTGCTTTGAGATCCACAGGAAACTGTGGCATTTCATTACCAGTCTTTAATCGACATTTCTATTCACTCATGTAAGAACCATTGAAAACTATTGGTCTTGAACTTTATATAGTCACCAGCAAGCAGGTCTGGGGAAGTTTCGATGCCAAGATCACAGCAAACTAACAGGATAGGCAACCATAATAGCATTAGGCAAATAAAATCAGTGGAGAACAATGTTAATATTAAGATAAAGGAAATTTATTGAGGTCAGAAATTTCCTGAGAAATAATGATCTATGAGAAGAAACTGAAATGAGTAGGAATATCCCCTACTGCTCTGTTATCATTTCACTACCTCCTTCTATTAGAACACACATTTGAGAGCTGACTTTTATCATCACGTAGACTAATTTCCCAGTTTGAAGGTTTTCAACCATAATACTCCATATAGCAGTGTGAAGATTTTAGCTTTTTAGCAATAATTATTAAGAGGAAATCTTTCAACACTTTTTTTCTATGTTCCACTTACATTTATGCAGGTGTAGTTTGTACTATGGATTGCAGTGGCTCTGCCCTGCACAAAGTCCCAGCATGCCTCTACTATGAAGGAATGGTGGTACACTCTGGAAAGTTTCTACTGGTTTTATATGTAGCTGTTGATTATTGAGTTTTTTTTCACAAGTGTTTGTGTACCTTGTTTGCCAATTAATATTATAGCTCTAGAACTAGTTTTGTACTGATCCACCCATATATCTACCTTTTTTATGCCTTGTGTCAGAAATAAGTTGAGATGCCTTACAAAATATAAAATAAAATTATAAAGTAACAGTTACAGAAAATGAGATAAAGACAAAATAGTAAGAAAGAAGAAATAAAGCTAAGAATGAGTTTAGCAGGTCTTCTACCTATTCTAGAAGTAGGCCATAAACTCTAGTGGCTAATGCATAGAGAGAGAGAGAGTCAGAGACATCAAATCTTGGTCCCTTAAAGCCTTTGGCTTCCCCAGAAATAGTAAGGGGCAGGTACAGCAGGTGAGAGCAGGCCAGCTGTAATGTTTCAATATTCTTCACCAACCTGTTCAGCCAGAAGAGTTTGTTTTATATGGTGTGAGATTCCGCATAAGATTTAAGGTTTAAAAAGCATCCTTCACTAAAAGACATATTTGAAATCCAGAGAATTCACAGTGGTTCTAAGAGTCAAGCCAGCTTGCCTGCAGGTAAACATACCCATTATTTGTACTATGAATGGAGGGCAGTATCCTTAACAACACCTTTGAAGAGAATTGTGGCAGATAATATATGCTCCTAGCTGAAGGTTTAAGTATATTCTCCATCAATTTATTTATTCAACACAAATTTATCAAACACTCACCATGTGAATTGCTTATAGCATGGAGATAAGAGGTAGGTGGTATACGACTGAATAAAAAGTATGTTTTTGATTTTGAGAAATATTCTCTGAGATCAGTCATATGTGAATAATTAAACAACAATACAGACAGTAAGAGTAGAACCATCAAGATCAGACAACGAAAGTTTTGTAATCAGAGGAAAGAGAGTGAATTTTGCCACAGTTATCATAAAGTCTTCTTGGAATGAGACAAACCCGAGTTAACCTTTAAAGAATGTCCAGGGTTCAGATATATGGAGAAACGTGGGGAAAGCACACAGGTATATTGGTGTGCTGAACACACAGATCACCAGAGAGGAAATAAAATAGGAGCTTTTAAGAAAAGATGCTGCTGGGTGTGGTGGCTCAGGCCTGTAATCTCAGCACTTCTGGAAGCCAGGGCAGGAGGATGGCTTAAACCCAGGAGTTTCAGATAAGCCTAGGCAGCATAATAAGACCTGTCTCAAAAAAAAATGTAAATTAGTTGGGCATTGTGATGCATACTTGTAGTCCCAGCTACTCTAGAGGTTGAGGCAGGAGGTTTGCTTGAGCATAGGAGTCTGAGACTGCAGTGAACCATGATCATGCCACTGCACTCCAGCCTGGATGACAGAGCAAGACTCTGTCTCAAAAAAACAAACAAAAAAAGAAAAAGTGCTAAGCATGTGTATTAGTTTATTTCACACTGCTGATGAAGACATACACGAAACTGGGCAATTTACAAAAAAAGAGGTTTAACTGGACTTACAGTTCCACACTGCTGGGGAAGCCTCACAATCATGGTGGAAGGCAAGGAGGAGAACGTCAGGTCTTACATGGATGGCAGCAGGCAAAGTGAGAGAGAGCTTGTGCAGGGGAACTCCTCTTTTTAAAACCATCAGATCTTGTGAGACTTATTCACTATCATGAGAACAGCACGGGAAGGATTTGCCCCATGATTTGATTACCTCCCACTGGGTCCTTCCCACAACATGTGGGAATTCAAGATGAGATTTGGGTGGGGACACAGCCAACTCATATCAGCATGAGTTTTTGATAGGAAAGAGAGAGAGAGAGAAAGAAAGAGAGGATGAGGGAAGACGGGGAGGATTTACACCCTGTATGTGAAGACCCTGGGGTTTACTGATGTTCTACTGTGCATGATATGGCACCTGAAGATGCCAAGTGCTATTTTTCCCCATGGTGTAGAGAATTTATGTGTAACAGACATCTCAGCTACAGAAGGGAAAGAAGACATCCTAGAGTGGAATGAAGTGCACAAAGTAGGGCAAATAGCTTTTGAGATTAAGGCTATACTTACCAATAAGTCTAGTTCAATCACTCTTTTTTTTACAAAACTTCCAGCATTATTCCACATTTTGTAAGATGTTTGATTTTAATAAAGAGTCATTCTTTTGGAGGCAGTGTATTACATAAAAGAATACTGAATTTGCACCCCAGCTATTACTTGTATGGCCTTGGATAAGTAATGGCTTTTCTGAGTCTCTCCCTTTCATCATTTTCAAAATGGAGATAATAATGGATAATCTCCCTAGTCACAGAGCTGTAGCGAGAATTAAATCATCGTTGTATCTGTAAAAGCTGCCATGATTTACGTAGCTTAGAGTATCCCTGGGAGGATACACAAGAAACTAACTGATTGCAATATAGGTGGAGAAGTGATAAACTGGATAAGAGGAGCAGGGCAATAATGGTTAGAGAGGAGAAGGAAGACTTTTTTTACTTTTCACTGAATAGCCTTTGGACTTTCTTGCATTTTGTACTAGGAATGCTCATCACCTATTCAAAACTAAATAATAAATAAGGAATAGACTTAATTATCAGAAAAAATAAGATAACTACACAGTCATGTTATTATCTAGGTCAAGGATCAGCAAACTATGGCTCTCAGGTCAAATCCAGACTGCTGTCTGATTTTTGTAAATAAAGTTTTATTGGAACACAGCAACACCCATTACAAGTTATTTATGGCTGCTTTCAAGCTGGCCACTAAGTTACAACTTCAGACTTGATTAGTTGCAACAGGGTTGGCTTGGAGAGCCCAAAATATTTATTATCTGGCCCTTCCTGGAAAATGTTTGCCAACTCCTAGTCTAGATGTTATCCAATGCTTTGAAATTTAAAGCATCTTGTTCTCTTTTTTGAAAAAGTTATATTTTTATGTGTGCTTTCTTTTCTCTCTTTCTCTCCTAATGAAGGGGGACTGTAGTTGATACCTCTTTCCACATTCTTAGCACATACCAGCGTGCCTTCCACATGGTAGAGCTCAGTGTGTTGTTGATTGAATTTACTTTTCATTCTAATGAACTTGAGAACATTAATAGTTAATTTTGCCATGCTGAGTATATATAATAAAAATTTTCCTATTGAAATTCTATATAATTTCATTCATTTTTAGATGTAGTTTATTATTCTGGTTGTGGCTCAGAAATCTAGGCTTATAGTCAGAAAGTATTGCTTAGTGCTTTGATAACTTATGACTCCCTATATGATGCTGAGTTTGAGCTGAAGTTTCCATATCTGTATTCTGGGGATGATAATACCGCATCCTCCTTGCTCCACAGGGATGTTCTGAAGACACCCAGGGTAGAAGCACTGTGTCATTCAAGCATTCCTGATGGCTGGAGAGCCATCCTCAAAGTGGCACTGGCAAAGTAAGTTTTCTGACTCTTATTTGTTACAAAGGTAAAAAGATGTGGCTATGGAAATGTTCTCCATGCAATTAGGAAAAACAATATTTGCTAAGAGTAAACATGAGTGTTTACATTGATCGAGACTTTTCCTACATGTAGGGCAGTATCTTCATGATAGTCGGCTTTTACAGCATCCTGACATTGACATTCCCAGGAGTGCAGGCGTTAGCAGCACTATCCTTTCTCTGGACTCTGTCTGCTGCCATTAACCCATGCTCCATCCTCCTCTCCAATACTGCTCAAACAGTGGCCCTTTTTCTGAGTGGGAAGCTCATTAACAGGGCTAGGCTACTCACACTTCATACGGAATCACACGGATTGTGCTAGAGCCTTAAAATCCCTTCAGTAGGAGGTTCTGGCTCTTCACTTGCAACAGGTTTATGCTCATTTTGTTAATTCTGAAAATGTGACAAAATGTATGGGGATATTGCAACCAGCATGTGGAAAATCAAGTGATACCTCGACCTCCTGATAGACCGATACCGAAATATAATTAGAATGTGCATCATATAACCATGATGCATAGTGAGCCAAAAGGGGGAAAGGCAGTCAGGAGGGAGTATTTATTTTACAAAGGTAATTCCCAGATCTTAAAGTGATAGTATTGGACATCTTTCAAGTTTTGTTGCTGTTATGTATTTCTTCCTTCAGCACAAATAATATCTTAGACAAAAAGAGAATTGCAAAGATACATGCATGCATATGTTTGTTGCAGCATGATTCACAATAGCAAAGGCATGGAATCAACCCAAATGCCCAACAATGATAGACTGGATAAAGAAAATATGGTACATATACACCATGGAATACTATGCAGCCATAAAAAGGAATGAGATGATGTCCTTTGCAGGAACATGGGTGAACCTGGAAGCCGTTATCCTCAGCAAACTAACGCAGAAACAGAAAACCAAACACTGCATGTTCTCACTTGTAAGTGGGAGCTGAACAATGAGAACACATGGACACAGTGAGGGGAACAACACTTCCTGGGGCCTGTAGTGGGAGGGCAGGGTCGGGGGGCGGTGGGAGAGAATTAGGGAAAAGAGTTAATGTATGCTGGGCTTCATACCTAGGTGATGTGTCGTTAGGTGCAGTAAACCACCATGGTCCATGTTTACGTATGTAGCAAACCTGCACATTCTGCACATGTACCCCAGAATGTTTTTTAAAAAATAAAATAATTTTAAAAAGAGAGAATTGTTATCATAATTTTAAACTTCCTCTGCTTTCCCTTGCCTGAAAATTGGAGATAATGATATTTCCTGTTAATATACCTCTTGAGGATTAGAAAGAAAGTTATATTTGTCATCATGATTGTTGTGATCAAAACCATAGTCAATCTCAACCAGTTACTGAATGCTCTTGATTTTGGCTATTAGACTTTAATGAGTAAATATGAACATAAAGAGTCATCCAGAAAAGGCATTCTGCTCTCCCTATCCTTTCCTTCCTCTCACCCTCTTTTCTTTTAAATCACTAAGAATCACTCCATTCCCAGTGTTTTTGCCAGCAGTCATTTCATAGGAGGCAAATATTACTTTTAAGCAGTATATGCCTGACCTTTAAAAAAATGGTAGATATATGTTTGGCAACTTAGGTTAACAGAATACTAGTACTGTATTGCCAGTCAAATAATGAGTCCATATTCTGTTTTAGCATCTTTAAGTTGTCATTGCAGTCATTTAATATCATTCATTAAAAAGTATAGCTAATTACATTTCCAGTGTCACTATATATGGAAAATCAGAATATCAAATATAATGTTTATTTTTTCCTCATGCAAAAGGGAAAAACACAAATCCTTTTAATTGTATCTTTAATAATAAAAAGGAACATTATCATTACTAGGAGAAAATGTATTACTTTCATGGGGCTTTGCACACCAGCATTTTGTCCTATTCTCTACTATACTGAACAACACTAATTATGGGGGCCTAATTAGGCAAAATTACAGTATAGACCCTAATGAAGTCTCTGGATTCTTAACAAACCCTAACTGTCTTTCCACATCATTCTGAAGTCAGCATTAGTTATGTAAAGCAGCCTAGCCTTCTTTTCCTACCAGCTTGTCTCTGAAATACTTATTTTTCTTGGTTCTCTGGTCAAAGTTTGAAAGGTGTTTTTGTTTTTTAAATTTAGCTTTGTTTTGTTTCTAAATCTGCCTTAGTGCTGTTAAAGAACTATCCACTAAAAAAGATTCCGGACCAGAAAATAAAGGAGCAAGGGGCTGGAGAGGACACTCAAGTCTGTTATTACTATTATGTTGAGGAGTGCCATCTGCTTTATTGAATCTGCCAGTTTAAATGCTAATCCCATCCTTAAACACCCTCACAGACACACCCAGAAATAATGTTTAATTTGGGCACTCCATGACCCAGCCAAGTGGAAGCATAAGATTAACTATCACCTGTACCCCAGTTTAGTCTTAGTATGTAAAACCATTGACCCATTCCAGAGTTTTTTCCTAGCCTCTTGGCTACCTGACTAGCTTCAATTCTCATGTTAAATAATTATCTTGTCTGACCTTCTTGGCTCAGGGACCATCCCTGTCTCTTCTGGTTTTGACATCAGTTGCCCTCTAAGGTTTTGCCCTTGGCACAAGGTGCCTATGGGATTGGGACTACCTACCTAATTGTTATTACTTTTGGACATATTTTCTGTTCTAGTCAGACTGGAGAGAGTCTATGCTTATTCCTGCATCTTTGAGCATTTCTACTTCCTCTCTGCCCCAGTGTAGCCTCCTTTTTCATTTGCCCATCTGAGTGAGTCCTCCTGGTTCCAATCTCTTCATCAATCTAGGCCCAGTACTCCCTGAGGCTTTCCTTGATCCATACGTTTCATGCTGGTCTCCTGTTCAGAGGTCTGTGCTTTTCCTTTGGGTGCATGCTGCCTTTCAATGTTGCTTAGCTGCCTTCCTCCCTGCAGAGATCCCCATTTTTTGGGAGCATGGGCTAATGAAGCTTCTTGGGGATGAGCATCAAGCTTCATAACTTAGATAACGTGTCTAGGATTTGGAAAGTTGAGCTGGGTACCAGAAGTAGGAGATGGAGGGAAAATTGGTTTGTTCTGGAAAGAGGTAGGGAGAGGAAGGGAGAATGCTTTGAGGAGAAGGGACATTGAGCCAGAGAAATGACAAGTGACAGATTTTCTTTCTTTTGTGAAAGGCCCTTTTCTATGCAGTTTTGTCTCTCTTCTATATGCAATCTAAAATCAAGACTACAAAAAGAACAAATGGGCCAGGCGCGGTGGCTCATGCCTGTAATCCCAGCACTTTGGGAGGCCGAGGTGGGCGGATCACCTGAGGTTGGGAGTTCGAGACCAGCTTGACCAACGTGGAGAAACCCCATCTCTACAAGAAATACAAAATTAGCTAGGCATGGTGGTGCATGCCTGTAATCCCAGCTACTCAGGAGGCTGCAGCAGGAGAATATCTTGAACCAGGGAAGCAGAGGTGGTGGTGAGCCAAGATCACACCATTGCACTCCAGCCTGGGCAACAAGAGCAAAAATCCATTTCAAAAAAAAAAAAAAAAAGAACAAATGTCACAATCTTTTGTATCATGAGTTTCCTGTGGTCTGGGTACCACATAATGTGATACCTAAAAAGAGTTACTGTTATACTCTTTTTTTTTTTTTTTTTTTTTTTTTTGACAGAGTCTCTCACTCTGTCATCCAAGCTGGAGTTCAGTGGTGTGATCCCAGCTCACTGCAATCTCCATCTCCCGGGTTCAAGAGATTCTTGTGCCTCAACCTCCTGAGTAGCTGGGATTACAGGTGCACACCACCACAACTGGCTAATTTTTGTATATATAGTAGAGATGGAGTTTCACCATGTTGGCCAGGATGGTCTTGAACTCCTGGCCTTAAGTGATCTGCCTGCCTCAGCCTCCCAAAATACTGAGATTTCAGGCATGAGCCATTGCACCCAGCCCTAAAAAGAGTTATTCTAACTAAACATGGGATCATTTCACATATCTATGGGAGGTATTCAATAAACAATAGTACAATGGGGCATAGGAGTAAATTTCATGGCCTATGTTCCATCTCGATACATACTAGTCAAGTTCTTTAAAAATGAGGGTTCAAAGTACAGAGATAATTTTCAGGGAGGAAATAAATGGAATTTAGTTTATGGTCTCCCTTTATGCCATTTATACATTTATATTTTAATGTCAAACTAAGCTTTATGTGGGAATAAATAAAAGCATCATTCTCAATAATGCAATATTCCTTCTGTTCATGCTATGTCTTGTGAGAATGGCAATGGAGAATGTGCATCCCAACCATGCATGATCTTCATTCATCCTTCTACTTAACCTCACCCACTCTTGGCTTCCCTACTGAGAGATCATTGTTTCTTATCATTATGCTTCTCCCTTGCCTATTCAGCCACACGCATGATCCAATCTTTTCTTGCTAATTTGGATTCTTAGTTTTTCACCTCCTTGGGTCTAATTGCTCCTGAACAACACACTTCTTGTCTTGACAGGCTCCTGGGAAGTTCCTTTCCCACATGTTCCTTCTGTGTGCAGCTTTCTACCTGGTGTATTGTCCTGCAGACCACACATCTTATTTGAGATGGTATTAATCCTATCAGAAGGATGATAACAGGAGTGGCAGGGATGATGTGGTGATAAATTTGACGGAGTGAGAAAGAATAGATGACCCTCTTAAAAAAGCTGGTCCAATGCTCCTGGAAAAGAATGATTTGAATCAAAGAGAGGAATAGGAAAAAGAAAAAAAGGGTGTGTCATTCTAAAGTGAAGTGGAGGAGGAACATTTTCTGGATAGTGTGTACACAACTGCTTTCATTTTTCAGGTAACAGAGGGCCACCACTCATATAGCTGGAGAAAGTCTTTCAATATTTGTTTTTTAAATTAAATCTCCTAAATCTCCTAAATTATGAGTTATGATTATACATTTTGCTTTTCTTCCTGATAGCCTGGAATAATCACCTATACTGGGTTCAACTTATGTGTTTTGGAGGTCCTTATGAGCTTAGGCACCTAGAGATTTAATTACAGAGCTCAACCTTTCTCTGTTATTTTCATAGACAGGCCCCTGTAATCAAGCCCATCCTTGGCAACTCTTCACTGGAAACTCCTTTGACATCCATCAAGTTACTCTCTTCATTAATGCCTTAATAAGTCTTCAGAATCAAAGAACAACTTAAAAATAAACATAATCTCAGAGGCCAGAGCCAAAAAAAGCTGTAAGTTAAAGGGTGTTTGATATGCCACAAATAGGAACAAGAAAACATTGATTAGGGAGATATGAAGGAAATCAGTAAGCCCCAGGAAATATTAGATGAAGTGATGATAAGTTTGGAATTTGGGAGATTTGTGTAAACTTGAACATTAACTTCTAGGCTACCTGCAACATTTTGGCCACACTTAGCTTTCGAAACTTTTGGAAAAGCACCAGAATATTTTTGAGAGACTGCCTCCTTGAAATGGTTAGAATCCAACTTATTACTGAAATTACATTGACAATGAAATGTTCTAGTAATAGCTGAAATGTAGCATGGCATTACTGAAACTCTCAACAAGATCCAGGAAGCTGTATCCTGAATACAGTAGTCAGGAAAGAAAGAAGTATTGGTAACATGCTTCTGAAAACGTGCCCGCTGCTTCTGAAAACGTGATTTGAGTTTGTGTCCATGTGGATAAACTAGATTATTTTAGTAAACAAAAAGCAAACATCACCCAGACCAAAGCCAAAATGATTAAATTAAGTAAAGAAAGCCGTTAAGAACTTACCTAGGTCACGCGCGGTGGCTCACACCAGTAATCCCAGCACTTTGGGAGGTTGAGGCAGGCAGATCACTTTATGTCAGGAGTTCGAGATCAGCCTGGCCAACATGGTGAAACCCTGTCTCTATTAAAAAAAAAAATACAAAAATTAGCCAGGAGTGGTGGCAGGTGCCTGTAATCCCAGCTAGCTACTCAGGAGGCTGAGGTAGGAGAATTGTTTGTTACTGTGAGCCGACATCACACCACTGCACTCCAGCCTGGGTGACAGAGCAAGACTCTGTCTCAAAAAAAAAAAACAAAACAAAAACAAAAACAAAAGCCATATCTAATATTTAGAAAACAGATTGACTAAATGTTTCACTTTGTTGCTAAGACTGTGAGAATACAAGCTCATGTACTAATAAAAAAATTCTCTCACGTAAGAATCCAAATCTATTATCATTTCCATTTGCTGGATCAGCAAATGAACTCACTTCTATTCCTAAAGAAAATAGAAGCCATTTTAAAGGTATTTCTCTGCCTACAGACACACATGCACACCCCAACTTTACTTTTTTTTTTTTGCTTTTACCCCAACTTTTTAAAATCCTCCAAACCTATGTGTATCTACGTCCATTCTTTCTTTCAACCTCCTGTTAGAATAAGGAGTTGTTCTTCCTCCTATCTAAAGTCACCTCCTTCTCTTGTGTTTGGTTTCCATTCATTCTTGCTTTTCAGAACATTTCTGAATATAATCTCTCTGCTCTGTCTTTACGATTCACTTCTCCACTAGTTTTTTTATTCAGCATTTCACTACCATAAAGTCTCATTCATCTTAAAACCATCTTCTTTCAATTATACCTTATCTTTTAGCTCCTGTCCAGTCTCTTTCACCCTTTTATAGCTAAGCCATACCTACTTTCTTCTCATCATTTACTCTCTCCTCAGCCCATTTCAGTATGCATTTAATCCCCATCACTTCAATGAAGTGACTCTAAGTTGCTTACGACCTCCATGTCACTGACTACAATGAACATTCTTCAAATCCCATCATGGTTGATCTCTCATAAATGTGGACCAGTATCTCTTTGAAATATTTGTGTATCTCTTCCTTCTCGATTTTTATTTTATATCCTTGGCTAGTAGTGCTTGCCAACCTCCTTTAAAGGGTCATTCCTTCTTTATCTGCCCATTGAACATTGAGGTCCCTCCAGGTTTGGTTCTATTCTTCTTTCTCTTCTCACTCTACATTCTTTCTCTAGATGCTATCTATCATAGCTGAGTCTTTAGTTGCCATCTGTGTGTCAGAGATTCCCACATGTTGATCCCTGGTTCAGAAATCTCTCCTGAGCTCCAGAACACATGTACCCAGATAGTTTGTAACCTCCAATGGGAGGTTGCACAGGCACCTCAACACTCATTGTGGTTTAGCCAATACTCATGATCTTACCCTTGAAGCCTGACTTTCCCCTAATAATTCCCTGGTTTAGTGAAATCCACTACCACCCACTCCAGTTGTCCAGTTACACCCCTGGGAGCTCTACTTCATCTTAACTTCGCCTGCTGAATCTACCATTAAACCTTTCAAATGGGAACTTCTAAATATCTTTGGAATCTGTCCATCTCCCCCCATCTCATTTTCTTCACCCTCATCCAAGCTAATATGATCTCTTGCTTAACCTTTTGAATATCCCCTCCCAACTGGTCTCATGCTGCCAGAGTGATCTTTTAAGAATTCAAACTGGATACTACTCATTAGCTTAAAACTCTTCAGTGGCTTCCCAATACTGAAGGATCTTCATAATCTGGCTTTGACATTTTCCTGGACTCCTCTTGCAACATTTTTTCCCTTGACCTTTGGTCATCAGGCATATTGTTTTCTTCCACCTTTTTTCTGTTTAACCACTGGGCATCCTTTAGATTGCTGCTCAAATATTATTTCCTCAGTAATGCACATGAGTTTTATAAGAATGGGATTATTATGAATCTACATCTTGCATTTAAAAGAAGGAATCAGGCTTCATAAATATGTCTGCCTTTTCTAATAAGTACACGGATTTTTATGTAAGCTCAGAAATATTTATCCTTCATAGTGTAAGGGAAAGCTCTTCATTAATTCATGAAATTGCTAATTGTTTGATTCTCCTTGGAGGTAAGCCCGTACTGAACAGGTGGCAGCCTATTTGGAGGCCCATGGGCAGTGTCATGGCAATTAGAATTTTTACTTATTGACCTAGCTAGACCAGTAGCTGTGACCTTCTACTCCAAGCCTAGAAGGCAGCTTCCGGGGAATAATTGCTTTTCTTTTCTTTTTGTGGTAGATGAACTCTGAGATGGTGACAAATAATTCTCTTCTCCTAGTATTCATTCATTTGTGTAATCCCTCTGTCTGAATATGGAGCAGGGGGCCCTGCAACCAGCATTTAACTAATAAAATGTTGCAAAGGTGATGGGATTTTGCTTCCATGATGATGTTACATAAGATTGTAACTTCAGTCTTGCTAGTAGACTCTTTCTGTTTCTGGCTTTGATGAAACAGGCTGCCATATTGTGAACTGCCTTATAGAGAAGCCCAGTGGCAAGAAACTGAGGGACATTTCTGGCCAATATCCAGCAAAGAACGAGGCTCACCATCTGATATGGTTTGGCTGTGTCCCCACCCAAATCTCACCTTGAATTGTAATAATCTCCACATGTCAAGGGTAGGGCCAGGTAGAGATAATGGGGGCAGTTTCCCCCATACTGTTCTTATGGTAGTGAATAAGTTTCACAAGATCTGATGGTTTTAAAAATGGGAGTTCCCCTGCACAAGCTCTCTTGCCTGTCGCCATGTAAGACATGTCTTTACTTCTCCTTTGCCTTCTGCTATGATTGTGAGGCTTCCCCAGCCATGTGGAACTGTGAGTTATTAAACCTCTTTCGTTTACAAATTACCCAGTCTTGGGTATGTCTTTATTAGTAGTGTGAGAACAGACAAATACACCATCCAACAATCCTTCAGGAACTGACCCCTGCCAAAAACCACTTGAGCTTGGAGCAAATCTTCCCACCAGTCAAGCCTTCAAATGACATCTCAGCCCTAGCTGACATCTTGATTGCAGGCTTGTGACAGACCCTGAGCAGAGGACCCAGTTAAGTCGTGTCTGGATTCCTGATCACAGAAATTGTGAGATATTAAATGTGTGTTGTTTAAAGTGGTAATATTTTACTCAGTGATAGAAAATGAATATAGTTTTCTTTTTACCATAATTGCTGTATCTTAATTTTTGATAATCTCATTGTAATAAAAAGTGGAGCTATGTATGTTGTTCACACACCTAAAGGACTTCTGCTGAATGCCTGCTCCCTACAGTATCCCATTTCAGCTTCTTAGTTTCGCTTATAAAGCCATTTAGAATTAGTTACTAAGTTTTCCAGCTTCCTCTGCTGTTACTCTCCCATTCCTTCATCACTCCCTCTGCTCACACTGCCACACACGATCTCTTTTTTCTCATTGTTCCTAAGATACCCCACAACCTGGGGCTTTGCACAAACTTCTCACTCTTCCTGGGATGCCTTTGTTTTGGCCTTGTACCCTCTTCCTTATTTTTCAAGATCCAGCTCATTGTTGCCTCCTTTACAGATTACTCCTAAGTGTTCCCATAGCACTTTCTTAATATATATTATACCATTTATCACTTCATGTCATAATTTATACAGATGGAAGGGCAGTCTTTGGTGTAAACTTAGATTTTGTTCTTCAAACTTTTCCTTTCATTCTCTTTTCAAGTAGGTGGCTATGCTGTTGGCATTTCTTCGTTTGGGGGATTTTTTTTTTTTTTCAAGGTGGAAAGCAGATGTTTGGAATTATTTGACTTTCCTGTTTGTTGTTCTTCAAAATCAAACCTATTGAATAAATCATGCTGGATATTCAAAAAAGGGGAAAAAAGAGGGAGGAGAGCCTGGGGAGTAGTGAAAGACAGAGTCCCTTGCCATGGAGAGAGGCAGGGTACCACCACAGTGTTCCAGGAGAGAGCAGGAGGCATAGGGAATGGAGGAAAATGCTGGACTTAGGGAGCCAGCTCTTGCTTTAGTCTATTTACTGTTGCTATAAAGGAATACCTGAGACTGGGTAATTTATAAAGAAAATAGGTTTATTTAACTCATGGTTCTTCAGGCTGTACAAGAAGCATGATACCAGCAGTTTCTTCTGGTGAGAGCCTCAGGATGCTTCGGCTCATGGTGGAAGGCAAAGGGGTGCCAGGGTGTGCAGATCACGTGGTGAGACAGGAAGCAAGAGGGAGAAGGAAGAGGCCAGGCTCTTTTCAACAACCAGCTCTCTACAGAACTAATAGAGTGTGAAAGAACTCACTTCCCAACCCAGGGATGACATCAATCTATTCATAAGAGATTCACCCACATTGCCAGAACAATTCCCATTAGGCCCCACCTTCCAACACCACACTGGGGATCAAATTTCAACTTGAGATTTGGATGGTACAAACATCTAAACTATAGCCGCTCCCATCCTAAAGATGGGCACAGGACTCTGGCTGCCTGAAGAGTTCCACGTCCCAGGTGCAGATTAGAGACAACACTGGCTGTGAACAAGAACACCAAGTATCTCCATGGCCAACAAAGCACATCAGTGACCCATGATTGAAGGGACCCCCCCCATCTGTGTAAGGTCCAGGGGACATCCCCCTTTCTGTGGGGGAAGGAAAAATAATGACTATGACTGAGTTTCCCACAGTGTGTTGGGGAGGGTTGGTACAAAGTTAGATTTAACTTGAGTTAAAATAACAAAAGAAATCTGATATTTGTTTCACAACTGTTTGTAGATGAAGATTTATACCAGTATGAATGAGCCCTAAGCACAAGAAGCATGAAGAAAATGACATCGAGGTATATCATAATCAATTTGCTCAAAATCAGTGATAAAGAGAAAATCTTTATAGCAGCCAGAGGAAAAAACATGCATTACATACAGAGGAACAAAGATAAGGATGACAGTAGACTTCTTGCAGGAAACGGTGCAAATGAGAAGGCAACGGAGCCACATTTTTAATTTGTAAGAAGAACAAAGGTGTCAGCCTATGATTCTTCATCCAGTGAAAATAGCTCTCGAAAATGAAGGTGAAATAATGACTTTTTCTAAAGTACAAAAGCTGAAAGAATTTATCACCAGCATTCCTTTCACTACACAAAATATTCATGGGAGTCTTTTGAGAAGAAGGAAATGATACCAGTTAGAAATATGGATATACACCAGTGATTGTCAACTGAAGGCGATTTTATCCCTGGCCCTCTGGACATTTGGCAATATCTGCAGATATTTTTGTTTGTCACAATTTGGGGGAAGGTGTGGAACGCTAGAGCTTCTAGTGGATAGAGGCCAGGGATGCTGCTTAACATTCTACAATGCACATGACTTCCCCCACGACAAAGAATGTCAGTAGTAATGAAGCTGAAAAGTCTCTGTTCTAAACAGAGGAATTCCATGAGTATATATAAATATTTTTCTTTTTCTTTATACTTAAATCTCTTTAAAAGATGATTGATTTTCTGAGTTAGCCCATTTTGTGTTGCTATACAGAAATACCTGAGTCTGGGTAATTTATAAAGCAAAAAGGGGCCGATTGTGGTGGCTTATGCCTGTAATCCTAGCACTTTGGGAGGCCGAAGTGGGCAGATCACTTGAGGTCAGGAGTTCAAGACCAGCCTGGCCAACATGGTGACCCTATCTCTACTAAAAATGCACACACACACACACACACACACAAAATTACCCAGGCATGGTGGCTGGCACCTGTTATCCCAGAGACTCAGGAGGATGAGGCAGGAGAATTGCTGGAACCTGGGAGGCGGAGGTTGCATTGAGCTGAGATCATATCACTGCACTCCAGCCTGGGTGACAGAGCAAGGCTCTGTCCAAAAAAAAAAAGAAAAAAAAGAAAGAAAGAAAAGAAAAAAAGGTTTATTTGGCTCACGGTTCTGCAGGCTGTTCACAAAGCATAGTGCTGATATCTGCTTCTGGTGAGGCCTCAGGAAGCCTATAATCATGGTGGAAGGCGAAGGAGGAGCAGGCATGTCACATGATAAGAGAGGGAGCAAGAAAGCAGGAGGTGTCAGGCTCTTTAAACAACAAGATCTGTGGTGACTGATAGAGCGAGAACTCACTCATCACCACGGGAAGGCACCAGGTCATTCATGAGAGATCCATCCCCATGACCAAGACACTTGCCACTAAACCCGCCTCCAACATCCTTATGATCACATTTCAACTTGAGATTGAGAAGAGACACATATCCAAACCATATCAACTTTTTACACTAAAATAATAACAATATAATATGGGTTTGTAACATATGTAAAAGTAAAATCTATGGTAATAACTCAGAGGCTGGAGGTTGAGAAACAGAAGTATACTATTGTGTGGTTCTTATACTGTATGGGAAGTAGTATAATGTCACTTGAAGCTAGACTGTGGTTAGCTAAATATGTATACTATACACCAAAAAGTAACCACTACAATCATACAAAAAGAAAATATACAGTTGGTAAGCTAACAAAAGAGATAAAATCAATCACAAAAAATCAATTAATCCAAAAGAAGGCAGAGAAAGTAAAGGAGGAGCAACAAACTGATGGGAAAAATGGAAAACAAATAGCAAGAAGATAGACTCAAACCTAACCATATCAATAATCACATTATATTTAAAAGGCCCTAATACCCAATTAAGAGGCAGGCATTATCAGATTGGATTTCAAAAAAAGATCCAACTATATAAATAATAACTTTATTTATTACTTTAAATAAAAACACAAGTTTACAGTGAATGAATGGAAGTAGATATATATGTTAACTCTAACCAAAAGGAAGTCAGACAAGCTATATTACTATCAGAAAAAAGTTGACATCATAGCAAAGAATATTATCAGATATAAAGAAGGTCATTTCATAAAGATACAAGGGTCATTTTATCAGGAGAGCATAACAATTCTGTGTTTATTCTTCTAATAACATAACTTCAAAAAGCATGAAGCAAAAAACTGTAGCATTTCAAGTAGCAATAGATACATTCTCAATTACTTTTAGAAATTTCAGTACTGCTAGCTTAATAACAGAGTAAGCAAACTGATAATCAGTAAGGATATTAAAAATTTGGACAACATAATCAACAAACATGACCTAATTGGTATTTATAGAACACTCTATCCAAATATATCAGAATACAAATTCTCAAGTGCACACAACATTTATTACAAGTTTCAAAACATTTAAAAAGTGTTTAAGTCATTCAAAGTGTTTTCTCTTACTATGATGGAATTAAACTAAAAATGAACAACAGAAAGATTTCTGGAAAATCCCCAAACATTTTGAAACCACATGGGGCACCCTGCTTATCTTTGAGCCTGTTGGAAGGTGTTAGGCCACATTTTTCTTCTGTTTGGGATTTTAATAGATAACAACAATAAAAATGTAATGATGATTTAGATTCAGTCTTTCCTACCCAGGAACAGTGAAAGAAACAGTTTGACACCAATGGTCTTTGTAGTTCAAGGTCTTTGTGCACATGCAAAAAAACCCCAAAAAAAATCAAAAATCAAAAACAAAAAAACAACCCACAAACAAACAAACAAAATCTTCATAAACTCATAGAAAGAGAAAAGCTAATTTAAATTTCTAAAATGCATTGTAACATATTTAAAGGCAAATATAATTTCATTACCTTCACACCTAATATATGGGTATTTAGACAATGGTTTTCAGATGGCATACTTTGATGGATTGCTTTAAAAAATATATACAAATGCTGTATAGTTAATATGGTGTACATAAGTTTGCTTTAGATAACAGACAAGAATGTTTATAGGAAAGTGGATGCTTCTAATCTGTGCATATAGTATGTATATAAGTAATTTGTTCTTTAAACTATGGCAAATATTCCAAATGGTGGCATACGTTATTTTCTAAAAATGATCATAGCAATATTTCCAGCCCCACCTTCTTTTTACTCAGGACTTTGGCATTCCTCCCAACAAGAGGTGGAGTCTGATTTCCCTCCCCTTGAATATGAGATGGCTTTAGTGACTTGCTTCTGATGAATAGATTGCAGCAGATATGATGCTGTGAGGCTTACAAGGCTAGATCATAAAAAATGATACAATTTCCCCCTGGCTTTCTCTCTCAGTATGCTTTCCCTTAGAACCCAGCCCCCAGGCTGTAAGAACTGCATGGGGAGACCCCATGAAGATGTCTACGTGAGGAACTGAGGCCCCCAGCCCACAGCCGGCATCAACCCCAAGTCATGTGAGTGAGAGAGCTTTCAGGTGACTCTAGCTATCAGCCTCAAGTCTTCCACCTGAAGGCCCAGACATCATGGATTAAGGATGAGTTGGGCATACTAAGTGGTTGTTTTATACCTCTAAGCTTTAGGGTAATGTGTTATACAACTGTAGACATTGGAACACTAGTACCATCTTATTTACTTACCAATTTATTGAATAAGCCCCTTTTAATTTCACGTTCTTCACAAATAATTACATATTTTGAATCTGGATTCTCAATAAAGTTGTACTACACACTGTTTCCATACAAAATGTCTCTGTGCAGTAACCTAGTGTGTGGTTACACTTGCACAACTTGATATATTCCCGAATATCTCAGTGGATGGAGAAATATTACACATGGATATCAGAAAAGACCATAATCTCCCATGGACTGGTATGTGGATAGACCACAAATCTCAGGGATAAGGCCTGTCACACTGTGGAGTTTCACCACCAGGGTCACGGCCCTCAGTGGGACCGGGTTTAGAATTCCAGCTATATTGCATAGCAACTCTGTGTACAAGGATGAGTTGCAATATCTCTGAGTCTTAATTTTCTCATCTGTCCTTCGGGGATAATAATAGCACCAATCTTATAGGATTGTTGTAATGAATAAATGACATCATGCACATGGTAGGCCCTTAATAAGTGTTGGCTGTTAGGGTTATCTG
The DNA here is from genome assembly GCF_000001405.40 of Homo sapiens. NCBI lineage: Eukaryota > Metazoa > Chordata > Mammalia > Primates > Hominidae > Homo > Homo sapiens. The sequence goes on along the minus strand of NC_000018.10, from coordinate 56,333,112 downwards.
CATGAAATCTGATCATTTAAATACATGCCATGTCATGCTACCTTGACTTTCAAATCTGGAAAATTTCCCCCAGTGACCCACTGCTGGGCAGAGCTTGTAAAGTTAACTTTTAAAGGAATTCACTGTGGCTGTTAATTGAGGTGACTTCCCAGAGACAGACTCATCACTATTGTTGCCGCTTCTGCAACCCCTGGAGAGGGACAAACTGTCCCAGAAGACTCTGGGCTAAAGCCCACCACCTCCCAGGTGAGCCAACTTGTACCTTGGCGAGTTTCAGATTGGTTCAGAGATTCACTTCTCTTCACTTGTCTCTCAAAGAGAAACACAATTTTTCAGGATAATTTCCTACAGATTTTTAGAAGAATTTCCACTGTTTGTTTTGGAAAGCAGTTAGGGTAAAATAAAACCCAAAAATTTGCTTTTCTCTTATGACAGTCTGGCTGGGTTGACTCAGTGGCACCTGCTATGGGGACGTGCCCCCGTCTCTCTCCCTCAGCCCTTCCAGGGAGAACAGTCTTGTGTGAATTTAATGTGATCATGTCTTTACCATGTGGTCTCTCAGCTGTCACTGACAGTGTGTTTGAGAGTGTCTAGAAGGGGTTTTAATTGGCAAGATCTTTAGTAAAATTTGCAAATTAGTGATCCACCGGCTGATGTTATGACAATGTCTAAACACTATCAGTGCCATTTTAAAATAATCTTTCATCGATACAACATTCATTTTAATTAGCCAGGAAATGTTGGTCCCAAAGGAAGCTGCCTACAGTTTTATAGATTTAGCACGGGGTTATGGGACAGCTTGATAAACTTCATTTATTTGGAAAAAAGAGATTTATTGAAGTCGTTTATATTTCATTCAACTTATGAGGCGCTGGTCAGAGTTTAGAATGATTGGAACACAGACCCAGGGATACAGGTGGAAAATGCCCTTCTCTTTGATGGAGTGGCATGGTATGAGTATCAGCCTGAGAGTCCTGAAACCTGGGTTTTCATCCTGGCTTAGCAAGAATTTGTTTGTATAATCTGGGGAAGAACAACAGCAACTACATGTGACTGAGCACCTACTCTACACCAGGTGCCCTACACCCATTGTTCCATTCCTTGCAACAATATGAGGTGAGAACCACTGGCATCTTCATTTTTGAAAAGAAGAAACAAGCTGAGGCTCAGGGGGTAGAATTAGCTTGACACAGGCCATGAAACTCGTAAATGACATAGACGCATGTCTTTCCATCTCTGAAGACTGGGCTCCAGCCTGGGCAACATAGTGAGGCCCTATCTCTTCAAAAAATAAAAAATTAGCCAGGCATGGTTGTGTGCACCTGTCATCTCAGCTATTTGGGAAGCTAAGGTGGGAGGATTGCTTGAGCCCAGGAGGTTGAGGCTGCAGTGAGCCAAGATGGCCCCACTGCACTGTGGCCTGGGTAGCAGAGTAAGACCCTGTCTCAAAAAAAAAAAAAAGACTGAGCTGTATGCAACCGTGAGCTGATGCCCCACTGAAAAGTCCCTTAATCCTCATGAGCTGAATTTTTGTCATTTGTATTATGAAGCAGTGGGACTAGAAAGGGTATGATTCTACATAGCTTTCATATCTAGATTTCTGGGGTTTAGGGTATTGGTTCTATTGTTGCCTATATGTTCATGAAATCTGACAGATCCTCGTAGTATCCTTGGGAGGGTGCCAAATTAATAATCTGGAACTGATTATTTTAAGTGGATTAGCAGCCTTATAAGGGCTATTTGTTTCCAGGTTAGCACTGAACTGTACTTGACAATTCTCTCTAACTTATAGACGTGGATTATGTGGGAATTATGGATCATACCAGCCAAAAAGGCCACCGTTCTCTTTCATCCTGGTGATATCATTGAGTCCCTGGTGATACCCTATCAGTATTTGCTGGGGTTACTTGATTAATATTTTTTATAGTATATCAGCTCAGAGGTCATCTAATTTAAATTAGAACAAATTCTTGGCTCTATTCAACTGAACAAAAATGCATCACGAAACATTTTTCTGGTATGAATTTCTGCCCCAAAGCAGAAATTCGGTACAAACTCAGCCCAGGTTGCAGGATAGGGATGCCAGACGGCTGTTAGAACGGCCCCTTGCTTGGCCTTTTCTCTTATAAAAATAATTTATGACCTGCCGCTCTGAACTTCCGATTGTGGGCTTTGCAGGCATCCTGGCAGTTTTCTCTTACATTGATAACTACCCTATGCTGCCTGTAAGACAACATTGTTCTTGGCAGTAGTCTTAAAATATCATGAAAGGGGGTCACTGAGATCACTTGGCATTTCAGCCTTCTCATTCTACACAGTGTTGTTATTTAGAGACAACTCTGGGAGATGGACCATCCGAATTTGGGCCTTCAAGTGGTTTTCAGGATTCAAAGCATGAGTTGAAATTTCTATATTCTCCAGGCATCATTTGTAAAATAGTAACAGTAATGCCTGCTTTGCAGAGGTATTTGGAAACTTGCATCAAACTGTGACTATGGAGATGCCTGGTGCAGTGTTGATATATGTGGCTAATTTGTTATCGTGGCAAGGAAACTGAAGATTCTTTCAAGTGTACCACACCGAGGTTTTTTGAAATGTTTTTCTAAATGTTTAGGATTCCAGGAAATTTCCTTGTATCCTGAAGAAGCTTAGGTTTATCCTGAGAGATGGCTCTGGGAAATACATAATCCAACTACTCAAATGAACCCACTGTCTTTCTGACAAAGATGTGATTCACTATATCTCTTTCCTTCATCTTCCCCATGCCCCACCATCAGAGAGGAATTATTTTGATTTTTGTTGCAGTTACTATTGCTGTACAACAAAGCACTCCAACTTTATGGGCTCAAACACAAACCATTTTGTTATGCCCATGAAGTCTATGGCTCAGGGTTTTGGACAGGACACACAGAGATGGCTTGTCTCCTGCTTCTTGATGTCTGAGGCCTGAGCTGGGATGATAGGAACTGCTGGGGGTGAGCTCCTCAATGCACTCAGATCTACAATGGAAGTCTCATGCAGAATCATCTGACTGGGGGGTGTGGGTCTCTGTCTTGTGCCCTGGTTACTGAGCATCTAGAGAAATGTTTGGCTGTATTAGTTTCCTAAGCCTGCTGTAACTAATAACCACAAACTTGATGGCTTTATTCTCTCACAGTCTGGAGGCTGGAAGGCTGAGATTGAGGTGTTAACAGAGTCCTGTTCCCTCTGGAGGCTCTAGAGAAGAACCTTTCCCTGCCTTTTTAAAGTTTTTGATGGGGGCCAGTGGTACTTGATGTCCGTTGGCTTGTGGCTCCATGAGTCACCCTGCCTCCATTACTAGGTGGCCTTCTTTCCTGCATGTCTTCATGTCTGTGTCCAAATCTCCTTCTCCATTATCTCATAAGGATGCCAGTCATTGGAATTAGGGCCCACCCTAAATTCAGGATGACTTCATCTTCCACTCCTTAACTAATTATAGCTGCAAAGAACCTATTTCCAATTAAGGTCATATTCTGAGGCTCTGGGTAGATGTACATCAGGGGAAACACTATTAAACTCACTATACTGCCTTCTGCTTTGGGGAGTCTCAAATTTTCTCAAATAGGACAAGAATGTTAAAATACACTGGGTAGCCAAAAACCATGATCAATGTGCCCTATGCGTGGAACAGGAGAAGGGAAGAGAAGAGGAGGATCCAAGAGCTGGATGGTGGTTGGTCTCCTTTAGAATCTGTGGTCAGGAAAGACTTCTTTGCAAAGATGAACGTGGGATTAGAGAGTTTTGAGTGCATCAGGGGAACGAGCAATGTGAAAGATTTCCAGGTGGATACAGCAACAAATATCAAGATGCCACAGAGGGAACAAGGTGATGTATTTTGAAGGGTGATCAGGAGGTTGGTGTGGCTGGAATGGCAAAAGGGAGATAGAAGGAGGTGGGGTGGGGGTGGTAAATAGAGGTTAGGCTATTTTAGGACTTTGAACTTCATTTTAAAAGTAGGAAATACCAGCAGAAGTTTTTGAGCAAGAAAGCAGGCTAATCTAATTTATACTTTTAAAAAGTCACTTGAGTTTCCGTGTGGAGACAAGACACAAGGTGGCAGGCATGGGATCAAGGCAGTCAGCTCAACAACATTGCAGTCATCAAGGAAAGAAAGGGTGTTGCTTTGAACAGGGCTGGTAGTGGTGGAAGCAATGAAAAGTAGGAATGGGATGCATTTTACAGGGAGAGCTGACGAAACTTGCTGATGGATTAGATGCGGGATGTGAGATAAAGAAAAGAATTGAGGATAATCCCAAACTTTTGTCCAGACCACTTGGGTAAATGGAGGGTTACTTTCTGAGATGGGGGAGACTAACCCATAGTGGGATTTGGGAACATAGTGGCGAATCTGGGGTTCAGGTTTGGACACATTAACTTTGGGAGCTCTATTAGATATCCAAGAGGATGAACAGGCCATAAGATTTTGAATCGGGAGCTCAGGAGAAGGGTCGGGGTGGAGATTTAGAGTTAGGAGCCATCAGTGCATAAATGGGATGTAAAGGCGTGGGGCTGAGTGAGCTCACCCAGAGAGAGTGTGGCAGAGGGGACAGGGGAGGCAGGACCCAGGCCTGTTGGGGTGTTCCAACATTTAGAGGTCAGAAAGATGCCGTGAGGGCCTACACCGTGCAGGTGACATTCAGAGCCCACTCAGTTTCCCCTCCTTACTGCCTGCCTTCGCCATCCCTCTTCATGCATCCTGGCAGTTTCATTCTCTTGGTTTTGAGATTAGCTCTATGGCCCCAAATTCACTGGTTTCATTTTAGCCATGTTTCTGAATGCCTTGGAGTAGGAAGTAGAGTCCCCATGGAAAATCCCATCTGCTGTTCTTATTCTCTACTTACAGATCTGCCCCATATACCTGGAGACAAGTAAGGCACGGATGGCTGCACGGGCCTGTCTTCTTTGACTCACAGTCTTGTTCCTTCCTCTGCAGCCCATGTCTGTACAGGACATATGGCCAGAGCAGTCACTGCACCTGCACAGGCACTTGCTTTCACAGATCCATCTGTCTGGGGCTCACCTGGACACACCTGTAACCTTTTCCTTTGAAAATCTGGCCATTGATTTCTGCCTTCAAAGCTTCAAATCTTACAGCAGAAACCTGTAAGGTATTTAACTGCCCCCAAGTGTCCACATTCCACATGGCTTTAGTCAGCCTGGATTTGATCTTCTGCTTGTGGATGATTTGTAATTTGGTGACATGAGACACCTTGGGAAGTAAGAGGTGGGAATGGCTGAGATGCCCGACTTCACTAACCATTTCTACAACCTGAGCCAGTTTATGGGAACTGACAGCAGACCTATTGAAGGCCTGGATGAATGTGGCATGTGGGGCGGGATGGAGGTTGGTTAGGAAACAAGGAAAAGTGGAGGCTGGGGAACAATGTAAGTTACAACGTGACCCACAACACATTTAATGTTGCAAACACTTCATCAAATTCCTGTTAGCCATTTATGGAAAAACTGGCTCCTTCACTGCAGCAAATATGTGCATTTCGTTAGGACACACACACACAGACACACACACACACACACACCTTTGCCAACACCGGCTTCTTGTTAAGTGTCTCAGGTTTAGGATGAAAGAATATACAAGAACAGGAACTTTTTTTTCCCTTTTCTGAGCATGAAAGAGCTCCGTGCCTGTCGAATGTGGGCTGGCTTGCATTCAAACATAAATATGTACCAAAACACAATTCCCTCCAGCTCAAAACTGGGTTGCAAGAGAACCTTGGAACTGAATGAGCAGTGCCTGAATTTTTATCCCATTACTCAATGAAATCCCCACCAAACTCAGTCTCACTCCCTGTGTAAAACTACTTAGATGATGCTTGAGCTTCTCTTTGAAGCAGTAGATACTGGCAGATAACTGCCTTATTCCCCTGGTTTGCTATCAAAGCTGCTTCCCTTCATCTCGTACTCATTCTCCAACAGTTAGGCCTTCTCTGTAAACTGCCATTTTTCACTTTTTAATCTGCCTGTTCCTTCCTCTCCATGTTTAAAATGTAAAGGCCGCTGGTATCTGGATACAGTAACTTCCATTCTGTCCTTCCCAGTGCTCCCCTCCCAACTGCAGACACAGCAGCTTATTTCTTTTTTCTGCCTGTGTATTAATGACTGTCAGCCATTGGCAGTGGACTTGAGCTATCCCCAGAATAAAGGAACTCCAGCTCCAGCCCCACCCAGTCCAGAGTGCTGGGGACCCAGGTTGTGACTTGATGATATTCACAGTTGTTACCTGCAGGGGGATGCCACAAGAAGTCAGAGAAGGCACTTCCATTATCAGGCACCCCAAACCCCTGTGACTCAGCATATGTGCCCTTGGCTGTATATAACCTGCTCACCCCCCACCCCCCGCCCCATTTCTGCTGGGCCACCTTCGTGGGGGTCTCACCCAGGCCCTCCTGTGTGCACCTGCAGCTACTCCTTGTTTCTGGCTTGCATGACTTATCACACATGGGAATGGGAATCATCTGTTCCTTCCCTTGGATCCTCAGTCAGGGCAGGGATGGATTCTGATTTACTGCTGCATTCTAGTGTCTCACATAAGGACTTGCACATTCAGGCACTAAGCCTGTATTTGCTAAATTCATGCATTCATTTGGTCATTCATTTGCAAATATTTATGGCTTGTTTTATGCCAGACACTGTTTTAGGTGCTGAATAAATGAACAAATGAGCAAGAGTGGGTAGAACTGCTGCTATTCCTTCGGGCTGCTGTCACTTTGTGTTCCCCTTGAAGTTTATTTTAAAATTGTTTCACTTGGTTTATTAACAAACTGATTAGTTGTAGCAGGGTGTTGCAGTGGTGCATGGTGAGATTTGGCTGGGTCAGGAGCAGGGGTCCAGTGGCACCTCTCTCCTTCAACTATCTTCTCATCCCCAGTTCCATGTCTGTCCAATCCCCCATTCTATCCTTGTTTTTATTGGAAAAAGAACACGGACCATATCCATGATTAGAAACAGGAAGACAGTGACATGTCTGGTGAACTGGCAGAGTGGGAACGGGGAGGGATGAATAACAGATTACATGAACATAGCGTAGAGTCCAGGAGAGAGACTGGCTCCTGTGAGGACACTTGAAGCTGACTGGCTCCATAGGTGGGTCTGAGGATGGGAGGGGAGAAGGGAGGTTTCACTGAGCTCTACCCTTGTTATCCACAGCTCAGCTAAGGTATCTCTCTAACATAACAATACACAAAGGGGTGGGTGGATTGGACCTTTACCTTTGGTCTTAGAAGTAGCTTATGGGGTTGCTGTTGAGCCACAAGGACATGAGCATCTGTCTTTGGGAGGATGGACAGGGCACTGCACCCTAGAGCAGAGCAAGAAACAGTCTGATGCCTCATAGATTTGAGATAGCTCCTGGAGTCTCCCAGAAAAATGCAAGATGGCAGAAGGAACTCACAATAGGGATGGTTTGGCGGAACCAGCAGGGTTTAGTGAGGTAGTAGAAACCATCACTAGTGTAACTCTGACCCCTTATATACCCGCAGATGGATGAAGACTGAGGACTTTTTTGTTTCCGGGCTTTTTGGATGAATTCTGTTTACAGAAGCACCTGTCCCCAGGTACCCCAGCATGGAACCACAGCCAGTATCTCGGGTCTTGGCTCTGTTCTCCCTCCCTGTGGCCCATTTCACTGTCACTGGTGTCCTCATTCTATTCTCTGGCCCTCAGGCCCTCCTGGATGTGGTTACCCATGTGGGAAGGTTATTTTCTAACTGTTGAAAGTCCGCCATCATAGGGATTCTCTTATCTTTTTTTCTTTTTCTTTTTTGAGACAGAGTCTCACACTGTTGCCCAGGCTGGAGTGCAGTGGCATGATCTTGGCTCATTGCGGCCTCCTCCTCCCAGGTTCAAGTGATTCTCCTGCCTCAGCCTCCTTAGTAGCTGGGACTCCAGGCACCCGCCACCACACCTGGCTAATTTTTGTATTTTTAGTGGACATGGGGTTTCACCATGTTGGCCAGGCTGGTCTTGAACTCCTGACCTCAGGTAATCCACCTGCCTCTGCCTCCCAAAGTGCTGGGATTACAGATGTGAGCCACCATGCCCGGCCACCACTGTGCAGATTCTGTCTTCCACATCTGGATCTAGACAGAGGATTTCTCATGGCCTTAGCATCCTCATGACCAGGGCAAATCTCATGCACATATTGTCCTAGAGGGTCCAGAGCATTCGCTCATTTTTTTCCCACTTTCAAACACAGATTCCCATAGAAAGGAGCACCTCAGTACCAGTATCTGATTTGCCTTAATATATCATTTCTCTTGGGTGAACTTCCAATTTAAAGGTGACAGAAGCATGGCTCACCCTCATCTTGTTCATCTCTACAATGAGCATTTCAGGCCAGGAATGACAAATTGGAGAGAGAAGGCTTTTTGATGGGGAGACAGTTTTTATGAGATATTCTAATCCATATTAATGTGTATAGAAATCTCTGGGGATCCTGTTAAAATGAAGATTTTGATTCAGTAGATCTGGAGAGGAAACTGATATTCTTACATTTCTAACAAGCTCCCAGGTGATGACACTGGTCTGTGGACCACACTGTGAATAACAAGGCCTTAAATCACAGATGGCATCTATTTTTTCCACATTCACCTGGGCAAAGTTCTCTCCTCTGAACCTGTGATGTCTCTTCATGATTCAGGCAATGAAATCTCTACCCAAAATTGGGTAGAGATTTATTGGTTTGGCTGTTTGAAAGAAGAAGGGAAGTTTCCTATAAAGAGAAAGGAAGTCTCTCCAAACTGGAATTCAGTTGTATAAACCAAGTTTTGTGAATGATGTTCTTATTTTTCTACAACTGGTATTAATACTGCTTCAAAAATTTTGCAAAGATGGCATGAGAACTGGTGGGTGTGTGTAGGGGGTGGGGGTGGGGGATGGATATTATTGCAGCCAGTAATGCACTGCACAGAAATCATCCCTTTAATCAGAGAAGCTTAAAATCAGGCCAGGGCATGAAGGTGGAGCAGAGTTATGAAAACTGACAGAAGTCAAAAAATAAAGTCATTTGCAAAATCAGAGTGGGGACAATTTCTTCCTCCTCTCCTTTCATTTCTGCATCAAGCTGAGCCTTGATAGTAGAATTTACCACTTTGCTGTGAGCCCAGCAGGCTGCCTCACCTCCATTAGCACAGCCAGGCACTGTTAGAGGCCATGAGTGGGAAGGGGAGTGGAAGTAGTTTGGGGTTTCTTTTCTTCCTTTGTGTTTGTTCCCCAGGGCATCCCCTGGGTGATGCTAGAAGATAACTTCTTGTCATTACTAAGCACTGCTTGTATCCCCTGCAGTCTTCGGTGCAGGAACCCAGCCACTGGTTCAGGGCACTGAGCTAGGCCCAACGGGGTATGCAAAAAAGAGAAAGCGCTGATTCTTATCACCATGGAGTTTATAAGGTAGCTGCGAAGGGAAGAGACACACTCCTAAGATCACTAACCACATCCAACAGGAAATAATAAGTTCCAAATGGGCACTACGCACAGTAAGGATGTGGGCTGATTGGGACATGGGAAACTTTTAAATGAGGTGATCAGAAAGGCTTCATTGAGAAGGTAGTAATTGATTTAGTCCTTGAAGGGAAGGGAGAATTAAATAGTGCCTGGGAGGTCTGAGATGGTAGTGCAGTTTCTAAGAACATCTTCTTGCCCAAATCCTTTCTGAGAATGGCTTAGGGAGAAGAGGAAAGCTGTGTTTTGATTTATTTTGATAATAGAAGATGCCAGTGGCTGGCCCTAATTGTGGCACAAGCACGCTTTTTTAGAAGGTTTCTGTTTCTTGCTGAATTCTACACAGAATCAGGTAAAGACTATGATACAGTTAAATTTCACCTTCATTATTTTCTTAGAAATATGTTTTATGGAGAGATGCTTCAATTGGGCAGTCCAAATTTCTCTCTGTACTTCAAAAAGCCCCTTAGCACCTGATTTCAGCTTGAAAAATAGTCATTTATATTTCGAACCCCAAGCATTCAATTTTAACCATTGGTAGAAATTGATTAATAATGGCAAAGCTAGAAAAACTCCATAATAATCTTTAAAGAAAACAAAACACTACAGTCATTTTTTATTTTAAACTTTAAGCTTCACATTTCAAAGTTTTATCAAACTATCCCCCCTCCCCATAATTTAAAGCATTGTTTTCCAAGGGAAATTTAATAATAAGAGCTGCCATGTGTTTCTGCTTAATTTTGGAAGCCTGTGTTATGCAGTCAAAGATTCTCATTTGAAAATAATTCCTGTCCTTGTTCTTAAAGTACCAGGGAATAAGATTTAAAAAATATGTTGCAGCTCTCAAGTTTATGTTTTGCCTAAAGCCAGGCCGCAATGGGAGATCAAAGTTTAGAGTGCGGTTCTAAAGTTAGAACTACTGCCTTGCAACGTGCTCACAAATGGGGAGCAGGGCCCGGCAGCTGCCTGCCCAGGTCCTCCAGTAATTAGCTCTGGTGCAGGCGGAGGCCCCTGCCCCTCCCCTGGGTAGGTCCTAGGCCTCAGGGCCTCTGTCGCCTGGGAAGCAATCCCTACAAAGACAAGGCAGGCGTGGTATTTTTAGACCACATGTGTGCACTGTACAGGCCTCCTGTGTTCCACAATTTGCGTTTGAGAGGAGTGGGAATCGAACACACTGCTGTGTTTGCTGTCTGCTGGGCCTGTTGTTAGTGGGGGCTATTTGTCAACATGACAGACTCATCTAATAATGTTTGAGGATGGGCAAACTGGGGCATGTTTGTTAGTCTCAAGTTGTCTCTTGTCTCTCTTTAAAAAGGAATGTGTGTGTGTGTTTGTGTGTGTGTGTGTGTGTGTGTGTGTGTATTTTTTTTCTTAAGCCCCAAAGCCCTCCTCCCTTATCAAATCCCTAACATGGCTATTTCACACCTCAGTAGAACTGATTGTAGACTGTCATTTCTTTTTTTAAAATTTATATTTTTGCAGAGATGGGGTCTCGCTATGTTGCCCAGGCTGGCCTCAAACTCCTGGCCTCAAGCGAGCCTCCGCTTTGGCCTCCCAAAATGCTAGGATTACAGGAGTGAGCCCCCGCTGCTTACTGTCATTGCAGCGGCACAGCTCATGAAGGTTGTCTTCATCTCTCTATTTTCACCCTCCTGGAAGTTCTGCTTGCCTATGGTCAGCCGGGCTGAAGGACTCAATTGTAAATTCAAATGTTAGAGTTCAGAAGTCATAGATGTCTAAGTAAGTGGATCTTTATGGAAAAGGTTCCCAGCCCTGCACCACCAAAAATGAACTTGACCCACAACTACACTTTGGCCTAGCCTGAAAATAACACTGAACTTTGGAAAGTTGGCAAATGATGACGGGAAGCCCGAGCCTTTTCCCCTTGGGTGTGATCTGATGGAATCCCACTGACAGCCACGTGCTACAGTGCGTTCCCCGAACTAGTGCCATCGAGGCTTCCTGTTGACTGCTGGTCCCCTGGCAGCTGTTCAAGGAGAAGCATCTGAAACAGCTGTCTATTTTCAGCCTGCCATCTCTTCTCAATTTCAGATAGAGGGTTTTTACACAGAGCCCTGATTTTACAGTGGCTTCTAACTTTGCAGTCCTTGATACACTTTCTTCTGCAGTCGATAACAGGAAAAACAGGTGAACTGCTAAGTTTCGCTCAAGCTGTCCACTTAGCTATTTTTACCCTTGGTAAGCTGAATCAGCTCTCTGTATTCCTTTCCTAGAAGAGAGAAGATCAGTTCCTTTTGAACAAGAGGCAATAGGAGATGCATTCTCCATAGACGTTTTACCACTTCACCCTTGAAGCTTTTGTGCAGTGATTCAGGAGAAACAGACTCCTTTCTGAAAGTGTTCAGAGTTGCAGAACCCCACAGGACAGTCCCACATCTCTCCAGCGGAAATAACCCTGTTAGCCAAAGCCTCTCTCCTGGTGCTGGAAGCCAGGCCTAAACTCCAGTCCCAGATGAGAAATGGCACATTATTTTAATTCCTCTCTGCCTCTTCAAATGCCAGCCCTAAAAGCTGCTCTAGGTAGAGTCCTTTGAGTTGATGGTGAAAAGGGTTAAGATATTCAGGGCTGTTGGTATGGGTTGAATGTATTTTGCATGTGAGGACATGAATTTGGGGGTAGTCAGAGGCCTGAGTGTTATGGGCTGAAGCGTGCTCCTTTCAAATTCATATGTTGAAGTCCAAACTCCCAGCACCTCGGAATATGGCTGTATTTGGAGATAGGGTCTTTAAAGAGGTAATTAAGTTAGAAAAAGATCAGCAGGGTAGGCTGTAATCCAGTATAACTGGTGCCCTTATAAGGAGAGAAGATTAGGATGCAGATGCACACAAACAGAAGACCAGTTGAAGACACAGGGAGAAGACAACCCTCTACAAGCCAAGGAGAGAGGTCTCAGAAGATCCTATCCCTACTGACACCTTAATTTCAGACTTCCAGCCTCCAGAACAATGAGAAAATAAATGTCTGTGTTTAAGCCACTCAGTCTTTGGCACTTTGTTATGGCAGCTCTTGCAGGCTAACACAGATTGTGGTTTGGTACGAGTGTGGTACAAAGCCACATCAGAGAGAGCTATTAGATATCCTCACTCTAAAATATACCTGGATGGGTGTTGGTAGAAGACTGGGACTAGAACCTATTTCATTTGTTATATTTTGTAAACCTACTTGTTTTGGGGAGTCATTTAAAAAAAAAGGAAAAGAGATTGTTGCACCCTAAGGACATGAACTTGTGCAGTTTTTATTGTGGGGGGAAAAAACATGACACTACCAAACTGGCAATTTCTCACAATACCAGGTGCATTACAGATTGGTGTGTGGGCTTTTGTGAATTGGTTGCATATAAATGAGGAACATTTAAATAAAAAGGAGATCTAGAAACTTTCACTAGTTTTGGGCTTTTATTTATAGCTACTTATGCACAAAGCTTATTTCCCTTCCCATGTAAGTTTTGAGTCATGGCAGTCTAACGGGCTTTTGTGTAAGGTGCTATTGATTTCAGTGTGTAGACAGGGCACCACAAGCCCTCCTGTATGTGAGAAACTGAGAGAAAGGGGAGGAGAAGATGGGAAATGCTGAAGAGAAACCTGGTTTGGGAGAGAGTGTGATTCAGTGGAAAGGGATCGGACTGAGAATTAGAAGCCTGCGCTTAATCCCAGTCTAAGTGAGAAGCATCAAGGTGATATGCCCACATTATTTCATTTTCTTGGACTATGATGTCCTCAGCTTCAAAATGGAGGGCTGGTAGAAGAATATCAAGGTCACTTCTCACTCTGGTTCTGGAGTTCAGAAGGATGGGATTGGGAGGGGGCATGACTTTTGGAGTGGGAGCGCAGGGCCCTGACCTCCCATTCTGCCAAGGACATTGCCCTCACTTTCAACAGTCTCAGGGGTCATCTCCCCCAGGCACTTTCCAGCCTGATGCCACCGCAGTCCCTCTGCCCACAGCACCCTGCTGGGCCTCCTCTCCTCCTTTCCCTTCTCCACTCTGCTCAGATGTTTGGGGCTCAGTGTCATCTGTTTAGCTCTGGGAGCTACTCACAAGGGGAAGTTTTTCACCCTACAGTTTGGTTTGGGGTCTTATCCTCTCCCATTCCAGGAAGATCTGACGGAGAGTCACCATCTTGCATTGACTCACTTCTCTCCCAAGTCAAGCTGCTGGAGTGTGTAAAGGAAATAATGTCCATAGCCCTGTGAGCATATAGCAAGCACTCACATGTTAGCTGTAAATGGGGACATCTACAAGGCTTCTGCACTGATGATCTGCTCCATGTGTTGGTACTTAGTAGGTGTGGCCTCATTGGTGCCAAGGCAGATGTGTTGTCTTAGCTCCACAACCAGATGGCAAAATCCAGGGTAGGCTTGTGTCAGTCTTGATGTTCTGTGTCCAGGCCAAGTTATTATTTTGCATTGCACAAAGTAGGTCCTCAAAAATTATTGTTGATTGATTAGTTATTGTTTGAAATCTTCACCAAGAGGCTGTGCCTTCAGTGACTCTGGTTACAGGGACTCTTTTAAGATTAAGGCAATATTATTCATTCTTGGTATTGATTGAAATTGCTCTCTGAGGCTTTTGATCACCTTCCTTTGCCACAGGGAAATTTTGAGTTTACTCATAAGAGGTTCACACATATTAATGGGACATTCATGTATTTTTAAATAGATGTGACAACATTTAGCTTGCATCTGAAATCAGATGCTGGGTGTTAATTGTAGATAAAATTGGCCTTTATCAAAACAGCCCCATTGCTAATGATGTTAGCAAGAAAACTGGGCTCCTTGGTGTAGCAAATTGGTCCTATTCTGATTTTTACTGGGAAGCAAATATTTTCTAGGAAAAAAAGACCCAAATAAATGGAATTATAGGAACCCAATTAAGTTCATATCTTTCCAAAGGGTCATAGGGAATAAGCCCAAAAAAGAAAGTGCTGTTCAATGGAAATTTACAAAACACATGAGTTTGAGGGAAGTTTGGGAAGATTCATGTTCAATTAAGTTTCTCATAATTCCTGGAGCCCACTTATAGAGAAGACTGGTCAGATTCCTGAGCAGATTTGGACCCAGGCTCCTGGCTTTACAGCTAAGGGAAATGAGGATGTTTAGCAGGGGGAAGAGAAAATTCTGGGTTACAAGGTAGCAGTCTTAAAATATCTGAGGGATTGGCTTGTGAAAGAGGAAATGTATTTGTTCAGGAAGGCACCAGCAGGCAGAACTACAACCTATGGGTAAAGGAGGCAGGAAGAAAAATTTTGTCCCAGTGTTTGGAAGAGTTTTCTGGCAATGAGCTCTGAATGTTCTGAAGCAAAGATGGAGTAATTGGACAGGATTAATGTTGAGGTCTATGGTTCTTTACATGTGGGTCCATAATTCTAAAGAATAGATTTAATTTGAACACAACTCAAAATCACAGGATTCTGAGATGAATTGAAATAAAACAAAACCATGACTGTAAACTGGGCAGATGGTAATTATTTTTCTGGTTCTCCATTAGTTCCTGGGCTTTAAAAATGTCTGAGAATTAATCAGATCCCCAAAGGAAAGGTGAGTCTGTGTGAGGAACCCAGATTTACATGTAGAAGACCACAGGCAGAGAGTAGCTGCAGTGAATCCCTACACTGCTGGTGAGGGGTTAGACACTTTGTCTAACTAGAAACTTAAGCGTTCTTAGTTTAAAGCAGCCAGTATTCTTGTTCCGGGTCTATCACTTACTATCTGGGGACACCAACAAGAAAAATGAAACCTCTCTGGCCCTCGCTTTCCAGCTGCAGTATCAGGATGTGTTTAGCTGCAAGTAGCAAGAACTCTCACTCAAAGTATTGGAAACATTAAGGCAATTCATTGTTTGACACAACAAGAAGCAATGAGACAGAGTATTAATTCTAGAGCTCCATGATATCATGGGCGATCCTTTCCATCTTTCTGTTTATCTTTCTGTTTGGTATCCTCAGTGAGGTGACACACTTATAGACACACATATTGGGGGGGCAGGAGGCAATTATCTGAGGAACAGCACCCAAAAGAGAGCTTCGGCTTGAGAGATGCAGTAATCATCTCTATTCTCTATGTGATATTGGCTGCAGTGAGCTATACTTTGTAGTCTGGGGAGAGTCATTTAACCTCTTTTGTTCCATCTGTGAAATGGGCACAATAGGAACAGGGACCACTAGAGGGGCCGCAGTGAAGGTTAACCAGCTGGCAAGCGTATGACCTTGTAGCATAAAAATGACTATTTGCATAGTATAAGAGAACAAGGAAGAAAATCTCTCCTGTTAGAACATTCACACAGTAGTAGCTAGTGAAATTAAACTCTTTGTCCTAGTAATGAAAAAAAATAAACAAACAAACAAAGAGCAACTACAACAAAAACCCAGAATGGCCGGGCCAGGGATACAGATTTCCTCCTGTTTGTATGTGTACTGTACTGTTGGTATTTTTCTAAGACTCTTTTTTCTTGGGAAAATATCAATGATTGGTCCCTTAAATATTTAACAAAAAATAAAGTAAATGCAAGAAAGGTGGGTGGTGGGTATAGTCTTTGTTATGAAACAGTTCCCTCAAAACGCCAGCTAGAATGAAATCACTTGAATCTACCTAGCTAGTCTCAGTTCATTCATAAAACACTACACTTTGTCTAACCAGAAACTTAAGTGTTCTCAGTTTAGAGCAGCCAGTCTTCTAGTTCCAGGTCTATCACTCACTATCTGGGGGAACCAACAAGAAGAGTGAAACCTCTTTGGCCCTCGCTTTCCAGCTGCAGTATCAGGATGTGTTTAGCTGCAAGTAACAAGAACTCTGCCTCAAGGAAATGGAAACACTAAGGCAGTTCATTGTTTGACACAATAAGAAGCAATGAGACAGAGTATTAATTCTAGAGCTCCATGATATCATCAGCAATCCTTTACATCTTTCTGTTTGGTATCTCCAGTGAGGTGACCATGTGCTCAGGCTCACCTCATGCCTGCAGAATGACTGCAGCAGCACCAACCCTCATATCTTATTATTCCTTCTTCTAAGCAAATAAGCCTTTCCCCTAGCCCCCTAGAA
This sequence comes from Homo sapiens, assembly GCF_000001405.40. Classification (NCBI taxonomy): domain Eukaryota; kingdom Metazoa; phylum Chordata; class Mammalia; order Primates; family Hominidae; genus Homo; species Homo sapiens. The sequence goes on along the minus strand of NC_000018.10, from coordinate 56,316,575 downwards.
GAACTTCCCTCTTATCGGACTGGCCAGACAGATGCCATCTGTAAGCTAATCACTAGCAAAGAGAATAGAACAGAGATGATTGGCTTTGAACAGACATCAACTTCAGCAAACTTTCTTAAAGGGCCAGCTGGTAAATAGTTTAGGTTTTGCTGGCCATGAGACAAAATTGAGGACATTAATATGGGTGCTTATGTAACCATTTAAAATATAACCATTTTAAAATGTAAAGACCATTCTGGTGTCCGTGTTTTCCAGAGAACCAAAGCCAATGTGTCTATATATAGAGAGAGACTTTAAAAATTAGCTCATGCAGTTGTGGAGGGCTGGCATGTCCAAAATCTGCAGGGTGGATTGGCGGGCTGGAGACCCAGGGAAGAAGTCATGTTGCAGTCCAATTCCAAAGGCTGTCTACTGATGGATTTCCCTCTTGCTCAGGGGAGGGGAGTCTTTTGTTCTATTTGGGCCTTCAACTGATTGCATAAGCCTCCCCTGTATTACGGAGGATAATCTGCTTTATTCAAAGTCCACTAATTTAAATATTAATCTCATCCAAAAACACCTGCACCGAAACCTCCAGAAAAATGTTTGACCAAATATCTGAGCACCATGGCCCAGGCAAGTTGACACATAAAATGAACCATCACACATTCCTAGCTCCAGGCCATGCAAAAACAGGTGACACAGCAGAAGATTTGGCCTTGGGCTGTACTTGGACAATCTCTGGCTTAGATTTACCCCCGAGGTAGGAATAGGGTCATTTCTCTTGAGAATGGGCATCTGAACAAAACTAGGGTCAGTTAGCAAGGAACGAGGATGATGGGTAGAAAAATAACCCTCCTCTGCCAGCCCTACCTATTCAACACAGGTTTTTGAGATAATAAATATAGAAATCCCTTGAAGAACTTTGTACAACTGCAATAGAATGTAAGGCAGAAATCCTGATTCAGCACCTCCCCACATTTTTTTTAAATGAGTGATTCACTATTTCTATTTGTCAGCACATGCTTTATCTTATTCTTCCTTTTCCATGCAGGAGACACTTGCTATCCAATTCCCTAGGCATGAGGAAAAGGCAACCTGTTACTAATTATTGAGAGAATGAGAGAGGCTATAGTGATCAACGCTTCTGCTGTGGGTGACAAGTACACCAAAGGGCATAGGCAGATGCACTCCAGTCAAGAGGAGAGTTTAAAGAACAAGGCAGTCTGAGTTTTGGTAGAGGTGAGCTAGCTTGGGCTGTTTCCTAGCAAGTGAGGTGAGGAGAGTGTGAGTTGCCCTCCACACAGGTGTATGTCCTGATTTGCTAATTCTCCTGGCCAGTCCTATAGGGCTCTTTTTCAATTCAGGTAAAATGACAGGTACTCTAGTGAGGCACTGTGCTTAGGCAGTAGGGAGGTAGATTTGGGGAAAGTAAAATGCCTGCCCTCCTAAAGAGCATAGTCTAGAGGCAGAGGCAGATACAAAGAGATTACCATGTGCTCCTCAACTGTTAGGGCAGGGGGCACCATCACCTTAATGCACATTTGGCAATGTGTGAGGGGATGCTTTGGGTTTCCACAGTAACTGGCATTCCCTAGCCACCTAGTATTTGTGCCTGGTTGCTGCTGTGTCAAATGTCCCACAGTGCAAGGGACAGTCACATACAACAAAGAATTGTCCCACTGAAAACACCAGTAGTTTCCATGGAGAAGAACTAAGGGACGATGAACTGTCAGTCAAGGGATGCAGAAGGTATACCATCAGCCACCTTCCTCCAATATGAGGGCTGCTGACATTGACGTGGCAAGAAAGCTGGAATCTGCCAGGCTGCCTTGTTTGGGATGAGCTCATGTTTCTGCTGAAATTCAGGAAAGGACTAGGAATAGCTTTGGTGGGAACAGGGCCTCTGCTTATGGTTTTGTAGATTATGAATTGCACAACTCCAGGGGGAGCCACTCGTGTTTCAATAACCACAGATTTCAATAGCTATTACCACTTTTTTCTGGTAGATGGCAATAAAGTATCTCAAGAAAGGACATCTTATGAATTCACACTGAGCTAGTCACAGGGCTGGGCTGGAGGTGGCAGGAGAGAGAGATGTGGTATATAGATGGTTTCCAACTTAGAGAAAAATTAAGTGGCAGGACTTAGGTGGATAATTGCTGAAGTGGTTATAGCCAGGGCAAGAGTTTGGTCTCTGGCCAATGTGTTGCAGGAGCAACAGTGTCCCAAGGCCTCTTCAGGCATCAGCCAGATGGGGGGACGCGTTCAGGTTTCCAGCCATAGTGAGGGAGGCCCCAGGGTCTTTGCTTCTTTTACTGACCTGCTTTGGAGGGACTGTGGTCTCAACAGGGAGGAAAAACATATTGTTCTGGCTACCTGCAGAAGCAGATGGGCCCCCGCCTAAAATTTGGTCTGGATATCAAGATCGATGATGCCTCATGCACACCAAGAGGATACGAACAATTTATTACTTACATAATTGAGGTCTCTTGGAAGAGCAAGGCAGGCAACACAGAGAAGTCTGAAGTGACTTCCCAAGTCATTGAGCAAGGAAAGGAGACTGGCTTGTGTTTTTATTGTGGTTAATGGGTGGGGCTGGGGTGAGAGTTCCCAGGAGTCCAGAGAGGGAGCACCCCAACTTTCTTATCAGCTTGCTCAGATGTGGGGCACCACTGGATGAGGGAGGCATGAAGTTTAAAAGCTGCCAGCAAACAACAAAAATGGACTCAGATGCCTCCTTAAACACATCCTCTCTCATTGAGATGTAATCCTAGTTATTCTCTGCCTTTTGGGATGATTGCAGGGGAGAAAGGGGAAAGGGCTTTCAGGACCCCTCCTTCAGCATTGCCTCACTTCTACCTGTGCAGGGAAGAACTCCGGAGAGGTGGGAAATCGAGGCTTAGTTCAGGGCAGGCATGGAGTCCAGTAGCTACATCATAGTCGGGTAATGGGGGACTCACCAGAGTGCAAGTGAGTATCCTTGAAACTGATGGAGACATTAAGACCTGGTTGAGCCCTTGGGTCCTAGAACTTCCTCTGAGTTTAATTCCTTGGGCATCTCTGTTAATTAGCACCAGAACATTTTCTGGACTCAGAATCAGTGTGACATGTGTAACCAGAGTGCATGTTAAGATGAGGTGTCCTGAGACTTTGTTTCCACACCACGGGAGACAGAAAGTGCCACTGCTGTTAGCATTTCTCCAGAGGCTGACAAAAGTGATGAACTGAGCTCTTAATGTATTGCAAGCTGAATACACTTGAGCATATAAGCGAATGGGAAAAGAAAGAAGGCAGAGTTATTGAGGCAACAATTCAGATTTAATTGCATTTGATATAGACCACCCTTTAAAAATAGTTTGGTGGGTAAAAGGCTGCAGTAATTTATGGAACATTCTGCTTGCTTCCAGGGAAGTTGACAAGTCTGGACTGAATCAAGAGAATCAGCATAAATCTCAGCCGATGCCTAATTTTAGAGATGTCTGGTCTTTGAAGGAGTCTTGCCACAGCCAGATGGGGTGGGAGACAGCATTTGAGGGTGGAAATGCAGGAGGTGCCAAACTGAAGCTCAAAAGGTTAAACCCATTTTTGTGGCTGATAAATCCTAAGCAAAAATGAATTGGATTGTGGGAAGAGTTATGTACTGTAAACTGGAGTCCCTGGGGGAGGCTGCAGAAGTCTTGAAGGCTCTCAGGTAAATTATTTAATTCCTCCAGGCCTCGACATTGTACATCTTTAAGAAACTGAGCTCATTCTTACAGTGAGCTGCTTGAAACAAGATAGCTGCATGACCATGGGCAGGTCACCGGGCCTCTCTGGGGCTTTGCTGCTTTGTGTGTTCACCAGAGAAATTCCCCTCTCTACTGTGTAGCTGACTTCAAAGCTCAGCTTAGGTCATGATCACTGAGAAACTTCTAAACAAAGTTTCCAAAGGAAGGCCTGTGTCCTGTTCATCTTTGTGTTACAATACCTGGCACTTGGGGAACGTTCAGTTATGATAGATATTTAGCTGAACTGAAAGGATTAAACTGCCCATCTTAATGGTAAATTACAACCCTGAGCTTCTGTAATTTTAAATTCAACTCATTGTGGCCAGTCTCAAGAAAGGCATGTGAATGGTGGCATGGCCTTTATATGTCTCAGAACATTGGTTCTAGTGCACTCGTTATTACTAGGATGATAATGATGATTATATGTTATTCTGGGGGAAGAGAGAACGGGACAAAAAGACTTTCTGAAGAAGTTGAGTAACTATCTACTCATTTAAAGTCATGTATTCCCAGGAACCAAAGAGTCTAGGATCATATTATAACATGTTTGAAGTTGAAGAGTGTGATGGGTTTGAGGAGTGTTCTTCCAAGCTTTGTTCTCAGACCATCTCCATCAGAATCTCTTGCTAAATGCAGACTCCTTGGCCCTGTTTCTAGATCCATGAAGTCAGAATCTCTTCTGATTCTGATTCTGATTCTGCCCAGGAATCTACAAACTCCCTGGGTAACTCTGATGCACACTTAAGTTTCATGATTGTCAGCATAGGAAATGATAAAATAGTTTTATGGGCTTGGGGACAGGAGAAATTTAGCCCAAACAGCACAATTAAGTATGGGTTCATTATGGTGCAGGTGGCAGTGCAGTCTTCGAAGTCTGAAAGATCCCTGCGGAAATTCTGCATGAAATGCTTCTTAGTGGCCGGGTGCTGTGGCTCATGCCTGTTTTCCCAGCACTTTGGGAGGCCGAGGCGGGCAGATCACCTGAGGTCGGGAGTTCAAGACCAGCCTGACCAACATGAAGAAACCCCGTCTCTACTAAAAATACAAAATTAGCCAAGCATGGTGGCGCATGCCTGTAATCAATCCCAGCTACTCGGGAGGCTGAGGCAGGAGACGCGCTTGAACCTGGGAGGTGGAGGTTGCAGTGAGCTGAGATTATGCCATTGTACTCCAGCCCAGGTGACAAGAGTGAAACTCCATTTAAAAAAAAAAAAAAAGATTCTTAGCTGTGTGGCCATGAGCAAGTGATTTCACTTATTATTAAGCCTTCCTTTCTTCATCTGTGAAATGGGCGTAGTAATGCCCTCCCTGTTGTAAAGATTCAAACAAATGTATGTAAAGGGCCTAAAACATAAAAGGTGTTCAGTAAGTGTTAGCTGACATTATCTTCTTTGTAGCATCCATCAGAATGAGATGTTCCCAGGGTGAATGGGAAGTTACCTGCATGGGGAAGGAAGATAACTTCTTACTAAGATTCTTTATGGGGTTAGGATGGGTGGGCATAAGGTCTGCAGAGTGGAGAGGAAGCTAACTTCTTTGATAATGTTCTTAAGACTCTTACAAAATATGTTCCCAAAGTATGTTTTCTGCAATCACATCTTCATCAGAAAGACTGCTGTAAAATATTCCTGATATATTGAGAAATTAAGGGACATCCATTCCTTTTTAAAACTTTTATTCATTTTTAAGTTTTCAAGAACATTTCATCATAAAAATTTCAAATTTTATATGAAAATGGAGAGACAAGTGTAACAAACCCATAAATACTCATCACTGACTTCCAGTGATTATCAATATTGGCCAAGTTTGTTTCAACTGTGTGTACCCATTCCCCTCAATGGATTATTTCTGAACAAATCACTAACATCACATATTTCTTCCATAAACATTTTAGCATGAAACTCTAAAATAGAGGACTTTTAAAGAAAAAAACCTAATAATATCATTATCAACCTAAGGAATTACGAATGTCTTTAATAGCTTCAAATATCTGCTGAAGTTTTTCAATTGTCTGTAATTATAATTGATTCACTAGGGACAACAATATTCTAGTTGTATGTTACTTTGTTAATTAATAATTATCTGAAATATATCTACAGAGAGAAACTTTACTTCATGAACTATTTGGCTACCCAGATGTGCCGTTTACATAGGAATACCAGTATGAATGCTTAATGTTTTGCTATTTATTAGTTTCCAGAGCGATTCATTGGTTCTTTAGTATTATGCAAAGGAAATGAAGCAATAATACTTTGGTTCTTTAGTATTCTGCAAAGTTCATATTTTGACAAAATATAAATTCATGGAATTAAATATTTTTGAAATGTTTCAATCTATTGTAACTATTATTTATGTTCTAATTGTGCCAAGGTTGGCCAGTGGAGGCTCTTCAAGTTGGCTTTTGAACTTTTTAACATAACAGTAGTAGCTTTAATAACTTCCTTGATTTCTGCTATGACAGAATGTTCCACCCTTATCTTGTATATTTTTTCCTCAGACCTGAAATCACCTATTTCTCCCAGAACATGGGATCTAGAGATCATAATTTGCATGTCTAAGGATGCACATTGGTGCTATGCTTATTATAATTTCTAGGCCTTTTCAGTGGGCAGAGGCAGAAAATAAACATCTTTTAGTACACTGTGATTTTTATACAGATTTTTCCAATGCAAATTCAGGACTAAAGTATTTTTACTTACCTTCTCTATTATGTCTGTATCTCTTTCTCTTATACCTACATCCTGATTTTCAATAACACCAAATAATTGGTCATTTTATCCTGTAATATACACAAAACAGTTTTAGAACAAAATACCAAGACAGTCATAAAAGGTATGGCTGAAATGAGATTAAGATAATTTTGCAGCTCTTTTGTCTTTAGAGTTTTTCCCATTAGGCTGTATGGTCAACATCTGTGTTTTAAAGTCACTGATTCCTCTCCATGTGGTTATGCTACCTGGTCAAACATGGATTCATATGTTTAATTTTGTTTATGATTTTTCTGTTTACAAGTTAATTTTCATGGTAATTATGTAAAATATTTACATGATTTCAAAGTCTAACCTTCAAAACAAGATATAAGCACAAGGTATCACAACTAAGGTATCTTCCCTTAGTGGTGATAATTCAAAATGCCTCCAGACATTGCCAAATATCCCCTGGGAGGCAAAATCACCTCTGATGACAATAATATTTATTTACACATATATGTACATTTATTAATCTCATGTCCTGAATAATGGCGTTGAGGTCAACAGTGGACTGCATATATGATGGTAGTCCCGTAAGAGTATAAGGGAACACATGTAACAAGTTGATACATGGCACTTGATATTGGCATTGCTAGGGGAAATAACTGATATTCAGCACCATTGTGCTAGTACATTTGGATTTCCATATGAAAAAATATATACACATAAAAAGATATATACCATCTAGGTTTGTGTAAGTGTACTCTATGATGTTCACACAACGACAAAATAGCCTATGATGTGTTTCTCAGAACACATCTCTGTCATCAAGTGATGCATGACTGTATAGTTATTTATAGCTACATTTCCTCTTCCCATTACTTAGATACACAGTCGCCAACTGCCCTTTTCTTCACTTAACTTTTTTCACTCAATAAAATATATCCTAGAGATCACTCCCTGATATTACAGAGAGCAATTCCTCATTCCTTTCACAGTTATCTAGTGCTCTGTTGTCCCCTTCCTTATTAGATTGTAGCATTTTTCCAGCTCTCCTGCTCATGTATATAGAAGGGGTCCATTACCATTTGGGCAAGTACACTGAGAGAGTTTCAGGTGCCCGAGTGCTGAGAAAATTAGACAGCAGCCAGGTGCAGTGGCTCACGCCTGTAATCCTAGCACTTTGGGAGTCCGAGTCGGGTGGATCACCTGAGGTCAAGAGTTTGGGACCAGCCTGGCCAACATGGTGAAACCTCATCTCTACCAAAAACACAAAAATCAGCTGAATGTGGTGGCTGGCACCTGTAGTCCCAGCTACTCAGGAGGCTGAGGCAAGGGAATCACTTGAAACCTGGAGGCAGAGGTTGCAGTGAGCTGAGATTGTGTCACTTCACTGCAGCCTGGGCAACAGAGAGAAACTCCGTCTCAAAAAAAAGAAAAAAAGAAAAGAAAAAAGAAAAGAAAAGAAACAAAACAAGAAAATTATAGACAGCAAACTAAAAAAACAGAATAACTTATCCTTCTCCTGACCCCCCATCTACATTTTATTAAGCTCCAAAACAAGTTTTAGTCTTTCCCTCTTCTCCATCAATGACTGTTCTTTAAAAATAAATTTCCATTGTGAAAGCTCAAAGTTTTTCAAATCTAAGAGAAGTATATTTTTGGCTTTTTAAAAATTATTGTATTATTTTCTCATTCCTGGACTTGGATCTAGGGATGTCCTGTATGCCGATTTGCGAGTGTCTATTTGGGCATGTAGGCTGCCCAAAGCTGTATTAGTTTTATAGAGTCCATGTTAGTTTTCTATTATTTATTTTCAGATTTCAGGGGACTTTTTCTTATCTCGTTGTGCCAAGGTGAGTGCTCTGTTCACTAGTGTTCTGCAAGAGTTGTCAGCAACCATGAGGTTTAAAACATTATTCCAGGTTACTAAGTGGAATTAAAACCTAGGCATGAGGAATTCCTTTTCACTGTGATCAAATAGCAACTACAAATGTTAGTTTCTTCTGAAGATCAGCAGGCAAAAAAAAAAAAAAAAAAATGCTACAGGATATGAGGTGGGACAAGAAGCTCCCTTGGTGCTGAAACAATTCTCAGAATGAGGATTCTGAGGCCAGCCAAACAGAACCCCCAGCTGGGCCAGAGGAAATGAGGCCTCAGCCTTCACCAGGGGAAGACACAAGAGGAGCCCTGAGCTGAAAGTGATGATGGGCCGATTCTTTTATGGTTTCACAGAGGCCTTAGACCACAGCAACCTGCTCTCCCTAACAAATGAGAAGGGCCAGACTCAAATTAATTATTTTGGCACTATTATCATACAGACCAATTCAGTACATTTATATAAAGCTGAATATTAAACCTATTTATTTTCTCCTCTGGCTCATAAGCTGTCCTTCCCCTCCCCCCACAACGGGTTACACTATTAAAGAACGAGGGCTAAAATTTCAGAAAATTCATTTCCATATGAATATCATATTCTGCAGCTTGAAAAAGTACACAAGTATAAAACATGATCCCTTCTGATGTGGTCTCCAGGGGAAAGAGTCAGGGGAGGTCTTGCTGATGGGGAGGGTGTGAATGCTGAGTTGGCAGAAAGAGGAGAGGATGGAGGATGCAATAAAGAATGTGATCATTACTATTTTTTAAAAATAAATATTTTGTAAGAACGAAGCTTGCAGCCTGCTAACACAGAAATTTAGGATGCCATTTTCCCAATGGTCCCTAAATTATTTCATTTAAATCTTTCTGCATTGTATCAATCAAATCCACCTCTCTGTACTTTCCTTCCTTACAGAATTGCAAATTTTAATATCTGATTTTAGAATTATCTCCTGTCTACAAACAATGGACCAATAATAACACACATTCAAGAGCAACATCCGAAACACAACTTCATATAACAGAAAGGTGGGAGAGATTTCTTTTGGCCAGTTAAAACACCATATTGAACAAATTATTTGCTCTTCAGTAATTTTTATTTTTTATTTTCTCTCTTCCTAGGCTCAAGATGAACATATCTGCTTATGCCTGTTTTTTTGCTTGCCTTTAATCATACAAATAGCACCTAGCCTATTCTTCCATCTCCTTGCTGCTCCCCCACCCTCCTTCATTAGAAGGTTCCCTCTGTTCCCATTTCCTCTTTTACTTCATTGTGAGCAGCTGGGCTATGTGCTTACAGCAAATTAGCTGTAAAATAAAGCAGGCTTTTTTCCCTTTTTCTTTTTTTTCAGGGCGTTGTGGGAGAAAAGGTGGTTAGAGAAATTATCCTACAATAAGCAAGTGTGGACAAGGATCAAATAAGCAGAAGAAATAATCCTGTTGGAGGGTTTGCTCACACAGATGAACCATAGTTAAGTGTATTTCCCTCCTGGGGGTCTCTATTGCATCCTTCTGGATCCTCACTCTCAAGTTCTTTACCAGTGGCATTTTCCAATCAGTTCTTGATTTTCACAGACATCCACCAGATGAAGTCCCGGTTGGAACGTGTAGTACTTTAAAATATTGATATCCAACTGCAGTCTCAATGTTGCTGGCCTCACTTTTTGTGTATGTTTAAAAATGCAACAACAATTGTCACAGTTATTCATCAATGTAAAAATTTCAGGCAGGCACTGAAATTGGGTATGGTCCCGAGAGGAAAATTAGTTCTAAAGGTAAGGAAGTAGAAATAAGCAGGATGAGAGAGAGGCATCGTTAGACAAAGTCCTTCTCCTAGCAACAACTCACAGGCATTTCGGCACTCTGTCCATGGGGTGGGTGCTGTTGATTTTTAGTAATAGTCTGCTAGTATTTAAGATGCACCCTTCCTGAAGATGCTGAATGGCCACACACAGTCAGACTCTTTATAAGGTCAAATAAAGTCCTCCATGCTTGGATTCAGCATCACTGACAAGATGTTGCTAATTAGTATCACATGGCCTGTCTCCTAGTGGGGTTGAAATTTAATATATTATCACTTCTCTATCCTACCTCAACCAGGACAGACATACCTCAAGAGGGGTGAATGGAAAGAATCCTTCAATAGAGAAGTGAGGTGGTCCACTTAGCATTTACTGGACACCTCATCTTTATACCTATTGGTTTTCAAACTCTTTCGTTAAGCAATGAAACATTTTATTTTCCAAATAAAACATTACTTGGCACATAAGTATACAAAGTAGCAAAAGCAACATTTGAATACCTCAAATTTGTTTTGTAATTTACAAATTATGCAAGTATAATTTTAAAATTAATTTATTTAAAAGGCACTCAAAGAGAATTCTCAGGATGTTTGGTTGCACAAAAAAGTTGAAATTGTGATAACTGCTGCCACATTATAAGAGCCTCATTACCCAATTCCTCCCTCTCTACTTATGTTTTTTTGTTTGTTTTGGTTACAAAGTATGGAGAAAATTCTGATTCATACATGTAAGTAGAGGGAAATGGTAAGGTTTTTGTTTTGTAATGACATTTTACTTTGTAACTTTAGAATATTCTCCATTGCCCAGGAGATGACCACAGAAGAGGGTCTATAAAGTTGGCATAAAAACAAATTAACCTGATAGCATCAGGCTATAGGTAGAAGTATCAAATTTGTTCACATCACTTGAATGTTTTAGTTTACTGTTTAAGAGTGGCTAAACATATTTAAAAGTGCAATTCAAATTAAATGTTTGTAGAGCCTCTGAAACACTGTGGCAGGCTCTAGGGTGAAGAATGTGGCTTGGAAACCATTGCATTGGGGGCATTTCCAGAGATATTACTGGTAGCACTAGTATCATCTTGGGAGAAAAGTTATGAAAATCGGTGAGACAGGAGTGTGTGGGTGTGTTTCCTAAAAGCCATAAGCACTTTGGAGAGGGTCCACCTCCTATTTCATGATTGTTGGAACAACTTTTCTGCCCCACTCTTTTGTTACTGTCAGAGTTTCTGTAGTTGATGCCATGCAAATTGAGGATGCTGGTGATGGGCTTGGAAGCCCTTCCTGAGCCTCAGGGTTCTAGAGCTGTGCTGTGTGGTGTACACTGCTCGTCCTCAGCCACATGGTGCTTCTTGCATTTAAATTTTATCAAGTAAAATTATGTAAATTAAACATTCAAGTCTGCAGTTTTCACTAGGCACATTTCAAGCACTCAACAGTACATGTGGACAGCGTAGACTTAGAACATTTTTATCATCACAGAAAGTTCAATTGGACAGCACTGTTCCAGAGTGAGAGCCACTCATCTGCCTGGCTGCCATTTTCAGGTTCCTCTTGAAAAGAGCTTATAACCCAGCATAAGATCATCTTTTTGGTCAACACAAACTTCCCCCTATATTGTATTAGAAGTACTTAAATGAAAGATGGGGGTAAACAATTGCTAATATCTTCTGGTCCCCAACACAGTCCTCGTTTGTAATGTTCCATGATAGAATAGGAGAGTAAACTGGAGCTTTTATTTGAGAATTCCCCTAAAGGATCATAATAGGTGAGCATAATGATTAAGGGAAGGAATCGTGAAGCCAGGCTGCAGTGTCTGAATTCATTTAGCCACTTGTAGGCTGTTTCATCTTGGGGAAATTAATGTGTGTGTGACTCCATTTCCTGCTTTGGGATATTACTACTATTCACTTCATCAAATCATTGTGAGAATTAAGTGAGATACTGCATTTGAAGCACCTTAGCACAGTGACTAGCTCTTAGCATTTGTTATAGGTCACCTATTTTTATTACCATCACAACCTGCTCAAATGAGGAATTCCAATCTGGAGGTCATTCTTTGAACAATGGGTTCAAAAACATGAAGCATAAGAAAAATGATTTTTAAAAATTTCCCAGATGAGAAAGTATTAGTAAAAATGTGAACAGTGAGAAGGGTGTCTGGTTAGGATTAGAAATCATCAAATATCACAGATTCCTCATTTTTTAGTTTTTTTGATTCACCTCTTTAAAGATCTTAGTTGGGAATGAATTTCTGTTATTGTCACGTGCGAATGACATCTTGGCTGAAAATTAAATTCGTGGGTCCCAAATCATTCTCTTCAAACATTCAGAAATGTTGCACTATGGTTTTCTGACATTTGGCATTTGAGAGCAATCTGGCCCAATATTAGTTATCCATTGGGTTAGGGGTGTCTTATTCTGAGTTCCCACAGAATTAAACTCTGAGTCAAGGATTCACATGCAAGTCATTTATTTGGGATGTGAAGGTAGTAGAGCACAAAGGCGAGACATAAAAAGAAGGCAGCCAGTACAGGATGCATTATAGATGGTGTGTTATTGAGCCAGGTACCACTGTGTATACCTGGAGCAGTTAACTCTGGGAGCCAGTGAAAAACACATTTTTCAAAGTTAACCTGTCAGTGAAATGAGAGTGCCCTTGGTATTTAATCACCAAATCCTGCCTCTCATTGGTTAGCACACTCCTGGGGTTGTTGGTTCCTTAGGTCTTGCAGACATCTGCAAGGGCAGGCAAAATGGCTATAGTGTCACCAAAAGGCCTGATAAAAGAATCCAGGAGTTGGCAGCTAGAAATCAGCCTGGACTGCACTGAAGTGCTAGGGGTGAGGGCACACAGACAGGGACCAACAGTGTCTGCCACCGAGGGGAACCTCTTCTGCAGAGATACTTGAATGATTGGCCAACTGATTAATTATAATTCCATGGGTTGCTCTTTTTTCCCTCTGTGCTATTTTGGACCTTTTGCTTTCTCTGGATGTCACTTTTTCTTAGTTTCTTTCTTTCTCTCATTCTCCAGAATGGGCCCTGGGCCTGTGCCAGGATTCCATTTAGGAGAAGGGGGAGCTATTTGGCTGATTTGTAAGGTACTCAGAAGAGTTTCTGGCATAGATGCAGCTCTATAAGGATTTTTGAATCAAACAACTCTGTCAGGTAGGTACGATTACTTATTACACTCATTTTACAGATGAGAAAACTGAGGTTATGTAATTTGCCCAAGGTCACGCATGTAGTAGAAGGGAGGGGCGGAGTCCAACCCTAGGCCTCCGGGGTATAGCTTTCCCATTGGTGACCACTCAACAATTGCCATACTTGACAATTATTTGAGATTTGCCATGAGCCTATTACTCACCCCCAGATGGAAAAAAGCAGGAAGTTGTTTTTGTTCCCACCAAAAAAGTTTGCCAGATAATGTTCTGACATCTTGATGTGACTGTTAATAGCATCATCTTCTAAACCCAAAACATCAAATCTGCATTTTCCCCATGCACAATTGGTGTTCCCTTCCCTGTGGTAGAATAAAAGCTAAATATGCTGTAAGCCTCTGTTAAGTTCTGTAAATTGTATGGGATATATATATATAAAAAACACACACACACACCCCTATATTTTTTTTCATAAAATACCTGTGGGTGTTTTCATTCTTTAGGTACCATTAGAATTCTGAGCACATTCAATCAATTTTTTGACTTGGTGGAGTAGAGATGTGTGATGTAAGGGAGAGATGTAGGGAGGCGTGTGGAGTTTAACTGAGTCCTGGCCACTCTCCCTCCCACTTTGGAAGTGCAGCAGCACCACCATTCCATGCTTAGGTAGGTAAAATGTCAGCACAGGTCGGAGAGGTCTATCTATGGAGGCATCTGCTCCCTGCAGCCCCATGAGTAATAGCCAGGGTGTGGAGTGAGTGGGAGAAACATACTCAGCAACAGAAACTGACTGCTGTGCACGCAGAACCAGGCCACAAGGAGAGAGGGAGGAGACCCGTGACAGTGGGCTGCCGGCGGACAGAGGCAGCTCGCTAGCAAACAGCTTCTCCTCTCTCCCTCGCTCCTTCCCTAATAGGACTGGAATCCACGCTGGGATAGGTGAGATAGCACACAGGCAGATTGCCCACCAGATGGTACAATCTTCTATTTAAGAAATATTTGAAAGGGCAACAAAATACAGCAGAAACCATCCGACAGTCCACATGGCTAATGCAAAATTAGCCAAAATCATGGCAGTAGCAATGACGGGGTGTTGTGGGGTGAGTTGTAGGAAAGGCTGCGGAGAGGTGAGCACCGTGATGTCACGCAGGGCAGGTGGCGGGGAGTCTGAGCTGCTTCTCCATTATTGCACCGTGGTGCTTCATGTGTTTCTAGGATGCCCAGTCTGTAGCCTGTGTCTGAGAAGTGCCAAGGCTGAGGGTGATGGCACAAGTGTGGCCATCCAAATTGTGTCTCCCGAACTGGGAGGCCTCTGGATGGGATGGGACGTTGTTTGTCATTGCTATTCTGAGGCTCTTTCCTCATTTCCATATCTCGGTTGAGTGGCCTTTTTCTTCCTGATGTCCTGTTACAGCTCTATTTGTCAAAACCACGTACACCGTCAGCATCAGCACGATCATACTATTGTTCATTGAGCTCTTATTTTGTCCCAGGTACTGTGCTAAGCACGCTACCTCATAATAGCTAATGCATGCTGAGTAGTTGCTACATACCAATCGCTGTTTAGAGTGATTTACATATATTGTCTTATTTCATCCCCACAACGAACTAATGAAGTAGGCACTGTTATTATCATTTTCATTTCACACAAGGGGAAAGTGAGGCCTGGAGACCCTGAATAACTTTCCCAAGGCTACATGATTATTAAGGGGAAAGAAATTTGTCGACTCCCATCAATGCTGTTTAGTGCTATACTCTAGTGCCTCTGATATGTTCTTTTCCTCTTTTCATCCTTCTATGACCACCCTGTGAAGATGTCATCATTTATAGTATATATAGTTAAGGAATCAGCAGTTTAAAGAGTGTAAGGAATTCCCTGGGGTTGCATGTCTAACAAGAGTTGTTAGTCTTATTCCAAAGCTGGTGACCAACCACCATGGGAGACCATCTCTTTTCCACCAGCCACTCTTGCTCCCTCTCTCCCAGCACTGACATCCTCAGCATCCATGCCTGAAACCTCAGCGACACATTGGCTTTGTATTTTGTTGTTTTCTAAGTCTTATTTCTTTCTCATTTAGGGTATCCTCTTTCTATTCCCCTCTTCTCCATTCCCATTGCTACTAGCTAGTCAAGACGAGGTTTCTTTGCCTTCATAGTATTACTAAAGTACTTGCCATTAGTCTCCACTTGTCTTTCCTGTAAAGATATTTCATCCCACACTACGCCATGACTCCTAGGCATGAGCCTCCAAGACAGACCCTGCCTGCAGCATTCTAGAAGTGGATGAATGATAGAATGTTTTTCTCTATTATCTAGCCCCTAAGACTACAAGAAATCTTTGTGTGTGCACACACATTCACCACAGTGTAAAAATAGAAAACGTTGGGTGTGTTTTCCATGGAATTATGTAAATAGATCTACATAAATACATTTATAAGAATGAAATTTTGAGCAGAAACTGCTCTCATTGTTTTTGTAATGGGTTCTAAAGAGAGAGCTGCTGTCTTATAGGGCAAGTCGGTTTTCCATCGAACTTTTCTCTTTGACCATCATGGAGGGAATGTTGGTAGTTTTGATGTTTAATTTTCAGAATGCAGTAAGGCTTCATTATTCATAGAAGATGTCTTCCTGGGAATTACAACAGACAATAATGGAACAGAAATGGGATTGACTAACCCATTGACCTTGTATCACAAGAGCAGAAAGAAATAAAACCTGAACAGACCCCCGTGTTTTCCATCCCCCCAAGGGCTCTGTCTGTTCTCAGGCCTGGGCTGCTTTCTGTTTTCCCCTCTGGAGGGTTCCAGTATCAAGTGTCTCTGTGTTAATTAACTCAGCATGTGGCACATAAAGGCCTGACAGCAGATAGCTAATGTTTTGGATATGCACTAAGTTTAAGGATTAGCTCAATTCCAAAGGACAACTTAACGCTGCCACTCTACCGTTGACACTTGGTGATCCGAGGCAAATTTCCTGTTCTGGGCAATCTTCCTTCTGCCACCATCACACATGTGGACTTCAACTCCTCCCTCTCTGCTCTTAGAAGCTCAGACAAAGCAAACCAATTTAAAGACTTTCATTTGATCTGAATAAAATCAGAAAGACACATCTTGCAATTGCTGGTAAAAACCAACAATAAACAAAATCCCATAATATGGCAGATTATCTGTGCCAATGTTTGTTTCTCCTACTATGGCAATTTTACTGTTTAAATACATTTATATGTATATAATATCAAGTAAATACGTGTGTGTGTGTGTGTGTGTGTGTGTGTGTAAGTAATAAGTTTATAAGGGAGTTTCACATCTAAGCTCCAAAAGCCAAATTCCTTAGAATAGGTATGTGGTGAGAAACCAGTATGGTTTCTCTTTGGCCTGAAATATTTTTGAACATAGAGTAGTACAAAGGTTGAAAAATGACAGGTGATAGGCCACATGTGGCCTCTTGACATGCTTCATTTGGCTTTGTGCAGTGTTCTTAAAAATTTATAATTGAAAATATGGGACTTTTTTTCAAAGTTTGCATTTTTGGGTTTCCTTGTCTGGGTCTGTACTTCTTCACGGCAAAAATTGACAGGAGCAAAGCAGCCCTGTCCCTCCCTTGGATGGGGCATGTGTCAACTTCATTACAAGCACACAGGGTTTGAAATGCCAATTCCTGAACCCCAAATTGTGCTTTCTCGTTGTTCTGCCAACCTCAAGTTTGCTAAATCTCCCACTTAGTTCCTGATAGTTTCTTGGCCGTTTTGCCCAAAGTAGTCTGTTAAATAGGACACGCTGGGTGGAGTTGGGCAGGGTTCATTTTAGACTCACTTTTTATTTAACTTTTACAAAGCAGGGTTTTCATGACTATTGACCAGCTGCCCAGAAATTACCTGGTGAGTTCCTTTTCAAAAATCAAAACAAACAAGCAAATATAAAAAATATGGAAAGGCTGACAAATTTAGCCATTTGGCATGGCATTTAAAAATGGATGTAGCAGTATTTTTAAAGTACTCTTTCAAATGTCATGACAGCTGTCCAAATTTGTAATTTTAAAATATATTTTATGTTATCACATACATTTGCTGTACACTCTATCAAATATATGACTAATATGTGAAAACAAATATGTGTGCCACCCTGCTGACTCATGCTCTTTGAGACATTGGAAACTCCTTGAAGGACCAACTAAAAGCCCCTTGTGGCTGGAAAGAGAAGCCCAAGGCTACCAGTGCTTTTCTCTAGGGTGTTTGCTCAAGGATCAACTTTCATTTCCCCTTGGAATGAAAGGCACATATCACAGAAATTCCACAGAATCAGGCGCAAATAAAGAAGACAGATCTTAACTTAAAGACCTGAGAATGGTTCTTTAAATCATTCATTCATTCATGTGTCCATTTATTCATCTATTCACTCACTCAATGAATATTTATTGAGCAACTACTATGTGACACCTGCTGTGATGTTAGATGCCATCAGGGGATAAATATATGGACAAAATTTTATGTTTGTTTTTTTTTTAAGGAGCTGTATGAGTTTCTAAGTCCCACTTAACAAAGTGCCATGATTGGATGGCTTAAACAAATTTATACACTCATGGTCTCACAGTTCTAGGGGACAGAAATCTAAGATGAAGGTGTCAGCAAGTTTGGTTCCTTCTGTGGGCTGTAAGGGAAGGATCTGCTCCAGGCCTCTCTCCTTGGCTTATAGATGGCTGTCCTCTTCTCCCTGTGTTTCCCATCATGTCCACCCTTGTCTTGTACTTGCCTGTGTTCAAACTTCCTCTTGTTAGGACACCAGTCAGTCATATTGGATTAGGGACCACCCTAATGAGCTCATTTCAACTGAATCATCTCTGTAAAGAACCTGTCTCAAATAAAGAGACATTCTGAGGTACTTGGATTAAGAATTCAACATGAATTTTTTGAGAGCACACAATTCAGCCCCTACAGGAGCTTCTAAGGTAATCATTTCTATACTCTAAGTTAGAGTGCTTCTGTTTCAGTTGTTGGTCCTGCTGTTTCTTTTTCTTTTCTTTTCTTTTCTTTTTTTTTTTTTTTTGAGACAGAGTCTGGCTCTGTTGCCCAGGCTGGAGTGCAGTGGTGCAATCTTGGCTCACTGCAAGCTCCACCTCCAAGGTTCACGCCATTCTCCTGCCTCAGCCTCCAGAGTAGCTGGGACTACAGGCGCATGCCACCACACCTGGCTAATTTTGTTTTTGTATTTTTAGTAGAGACGGGGTTTCACCGTGTTAGCCAGGATGGTCTCGATCTCCTGACCTCGTTATCCACCCACCTCGGCCTCCCAAAGTGCTGGGATTACAGGCATGAGCCACTGCGCCTGGCCAGTCCTGCTGTTTCTACTGGCAAAGGCATCTGTCTTCCACTGTTGCTAATGACCATCTCATCTATTCCTAAGCTGTGCTGGCCTAAGAAATTTTAGAAGCTAATAAGCCTAGCTTGACTCTGCGGACACAAAATTTCAGGAGCTGAACATGGGATGGAGATACAAATGAAAGGGCCTTGATTTCAGGTGTACCTGTTTGTAACCTGAAGAGCCAGCTTATGGCCAGGAGTGGAGATAAAAGATCCCTGTAGTGTTTTCTAGTAGGATAAGATGCCATGAAATGTGGGTGGACAGAGAGAGAAGAGCCAGTCAAGATAAGTTCTAGGCCAGTTAGACAGAAACGTTCTTGGAAGTAAAAATCTTGGTAACACAGAGACTGTAACAAACATGACCCATGTAACTCTTGATGTGCAAGAACAAAGGGAGAAAGAAGCAAAGAGCAGCCAGAGATCTAGGTCCGACTGGTGGAGTTTGTGGAGAATGTGCCATGAGGCATGAGTTGGGGGTATACAGTTAGGAAGCCTTGGCTGACATTCTTAGACAAGATCATGCCAGAGCCCAGGAAGAGACTCTTGTGGGGCCCAACTCTGAGCAAATCTGTGAGGTAGGGGCCCCATCCTCATTATACTGTTTTCCCAAACCTTTTCCTCTCTTTGCCTTTTCATTCTGGCATCTTTCCTGTTTCATTTTTCTGGTATCCTCAGCTGACCCAGGGTACAATGAGAGCTGAGAAAAATCTTAATCTCTTTCTACAGCATGCTAATCACCTGGGCATCTTATTAAGATGCGGATTCTGATTCAGAGGGTCTGAAGGTGGGCCCAGCCTGGTCCACTAGCCACACTTTGAGTTGCAAGGGTTTATGGGATGATGGAGCCCAACAAGTTTCCGCGAAAGCCTTGCTCTCTCTTTCAGGAGCTCAAGGCTCAGTGGGTTCCCTGGATTAAGAACAGAAGATGCCCCTCTTAGTTACTGCAATCACCTTAACTTTTACTAGCTCCTGTATTCATTAGTAAGGGTTAGAGAGAAAAGAAAAATAACAATAGCGTTCTTAATTGGATCCCTGAAAAAGATACTGCATTTCCACTGATTAAGGCAATTAAAGGTGCAAACATTGCTGCTCAAAAGCTGACATCTTCAGGTGTCTCATAACAAAAATTAATACCACTGCTAGCTGTGCCACCTAGTCATGCTGTAAAGAAAATTAATTACTGCAACCAAACTAATAATAACAGTGCAGGCAGAGTTGTAGCAATCTTGTGGCTTACCATTGGAGACTGAGCAGGGACTTTTGCCTCTCTGTTACCCATGAGCGCAACTCAGCAATTGCTGACTGTAACATTTCTATTGTATGGTTTATGCTAAATATGCATATCTTAATTGCATTAGTCAAAATAATTAGCTAATATATTTTTGCATAATGACGAGGTAAGCAAATATCACCATAGCTCAGTGGTTCTTGCATGAGTAAATTTGGAAAATTAATAGACTCCCAATTTCCTAATTATCTGTCTTTTATTCCATGCTCAAACAAAGAAATGCTACTGCACACTCCTGGGCATCGTGTAATTTAGTTTGCACCTTGAAAATTTTAAAGCACCTGTGTTTGTTTTCTCCCCGTTTTGCAGGAAAGTGATATAAAAGAAAAAAATGCAGCTCCTTCCTTTAATCACTCTTAAACTGAAACATGAAGAAAGTTGTGGATCAATACATTTTAATTTCTACATGCAAGTGGTGTGTTGAATTATAAGGTGGTTTTAATGCATCAGAAAACTATTATAAAATTAATACAATTGTCAAGATTCTTTCCAAAGTGATAGTCCACAGCAAGCATCCAAATTCTAGAGGAATGGTGGCATTTCCTCCTACTGTCCTTCCCCTTGAATCTAGCAATCTTCCCAGTTTTGCCTAGATGTTTCCCCGTTTTCTCACACTTGCAGGTCAATGGTGCATGCACTAAGCATCATGGTCTCTACCTGAGGACAGTGTGGTTGAAAAATAAAGCTTGCTGCCTTGACAAACTGCTTGGCAGACAACAGCCGAATTCCTTTGGGTTCCATCTTATTTATTTGGGCCTGTGATTGGGAACCAGGCTAATATGCTGAGCTACCTCATCAAACATCTTTCTTTAACAGAGCCTGGCCATTCCTGTCTAAGGTGTCAACTCTTCTCAGTCTTCATGAGAAAGCATATTCTTAGCATGCTAATCTAACGCATAAGGAACACAAAAATCTGCCCAAAAGGACATTTGAGCAATATGCTAATATCTTCTGAAGAGCTTGGAAACATTCTCGCCTCATGTCTTCCAATGGCAGGTTTCAGGCCACCACTTAAACGGAAGAATGTGCTGGGGCCTGAAGCCCACCACATCTGGATGAAATCCTCATGCCAAGCCCTAAGCCATCAGTCTAACAGTAGACAAGTCATTTAGGAGAGAAAGCAGCTGGGTGAGAATTTCCCTTAAGTTTCTGATGAGTCTTTAGATTTCCGGTGGCTTATGGGAGAGCAATCTGTAACCTGATAAGGGAAGAGATCTTCATTATTGTCACTTTGCCTCTAAACAAGCTCTGATCAAATCAATTCCCTTAGCAGGTGCGGTGCTTGTCAGGATTCCAGCCTTGAGACCACTTGGGCTGCCTGTCAGCAAACTCCATGTAGGTGTCTGGAGCAGGTAGCAGCTGCAGGCTGTAATGTCCTCCGCTACGGCATTCACTTCCAGGCTCACATGCAAATCGCCAGCAACTATGAAGAGAATGTATGTAAAATTCATTTTAATTTGTGCATGTGAGTGTAACAGGCTTTAATTAAGATGGAGAAAGAGATAAAGACATGCTCAATGGTGTGCATGGGGGAGGCCATGAAATTGCAAAATCCAATTTTATAGAATGTTAGCTGGTACAAGGGGAATAAACCCAAAAGCCAAATTCTAAGAACACACCTTGGCCCGTCAGCAAAGGGAAGCTGGCCTTTGTCAACCATGCGCCAGATTACCACAAGGGCAGTTGCACACAGGAGGCAAAAGGAAAGCCACTTACAAGAGATAGGAACGGAAATCTTAAAAGAGAAAGTAATGCAGGAAGAGAAACAAAGGCCAAAAATGGATATGCTGAGAGAAAAACCCACAATTATTGAAGATGAAAACATAAGGGGAGAAAAGTAATTAGAAATTAGACCACAGGATGGAAGAACAAAACCAAAGCAAAAATTAGCGGGCACACAGATGAAGCAAATTGGGGAAGAGAGAATAAAGGACCTCAAGAATGGGGAAAATGCCTACCCAGTCCTCGTGGTTCAGGGCTCAGCTTCCCATTGCTTCTGAGGCTTAGAGAGGTTATGCCTGTGTCTCAGTTACAGATAACCCTTTATCCAGACTAGAAGCTGAGGGCAAAGAAATGAAGTTGGACATATTTTCCATCCTTCCTATAACTCCTCAGAGTCCTACATGAGCCATATCTTCCATAATTGTCAGACCCTTACCCTGGAGCCCCCGTCTGAATGAGAGAGGCTCCCACATATGATGGCAGGGACACAAGGCTGGACGTGGGCTTGCAGCAGGAGGTCAGACTGGAGGGTGAACAGGCTCAGGTTTTTGGCATGATCATGTTTGGCATGATCTAAGGTTTTTGCACTGAATTCTGAGGATAGCTGAGAGCCAGTTAAGGGCTTAAAAATAGCATGGAACACATGGTCAGCAAATCAATTGGAATAAACTATCAGTTACTGAGTAGCTAACCTTTACATGGAGATGCAAGGGTGTGAAAGACATATTATTTGCTTTCAAAGAGCTAATATTCTTAAATTATGTAAGTAAATGATTTTTTTTAATTCCCCAAATAATAGAGAAGCCATATCTCAGGAGAGATAGAACATGATAGCATGCAAATCTCTGTTACTCAACGTGTGATCCATGGACCAGCAGCATTGGTATCACTTGGGGGCTTGTTAGAAATAAATGCTGAAGCTCAGGCCCATTGAATTAGAATTGGAATTTAACAGGATCCCCAGGTGATGAATATCCTAAGTGTTGGCCCAGAAGCCTTGCAAAATTACTAAGTGCAAAGCCTTCAGTGGAGGGCAAGATTTTATGAAGGAAGAGTAATGCTATAATTTCGTTCAGTAGAGATCAGTTTCATTGTCTGCTATGAGTCTGGTGCTTTAGGGGATCCATAAAGGCACAGAATAGGTTCCTTACATACGTGGGGAGCAGATAAAATGTAAAAACGATCAGATTTTTCAGGTACTCACCCTATAGAAGCTTAGAAACTTGGGAAAAAAGGAGGGAAAACCTGGATTCCCTAAGAAAAGGGGCTTGTATGAAAATTTGGACAGGCCTGTTTCTTGCATACCTGGGCTAGAGAAACAGTTCCTACTTGCTGCATTAATTGAACTAGAGTAAGTTTTGGAAAAGGCAGAATGGTAGGAAATGAGGGGGATGGAATCCCTTAGGTATATCTTCCATGTTGCGGACTCTACATGAGTGATTTTACAAAAATACAAGTTAACTAGAATCTTCTCTAGATTAACAAGATCTAGAATCAACTAAAATTAGTGGTCTACCAAACCATCAAACAATGCAATCTTCCTAGAAGAGCTCTCCTGGCCTCGTGTGGGCTGGCTGCTGCCCATCTTTCTGCTCTCCTGTACATTAATCTGGTACCACTGCTCCACTTGTCATGGGCCCCGCCATATTGAAATGCCGGCTATTCCCACCTGCCCCCTTTTCCTTTTGTACCTAGTGACTTTACTCACATTGTTTCCTCCTCTTGTTATAGCCCCTCTCACCTCATTTTGCATATCCTTTGGTAAATTCATACTTCGACTTTGAACCTTAGCTCACACATTGCTTCTCTTTTACCGCAGAGTTAGGCACAATGCTCCCTGTTTTTTTTTTTTTTGAGACGGAATCTCACTCTGTCACCCAGGCTGGAGTGCCGTGGTGCGATCTCGGCTCACTGCAAGCTCCGCCTACCGGGTTCACGCCATTCTCCTGCCTCAGCCTCCCGAGTAGCTGGGACTACAGGCGCCCGCCACCACGCCTGGCTAATTTTTTTTTATTTTTAGTAGAGACGGGGTTTCACCGTGTTAGCCAGGATGGTCTCGATCTCCTGACCTCGTGATCCACCCACCTCGGCCTCCCAAAGTGCTGGGATTACAGACGTGAGCCACCGCGCCCAGCCTTCAATGCTCCCTGTTGTTCCATGGTGTCTTGTACACTGCTCTATCCTCCCCCTTATTGTAATTAATCGTTATTGTGTGTGCTTCATGCTAGACTCCAAGATCCTTGATGCAGTTAGGGTATCTTATTCATGTATTTCTAGTCCCTATTATTGTACTTTGGACTTAAGGAATACTAATTTAATGAAAAGATAAATGAACATGTGAATGGATGAATACCTGTATAATGAATGGATGACATCAGATTATAGAGGACCTCGAATGCCAGGCTAGGGAAATTGGAATTCATTGTGCAGCTGTTGGAAGAAAAATGCAGTAGTAGGGTGAGGGTAGGATGCACTGATTCAACTCACATGTTGAGAAGTAAAATTAGAAAAAAAAAATGAAGAAGAATAAAGCACATAAGCAGAGAGAAGAAGAAACCTCAGTGAGAAAAGCAGCGACAAAAATCTGCAAACTTGTTTTGTCATAGAAATGTCTTATCTTCACATCTGCAGACTTGGGCAATTTTAGGTGACAGAAGTGCTACATGCTTTTGTGTGTGTGTATACCCCTTGGCAGGCTCTCCAATAAGCCCAGTCAATGGCAAAAATCATTCAGTGAGGGTAGGGTGGCCTTACCTTCAAGATTACCTGCTCTAGTGTGTCCTGATGATTTATAGGTGTGATTTTGGTTTGTTGCACGTTTCCTCTATCATTTCCAAGATTATTTTTACTTAGGCTATGGGATACATGGAGCACAGACAAAGGAGGTGCCATGGTGTGGAATGCTAACAAAGGTGCGCATTGGCTCCTGTGCTGTCACCTGTTGGCCACTTGCTTACGGGTGGCCTTTTTCTTTTATGGTTATGTGAACAGAACCTTTGAATTGTTTCTGCTTCTTTTGCTCATTGCTGTTTCAGAGATGAGTAAATGTGCACATTTAGCAGACTTTAAATTTCCTCGGTTCTACTTTGAGCTGGCCTTCAAAGTATTATTTATTACAATACAATTATTAGAGCAAGGAATAAAGTCAGGGACTTTCATTATCGATTCCAAATTTTAGGAACCATGCTGTGAATTTGGCAAAGGAATTCTGTCAGGGGGAAGCTTGGAGAGCTCTCAAGACAGCATTCCTAATATAGGACCTCAGTTCCCACTGCAGCTTTGACTTGATGTGAGATTCTTAATTCAGGTCCCAATTTTTTCAGAATGTTATACTGGGCTGTTAAACAGCTGCTGTATTTAACCACAGATGTGGGTGCATTTTATGGATGTGATTCCTGTGTGTATGTGTGTGTGTGCCAATAAACAAACATGTATATATTTAAAACCAATATTGACACAGTGTTAAGACTGAAATCTTTGCCGTCAAATCAGGAAATTCCAAAGTCACATTTCCTATAACAGTATCCTCTTAGTCGCTTGCACATCCTGTATATTGCACTACAGCCGTTTAACTCCCAAAACACATGGGGATAGACTACTCCAGGCCTAAGCTGGCCAACGTAAAGCCACTATCAGAATTATTTGATTTTTGAAGTGCTTTAATTTATGTCTTAACTTCATATTAACAAATTAAACTTTGACTTAGAAAGGCAGAAGAGAAACAAAAGGAATCAAGAAAGGTGTTTTCATTTCTAAGTCAAAAAGAGACACATCTAGTTTTATTCTTCAGTTAATCATCTTTATCCAAATGGAAGCTAAAACAGCAGAGTAAATGTTCCTCATCTTAGGCTCAACACTCATTGTTTAAACCTTCTACACTCAAAAATAGGAAACCATTTTTCTTCAAAATTGGCTTCCATTCCCTTCCTTAATGAGGACTACAATCTTGCCAAATTTGAAGTTCACAGCTTCAGTCATTTTTGAATTGCAGAAGCACAGATAAAACATTTTGATATTTTTTTATGATGGAAAATATGCAATTTTCCCTATCTAGGTGTATGGTAATATTCGCAGATATATCACATCTAAGTTTAGATTTGAATGAGTACTCTGGTGTCTAAGTGCCGGGCAACTAACATAAATAAGTTTTGCTGGATTATTGCGTGTTGTCTTCTGGTTACCCTTCCATCTGGTTCCTTTTTATGGCCGTTATCTAGTTGGAGTGGTTTGTCAACAGGTGTGGATTTGCCTGGAGACCACAGTCTGACTATTATCTGACTCTTAACTTGGTGCCCCCTATGTTCTTACTTTTTAATCTTAATGCTTATTATGTTTCTGCCTTCTTTTTTTTCCTCCTTCCAAAATCTTCTGAGAGTTGCCAGATAATAAGAGACAAATTGTGCAAATTAAATGTCAGGAAGTGGTGCATTAGTAAGTGAGCTTTTTGCCATCAATGGTACAGCTGATTCCTCTCTCTCTAAGCCAAATACTTCTCCAAATTGGAGTAGGCTTGATGAATTTCTTTTTTTTTTTTTAAGTTAAAGTATGACAGCTGCTTATTTTCGTTTTTGTTCATCTGGTGAAACCAGAAGGGGCCCAAAGAAGTCATTAATGTCCACTGTGTGAAGGCTCTAGGAAATGCATTGAGGGTAGAATGCATGAACAGTATTGTTCACCATATGTAGACTAGAAACATCCTTATGTTCAGGGTCCATGGGTAAGAGAGGGAGTGTGTTATAATTAACTGTATAGTACATATGGTGGACTAGAAAGTTTACTCCTTGGAGACTAGTCGAGCTATAAAATCAAACAAACAATGAAAACAGAGTCAATTAACAATGGCTCTATCAAATGTTGTCATATAGCTCCTATGGTTTGGGTGGAAGACTTGGGGTCAGAAAGCACAGGCATGTCCTGACCCTGGGTCCCCACTTTTCTGGACAAGGCAGAGCAGACTGTGTCAGATGAAGTTAACAGAGCCAGTATACAAGAGGATGGCTTAGAGACAGAGGGAGAGAGAGAGACTGAGAGAGAGAGAGAAAGAGAGAGAAAGAAAGAGAGAGAGAAAGAGAGAGAAGCTGCATCTGCCACTAAACCTTTCAGTGTGGATTCACTAAGGACCACTAGAAAGTCCAGAAGTGAGTCCTTCCCTCAGAGCCCATGTTCCGATGGCTATCTGGGCTCATCTGTCAACATTGCAGT
This sequence comes from Homo sapiens, assembly GCF_000001405.40. Taxonomy (NCBI): domain Eukaryota; kingdom Metazoa; phylum Chordata; class Mammalia; order Primates; family Hominidae; genus Homo; species Homo sapiens. Next base: position 56,289,725 of record NC_000018.10, on the reverse strand, counting down.
CCATCCAACAATAGGATCACTAAGAATTTCATGATCTGTTTCTGTAGCCCCATTTCCAGGGATCATGCAGCTATGAGTCTGCTGACTGAATGGAAAAATATTGGTCTGACCAGTGGCTTATGTTATGCAGGACAGTGAGTATTTTAAACCAGATTAATCTGAACTTCCTCAAATCTAGACAAGCTTCTATGCTTCTAAATTATGTCCTTTGCCAAGAGAGAAGTCAGATGATGACAGAACTCCACGTGTCTCAACTCTCCAACTGCAGAAGAGTCTGGCTTTTCTTTTGAGGTAGCCTAGCAGGCTGTTTTGCATCTGATGCCTTCCAGATATTCCTTGAGATAATTTTAACAACCTTGAGAGCCCCATATACGTTAACAGGTATATCTGCAAAATGTAGGCTCTCCTTTTGCACTGTTTGTAATGCATTCACAGTCACATCTGATCACATTAATAGCTTGTTCCAAAGCCTTCAATGACTCCCTGTGGCCCTTAGGATAAAGTCAAAACTTCTAACAGAGCATAGATGACCCTTTTCTCTCTGGCTCTTTTGCTTTTTCACCCTCATATTTCTTCACTCTACCCACTTTGCACTCAAGATGTTAACCTCTACTGAAGCTTTTAGTTCCCAGAGATTCTTGAAGGCCTTCCTTGACCCATCTGTTTATCCTTCCCCACCTTCATTTTTTGGATTTAGATTTCCCTGCCACATCTTAATACATCTTGATTAGCTTGTTGCACATCTATTATAAGATTTACCATACTTCTTGTATTTGCTTGGTTGCCTTTCCTGCTAGATAATAATAACCTCTGTGAGATCTGGGACCACTGTGTCTGTCTTGTTTGCCTTGAGAACTTTATACCTAGCACCATGCTTGGCACATGGCAATCAATGAACATTTGTTAAGTGTTGAGTAAGTCATTTTTATTATAGTTATTAAGATGACATGATATCTTTATTATAGATATTAAGATAAAGATGATGTGCATTAGCCTAATGTTTCTTCTTTTTTTAAAAAAAATTTAACTGTAAAAATGTATCTCTTTGCTAATTTATCTTAACTCTGTTCTGCTTTGAACTTCGTTGCTTTCTTCTAGAAGTTTCAAAATGGCCTCTGGGCCCAAGACATTCAAGCTGCAACCTAAAGAGTTATCAAAAAAAAAAAGTCACTGGGCGTCTTATAGAACGCTGTTGATGGTACCCAAGCCCTAGTGTTGCTTTTCAGGTAATACCAGCTTCTAACAAAACCTTTGGAGCACTTGAATCTTTTAAGCTGGTACTAAGATGTGTTTGCTTCAAGTAAAATTCTGTGGTATAATGAATGTCTGCCTGGTTAAATTCTGGTGCACAAAGATTTGTGCCTCTAACTGAGAGACTGGCAGCTAGGAGCACACACATGAGATTTGCGTATCTCAATCAACATATGATGAAATGGAGAAATTTATCAAGAAGAACATAGAACCTCAAGGCTCATCCAAACTTAGCCCTTCAAGAAGGAGCAGACAGCTACTCTGCCCTCAAAGATTCTGCTCTCTGCCAATTATGATATTAAAATGCCCACTGCTAGACTCCCTTAGAATTTTATTATTAATTATTTCAGTATTGCATTGAACAAATGCCTTTTTAGAGGAGAAATACATTAACCCGTTAAACTCATTTTTATGGATTAATTTCAGTCCAGATCAACTAGACTAACTCTTAGAAGAGAGAGAACAGGACACTGAGGAAATGAAATTCTAACAATAAATAGCCACTGTCAAGAAGGAGAGAGGGCAGGATCCAAAAGAAATGTTAACCTTGTATGGGTATTGTTTGGCCAGAGACCTGCAACTGGAAAGTGGAGTGGCAAAAGGAACAGGATACTCTCTCTGTCTCTGTGTATGTGTGTGTGTGGTGTGGTGTGTATAAAATCTGGAGTCCCAAAGCTGATGAGAATGGTGCCATTAGCAAGCTTCACCTCTTAGATTTTGTCCAGGCCAATCAGGGGTCAACCTCATGGTTCTCCCAGTCAGGAGGTGAAAAGGGCACAATATTTAACTGTGCCTCAGTTTCTCTAGTTGCCCAGCTTGCTTTTGAGCAGAGACCGGAGACCAGACTGGTGTAAATTCTCAGGCTAGATTATGAGTACCAACTGGTTAATGTCACATTCTTTGATCTCTTTGCCAAAAGATACCACAAAAATATCAGATATTTCTCTATATTTGTGGAGCACGTTTACTCAGGTACCACCAAGTCAGGACTAGCAATATTCTCCTGATTCATTTGCTTGCTTTTAAAGCAGATAAAGTCTGCATTTCTGAGCCACATTTGTCCATTTTCTCCTTCCTCCCTTCCTCATCCCAGTTGGTGGAGTATTTTTCCTCCTTTGACGGATGTATCAAGTATGAAGGTGAGGAAAATCCAGGGGAAAAAATGGATGAAAGACTGGCTAATGACCAGTGGATTTAACCCATATTTAAAGTCTCACTTTCAGTAACTGGCAAGGGTGATACTTCTGGAGTGTATGAACCAGCTGGTATTAGCAAACGTGTGAAGATCTGCTGATGGAGGAGGGGGCAGAGAAGGTTTGTGGGTGTGTTTCGAAGTCGGTTGGATGCAACTGGTTTAATTTCCTTTGTTCATCTGCTTCAGTGTTTGCAGTGATTTGAGAGGGTCGTTTTCTCCCCACTCTGACACATTCATTAAAGTCTGCAGATACTGTGTGACTCATTAGGCTGTCAGCAGCATTAAATGTTGCATATTCCATTTACATCAGGAAAGCCTCTCTTGGAGGACAATGTGGGATGCAGAGTCTGGTTGCATCAGAGACAAAGAGAGTCAGAGAGATGAGAAAAAAAAGAAACACATGGAAAAAGAAGTAGATAGAGAGACACAAGAAAGAGTCAGAAGAACCAGAAAAAAAGAGGGACAAGAATCAAATAGATAGACAGAGATACCTAAGAAGAAGAAAGACATACCAAAGACAGAGATGGAGAGCCAGACCTAGAGAAATGAGAGAGACGGGGGACTGGGGCCATAATCCCGAAAGACACAATCCTGAAGACTAGAATTCCTCATGTTGAAATCCAGAAACAACAAAATCCCAAAAATGTAATTCTGGAAAAAAGGTAATAAATTATTTAAAACACATGTAGTTACATTCTTTAAAGGGGATTTATTTGAGATAGATAAAAACATGACAGAACACTGCATACGTGACTTTACACAATAAAGTAGGCAATGATATCATACATATTGTTGCAAACATCAACACTCAGTTATACTTACACTAACGACAGTCGCACCAGTATAACAGTTATGAGCAGACAAACCATGTTCAGAAAGAAATATGTCAAAAAGTGAAATGTATAAATGCTTATCACTATGGTTGGTAATTGTGTGCACCCAGCTTTATAATTGCCGTCATCTGAAATATCATGATGGACAACCTAAGTCTTTTGACAAGATCGATCAAAAACTGTGATGGGCCATCATCGCATATGCAGTCATCCAAAGAGCCAAGATCTTGAGACATTTTATCTGTTATAAATGCAAATGTACAAAAAGAGTATCTCTTCATTTATTGAAAAAGTTTCAATGTTTTTACAAACAGACACAATACTTACACACAAAATCAACATTGTGATAATGCATTTTCATGGTGTCAAATTTGCAAAAAAAAATATGTACAATGAATTAGAAGTCTCTAAAAGTATTAACACAATTTATACCCCCAGTGCTAAATGATGTGAAGATGAAATACATGTCATAGCGAATTGGTGCCATGTGTGAAGGGGCAGAAGTTCTACAAGATTGAATAATTTGGCAGGAAAGATTTCTTGCATTTTTTTGCCTGTGTTTTCACTTCTGTGATCTCTGAAACACTCACTGCACTTGTATTTGGAGAATGGTTGTGGTCTACAAATGTTGTAAGTATATGCTGTCCAGTTGAAAGTCTGGTTATTGTTCAGACATTGCAATTAAGTGATGTTCTGCTTTCGCAGCACCAATAATAATTAGCTTTTAAGCTTTTATCTTTCACCATTAGGTAACCTTATATACTGAACTTAATACAGCATTTTTGCAAGGGAACGATTTCACAGTTCTCTTCCGTGGTGTCGCAAGGAATACAGTAAGAAGCAATGCTATCTGGCTTCCCAGGTGATGAATCTGTATTAGTCAGGGTTCTCCAGAGAGACAGAACCAATAGGATGTGTATATAGATACATAGGAGGGAATTTATTAGGGGAATTGACTCATGAGCTTACGGTGGCTGAGGAGTCCTAGGACAGGCCGTCTGCAAGCTGGAGACCGTGGGATGCGGATAGCATGGCTCAGTCCAAGTCCACAGGTCCCAGAACCAGGGTAGCCAATGGCGTAACTCTCAGTCCAAGGATGAAAGCCTCAGGACCTGCGGGCTGGGGCACTGTGTGAAAGTCCTAGTGTCCAAAGGCTGGTGAGCCTGGAGTTCTGATGTCCAAGGCAGCAGATTAAAAGTCTGTCCCAGCTCTCAGAGAGACAAATTCACCTCTGTATTTGTTCTCTCTGGGGCTCCTGGTCAATTGGATGGTGTCTGCCAGCACTGAGGATGGTGTCTGTGTCTTCCCTTCTTAGTCCACTAAGACCCACAAGCTAGTCTCTTCCGAAAGCACACTCACAGACACATGCAAAATAATGCCTTACTAGATGCCTAGGTATTCCTGAATTCAACCAAGTTGATATCTAAATTTAAGTCTACATGTCCACCTGTTTTCAAATTGGCACTCATACACATCTCCTTAAACCACACTTAATTTCCAAATAAAGACAATAACAAGGTGATAATTCCACCTAACATGATGCGAGAGATGTGATGCAACTATCCAGCATGCAACCAAAACCACGCTAATCCCTTCCCCAGGATATGGCTTTTGGAATTTTAACATTTGGATTGTGTCCTTTGGGATTATGATCAGCACTGGAGAGGGACTGAGAGACAATCTGAACAACATGCACAGAGAATTGGAGAGAATGAAAACATGAGGAAGAGAGAAGAAGGAAAAAAAGGAGAAAGAAAGAAAGAAGGGAAGAGAGATGGGGGGATCAGAGGGGAGAAGGGAAAGAGAAGGACGGAAAGGAAGGAGAAAGAAAATATTCCATGAAGATCCAATCTTATTTATTCAAACCCTTCATGATATTTTGATATTAGGGATGACTTACATGTGCATAAGATTTTATTAGCAAGCCAAACCCAGGCACTGACTCATCATTCTTGAGAGCAATTATATGCATTTAAGCAAGTAGGCAAGTGAAAAAAGTCATAAAAAAATCCTAAAAAGCTCTGACAAAATTCATATAAAAATCTACCTCTTTGCAACAATTTCTCTTCTGAAAGTTACTTGTAGAGTCAATTTCATATATTAAATTCAGATTTTCCAAGGGCATCTCAATGGCAACAATTCCCTCTGAAAGAATATCAAGTTGTCTTTTTAAGAACTTGTCTGCATTGCATCTGGCTCATCTAGGCATTATATGGACATTGTGAGGTGCCAAATTTGTGGGTGTGTTCTAGTCAAGGTGGTCTTAGGCCCAGGGGAAAGAAATCCACTAAAGGTAAAACAGAGCCAAGTAATGATGTTACTGTTGCTAATCGTGGTAGTAATCGTGGGCACAGCTACTATTTGTTGAGCTCTTGCTATGGGCCAGAAATCATACTAAGACCTTTAAATGCATTATTTCATTGTATCCTCACAGTAGCCTTATGAAGTAAATATACTGGGAGTGAGGCACAGAAAAGTAAAGCGATTCTCCCAAGATTCCCTAGGATTTGAACCCAGGCAAGGTTGTATTCATAATAACAGCTGACCAGTTAAATATTCTCTCAGAGAACAAACTAATCATTTTCTCTTCAAGGCAGTTAGAGTTCTAAAGAATTGATCAACTATGTGTTAACTTCTCCTTATTGTGTTACCTTATTGTGTTACAACTATGTGTTACCTTCTCCTTATTTAAATAGTGTTATAGTTCTTAGAAAGGTATACATCCACCCTGGCATCATGCAGAAAAACTCCAATATTTTGGAAGACTGCTCAGTCTATCTGTTTCATCCAAACTGGCTTGAAGTAATGAGTTACTTCATATCTAAATTGGCCAGTGGGGTTGAAAGTGGAAAACCCCTGGGCTAAATGGAGGAAGGCATTGGAATCTAGAGCCAGTAGCTGAAACTTGATTTCCAAGACAGCATTTCCCAAAGTGCATTCCTTTGAGCATTAGTTTTACAAGATGTTACATGAAGAAAAGTTTCCAGGATTAGAAATGTTTGGGAAATACTGGATTAATCATATTTTAGTAGATTTCTTTATTTCAGAATTTCTCAGAGACAGTACATATCTCTGCATCCAACAGAATTGTCCTTCCTCTTCCATCTCATCCACTCAAATTTATGCATTTCCCATTTTTGCTTGGCTAGCTCATTTTGTACTCATCATATACCTCCTGCTTTTATTATTTAATGTTCAGTGAACCCATGTTTTAATTGCCCACGAGTTCCTTGCAATTGAGAACCTAAACTTTATTATAGTTTAAGTCTAGTACTGTGTTATATAGATAATAGATACTCAATAAATATTTGTTCATTGACACATCAGTATATGAAAAAGTGATGTGTCTTAGTCTTGTCTTCTGCCCAGATCCCCGAAACAAGCAGTTCCTGAGACAACAATTTGGGTAGAAGTAGTTTATTTTGGAGGTGATACCAAGGAGCCCAGAGAGAGAGTGCAAAATTGAGACAGAGAGTCAGGAAAGCCAATAAAAGTCATACTAATGAATGAACTACGGCTGTGGGAAACTAAAACTCAGTCCTGCTGGGGACCGTCTGACAGATTAGAATACATGCCAGGGTTGTACCACTGAGAGGAGATGAATATGGGTTATTTTCTACCAACTCAGGTCCCTGATTTGTTGAGGCTTCGTCCTGGGGTGTTAGTGGTTCGTACGTCCAGCCTATGGAACAGTATCGCTAGAGAACCCCTCAGGCAGGGAGACACTGGAAGCCATCAGCATGTCCCAGAAACCCTACCTGACCCCTGGGAATATGGGCAGGGCACTAGTAATGACCTCATACCTTATCCAGGAACAGCAGTATTGAACCAGCTTTGCCTATTCCCAGCAGTTAAAAACATGTACTCATTTAACCTTGTAACAATAAATGAGCAGAGTTTTCTTGCCTGGGCTAACACATTAACTCAGGTTTTCCCTGCTTTCAGAACCAGCTGCTACATTTCTCCCCATTGCCTTCATGGAAAGTTGTCCTGTCAGCAATGTCACAATGTGATTTCTTTATCAAAGGTCATTACCGATTATTTTATAAATAACTGATGCTTCAGCAATTATCTGATTTTTACCTTTTTAATATTAGTTTTTCATATTTTATTATTGTCACATGATGGCCTATTTGTCTACAAAGAGGCACATACTAAAACCAGCAACTTTGCCTTCACCTCCCATTATTGTCTTATATTTTCTTTGGCATTTTAACTATGTTCCGGAGAAGGTCATAGCTGGTTAGTTAAAGTGCTCCATCAATGGACACACAGAGATACAAATATATGCACAGCATCCTCCCCAGCTTTTCTGCTGGCCTGCATTCCTCATTCAAACAGCAGGACATGATGGCCTCCTATCCACTTTCATAACCAGCTCCTAGAAGGAAACCTGCTTGATTGTTAATACTGATTGCGCTTCTTGTTGGTAGCCCCAAAGGTCCACCTGTTGACACCTTCCACGACGGCCCAGGGGGGTGCTCCTGTTGCTATTGCCTTGATTGGCATTCTGAGTAGGAGTTTACCTTTTCAATTCTGGCTCTGGAAACATTTTACAGTGGCAAGATTTACCACTTGGCACATTCTGTTTATGAATTTGTCCTCCCTACCCAGATTATCAGTTTCTGGATGCCCCAAACTGCATCTTAGTCTTTCTTCATCTTTCCTTTTTCCATCGTACTGAGTGCTGTGCCTGCCATATGTGGATGCTCAGTGAATATGGATAAATGAGATGAACTGAAAGATGGAAGAAGGGAGTCCTTCCTATACCTTCCCTTTATTGGATGCAGAATTAAGGTGTGGACTAGCTGGATGTCTGGTGGAATGTCTGAGAGTATCACAGTCCCCTTAGATGCATGTCAGCTGGGCCTGAAATTCCCACCATTACCAAATACCACATGTTCTCGCTTATAGGTGGGAGCTAAACATTGGGTACACATGGAAATAAAGATGGGAACAGTAGACATGAGGGACTACTATGGGAGGCGGGAAGGTCAAGAGTACGGGCTGAAAAACTACCTATTGAGCATTATGCTCTTTACTTGGGTGATAGGTTCAATCACATCCCAAACCTTAGCATCATGCAACGTATCTTTGTAACAAAGCTGCACATGTATCCCTGATTCTAAAATAAAAGTTGAGAAACAAAAATAAATAAATGAATAAATTATATAAGAAAAAAGACATTTATGTCTAAAGAAGCTTTTTGTGAAAAGAAGTTTTTTTAAAAAGTAAAGAAACTGGAGAGAAGTGGTGTCTTAACTGCTACCCATTAGCATTAGGTTGAACTTTAGGAAATTGTCATTTTAAAAGATTAAAAAATTGTGGTTTCTACCTAATAGCTTAGCATGAATTAATACATTTATGGGCAGAGGAAGAAATAGGAAATTGAAGTTGTGATGTGGAAAGAGGAAAGCCAAGAACACTGTTTAAAGGAGTCAGGCTTCAGTAGGGGTTGTAAGAAGGGGCATCAGAAAATTGAGTTAAATGGAGGAAGGAGATTATTAAAGACTTGATGCATAGACTGCAAAATTATCTCCTTGAACTCCAAACAGTTGCCTCAGGCCACCCTTGTCACAGCAGGTGAAGGCCTCCAGCAGGTTGCTACACTAAATTATGTCAGGTACATCCTCCTTTCTTTTCTATTTTTGTTTCTTAATATGGGCAGCTCAAGGGTGTGGAGCCATGAGGGAGAGTTGCTCTTCTCAAATAGAGGCCGTCTCTACAGGTACCTATTCCATCCAGATAATTCTTGGTCCCAACTAAATGCTTTTCACTCATGAATATTTACTAGTTGGCATCATAATCCAAACCAAAAACAAATGAATAAAACCTATGTCTATACCCACTTTCACACTTGGGAGTACCTTAAGCCATCTTGAGGAGAAAAAATCCCCACCTCTGCAGTAAATTTTTAAAAATGCAAAGTCTAATCAGAGAAACAAATTCAACTGCCCCAAAGGCCAAACTCAACTAATTCAGGTTTTAACTTTCTAAAACTAATGGGCAATAATGTTTCGGGACCTTGATGTAACCCTTGGTTCATGTGACTCTTGCATTTTAAGAGAATTTTATAAAAAGATCCTGCTGAGCAAGAGAAAGAGTCAGCATGTATCTTAGGTATCAACAAAGAGTACCTCCATTTAATGAGGTGGGTGTGAAAGGGGAGATGTGGGAGTTATACATTTACATAGGGTAGGAAAGAAATAGCACTTTTTAGTACAGCAGGAAGGTGCAACACCCCAAGATGAAATCTGTATTAGTCCATTCCCATGCTGCTAATGAAGACATACTGGGTAATTTATAAAGGAAAGAGCTTTAATTGACTCACAGTTCCACATGGCTAGGGAGGCCTCAGGAAACTTACAATCGTGGTGGAAGGGGAAGTAAACATGTCTTTCTTCACATGGTGGCAGGAAGGAGAAGTGCTAAGCAAAAGAGGAAAAGCCCCTTAAAAAAACCATCAGATCTCATGAGAGCTCACTCACTATCATGAGAACAGCAGCATGGGGGTAACGCCCCCATAATTCAATTACCTCCTACCAGGTCCCTCCCAAGACACATGGGGATTATGGGAACTACAATTTAAGATGAGATTTGGTTGGGGATACAGCCGAACCATATCAATATCTATATGCTAGGATATTTTAATGTTTCCTGTGGTCACTTGCTCTTTCAAAAGACCATGAAACAATTTGTGTGGACTTCTCTATTCTCTCTTGCACCTACTTTGGCAAGTGGAACTCTTCCATTCCATCATAACAAAAAAACAGAAAGATGAGGCATTAGGGCCATTTAGTAATTCAGTAACACACATATTGATATGTGTATGCGATGTAAAGGTCTAGCATGATATAGCAACAAACACTGGCTTCAAGATTCAGCTCCAACACTAACAAGTGGTGAGAAATCAGAAAAATTCCCTAACTCTTGGGGCCTGGATTTTCTCATCTGTAAAATGACTACATTGGACTCAATAGTCTCTATATCCCATCGAATTGTACTATGCTATATTCTAGATTGGGTTGCTGGTGCTGGTCACAGAATTATTTTCATTTCCAGAAAAACATCCTTGTTTAGTATATTTATTGTCATCCCATGAAAGGAGGTAAACATTTCTAAGGAAAATACTGACGAAACAAATAACCAAATAATTATCCTTCTGGCTTCCTATATTACTTTTTTCTTCCCTCTATTGCACCTCAAGATGCAGGGAAGGGAATCAGCAGGAATCTAGGTGGCCCAATACTTTAAATCCATCCTGGTTTTTATTTTATGAAAAGAAGGAAGGGGAAGAGAAGAGGTAAATAAACAGTCATGGCATAACAGAACAAAAAGACCAAATCTTTCTGCTGGGGGAAGGGAGCTCTGGTTCCTTAAAGCTTTAATAAACATTTTGGGAAGGAAATGTCCCTAAGGAAATTTTCTTTCCCTCTTAGAATATCTGGAATAATGTTAACTTTTCTTGTCTTTGTATTCCTTCCTTTGCACTATATCGGAATTGATTCAGAGAAAGGACTGCACTCAGCGTGTAATAAACATCTCCAGGAGAGGTAGGGAGGATGGGCAAAAGCACGAAGGAGATGAAGGAAAATCAATTGCTCGGTGCTGACAACTTCTTCTTGTAATAACAGTATTCTGTCACATTGCATTAGCAGCACTTTGCAATTGTATGTGTTTTTGCTAACAGGCTGTAAAAGTGTAATCATATGAGCACTGAATACATTGTATTAGTGGGAATGATTCAGGGGGATGTGTGCTTTATTATACCAGTATGGTGCATAATGTGTTGCTTACTGAAGTGAGACTTACCATTTTAGTGAAAGAATATTTATTATTTATTTGTTTGTTTGTTGTGGCGTTGGTGCCTTCCAGGGAAAGCTGCGTGTTTCTGTTGGGTGGGGGGAGGATTTTTCTCCCAATCATCTTTCTCTTTCCACTCTGTATGTCTAAGCAACATGACCCTGAAATTGGGATAAAAAATCATTTGGAGTACCAAGTTCCCAACCCTCTGAGAAAGCAATGGCTCTGCTTGGGTTTCCAAACAGCATTTGTAAAGCTAATGTGATTGTTGCTGCAAAGCATCTTCTGCAAGGAAAGTTGAAGGAACAAAAGGGGAGGAAATTCACACTTGTGTGGGAATGACTATGGATTGAAAAGATACACCCCAAAGGATGAGCTGAGAAAAAGGCAGCTAGAATTAGAGACAGCATGAAAGGAGCATGTGGGATCCTTGAGGATGGATTTTTTAGCTTTAAAAAATTTTGCTAGAATTTAACTATTTCCACCCATTGTTGGAATGCATTTTTGGCATTTCTAGATGGAGCCTTTCCTGGCTACCTAGCTCTGAATTTGTGTAATGTGAATTGTCCTGTCACTTATTAGATGCTGATAGCACACTGAATTGTCTCTGTGTGTGTGTGTGTGTGTGTGTGTGTGTGTGTGTGTGTGTGTGTGTGTGTTTGCCTCCTCCATTAAAGAGCCGGTCCTGAAATCCAGGAACTGTGCCTTAGAGAGTTTTTCTCCCTCTCAGGACCTGCCACAATTTTCCTGAGATGTTAAGCAAGCAGTTCTTGCTTTACTGAGCTCAACTAAAATTGACATTTGAATCTGCACTTGCATTTGTTTGCTAAGGCTGCTGTTACACAGTACCACAAACTGGGGGGCCTCAACAACAGAAATGGATTGTCCCATGTCTGGAGGCCAGACTCTCAGATCAAGGTGTCACTAGGTTGGTTCTTTCTGAGCTGTTCCACGTTGTCCCCTAGTTTCTGGTGGTTTGCGGGCGATCTTTGGTGTTCCTAGGTTTGCAGGCACATTGTTCTGATCTCCATCTCCACAGGGTATCTCTCTATGTGTGTGTCTGTCTCCAAATTTGCCCTTTTTCTAAGGACACCAGTCATATTAGATTACCCATCCTACTCCAGTATGACGTTATCTTAGCTAATTATATTCGCAATGAACCTGTTCTCAAATAAGGTCACATTCTGAGATTCTAGGGGCTAGGACTTCCACATAGGAAGTTCAATTCGTAACGTATTCCACCTATGACAATTGTTTACAGTGCACATTTTGAGATCAGTAAGAATTTTCTATACAAATCAGGTGATATCCATTAACTGGCAGTACCTTCCGGCAATCAGGAATATTTTTATGTTTTAACACTGCCACTCACCACAAGGCAAGCATTGTTCCAAATGCTTTCAATGTATTACTTTCTATAATCCTCCCAATATCATTATGGGGTAGTTGCTTCTGTTACCCTCGTTTTACAGATGAGAAAAGTGAGGCACAATGGAAATAAGTAAATTGTTCCAAATGACATGAGAGATTCAGATTTCAAATGTACACAATTGGGCTTATAAATTTCTGGATGTTGCCTTCCAGTTAAATGTTTCATACTCCTTCCTAATTATGATTTGAAAGGTTCCGTACATAGATGCTTCTTCTCTTTATATAGTATTTATATTTATCTTTTATCTTTTCTGACTAGGGCTTTACAACAAAAGAATGTTACAAAGCCTTTTCCAAAGACTTTAGATCAAACAATGCAAAGGAGGCATGACTTTCTTTTGCTAGCTTCAACATGCACAGTTAGCCAGCAGAGCCCAGCTGAGACAGTACCATCCTTTAAAATGGAAATCTCACTGAAGACTCAATAGGGAGCTATTTTAGGACTTCAACACAGGCTGATGGCAGAGGAAGTGAAGCCAGGCATGGGTGGAAATAGGGTGGTGTTGGCTAGAACTTCAAATTGCAGTTCTTTAAAGGGATGTGGTGAGTTTGACCTGTATCACACTCACCTCCAACCGTGAAGTTCACATATGTGTACAGTCACTAATACAAAGATGACTCGTGTGTTGACCAGATAACTGAAGTGATGGATGGGAGTGACGACCAAACCAGTATTGTACAAAAAAGTATTTCTTCCTGAACTTGAAGATCATTTAAAGCTGCCATATTAGGCTCTATTAGTTTTCTTTAATATTTTCTTTTCTGGTTAATACTAATAAGCCCATCCTGGAAGTACCAGATAGATTCCACAAAAAATCACCCTGGTTTTCTTTGTGTTTCTAGCCCTTGCATTTCCACTTGAGTCCAGATGTGGAGCTCTTAGGGTCTGAGAGCTGAGAAAGGGAACCAGGAGCATGGATCACACGCCCTTCAGAAAGGCAGAGACCGCAGGTACTGGAGGCACATCAAAAATATTCACCAAGGAAACATTCTTGATAGTTAGTGCTAGTCACAAGCTCTTCACTGGGCTCCTCCGCTGACTTTTCAGTACATTAATCTTGAGTTCTTCAGGTTCTGAGGACATTAGAATTTACTATAAAGAAGTTAAAAGTGAGAGATATATGCTTTAATTTATACTTTTAGAATTGTCTCATATTCAATTATATGAACTCCATTTGCTTGGCAACAATCTATGCCACATAAAGTTTCTTTTGAGATTTTCCAACACCATTGTTTTATTTTTTTTTCTTTCTTTCTTTTTTTTTGTTGTTGTTGACAGAATCTCCTTCTGTCACCCACACTGGAGTGCAGGGGCACGATCTGGGCTCACTGCAACCTCTGCCTCCTGGGTTCAAGCAATCCTCATGCCTCAGCCTCCTGAGTAGCTGGGACTACAGGCATGTGCCACCATACCTGACTAATTTTTATATTTTTAGTAGAGACAGGGTTTTGCCATGTTGCCCAGGCTGGTCTCGAACTCCTGGCTTCAAGTGATTCTCCCACCTCAGCCTCCTAAGGTGCTGGGATTACAGGCATGAGCCACCATGTCTGGCCTTCAACACCATTCTTTTCTAATGAAGCAACAGGTATTTATTGTACACCTATGTACTACATGATAGGTTCTGTGGGTAAACCAGAAGCACAAAACCAGGGTCCTAACCTCACAAATCGTATATTCTTACTAAAAATAAAAGTCAATAATATATGAAAGTTAAATCTTGTCAGAAGAGATAAATAATACTTCCACATAGAGTTTCTAGAGAAGTTCACCAAGTAATAATGAACAGTACACACAACATATGCTCCAGAAATTAAGAGGAGGGAGTGTAGTTGTAAGCCGGACTTTTCTGGGAAGACATGAAACGGGAAAGCAGAGAGAAGGCCAACTCAAATGTGGCAAAGATTTCATTTCTCACGTTGTTTTCTCCAGAGGATTTTGAACTGGGGGATTTTGAATTGACGTTAATATGGAGAAAAACTTTAGGACAATTATTTTTACAGTCCTTTCAGCTTTTTATAGTTTTTTTTTTTCTACTTTATATTTCATGAGTGATTAGTCTGTCTTTTTTACATGGGTTTTCTTTGGGTCAGAGCCTGCCATAGCTATTAGACCTCTTCTCCAAGTTCACCACTCCACCGGGCAGTTGTGAGCATGGGACCGCTCTTTCCATTCACTTGGAGTGGGGCTCTTAGCAGAGTGGAGGGCTGGACACAGTGGCTAATGCCTGTAAGACTTTGCCAGTAGGTCTGACAAAGCCTCCACTTAATGACGTACTGACATGGTGTGCTAGAAATAAGTGAATTCTGTCATGAGCCTATCTCGTTGCCATTATTTTTCCCCTATAAGAGTAACAATGGTATTTTAATAATCTGCATAAAATTTAATTATAATTCAGTTATCTGATGTCAATAATTTTAGTGCCCTTTAATATAACAAATCTCCAGTGTGAAATATCTAACTAATAAGAGATGACAGGTGGTTATTACGTTGTGAGCCTCACCATCTTTCAGAAACACTAGCTGTGATAAGTTAAATAAACCATCCTTCAACATGAAAAACTCCCTAGGTGGCCCTCAAGGGAAATGCAGACATTGAGTTTCCTAGAACCAAGCAAATGGTGACATCTTTGGTATGAAGAGGGAGGCTGCCAGGAATAACTGATTGCTGTGTATAATTTGAAGCTCTTAACTGTCACTACCTAATTATAGAGGCTGGGAAGCTCAGGTTAGTAGAGTAATAGTAAGGTCAAAGTTTAGTTTATACTGTGTAAGTTTAGTCTTAGTTTGTTCTTGATCCTGACCAGTCATTTTTTTTTTTAATGGGTAGGATTAGTCAAAAAGGCGAATGAGAATAGCTAGATTATTTTGCCTTGACTACTATTGGAAGAAATAGATAAAAATAAATAGCCACTAGCAGTTGACTAATAAAAGGCATTGACATTTGTAAAGAAAAGATGTCATATTATAGAAGAATGTCTATTAAAAAATTTGCGATATTTCTCAGCCAAAAAAAATGTAGATCAGCTCTTTTGGCAGCAAGATCTATGTCTGCTGCTAATTTTTTGGGTGAGTAGCCATCAATCTTATGTTTCCTTGACTCCATTTAGGCATACAGTCTTGAGAGCTGGCTCCACCCACATCTTTCTTGGAAGTGTGCAGCCTTGTATGGAGATTATAGGAGAAAAACAGACACAAGGTACCTTAGGAGGGCCTCAAACATTTGTGCCCCAAATAAGGACTTGCAGGCTTACTTGGTATCTTGGAGCCCTATAAATGGAAGTCAGACTTGGTGGGTGTGTTAGTCTGTTCTCACAGTGCTAATAAATACATACCCGAGATTGGGGAATTTACAAAGGAAAGAGGTTTAGTTGACTCACAGTTCCATATGGCTGGGGAGGCCTCACAATCATGGGTGGGAGATGAAGGAAGAACAAAAGGACATCTTACATGGCTGCATGCAAGAGAGAGCATGTGCAAGGGAACTCCCCTTTATAAAACCATCAGATCTCATGAGACTTATTCACTATCACAAGAACACCACAGGAAAAATCCTCCCCCATGATTCAATTACCTCCCACTGAGTCCCTCTCATGACACATGGGAATTAATGGAGCTACAATTCAAGATGAGATTTGGGTGGAGCCACAGCCAAACCATATCAGTGGGGCATGTGGATGACCTAGAAGCGTAATTATAAAACAACAATGCCACTCAGAGTTTAGGAGAATATTGGAGAGAAAACAGGATCTAATCATCAGAAACCTGGAAGTTAGAGCAACATTTTTTTTGTTTCTTTGCTATGGGAGAAAGACCACTGGAATCCTAGGTCCTGGCTCAGCAGTCAAGCCATAGCAACACAATCATGAAGGCTAAAGGGATTGAAGAATTTGCTCTCTAAAGTTCCATTTCACCTATAAGTTTAGATGAATCTGTGATGCATAAAGTACATTAGGGAGGAATATTTTCATTTTTCATTCATTAAATGTTTTACTAACACTTTCTAGTCATCACCCCAGACTATTTTAACATTTTTACTGTTCCAGCCCATGTTCCCAATCCCCTTGCCGCCATGGCATGCTGATTCCTCTTAGAATGCCTGCCTATCTGTGCTGAATGCCCCACCTTCCAAGGCACAGCACAAATGAAACCTTCACTGTTTCTCTAGATCCTTTGCTATGCAGGCGTCTCAGAAGCCCTAAGGTAGGACACAGTCTGTGTTCCTCTTACTTTTGTACAAGCCCTTTCCTGATTCATCTTTGCAACTCAAACAGCTTCTCGTGTATTTTAAATGTTAAATAAAAATTTTTGAATAGATAAGTGATTGAAGGATAAAGACTGATTTGGATCTGTGAGCAACCTGAACTTTGGAAATTTATTTCAAATTATAGAGACCATGTGAGTTTACTTTCACAGGGCATTTACCTAAGCCCTTAAAAATATTTACATATTTATTCTCTGAAGCTGGTTAAACATACCCTTCCAAGTACCTTACTTCCAAATTTGTTTCATTGACTCAACACTTTATGAAGAGTATAAAATATTTTAGGTCAGTTTTCACCCAGATAATAACAAATATCAAGTTGAATTAATGAATGTCTTACTTACCTCTGCCCAATATATCCTGAAGTCATTTAGGTTTTACCTCCAAAATGAACCTTAAATGCAACAATTTCTCTCTACTTGCATTGCCACCACCCTAGTCTAGTTTATGACTTAATATCTCTTCCCTGGTCTTTTGCTCTAACATTTTAATTCTTTCTCCCAAAGTTTATGCCGTTCTCCTATTTGTTCACTACGTTTCAGCAATATTGCTTTTCAGTTTCTTGAACTCTTAAATAAAACAAAATAATTCAAAGCAAAAATTAAATCAAAACAAATCCATTCCTCTAACTTCGGGGAACTCTGATAGCATTTTCTACTCATCCTCAATAGCCCTTCTTATGCATTTATGCCATGATCTTTTGATGAACGTGAGTATCCCTGCTAGACCATCAGTTCCATGAAGGCAGCTGTCTGCTTTGTTCGGTATAGTGTAGCCAGTACCAAGACAATGACTGGTTGAAGTTAAGTTGCTCAATTGATTTTTCACTGATAGAAAGAATATAGATTCCACCCATGGGTCTTAGTTTTTTTCTCTCTTGAAAGAGAGAGACTTAATGAGCCAATTCTTCATCCTGATGACAACTATTTAGAGGCTTGAAGGCTGCCTTAATTCACCACACTGTCTGCTCTAAGTTTGTAGTTCTGTAGGTTATTCATCCCCGGGCCTTTCTGAAATGCTTTTGAGTCACTTTGCCCTTCTGATCCCCATCTTCTAACTACACTCTTGTTTACGCTTTGTTATCTGAAGGTGGTGCCCAGGACCAAACAAGATATTCTGCATGTGGTTTGACTGGTGTATGCTTCCACAGGACCAGCCTCTTCTTCAGATACGATGCCTCCATGAGCACAGCCTAAACCTACATCAATTCTTTTACAAGTACTTCACTTTGCTGCTCCTCTTTAGCCCCTATCTAGGAAAACTCTACATTTCTTTACTCAATATGCCCCTAAGATACACTTTTTATCTTTTGAACCCATTTCCAGAACTTTGCAGTTACTCTTATAAGATATAATTATTTTCCCATGCTGATTTTTAATTCTCTCATCCATCAAAATCACTATCTTTCTTTGATTCATGTTATCTGCAAAATCTGTATTTTTATATACTTAGCTTTTCTACTGAACACCTGCTGTCTGTCAACACTGTGCTCTGTCCTAAACATGGCACTTTGTGAGGTGTTCATAATACCTACTTTCAGGCAGCATACATTCTAGTCACTGACAAAACTTTTGAATGCCTCAGCAATGAGGATACAGCACTATAGAAGCCATTTGGAACCCCTTCTATGTATCTATCAACTAATTAAGCAGTTTTTTTCTAGATATTTTTCTAACCAATTAATAACCCATCTAATATATTGCCATCTGGTTCATTAACCAGTATATTATCCAATTTATAAGAATATGATTAGAAAGTCATTTTAGGCATTATCGGGTTGCAAGTAATACAAACACATTTAAAGTGGCTTAAGTAAAAATAGACTTCTAAGGACTCAAGGAATTCTGATATAATTCACTTGTAGGAAATAATGCTGGAACCCATGGAATTGGAAAACCATTAGTCAGCTAATTTCTCCATTTCTCCTGTTTGGGTCTACACATACTCTCTACACAAACTCTCCTGTTTGGGTCTACACATCTTCTCCATTTTTCTTACTTCTTGATTGATTCAGTGAGGTTCTTGGCTTCACCTCCCCTTAGTTTTGACTTTCCATGGCACCCTGGCACCATTTCACATGAACATACTGTTCTGGGAATCAATGCCATCTGCCTGCTCTTTCTTCCCTCCCCTAGCCTTCCCTTTCCTGGCCTTGCCTTCCCTGGCCTTGCCTTCCCTTCCCTTCCCTTCTTCCTTTCCTTCTCTTCTTTCCTTCCCCCTTCCCTTCCCTTCCCTTCCCTTTCCTTTCCCTTCCCTTCCCTTCCCCTCTTCCATTTCCTTCCTTCTTCCCTTCCCTTCTTTCCTTCCCTTCCCTTCTTTCCTTCCCTTCTTTCCTTACCCCTTCCCTTCCCCTCCCTTCCCCTCCCCTCCCCTTCCCTCTCCTCCCCTGCCCTCCCCTCTGCTCTCCTCCCCTCCTCCCTCCCTCCCTCCCCTTCCCTCCCCTCTCCTCCCCTCCCTTTCCTTTCCTTCCCTTTCCTTCCTTCCTTCCTTCCTTCCTTCCTTCCTTCCTTCCTCTTTCTTTCTCTCTTTCTCTCTCTCTCTCTCTTTCTCTTTCTTTCTTTCTTTCTTTCTTTCTTTCTTTCTCTTTTTTTACTATTCAAATTCTGGAAGGACAGAATCTGGTTATTGACCTGGTGGCAGATTGGTTTCCTTGGTCAAGCCTGTCCTATTGACTGAGGGTGAGGAATAGGGAGAGTGAAATCATTTAGTAAGAAGGTCTGCATCTTACAGAGATGATTAAGCTGATGAAACTGGAAGGCGAGGTTGAATTGATATGGCAGGCATGTAGTCTAGCATGCCATTCTGACAAGAACATCATTATAATTTCTCTGAAATCTAGACATACTCTGTCTATCAAATCCCCTGATGGACTAATTTAATAACATTTTCAAAGAAAGTGAGATACATTTGGCAGGAGTTGTTCTTAGGGAACATGTGTCTTAGATTTTTACCACATTTTCTAAGAGTCTACAGACCTTTACTTTAACAATTCATCCTAGAATCTTCCTCAAGATCAACCTCAAGATGATAGATATGTACTATGCAGAACCAAAAATAAGATTTGTATTTGCACATCTCTAGTAACTAGAATTCTTCAATGATATATAGATAATGGTTCAACAATCTCATTTTCAAGTATTTTTACCAATTGTTTAGGTGCACACAGAGATGTGCTGTCCAGATCCCCCTTCAAAGAAAGATTTTTTGCTCTAGCCTGTAGCTCTCAGCTCCTGCAAGGATTGTTTTAGCTTCAGAAAGCTGACTAGCCCAAGGTCATACCCTCCCAGGTGCTGACCCACATCCAGTGACGGATCAAGATGAGCATCTAAAGGCTCTGCCATTTCAGTCCAACACAGTACAACTCTGATGAGCCATTTTAGCTGTAGAGCTTCCTGAATGTCTAGCCGAAACTGTCAGGCCTACATTGCAGTTTGACTTCTCCTTGCACCCAACTCTGATTCCTTCTCCTTCTTTCTATAGACATTGTTGCCCAGGGCACTTTCTAATAAACACACCACAAACTAAGCTTCATTTCAAAGCCTGTTTTGCAAAAATACATAACCTACGACAATGGAAGAACTTACTATCGTAAACATTTTTTGCTGGCATTTAATCATCTACTGCCATTTAACATCTCTTGACTTATCGTCTTGTGGCATGTGTAATTTCCTGTGTGTCCATCTCATCTTCCTAACTTGGGTGTAAACTCTTTGAGGGAAACCTTCCATGTACATACTATACTTCATTGTGCCCTCACTGCACTCTCATTCAAATCTCTTCTCTGTGAGACCATCTTTGGCCACTCTATATAAAATTGCATGCCTCCCAACCTCTGACTCCCTGTCCCATTTATTTGATTTATTTTTTCTTCATAGCATGAGTCACCTGCTAATAGATTATATAATTTGCTCATTTTAAAAATTATTATTTATCTCTCCCATTAGAATATAATCTTTATGAAGGCAGAAATTTTTCTCTTTTATTTGCTGCTATAACCCAAATGCACAGAATAGGACCTGACACGTCCTAGGCACTTAGATGATATTTGTTAACTTAAATTGAGCTAAATTAGCAAAAATCCTCCATCATAATATAGTAACAATCTCCTGTTTCATTCAGGGTCCAGGCCAGAGACAGACAGCATACTTAATATGGGTGTTTGAGGAGAGGTTCATCAAAGAGAGACTTACAAAGGTGTGGGAAGGGTTTCAGCAAGCCAGGGAGGAATATCGCAATACCCTGGGGCTCGCACCAGCAGGTAGCCTTTACCACCCCCAGACCTGAAGGGACAAGTGGTGGAGCAGCTATGGGGAGCTCAGAAAGAGGGGCTATAAGGAAAGAGCCTTCTAACAGGAGCTGTAACCTGTAGTAGAGAGACACATCCAATTGGCAGTTCTTTGAAGAGATGGAGCTGGGGCAATAAACCCTCACCTCACTCTCCTCTCACCCTCTGATCTCCTGCTGAGGTGTCTCATTGGCTAAACTCCCATTGCTAGCAGGCATGGGAGTCTACTGCTACAGTTCTCAGGAGTTGGCCTCCCAAGATACAGAGCAGGGTAGAAAAGGGTGGAGAGTGGATCTGGAAAGGATAACAAGAAATATCTAGAACACATCCTAACCCAAATGAACTGTTGCCCTTTGGTCGTAAGGTTGCCCGTGGGGCATGGTGAGATCTGATTAAATGGAGTAGAAATGAAAGCTGCTGTGGTGTGTGCATGAAAGAGATAACCTGGAAGGGTTGTGCAGTTGTTGAGCAGTGGTGGGTGCAGAGAGGAAAAAGCCTTCTTTTCTCAAGAAGGAGAAGGTGAATTTCTGAGAGTGAGCATGAAAGCTGGAAAGAAGCCCATTTAGGAATAAAGTTTAGTTTCAAGCTGGGACGCTGATGGTTTCCATGCATTCTCTGGTAGAAATTCTTAGAAATCAGTAACAGGAGAAGGCATGCTACCCTGAAGCTGCAAAAGCAATATGACACTATATCCCCAAATTTGAGAACAGCAAAGCAGAAGCTGGTATGTCTGCAGAAGAAGAACATTGGTTACATTTGTCTAGCGATTGCTCTCTCCCCCATCTTTGAGGAGATTAGGACGGGTTTTGGGAGTGAGTCTGTATGCAGTACGCACCTAGAAGAGGATGAGATCCAATTTTGGCTCCCTGACTCCCAGACTGAATGTGGTTTCTGAGAAATTTCCTTTACATTAGTATTCAAGCCACTCTGAGAAGATTCCAAGATTGTGGGAATGACAGGAAGGTTCAGCGTCCAGGATTCTGGCTGTTGTTGACGGTTTGAAGCTGCAACTGTGGGTGCCAATCTGGTGCCCTGATTCCCTGCCTGCTGGGAGTGCCCTGCAGTGTCATCACCCTCCCGTCACCCAGCCACCTGCCAGTTGGCATTCGGTAGCACGTTGGAGTCAGACTGGTCCACCTTCCTTCTGGGTGGAAGAAGAGGGCTGCAAAAGGCCCTGGGAGCCACCCCTAGTGCCAGACATGCAAACAAAACTGGCAGAGTGGAAACAAGCTGAGAAGGAATGCAAATGTGGGTGTGAGACAGAGTGCAGGGGGCCGGGGAGGGCACTCTTCATTTCTGCTTGGTCGAGGAGTCACTGTTCTTTCTGAACCTGGGGCAGAGTGGCAGGGGCAGTGGTTGAAATGTTACTGTCAACCCCAGCAAAGGGTGGATGCTGGACTGGAGTCAGGGAGTGGAAAACGGCACAGTGCCCATCAGGAGTCCGTAAAGGCAGTGGGGAGCTTATGCTTCAAGTGATGAAGAGGAGAAGACAAGGAACAAAGCTGGGTAAGAACAGAGTTTGTTAAAGCATGGTGGCAATCACCCAGATGGTGGCTGAAGAGGCAGAGAGCTGGAGAAGACAGGGTGCCACTGTGATATGGTGAACAGCAGTGAGGCCCTCCAGGTGTGAGAAACCTGAAAAGTAGATGGAAAGTGGTTCCCTAACTATAGGACAAAGTCCAAACCATGTAGCTTGGGTGGGCACAGGCATTTCCATGGCTTCATTACTCTTTTGGTGGATGATTCCCAAGTCAGGCTGATGGAAGCTGATAATTTTCATCCCAGATCTCAGTCCTGAAATTTCAGACATAATTTTTTTTTTTTACTCAACTGGACTTCAGCATCTGGATACCTGGCAGGTGCTTCAAATTCAACTCATCCAAAACAGGAATCAATATCCTCATCCTCCAAAGCACCATCATCCTTTGTTTCTTTGAATTGAACTACATTCTCTCAGGTTGTTCATACCAGATTCCTGACCATCACGGCGTGCTTTCTTTCCCTATTTCTATCCAGTCCAGCAACAAGACTAGTTCACTTAAATATTCTGTCTCCTCTTCAACTCAATGATCACATCCTTAGTTTAGATCTTCGTCATTTCTTATCTGAGTCATGGCATCCTTTTCCAAGGATTCTGTTTTCCATGAGTGCAATCTCTGTGCTGCCGTGAAGGTGATCTTTTATTCCCTTTCCTTTCTAGTATCCACGTGCTTCCCAATAGAGTCAAATGGAGGTCATGATGTTGTGGTTGTAAAGGGAGAAAGTAGTATCACCAAGTGTTGTTTGACTGACTTAAGTTCAGCCATTCATTCAATGGATATTTATTGAGTGACTTTTAGGGTGATTGTGAGAATAAAATAAGGTAATCTATGTGATATGCTTAGAAAATTAATGGCAAATTGCAAATGCTTAATAAATATTACTAGTTAGCAGCAAAGCAGCAATTAATTTTTCTGTAAACTACTACTGTAGATGCAGTGGAGGCTGCAGAAATGCATACACATAATGTTATATGCCCATAAGAATCTTAAAATTCCTAGGCCTTCTAGTCTTGACCCTGACTCCAGCCCATGTTACTAACTGATTCAACTTATTTGAAGACATCCATGGGCCAGTCTCTAAGCTGGTCCTATGTTCCAGAGAACCTAGCTTTAGCCTGCTCCTCTCAAAGGATAAATGTGAAGATCAGATGAGATGGTGTCTACTTAAGCGCTTTAGTAATCGTGGGATGCTGCATAACATTGCTGAGTTGATGCAGCACTGTCTGGCTATGTGGCCTGAGTGGAGAATGTATCGTTGCCAGTAGTGCTCCTACTTTCTTCCAGCCCACCTGGAGCTGATGTGCAATCTCCATATGTTTCAAAGACTGCTCTCTCTTTTAAGCTATTCCATTAATTGCCATTTCCTGAGTGGTAGAACGTAGTCTCTGATTTCTCCTGTAGAACAAAGATGATTGGTGTTCTCTGAGTCCAGTGAATGGTTAAGTCTTCCATTCTCAAGTCATTTACTTTATCTCCAGCCCAGATAGTCTCATACCTGGCTGTCCCATAAATACCTTCATTATCTTTCCCACAGTCTTAAAAATGCATCCTTATGATATGTTTTTAAATTATGAAAACCACATGGTATGTAATTTCACTTCCCACTCCTGCAAAAAGGAAAGAAAAGGCTGGTCTGTTACAAAATGAAGATGTTTTATTTAAGTGCCAAAGGCTTTTAAAATCTGATTCTGGAAAGTCAAGCCTATGCTTGATAGTAGAGTCTTTCATGCAGCATCTTGAAATAGGCCTACTTTGATATGATCATTGACTTCATACATAAGAGGAAATCAGCTTTGGCTTGTATTACTTGGAAAATTGAAGAAAAAGCAGGGACTTGAAATTTGGGTTATCAGATAAATTATCTATTCCCTGACATCACTCAGTGTCTCTAGACCTGAGTTTCAACTCTAAAATTTGAACAAATTGATCCGTTTGGAGTGTTTTCTTCCTATCTGATTCAGATATTTGCTCCCAGCCTGAGAGGTTGTATGCCAACTTCCTGTCAGGAGCACCTTTCCACAGTTGTATTATAAATATCTGGGAAGAAAAAAACAGGGGAGGATTAAATTAAAGAGTGCAGTACTAGTCCTCCCGGTGCCAAGGCAGTCCTGGGAGGCTCAGATAATAGTATCTCACATTTACAATTTAGATCTCAAGCCCACCAAGCTAGGAGTTGACCCAACTTTTTCTACCTTCCGCAGGGCTGATGGTATTTAAAGAGTTGGATGCATAGTTAGTGATAACATCTATTAGTCATTAAGTTTTTGTGTATTAGAAAACATTGTGATTTTTTTTATACCATCATACATGGGCTGTACATATGTGACTGGTAAATGTGCCTTGTCATTATCTAGCATATTTTTGTCACTTGAGTGTTATACATCACAAGATGACAGTGATTCTGCCCCAGAGATTCTGTTTTGCAGATAACAAAATTATTTTGCACTTACGAGTAAGCAGGTAGGGTATAGGACAATCTATGTGAGTTTTTTGGATACTACCTTGAAAGTGTATTTCCATGAGATGCAAATGAGGAAGGTCGTAAGTGCAAGGATATGAATCTGTATCCCCTGGAGATGGGCAGAGTGCAACCCATACAGGCTGTTTTAGTCAGGGCTCTGCAGAGCAGCAAAATCAATAGAAGATTGATTGATTGACTGATTGATTGATTGACATGGGAACCGGCTCATGTGATTATGGAGGCTGAGAAATGTCACTGTCTGCCATCTGCAAGCATAATTCAGTTCGTGTCTGAAGGCCGAAGAACCAGGAGTTCCAATGTCTGAAGGGAGGAGAGGATGGATGTCTCAGCTCAAGAAGAGAGTGAATGCGCCCTTCCTCTGCCTTTTGGTTCTGTGAGCCCTCAGTAATTGGATAATGTTCATCCACATTGGTAAGGGTGATTTTATTTACTCAGTCTCCCAATTCAAATGCCAATCTCTTCCAGAAACACCCTCACAGACACATCCGGAAGCAATGTTTTACCACCCATCTGGGCAGCCCCTAGCCCAGTCAGGCTGACACATAAATTCACCATCTCAGAGGCTCAGGCAGCCTTACCATCAACTGGGAGAGTGAAGCAGGAGAGGGCATGGGCATGGAGGAGAGCATGCGGACCCTGCTGAAGATATAAAACAGCACACGGGGAGCGAGGGCAGCAGCCTCTTGACCTTTTCAGCTTTTGATTAGGGCTAATCTTGTGTAGCAAGAACTTCAAAACTGATTTATTTAAGAAGCTTGTGTGTGGTAAGATCAGAACTGGAGTCCAGCTCTACTGACTTCTAGACTTGAGTGATTTCTATCATATACCACTGCCTGGAAGGTCAGCCTCACTGCTTAATAGAAAAAATTAGTAGGCCTAATTCGAAAAGATTCTCAAGAGGCAATCAATCTTTGCATAACCACAAAAAGTAAACCAACTCTGCCAAAACAAACTCATTCACTCACTCATTTATTCAACATATATTTGAGCCTCAACTATATATCAGTCATTGTCTTAGGTACTGGGATATAGCTTTGTGCATAAACAGTTCAAGTCCCTGATCTTATGGAGATTACAAGTTGGCGGAAAAAAATGAATAGCAATTATGCAAATGTGTAAATGACCTGACTTCACCTAGAAGGTTGTGAAGAAAATTTTTTAAAAGTAAGGCAGGGTAATGTGATAAAGTGAGTGGAAGTTTGCAGCTGAATATGATAGTGGAGGTTGGAGGGAAATTTAGGGGTTACCATTTAGTAATTTCCAAATGTTACCTTCTCACAAATGCTTGCAAATTTTATATATATATATATATATACACACACACACATAGATATATTATATATGTATATATACGTATATACATATATACATACACATATATGTATATACACATATATACATACATACACATATATGTATATACACATATATACATATATACACATATGCATATACACATATATACACACATGCATATACACATATATACACATATATGCATAGACACATATGCATACACACATGCATATACACATATATGCATACACACATGCATAGACACATATGCACACATATATGCATACACACATGCATATACACATATATACACATATATGCATACACACATATGCATATACACATATATACACATATATGCATACACACATATGCATATACACATATATACACATATATGCATACACACATATGCATATACACATATATACACATATATGCATACACACATATGTATATACACATATATACACATATGTGTATATACATATGTATATACACACATATATACACATATATGTGTATATACATATGTATATACACACATATATACACATATGTGTGTATATACACACATATATACACATATGTGTGTATATACATATGTATATACACATATATACACATATGTGTGTATATACACACGTATATACACATATATACACATATATGTGTATATACACACATATATACACATATATACACATATATGTGTATATACACACATATATACACATATATACACATATATGTGTATATACACACATATATACACATATATACACATATATGTGTATATACGTATATACACATATGTGTATATACATCTGTATACCTATGTGTGTATATACATATGTATATACGTATATACACATATGTATATATACAGATGTACGTATATGTATATACATATATATGTATATATACAGGTGTACGTATATGTATATACACATATATGTATATATACAGGTGTACGTATACGTATATACACATATATGTATATATACAGGTGTACATATACGTATATACACATATATGTATATGTACACCTGTATATATACGTATATACACATATATGTATATGTACATCTGTATATATACATATATACACATATATGTATATGTACATCTGTATATATACATATATACACATATATGTATATGTACATCTGTATATATACATATATACACGTGTGTGTACATATGTATATATGTACAGATATACACATGTGTGTGTACATATGTATATATGTACATATATACACATATATGTATATATACATCTGTATATATACATATATAATATATCTATATATGTGTATACACATAGTAAAAAGAATAAGCTCAGGGGATGGGGAAACATCAAAAAAGACAACAAAAGATTTATTTCCGTAGACCAAATACTACTTTTATATTGTTTTTAAAAATCAACACTTTTATTATAGAAGTAGCACATGGTAGTGTTAATAATTAGATCACATAAAAGATCATTAAGAAGAAAATAAGGCCAGGCATGGTGGCTCACGCCTGTAATCCCAGCACTTTGGGAGGCTGAGGAGGGCAGATCATGAGGTCGGGATATTGAGACTATCCTGGCTAACACAGTGAAACCCCATCTCTACTAAAAATACAAAAAATTAGCTGGGCATGGTGGTGCATGCCTGTAATCCCAGCTACTTGGGAGCCTGAGGCAAGAGAGTCGCTTGAACTTGGGAGGCAGAGGTTGAAGTCAGCCGAGATCATGCCACTGCACTCCAGCCTAGGCAACAGAGCAAGACTCCGTCTCAAAAAAAAAAAAAAAAAAAAAAGAAGAAGAAAATAAAGCTACCATGATAAAAATCACTCTTGAAATTTTAATATTTATTGTCTATTTTTTCTAGGCATGTAAATATGATTTTTACATATGCTGTTTTGTAACTGGCTTTCTGAACTAACAGTATATGATGAACATCTTTTGATATTAGCTAATACGTAGTTGCATCATTACTTATCCTTATTGCGTGGTATTCGATTGAAAAAGTGTACCAAGGTTTATGAAACCCATTCGCTATTTGTGAACATTTGTTTCTAGTTGTCACTCTTGTAAAGAGTGCTTGATGAATATCCTTGTATATATGTCTTTGCCTGCTTGTTTAATGATTTCGTTAGAAAAAATTCCTAGGAGTGGAATTACTAGGTCAGAGAGTCTGCAGTTTTAAAGACTTTCAATTATATTGCACAGATTTTAATTTTCCTACCAGCAGTTTATGAGTGCTTCTTTGCCCATATGTTGTCCATTTCAGTGTAAAAAGAGAAATAGTAATAGGTAAAAAATGGTGAACTATGGTTTTAGTTTGTATTTACCTTACTGCTGGTGTAATGTATACTATTTGAGCTTTTTTACTGACCTTTCGTGTTTCTTCTTTTTGATCCATGTCTTTTGCTCATTGTAAAAATGGAGGTGTTCATTTTTCCCCTTACTGACTTGCAAGACCTGTTTGTGTATCCACTCATTCAAATGCCTACTATGTGGCACACACTGTTGCAGGATCTGGGATAGAAGGATAAACAAGAAAATCTTGCCTTAAAAAAAAGTTATTTTCTGATTTATTTAATGGCCAATATTAGTTTTTGTCAGTATAATTTTTTTGGAAGTCAAAAGTGTCTTTATTTTCCTTTATGATTTCATCCTGCAGTGTCATGTTCAGAAAGGCCTTTCCAACCTCAAGATTATAAAACTAGTCACCATATTTCCCTCAGCTATTAATTGAATAATTTATCTTTTCCCCACAGATTTGAAATGGCATCTTTATCATTCACTAAATTCTTAAATATACGTAGGTCTGCTTTCGGATTTTCTACTTGATTTCACTGATGTGTCTATGTTGGCACCTATGTCAAATTACTGTACATATTGTGGCTTTATAACACATTTGGATATCTGCAAAGGAAAACCCCAACTCATTATTCTTCTTTTTGAGAACATGTTTGCGTGTTTATTCTCCCAGAATTTTGTCAAGCGCTGAAAAGAAAATCCATTAGATTTTCAGCAGGATTGAGTTACATTTGTAGGTTAATTTGCAGAGAATTTGTATGATATTAGCTATTCTTACTACAGGAATACAATTTGTCAATATGCAAGTCTTTTTATATGGCCCTCAGTAAAATTTAATCATTTTTATTAAGATCTTGCATAATTTTTGTCCAGCTTATTTCTAGATATTTTATGTCTTTTTACTACTATGAATAGGATCATCTTGCCTTTATGTTTTTTTTTAAACTGTTCACTGTTGATAAGTAGGAAAGCTGCTGATTTACCTATTGTTTTATTGCCAGCCTTCTTAATGATATATCTTATTAGAAGCCACAAATCAAAATGATAGTGATGCAGTCTGAGAAAGAACCAATCGGCTCAGATACCAGGTGTGAACAGTTTGTACAAACTTTCTATGACATAGCAGCTGAATACTAACCGGGATGTCAGTTCTAATACTTTTTCAGGTAAATCTCCTTTTTCCAATATCTTTCATAGGTAAGCAACCATAACATCTATAATTCCTGGTCATTTTTCTTTCTCCTTCACAATATTTTGTTTTCAGGTTTAATTGCATATATTGAAATTGGAGCACAATCTTAAATAGAAGTGGTGATGATTGACTTCCTTATATTGCTCCTGACTGTACTGGAAAAGTTGGTCAGGGAGAGAGATTACTGTAAATAATGGTAAGGGAAACTCTTATATTCTATTTTATTAATAGTTTTTTTAAAAATTAGAAACTGATAGTGAATTTTATCCCATGCTTTACTTTCTATCAGGATGGTTATATGAATTGTTTATTTTGTCCAATTGATGTTGTAACATATATCAATCCATTTTCCAAGTTGGAGCGCCATTGCATTCCTGGAATAAACCCTACTTGGTTATGATGCATAACCTTTGTGTTATACATCTGAATTTAGTATACTAAGGTTTCATTTAGCATTTTTTTGTATCTATTAGGCATAAGTGTGGGATTAGTTACTATTGTGCTAATTTTGTAACAGAAATTGGTATGTTTCCATCTTTTTATGCTTGCAAAATTTAAATGATGTAGGGATTTTCTGTTTCTTGAAGGTGGTTAGAACTTCCGCAGACAAAAGTATAGGGTTTTTGTGTGGATCATATTTTAATAATTGCTTTTCATTTCTTTAATAATTTTGGTTTATTTGAGTTTTCTATTTCTTCTTGAGTAAGTCTTGTAATTTATATTTTTCTAGAAAATAATCCATTGACTGAGATTTTCGATTTAGTAAAATAGAATAACATATAGTTCCCTGATAATTTTTAAAGTAATCATATCTGTTGCTATATATACTTTCTCATCATTAATGCTATCCTTTTCTGTCTCTCTCTCTCTTTTATCTTTGGACTGGCCAGAGCGTTGTTTATCTTACTGGTCTTTTCAAAGAGCCTACACCTTTCCGTATGTGCTATGGAGACATGCACATACTACATACATCATGTGGCACAAGGAATTAGATCCTGCTAGCAACCAGTTGAGTGAGCTTGGAGACAGATACCCATCAGAAAAGCCTTCAGATAGGACGGCATGCCCAGCCAACACTTTGATTTGTGAGAGACGTTGAACCAAGGGCACCCTGCTAAGTTGCACCTGAATTCTTGCCCCACAGAGACTGTGACATAATTTGTGTTTTCTGTTTCAAAAAACTAATTTTGGGGGTAATTGTTATACAGCAATAGTCAACTAATATAGTAGATGATTGGGTCTCTTAGACATTTGTCAACGCTTTCTATTTGGTTTGTGCGGTCAGGTATTAAGGTCCCTGAGCTCTGTTGTTACAGAGAAATCAATCAACTAACACCAACTAAATAAATAAAATGTGCAAAGCGGGCCTTTCCTCTCAGAAGTCCCCTCTCTGTCACTAGAGAGAGAGCTGTTTTCCTTTCTCTTTCTCTCTCTCTTGCCTATTAAAACTTTGCTCCTAAACTAAAAAAAAAAAATTGTGTAAAGCAGAAGTCAGAGACTCTTAGATTGTGCAACTCTTGATTTGCATAACATCAACCTTTTGTAAGTTGTTCTATAAGGGAGAGAATATAGTTTTAGAGATGTGAAAATATTAGTGTGATATATGGAAATGTAAACTATCTCAGGCAGAGACGAATATTGGGAATAGAGAGGGAAAGGCAGAAGGCACTCACATGAGAGGGAAGGCCCTTCTGTTCAATCCCATGTGGTTTCTGGTACCATGTGTATTCTCATTGCATTATCTTGTGTTATTTTAGTTTATTAGTTTTATTCTCCCCTTTGCTTTATTTTATTCAGGACTAAAAATTGGCAAAGTAAGAGCAAGAAGAGAGGATCAGTTTCTAATTTAAGAAGAGGAATTTATAATAGAAAATAAAAATGTTAAAAAACCAAAGGCATCCACAGTCTAAATTTCATGAACTTCATTTGGGAAATATTTTTTAAATTATGGTAATTTATGGATAAAAAGCATGAAAGATGGGCTGGGGATGGTGCCTCATGCCTGTAATCCCAATACTTTGGGAGGCTAAGGCTGACGGATCATCTGAGGTCAGGAGTTCGAGACCAGCCTGGCCAACATGGTGAAACCCCGTCTCTACTAAAAATACAAAAATTAGCTGGGCATGGTGGCAGGCGCCTGTAATCCCAGCTACTCGGGAGACTGAGGCAGGAGAATCACTTGAACCTGGGAGGCAGAGGTTGCAGTGAGCTGAGATCGCACCATTGCACGCCAGCCTGTGCGACAAGAGCGAAACTCCACCTAAAAAAGAAAAAAAAATAAAAAAGCATGAAAAATGTTTTGCATCTTTGGAACTTACAGGGTTCACAAAGCAGGGTTCAGGAGAAAAAGTTACTCATAGAAATAGAGGACTGACTTACAAGGAAGATGATGAGTCATAGTTTAAAATGCTTGTCACTTAGCCTAATGACCGTCTAAGCAAAGTCTTGAAGTCAGAAAAAGGAAAGAGAAAGTACTGTGAACTCTTGCAGTATGAGGCTACTAGTGGGTCATGTCGGAATTTACATGATAAAAAAATGCATGTTGAGACTGCTGGAATAGACACAAAAAGCAAGAAAAAAAGTGGGAATATTAAAAAGAAATACAGGAGATGACACAGCACAGAAAGTCTTCAGAAAGTCTTATATGAATGAAAAGAGATTGACTGTAGAGAAAACATGCCCCTAAGAATATATATTTTCGAGAGTTAAAAGCAACTCCAGTATTGAAGGCTGTGAAAGATATACTTGACCTTGAGGCCAATGTCCTGAAAAAATGCAAATAGGAGCTGTTAGTCTTCTAATTTCTCCAAAGAGCTATGGGTAATTTAAAGGTCTTTGTGAAGTCTGTATTTTCAACGTACATCAAATCCATGCTTTGCAAGGCCTTCTTGAATGGGACTGTGATGTAATTTGGGGAGTGTCTGTATAATTATAATCCCTTCCTTCAAGGAGTTCATATTTGGCCATAAAGAACAATGCTCAGCCAGGAGCGGTGGCTCATGCCTGTAATCTCAGCACTTTGGGAGGCCAAGGTGGGTGGATCACTTAAGGCCTGGCCAACGTTGTGAAACCCTGTCTCTATTAAAAATAGAAAAACTAGCTGGGTATGGTGGCACGTGCCTGTTGTCCCAGCTACTCGGGAGGCTGAGGTACAAGAATTACTTGAACTCAGAAGGCGGAGGTTGCAGTGAGCCAAGGTTGTGGCACTGCACTCTAACCTGGGTGACAGAGTGAGGCTCTGTCTCAAAAAAACAAAACAAAACAAAAAAGTGAGGACCTCAGATGAGGAGTGCCAAGTGCCGGGCATAGAGGGGTTGATCCCTGTTCACCAGGCTCTAAGACCGTCTTTCAGCCTCGCAGTCTAAGAATTAGGGGAAACCCCCACAATTTAAAAAAATGTGTTTAGAAAATAATTTCCTCATTTCTACGAGATTGGAATTGTTATTCCCATTTTCCAGCTGAGAAAATCGAGGCCATGAGAGGTAAGTGATTGCCCTAAGATCATGAAGCTAGTGTCCAATGAAGCTGGAATTGAACTTGGTGGTGTGAATTCAAAAATCCATGTACTTAATCTCTCTGTCCTACTTGTAGCTCTATCTCTGTCCATATCCATTTCTTGTTTGGGAAGACTTAGAGGGTGTTCTCATTTTAGAGGATTTAGATTGTGACAAAAAAGTAAACTACTCTTGGGTTTTATACACGTGGAGTGGACATACCCGGCCAATCAATTATTTTGGTTGGTTTACTACACATACATTTAAGAGCTCTTTTTAGTTATTGCCTATTGAAGATGCCATGCATTTGTTAATTTAAGCCTACTATTAAGCCAGTCAGATTATATAGGACTGTATTAGTCTGTTCTCACACTTCTAATAAAGACATACCCAAGATTGGGTATTTTATGAAGGAAAGAGGTTTAATTGACTCACAGTTCCACATGGCTGGGGAGGCCTCACAATCATGGCAGAAGGAGAAGGAGGAGCAAAGTCACATCTCACATGGCAGCAGGCAGGAGAGCATGTGCATCCCCTTTATAAAACCATCAGATCTGCGAGACTTATTCACTATCAGGAGAACAACACAGGAAAGACTCACCCCCATGATTCAATTACTTCCCACTGGGTCTCTCCCACAACACATGGGAATTATGGGAGCTACAATTCAAGATGAGATTTGGGTGGGGACACAGCCAAACCATATCAAGGATTATTTACAAGAACCCTAGAAGATTCAAAGGGCTGTTTACAAGAACCCTGGGCATTTTCCAGAACCTTGAAACCACATCTTGGGAGCACTTACGTGCCATAAGTATTGTGTAAAACTTGATATTACACATTAAAAATCTGTGGAATGAATAAATGAAAACATAAAATACTGAGCGTGTGAATGTTTAGAAATTAAAGTCCTATAGGGAAACTTAGTGTTTCTTCTTGTTTTAACTCTTACATGCAGGTCAGAATAGAGGTAGGCAGGGAGGAAAGAGTGAGGGAAGAAAAACAAAACATTTTGCACCCAGTGCATATTTAATAACATTTTACTGAAATACAATGAGGAATTAAAAAGGAGGATTTATTTTATCGAGCCAGCTAACAATTACCGAGGTCTTACTATGTGTTAAGTTTATACACCATACATAGCATGTAAGTCTGCTGGTTCTCGTATCTGGCTGGACATTGGAATTTCCTGGGAAGTTTTTAAATTATTGATGCCTGGAGTCTACTCCCAGAGATTCTTATTTAATTGGTCTGGTGTGTAACATGGGCAAATGGGTTTTTTTAAAGCTCCCCAGGTGATGTGTAATGAATATTGAGAATTTGTGTGTTACTCCTTTTGTTCAGGGGTCGGCAAACTTTTTCTATAAAAGGCCAGATGATAAATATTTTAGCCTTTGTTGGCCATATGGTCTCTGTCACAAATACTCAATTCTGCTATTATAGCACTAAAGCAGCCACAGACAATATGTGAGTGAGGATAGCTGTGTTCCAATAAAACTTTATTTATGAACACTGAAATTTGAATTTCATAAAATTTTCACATCACAAAAGAGTATTGTTATTTTGATTTTCTTTTCCCAAACATTTAAAAATATAAAAGCCATTCATAGGTCGAGGGCCACACAAAAACAGCAGTTGGCTAGATTTGGCCAGAGTTTGTAGATAGAAGCCTACTTTAATTCATGTAACTCCACGATGGTAGGTGCAATCTTATTCTCTTTTTCATAGTTGATGGGAGTGAGACAAGATCAAATGTCGCTTGGTGATTCATTCGGGATTTGGCCATAATGCTGTTTCTTTTTTAGAAAGTACCAACATTTCTCCAAATGTTACCTTTTTGGTTATTTTTGAAGTTAATTATGAGGATAATTGATGTGGGGGAAGCTCTCCTTTCAACCCCTATCCTTTTAAATATAAACTCCCAATGACTTCAAGTTAGAATAATGTATTGTTTAATTAAAAAAAAAGTTTTGAACTCTTGTTCAGCCCTCTGCTTCCCACATTGCTGGGTAGATCTGGCCTTTAATATGTTCATTGAGGAATTTATTCAATTTAATTGAAGTTACAGTTTTTCCTTGTTCTTCTTGTACCTCCAAATCAAGCAAATAGTGTTAAAATATTATGGTCAATTATACATATAAATCTTGCAGAGCTAATGAACATATTCTCTAGATTGTGAAGCAGACTGGACACTTATCTTACTCTTTAAGATAAAATACCACATCTGTATAATGCATTGCTAAGCTTTCTTCTCACTACACACTTTGCCTAGAATCCCATTTTCCATTAAATAATAATCACTGTAATTAATAGACTGGTTATTTTATCTCCCTAATCTGGTTACAGTAATTTATCAAAGGCATGTAAATGAATGCTAGAAAACTAGTGCATCCTTCTTTTTAAAAGAAGGTAAAGAATATAAAATGTAATAGTTATCTAGGGAATATAATAAGCTAGGTACTACTTGTAATTCACTGAAAGAAAAAAATAGAATATTCACTGTTGCCTTAAGGGTTTTTGATAAGGTTTAAATTACCCTTGTTTCAGGGAGTGACTACAGATAGGTTGATGGGTAACCAGTATGTATTCTTCAAATCTTCACAAGTGCCCTGAGATGGATCAGCAGATCTCTTCCTAGCTCTGCATCTCGCATTCCTCGGTGCTGGCCAGCTGAAACGCGCAATGCCCCCCAGGGATGCTAAGGACCATTCAGAGCTTGGTTGTTCTTAAGAAGGGTTTTAAAAACACTCTAGACTGGGTGTGATGGCTCACGCCCATAATCTCAACACCTTGGAAAGCCAAGGTGAGAGGATTCCCTAAGGCCAGGAGTTCGAGACCAGCCTGGGTAACATAGCAAGACCCCCATCTCTACAAAAATAAAAATAAATAATAAATGAAAACACTTTACCTCTCCCTAAAGCCCAAGGGAAGAATTATTATTACCTATGCCACTCCAGTCCTCAGACATGAACTTTATTTAGGCAAGAAAAGGAAGGAGAATAAAAGGGACCAGACAGAAAGGTGACCGGGCTCTTGTACAAGTTCTGCTGCTCATTTTCAACTGGGCCCATCTGTCTGACCCTTACCACCATGGCATTCTCATTCTTTGTACTCATACCTGTTCTGCGTAATCTGTGCACTCTTCTAAGACTTGGATATGATATATCACGCTGTATTAAAATAATACTGGTGAGACAGGGTAGGGGGATGGTTTTAAAGTAATGAGCTTTAAAAATGAGCTTTGGAGCCAGCAGGCCTGGATTCAAGTTCCAATTACACTCCCCCTAGCTGATAACCTTGGGCATGTTACTACAATAGGGGTTAGAAGAGGCTTATAGTGAGAATTAAATCTGAAAATGCACTGAAAGCTTCAGAATAGTAACTGGACTCAGAATGTGCCCTTAAAAAATGGAATTTATCTCCATCTTGTTCTCCTCTTCTTTCCCTTTTTTTTTTTTTAATAATATGCCCTAAGGATTAAGGTGGGACAAGGAACTTCCCATTTTTCTCTGCAGCCACCCACTCCTTTGGGATTTTTATTTGGAAAGAGGACAAAGAGCAAAAAGAGAAGCCCAAAAGAGAAACAGAATGTGAGCATGACATTCCTAATGCCTTTGGTGGCTTCTCATTGTTCTCAGGATAAAGACAAAATTTTTTGCCCCTGCTTTCATGACCCTGTGTGGCCTGGCCCTGCCAACCTTTTCTGTGCTATGTTTTTTGATTGCTACCCAACAAATTACCACAAACTTTGCAGCTTAAAACAACACCCATTTATTAGCTTCACAGTAGGTCAGAAGTGCAGGCGTGGCATGGCTGGCTGCTCTGTTTAGGGTATCACAAAGCTGAATCAAGGAACTGACCAGCCTGAATTCTCATCTGTAGGCTCTGAGAAAAGAATCCACTTTAATTACAGATTGAATTATGCCCCCACCTCAAATTCATATGTTGAAGTCATAACCCCGAAGACCTCAGAATGTGACCTTATTTGGAGATATGGTCTTTGTAGAGGCCATCAAGTTAAAATGAGTTCATCAAATGAGCTCCAATCCAACATGACTGGTCCTTACAAAACGGGCAAATTATGACACAAATTCCTAAATGCTTAGAGGGTAGATGATGTGAAGAGACAGATTATGATGAGATGATATAGACTATCTGCAAGCCAAGGAGAAAGTCCTGGAAAAGACACTTCCCTCTTTTAAGGGCAAAAAGTCCTGCCAACCATTCAATCTCAGACTTCTAGCTTTCAAAACAATGAGAATAAATTTCAGTTGTTTAAGCCATCCAGTCTGTGGTGCCTTGGTACGGCAGCCTTAAGAAATGGATACACAAAGTCATTCTTCTATTCAGAATGCAGTTTCTTGCATTCTTGCACTTGTAGGGCTGAAAACTCCCATTTCCTTGCTGGCTGCCAACTGGGGTCTCTCTCGGCTGTGAGAGGTGGCCCATATTTCTTGCCAGGCGGTTCCTTCCATCTTTAAGCCAGAAACCATTTGAATCTTCTTGTCCTCAGAATCTTTGACTTCCTCAGCCTCTGACTTCTAGACTCAGATTTAAAGGCTTTTGGGATGATGTCAGAACTACCTGGATAGTCTTTCCTTCTAAATGCTCACTGTGTCATATCATATATGACCTAACCTCGGGAGTAAAATCCGTCATATTCACAGTCCCAGAAACTGGGGACCTAGGGGGATATTATAATTCTTTTTTTTTTTTTTTTTTTTTTTGAGACAGAACTTTGCACTGTCACCCTGGCTGTAGTGCAGTGGCGCAGTCTCAGCTCACTGCAAACTCTGCCTCCCGAGGTTCAAGCAATTCTCCTGCCTCAGCCTCCTGAGTAGCTGGGATTATAGGTGAGTGCCACCACACCCGGCTAATTTATGTATTTTTAGTAGAGACAGTGTTTTGCCATGTTAGCCAGGCTGATCTCCAACTCCTGGCCTCAAGCAATCCCCCCACCTCAGCCTCCCAAAGTGCTGGGATTACAGGCATGAGCCACGGAGCCTGGCAGGATCTTAGAATTTTGCCTACCACCAGGGCATTTCAAATTCTGGGGTTCTTCATGCTTCCTCCTAGCACAGCACTTGGTGTTTGCTGTTCCCTTTCTAGGGACACTCTTCATCCCTCCCCACACCTCCCTTGATCAACTTCTATTCCTACTCCAGATCATGGTATGTTCATATATTTGCCCAGATATACAATGCTGTCCTCTAGAGAACTAATCACAGTTATCACTTTAGAGTTTACATTTTTTGATTGCTATTTGGTTCATTTCTATCACATCCATCCACACTGTAAAGCCTTGAGAGCAAGGATGGTGTCTGATCATGAACACCACTGTATCTTCTCCCTGCACAGTGCCTCACACTCAACACATATCTATTGAATAGATGAATCATAAGCACACTCCCCACCTTATTCTTTCAGTCTCCTGCACATGTTGAAACAATCAGGTACCAAGGTGGGATAGGTAGGAGATTCTATTTTCAGAGCCGAGTAGAAGCTCCCTGAGTAAGAATTTGATATGGATCAAATGACTTGACTCCCCATATTAATTTGCAAGTTGCTACCTGAACATATTTGCTTTAATTCTTAGGCTCAAGGTGCTGAAATTATAACATCATTACTTAAATAGGCTGCCATTATTGCTCCTGACAACTTACGCCACTTCCAGTGGCTTTGCAGGAATGGGATAAAGGGCAGACATTTTAAGGACAGATATTTTCAATGAAAGCAGAGACAAGGAAGAATGTGTCCCAGAAGCCTGTCTGGAAGGGACACCATACTGTGGGTTTGAGGTAGCCAAGAAGGCACCTAGATGACATCGGTGTCAGATAGAAAGAGACAGTGCTTCCTTCTAGGACTCTGCTGCTTTCCAGCTCTGTTGAAGCACCAGCTGCACTGGTTTGTTGAAATTCAGTAATGGGTTAAACCGTGATGAGACAACAGCTTGTGCTGCTTTGCCTTCCTCTCCACCGTGGCTGCTTGGTGGAGACACAGAGAGTGGGGGCAATGAAGGTGATGGAGGAAAATGTCTCTCTTCTCTGAAGCATCGAAACAGCTCCCTTAATGGCCTCTTACGTCTGGGTCCCAAGGTTTTCATTCAAAATGATAATAAAAGGACACCTCAAACCTACAGGGAAAACCCATTCACATAGAGCAGCTTCGAGACGAGCCTCTGGAGTCACCAAGCTGAAAAGAACCTGATTAATGACAGCACCTGAGATAAGTGGCACTTTCACCAACCTTAACTGTTGATGTATGATGACATAATGTCCCCTCCAATTAATGACAAGGATATAAAACACCTGTATTTAGCAGAGCAGATGCTGCTTTTATGGTTAGATGCGCAGATGAAATTGACTTCTAAAGGACCATCTATAACTTACTTCCCTATTATTTGTTTCTACATTTGTTTCGTTATGTATGTTGTAGGTGCAGGAGGAAATTTAACCCTGGATTTCACACCTGCACAGCCAAAAGGTATATGCTTATTGTAATTTACTTAAAGACAACTTACATCCCACCATCAAGCAGGTTGGCGATGGTGATCTCCTTCATTTACTGAGGACCTTTCATACTGTGTGAACCTCACTTTATATATATATGATATATATGATATATACGTAATATATATAAAGGTAAGCAATACCTTTAATCAGTCAGTTGATCCATCCATCCATCAACCAAAGTATACTGAAACCACCTGTTTAAATCCTCTGTAAGGTAAGCACAGTGTAAGTAGTTTTAAAAATTAAAACGGTTATTGCATACTAAACATATGCAATGTGATGGATTAGGTGTTTTGGGGTTGTCAAGGATTTCTTTATGGAATTATAATTGATGAAAGGGAACAAGACATATAAACATGGTGGTAAATGCTAAATCTTAGGGAGAGCCACAGATAGTGGGCATCCGAAGAGCTCAGGGAAAGGAGAGAGCCACATGGGCTGAGGTTGGTGGGGAAAGTGCACAGAATAGTTGGGATAGAAGAAGAGACCATGTAAATAGCTATCAAAGGAAGAGAGGCCAGATCAGGTGGGAGATTATACTTTTGAAGCAAAGGCAAAGGGAATACACAGGTCAAGGCAGAGTCTGGAGCCAATGAGAAAACCACTGTGTACAAAGTGTACATAGGACAAATAATAGATCAAAGAGAGAGATTGGGTCAGGATTATTAACAGCATTGAAGACCGATTTCATTTCCTTTAAATGTTGATTTGGGAATCATCCCTAAGGATAGGGTAAAATATGGGGAATCTCATATTCCCCAGTGAGGCTTCCACTACCACTGTGCTGAGTTAGGTCCTAGCATGCTTGGGTGTGGACTCTTATGGCTCCCTCTGGGGTTTCTGAGGCCAGAAAGGACACTAGTGTCAGGGCTACTGCCCAGGGGATGAGGCCCAGAAGCATCCTTTCTTCTGTGTCTTCCCCCACTCTTCCCCCTGCCCCCCTCCACCCCCACCCCAGGTCTTGGGCAGCTTTCTCCTCTCTCCCTTGCTGTGGCAGGTGGCCTTCACCAGTTCTGCTTTCACTTTTGGGGCAAACGTTCTGTCTCTTTCACTTTCTTTTGTGCCTTGCTGGCAGGTGTAGCCATTCTAACATGGCAGGGTGGTCTCTGAGTCGGAGGCAGGCCACACAGGCAACTGGGGCTGACAATCTGAGGTCAAACTTCTCTTAATGAATTTGGAGATAGAATGTAAATCCCTTAAGAGCAGGCCTCTGTTTTTTTCATCGCTATATCCCTAGCACCTGTGCCTGGTGCATAGTGTATTTAATACACATTTGTGGAATAAAAAAAGAAAGTGTCATTTAGCATTGCTTTCTTTTTCCCACATATATTTTCTTTAGGGACCTGGACAGTTGGTTGGGGGCAACATTGGCTGTTTGGGGCCCCCATGCCCCAGACTTCTCTGTTTCTACCTGTGAATACCTGTTAATAGTTATTGGCACTCAATTTTAATACCCCCAACAGTAGCCAC
Organism: Homo sapiens; assembly: GCF_000001405.40. Classification (NCBI taxonomy): domain Eukaryota; kingdom Metazoa; phylum Chordata; class Mammalia; order Primates; family Hominidae; genus Homo; species Homo sapiens. Next base: position 56,248,365 of record NC_000018.10, on the reverse strand, counting down.
TAACATTTGGCAACTAGCTTTTCCTTTGCTTTTCGTAGAGAAGCTATTTTTGGTGTCAGCAGAGCCCCCAAGGATAGTTTAAATTTCCTATGCCCAGCTACCTTAAGATTCCAGTCTGAGGAGAGAATCAGTAGAGGCCACGTGGGGACCCATTCTCATTTCAGCTTCGTGAAGAGAAAAGGTGCCTTTCCTGCTTTTCAAGATTATTTTCTCCATTTCACACCCACCTCTCTAACTTGACCAGACTCATATTTTATCCATGATCCATTCTCTCTCTGTCTGGTGTTTTCTACCTCTCACTATCAACAGATTACTTCTTTGGAAACTATAGACATGTTTTTCTTATCTTTAAAAAAATCTGTCTTCCTCTTTGTGTTCCAGTTGTTGCCATTGTCCCTTTCCGCTTTCCTTTATAGTCTAGTTTCTTGGGACACACACACACACACACACACACACACACACGCATTTATAGCCTTGACTTCCTCACTCTCATCTCATGGCTTCCTAATGCCTTCCTAGGTGACCAGCTTGGGACTGGCCTTACACTTTCTGGTATCCCACATTGCATTAGAGACCCTTTGTGCTGTCATAGGTCCCAGCTCTTTGTGCTGGTTCATCTTGTGCAGCTATTGAATGGGATTCTAGGAATCATTATCATGTCTATCACCTATTTGTCTATTAAAATGATATTGAAAGAATTGGGCCCATGAGAAGTTTTCTTGTTGCCCTAATAGTTGTATTTTCACAGAAAGCTTCTTCTTTTAGGAAAAGGGCAAACCATGGCTCCATGCTGTCTTATGTAATCTTAGCAGGAGTTTAAGGCTTGGGAATGTTCTGAGGGGATGAATAGGTAATAGAGGATTCTCTATGCCCCACTGGTTATCCAAGAATTATAGACTAGAATCGCACTCTACACAACTCGAAGGAACCTCAGAGACCATCTAGTTACATGAGGAAATTAAGGCCTGGAGGCTGGGATGTGGGCAGAGAAAGTGTAGTGTGGTAATCAAGACTATGTCTTTTGAACCTGAATTCCTGGGTTTAAATCCCATCTCTGCTATTGAAGGGCCAGTTGCTTTGCCTCTGTATGTTCAAGTTTCCTCATCTGTAAAATAGAGCAATAATAGCAGCTATTCCATGGGGCTGTTGCGCAGATTAAGCAGTTAATACTTGCAAGGCTCTTGGAATAGTGCCTGGCAAATAATAAACATGTATGTAAGTGCTACTTCCTAGTATTAGTTAAACAATCATTTGTTGACAACCCACTGCATGCCAGAAACTGTACTGGGTGCTGGGATAAGAAAATGATGAAGTCACATAAATGATGTGTGTAAGTTCCTGAGGGAGAAGAGTCAGGACACACAGTGGGGTGTGGGATCTCCTCACTGCTGCCGTTAACTTCCACATAATCTTGACAAGGTGGTCATGTGTTCTGTTGTTCCAAGTGTTAGAATGAGGAGAACTCATCCAGGTGTCCATGAGCAAGCATTGTCTGCAGACATTTCTGTTTGCACATTTAGGAAAAGAGGAGATGCCCAGCACTTTGTGAGGCCGAGGTGGGCAGATCATGAGGTCAGGAGTTCAAGACCAGCCAGGCCAACATGGTGAAACCCCCCCTCTACTAAAAATACAAAAGTAAGCTGGGCAAGGTGGTGCATGCCTGTAATCCCAGCTACTTGGGAGGCTGAGGCAGGAGAATTGCTTGAACTGGGACCCGGGAGGTGGAGGTTGCAGTGAGCCGAGATCATGCCACTGTGCTCCAGCCTGGGCTACACAGCGGGACTCTGTCTCAAAAAAAAAAAAAAAAAAAAGAGATAAATTAAGATGCCATTCAGTAGAACACTTCTAAAAGAAATGGAATGTACATGGCTTGGCCAATGGAAATAATGACGTTTTTGCCTGAAGCCATAAGTTTGTTTGTCCTTTTTCTTTGTCATGGGTATGTTTAGTCTTCAAACTGGCTTTTAAGGATGAGTTTATTATTTCTAAGAGAAGAGCAGTATTTTCTTGACCAAACAGAGGTGGCACTTCCATGAGCCAAGCCTTTAGTTCAGTTTAGTTGGAAGTGAGTTACTCAGCTTTTGATCTGTTGTATTTGTTTGAGTATTTATTTTATGTACTGATTTATTTTTAATGGCAGAGATATATGGAAGTTGTCTCCTAAGCAGAAAATAAACAAATGCCCACTCAGAGATTTGTGCTCATAACAGAATTTTTGGTCTGTGAATTGGGTCCTGAGAGATTAAAGACAGCTGGTGCATACCGCAGCCGCCACGAAGCACTGTGTTTCTGGGGAAGTGTGTTGAATGAAATCTAAACAATGCTAACTGGTCACAGACACTAATTAAGAAGTATGCCAGTAGCTGTGGGCTGCTCAAATAAAACACTATCTTTTCTTCACTCTGTTGACATAGAGATACAAATAAGGTTCCAGAAAGATTGGAAAGGAGAGAGTGTGGGGACTGTAATCTTGTCTTTCCGGTATGTTTGCCAAAATCAGATAACACTGAGAAGGAACTGGTTCAAAAACACCAAAACGCATTGTTAAATGAGGGCTGCATTGTGTTTTCCTTAAGAAAAAAAAAGTCATAGAGCTCAAATCTTTCAAATTCTCACTTCTTTACCATCATAATTTTGTATTAATTAGAAAGAAAATAGTTTTACCAAGAGTTATTTGCCATGGCTTATGTATAGTTTTACAGGTGATTTATTGTGAAAAAGAAACACTTTAAAGAAATCTGTGATAAGATAAATCTCTGCAGATTATTTCATAAAGTGGTGAAATGAATTTAAGAACAATTCTGGGTTGTTTTTTTTTTTCTTTTTTTGAGACAGAGTTTTGTTCTTGTTGCCCATGCTGGAGTGCAATGGCGTGACCCTGGCTCACCACAACCTCTGCCTCTCGGGTTCAAGCGATTCTTCTGCCTCAGGCTCCTGAGTAGCTGGGATAACAGGCATGCGCCACCACGCCCAGCTAATTTTGTACTTTTAGTAGAGACAGGGTTTCTCCATGTTGGTCAGGCTGGTCTCGAACTCCCAACCTCAGGTGATCCACCCACCTCAGCCTCCCAAAGTGCTAGGATTACAGGCGTGAGCCACCGCGACTGGCCGAACAATTCTGTTTTAAAGATGTTACCCATTAGTAAAACATTGTAGGAAAATTCATTTCAGGAAGCCTAAGGTGTCCTTGAAGGCTGAGAGTTTCTCCCTGGACACTTGGGTAGGGAGATTTGTGTCAATTTGTCTAACTCTAAGAGTTAAGAGTGCTGTTTCGTCACATGGATACATTGCATAATGGCAAAGTCTGGACTTTTAATGTAACCATCACCTGAATAATGTACATTGTGCCCATGAAGTAATTTCTCATCCTTCACTCCCCTCCCATCCTCCTACCCTGCTGAGTCTCCAGTGTCTATTATTCCACACTGTATGTCCATGTGTACATATTATTTAGCACCCACTTATAAGTGAAAACATGCGGTATTTGATTTTCTGTTTCGAAGTTGTTTCACTTAAGATATTGGCCTCCAGTTCCATCCATGCTGCTGCAAAAGACATGATTTCATTCTTTTTTATGGTTTACAGTCAGACGTTGAATGAGACATGAGAACATGGGAGAGTCTGGGGACCTGGGAGCAGAGCAACCATGGTGGAATAGAGGCAAAGGAAATGAACAAGCTCTTCAATTTTCTGTGTCGCTCCTTGCTGTGTACCCTGGACCCTAAGGTAGATGCAAGCTACTTTAAATTAAATGGATGAGAAATGGAGCTGATACATACCTTTGTTCCTAATAGCCCTTATTCCTATGGTGAAAGAGGAGCTTGCTTTGTGGTGATAGTTAGAAAGGCAGTGTCTACCCAGGCCACTGCCTACTCACCTCCTCAAACAGCAGAGTTTTTCTTTGTCAAGGTCTTTACGACTTTTAAATCTTCTCTTTTGGAGTGAAATAACAGTCATGATTTCAATTAATACTGTTTGAGAGCTTCCAGTTTTTCTGCTCTGTTTTTTCCCCATCTTTGTGGTTTTATCTACTTTTGGTCTTTGATGACGGTAATATAAAGATGGGTTTTTGGTGTGGATGTCCTTTCTGTTTGCTAGTTTTCCTTTTAACAGACAGGACCCTCAGCTGCAGGTCTGTTGGAGTTTGCTAGAGGTCCACTCCAGACCCTGTTTGCCTGGGTATCAGCAGCGGTGTCTGCAGAACTGCAGATTTTCATGAGCCGTGAATGCTGCTGTCTGATCGTTCCTCTGGAACTTTTGTCTCAGAGGAGTACCCGGCCATGTGAGGTGTCAGTCTGCCCCTACTGGGGGGTGCCTCCCAGTTAGGCTGCTCAGGGGTCAGGGGTTCGGGACCCACTTGAGGAGGCAGTCTGCCCGTTCTCAGATCTCCAGCTGTGTGCTGGGAGAACCACTGCTCTCTTCAAAGCTGTCAGACAGGGACATTTAAGTCTGCAGAGGTTACTGCTGTCTTTTTGCAGAAAAGGCCTTTGACAAAATTCAACAACCCTTCATGCTAAAAACTCTCAATAAATTAGGTATTGATGGGACGTATCTAAAAATAATAAGAGCTATCTATGACAGACCCACAGCCAATATCATACTGAATGGGCAAAAACTGGAAGCATTCCCTTTGAAAATGGCACAAGACAGGGATGCCCTCTCTCACCACTCCTATTCAACATAGTGTTGGAAGTTCTGGCCAGGGCAATTAGGCAGGAGAAGGAAATAAAGGGTATTCAATTAGGAAAAGAGGAAGTCAAATTGTCCCTGTTTGCAGATGACATGATTTTATATCTAGAAAACCCCATCGTCTCAGCCCAAAATCTCCTTAAGCTGATAAGCAACTTCAGCAAAGTCTCAGGATACAAAATCAATGTACAAAAATCACAAGCATTCTTATACACCAATAACAGACAAACAGACAGCCAAATCATGAGTGAACTCCCATTCACAATTGCTTCAAAGAGAATAAAATACTTAGGAATCCAGCTTACAAGGGACGTGAAGGACCTCTTCAAGGGGAACTACAAACCACTGCTCAAGGAAATAAAAGAGGATACAAACAAACGGAAGAACATTCCATGCTCATGGGTAGGAAGAATCAATATCATGAAAATGGCCATACTGCCCAAGGTAATTTACAGATTCAATGCCATCCCCATCAAGCTACCAATGCCTTTCTTCACAGAATTGGAAAAAACTACTTTAAAGTTCATATGGAACCAAAAAAGAGCCCTCATTGTCAAGTCAATCCTAAACCAAAAGAACAAAGCTGGAGGCATCACGCTACCTGACTTCAAACTATACTACAAGGCCACAGCAACCAAAACAGCATGGTACTGGTACCAAAACAGATATAGATCAATGGAACAGAATAGAGCCCTCAGAAATAACGCCGCATATCTACAACTATCTGATCTTTGACAAACCTGAGAAAAACAAGAAATGGGGAAAGGATTCACTATTTAATAAATGGTGCTGGGAAAACTGGCTAGTCATATGTGGAAAGCTGAAACTGGATCCCTTCCTGACACCTTATACAAAAATTAATTCAAGATGGATTAAAGACTTAAACGTTAGACCTAAAACCATAAAAACCCTAGAAGAAAACCTAGGCATTACCATTCAGGACATAGGCATGGGCAAGGACTTCATGTCTAAAACACCAAAAGCAATGGCAACAAAAGCCAAAATTGACAAATGCAATCTACTTAAACTAAAGAGCTTCTGCACAGCAAAAGAAACTACCATCAGAGTGAACAGGCAACCTACAAAATGGGAGAAGATTTTTGCAACCTACTCATCTGACAAAGGGCTAATATCCAGAATCTACAATGAACTCAAACAAATTTACAAGAAAAAGACAAACAACCCCATCAAAAAGTGGGCAAAGGATATGAACAGACACTTCTCAAAAGAAGACATTTATGCAGCCAAAAGACACATGAAAAAATGCTCATCATCACTGGCCATCAGAGAAATGCAAATCAAAACCACAATGAGATACCATCTCACACCAGTTAGAATGGCAATCATTAAAAAGTCAGGAAAAAACAGGTGCTGGAGAGGATGTGGAGAAATAGGAACACTTTTACATTGTTGGTGGGACTGTAAACTAGTTCAACCATTGTGGAAGTCAGTGTGGCGATACCTCAGGGATCTAGAACTAGAAATACCATTTGACCCAGCCATCTCATTACTGGGTATATACCCAAATGACTATAAATCATGCTGCTATAAAGACACATGCACACGTATGTTTATTGTGGCACTATTCCCAATAGCAAAGACTTGGAACCAAGCCAAATGTCCAACAATGATAGACTGGATTAAGAAAATGTGGCACATATACACCATGGAATACTATGCAGCCATAAAAAATGATGAGTTCATGTCCTTTGTAGGGACATGGATGAAATTGGAAATCATCATTCTCAGTAAACTATCACAAGGACAAAAAACCAAATACCACATGTTCTCACTCATAGATGGGAATTGAACAATGAGAACACATGGACACAGGAAGGGGAACATCACACTCTGGGGACTGTTGTGGGGTGCGGGGAGGGGGGAGGGATAGCATTAGGAGATATACCTAATGCTAAATGATGAGTTAATGGGTGCAGCACACCAGCATGGCACATGTATACATAAGTAACTAACCTGCACATTGTGCACATGTACCCTAAAACTTAAAGTAAAATAATAATAAAAAAATAAAAAAAAGAATGAATTTTTTTTAAAAAAAGAATAATTTCTGGGGCCAAGTGTGGTGGCTCATGCCTATAATCCTAGAACTTTGGGAGCCGAGTGTGGGAATCATTTGAGGCTGGGAGTTTGAGACTAACCTGGGCAACATAGCAAGATCCTGTTTCTCCAAAAAAATTTTAGAAGTTAACCAGATGTAGTGGCATGCAACTGTACTCCCAACTACTTGGGAGGTTGAGGAGGGAGGATATCTTCGAGGCTGAAGTAAGCTATGAAGGCCCCACTGCACCCCATCCCAGGGGGCTGGAGTGAGACCCTGTCTTAAAAAAAAAATTTCTAAGAAATGGTATATTCAGAGGTATTTCAACATATTTAATAACAGTATATCATGGGCACTGCCCAACAACTGGTGTGTCTGTCCTGGGTCTACCAGCTGCACATGAGCCTGGGTATATTACTGAAAAATAGGCAGTGCCATATGATGGAAATAAAGATGTAATCCTTGAACATTGTTACACCACAATGAAAATGTAACAATACCCAGTAAAGCTATATTATTTTCATTATTAAATTTGTTCAACACTAAAAAATAAAAATTAATACTGTTTGAGGATTTACAGTGGGCCAGGCACCAAAAGCTTTACTTGTATTACTTTATTTAATCCTCACGACAACTCCAAGAGATTATTCCCATTTTATAGTTGAAGAAACTGAGATAGTAACAGGTTCAATCAGTCATCCAAGACCAAAGAGCAGATAAATGGTGAAAGCAGGATCCAAATTGTATGTCCTTGAAGAAGACCAAAGTGGCAGCCTTCTAGAGAGTTCTGAGAAACCCATAAAACAGCATGGCAGGAATAGAGAGGCTAGGCCAGCCTGAGAGCTTGCCTTGAAGGTCAGAGAAGGATAGAGCTTAGGTAGGTGTGGGTGAGGTGAAGCTTAATTCTGCCCCTATCTAGGAACACTCAGCAACCAGATGTAATGTTCATGTTTATTACGTGTATTTAATGGTAGTTTGTGTTAGTTAAGCATGATTCATCCTGTACAGTATTTAAGATCACCCAAGGAGGCTGAGGAAGGTATGCACAGATGTTGAGAGGCAGGAGTAGTAACAGAAAAGTACCCTATTTGGTATAAACCTAGCTACATCACTTAGAGTTCAGGAAGATGGTGTTTGCAACTGACAGAAGATCCAAGTAGCAAAAGTTTAAGCACGATAGAAATTTACTTTCCTTTTACGTATTAAAAAAGTTTGGAAGCCCAAGCCTGGCAGAGCAGCTTCATGAAGTTCTCTGGATGCAGGTTCCTTCTCTCTTGCTGCTCCACACATCTCAGGGTGTAGTTTCCATCATACGGCACAAGATAGCTACCTGGACTGCAGCCATCATATGCACAATCCATTCTACAGGAAGAAGGAGTACATGGGAGTCATGTGGTACATCTACTTATGTGTCATTGGCCAGAGCTTAATCTTTGACTATGTTATACCACTATTATGATGAAAAAATCCCACTGAAAGTGTTACTATGAAAGGATAGCAACATGTAATAAACTATCTTCTCCAAGTACCACTTTGATTTTCATTAGACCTCTTGGATTCATAGCACCTTCACTCCAGAATTTTATTTTTATGCAGACACCATACAAATAGGTGAAAGAACTATTTCAGGTAGATGAAACTTTGGGGAATTTTCTGTAACATTAAAGCACACAAGACAGAGATCCTGGCTTGAACTTTTGGACCAAATCTCTATTTGCTCACTCCTAAAAAAAAAATGGCTAAATATAGGTAAGATGGTGGTTTTTGAATAATTGCAAGATGAATTGCTTTATTCCAGTCTTGGGGTTTATGATTGGAAAAAAGCACACATGTAGAGAAAAATACACTCTACGTTAAGTAGCAAAATCTACAGCTTAATGAAGGGTAGAATATTTAGTTACACAGAGCCTTTGAAGTACAGAATATTAAAGCTTAAGTAAATTAAGCTAGTTATTCAAGAGGCAAGATGTTATCAGTTAAAGTTGTTTGTTGTTTTTAAATTGCAAGTAAACAACACTGACGTGGGTTAACATAAGCAGGGAAAATTTTAAAAATAATTCATTGGAAGATAAATTTACAGTAGCTTACTGAATCCAAGAAAAAGTAAAAATTACAGATGATCATATCTACAGAAAACTCCCCAAGAATTCATGACATCAGGAAAGACATTCACTGGGGAATATGTTGCTCTCTTTAGATTCTCCAGAATGAACTAGATTTGTACATTTTCCGTATTTGGGTCACTGCTCTCTAGATTCAAATTTCCAGGAAGCCTGACCAACTAAACTTGGATCTAGTGCCCACCCATTGGCCAGGAGATGATGTGGTGCCTTGACCAACAAAGCTACCAAAACTGGATGCACAAGGGGTGGGGTGGTTTCCCACAGTAAAATTAGGACACTTGTAGCAAGATAAGGGTGTAGGGACACTGGCAGGCGAAGATGACAGATGGCTGACTACCTATATGCACAGAGAGTGGCTTAACTTGAATCTCAAAGGACAGGAAAAAACATGGAGACTAGGGTGGTTAAAAAGCAATAAGACCATGAGCAAGTCTGACTAACTCATGTAGAAATTCCTTATTTCATTAAACAAACCCTGTAGCTGCAATGTCAAAAGGATCCCCTTGGTCCCCAGTAACAGAAAAAAAGCAGGACTGAAGCGGAGGGAGGGAGAAACAGGGAGGAAGAGAATGAGAGGGAATGAAGTGTGTGCCATCGTGAGGCCTGGCTCTACTTAAAATTCTGGAAAACAAACAAACAAAAAAACTGTTCTTCCATGTTTTTCTGGAAGGTGCAATGCTCTTGACTACCACTGGGCATCAACAAATGGAGCCATCTTAACATATCATCTTGGGGACCTGGTGACACATCTGTGTTGCAACAGCATCACGAGGAGCCAGTGTTTCATCTTCAGTTTGGGTGAGCTGATAAAACCAAGAGCTTTAGAGGCAAGGAGGTCTTGAGTCAAATCTCACTTGTTTAAACTTAAGAGGGTTATTTAATCACTATTTCCTCTGTCAATTTGGGATTTTTATAGCTACCAATTGAGCGTAGGTTGAGTATCTCTGATCAAAATGCTTGAGATCAGACGGTTCGGATTTTGTATTTTTTCATATGTTGGAATATTTCTATAAACATCATGAAATGTCTTGGGGATGAGACCCAAATCTAAATGGAAAATTTATGTATGTTTCATATATATTTTATACACAAAGCCTAAAGGTAATTTTATACAATATTTTCAATAATTTTGTGCATGAAAAATAGTTTTGACTGCAACCTGTCATGTGAAGTCAGGTGTGGAATTTTCCACATGTGACATCACATCAGTGCTCAAAAAGTTTCAGGTTTTTGAACATTGTGGATTTCAGATTTTTGGATTAGGGATGCCCTACCTGTGTGTGTCCCGACTAACTCTGAGGCCTGGCAAGCTGTGGTTCCTCCGTCTGACCTCCGACCCCATCATCCTCCAGTCTGCTCATGCTCACTTGGCTCCATCCACACTCACCCTGATGCTTTTTAAGCAGGCCAGGCACAATCGGAAGCTAGAGAGCTGTGACCCAAGTCAGGGAGATGGTTGAAGCTGGCTCATACTGTGGGATCTGAAGAGACCACCTTCTTCCCTGGGGCCTGTCTGTCCAGAGGCCTGAGGTCGATGAATCTTTGGGGGGATTTTTGCAAAAATGCTTGTCTTAGTTTCCTCAAGCTGTAGTACAAACTGCCACAAACTTAGTGTCTTGAAACAATACAAATTGGGCTGGGTGTTGTGGCTTATGCCTGATTCCCAGCACTTTGGGAGGCCAAGGCAGGTGGATCACTTGAGGCCAAGAGTTTGAGACCAGCCTGGCCAACCCCGTCTTTACTGAAAAAACAAAAATTAACCAGGCGTGGTGGCCCATGCCTATGACCCAGCTACTTGGGAGGTGGGAGAAGCAGAATCACTTGAACCTGGGAGGTGGAGGTTGCAGTGAGCCAAGATAGGGCCACTGCACTCCAGCCTGGGTGACAGAGTGAGACTCTGTCTCAAAAAAAAGAAAAAAAAAAAAAAGAAGGAAACAACACAATACAAATTGAATATCTTAAGTTCTGAAGTCTTCCTGGGCTAAAATCAATGCATGGGCAGGGCTCTGTTCCTTTCTGGGGGCCCTTGGGGAGGAATCATTTCCTTGTCCTTCTCATTTGCTGGAGGCTTCCACACTTTTTGGCTCATGGCCCCTTCCTCCTTCTTCAAACCCAGGAATGCAGGACTGAGTCCTCCCCATACTGCTGTTTCTGTGATTCTCTCTCCTGTCTCCCTCTTACACCTTTAAGGATCTCAATGATTACACTGAGTCCACCTGCATAATCCAGGTTGCTCTCTCTATTTTAAGGTCAGACGATTAGCAACCTTAATCCATCTGCCACCTTAATTCCCACTTGGCATATAACCTAACCTAGTTATAGCATCCTGGGATTAAGACACGGTCTGCCTGGCGGAGTGACTCATGCCTGTAATCCCAGCACTTTGGGAGGGGGAGGTGGGTGGATAATTGAGGTCAGGAGTTCAAGACCAGCTTAGCCAATATGGTGAGAACCTGTCTCTACTAAAAATACAAAAATTAGCCAGGTGTGGTGGCGGACACCGGTAATCCCAGCTACTCAGGAGGCTGAGGCAGGAGAATCATTTGAACCCGGGAGATGGAGGTTACAGTGAGCCGAGATCACACCATGGCACTCCAGCCTGGGTGACAGAGAGAGACTCTGTCTTTAAAAAAAAAAAAAAAAAAAAAAAAAAAAAAAAAAAAAAAGACATGCTTATCTCTAAAGAGGGGGATATTATCTTGTTTATCACAATAATAATATCTAATTTCCACTTTTTCTTAGGCTCAGTCAACTCTCTAATATTCTTCCAATACCTTATTTTTATTTTCTCTGTTTATGTGAACCTTTTAGTGTTGGTTACTTCTGCCTGGATCATTTCCCCCAAGATATGGCAGGTCCCTCTTGCTCTCCTTGTGTTTGTTAAAGTGTCACTCTTTCAATGAGATCTTCAGACCTATTCTTGCCACACTCCAGGATTCCTGAACCTCTTTAATCAATTATTTTCTAGCTCTTGTCACCTTCTACCTTACTACATAATATGTCATACTTATTTATTATATTTATTTTCAGTCTTCAGCCACTTGAACAGTATGCCTTGGACATAACACTTAATAGATAATTTGGTACTTAATAGATAATTTGATGAATGACTGAAAAGTGTTGCTGTTAAGATAAAATGCAATGAACAGCAACGATTTGTGCCCAACACTTAAGACATTGCCTGGCACATAGGAAGTGCTCATGCAATGTTCACTCTTATTTCTAATTCCTGACTATCTCTGACTTCTAGACTTCTTCATGCCCAATCCTTCAGTCCAAATTTGAGGATAGCACAAATGTTGCTAACAAGCCCCAGGAAACTTAACTTTAAGTGTTTCTTTGGCTAGAAAGTAAACTTTAATTCTTTGAAAGCCATAAAAATCTTTCTAAAAAGGCAGAATTACCATATTGGCCTTGTCTTTCTGGAACTGTTTGGAATGAATGAACAAATCATGCGTTTATGCACCAGAAGTTCGGTTTGCTTTTCCTTTAGAGCAACGGCTCTCTGCTCCTGAATGTGAGAGGCCCCATCAGCCGCCTCAAGATTCCAGGCAACTGCAGCAGCTGTCACAAAGCATCGTGTGGCATTGAGGAATGTGGTCAGAAAGCCGCTAAATGAAAAAAGGGTCTCAGGAAGGCAAGAAGAAGGGAACAGCCCTTAAGTACCATGTGAGGAATGGGGCTTTTTCAAATCAACCCCTCTAAAAGAACCACTTCCCTGAATCTGTTGAAAGTGTAAAGTTTTCACCCTGCAAATCGGAGAAGTTCAAGTTTATACTCTAGGTAAAGAAGGTTTCCTTAAAGCAGGCCAGCAGCTGCAGCTCTCAGAAGAAAAAGAGGAAGACAATACATTTTCTTGCTTTGGTTCTGCGGTGGCAGGTGCACACCAAGGGGCATGGCCTCCAGAAGGAACAGGGGCTTGGCTGGAGAACTGTCAATTAATCATCCAGGAGAATGCCCCTGACAGCAGGGAGAAAACTCCCATTCATTTCCTCGGGATTGTGCTGCGGCCACTAAATGCAATGTTTCTACAAATAAGAATTCATCTGCTCCTGGCTCCAGGGGTCATTTGTTTGCTCCTGTGTGTTGCGGAGCAAGACCTGCTCTGCATCCACACAGGCCTGTGCTGCATCCTCGAACACAGTTGGTGCGTTCCCATCTAGTTTTCCTCTTACTGTGCCCCATTTTGAATGTACACCCTCCTCACATCTCGGCCTCATGTAAATTCTACGCATCTTTTACAACCCCACCAAGTTCCACTTCCTCCTCCAGCCACATCTTTTGATTTCTTCCCCTTTACCCTATTTTGTAAGTCAAGTGATCATGTATTATACGTATAATGATAAGTAGTAAAAACCTGGCATTAAAAATGCCCCACTTTCCCATCTACTATCTGTACCACCTTGAGGAAGTAGTCACTTCACCTCTTTGAGCCTCTGCTTCCTTATCTTTAAGATGGGGATTCCATCTAATTCAGAGTGGCTATGAGGATTGGAAGAGATAACCTACGAAAATTCTCCCAGGTCACTTTGGCCATCATAATTGCAAAGTAAATAGTAGTTGAATCTGAAACTCCTGTCCTCGGGATGGTTCAGACGCTAAACTAGAGTCTGGCATTTTAAAATCATTTCTGTGAGGGCGGGCAGGGGGCCGGGGGGGTGGTTACACAAGCCCCCTGGGATGCAAGCTCTGTAGAGCAAAGCCCTTGTCAGAATGGGCTTGAGTAGAATGGGCTCCTCATTAGCACTAATTGAATACTCCACCCCATGGTTTTAATTACTTTTTTCTTCTAGATTTACATTTTGTCTCCCAACTATATTATACTCTTCTTGGGGTCAGGAGGATGGCTTTTACAGAATTTATGTCCCACACAAGGTCTCTACTCCATTAAGTGCTCAATAAATGTCCTGGCTCATGGAAAACATTGCTATGGGTAGCACACTGTGAGGTGTACTTCCTTCCCTGGACTGCTTATTGTTCACCATTCACAACATCTGGTTTATATGTATGTTTGGCAATTAATTGCTAAGTGCCCTCTACCATTTAAAACCCAAGCAGAGAGAAATTGTGCTTATAAGAAAAGAAAAAGTAGAAAGAAAAGTTATACTTTTCATGTTTATAAAAATATGAATTCTGGCATTGATTTCTTTACCACACTGGAGTAAATTGGTCCTTTAATTGTTCAAGATTTCCACATCAATAAATAACTGTATTTATAAAAACTCTTCCCTTATATAAGGTGATGTCAGGTATGCTGATGCAATCAAGAAATGCTCTCTCTGTATGAACTCTCAATGTGGTGGCCTTGGAAAATCAGTTCAATTTGGTATTCTCATATAGGGTAGAGACAACGAGGACTGCTTAGTTGGATTTTCATGGTTGACTTTAGATATTTACCTCAATTACTGGAAATAATCACTTAAAGACTTCTAATTGAGCCTTTCTCTTGCCCTCTGACCTCTTCACAAGGTATATTATATGGATTAGAATTAACATTATTTAAGGTTTTAATGATAAATCTCAGTCTTCAGTGAATGGTCCTATAAATCTGTTTTCTCAGCCGTGGCTACCCATTAGAATAACTTGGAATTAAAAAAAAAAGAAAAAAAAAAAAAACCAGTACTCTGGCTCTATCCCAGACCAAATGAATCAGAATCTCTGGCAATGATATTTTCCTGAAACTCCCTGGGTGCTTCTCCTACGCAGCCAGGGCTGAGACTCACTGCTGAATCATGGAGAAAATGTTACAGAAATAGCTGCCAAGGTCTTTCTTCATTTCTTCATTATCAATAAGCCTCTATAGGATAGACAATGTTTGAATATAGTAGTAGTTCAATTGTAGATGTTGATATTTTAATTATTGGCTACTGGCTAATCTGACTGAGTTCTATAAGTAAACATGGAAATTTAACTTCTCCTGGGTCAGAAAAAGAGTTCACTTATTCTGCCTATGTGCTCTGTTTGTAGCATCAAAGACTGTTTTGGGAAGAACATTTTAATTACTCTCCTTGAAGGATCCCTGAAAGATCCTAAATATGTTAAAAAAAAATCTAATTTTCCTTAAACAACTCCTTTCTACTTTTTTCTTCTTTTTAAGAATTATTTGGTAGTTCTTAAACATTTTCTTTTCATAAATTTAAAATTCTGTTGTTTAATTTCATAAAAAATCTTAGAGTTTTAGTGCAAATGTGTTGCACTTGTAGATTAAATTGGGGTAAGAATTAAAATACTTATATAATTTATAAACACAATAAAATAAGTTATTTTTGCATTTAATAGACATTTGGATTCACTCACATGCTTTACTGTTCTCTTCGCTCACTATTTTTTCTCCTTATGTGTTTATTTTTCTTGCTGTTGTAGAATATCCTCAAGTAGTTCTTTCAATTAAGGTAGGATATAGCCTTTGTATGTATAAAAATGTCTTTACTTTACCCTTACCCATGAATTATTTTTTGTTAGAATTCTAAATTGAATTTTTTTAACACTTGAAGTTATAATTCATTTGTCCCTGGCATCTATTGCTGCTGAAAATAATTTTGCTTTTGGCCTAGTTGTAGTGCCTTTGCAGGTAAACTGTGTTTTCTCCTGGCAACTTTTAATAATTTGTATTAATGTTTTAGCATTTCACTAAAAACTATAACTAGATATTGTTTTTTTTTTATCACATTCTTTATTCAGTTTACACAAAGACTTTAGGAAATTCTCAAATTCAGAAAAAATCACAGCCATTATCTTTTCAAATACTGCTTTTCTCCTATTTCTTCAATCCTCTGCTTCTAGGTCTCTATTTATGCGTATGATGTAACTTCTTCAGCCCACATAAATGTCTTAAATTCTCTTTCATATTTTAAAAAAATTACTTTATTTCCCTGGGTAAAATTCTGTGTTCATCCCTCAGTCTTACCTTCTAGTTCTCTTTGTGTTCAGCCTTGTATTTATTTCATCTAGTTTTTCATATCAATGGCTATATTTTTTATGTCCCAGTTTTTTATTGTGTATTTATTAAAATCTCCTCCTATTTTTCACTCATGACAATGAGTTTTATTTCATAATTTCTTCTTTCTTTGTGGATGTCCTTCCTTCCTTACCTCATTGAGGGTTGTAAACACATTTACTATGAAACTTTTTTTCAGATAATTGAACTATTTGTGTTTTCTGTGAGTGAATTCTCTTGTAGTTACATTCTTTGTCTATCTTTTGTTGTTAGTTTTCTTTCTATGCTCTGAATTACAGTACGCAAGCTCATCTTGAAGAGAGACTAATTCTAACTACCACTGCTACTCTTGTTCTTCTTCCTTCTTCTCTCTTCTTTTCCTTCATCCTCTTCCTCCTCCTTTTGTTCACCCCTCTTACTCTATCTTCTTTTTCTCCTCTTCCTCCTTCTCCTCTTTCTTCTTCTTACTTCCTTGTTTACTGTTCATTCCCTACTATGTCTGGCCATTTCAAAATTACATTCCTACAAACCTCCATTATGGAGAAGCATGTCTTATTTTGGGACCCTCACCTTACATTAATATCACAGATCTAGTTTCCAAGCTAGTAGGCAGTATGGCCCAGGTCCTCCTTCCCTCGCTATCTGCTTCTCCTTACAGCTCAGACAGCAATGCAAAAAGGTTGCCAGCCCCGAATTATGTTGCTATTTTTAAGAATGCATTTATTGCAGGGTTAGATCTCCACTGCCTAAAGGTTTAAACCATTCATCAGGCATCTAGTCACCTGTCTTCATTGCAAGGAGATTCATTCCTCCCTATCCCACAGGAGAATGGACAATCCTAACTATTTCTAGTCCCAAACTCCAATAGGTTTTCTTCTGCCTTCCTGCTTATTATTGTCTTTTGTTGTGGGAGTTCCATTTTTTCTTTTTTTTTTGAGATGGAATCTCTCTCTGTCGCCCAGGCTGGAGTGCAATGGCACGATCTCGGCTCACTGCGTACTTTTAAAATACAATGATGAAAGTCATTTTGAAAATCTCATGTCATTGTCCTCTTGAATCCAGTAGCAGCAATGAGGAATCAAATGTCAATCTTTCTTTTTCTTTTGCAGGGGAGTTCTTTTTTTCATTCTGGATCACTTTAGGTTGTTTCCTCATACTTACTGTGCTGTGTCCACCATTTGCCCAAGTGTGCATAACAATGTTTTATTCTGGCCACTACTCAGAGTGCCCTTTCTTTTTGCAACTTTCTATCTCTTTATTGCTTTGTGATATATTTTTGAAAAATCCTTGGCTCTGTTTTCCATGTACTAATTGTGTTAGATCCTACTGCTATAAAGAAATACCTGAGACTGGGTAACTTATAAAGAAAAGAGGTTTAGTTGTCTGCCAGTTCCACTGGCTATACAGGAAGCATGATGCTGGCATCTGCTTGACTTCTGGGGAGGCCTCAGGAAACTTACAATATGCTGGAAGGCAAAGCAGGAGCACACATCATATGGCCAGAGCTGGAGCAAGAGAGAGATGGTGAAGGCGCCACACGCTTTTAAACAACCAGATCTTGCAAGAACTCACTCACTATCATGAGAACAGCACAAAGAGGATGGTGCTGAACCATTCATGAGGAATATCTCCATGATCTAATCATCTCCCTCCAGGCCTCACCTCCAACATTGGGGATTGCAATTCGACATGAGATTTGGGTGGGGACACAGATCCAAACCATATCACTAATGAAGACATTCACCCCTTGACCTTGCTACTTTGCCATTCTCCCTCATCCTATTACATCCCAGTGATGTTCTTACTTTCCTCCCTCCTTGCTTTGGTCCAAGTTGACCTCTTGCAAACATTTTTACTCGTCCCATTTCTCACTTTGTCATATTTCATTGGCAAACTCCGATTCTCATGAAATTCAATTACCAACCTATTGTGTCCCTGCACCCAAACAACTGAACATTGTAGGGAAAAAAGAAAACACACTTGTGCTGCCAGTTCTTACTTAAAATTCCATAACACAGACCTCCAATGGGCACCCAACCAGAATTTCTGTGATGCTTCCCTGATGTGGTTGCTGTACCATTCTCTAAAACAACTGCTCCACATTTTCCCCTCTCTTTGCAGACTGCCTTACCTCCAACTCTGCCTCTTCATCACCTTATGACTTCAGTACTTACTTTATTCAGAAAGCCAAATCAAGCAGCAGGTAACTAACCTACATATCTACCAGCATCCATTCCTAAGCTTCGTCCCTTGGCTATCTTTCCTGCTTCAATAGATATATGAATGAGTCTTTGCGCAAGTGCTACTGCTACATGTCTCTGTTGTCCTTCCCAACAAATTTTTCCTGTGGCCATTGTCTCAGTGAACTCTCTTCTTTTTCTCTCCCATTAGCTCCCTTCCTCACTGCTCTCCATTAAATGCTGTTGTCAATATGCCCAATAACTTTAATACTGTGAAATTCAGCTGTCCTCCTTTTGTCCTTATCTTAAGTGACATTTCAACCACATTTGAAAAAAGTGACCACTTCTTCCTTCTTGAACATATGAAATTTTTCCCTCATAGAGACACTGCATGCTGATTTTCCAACTATCTCTCTGGCTGCTTCTTCTCCGGCTAACTCCTTCTCCTCTGTAGGACTCTGAATATTGGAGTATTCCTAGGGTTCAGTACTGGTTTCTCCTCTTTTCTCAAAACACTCTTCTTGTAAATAATTTCTTCCAGTCTTCAATGCTTTAAATACCATGTATGTATGAATCATGTACACACACACACACACACACACACACACCCCCATATATACACATACCCATTTCTGGCCCCTTTTCTGATTTCCAGAGTTGAATATCCAACTGACTACTAGATCTCTTCATTCGTTAGGCATCTGAAATTTAACATTTGAAACAGAACCCTTATTTCTCCTGCCTAAGCTTGATGTTCTCTTAGATATTAGCATTTCACAAAAGAGAACCACCATTAACCTAGTTTCTCAGGCCCAAAGTGGAAAAGTACTTCTTATAACTTTTCTTTCCTTTCCTGCCTACACCTAACTCATCATCAAGTCTTGTTGAATCTACCCTGAAAACATAACCTAACTGTGTTTCTTTCACTCCATCTCCACTGCATTCACATTATATCAGTGATTCTCAACCCTGGCAAACAAGTTTTTAAAATTTGTTTAGGCCTTACCTCAAAACAATTGAATTGCAATCTCTAAGACAGGGACGGAGCCTTATTTAGTTTTTCTTTCCTCTTTTTAAGTTCTCTAGGTGGTCCTTGTATGCATCTAAGCTGGAAAGCATTGCCTTCCTCCAAGCCACTATCGTGTCTGTATTAGTTTGTTTTCACACTGCTATAAAGAACCTCCCTGAGACTGGGTCATTTATAAAGAAAAGAGGTTTACAAACACCACATGTTCTCACTCATAAGTGGGAGTTGAACAATGAGAACACATGGACACAGCGAAAGGAACAACACACACCAGGGCCTGTTGGGAGGTGGGGGGCATGAGGAGAGAACTTAGAGGACAGACTAACAGTTGCAACAAACCACCATGACACACGTATACCTATGTAACAAACCTGCATGCTCTGCATATGTATCCTGGAAATTAAAGTAAAATAAAAATAAAAATGAAAAATAAATAAATAAATAGAAAGAAAAGAGGTTTAATTGACTCAGTTTCATCTGGCTGGGGAGGCCTCAGGAAACTTACAATCATGGTGGAAGGTGAAAAGGAAACAATGCACCTTCTTCACAGGGTAGCAGGAGATGGGGAGAGAGCAAAGGGGGAAGAGCCCCTTATAAAACCATCAGATCTCATGAGAACTCACTCACTATCACAAGAACAGCATGGGGGAAAGCACCCCCATGATTCAATCTCTTCCCACTAGGTCTTTCCTTCCATATGTGGGGATTACAGTTCAAGATGATATTTGGGTGGGGACACAGAGCCAAACCACATAAATGTCTTATACACAGCAATAGACTTTTAATACATCTCCCAGCTTCTGTTCCCTACTAGCCCTCAATAATTTTTCATGTAACATTCAGAGTAAGCTTTATAAGCTACAAATTATTTAATGCTACTCTCTTGTTTAGGATCGACTAAGGATTTCCCATTACTCTTAGAATAAAATTCAAATTGCTAATAACCCACATAGAATGCCCCTTGCTGAGCTTGCAGACATCATCTTGAACAACTCTGTACGTAACTCATCTTGTGCCAAGCCAACTGACCATTCTACTCCCTTCCTACCCCAATCTTATTATCAGCCTTGAAGTCGGCATCAGCTATTCTCTCAGTCTGGAATGCTTCTCCCCCAGATATTTATGTCATCTAGGTCTCAATTTAAGTGAAACCTCATTAGAGGTGGCCAGCCAGTTTTTTTTTTTTTTATTCATGTCACTAACTAGGCTTTTATTTTTCACTTGGTTATTTGCCTTATTATTCTGTCTTTCCATTAGAAGAGATTAGTGACCTTTTCAATGTTTTTTTACTTAGATCAATGCTTGACTCATGATAAACCATCCATTTCTATTGTAAAAGCAATGAATGAATGATTTGCTTTTCAGTTGAGATTATTCTGCTTTTTTTTAATTTAAGTTTTATTGTCGTTAGTGTATACTTGGCATGGTTTAAACAATTAATTAATTCTTAAAGGATTGTAAACTCCATTTTCCTCCAGAGGAAGACATCAAAGAAGTCATTTCAAATAGTTAAGGCATGAAGTCACTCAAGACCCAATATTCCCGGGATTGCAGCCCCCTCTGGGTCACTAATAGAGCTAAGTGGACTTGCTGAAATTATACTTTGGACTGGGTTCAGGGACAAGACAGACATAGGAAGTCTAAGGGAAAACTGGGACTAGGTAGGGACTAGTTACTTCTATTTGTTCTGAAACTGTGTGACCTTGAGCAAGTCACTTAGCCCTGGTAAACCTCACTGTTTTCATTTTAAAAGGGGGTAGTCAGGACTGAGGGTCAACAAATTCACACCAGTCGGTCTCCATGCTCCCTACTGGCCAGCGGTTGCCCCACCATGCCTCTCATTGCCAGCAAGGCTAGATGTGGGCTGGGAGTTATTGAAGAATCTCCTGTCAGTTATTTACAGTTGGAAAATAAGAGGAAGTCTGTTCACCATCCTGCAGATACAATTTTAACCTCCCTGGATTTGTTGAGATTGTATTGATTGGAAAGAGGAAAGGATCTAGAGACTGTCTTAGGTTATTGGAGAAGGCAAACTCACCACAGTAAAGCATGGGTGATTCTGGAATATGAGCTCCATGAGGGCAAACTTTTGGCTTGTTTAGTGTACTGATGTATCTCCAGTACCTTAATCAGTGCCTGGGTATAAAGTGAACATTCAGAAAATACCTGTGGAATAAATATATTTTCTCATCCCAAAGTCTTTCCCTTATGGTATCAACTCAATTCATGTGTTGTACACTGTGATGTACTCTGTGATGGTCCTAATGAAGTATAAGTCTAGGTTCAATAATGAGAGAGAGAGAGAGAGATAGAGAGAGAAAAGAGGAAGTGTATTAGTTTGAAAATGTTCACGCTACTGATAAAGACATACCCAAGACTGGGCAATTTGCAAAAGAAAGAGGTTTAATAGACTTATAGTTTTACATGGCTGAGGAGGCCTCACAATCATGGCGGAAGGTGAAAGGCACATCTCACATGGTGGCAGACCAGAGAAGAGAATGAGAGCCAAGCAAAAGAGCTTTCCCCTTATAAAACCATCAGATCTCCTGAGATTTATTCACTACCACGAGAACAGTGTGGGGGAAACTGCCCCCATGATTCAATTATCTCCCACTGGGTCCCTCCCACACCATGAGGGAATTATGGGAACTACAATTCAAGATGAGATTTGGGTGGGGACACAGCCAAACCGTATCAGACAGATAACAAGAACCTGCAGGGGAGCTGCATGATTGTCTTCATTCAGGGCACATACATGCATGCTTCCTAGGTGTGACAGAGACTGTTTGTGCAAGACTTCTAAGTACGGTAAGACATTCAAGCTGTGCAAGCTGTGTCTACACTGGGGGCTGTAAACTGAACTGCTTAGAGGGCCCAGGTAGCAGATGTATGTTGGTGAACAGGCTGGCAGGAGCAATGATGAATTTAAGATCCATGTTCCATCTAAAGCAGGCACCTGATACTCAAACCCTTCCTGTTGCAGAAATCTAGGTCCAGGATTGCCAGATGTAGAATTTTGTTTCAAAGAAGTCAAGAAGTTAGAATTTTAAAAACGAAAATCTCTCGATTTTTAAAAGTTAGCATCTAATTAACTTTAAAAAAAAAAAATTGTGCTGAACAGGCAAAACATGACTACAGACCGGATGTACAACCTTTGGCCTAGACATAGAAATTTGTTTGTAAAATTTACAGCTTTAATTTAGCCAGCGGATATTTTGAAAATCATCAGTCAGATTCAATCAAGCAACTACATCATAACCAAGTTTCAAGTATTTCAAAATAAACCGTTTGACTAGACTCTGGCTTTAAAAATATCTTTTCTAAAATGTCATGGAATGAGACAACACATTCAGAGATTTCAGAACCAAAAGACATCTTACCTTCTAAATGAGCAGAGGTAACTGAAATGAGATTTGTATATATTCATAAATATATTTTTCCCTAGACTTAGATATAAGCCCATAATTTTTATGATATATAATAATTTCTCTTCACTTTGCTTTTTGTAACTTTCTGGTCTGAGAGAATCTAAAACAATAACGTCCCACAGCATAATGTCTATTTAAACTTTTTCTATAAGTAACATTATTTAATATTTTAAAATGTGGGTATTTAAAGTGAGAAACGTCTTACAAATTAACTGTTATTATTTCTAACAATGGCGAAGATAATACATAGCATCTCTGTGTTAAAAATGTTTATCTAATATAACCTGATTTCAAGTTGTGTTTATATTTTTTCTTATACTATTAAAGCTGTAAGATCTAACTTAGATAAAGGCACAGTACAGATGTAGAATAAATGCTTCCACATTTGCAATTCTTTTCATTTGATGCCAACGTAACTCAGGCACCAAGACCTTGTGGGAGAAGTGACCCTCAGTTGCCATGTGTCATTTCTGGTTATGTAAGGTCTTAACACAGTTTCCATTTTTAGCTACATTAATAAAAGAGGTTGTTCATCATTATACTAGCTTAGCAGGCACAAATCACACACTATGTCAAACCTTTAGGGGAAAAGAGGTGATTCATTCTATTAATCCTTGCCCACTGAAGTCCCGATAAATCTTGCTTCTTATGTTGAAAGACAAAGTTGAACACCCAGAGATGTACTACCTCTTGCTTTGCTGATGTTGTTGTTGAAATATCATATTTAGAACTTTATTTGGGCCATAGGAAGTGGCTATGACTATATGTCCAAAAAGACAAGGAAACATGCTTTGGAGATATTGTTGAGCAAAACAGTTTATTGCAAAGTAGCTTGGTTCAAAAGGCAAAAACTTAAATGTTGTGATAATGGAGCTCATATCCTTTCCAGCTGCTCCAGTGTCCTTTTTAGGAACCTCTAGGTTCTGGAGACGGAGCTCTTGGAAGCTGAAGTGATTGCCGCTGTCCGTGAAGTAATCCTCCTTCCCTTGCTCCAGGGGCGTTGTAAGCAACCAGCAGGCAGCACAGAGCACTGAGGGTGTAGAGGGGCTGCTGTTCCCACCAGCCTTTTGTGTGGGGGATGTCACCCAACAACGAGATTTATGGTGCATTTATGCTATTTTCAAAGCAGCTGGGACAATGGGTGAGACATCAAAACTCACAGCAGATAAAAGAGCAGGAAATTTGAATGCTTAGCTGAAGCTTTTCCAGATTCATCCCTTTTTAGACTACAAACTCAACTGGAGTTTTCGCAAGACAGCTTCAAGCCTCCGGGTTCCTAGGGTTATTCAGGGCCAAATGCTGGGGGCTCTTTGCTGTGGGATGGGGCACAGAGAGGGGCAATTTGATGGCAGTGGAGATGGAAAAGAACAAAGTCTAGGAATTCTTGAATAGTGGGAAGATCTTAATATACAGATAGTAAATGCGCATCTTGATTGCATTTTTCTTTTTCATGTAGTATAAAAACAGCTTTGGCATAGTAGAAGAGATAATTGGAATCAGGAATATTAATAAACACTACAACTGACAATACAACACCTTGATGTAGGTAATTTACTTTGTGCATTATCTTCAGCAGCTCTTGGGCCTTTCTCCACTTTTTGGTTACAGCCCCACAAGTTGTCCTTTGAAGTTAGGCCTAATTAAGAAAAGGGTTGGTTTGAGACAGAGCTAGGATATGTGTGTGTCGAAGCCTGTGTGTGTTGAAGAAATGGAGAATCTTATGATTTGCTTTCACAGCAGAAGGTGGTGAATTACAGCAGCTATGATACAATCGTAGTTACGATAGATTGGGCAGGGTTTTTTTAGTCTCCCTGAGCATTGAGTTTCCTCATCTGTAAAATGGGAACAATAATATTGACTTTGAAGGAGTGTTATAAATTAATTAGATAACATATAAAATCTAATTTCCACTTGCCTGGCATGAAGTGATTCTCAAGAAATGGTTGTTATGATATTTAGCCTAAACTTGGTCATGAAGGGAAAAAATTCATTCCAGTGAATGCTCATGCTATTCTGCCAATCTACTGGTGGATTATGTTCCTGTGTCTTTTCTCTCATATAATATTAACATCCGCTTTAATTTATTTTTAATATTTTGTGGGGAAGTACTGCTTTGCTGATAGTTTACATTTTCTCATTTTAAAATTCACTAGTAGAGGTGGGTTTCACTTTCAAGTCAGGAAGAATAAGAGCCTTGCCAACAGTAATTCCCAACAAATGTTTACATTTTATGTAGGGCAGTTCCCCAATTATCCCCTCAATTCTAAGGGAAAGAAAGGAAAATGTGCTTATTCCAGAAGCAGAATCTTGAGACAGATTGTCCAAAATGAGGCCCTCAGCTTGTATGCTGATTCCTTGTTTGACTTTAGCCAAATCTCTATGCCTGGAAAGAGATAGACTATGCCAATGGAACTGACCACTGATTTGATGTGTTGACTACTTTTTACCTAGGATGTATATCTGCCTAAATTGTATACATGACTTTATCTCCATTTTCGTGTCCTGATTGGATAAATGTATTAGGTTCTTTGGGAGCATCTCTTCTGCATTGATCAATTAATTTATTCATCCGGCAAACATTTCCAACAAGTATTTACTGAATGTGGACTGCTTATAAGATGCTGTAATAGATTTGCGGTGCAGTAGGGCATATTAAAGTATGTCAGATATGCATGGTATATATATAGTAGGAGCCAGTATATGTAAATATTTATATATGGAAGAAAGTGCTAAACGCTATGAGAGAATCAGCAAGTATTCTAGGAGAGATCACACTTGCTCAAGATGAAGATTTTGGAGGGCATCCTAGAAGTGGCATCTGATGTGCATTGAGTTGCTAATAAGGTTTGGATATCCAGAGGTGGACACTTGGGCAATAGAGGCAGAGGGAGCAATATGACTAGGTAAAAAGCCAGGCACATGCAAGACACATACTGGAGATATCAGGTCCTTGTTCTCCTTTACTTCTTGTCCTTGTTATGTGATCTCTTTGCCTACCCTAGAAAGATGTTTTAAAAAATAGAAGAGCAATAAAGAAAATAAAAACTTAAAATGTAAAATGTATACATATTTATCAAGCAAAGAGCAGTACGTATGAAGCTTTCCAAAATGAATGATTTGACAGCCCAGATTGGAACATCTTGGCATTGCACTGTTCCTAAAGTGCTCAGCTAAGATGAGTAACAGTTCCTGTCTTGAGGGAGGGACAAATGATTCCCTCTATGGCATCCAACCTCTCCAACAGGTGTCTACACTCCTTAGGTTGGATATGGAAGGCTTTTGTTGAGGGCGTAGCCAACTGTGTCAAACCTCAATCAAAATCCCACAATAAAGCACATACATCATAGTGGAAAGTTTACGAAACAATATTTTGTTTATTGCAAGGCAACTGCACCAATCTATCCAACTGTGGTTTGTCTTGTTTCCTATTATAATATTTCATGTGTGAGTCCTATTTCTCCTGCTAGATTAAAGCATCCTTGAGTACACACCCTTTCCCTTCACTTGATAGCTTGAAGTATGATGTTGAGCAGAATTGGTACTTATCAATACTCATTTAGTGGTGACATTTTAAAAAACAGCTGCCACCATGCTTCATTTTTTGTGCGTGTTCTGGTTTGTTTGCTTTTGCTTCATCCTAGCAGGGTAGGTACCTTACAGGAATGAATATCCCATGAATGTGAATTCACTCAAAGTTAAAATGGAATTTAGCTGAAGTCTAGGCTACTGAAGGCCTTCCTCATTTTTGTGAACTCCCTCTAGAAATATAAAACTGCAACTGGAAACATTATCCAATTTAATCAAACTCATGGCACTTTAGTTCAAGTTAGAAAATGTTGTAAATATTAGCAAATGGTGTAATTCAAGTTAGAAAACTAATTAACCAACTTGAGATGAGGAGGGCAGGTGAATAAGTTCTGAGGCCCTTAAAACTATTTACAAGGTCGACTAAAATGGTTTTATTGTGGCTCAAG
This sequence comes from Homo sapiens, assembly GCF_000001405.40. Lineage (NCBI taxonomy): Eukaryota > Metazoa > Chordata > Mammalia > Primates > Hominidae > Homo > Homo sapiens. The sequence goes on along the minus strand of NC_000018.10, from coordinate 56,221,948 downwards.
GTTTCACGTAGAAGTGATATTATCTAGGCTGACTTTGGGTAGAGGAATGCTTTCCTCTTTTATGGGTGGAACCATTGTCTTCTGTGGTTTGCAACACACACAAACTCCAGGTTTTAAAATCTAAAGAGGTGTTGAGCTTGCTTAATGCCTAGGGGGTTGTGTGCCTAAAGTAACTGGGACATAAATCCAGTGATTCTCCAGGGAAACCTTGGCCAACTCCCCATGGCCCCCAGAGGCCATCTGCTGCCTTTCTCAAAGAACCTGCTGCCAGCAGCCTGTCCTGGGAGCCTTGGCAGCCAATGAACTTCTTTTCAGTCCACATTATCTTGCATAAAGGAAAAACCCAGCCATCGATGGAGTAGACTCTTCCCCTTCTGAATTTTGGGGACATTTTATCAATCTATTATAAGGGATGTTTGTGTATGCTTTATTTTTCCCAAGGGAAAAATTTCACTCAAAACACTCCTCCCCCAAGAAGTGAGCATTGGTTGGGTACCATCTACCCAGTAGAACTGGCAAGCATAGAGGGTCTTAAGACCGCACGTGTACTCAGAGCCTGCCAGTTCTGTGACTCATGACAGGGCAGAAGCTGAGTTGGCAGAGAAGCCTTGTCCCAACCAAATGTCTCCTGCCTGCACAATCTAATTCTCTACTCACCTCTGAAAGAGAGTGGTCTCTGGAAGCACACAATCACTTCCCCAATTAGTTACCTTTGTGCATTCATGGATGTTTATGTTTGCCAATGTGTAAGATTCATTTTTAAATGGCACATGCAAAGTGTGAGTTTAACAGTTTCTATTATATTTTTATGAGAAAACCTTACTCTAACATACTATTGTAGCCCACTCTTTCCAACTTGCACAATTCTTTATGGAGCCCTCTCTTCCTGTCTGGCTCTGATTTTGGAAATACACAAAACTAAACTTTGTTCAGAAGTCTGAAATACTGCTCTTGGATCCAGCAACTCTTGGGTGCATGCACTCTGATCATGGTGAAGTGATCCCTAGGCATCCTTTGCCCACTCCTATTTTCATGCTTTTGCTCATGCTCTTGTCCTTGCCTCAAGTACCCCTTCCCTTCTCGCTTATGTGTCTCCTACTTACCTGTAGAGACCCACCTGAAGTATATGGTCCCAGCTGACATGACCTTTTAGTTTGTGAAATCATTATCAAATTTTGAGGTGTGGGACAACACAGTGCAAGATGGAAAATTAGACCAGATCAGTCATTTAACAATTATCCTAATCATGAGAATGAATGTGAGGTCGGAGCCCAGGCTGCCCAGCCAATCAGAGCACAGTTCAGCATCTACACACGTGGACTAAGAATAGTGTTCAGTGTGCTGTGCCAGACTGAGAGCAAAAGCAGCAGAGTTTAACATAGAATCCGAGAGCTAGAAAGTACTTTAGAAATCAGCTAACTACTTCCATCTTTGCAGAGATTCTGAGGCCAGAGGAGTTAGGTGACATTCTCGAGGTCATCAAATATTAAGAGACAGAGCCACAACCAGAACTCAGAGAGCACAGGCTTCCAAAAATTTCTATCTGTGTTTCATTCAGCTACACAGGCATCAGAGTATATACAAAGTTTCTAACTCAATAGGCTTCAGAAATCAGCACTTTTAAGAAATGCCTCAAGTGCAGATGATGCACAATAAATTTATAAAATAGCCGGTCCAGGTTTTCTGGTGAACTTTCAGAGTTGTGTGATATGGGTTGGGCTATTTAATGTACTGTTACTTATTATCTTCACTATGTTGTGTATGGGATGTGTGTAGACTAGTTGTCTTTACTATATCTGGCTTTGAGTATTTAAGTGGGACAAGTCCTTTTCAAAATAGTGACTCTAGGGAGCTCTACAATGATCCCAGTATCCGTTAGAGAACATATCTGAAAGAATAACTCTCAGAGCCTGCAACATTTTTTTTTTTCATGTGGAGTCGTTTCTCCTTTTTCTCCTCCTTTTTCTTCCTTTCTTCCTCTATCCCTCATTCCTTTTCTCTTCCTTCTCTACTTTTTCTGGTCGTTTGTGAGTTGATTTTGTTATTTTGGAAATTGTAGCAAGTTGTTCAGAGGCCACTTTAGGAAACAAGTTAGTCAAAGATGCTGGACCACATTGGATAAAATTGTGGTGAGGTGGTAAAGTAACAAGATCACTTTTCTAAGCTTAATTAGTAAATATTTATCAAGAGCCTGCTGTATACATCACCAGAATCCAGGGGTGAGCAAACTAAAAGAGCTCAGGTTCTAGAGATACAGCAAATAAAATGACAATGCAATGCCAAGAGTGAGTGCTGTGGTTGGTATACACAGAGGAGCTTAGAGGATATCTGAAAAGCACCTTTTGAATCCAAGGCTGATGGTAGAGAAGCTGCAAACTGGCTCTCAGCGAAATTTTCAAGGAGAAACCTTAGATGAGTTTTGAGCAATGACACGATTGTTGGCATAGTGCGTTCTTTTTCAGACTAACTATTCAAAGTAGAATCCTCATTTGGAAATGCTACATTTTGAATATCTAAAATTAGGCAATGTCCCATTGGACTATGTGCTAACACTGATAGCTTGAAGATCCCTATAAAGCAGCATATCTAAAACTCAGCTTGTAATCATTCACTTTTCTTTTTCTTTTCTTCTTTTTTCAAGGCAGAGTCTCACTCTGTCACCCTGGCTGGAGTGCGGGGGCATTTTCATAGCTCACTGTAACCTACAACTCCTGATCTCACATGATCCTCCCTCCTCAGCCTTCCAAGTAGCTGGGACTACAGGTGAACACCAGCATGCCTGGCTAATTTTTAATTTTATTTTTTGTAGAGATGAGGATCTCTTTACATTGCCCAGGCTAGTCTCAAACTCCTGGCCTCAAGCAATCCTCCCGTCTTGCTGTTCCAAAGTGTTGGGATTACGGGTGTGAACCATGGCATCCAGCCTTGTAATCATTCTAAATAAACTTATTTGCCCTTTAGAGCTCTCTACTCTATAGGTCAAAGCAGAGCCCCAAGAGCAGTCCTTGATGCCTCTTTCATTCTCTACTCTTATTTGATCAATCACAGATCCTGTCAATTTTATCTACTAAGTCTTCTTTGACTCCATTGGCTTTTCTCCATGTCTATTGCCACCACCCTGCCTGAAGCCACTGTTGTCTCTCCCCTGGACTTTCACAATCACCTGTAAATTACTCTTCTACACTGAGTCCCCTCCAATTGATTCACTATGTCATAGCCTGAGAGATCTTTTTCAATGTTAATCAGATCGTATCACTTTCACACTTATAACTATCCAATATTCTTTAGATAAAGATCAGCATCCTCTATATGGTCTGGTGGCATTTGGTGATTGGGCCTCTCTTTACCCCTCAGTCAAATCAGCACCCCTGTCTCCCTTATTCTTTCTGTTCCAGCCACACTGGTCTTTCTCAGCACTTTGGGAGGCCGAGGCAGGTGGATCACTTGAGGTCAGGAGTTCAAGACCAGCCTGGCCCACATGGTGAAACCCCATCTCTACAAAGAAATACAAAAACTTAACCGGTCATGGTGGTGTGTACCTGTAGTCCCAGCTACTTGGAAAGCTGAGGCAGGGGAATCACTTGAAACCAGGAGGTGGAGGTTGCAGGGAGCCGAGATTGTACCACTACACTCACTCAAGCCTGGGTGACAGAATGAGACTCCGTCTCAAAAACAAAACAAAACAAACAAAAACAAAGAAAGTCAATTACGTTCATCATGAAGATATGCTTCTAACTACAAGATCATTATGATCTAAGAAAATAATTACCTAAAGAATTGAATAACAGATTCAAATTTAAATGTCCATCTTTGTTCCCAACATGTCTGCTATGTTTCTATCAAACTAGAATCCAGATTTCACACATTGCTGTGGTTCTCCTGTTTCTTTTAATCTGTAACAGTTCCTCACTTTTTAAAGTTTGTTACATTGACTTTTTGCAGGAGCTAGACTATTGTCTTGGATTTTTCCTCCTCCTGGATTATCCTGATAGTTTCCTGTTGGAGTTATTAACGTCGTTCTTCTATTTCCTGCAAACTGCAGGTTAGGTCTAAAAGCTTGATTAGAAAGAAGAAGGTTAAACAAGAAGCCAGTTAGCAAGACGCCTCATAGCAAGAAGACCTCCTAAGTGTTGCTGGATACTACATCTTGCAAGCCAGAACATCATTCAGAGAGTTCCACTATTAGCAATGTTAAAATGAGACACTCAGAGTCCTCCATTGTACAGATTGTTTTTCTTTGCAATTAGCAAATTATGTATGAAATGACACATGACACCTTGGGAATGGTCTTTCCACAACATGTTATCCAATGTTTTTGGTTCACGGTGACTATCCTTGTCTGAGTCAATGCTTTCATAGGGCTGGGAGGGGGAGTGCAGATTGCAAAATGGTGATTTAAATTTTTTTCTATCATTCCTTCTACATTAAGTATCTGGCATTCATTTGTAAAGAGGAGCTTTCCCATAACTGAGGATAAATTAAATTGCCTTCTTTAAGGATTTAAAATGGTTAATTCTTTGTGAGAAATATTCCAAGTGGATAAATCAGTGCACCTTTAACACGGCATTCTGAGTAGTTGTTTGAAGGAGTTGGTTCACTGACGATCTGCAATAGTGCATATGCCCGAGCCAATTATGGTGCTTGGTCAATGATCCATGAATTTCAAATTCTAATTAAGTCTTGACACCTTAGGTTAGAATGATGCAAGAGGTCATTAAAGATTACTGAGTCTAAAATACCTGTTTTAAAAATACTCTAATTATGTATTTAGTCAATTACTATTGTAGATGGCCAAGTAAATTCTGTGCATTTTAAGAAGTCTCTCAACTCAGTATTTACATAAACAGCCTGAAATGGGCAGAATATCAAGTAATTAATATACATTTTTAAATGCCAAAAATACCCACGTTCAGAAAGTTAATTATGTATTTATGTGAAATGGATGGGTGGGCAACTGATATGCATTTTTAAAAGTTCATTGTGTCATATCTTCACAGAGGTTTACTATGGTTTGTAATGAGTCACAATGGTAAGACCCATGTCACAAATCCTTTTGCAGGCAGCATGGTGGGTCTCTTTTCATCCTGACTAGTATCTGACGAATTTCTCATTTAGGTTTTCCCTCCTTCAAAGAGCTGAGAGAAATAACTCTATAACAGCCAACTGCATGCTAGAGAAAGTGTTATGCTTTCAACTCCCTGAATTCAACCAAGAAACAATATAAACCTAGGGTTAGAGCTGGCAGTCTCTCTTCTAGTTTGGGATGTTGGAATTTGTAAGTGAGGCACATTCATGGAAATTAAAATGAGGCTGTCATTTCAGATGGGAATTCCCAACACAGATTTTCTCACTTTTCATATTCTCATCCTTTATTGAAAATGGACTTCTTGGGAATTTATTATTTATTTAGTTTCAGATATCTTCATTGTCTTGCCTTTAGAGGCATTATATTTTTAAGAGGGTTTAAAAATAGAAGACTTGTGTGCACTACAGGCTATTTTAAAAACTAGGATCAATTAGCATCAACTACTAAAATTCCTAGGTGGAAATAAGAGAAAAAAAATCATTTCTTAAGCTTATGTGCTCTGTGGTGTGTTGCTATATTGATGATAGAAGAACATATTTACAGATTGATAACACTATTCATCAGAAGGAATCTGATCTTTAGAACACAACTGAAAGTAATCCTTATAGGAGAGTTGGTTGACTTTGGGGACACAACAAAAGCAAAAACAACAACAACAAAAAAAAAAAACCACAGTCTTCTTTAGCAATCGTTCTTGCTACATAACTTTTATGCCTAATGACTCAATCAAAGTTAATTTAACTGTCATTTATTGAGCTGTATTGGTCATGAGAGGCTAGGCAATGCTGCAAAAACAGACAACTCCAAAATCACAGTGGCTTAACCCAGTAAAAGTTTATGTCTTGCCTACGGTTGTCTTGCCATAACTCTACTGTGGGTCTGGGTGATGATCCAGGGCAACAGCCCTTAATGCAATGAATCAATAATTTTGGCTGCTTGGGTCCTGTGACTCTGCCATTTCTTTACGAGGCCTCCACATTTTCTGTAGCAAGGGAATAGGAAGACTGGAGAATTACAGTGGGCTCTCTCACTGCCCTAGGCTGGAAGTAGCACCATCATTTCTGTGCAAATTTCATTGGTAATAATTAGTCGTGCAGCCCCTCCTAACTTCAAGGGGCCTTGGAAGCACAGTTGCCTGGGAAGGAAGAGTTAGAAACAGGTTTCGGTAAACACAAAGCATCATCTATGACACATACGCTTTGTGCTAGGCAATGTGTTATGTGCACTGAATAATAAGATTAAGTGACCTTGTTTTGTCCTCAAGTGGCTCATGTCATATAGAAGAACTAAATGGATAAATAAATTGCAACAGAGTGTGTGGTAACTTCCACAATGCAAGTGTGATCTTTATGAAGGTGGTTTGACCTAAGAGAATAATAAACTCTCTTTAATAAGGGTCAAGGATGGTTTCCAGGAGGAAAAGATTAAAGCAGAAATAGGAATTCATCAGCAGTATAATATGGGGGAGGCTGTTGTAGACAGAATGAGGAGCCTGTGAAGCTGAGAGAGTGTGTGGCATTATCCTGGAGGAAGATGGCTGAGAGGAGTCGAGGCCAGTATGAGGCTTAAAATGAGGCAGGAGTCAAGCTATAATGAATCTAATCATCATAGGAAATAGCTAGCATTTAATGAGAGCTTATTTGTACCAGGTACTGCTCTCAGTGTTTCACCTGTATTGTCTTCTGTAATCTTTCTGGTGACCTATGGAGTAGACAGCATTATCTTCATCCCCATTTTACAGATGAGGAAACTGAAGTGTGGGGAGATGAAGTAACATGCTTGAGATCACACAGCTAGAAAGGGAGAAGCTGGATGTTGAACTGATGCATTCCTGGCCCTAGAACCTTCTCTCTTATCTTGTTCACTCCACTTCTTCCTGGTTTAAACAGGGGGGCCAGTGGGTGCTTTCATGCAGGGGAAAGACACAGGCTCACCAAGGAAGTGTCAGCAATTCTGCAAGTAGAGATAACACAGATGTGCACATGGCTAGGTTGGAATCTTATCTCTGCCAGTAACTAGCTATGACCTTGACATTACCTGTCTGGCTTCAATTTCCTCAGCTGCAAAATGAGAGTGAATAAAATCTACTCGTGTGTGTGTGTGTGTGTGAGAGAGAGAGAGAAAGAGAGAGAGAGATAAAATGTGTGTGTGTTAGGCTGTTCTTACATTGCTATAAAGAAATACCAGGCTGGGCGTGGTGGCTCATGCCTGTAATCCCAGCACTTTGGGAAGCCGAGGTGGGAGGATCATGAGGTCAAGAGATCAAGACCATCCGGCCAACATGGTGAAATCCCGTCTGTACTAAAAATACAAAAATTAGCTGGGCGTGGTGGTGTGCACCTGTAGTCCCAGCTACTTGGGAGGCTGAGGCAGGAGAATCACTTGAACCCAGGGGGAGGAGGTGCAGTGAGCCAAGATTGTGCCACTGCACTCCAGCCTGGTGACAGAGTGAGACTCCGTCTCAAAAACAAACAAACACAAAACAAAACAAAAATAAATACCTAAGGCTGGGTAATTTATAAAGAAAAGAGGTTTGAGGTTTAATTGGCTCATGGTTCTGCAGGCTTTAAGGGAAGCACAGTGATGGCATCTATTCAGCTTCTGGTGAAATCTCAGGGAGGTTTCAATCATGGTCGAAGGCAAAGGTGGAGCTGGCATCTCATATGGCTAGAGCAGGAGCAAGAGAGAGAGAGTGAGTTGGGGAGGTGCCACACTTTGCAACAACCTGATCTTGAGAGAATTCATTCACTATTGCAAAGACAGCACCAAGAGGATGGTACTAAACCATTCATGAGAAATTCAGCTTCACAATCCAATTCCCTCCCACCCCCACCAGGCTCCACCTCCAATACTGGGGATTACAATTTAATATGAGGTTTGGGAGAGAGGGGGAGAGAGAGAGAGAGAGACAGAGACAGAGAGAGAGAGAGAGAGAGAGAATGCAGGCAGAAGGTCTGATGCTAATAAAGTTCTATCCTCTTGCAATGGTTTCCTTTCAAATTTCATGCAGAGCATTTTAATTGGCTTTTTAGGCTTTCAGATTGTAGCTCTTGATAGCTTTATGTCTCTCCCTATTCCCTCTTCACATTCCCCAAAGCAAGTTCCTGAAATCATCAGGAGAACCAAACCAAGTCTGCTGTCTGAGAACATGTGCTGGCAGCTTGTATAACCAAAGTCCTCAGGAATAATGATGCCGTGAGGACTAACCTATGCCTTACAGAAAGGGAACTTTTAAAACATGACTGTTTTTCTACCACAGGGCGAAAACATACTCAGTCTACAGGTGCTCAGACACTTGGCCATTTCAATGACAGAAAAAAAAATCTCCAGAGAGGAATTGACATCAGAAACTTGTTTCTATTATTTTTATCTCCAATGCCTGTTACCAAGGTGGCTGTGACTTTTATAAGCTTGGTATTTGAACTTGAGACAAAGGCAGACAGAGGACCTCTCCCTTCTGACATGGGCCATATTTATAAGCCCTGCCCCAACGCCCACCCAGAGGCTCTTCTGCCAAGAATTCTGACTCCAACAGGTTCTTCCTTTCTCTGTTTCATCCAGGATTAAGCACAGAGATCCTGTGAAACAGTAAGGTGGGCTTGACCATTTTAGGATCTGTGTTTCTTTCTTAACTCCCCATGCCTAGTTCATCCAGAACTTCAAAACTACAGGGCAGAAACCTGGCCTAGATGCTGTTCGTTGGAATAGGGTGTATATCCAGCAGCCAGCAGCCAGAGACATTCTTTCCAGAACAGTCTCCACCCAGAGAGCAGGCTGGATCTTAACACTGTAGGAGGGAGATTTTGCTGAAAATTGGCCAATTGTGTCTACTATATATGTTCCTCAGATAAGAGACCAGATAAAAGTATAATCCTTTTGTTCTCTTTTTTTCAAGTCAAAAATAAAATAAAACAATGGCAAAAACAGGAAAACCCTCCTAGATCTGGGTCTTTGGTGAAACCATCAGATGAGCAGACCCCTTCTGAGGTTTTCCCTAATTCCTCTATCCCAATTCCGCTGCTGCTTTATCTGGCCCAAGGACCAGTGACTGATACTTCTCTTGGGTTATACATTAATTCAAGCCGTCCTCTGGGGGAAGTATTCAATTTGAAGGGCCTTAAACATGCTTCCAGTGGGAATGAAGTTGAGTGCAGACAGATGTCAACATAAAACTTCAAACTATGAGACAGAAGCTTAAATTTGGGGACTAACCATGTAGTGGATGTCTTTGAATTGTATACAATATGAATAGGGAATCTATCCCCACATCCCAACCTAGACAGTGATGGACTAACTTGGCTCTTTCCCCATTAGAAGCAGCTCTTTGAGCAGTGACTCTGGTCACACAGTTTGCTTCCCAAGTGACAGTAAACGGAAATGCTAAGACAGCCTGGGCACCAGGATATACATGTTTAGAAACAGGTTCGCTTTTCTGCTTAGGTTGAATTGGGCCTTGTGATAATGGGGAAAAAGCAAGGGTGTGTCCTAGGTGCACAGCATGAGCAAGGAGGGCAGCAGGGATATTCAGGCCATTGCCTCAGAGACTTGTGAATTTGTAGGGAGAGGTCAGAGGCAGATTTGGAAAAGCTGATGGGAATCCAGTTTGATTGATAGTCCTAGACATAGAGCACATCCCACTGGATTGCATATTAGAATTCTCTTGGGAGATAACAAAGATATCACTAAGTGGGCCCAATGTCCATAGATATAAACCTAGGCACATATTTATTTTTAAGCACCTGATCATACTAGTTGGAAACCTGGGTTGAGAACTGGTGTCAAAGCAAAGGGAAGCCAATGAATGTGAGATAAAAGCTTTTATGCTCAGTTGTTTAGGGTATATCTACAAATGAATCACCTCCCAGTGCTGTGGCCTCTAAGAGACTAGTTAAGACTCACAGATAATAGTATACAAAGGCTTTTAAACATTTTACTGATATTATTTTGTTATTTACAGGAAGGTGATTAGAGATGGCTCAGTACTTGAGCTTGTGAATTGATTTTAAGAACTTCTAAATGCCACGTATTTATGAATGCAAATGCTTTCTACTATGAGTGGGTTTGTTTATTGATCTTGTAGCCACGACAGGAAAAAGTGCTAAACTTGGCTTAACCTGTTACATTGGCTTGCATTTTATCTTCTAGTTTGTTTTTAGTACCACACCTACACATCCATTCTCATTTCCCTTTAGGAATTTGGCACTGTGCCATATGTCCAGAAAAGGTTCAGTAAATGTTAATTAACTTTGATTTTCAAGGAGGGTTATTCTATAGAGAATGGTGATCAGCTGCTTCTCTTTTCTACTGAAGGTAGAAGAAGAAAATTGCAGCAGTAGAAAATATCTACTGAGTCCAAAATGTGTGTGTGTGTGTGTGTGTGTGTGTGTGTGTGTGTGTGTGTGTGTAGGGAGGAAGGAAGGTAACCTGCTTCCCTTAATGAAAGCACAGGACAGGGTAGGGATATAACTTAGGAGGTTAATGAAGGGTCTCCTGGATCTTAGTATGCCTCTCCAACTGTCAGATGATGGAACAGGGGAATAGACTGGGGAGCACCAGAGTCAATTTCTCTGGATAGTGTGCCACATCTCTCACCTTGCCTTCATATCCTCACTTTTGAATTAGTAGTGCAAACCTCCATTTCCTTAAATTACATTCATTCTTCATTCCAATGCAATCTGGCTTTTGTCTCCAGAATCTCAAATTATTTTCTTCCTTGCAAAGTTATTTCTTATTTTAGAACACGACATTGCCACCTATTACCACCCAAGCTAAAACCTGGAAGTCATCCTAGTCTCCTCCCTCATCTTGTTCACCTTATTTTAGGGTCTCCCACTCTCAACCTGCCACATCTGAGAAGTGCTCTCTGTTCCCACTTCCATTGCCCATCCAAGGCGCTCACTCTTGCACTGCCCTGTATCTGGCCTCTCCTACCTCCAATCCACCCCCTACTCAGCTCTGTGCGGACTCATCTTTCTCGATGATATGGAGGAAGGCCTTAAAAGATTAATGTGCTTTCTTATCCCCTCAACACCCATCTGCCCATCCCTTGTTGGTCTTGCAGCTGTCATGACCCCAGGTCAGGGACAGCCCAGCCAAATTCCCATGTGGAAAAGCCTGTAGTTAATGGTCAGGACATCTGCAAACCTCACAAAGCAAAGCTTGAGGCCCGGGACATCTGGAGGGGATGCAGGTGCTGTGGACAGAAAGTCCCCAGTGATTTTGCTGGAGCAAGGGGATGTGAACAGAGACAGTTTGAGGTTTTCCTTCCACTGGGTCTGTGATGAAACCCATTTATGGTGTGAGACTATCCAATGTTTCAGGTATTTGAATTTTTCTCCCATGCAGATCTTTGATGCCCTCACAGAGAATTTTTATTTTCTTTCAGAATCCTAGAAGAGCTCCAAGCTCCCTCTCCCCTAGAGTCCAGAGTGGTGAGAACTGGGGTCTGACTTGCACCTCTGCTTTCAGAAAGGACCTTCCCACAGGCAGGGCTGTGCATGACAGTGAGGGTGATGTGTTCCTCAGGGTCCCACACTAGCGGTTAATGAAGCTGGGTATTGGGTGAGTATCTTGCTACCTGACTTGGGGCTTATGAGTGGTCTTTCCAGATCTGGAGGCCATTTCTGCTGGCATAATGGTCTTAGGTTTTCTGAGCCCTAATCCTCTTCTTGGTTACCCCTGGTTTTATCTCAAGTTCAGAAGAGCCAGGAGCCTCAGGGCCCTCTGTGCACATCAGGATTGATCCCCACCTATGCTTTGAGATTTTATTGAGCCCACCCTAACTGCCCTGTGTGTTCCATCTTCCTAGCAGGGCAAGCATATCTCCCCAAGTAGAGAGTGAGGCCTTGTGATACGAGAGACTAAAGATGGTAGTGTGAATGGGAAAGACCTTCAGCACATTTACTTGTGGTGGGGGTACTTAACAGAAGGGGTTTGATATCCCCTTAGGAGGACAGCCATAAAACTCACCCCCAGTTTATGAAAGGTTGTTAACTTAGGTTACCCTATGGGTATACTAACATTTCTACACTTAACCCAATCATTTCTCCTGCCTGCCTTTTTTTTTAGCATCATCTCAGATAGGGTTTAGATTGATGGAAGAATGGTATGTAGGGCTCAAGACTTACTAGTTTTAGGCCATGAGGATGATGGAGATAGAAAGTCAGGGATTACACAGTGGTCAGTCATTCTTATTGTATCGGGATACATTTTCTCTCGATTTAGATACTTTCCTCTCTGTGGCCTTCCTCCAGAAAGGTCAAGAGTTATTCAGTTTTTTCATAAATTACTCTCCTTAAACATAATCTATGTCCCATTCATGCAGATGAAAATATCCTTCCCTTAGCCTGGAGTTCTTCCCAGGCTCTTCTATGCCTTAGATACCAGGGAGTTTATAAAATCAACATCCCTAGGGTTTAATTTGGAAAATCCTATAAGATTATACAGTCCTAGAGGACAGAACAAGGATCATGGCTTATGTCTTTGTTTTTCCTTTTTTTGTAGGCATTAGTACCCAAAAAATGTCAGAAGAAAATCTAGGTGTTCAGTGCTCATCTGCTGCTGACAGACTGAGAATCCATTTTATAAAATTGGAATTAGACACTATTACCTTTTGTCACATTCCTCCATTTTGGTAAAAGTAAAGAAATCTAGTAAAGGATGTATGTGTATGGTTGTGCCCTGATCCAAACGTTAAAACATTAGTACTTAGTACTCCACATGCCTTGAACCTTTGCTAGGGAGTCAGTGATCTTCAGGACTGAGCACGGGGAATGAGTGTCTTCAAATATCCATGACTGATGAGTGCAAAGAAGAACTGCCTTCATATGACCTGCATGTTGTTATCCATTGCCTTGAGGTACATGCCTATCTGGATGAAATAACACTTTCCCTAGGACCCAGTTGCTTTTTCCACAAACAACTGTGACGTGTCAGTATCCATAAAGGCCTTCTGGGAGAACTAGTTACCATCAGAAGCCCTGCTCTGTTGTGGTGGTAGAGACAAATAGAAATTCTTTGTGGAATTATAATATACTCAGGACAGGGATACAAGGGGATATGTCTTAAAATACAATAATGTGGGCCAGGCACGGTGGCTCACACCTGTAATCCCAGCACTTTGGGAGGCCAACGTGGGTGGATCACGAGGTCAGGAGTTCGAGATCAGGCTGGCCATGTGGTGAAACCCCATCTCTACTAAAAATACAAAAATTATCCAGGTATGGTGGCAGGCACCTGTAGTCCCAGCTACTCTGGAGGCTGAGGCAGAAGAATTGCTTGAACCTGGGTGGTGGAGGTTGCAGTGAGCCGAGATCGTGCCACTGCCCTCCAGCCTGGGTGACAGAGCGAGACTCCATCTCAAGAAAAAAAACAAAAAACAACATTAATGTGATATTGTACAGAAGTGTTTTCTCCACTGTCATAGCTGAGATGAAATCACAAGCTGGCCTTGTTCAAATACCACCACCCACCCTGCCGCTCCAAGTTGAAATGCAGACATACCCTCTCTTCCATGGCACTTGTACTACCTATGGGTGTCAAGGCTTCATATTTCCCTTTTGAGGCTTAAAAATGTCCTAGATTTTTGAAGAAGACCTCTTCCGCGGGGAGCATCTGGCTGAGCCAAGCAGTCTGAAGGCCTGGGCATGGTTCACTGCTTCAGAGTACAGGCAGCTGTTGATGAGAGGTCCTCAAGGGACACCTCAAGGGGCTCCTCAGGCAGTAGACACTAGTGATGTTAGCTCAAAGAGAGACAATCAGAGGAGGCCAGCTGAACTCCCTCAAAATTCCCTGGTTCTGGCCATTGGAGTTGCTCACTCAGAGGCTGGGCCATCTCTCGGTGTTGCCCACTTCTCCAAGACGTTCCTTTCGGTGCAAGGTTCCTACTGGTCCCCTGGCACCCTGCACATTTTGTTAAATGCCTAGGTGGGCAACACAATGCATTTTCTTCTACTTCTTCATGAATTCTCTTCTCAGTCTATTGTTTATGGATAAACTCCTAGGTTTCTCTATGAGTATAGTAGAAGTTCTAGACTTAACCCAACCTTCGATCTCTTCCTTGTTATTTCAGCACCATCTCAGTGAGACTCTAGATTGATAAAAGAATGGTATGCAGGAATAGCAAGTCATTGGTCTTAAGCCATGTGAGTGGTGGGGATACAGGCTCAGGGATGATGCAGTAATTAGTAATTTACTGCATTTTCATACATTCTGCCAGCTCTCTCAGGGCTTTGCCTTGTGACTTGCAAAAGCTTTTTTCCTCTCAAAGTCTTGGTTTTTGAAAATTAAAAGCAGTGACTTTCACTATTGTTTTGGAATTTGAAGGCTTAAATAGGTTCTTTCTTGTTGCTTTCTTGCTATATAAACCCTAATTCTCTCAAGCAACGGGGGCCTCTGCTTCATTTATTATCTCCACACATGGGTATCTGTTCAAATCACTCTCTGGCTTCCAATCGTCTATAGGAGGAAGTCCCAACTCCATAATGGATTTAGTGCATTAGTGATCTAGCCTTACTTCTTTTCGAGCCTCATCGTCTGCCTCTCTCCCAGGCTCTACTTGCTGCAGCCACAGTATTTCCAAAAGATGCCTTACCCCATCTTACCATCATGGCTATTTTCAGGCTATTCCTCCACTATGGTGCATTTCTGACTCCTCTCCATTTGATGAGTTGTCACTTAACTTCACCAAATGGAAAAGCCCAAATTCACTATTATTTCCCCCATGAAATATGTATGCGTTTCCCCAGTAAAATCAATCTCATCCCCCACTCTTGTCCTCTGAAAGCATACTGTTCATCACAAAAGCATAGCATTTATCATATTATAGAATAACTAATTGCATCCTTCTCCCTCCCACTATACTGTCAACTCCTTGAGGCAGAGACCATGTCTGATTAATCTTTGCTACTGTAGTATCTACCACAGAGCCTAGTAAAGTTGATTCTCAACAAGTTTGTTAAATTGGATACTATAGAATTATTTAAATTAAAACAGTATTTGGATTATGCTAATTTGGAGTTTATGGGCTAGAATGTTGTTGCCCTTTACAAGTAAACAACTAATATACTAATTAAAAATTAATCCCTCTATTCATTAAAGCAGATCCCTAAGGAGTTTCTCATGTCAGTATTTTGTTAGACCAGAGCTACTCTATGCATTTGAAATCTGTAAGTTTAATTTCTTTAAAAATATTCCAACTTTTACAAATTAGTCATCCTTCCCTTTGGTATTAATTTAAGACAATTTATGATACTACCACCTGAAGACATGCCATTTCTAGACCTGTGATCAGCCATGAAGATCTCTTGAAAACGTGGTAGTTCTTGTTCTGGCTGCTGAACTAGGTTTCACTGGATAAAGTTTCTGAAAGAGAGGGACATATTTGTTCCATTATATTCTGCAGAAGTATTCATGGTTCAGCATTTGACTAAGTCATAATCCCCTCATAGAAATAGACCACCAATGTGTCCATTTGGGTGCCCCACTGATCATAGAAAACTTCACAATGATACCAGCCATGTCTTCATGTCTTCTAAAGCTGTCACTTGAGATGTGGATCTGCGGTGGGAAATTCATCATGCTGAACACAGTCAATATTTGGTCCAATCAAAGTGTCTTTTTGATCATGATTCTTGAGAAATATTGCACCTCAAGTGGATGTTTATTTTCATCTAGTAGCTCCTTTGAGAAGCAGATAGTAAAGGAATAAGAGACTTTTAATCCATGATGCAATTCATGATTTAATTCATAATTCAAGGCAATTGCCCTACTTCCTGAAATCACACAATGTTGAAAGCAATCAAAGACAACAGTGTAGCCAAATCTGTCTATGTCTGTCATGATCATGTCACAAAGGGAAGACAACTTCCCCCACAATGTTAGGTGTTCTGTGCCAACTGTGATTGCTCTGTCTAGTCAGACAGTGCCAAGTAGTGAGCACAAATATAATGAGATTATTTAAGTACTATTCTTTCCAAACTTTAAAAGTCCTAGAGACTAAAAAGTGATGGTACTTCAACATCATGTCATCCTCTATTTGAGAAACTGTCTGATTATTTTAATTGCAAGATAAAAGGATTTAGTTCTGCAAATATCTATGGGCTGTGGACTGTCCTCTTCTGGTCACCATTTAAAAGAGTATAAAAGTAGCAAGTTCACTTTTGAGTTCCGACTGCTGGGGTAATTGGATTGATCTCCATCATTTCTAGATTTCAGACCCTGGCAGGCTTGGTCTCTGAGATCTGATAGCTAAATCTTTCCTTATTTGGTGTCAAGGCTTCCTGATCCTTGACTGACTATTGACCTTAGGTAACCAGGGAAATGCTGACTTCTCCTTGATTTTCTGTCTTCTAGGACTTGGCTCATCTTGGCCTGCTGTGGCCCATTTTGATGTATTGGCAAGTGCTGTAACACTAACTCTCAGGGTGCTGATTTAGGAGGTGGGCCCCCTTTCTAGCTCCTTCCCAAATCTGACCCATTCTTCTGGTCTTCCCCTATCCTCTGACATTTATGCTCAGTGTGATATTTTGTAAGATGTTGGCCTCTGGAGCAAACACAGAAGTCATTTCATATAAGCCATAACCATATTGAGCAGAAGGCTTACTTAAGGTTGAGAAGTTCAGTGCAAAAAATCATGTTTAGCTTTAGGAGCAAATTCAAGTACAGCCACATCTTGAGAAGATATGATGCTTACAGTTGTGAAAAACTCTGAATATGTCAAGGTAGATGCGATAGTTAATTTTACATGTCAATTTAGGTGGACCATGGTGCCAGGGACTGAGTCAAACATTATTCCAGATCTTTCAGGGATGGCATATTTTTGGATAAGATCAACATTTAAATTGATGGATTTTAAAATTTTTATTAAGTTTGGCCAGGTTCGGTGGCTCACGCCTGTAATCCCAGCACTTTGGGAGGCTGAGGCCTGAGGATCACTTTAGGTTTGTAGTTTGAGACCAGCCTAGCCAACATGGTGACACCCTGTCTCTACCAAAAAATACAAAAATTAGCGGGACATGGTGGCACATGCCTGTAATCCCAGCTACTCGGGAGGCTGAGGCGGGAAAATCGCTTGAACCAGGAAGGCAGAAGTTGCAGTGAGCCGAGATCGCGTCACTGCACTCCAGCCTGGGTGATGGAGTGAGACTGTCTCAAAAGTTGGTGGTTGTGATAGTGTGTTTGAAAGGGCCTGGGAAATCTGGAATTTTCTTTCAAACCTCTCTGCTTCACCCCATATTACTTTTAATTGAATCAGTGTAACACAACAAGAAGTAAAATATTTAGTTAAGTTTGCCTTTCAATTATAAAACATTGTGTGTTTTAACTTTTTTTAATGGAACCTCTTAAATATATTATACAAATGCCTATCTTACTAAAGAGAGTACGCTGAATAAAATAAATTTTTTTAAAAGACTGAAGTTCATAATTTCAAATGTTCTCTGATGAAATTAAGGCTTAGGTTTTTTTTTTATTGCTTTTATATCCTTTGTAGTCTTCACAGATTCCATTTTCTGTTGCTATGTAACAAATGTCCCAAAACTTAGTTGTTGAAACAATGCTTATTTTATTATCTCTTATGATTCTGTGAGTTGACTGGGCTCAGCTGTGTGGTTCTTCTGCTTCATGGATGTGGGCTGGATGGAGCCTTGACTTAGCTGGACATCCAAGATAGCTTCTTTACATAGCTGGCAGCTGGTGCTAGCTTTGCTGAGAATTCTGTTGGAGCTGTTGGGCAGAGGGCCTCTGTTCTCTTCTGTATGACCTCTTTAGAAAATTTGGGCTTCTCATGGCATGGCAGCTAAGTTTCAAGAGAAAGCACTCTAAGTGGAATTCAGCAAAACTGAAAGCTGCAAATCTTAAGGCCCAGCTCCAAAGATAAACAGTGTCACATCTGTCAGATGCTATTGGTTAAAATGTGTCACAGGGACAACCCAAATTCAATGTGGTAAGGCTATGGTTCACTGGGGCTCAACTTCAGGGACTAGCTATTAAACATATTAAACAAGTTTACTTCCACAAATAAAGTTTATTCTATGAATAAATCCCTAATTTATGAGGGGATCACACAAGTGGCTCAGCATTTAGTTTGTCTGTCTGTTGGTTCCAGTTCTAGTCTCTGGTCTCTTAACTTACTTTCTGTGACTCAATCCTTCCTAGATATCAGATTCAGTTGCTGGTCTCTGCCGCTTTACCTCAGTGCCTCTAGTTGGTTACCACCATATACCACCAAGTTTTTTCTTTCATGCAAGCAGCCTAAACCATCCTTGGGTATTTTCCTCTTTCCCTGTCTCTCTCCATGCTGCCTCCCTACTTGCTTGGCTTCCTCTTATTCACCAAAAAGTCTGATATCTCCCTATGGGATCTATTTGACTTGTACCCAATCATCAGTCTGACCTGTCTCACTGTTGCCTGAGTTCCAATAATGCAGGAGCTTTGCTCAGAGGCTGAAGTTGCCTAAATCTTGTATCAGTCTGAGTGGGGTTATCACTATTTCTGGTTTATTCCTAATACAATTTAATTCTGAGGACAATAAATCTGGTGCTCTTTGAGTTGTTAGGCCATATTTGCTATTTATTTAGTTGAGCGGAGTCCCTGGGTCCCCTCCCCAGGGCCCAGTTGGCTATGCTGAAGTAGATACATAAGTTAATGCTCTTACCTCTGTAGCAATATTCCCCTAGCACCTTATTTATGTTGACTCTGGCATGTCAGCTTATAAAACCAAAGAACCTTTGCAATAAAATAATCTTGCAGAGGTCAGCCATACCTGTAACACTGGTCCTTTTTCACAACTTTTAGAATGTCCACCATCTCAAAGAACATTAGCATTCTGTAACACAGACTCCTGGGTCACGTCGATTCATCTTATTTCATTCTCTTCCAAAAGAAATAGAACATGGGTTGGCATAAGGTGGATGTCGAATGTTTATGTAATGACATAGTTATTTTAAGATTCCTGACTAGGAAGCAGCTTGTTGCTGCTAAAAAGCTTAAAAGAACACCCCAACCTGCCAGGACAGTCTATTAACAAAATGTCATTTTAGTATGCATGATGTCTGTGTGTGTACCTTTAATTACTGAAGTCACAATTTATTAATAGGTTTGTTTAGCCACATGTTCTGGACAGGTCCCAGTTGGAATGAGTGCATTTTTCCTGCTGAAATTATCCCAGTTCCAGCCTACTGAAAGCAGAATAATCAGCTAATCCTGATTTTTTTTGTGGTCCACTCAGATAACCAGTAAATGTTTAACAGATTATGAACTGAGGGTCCACTAATAAACATGTATTTTCTACAACAGTGATTCCACATAGTAGGTAATGCATATTTATTGATTTGTTTTGAATTCTGACCTGATTCATTGGTAATTCATCACTTGTATAATTATGGCATTGTACGCTAATAATAGTACAATATTTTAAGTGTTGAGTATGTGTCAGACACTATCCGAAGTGTTTTTCATGTATTATCTCATCTGATCCTCACAAACTTATCAGATGGTTTATGTACTATTATTATCCTCTGTTTAAAGACAAGGAAACTGAGGCACAGAGGGATTAAATGACAGTACCATGGGCACTGACAATGCCTCTGCCTTGCCTGATGTAATTTAGCAATGAAAACTCAATTCAAATTGCACTGCAGTCTCATCATAAGGAACTTTATTCTTCCTTTCCAGTAGCTATAGAGAGAGGTAGGTTTGAAGAAACAGGAATGAAATGAGCAGGAAAGGTGACATACGACTAAAGAAGTTTATGAACTCTTCTTATGTACTCTCTCTGAGAGGATACAGGCTGATAAACTTATACGTGTACAGATGTGTATATGTATACTTATACATATATTCAGTGTTCATAATACTTATACGCACATGCAAGTGTATTGATGTTACAGATTGTGTGTGTATTGATGTTACAGATTATGTGTGTGTATGTGTATGTGTACACCAATCCACTTGCAAGTGTGTATAGGTATTATAAATACACAAAAAGCCCTGCCAAAAATAGGAAAATATTTAAAGATTATAAAACTTTCCCTAAATAAAGGAGGCTGGCCCTTAGTAAGCCAAATGTAGGATTCTAAGGGTTTGTAATCAAAACAAATGAGACTCACTCAAACGTCCTTGAGAAAGCTTCAGACATTGGGACCTTGGTTTTATGCCTCCATGAAGCTGGCCTGGAGGTATCTATGGTCTCTTTCAACTGTGACATTTTTGTGAATTTATAACTACAAGGGAAATTGAGAACAGCATACCACCTTTACCTGGGGAGGGAGTGTTTGCATTGCTTTTCTAAAGCAAAGTCTATGACTTTGGTGGCTCTGGAGAGCTCTAGATATTTTTTCCACTTTGAAAAAGCTGAAAGAGTTACCTCTTCAGCTTTTTGGCAACACCTGTTTCTATATATGGGACACCTACCAATGCTATTTGTATATGGAGACATGGTTTTTATGTCTGTACTGTGTGTGCTCCAACCAGCATCCTTTGCCTATCGCTGCTACTTGTGTATTGCAGTCACCCTCTCTTCAGCTTTAGTTAGTCCTATATTCCATCATTGTCTGCACAGTGGCCTTGTCACAGCCCACCAAGCACTGAGGATCCCCTTCTGGTGTCACAAGTGACTGGATTATTTCGCCTTAAATATTATTCATGTAGCTGCCTCCATGGTAGGGGAGAGGGGGCACCTACTGAGAGTCAACTGTATCTTCTACATTTCTCTGTCCAAAATTCTTGGTAGAAATTGACTTGACTCAACTGCCTCTGAAAAGAAGGAACAGAAAGCCCATCTATCTATGCTATTTGCTTTGGTAGTATTAGGTATCAGTACTGTTACTTAGTTTAAAAGTTCCCAAAAACATTAATGCCAAATTGTTAGGCCATGAAAGCCTGAGAGAATGAATATGTTCAACCACCAGCCCTCATAAATGCTCAAAATAATAACATTGTGCTCTAATCTCTAATTTTTGCATGAGCTTCCATAGCAAAACTTCTTCAAGTTCTTTTCAAACCCTGCTTTCAGTTCTTTGACTAACCCTCTGGGGTCTCTTGGATTAAATGAAAAATAAACAGCACAGAGTAAAATCATACACACTGGAATCCAAGTGCTTCCTGTGAACAAGGATTAATTCTGTTGAATTGCTCACAGGACTACTACAGTTCTGTTGTTCTTTGAAAATAAACAGGCTGCAGTGAGCTATGATGGCACCACTACATTCCAGCCTGGACAACAGAGCAAAACCCTGTCTCAAAAAAATAAATAAACAAATAAATATGTTATGTGGAAGCAAGAGATCTGGAAGCATTGTCGGAAGTATTGAAGTGTAGCCTAGGAAGCAGTGAGAGGTCAGCTCAAGATTGACTCATCTTTCTCAGGCTACATTCCTCTAGGCTGAGAGCAGACCTAAGAGGAAAACACAATTGCATGTTTGCTTTTGGAACACAGATGGACAACATATAGCCATATGTCTTTATTAGCAGCCATTGTGAAGCAGCTGGAAGTGGAGCCAGGAAAGACTGTCATTACATTTCATTACCTGTCCTAGGACAGGGTATATGATTCTGGCACAAGTGCACGGCTTGGAAAGAGATGTCAGAGATAGACATTACATGAGTGTGTGGTCAGCCCTTCTGACATGGAAACTTTATTCCTTTCTCTAGATTTGGGAAGGGCATTAATCAAGATCTTGGTGGGAGAAACTGCTGCTGTTTACCAAAGCACCCTCTGCGCTGGTCCTGTTTCCTGTTATTGGGTCATGTTCTGCAATTCATATTTTATTGTTTAAGCTGAGGCAGGGCCAGGGCAGTCACGGTGTGACTTTTTCACTAGGCGTCTCATTGTGATTATTTTCCTGTTCTGATAAGGAAGTTGAACCTGAGGCAAATGTCTGGCTGCTCTATAGATTCCCAGCTTCCATGGGATATCCCTGGAATTAATGGTAAAGAAGCAGTGGGCATTGAGAGTTACCACTGACCCCCTTGCAGCTGTCATCATGAATTGGCTCTTCTCTTTTCACCCTGATGGTGGGACATAGGTGGGCGTGAGTTTACTGGGCACATGGTCAGAATGAGCGTGGGGCTCGCCCAGTACAATATTATAAAGTTTCTCCTTTGTTTCCTCATCCTCTAATTTTAGAACTCCCAGCTTCCAGGCCCACACAGTTTTGCTGATCACGAATGAAATCTTGAAGAACATCCATCTCTTGTGTGAGTAGGAAGAGAATTTATTAAAAGTTATTCATGTCAAAGTGCTAGTAATTTTAGTCCTTTTCAGGAGCATTTAAATTTTTGAGGAGGCTATCAGGAAAGGGCAATGATGATTGCAAAGGATCATTCAGTAGTGATCAAATTTTAGGCCCTGCAAAGAGAGAGAATGTTTATTCAGAATAGGTCCCACCCTGATTAGATGGCTAACTGCTTTGCTTACAAAACCAATCATGAAGTATAGGACTGAGAATTGTCTTTTCTTAATTTTGTACTTTTCATCTCCCTTTTTATTTATACTTCACAGCCACATTTCTGCTCTACTTAAAAAAAAAAAACATAACAAACAAACAAAAACTGGAAGCCAACAATGGAAAAGAGGGACCAGGAAGACAAGAAGTGAACATCTTAAAGAAAGATATTAAGTGTCTAAAGGCATGAAGATGACTTGTGTTTATTTGGGAATAATCTAGATGCTTTGCACCTGGAGCAGAAAGAACACAATTAATGGTGAAGGACTTGTCCAAATGATGAGAAAAAATTCACAATGTGGGCCCACTCTACATCTCTGAAAGGAAGAAGTCAGCAAACATCCCTAAGGGCCTACCTTTCAGCTATTTGTTTCACTTACTCCACTTAAAAATTTCCAAGGGACATGAACAGAGACAAGATCTATTTTGAAAGTGCAATTTACACTCTCAAGGTGTCCTATGTTAGCTAGCACGTTAGTGAAAAATAAGCCAACCGGTAGGAAAGAAGATGACAATGAAACAAGGGAGAGTGTGGGCATAGATATTAATATTAAATGGGTCAGGTTAAAGTTAAATTAATTCACTGTCTTTTATGCTGTATGTTAAACTGGCAATCCATGAAAGTTAGATGCACAGAAATAATGTTCAGTCTTTCATTCAAAGTTTCCACAGCATTTCATCTAGGTAAAGACGTTACACCTAATATATGAACTTTTTTAAAAAAAGGAAAGAAGACCTGTGCTTTAAAATAAATGTTTCTTTTTTTCTCATTATAAAATAATACCACACACTCCTTTTAGAAAAACAATAAGGACAGTATAAGAAAACAATTAAAATGACAATAATCTTACTATCAAGTGATAAGCACTACTACTATTTTTGATACATTTTCTACAATATCCCTTTTGATACATTTTCTATAATATCCCTACATTATTATAGTATTCAAATAATAGCCCACTTAGTATTCTTTTATTACATGTTAAGATTGGTCCTCATTTTTAAAATATTACAAACAAAACTCTGATGAATATCCTGGTACAACTGTCATATGCTTACTTATTACTTTATCAGGTTTAAAAAATTATTTTCCACACAACATCTATTTTATCTTTTTTTCCAATTCATGGTACATGTTTTTCTTATTAAGCTGGAATTGTTCTTCATATGTTAAAGATATTAACATTTGTAATATGTGTCTCAAATGTTCCCCCAATTTTTTATCCATCTCTTAAATTATGATGTCTTTATTGATTTGCAGAAGTTGTCCAGATGTATTTATCTTCTTTTGGTGTTTCTTCCATTGCTTTTGAAAGTCCTTCATCACCCTGAGATCAATAAAATATTGGTCAAGAAAATATTATATTTTATCCTCATTTTGAAAAGCATGCATGACATTATTGCTTGTTGTTTTTAAAAGACAAAAGAGATGCATAAAGTAAAAGAAGAAATTGCTTTGTGCCCCTCTTGCCACCTTCCACCCATCCCTGTCCACATATGCTCTTTCAAGTTTTTATAATTCTACTGTTTACACTTCACTTTTTAATTTCAGATGAAAGTTATTTTGTTATATGGTCTGAGGTGACAATCTAACTTGAGGATTTTATGTTTTTCAAATAGCCATTTTTTCCAACACCATTGTTGAATAATTCATTTCTTCTTTCTTGGTTTGTGACAGGCCCATATTTTTTGAGTTACAAAGACAGGAAATTCACAATGACATTATGCAACAAAAATAACCTGCTTTCAGTGCTTGAATACACGACTGGCTAAGCACGTGGTTATTCATACACCTACACTCTATGTGGAGGCAGAGCATGTCACTGTAGGGCAAGAGATTGGATTGTCCATTTTTAACAGAATGTTCTAATTTGCTGAACCACACAAGTCTTTAATTTTTCAGTTCAGTTCAGTTCAATTCAACTGACTTAATTTCAACCACCGTTTAGTAATGCGTATTATGTGCATTCACTGTAGTATGTGAATTCGGGTTGATCCAGTTTTGGATTTCAACCCAGCCTACAAGTAAGTAAGAAGTTGAGCAACTTGTCTAATAACTCAGACAAAAAACAAATAAAATTGTCCAAACAATTCTGGGGAAAATGGAGGAGGCTTTGCTGAAATAATTTTACATGACTATCTTTTGAGTTCGAATTGATATGTTTTTAGGGCCACAGGGTGTCTTCATGTTCTCATCTCCAAAGCTGACAATAACAAATTGTCCAAGTCATTTGGATTATGCCATGGGAGCAGACTGAAAGCTCAAAAGCACATGATAGAACAAAATAAATAAATAAATAAATAAATAAATAAACATATGTAAGTCAAAGAGACATTCCTTTCCCAGTAAAAAAACATAGGAAGACAAAGATGCCTGCCATTCTCGGATAACTACTCATAGTTTATCAAGCACAGAGGAGTGAGCAGAAACAACATTCTTATCACAGATGCCATATGAATATCTAAAATAATCATGCCCACAAATATTCCATTTTACTTGTATTTCTATTGCTTATCTCTTCTTTTCATCATGTTAGTATTCATTTTTTCATAGTATGATATAAAAACAACCTGATGAGATTATATATATATATATTTGGTTCCTATTAGAGAAAACAAAATTATTCATATGATCCCATTAGGTTATGACAGAAAACTGCTGACAGGATGGAAATGTACCAAAGATGTGTTTCTTCTGTTTGTAGTTACACTGTCATTTTTCTTTATTACTCCTGACATGTTGTCTATCACACCAGGCACAGTACAGGAGACTGGGGAATGCTGTTTGAAAACCTCACTCCTCCAGGGAGTTCAGAAGCACCTGCTAATTGCCTGACACCATTGTATTTGCCTTCTCCTCATTCTATTGCTCTCCCTGATTGGAATCTCCATAGGACAAGATTTTCCACAGTCCATTTAAGAGTTTGGGTTTTTCTTTTTTAGTTTATTCCACAGGCTCATTGTTTTCAAATTTAGTTATGAGAGCATTTTTTAAAACATGATGTGCTTTTAATTTCAAACATTCAGCATAGTTATAATTTTACATTCATTTGTGTGAATATTTGATTGATTCTGTAAATTAGGTATGGAGAATTCAGTGTATTTTCACACCAAGGTACTCCCAGTTCCTAAAACAGTGCACAATATGGGAACTCAATAAGTATTTATTGACTGAATGTTGAATGAACCAATTATACAAGAGCCATTTTGCTGCATAAGAAGGGAGACACAAAGATGCATGACATATTGTTTCTATTCTCAAAGTACTTACAGTAGAACTGGGAGCCATGACAGACACAAGACTAAATAGGAAGACAAGCCAATAATACAAGAGATGTCTTTCAAAAGTATAGAAAGTATCCAATTAGAGGTACCACAGTCTGTGCTTGTGTCAGCAACAGTATTCACCAAATGAAACACTCTTACACATTCCTCAGCTTCCCCTGCAGTTAAGGGGCCAAGTGACTACTGTTAGTCAGTAAAATGTGAATAGAGTTTTGTGTGTATCATCCAGGTGGAGGCTTTAATAACCAGTGTGTCTCTATCTTGCTCTTCCTCCGCTGGGGCAAACTGGGTGATCATGTGTCCTTAATTGCATACCTAATGAGATAGAAGCATCCTGAATGTCTGAGTCAACACTTGGAGGAGTGGGGCCCTGTAAAGGCCCTCAACTTACCTGCTATGGTTTGAATATTTGCCTCCTTTGAAACGTGTGTTGAAACTGAATTCCCCATGTAACACTATTAAGAGGTGGGGCATCTAAGAGATGGTTGGCAGAGCCCTTATTAATGAATTAACCCATTCCTGAATTAATTGATTAATGAGTTATCATGGGAGTGGGTTAGTTATCACTAGAGTGGGTTTGTTATAAAATCCAGCTTGTCTCTCAAACAGCTTTCATGTCCTGTGATGCTTTCTGCCATGTTATGATGCAGCAGAAGGCCCTCACCAGAAGCTGAACAGATGCAACCACCCAATCTTGTACTTCCCAGCCTCCAAACCCATGAGCTAAATAAAATATTTTCTTTACAAATTATTCAGTGTCAGCTATTCTGCTATAGCAATAGAAAATGGACTAAGACACTGCCTTAGACTGTGATGTGAGCCAGAGATAAACTTTTGTGTTAAATCATTGATTTGCCTGTGCAACAGCTAAGGCAAAATATATTAATACAATATTATCACAGTTTCAGAAGGTTGGAAGGTCATGAAAAGCTTCTGAAGGTGGTGGATTAAAGCTGGATTTTGAACAGTGTTTAATAATTTTAATAGTAAGCGATAAATTAAGGCAAGGCCCAATGGTATTTTTGCAGACATAGAGAAAAACATTCTAAAATTCATATGGAATCTCAAGGGACACTGCATAGCCAAAATAATTTTAACAAATAAAAACAAAGTTTCATGTCTCACATTTCCTGATTTCAAAACTTATTACAAAGATGCAGTGATCAAAATAGTGTGGAACTGGCATAAAGATAGATATATAAATAAATAGAATAAAATATAAAATACAGAGCCCAGAAGTAAATGCTAACTTTTATGTCCAAGAGACTTTTGACAAGATGTCGAGGCCATTTATTCGGGAAAGACTGTCTTTTCAACAAATGGGGCTGTGAACACTAGATATCTACATGTAAAAGATTAAAATTAGACCCACACCTTACATCATCTACAAAATAAATGCAAAACAGGCTGGGCACAGTGGTTCACAACTGTAATCTCAGCTACTCAGGAGGTTGAGGCAAAAGGATCACTTGAGCCCAGGAGTTTGAGGCTAGGGTGAACTATGGTCACACCACTGGACTCCAGCCTGGATGACAGAGCAAGACCCTGTCAGCAAAAAAAAAAAATTTTTTTAATTAAAAAAAAATAAGGAAGGGAAGGGAAGGGAAGGGAAGGAGGGAAGGAAGGAGGGAGGAAAGGAAGGAGGGAGGGAGGGAGGGAGAAAGAAAGAAAGGAAGGAAAGAAAGGAAAATGGATCAAAGACCTAAATATGAAAGCTAACACTATAAAATTTGGAACAAAAATGTAGGAAACAGCTTCAAAACATTGAATTTGGTGATGATTTCTAAGATATGGCACCAAAATCGCAGGCATCAAAGAAAAAACAGATAATAAGATCACATAAAAACATAAAAACTGCACCACTGGCTGGGCATGGTGGCTCATGCCTGTAATCCCAGCACTTTGGGATGCTGAGGCAGGAGGATCACTTGAGCTCAGGAGTCTGAGACCAGCCTGGGCAACATGGTGAAACACCATCTTTACTAAACATACACAAATTAGCCGGGCGCGGTGGCACACACTTGTAATCCCAGCTACTAGGGTTTAAAAACAACAACAACAACAACAACAACAACAACACACCTCACATAAAAACGGCTCCACTATCAACAGAGGCAACTCATGGAATGGGAGAAAATATTTACAAATCATATATCTGATAAGGGGTTAATATCCATAATATATAAAGTACTCCTACAACTGAACAACAGCAAAAAAAAAAAAACAAACAGCAAATTAAACCGTAGGCAAAGGACTTGAACAGACATATTTCTCCAAAGAAAATATACAACTGGCCAAGAACCATACCAGAAGATGTTCACCATCACTAATTATTAGAGAAACAAAAATGTAAAACTGTAATGAGATAGCACCTCATACCCCTTAGGATGGATACCATCAAAAAGCAAAAACAAAACAGAGAAAAACAGTGTTGGTGAGGATATGAAGAAACTGGATCCCTTGTGCACTATTGATGGGAATGTAAAATTTTGCAGCCACTATGGAAAACAGCATAGAAATTCCTCAAAAAATCAAAAATAGAATTACCATATGTTCTAACAACTCAACTTCTGGATGCATACCTAAAGAATTAAAATCAGGGTTTCAAAGAGATATTTGAATGCCTGTGTTTGTTGCAACACTATTAACAATAGCCAAGAGGTATAAGGAACCCATTTATATCCATTGATGCATAGAGGATGTGTTAACCTGTTCTTGTGTTGCTGTAAAGAAATACCTGAGACTGGGTACTCTATAAAGAAAAGAGGTTTAATTGGCTCGTGGTTCTGCAGGCTGTACGAGTATGGCACCAACATCTGCTTGGCTTCTGGTGAGGGCCTCAGGAAGCATACAATCATGGCAGAAGGCCAGTTGGGGAGTAAGCATGTCACATGGCAAGAGCAGGAGCAATAAAGGGAGGTGCCACACTCTTTTAAACAATCAGATCTCATGTGAACTCAGAGTGAGAACTCACTCATTGTCACGAGAACACACCAAGACATTCATGAGGGATTCACCCTCATAACCCAAACACCTTACGCTGGGCCCCATCTTCAACATTGGCGATTACATTTTAACATGAGATTTGAAAGGGACACACATCCAAACAATATCAATGGATAATCAAAAAGTCGTATATACATACAATGGAATACCATTTAGCTTCGAGAAAGGAAGGATATTCTGACAAATGTTACAACATAGATTAACCTTGAGGACATTATGCTAAGTGAAATAAACCAGTCACACACAAAAAAATATGGTATGACTCTACCTATATGAAGTACCTAAAATAGAAAAATTCATAAAGAGAAATTAGAATGGTGGTTACTAGAGGCTAGGGGGAGGCAGGGAATGGTGAATTGTTTGATGGTACAGAGTTTCAGCTTTTCAAGATAAAGAGTTCTGGAACTTGCTTGCACAAAAATGTGAACATACTTAACACTACTGAAGTATATATCTGATAAGATATACTGAATTATATATCTGATAACACATACTGAACACTATTTAAGTGTACAGTTAAGTACACTTAAAATGGTTAAGATAATAAATTTTATGTGTTTTTAAAGTCATAATTAAAAATTTAAAAATTAAGGCAAGTGATTTTTAATCCCCTTCTCTGTTTCAGATATGGTATTAATTTTAGCAGAGAGGAAGAAAGAAATATCTAGTAACTCCCAGGAAAATAGGCTCCCTGGATGCATAATCCAGAGATTATATATCAATGTGGTTGCACTTTGTGGCTGAATTTAGAAAACTCTAGCCTATAAAATTATAGTTGGTTACTAACATTTGGTCATCAATGAAATGACCGGAACAAAGGCTCTAATGACTAGGTTATCAGGAAACTTATCTGAATTCTCCATTGTGCTCTCAATGTGGACATACTTTTTATAATCAAAGTACCCATCAGCTAGAGCTGGAGAAGATCTGGGCTCTCTCACTGGTGCCACTGCTGATGGCATGTGTGGCTGGGCATTCTCAGCCTGTGTTCCTCGTTTACAAACAAAGATGGCCAGCTCATCCACATTGCTTGTGTTTCCTCATGGCATAATTTACTCCTTCCTGCTGCACAGGGAAATGTTTCTCTGTATGTGTTTAGTGGTATTGATTTCTATTTTTTACTCTATACCTGCTTTCTAAATTGTAACTATTAAAACATTTTTAAATTGTGGAATTAATAAAACTCTATTACTAATGTTCCAAAGAGAGCACAAGCCAGATATTTCAATTGAAGGAATTTAATAAAAGTAATTCACTATAGAGTTGCTGGAGGGGCTGAAAATAGGTGAGGTGCTGCTACTCTTAGGGTCATAAAGGGAAAAGATGGGAGTCCAGATTGACTAACAGGTGGGAGCTAGAACTACGAAGAAAGTCTGGTGGGAGCTGGGACCACGACATGGGCTGCAACTACGATGGAGCTGTTGGAGGTACTACGTGAGGGATGAGGAGGTGGGCCGCTCTCCCCTCCCACCCTCCAGTTTCCACCAGTGCTGCCCATTGATTTAACCTTAATGGAAGCCAGTGAGCAAGAGCATCTGGGAATTATAACTTGTAGAGATTAGCTCTCTACAGAGCAGAACGAGGGAAGGAAGTGTGAATGGATCTGACAGCCAACAGGCAAATGACCAGTACAAACAGCAAACTTCAAAACCATATATTTATTTATCAGGATTACAATTAGGTATGCCACCTCCCCTATAGATAAGTAACTACCTGGGACCAGGGATAGAGATAATTTGAAAGAGTCTTTGGCAAATAATTAATCTGAGTGTACTTAGACCCGCACTTCTTCACACAAGCAGATTAATTGTTTTTTAGTGAAGTATTCAAATGCAGAAACACTAAGGACTTAGAAACCAAAAATTAATTAGCGTGGGAGGAAGAGACAGTGAAGCAGCCCCTTAAAAATGGTCTTTCGGGTGGAAACACTTTATTTGGGAAGCAAAGTGCAAGATTCAGCAATAGAAACCACTCAGTGTCCTTGGTGAATGATTTGATCCTGGCCATCAGAACCTTTACTTCAGCCAGCAATAAACTCTTAGAAACAGAAGCTTCGAGGTATGTACTCCTGTTCTGCACGAACAAGTTTTCTGGTTGAACATGCTGAACCTCTTAAAAAATTCAGAACAAGTTTTCTCAGAGTTTACAAAGGGATTTCAATCACATGAAGAGAGGAAAACACACTGAGTCGTAACAGTGACATCAAAATACTTTTGAAGTTGACTGAAAATGTGGTTGCTTTTGTTTGAGAATGGCAAATTAAAGAATTGGATATTGGGTTCTTATCTCAGAAGAAACAAAGGAGGAGACCCTGAAAAACTGAACATGAAGAGGAAGAAGTGGAGTTATGCAACTCTTCATAAGGTTGGTGAAAATTGTTAAATCTTTGTGAGTGGTTCTACAGAAACTGCCTGAGTTGAATGGTATGGGAAACTTCTAGTCTAATGGATCTCCTATCTTGATGTCCTTGACTCCCAGCTCATCAGAGGCTTTAGTTTTCCTCTTTTTAATTTGCCTCTTAATGTTAGAGTTTAGCTGTAAAGATAAAATGTCTAAGTTCCTTGTAGTAAGATTTCTAAGGAATAACACCAGTACTACAAGTAATGCCTCCCTCTTGGGGGTGGTGGGGCATGTGTGTTTGTGTATTGGTGATAGCTATAAAATAGAAATAGAACTTAGGAATTTTTTCCAGAAGTGCCCCACTGTTAGACTGTTCAGCCCCATACAGGCTGCTGCTGGAACCCCAAGTGATGTCTTATTAAGTCTTAGATCAACGGCAACTGGCAAGATACCTGGAAAAGCATTTCAGCATTAAAACAGTTTTAGGTCAAATGAGGCCTGGGGAACTGCAGCTTAATTTGATCCATTGCAGCAAAGAAACAACTAAAGGCTTTTAGGTATTTGGTGGCACAGGTCCCACCAGAAAGTAATATTCAGCACTCTGGGTCAATTCAATATTTAATTATATCAGTTAAGAAGGGAACTAATCAAATACAGGCTTTGTGCAAACGCTCTTTCTATATTTAACTCTACATGCCATGAACCTGCTAGAGAGGAAAATTTGAGTTTAATAATATTTAAA
Organism: Homo sapiens; assembly: GCF_000001405.40. Classification (NCBI taxonomy): domain Eukaryota; kingdom Metazoa; phylum Chordata; class Mammalia; order Primates; family Hominidae; genus Homo; species Homo sapiens. The sequence continues at coordinate 56,190,045 of NC_000018.10, read as the reverse complement.
AGCTCTTTAAAAGAAGCACCGTCTATCCCTTTATAGGGGCTTGCGTTTTAAAAAATAGAAAATCTATCTCTTCGGGGCTTAGTGGGAGTTAAGCCGCCTGAGAACTGGACAGTTACTCAGGAGATACTATGTGGAGATGAGAATGGTAGCTCTGTCACTAAATTAGAAGGAGCTGAGGCTCACAGGTACACACGCAGTGCTCCTTGTACCCATCCACGCCATTAGCGAGGCAACGTGGGAGAAACGCGTCTATTGTAATTCGTTCTGAGCATGCGCACGGCGTGAGCATGCGCAGCACTGTCAGAACGCAGGCCCTTTCTCGCTTCTTTTCCACCTTTGAGACTGCGCCTCTGGGTGCTGGTTGTAACCTGACTGTCTTCGCAGGAGGAGAGGAATGCAGTTCCCTAGGGACGCTCCCCGTTTCTTGATTCCCTTTAGGTATATTTATTCCTGCTTAATCCTCACGTCAAATCTGCAAAATACTTGATGAACCTTGAACTTTTTTTTTTTTTTTTAATTCCCAGAGAGGCAAAACCTTATCAGTCTGTTGGAATATCGCTGCAAAACCATGTTTTGAACGGGTGTGTTCTGTCAGACTGATTGGAGGTTTCTGGCTGGAATGTTTAATTATCACCTAATTAAGACAGGCTTTCGTTAGTCTCTTTTTTGTATGCCTTGAGATTGCCAGCGGCAGGGTAAGCTTTACTTGACTGACAGCTGTCAGTGGCCCATATGGAAATGACAAATAATGTGACAGGATGAAGATAAAAGGTTTCACCTCGACACTGACCTGTGCCAGGACTCCTTTTCTCCACTCCAGGCTTTTAAGGCAGATGCCATGGCTATGTGCTGTGTTAACTTGGCTGTTAGAAGGTTGCGTGCTGGACAATGACTGCAGTGACCCATCAGGCCATGCATCGTAATTCAGATGTTAAGCTGTCTGGGTTGACGGATCACTTCACTGGATGATCTACTGCTCTGCCCTCAACCACTCAGATGGTCAGAAACAATTGATTCCATTCAGAGGAGCCTAACCAATGCCTTCTCAAGCCACATCTAGTGTATTGAAGATGTTAAAGATAACAGCTCCATAGGCTCTTCTTTTGTAAATCTGGTGTACGAGGTCAAATGGGGTTTTCACAGGCCCCAGGAGGGACAAATCCTCGATTCAAATTTCTTTCTTATTTCATTCATCCTGCCCAGCACTCCAAACCTTTTTTTTTTTTTTTTTTTTTTGAAACATCAGCTTTTGCCACATTAATCACCTACTTGGAGGCTGCCGGAAGAGTGCTCATTGCTGGCTGTAGAATTCAACTCAGAGTTCAAGGCTGCCCAGGCACCGTCATCAGACTATCTGTCCAGATGCATTTCCTCCTGCTCCATGACAGGAGCTCCACTTTACAAAACTCTTTGCCCTTTGTTCCTTGAACCCATCTTCACCATTCTTATTTCCAACCTCGACTGGGCTTTCTTCCATTTCCTCCTCTTCTGCCTGGATGTCTTCTAAGAATACTCACTACACTCCTTGCATTAACTGAAGTTTGGCTTTCCCTGGGGCCACAGATTCTCCTGGGGCTGGAAAGAGCAGAGGTTGTTCACTCCCTGGAGCCCAAGTGACTTAGGAGAGGAAAAGAGAGGACCGCAGCATGTTCTTTGACCTTCATTGCCACTCTCATTATTCTTCTACCCTTGCAGAAAATCTCCATCTGTTTGGAGAAGTACTGCGTCCTTCCGGATTATCTTCTACACTATGCCTTATTGTTATCTGGTAAGTCATCACCACTCTATCCCCCACACCACAGGATTTGCTTTCTGACTTGTGCTTTTAATTTCTACTAACCGTCATAATAGGCATCCTCAGTGTATTTCAGATAATTCCTCTAATCGCCTTCTATACTCATTTTTCCTCTGACAACTCCAGAATATGTTTGCCCTGTTTTTGTTTCAGTGGCACACTTTTCTGGCCACACTCAGCCCTGTTCAATCTCTGAAACCTCTGCCTGTCTCTTTGTCTTCTCATCTCAGTCTTTTACCACTATTAGACGTGTTCATCAGCTTCACAGAGTCCTCCAGACTTTAGACCATTTAATTTTCACTTGAGTATCCAGCTTTTTGATCTTAATGATGGGTCACTTCAGTACTGGGTGATCACTTCAGAGAAATCGGCTTTATCTCTTTGTTCTTTAGCTACACCTATGTTTTAAGACACAACTTCCTGATGTTCCAACTATGTGTGCTGTTAGAGATAAATTTCTGAGCTACTGAAGAAAAGGAAAATCTTGTGGTCAAATGATGTTCCATAACTCAAAACAGTGACACTGTGGTCATGTCCTAAGAGTCCTTTTAGGATCTTTAATAGAAGATTCTAACATGACATAGAGGAATGAACACAGGTAAGAATCTGGAGGTTCTATCTTTAATACCAGAGTATTTTTATGCAATCCTACAGAGATATCTGTCCCTCCCTTCCTTTCATTCTACCTTCCTCTTTTCATCTATATCTCCTTCTTTACATTTTCCTCTGCTTTTTCTGTCATATACATTGATAAATCACTTATATTGTTTATGTCTCTGGGGATATAAAAACAGACCCTGCCCTCAAGGAACTTAAAGGAAGGCAGCCAAAGAAATTGTTTACTCTGGTGCTATGCAATAAATGTAGCTGTAGAGGTCTGCACTGCTACACAGAGAAGAGAGAATCCAGCTCTACCTGGGAGAATAATACAAGCTCCAGAAAGAAGATGGTTTTGATCTAAGCGCAGTTCATCTCCTATGACTTAGGGGATTGATCTATACAGGTAGACAGATCAGACCTTTTATTCCAGCCCCCAAATAAATTTTGCTATTCTGGGTTATTTCCTCTGGAATCAACAAAGTGTAAACTCACACCTTTTCTTTGAACTGTGGCAGCCTCACTGGGGGATCCCTGCAGTGATCCTGTGTTCAGCCACCTTTCCAGAGACAGGCCCTCACAGTATACAGAGCTCATCAGTATACAGAGCTTCTTCTTGAAGTGTGCTGTCCAATATGCTAGACACCAGACATGGGTGGCTATTTAATTTTAAATACAAATTAATAAAACTTAACTGATACTGAGTTAATTTCACAGTTGCATTAACCACGTGCTAAGTGATAGCTATCTGCGTCTAGTGGCTACCATATTGGATAGCACCTGCTACAGATAATTTTCATTATTGCAGAAAGTTCTATTAGACTGCTTTGCTCTAGATGCTTCTTCCATTTTTCTAGTCATCTTCTTTTCCGTCAGATATAACTTACTGTGCTAGCCAGGTGTTGTTAGACCCAGCCAATGGGTAGGGTTTCTTCCATGCCTTATCCTTAACATGATGCAGCATGGATGAACTTGCTGGACATTAGTATTCATATCTTTGAGGACATTATGCTATGTGAAATAAGTCAGCCACAAAGAGACAAATACTACATGATTTTACTTATATAAGGTATCTAAAGTAGTCAAACACATAGAAACAGAAAGTGGAATTGTAGCTAGGGGAGGGGAAAATGGGGAGTTGTTCAACGGGTATACAGTTTCAGTATTGCAAGATGAAAAAGTTCTAGAGATGTGGTGCACAACTATTTGAATATTGTAAGACCGTTGAATTGGATACTTAAAAATGGTTGAGATAGTAAATGCTATATTATGTGCTTTTTACCACAATTTTAAAAAAAAGAGCAGTGTTGCCATGTACAAGGTCAACTTACATATTCAAGCAAAAAAAGTAATACAAAGTAAAATATAATTTGCAATAGAAAAAATGGATAAAATGTACAAGAATTAATCAAAAAATTCTTTTTATACCAAAACTTAAGACTAATAAAATACATGGACCATAATCTTATGCAATATAACAGTTTTCCATGCTCCTGATTGAAACAAAAATGTAAAAAGATGTCAATTCTTTTCAAATTGAATTTTTGGGGAGTAATTTGATAAACTTCCTCATAAACCTTTGGAAGAATAAAGATCCAGAGATACCTAAATCAACTTTGAAAAAGAACAAAGAGGGGAAACTTTCTCTACCTGATGTTAAGATAAACTACAAAGCCATGTTTATCAAAACAGCATCGCACTGGCACAAGAACAGACAAATACACCAATGGAATAGAGTGGAGAGCTCAAAAACATGTCCATGAATATACAGGAAATGATTGTATAGTATGATTAGTGCTGTAAATCACTGGGGCAAAGAAGAGATTATCTAGTAGTGTTGGCAACACTGGCTTGCCATATGCAGAAGAAAAAAATATAAGCCAGCATCCCTACCTAAGACTATTTATAAAGATGAGTGCATGATAGGTTAAAAATCTAAATGTGCAAGGAGAAGCTATCAAGTAAATGCGAAATAGTGTGGGAGTATGTCTTTGAGACACAGATGAGGACACACTTTCTTATTTGTTCTACCTTCTATTGGTTCTCTCCCTACCCCACAAGTGCATAGTCTTCTTTGATGTCACCTCCACTTCTCCCTGGCCTCTTACTGTGCGAAGGCCCTGGAGCTCAGTACTTGGACCCTTTCTCTTTTTTATTCTACCTTACTTAGTGGGTTATTTTAGCCAGTCTCAAGATTTTAAATACCATCTCTGTGTTGAGAAATTTTCCAAATTTTAATCTCCAGCTGAACCTACTTGACACCCCCACATGGAGGTCTGATGAACATGTCAAACTTCGCAGGCCTAAGATTAAACTTGTAATCTTCCCTGTAAAATCTGCTGCGCCCACAGCATTCGTCATTTCATCTCTAGGCTTCCCGATGCTTAAATCAAAACGTTGAAGTCATTTTTGACTTTTCTGTCTGTCACACACACCCCACCTTTAACCTATCAGGACATTGTCTTGGCTCTGTTTTCAAAGGTTTTCCAGAATTCCACCCCTACTCCCACCTCCATTGCTTCAACCCTGGTCAAAGCCACACCAGCCTTTTTGTAGGCTTAGGGAAAACTTACGTCTGTTGACAACTGACATTGCAAAAGGTATTGTCCCCAATATATGAATAGTTTCTCAAATTAAAGAACAAAGGAACCAATAACCCTAGAAGGATGAGCTAAAGAAATGAAGAAATAGTTCATGGAAAAAAAGATGTAAATGGCTCTTGAACTTATGAAAAAGTGCTTGACCTTCCTCTTCATAAGAGAAATGCAAAATAAAATTACATTAAGTGACTATTATTAAAAAGTAAAAAAACCCAAAAAACAAAGAACAAAACAGATGCTGCCAAGGTTGGGGAAAAAGAGAATGCTTATATACTGCTAGCGGGCATGGAAATTAGTTCTGTCACTGTAGAAAGCAATTTGGAGATTTCCTAAGGAACTTAAAACAGAACTACCATTCAACCCAGCAATCCTATTACTGGATATATACCCAAAGGAATATAAATCATTCTACCATAAAGACATACACAGGCATATGTTCTTACAGTACCAAAGGCATGAAATCAACCTCAATGCCCATCAATTGTAGACTGGATAAAGAAAATGTTGTACAAAATGTGGTAGATATACACCATGGAATACTATTCAATCATAAAAAAGAATGAGATCATGTTCTTTGCAGCAATATGGTTGGAGCTGAAGGCCATTATCCTAAGCAAATTAACACAGGAACAGAAAACCAAATACTGTGTGTTCTCACTTATAAGTAGGAGCTAAACACTGAGTACAAATGGGCATAAAGAAATGAACAACAGGCACCGGGGCCTGCTTGAGGGTGGAGGTTGGGAAGAGGGTGAGGATTGAAAAACTACCTATTGGGTACTATTTTTATCACCTGGGTGACAAAATAATCTGTACAGCAAACCCCTGAGACATGCAATTTACACATGTACAAACCTGCACATGTACACCTGAAACTAAAATAAAAGTTGGAAAGAAAATGAAGTTAAAAAAAATAAAATTACATTAAGATATTATCTCTCGTGTCTCAAATCGGCAAAATTCCAAACTTTCATAGCACACTGCATTAGGAAAGCTGTGGAGAAACAGCCCTCTCCTGATAGGAATATAAGACGGTACCAACTTGTGGAAGGGAATTTGACAATGTCTAGAAAAAGTATGCGCCCATAAGCTCTGATCTTCAAATCCCACTTTTAGAAAACTATCACAAAGATACACTGTCAAAAACTGAAGAGATGTTTATTATAGCCTACTGATTCCAGCATTATATGTAATAATGAAGACTTGAAACAACCCAAATGTCCATCAACAGTATTAGATTGACTAAAAGCATGGTGCATCCACACAAGAGAGTAATATTTCTAAATATTGACATAAAGTGAACTATTTGAAAAACAGAAGACAATCATTTTTTTAAATTGCCATATTAGTCTGTTCTCATGTCATTATTAAAGAATTACCAAGACTGTAATTTATAAAAGAAAGAGGTTTAATGGGCCCACAGTTCCACTTGGCTGAGGAGACCTCACAATCATGGCTAAAGGTGAATGAGGAGCAAAGTCACATCTTACATGGCAGCAGGCAAGAGAGCATGTGTAGGAGAACCGTTCTTTATAAAACCATCAGATCTTGTGAGACTTATTTACTATCACAAGAATGGCATGGGAAAAACCTGCCCCCATGATTCAGTTACCTCCCACCAGGTCCCTCCCATAACATATGGGTATTATTACAATTCAACATGAGATTTGACTGGGGACACAGAACCAAACCATATCAATTACCTAAAAAGTGAAAGAGGGATAGAAGTTTGACTTATCTGAATATACCTTTTATTTATGGTTTTGACTTCCCAAGTCAAAATACTTTGTAAGTATTTTACATAAGCATGAAACAAAATTTAAATTTAAAAAGCCATCACTATAACATTGGAAGGAAACAGAAACAAATAAATCCAAATTTTTGTTCTAGATTGAGACTTTTTCCTGAATGTTGCCCGATAATTTCCTTCTTCTGATTTATCTTTATATTCTCCTTTCTTTCTTTTCCATCTTTTTGTTTTGTTTTGTTTTTGTTCTTGTTTGGCTATGGTATTTTTACCTAGTTTTAGAAATTGTATTGAGTCTGATGTACTGTTTGGAGAATTTGGGTTTTATTTCCACTGAATCTGAGACCAGTTTGTTTTTCCCTCACAGATACAGTTTGATTGCTGGTTACTTATAATTTGTAGTAAACATTACTAGTTGTCTACTTATATCTATCCTCCTTTTCCTTAGTAAGGGACCATTGATTTCTTTTTCCCCATGGAGCAATGTGCTCTGATAGATACAATTATATTTCCCAGCTTGATTTGTAGCTAGTAGTCGTCACTGAGATATATTTGCAAGTAATTAAATAAGGCTTCTGGGAAATTTTATTAAAAGATACAACTTAGATAGGAGATTTTTTTTTTCTTGCTCTTTACCTCCTTCCTTCCTGGAGTGTAAATGTGATGGCTGGATCTTCAGCAACCATACTGAAACTTTGAGAATAAATGTCACATGCTACTGATGACAGAAAAGAAAGAAGAAACTTGAGTGCATTATAAATTTATGGTTTTACTATCCTAACCCTGGATTACCTGCCTTTGGAATTCTTCCATGTAAAATATTAAGCTTTTGATTTTTAAGCCACTGTAATCAGGCCTCTGTTGCCTATAGTTGAAGGCAATTCCTAATCAATACTCTGTTCTATTGATTTCTTAGCAGTCTGAGGGATAGTGATATGGTTTGGTTGTGTCCCCACCAAAAACTCATCTTGAATTGTAGCTTCCATAATCCCCACATGCTGTGGGAGGGACCCAGCGGGAGGTAATTGAATCATGGGGGTGGGTTTTTCCCATGCTGTTCTCGTGATAATGAGTAAGTCTCATGAGATCCGATGGTTTCATAAAGGGCAGTTCCTCTGCACATGCCCTCTTGCCTGCAGCCATGAAAAACGTGACTTTGCTCTTCCTTCACCTTCCACCATGATTGTGAGGCCTCCCAAGCCATGTGGAACTGTGAGCCCATTCAGCCTCTTTTTCTTTATAAATTACCCAGTCACAGATATTTCTTCATAGAAGTATGAAAATGGATGAATACAGATAGCAAAGTTAGAGCCTTTAGCTGATGCAAAAGATGTCCTTGTTAGAATAACTGAGCTGTGCTCCCTCAGAGATATTATTCCTTTTCTTAACTTAAAAATATATATATTTTTAAATTGACATGTAAAAATTGTATATATTTATGATGTACAATGCAATGTTTTGAAATATGTACATACATGCTGTTGAATGGCTAAATCAAGTTAATTAACATATGCATTACCTCACATATTTATTTGTGGTGAGAACATTTAAAGTCTATTCTCAGCAATTTTCAAGTACTCAGTACATTGTTATTAACTATAATCACCATGTTGTACAATAGCGCTCTTGAAATTATTCCTCCTAACTGAAATTTTGTATTCTTCGACCAAGTGGAGATATTATTCTTTATCAGAATTTTATCTACATATTTAGGGGGCATGTACCATTACTGTTAGGGTGCAGCTTGCTCTTGCAATTCCTTGTGTAGCCCTGAAGCCTTCACTTCATCTGAGAGTCAGACCCACGACACCTTTTTCCATTTCTTCCTACAGGCTGGTTCCACCACCGGTCAGAAGAATGAAAATTGCAGATACCTATTCTGTGTGTTTCTCTCCAGAATGGTGGATGTTAGAGACCCTACTAAGGATTTGTGGACTCACTAACGTAGTCTCTAAAAGGTAAGGGCAGAGTTTGGAGCTGAACTATGCCCAGCCTCTGTTTCACTCTCCAGAATCTTCTGCTTACTTCCATGGTAACTACTCATTGATGCTTATTTCATTATGTCTCTTTATTTGTATGAATAATCATATCCTTGTATATCAAAGGTGAGAGATTCTCTAATAGAGTTTTAACCTACCATTTTAAACCAGGATCCATCTATAGTCTATGAAGTTCCATAAGTACTATAAAAATAAAAAAAATTTAAATCAATATTGCCTTTATTTTTATTTAGTGTAGAGGCAAAATTTAATATTTAATATGTAATATTGGAAAAATCTAATTTTAGTGTCTTTTTGGCTAGTGTATCCCCAAATGAATTAAATTAACAGTTTCATGGCGTTCTTAATAGGAATGATCAGCTCTAGTATGCTGCCAGGATGCAGTCATATGGTGATACAGGTTGTTTACAGCCAGTGTCCCTTCTAAGTGATCATTTCCCTGCTATATTTGTTGTTATATAGTTAGGATATCATCTCTGGTGTTTCATAAAAAGAACACCCAGACTGATAGTCAAAATATGTATCCAAAAGGATAATTATGTGGGGGAACCAAATAATAAGACGAAGCAAGCACATGTCTTTGTTACAGGACTTAACAGAGACTTTAAATGTACTAATGTGATTTGGAAAGTTCCAAGTGAATAACTTAGTGACTGATAGGAGGGAGAACTTCCTTAGTTTATTTGAACTCAGAGCCCTTTTTACTGCAGAATCTTTCATGACTGGTAACCTAAAATAATCTGAGAAACACTGCCTTAAACTTTTAAAATTTTCGGTGAACTCTGAAATGTTTAAGAATGAAGAAAATAATGACAATTACCTTTTAGCACTACAAATACTAGACAAAACATTTAGGTATGTTTTTCTTCTTTTTGTATACCTTCAGCTTTTTCTCACAGTTAAAACCTTTATTTATGTGCAGATTTAGATTTTGAAACATTCTCTGATATTCAGGGAGACACACTGATTAGTAGATGAATCCATGATTTTCCCCTCTGACCCACAAGTTCCAAGAGAACTTCAAAGAGAACTAATATTTGAACTATGACTAAATGTATTTTTAAAATAAACACACATACATACACATACAAATCAAAGACTTTGACAACTTCTCAGCATATTTTAATTATGAAGACATTATAAGCTTCATATCAAAAGCAAGCATATTATTGATGAAATAATGTTCCTCTATGGGAAACTGTGAAGCTGTTATATTAAGAATGCAGGAGGAAGGATAGGTACTGTCTTTAAAATGTGGTTGAGTGTATCCAATATCAAATATATATGTAAGTGCTGAACAGTTCAATTTATCATCAACATCTCTATGATTAAAATTTTTCCTTTCATCTCTTTATATAAAAAATACTTTATGACTACGAACACTTTTTCAGCTTTCTCGTAGTGGGTACTTTTGAAATTTGAATTCTGATTTTATTTTCCCCTTAAGTTTTAAATCCTCTTCAATCCATCCTCAAGTTAATGTATGAACTAATACTGTTTCCCATGTGCCTGCCTTTCATACCAACATTCGCCCCTGTTACCTCAATTTTGAGCAGTTTTTCAAACTATTCCCACATGTTGGCTATTTAATTCCTTGCCCATTGTTGTCTTCTCAAGTCGCAGGATTCACTAACTGCTTTGGCTTTGAATATTCTCTTAATCCTTTTGGTTTTAGCAACAATTTATTTGTTGTTTGTCTGAGTCTGTTTAGGATGCTATAACAAAATACCATAAACTGGGTGGCTTATAAACAGAAACCAACAGAGATCGATTTCTCACAGTTCTGGAGACTGGGAAGTCCAAGGTGAGGATGCCAGCAGACTCAGTGTCTGATGAGGGCTCTCTTTCTGGTTCATAGATGGCACCTTCTAGCTGTGTCCTCACATGGTGGAAGAGATAAGGAATCTGTCTGGGCCTCTTTTATAAGGGCCCTAATCCCATTCATGGGTGCTCTGCCACTATGACCTAATCACCTCCAAAAGGCTCCATCCTAATACCGTCACATTGGTAATTAGGTTTCATCATCTAAATTTTGGGGGGACAGAAACATTCAGACAATAACACTGTTCTTGTTTGCTTTCCAGGGCTTGATTTTAGAACCAGGCTTATGGGTCCCAAAACTGTAAGCTCTAAAGGCACAAATGAGATAAAGTTCTCTGACTGCCCCCATCATGGGCAAAGGTCAAATTCACTAACTCTGCATGGGACTTTTCCCATGAAGCAAATTGTAATTTGCAAGTTGGAGAACTAGATTTATTAGAGAGACACCAAAATATGAACAATGGTTATTTCTTGGTGCTTATACTGGTGACTCTTTTTTAAAAAAAGTTGTGCTTTTCCATGTTTTCTGAAATTTCTGCAAATTGTAATCTCTGATGTGGCCATCAGAAAAAAATCGATAAATGTCTTTGGTCTTATGAGAACCGTGTGATAAACATCTTACCTTCACAAGGCAGAAAATACTTCCTTTTCTTCTTTCTCCTTCTGCTTCCCTCATGTCCCCTGCTGTACCCCCTGCAGCCTTTCTCAAAATTAAATTTAATGATTTCTTATCAAGAATTTACAAGGTATTCTTGCTTTCCTAGGAAGATACGGTGGAGTAGAAATGTTCAAAATAAAGTGTTTTCCACATTCAAGGTATTTGTAATTTCCCAGGGGAGATATAAATAAAATAATCATAGAATAATACGTAGCAATAAAAATCATGAACAGAAATGCATGGTGTATGTTACAATTGCTTAAGTATTCAGAGGAGGTGACCCATCTGCTCCCTCAGTGTGTTTTTAGAACTTTCTTTCAGATTTCCAGGGGGACCCACCTCAAATTTATTAATTCAGAATCTCAGGAGAATCACCTAGGAGTCTGCATTTCCCAGGTGATTTCTGTCATCACTGGTGTTTGGGAAACCACAAGCTTGAGTAATAAGGAAATATTTCAGGAGTTGCTGGAACATGAGAAAAACATTAAAAGACAGGCAGAAATTAGGCAGAAAATTCAGAGGGCAAGTGCTTTGGGGAAGCCTTCTTGGAAGAAATAGGACCTAAGCTTAGATCCATATCAGCTGGAAAAGTGAGTGAATGAGTTCCTGGGATAGCTGCAAAAGGGGTGTTTTACAGAGGTATTTGACCCTCTAAATCACAAATTTTTCTGGATAATGAAATTAAAATGACCTTATGTAAAATATCCACCTCTCTATCTTTTCTTAGAATAGAGTGCACCATGGTCTAACCTCTAAGGCTTTTGAAGATTTACATTTGGACTTGCCACTCAGATTTTTAAATGAATGTCAGAGCTGAAAAGGTATCTGTTAAATTCATTGGCAGAATCAGAAGAAGCTATCACTCAATTTTATCCATTTACATTGAATTCAAACCGTCCATCCCCGTACATTTTTTTTCTGCCTTCCCTATAGGATTAATATAAATCATGGGAGATAATTTGCAAAAAGGGCTATTTAAAATTGCGGCAGTGCAGTTCATTTGGTAATAATTGGTGTAAAATTCAATTATTACCGACGAATAAAGGTTAGTAACTTAATCATTGTAAAGAACTGACGTCTGGGTGAAGAAGGAGTAAATTAGGGGATTCCCAAGTCTTTTAATCTTTACCCCCGAGTGATTCTAGAGTATTTTCAAACCTTGGAAGAGCTTTAAAAAATCGCATCCTTCCTGTTCTTGGATAGAATTCTTCCCATCAGTTTATTTTCAAAGTAATAAATGTGTAAATACATGCCATAAGTTTATATGCTAGTACAACTCTGTAGTAATTTTTAATCCAGCCTAACTATTCAGAAAATTTGGTCCTGATTTTTTCCCTTCTGGCACAGACCAAAGAGAGAACCACAGCCCATTTGTTGAAAGTCCCGACATCTGCTGATGTGTCAGTTTTGTTTAGTTAAAACGTATTCGTGTTTGTGAGGACGGGGGCCACTGAAAGGCGACAGCGCTGGAGAAAATAAATTCTACTTTTACCAACATTAACTCCCTTGATTTTGCATTAATTGTGATATGCTTTGTGTCTGGGGAAACCACCTCTGCACAAAGATTTGGGGCACTGGAAGATTTCATAAATCAAAATAAATACCCAAAGGAAGGCTGGGTGTGACAGAGGTCACCGGCTGGGATGCTGTACACCTGGGGAAATGGGGCTCCTCTCCCGCACCTGCCGTCCTGCTCAGCCGGAACTGAGGCCTGGTTCTGAGGAACAGACAGAAATTCTAAAGAGCTAGAATTTGCCCTTCCCCTCATTATAGTTTCCCACTTTGGGTAGTTAGTATGCATTTAATCCATTCATATTTGTATTGGAATCCACAGCTCTATCCAGACCCAAAGGAGTGCTACTAAACAGTTTTCACAGCTCAGCATTTTTTTGCACTAAGGAGGAAAGCTGGACAACAAGTTTATAAAATGCTGACAGAAATACACAATAATTTAGCGAGCTTCCATTCGCAGTCTTCAAGAATAACTGCCCTACATCTCCCATTATTGTTTCAACTCATCCTTCTGAAATGGCTCACCAAGTAGAGAGATGCCGTAAAGGTATGGTCAGCAATGAATTATTAGTAAGCAGTATAAGCATGGTGATAAACCTTTTAAAACTTGCATCTATACGGCAGGCACTTCAGAAGGTAAATAGGTATAATAACACATCTATGGGGTTCCCCCTCTCTCCCCACTGTCACATGTATTTCTTTTCAAAGAGAAGAAAGGCTGACTAGGTAGCTGGCCTTTAAGCCTTCAATTAATTGAACAAAGATTTTTAAATTGTTCAATTGGTTTCATTAGGAAGTGTACAATGAAATAATAAAGTAAAACAAATGATATAAAGCAGAGCCACTAATTAGCTCTACATGATTGATATAGCTTTGGACCAGGCATTTGATCTCAAACAAAATGCAGTTCCTTGTTAAGAGGATTTTTAATTGATGTGCAGAGAGGTATTAGTTGATGTTAGAAAATAATTACTCCAAAGCTATTCATGCATTTGGCTGAACATAACAAATGAAGTTTGGGCACTGGATCTGGTGAAGTGGACACGTGCTAATTAATAACAAGAAGAACAAGCATCTTCCAGGCGTTTTTAACCCAGTATTTGCTAGAAGATTGCTGAGCAATTATGCGCCATAATGAGGTTGTCATATAAACAAGATCAACATTACTCAGATGTCAGATGAGATTTCAAATTCATGCAACCCATATGTATTTTCTGGTTGTTATAGATTGCAATGGAGAGCTAACCAATCAAGGTCGCTACTCCAAGTTCAGGTATGATTAAGGAGACATCATAATGAGATAGCAAATCTTTGCTATTTTCTGATGGTCAAATTAAGGCTATCCCGTTAGAATAAATAAGCAGAGATATTGAGCTCACATCAAAGCACAATACATAAAAAAAAGAACTTCTCTCAAAGATATGAATATTGACTAGGGTAAATATGCTCTTCATCTCTAAAAACTTGATGAGCATATGCGCCAAGTTACACATAATTTGTTAAATCTGACAAGAACGTTAAATTAGCATTTGGTTGGTCTCGGCCAAATTCCTTGCTCAGAAAAATGTGTGCATGTTGACATGAAATTAGAGGGACTTATGGGTGAATATCTGAAGGCGGAATTTGTCTTTCTTTGTTTTATATAAGGCTGTTCCCCCTCCCCCACAAATGGTAGAAAATAAAGCTAATTTGGAATATGTCTTCATAGTTAAAAATGCAGCAGATTCAAGTATGTAGATGACAGACAAACAGCTTAAACTGCAGTTAGGAAAACTTGAGTTTGCTATGAGTTACAAGTATTGAAATATTGCTTAATAGCTCAACTTAACTTTTGCAACATATAAACTCAGTCTGAGTGACTAATTTAATATCTGCCTTTTAGAAAGTTCATTTTACTCAATTATTCTCCACAAATTTTTATGTTCCCCGCTATTGTACTGAAAACCTGATGTTTCCCATGAAATGGTGGGATGCGTGAATTTTAAAGACTTTCTAAGTTCTTGCCAGATCAAAAAATGTGTGTGTGTGTGTGTGTGTGTGTGTGTGTTTGTGTGTGTGTCGAAAACACGTAGAAGTGAAAGAAAGGTCAGAGTCAGAGAAAGAGGATTTCCAGACTGCTAATGAGTTTCTCAGTTTCTTCATGAAGCTTTACTGCTCATCCTAGTTGGTGCACAATTCTCTATCCAGAATGCTACCACTTTCACCTAGACGGAGCAATTAACTGCCAAAGCAAAGAGGGGTATGTGTGTTTATTCACAAAGGCTCTTTTCTGAAAAGACAGGAGTGAGGGTGCTGTCCTCTGTTATTTTGTGATTATTGTTTGCTAATGTTAATCTTTATTATCTTTATTATTTGAACTCATTCCTTTGCTACTCAGTATTTCATTTTTTTAAACATAATAAATTATTTAATTTTTTAACAGAAAACCTCTTAAAATCGAGTGGTGATTGGCCGGGCATGGTGGCTCACACCTGTAATCCCAGCACTTTGGGAGGCTGAGGTGGGCGGATCACTTGAGGTCAGGAATTCAAGACCAGCCTGGCCAACATGGTGAAACCCCTTCTCTACTAAAAATACAAAAATTAGCCAGGCGTGGTGGTGGGTGCCTGTCATCCCAGCTACTCGGGAGGCTGAGGCAGGAGAATCGCTTGAACCTGGGAGATGGAGGTTGCAGTGAGCCGAGATTGTGCCATTGCACTCCAGCCTGGGTGACAGGAGAAGACTTCATCTCAAAAAAAAAAAAAAATGGAGTGGTGATTATTAAAGATTATTAAAGGGCACTCAATGCCCTGATCAGTCCCAAGGCCTGTTTTTGTATTAACTGCACAGTCTGCAGGACAATGCAGAGACTAGAAGACAAAGATCGTTGAGAGAAGTTCTCCAGATTCCATGGGGGCAATAGAACCTACAGCAAGAACAAGAGGATGGGGTACAGCAAGAAGATGAGGATTTGTGCCCTGTGAGAGGCTTCAACCTTGTCTAGATGGGGTCAGATGCAGACCATATCACTGTGGCCTGGAGGATGGATAGGACTTACATGGATGAATAGGAATGTGAAGTAATTCTAGTAAGAAAAGTACATTTCTTCCCTGAAATAAATGCAGGAAACTGCATTGCTGCCCAGTTCTATGAAGACAGAAACCAAAGTGAAGGAGTAGAATGTGAAACTCAAGGAGTGAGCTGGACTCTTATCAAAGGACAGGTCACTAGTTTTGATCTATGAACTTGGAAATATCTAACTGGAGCTTAAGAAGGGTCCTTCCTCTTGGGTTAAGCACTGAACCATCTGAATAAACACTGCAAAGCAAAAACAACAAACAGAAAAATCCCTGGAATCTATATAAAAGTTTGAGTTCTCTCTTAAACATGGCTGTTGAGTATCTCCTCTTGCTGCCTGGTAGAAATGCTGTGGATGTTTAGAGACTAAGTAATTACAAAGGTTATTATGCTCTATAATCATAAGTGAAAAGAGAGTTATTGAAAATGTAATTACAAATTATGACCATGTTAAATAGATGAATAGGAATAAGACTGGAAGGAAATAAACCAGAATGCCAATATTGGTTTTGTTAGAGTGGTGAGATTATGAGTCATTTACCTCTTCTTTTCCAAATTGCCTGTAAACTTTTAAAATTATTTTTTAATGAGCATTCTTTAAAGTAAGAATTTACTACAGTAAATTCTCTTGGAGCAAAAAGCAGGAAAGTTTCTGGAAGTGCAATTGGTAATTCTGATTGTTCTGTATAACTGGAGATTCCAAGTAGACTGATATTACTCAATAACTTCTATGACATCAAAGGATTTCAAAGTAAATTGTCATCCCCAATGAGATGGGTCATCTTTTGACTGGATTGATTTGATTATGAGAGTGGGTCGTCTTTTGATTGGATTAAGGGTAAAGAATGAGTAGGTAAATGGGTGAAGAATGCATAGGCTGCTTTCTACACCTCCACATAGAGCACATCAGCTTGACAGGTAACTGATACCTTTAGGAAGCCTGGTCTTGGCAGCACTGGGCAAATTTAGCCACCCATGAAAGGAGCAATGGTCCAAAGTCACTCCCTATGGTGGAGTTGACAGCTTTTGCTCCTCATGATCTGTGAAATGCGGCCTCAGATGAGATTTTAAATCAGCTCTGAAATATGCTTGAAGATTTACAGAAAATTACTTGCAGGCAGATATCTTTCTTTTGTGCAAGGAAGATCACAAGCATAAGTACCCTTTGTGTAAGAGAGGGCACCCAGAAGAGGAAATTTCTTCCTGCAATTCACCTAACATCAAAATTTAAACTACTACATAGTCAGTGGTTCTCAAAGTGTGGTCTCAGCCCAGCAGCATCAGCATTACCTGGGAACTTGTTAGAAATGCAAAAATCTCACACCTAATGCATCTGACACTGAGGGCGGGGCCTATTCATCTGTCTTTATGAGACATCCAAGTGATTCTGGATTCTGGATGCTACACACTAAAATTTGAGAAACATTGACACAAGTACAGTGGCAAAGAGCATGACTTTTGGATTAACTACTTGGGTTTAGATCTCCATCACTTACTAGCAGGATGAATTTGGTGCAAGAGAGAAGTAGATGGAAGGAACATATGGAATTTCAAGAATTTCCGTGAGCCTCTTCATTGAATGGGAAAAGCCCAAGTAAAGAATTTAAGATATTTTGAATTTTATTTCTTCTTAAGTAACTCTGTTTCTTTGATCATTCTTGGAATAAACTATTTGGGTGATAATTTTATAAGTGTTAACATTTATAAGTTTTTTTTAAGTTGCAGAGTATATATTTTATTAGGGAAAAGTATGTCATCGTTTTCTATGAGTAGTTATGTTCCAACTACATAGGAACGCTGGAAAGAGAAAAGTTCACACATAAAATAGTTCATATGAGACAGAAAAATGGAAGGGAAGAAGACCTGGCCCTGGGATCTATAACAAATTTAGGTAATTGTCTGGAAATGGAAGGAAACAGAAATCTTCATGAGAAGAGATCTGAGTCCTCACGAAAATTTAGCAAACAACTGAGAAGTGATTGTTTTAGGCAATGTCTCTTATCTAACTCTTCATCCACAGCTTTTACCTGGACAGTGGTAGCAGGGCCAGCTACACAATTTGCAGGACCTAGTGATAGATTAAAACATGAGGAACTTTGTTTAAAAAGTAAGAAAAAATTACCATTAAAGGTAGTAAGATATAAAGCTTTTTCCTTTCTTTTTCTGTCTGTCTCTCAGCTTGTCATATAGATTTTATTGTTTATCCTTATATTGTGCAATCCCAGTTGTAAATGCAAATGTCAGAGCATTTAACTCCTATGTGAAATCTCTAAACTTTTTCAGTTTTTTTTTTTCGTGACTTCTCTCTGGCAGGTCTCTAAAGCTGGCCAGAAAAGGCAAAAACAGGTTGGGCATGGTGGCTCACACCTGTGATCTCAGCACTTTGTGGGGCCAAGGTGGGAGGATCGCTTGAGGCCAGGAGTTTGAGACCAGCCTGGGCAATGTAGGGAGACCCTGACTCTACAAATAATTTAAAAATTAACTGGGCATGGTGGCATGTGCCTGTGGTACCACCTACTCAGGAGGCTGAAGCAGGAGGATCACCTGAGCCTAAGAGGTCAAGGCTGCGAGGTCAAGGCTGCAGTAAGCCATGATCATGCCACTGTACTCCAGCCTGAGTGACAAAGCAAGACCCAGTCCCCCCAAACAAATGGGCAGAAATAGGCCAGATTTAGAAACGTTCTAAGGAGGAAGAGAGGCACCCAAAGTACCAAGTTGCCTGAGGGAGCATTCCCTCCTGCTAGAATACTCTTAGGGTAAGTATGGATCCCAGAGGCACCTGGGAGCCCCTGCCTTGCAAGTCAGGGAAACTGAGGGCACTCAGGCTGAGAACTGCTGGGTTCCATCTCCTGCCAGGGACTAGATTTACATGCTGGGCCCCAGCAAGTGTGGAAAGTGAAGCCAGGAATCCCCCTTACCCATAGACTTGCTGCCCCAACCCATGGCAAATGACAAACGCCAAGCCCAGGGATGCACTAGGTCCCCTGATTGGGGGTAAGCAAAACGTTCACCCTGCCCAGTTACCCACAGAATGTGCTGTGGCCCTGTCATGCCCCACCCTCACCCTCCTAGGCCTCCTGAGGGTGGCAGAAGTGGTCAGAAGGGAGCCACATTATCACATGCAGGGAGTGGGGAGAGTGAGGCCAAGTGAGGCTGGGTGCACCAGGAGTGTAGGGCACCTCGCAGGTGAGGGCCTGTCCTGGCCAATGCAAGGAGACTGTAGGAGGTGGGCCTCGAATGAGCCAAGGCTCCAAGTTCCCCATTTCCTTTCCCCCTCCCCAACCCCAGGCACCACCATCTTATTTTACTCCAGTTACAAAACATGTATTCAGAGACAAAGTTATTAAAAATCTCATGGCAACAACTGGAGAGTAGTAAATCACAAGCACAGGGGCTTCTGTGCAAAGGGCCCTGGGGGCGGCACTGGTGCTGGCCCATGAGGCCGGTGGCTGTGTGATGAATGGGGTGCACCAGGTAACAATATGCTGTGTGAAGGTAACCAACCCACGTCATTTGTATTTGGGATCCCTTGTCTATTTGGGAAGAATTGGAGACTTAAGAATTTTATTTAATAAAATGTGGCCACAGAGTTTGGTCAAACATCTTATTGAAGCAATTTGCTGGGCTGCTTTATTAGAATCAAGGGCTCTAAAACATAGAACTTTTCATGCGCTCCATATTATATGGTTTGGATGTGTCCCCACTCAAATCTCATCTTGAATTGTAGCCCCCATAATTCCCACGTGTTGTGGAAGGGACCCGGTGGGAGATAATTGAATCATGGGGGTGGTTTCCCCCATACTGTTCTCATGGTAGTGAATAAATCTCAAGAGATCTGATGGTTTTTTATGGGGTTTCCCCTTTCACTTGGCTTTCATTCTCTCTTGCCTGCCGCCATGTAAGACATGACTTTCACCTTCTGCCATGATTGTGAGGCCTCCACAGTCACATGGAATAGTGAGTCCATTAAACTTCTTTTTCTTTATAAATTACCCAGTCTTGGGTATGTCTTCATCAGCAGCATGAAATACAGACTAATACACTAAAGCACATAAGAATGCAGTTTCTTACAGATATGGAAAAACATCTGAATATTCTGAACTTGAAACTGTAAGATAAAAGTATAAGCCTTAGTGATTTGTTTAAGAGTGTGTAGGTACTGAGAATTCCACTGGGTAGTTTGGCAACTGAATTTCACATTTTACCTCCATTTCTCATTGTTGTCTTCCCTAGAATCAATGAAATCGCCAATTATATTTGTGTGTAGTCATTTAAAGTAGATGTATTTCAAAGAGATTCACAAACAGTCATATATATGAATCATGTTTTAAGTTTTTGTTGCTGCCTTTGGAGAACCAGCTTCAGGGGAAGCAGAGTTTCAGTACTTAGAGCAATCCATGCCATATAGTAAGTGCCCAACTAATACTGATGAATGAAATTTCGTGAAGCTGCTCTTCCGCACAGTTCAGTCGGTTCAGCCTATCAAGGATCACCAAGGAGATACTCTATGGACCCCAGAGCCATCCTGACATTTCTGGCCTTGTGGGTAAATTCAGGCCAACATTTGGATCATAATCTTTTAAATGAAGCCACTAAAATAAAAGCCAGGTGCTTCCTTCGGTGGTTCAAACCCAGAGTCAGAAACAAGATGTAAAAAGATCAAAGCACAAACTGTCACAGTGGATGATAAGTTGGGAGTAGGACCCAGGAGCTTTCTCTTTTGATTTAAATTGTTGTAATATTCCCTCCAATCTCCCACCTTATTTTTATTTTTTGCAGGTGCTACATCTGTACAAATGAATCCAATGTTTCCATGTGAGTCCAAAGTTCTCAAATTCTTCACTGGCAGCATTATACATTTTGGTGTAAAGTCTATTTTCATGGTTTAAAAAGTCAGACTATTTTCCTGGGACATTTGATGATAGAGAATAATTCAATTTGCCAAATAATATTATTTTAATTGACTTGCTTCCCAAACTGACTCTTGTCTAGCAATTACACTTATAGGTATAATTGTATTTTTGTATAAGTCTGATTGAACAACCTTTGAAATATTTATGCACATTTAAAATAAGAGGCTATGTTTCACCAATGGTTATCAATAAAAAATTCATGCATACATGAAAATTCCTGATCCTGCAGTCCTCTTCTGATTAAAAAAATGCCATTTGAGTGTCTACTATGTGTGATAAACATTACAGATGATATCTCATTTACCCTTCACTGAAGCCCTATGAGAGACATTATATTACTTCCCCCAAGTTCCCATAGGCTCAGAGAAGTTAAACTAGTTACCCAGAGTCACACAGCTAATGTGTAATAGGGAGGATATAAATAGTAGTCACTGGACCCCAAAACTCCTGCCATTGTGGCTCTGATCTCTCCCCTCGACTTCTACCTTTTTCCAAAGGAACATAGCATTCTGTTTCCTTTTTTCTTCAAGAAAAGGGATGCCTGTCCCCGATGCACCAGGCAATATTCTCTCTTTAGGGGATTTTTCAAGCTTTTCCAGTGCCCTGGATTACCACCCCACCACCCCTTTCACATTCTTAGTGACTACACATTCCTGCTAGAATACCTTTTAGGGAGAAAGGTTGGGAGAGAGCCTGGGAGGGTTATATTCACAGCTAACTAATCTTCTTCTCCGAAGCTCCTTCCTCCTTTCTCGTCAGTGAGTCATTTACTTTGAATAAATAGCTTCTTTGCTGAGCAAAGTTTCAGCAATTTTTACAGCCTTATGCTTTTTTATTTTTTTAAAATACGACTGGGCTCTTTCCCTTCTGGATGTGTTTGGGCTTATTGTGAACATAACATAAAACAATGTTAGAACCCTGCAGCTTTGTGTGGAGAGAATAGCTAGTGCTTAAAGAACAAGCCTTCCCTCCAGCTCCAAAGGTAAACCTCCCACAGGTCTTTATGTGGTTGCTTAAAGCATGTTCTCACCTATTGCCTCCTTTTATCATCCAACATCTTGTGAAATAACCAGAGTGGCCTGTTAGTACTCCCATTATTCAGATTAAGGGCACTGAAACTCAAGTTTTAGAAATTATTGGCAGAGCCAGGATTCCTACTCAGTTCTTCTCTGGCATTGGGGCTGTGCCCATTTCTGCTGCCTTGCTCCACGAAGGGCCTGCATCCGCCCTTTCCTTGACCTGGGGTCACTGCTATCTCCAGCCATTCTTTGTTCTGCCATTCTCTGCACTTTCTCAGCCACACATCTCTTTGGCCTAAAAGCAAAGTGAGAAAAATAAATTTGGAGTAGAAACAAATTGTACAAGTCTAAGGGACCATTTCTGTCAATATTTTGGTATCTTGTTTAATTATTTTTTTAATGTTTGTGCAGTTGTCTGTGTGTCTTTTTGTTGTGAGTCTGTATCAATATTTTTTTTTGCTTTGTTTAAGAGGGCAAGTTCCCGGAGAGAGAGAATTGTGTCTATTTTTCTTTTCCTGCCCTCCACAAAACACCCAAACTATGTGGTTACTTTGCAGAATTTTTTTGATGTCAAATTTCCTCTGCCTGGACATCCCCCTCCCAATTTTGTTCTAGTTCTTTTAGGGAAAAAGAAAATGAATCTTTTCGTTCTCAGAAATATTTGTTAAAGTAATTTTTCTTTGAAAACTCTCAGCTGTAGGGTCTGGTTATAAACTTGTGCAACAGCGTGGCTTGTAATCCTTTGGTTCTGCTCTCATGCTAAGAGAAATGGGGGATTGTAGCCTTCAAGCTGGACCTTAAGAGTCAACATTGGCTTAAAAACACAAGTTTACTTGTAATTTGTCTTAGCGTGGGCCTCTGTTCACTGGATATATGTGGCCTTTTAATTACGAAAGATGACAGAGCAGAAAGTATATACCCAATGGGGAGCTCCTTAAAAGCACAAATAAATTCTATATTTATAATATAAAATGCATTATATTAAGTTTGACACTTTGACCAAGTGGCACAGAGATATTTCCTTTCCTGCAGATTTCTCCAGGGGCAGTTAATCTTCTCTTGTTTCTCCTGACTTTTGGAAGAGAAAATAGGCAATGACCTTGACTATAGAACATCAATCAAAAGGAAAAAAATCCAGCTGGTGTCCAAATATTTGATCTCCTATGATGCCAAATAGCTGGGTGCTTGTGGTCTAACCCTGATGGAAAGGGCCTGGCTTGTTTATGCCAATAGTCTTACCCTAGTTATGGTTGCATTTGGAAGCTTTCTTTGTGTTTATGCCACTCTGTGAGTGAGAGTGCAGATTCCAACTTACCTTTCTCCTAATCTCATTTGAGTGGCCCCAGGAGGTGTGTGCACTCCCTGCCTGCTGCTGCTGAGGCTCCACACTCATTCAGGGTGGGCCTTGTGTGGTAAATGACACTTGTCATTGAGAACCTCTCACCCACCTAGTGCCTCTGATGAATAGCCCTGGGTACAAATGGGTGCCCTGCAAGGCTTTTCAAGCTGGGGGCAGACACAGACTGTACTTGAAAAGGAATAAGGACTCCAGGCTAGTCTGAGGCTTCAGTTGGAGCCCCTAACTTCTCAGTAAGGAATAACATTCCATGGAGGAGGTGAGAGGGACTTGTCATTCCGTGAAGACATACCTGCATCATGTCCATGTCTGAGAAGCAGCCGAGTCCCCAGGAACGGAGAGGAGCCTCAAGAGGAGTGAGTCCCTGATGTGCCCTATCTTCCTGATTAAAAGGTCACCTCTGCAGATGAAACCAGTCAGTTAAAGAGGGATCTCCAATTTGTTCCCACTACCATCTTTGGTGCCCACAAAGCTGGAGCGACCAGGAAAAGCCAATTTTCTTCTACCTTCCTGCCTTCTTTCCCCCTTCCCTCTCTTCCTATAGCCTTGCATCCTTATTTCATTCAAACATTTATTGAGTAAACATCTGTACCAGGCATTGCAAGGGGCTAAGTAGACCAACTAAGGAATATAATGCAATAAACAGAGGTGCATGTATAGTGCGATGGTGAATTAATAGAGACAGTGATCAATTCCTGGAAAGGTAATAGGGACTTATCGGGAAAATTTCCACCTTAAAAGGGTCATTAGCATTCCAAGCAGTAGGAGCAACACAGTCCAAGGCTTGGATGACTGACAAAGCATAGACTGATCATTAGTCAAGAATCTTTTTGTGGTAAATAACAGAATAAACACCTTGATTTAAAAAAAAAAAGCAGAGATTTATTATAAGGACATGAGGGGAAGGACATAAGTATTTGTCATCTCAAAAATGTCTCTCAGATGTTCCTTGACCTTCACTGCTATCACCTGAGTTCACAGTCCTGTCTCTCTCACAGGACCCCCCAGAGACCTCTTCCTTCTTTTATTCTGGTGCTATTGAATCCCTGCTCCATATAGCAGCCACGATCATTCTTTTTGGCTTGCAAGTTGGATCACATCAGCTCACTCAAATCATGGCCCTGACTTCCCCTTGCCTGGAGCACTCAACCTGATTCCTCGCATGGCTTACAAACCCACACTTCATGTGGTCCCTGACTAGTTTGTTCCACTCTCCTGTTTGCTCAGCTGGACAAAGCCTTTCCAAAGTTCTCTAATCTATATCCTCTTTCTGACCTCAGGACATTTGCCTAAACTGTTCCCTTGGCCAGAGACGCTCTCCTTTTCTCCTCACTCTTCACCTAGCTATGCCTATCATCCTTCAAGGCTGGGGGTCAATGTTACCTTTTTGAGGGGTCTTCCTGGCACCTCCTCCTCTCTTTCTCTCTCCTCCCTCCCTTAATTCTTAATCCACACCAAATAGTATAGTTCAGTCCAAACTCAGGTAAGTGAAAACAAGGAAGTAAATATTTTCTGATGGGAGAAATATATCTCCAATCAAAACTTAATTTCCTTGGAATTTATTTTTGTTGTTGCCAAAAAATATTTTGACACAAGTATTTGCAGTTTCTATTTATTGCTAAAAGTGACTGTAGAATGCATACAGTGAAGTATTATTCAGTCTTAAAAAGTGTATTAGTCTGTTTTCACGCTGCTAATAAAGACATACCTGTGACTAGGTAATTTATAAAGGAAAAAGGTTTAATGGACTCACAGTTCCACATGGCTGGGGAGGCCTCACAATCACTGTGGAAGGTGAAGGAGGAGCAAAGGCACGTCTTACATAGTGACAGGCAAGAGAGCGTGTGCAGGGGAACTGCCCTTTATAAAAACATCAGCTCTCATGACACTTATTCACTGTCATGAAAACAGCATGGGAAAGACCCACCACCATGATTCAATTACCTCCCACTGGGTCCCTCCCATGACACATGGGAATTATGGGAGCTGCAATTCAAGATGAGATTTGGGTGGGGACACAGCCAAACCATCTCAAAAAGAAGGGAAATTCTGACACATACCACAATACGGATGAACTTTGAAGATATTATGCTAAATGAAAAAGCCTGGAAAAAAAGAATTGTATGATTCCACTTCTGTGAAGTACCTAGGGAAATCAAATTTGTAGAGACAAAGAATAGAATGGTGGTGGCCAGGGGCTAGAGGAGAGGAAATGGGGACTTAGTGTTTAATGGGTATGGAGTTTCAGTTTGGGAAGATGAAACAAATTCTGGAGATAGATGGTGGTGATGGTTGCACAATAATGAGAATACAGCATACCTAGTGCCACGAAACTGCACACCTTAAAATGGTTACAGTGGTGAATTTCATGCTATGTATATTTTACCACAGTTTAAATTTTTTTATAAAAGATTGCAAAGTAAACACACTAAAAATTAGAAGTTTCCCTTAACTTCTTCCCTCCATTCCTTAATCATATTCTCTTCTTAAGAAGTAATTTCTACAATAGTTTGCTTTGCTTTATCAGTTAATAATATATCTCAGAGTTTTAAAAATGGCTTAGTATTCTGATTCTTGATGACTCTGAATTAAGGTTTACTTTGCATAAATAAACCATAAACTCTAGACATTCCTTTTTTAATGAGTGTTTGTTTCCTGTTTCCAATTACTACCAAATACAGTGTACATTTTAAATTGTGAAAGATGGTACAAAAGTGTTCTTTAAAAATGCTTCTCATTGGTATCAACAATCTACAAATGAGCCTATGTCTTCACATCCTAGCCAATACTGGATATTCTTAATCTTTAAGATTAAATTGTTTTATCTTTCCTGATTTGCATTTTCCATATTTATTTACAAGAGTTCTTTATATATTAAGGATAGAAAACTTTTGTCTATTATAAAATTTGCACATATTTTTTTCCAGTCTGCTGCTTGTCTTTACTTTGCTTCTCAAGTTTTCTCTACAAAGATTTATATTGATTTACAGGGTCAAATCTGCTAATGATTTCCTTTAAGGCTTCTTGGTATTGGAATTTTCTTTTTTTTTTTTTTTTTTTTTTGAGACAGAGTCTCGCTCTGTCACCCAGGCTAAAGTGCAGTGGCGCGATCTCGGCTCACTGCAACCTCCGATTTACGGGTTCATGCCATTCTCCTGCCTCAGCCTCCCAAGTAGCTGGGACTACAGGCGCCCATCACCATGCCTGGCTAATTTTTATACTTTAGTAGAGATGGGGTTTCATCATGTTAGCCAGGATGGTCTCCATCTCCTGACCTCATGATCCACCTGCCTCGGCCTCCCAAAGTGCTGGAATAACAGGTGTGAGCCACCACGCCCAGCTGGAATTTTCTTAGAATTCTTCACTACCCTTAAGAGGAACTTTCTTTTATGTGTTATATAGTTTGTTTTTATGACATTTAAATATTTTATCAATTTGTATATTCGCATGTATATAGCATAAGATAGTATCTAATAACTGTGTGATTGCTTCGATTTCTCTTACTATCATCTTTCAATGGCAAAGTCCGCAATTACTTTTCCACCATCCTAATACAGTGCTTTAGGTTTGGTCTTGCCAAGTGCTCAGAAAATGATCTTTCAGAGTAGTTCTCCTTGTGGACTTTTTCTCCATTTATGAACTTGGGTCAGCAATTTCCCCTTGAGTGTCTATTTAACTAAGCACCTATTGAAATAACCTTATGTGGCATGTTCATTTCTTCTCTTGCTACTTGATGGTGTGTTTGTGCTTTTTGTGTTTGTTTTTATTTTTAGAAATCATTCCAGGGGGAAAAAAAAAGGTGCTGCTTTATCCCAGCAGATATCAGAAGAACAAAGTGTTTCTAAAAACAGCCTTTGCGCTGGTGACTGCTTTGTGAAGAAATTTCATAACCAAAGGCCTGTTAACAGGACTGATTATTTAAGACAACTGTGGTTCCTGTGTAGATTTCTTGTGCAATGTGTGAACCACACTACTAATTTACTCTTTGACCAAATGCTCCTGCTTCATAATATGCCGTACTCCCCTAAAGCTTTGGAAAACAGCTTTGAGCTTCTCACTTCTTTAGTAAAGAACTTCTCAGTTGATTTCAAGTGAAATGCCAACAGTCTCACTTTTTTCAAACACGCTTCACAGCCATGGCTGTATATCCACTTTAAAAGTGTATGTTTTGTGGGTGGGGGTGCGGTGTGCTTTGAGCAGTTGTCAGATGTTTTATTTTTGGAAAATTCTAAATAGCATTTTGAAAGATAATTAAGGGTTGCTCAAGTTTCTTTCAGAATTGAAAAAGATATATTTTACCTCCTTTGTGAATTTTTACACTCAATACTTCACTTGTCACCTCCTCCATTTTATAAATCTTTTAATTAATACTGTTTATTCTCCTCTCAGTCTGGCCTGAGTCGTGTTTTTATGATCATATTATTAGGAAGTGATAACATGTGTGGGTTTTTTTTTTTTTTCTGTATCTGGGCTTGCCAATCACTATGGAAACAAGCAAATATTTACATAGTCCAGATACTGATTAATAACTACTGGTTATTTTGACATTATAAAGTTACTGTTTGAATGTAAAGAATTTCTCCTGAATAGTAAAGCAGTCTATTATAATTTATTTACATTTGTAATTTTCCCATCAGAAATTAATACAGTTACTAAAGCTCTATCAAATTATAGCAATTTCTGAAAGAGCCATTTTTGCCAACATATGACTCAAAATGTTAAAACATGCTAGATGTGTAAAAATGGTTGTTTTAAATTTTAACAGGGACAACTTACGTAAAAGAAAAAATTTCACCTGACATTAGTGATACAGATACATCGCTTAAGATAGTATCAGCACGACGCTACATACTAAATGTTGAATCTTAAAAGGACTCATTAAAGAGATATTTTATTAGGCCCTCAAAGAAATATTTAGCAAGAAATGTAAGCCCTGGAATTTAACCTCTGGGGGCACTTGGTAATTCCCTCTGAGAACAATATTCCCCCACTCTTTCTCTCACTCTCCATTTGGAATGTTTTTTTTCCTAGGAAGATTTTTTTTTTAACCTTTTTTTTTTCAGCCTTGGATCCAAAAAGTTGTACTTTGTATTGTAGAACAGTGGTTCTTAAACTTGAAAGTGCATCAGTATTACCCAGGGGGTTGGGCTCCACTTCCCGGAGTCTGTGATTCAGTAGGTTTGAGTGTGGCCACAAACAGAATCTGTATTTGTAACAAAGGTGACACTGCTGGCCCAGGCACTGAACTTTAAGAAACCCTGCCTGAGAGTCTTTTTCTTATTGTTACCTAAGTTGGGAAGTTTTTATAGACATTGCAGAACGTTTTGAAACAAACCTTAAAAATATGATGCAGCATATTTTGTAGCAGAGATAGAGCTTCCTGAAACCAAACAATATGGATTTATTATTCCTGCAAAGCTGGAAAGTGGTACTCTATGGGTCAGGATCCCAATAATAGCCATCATCTCTTCAAGAAAAGTGTTTCTCAAAAACTCTGTAAGAATCTCACCTTATTAATCAACTCTTAACATCAATTGTACTCCTATCAAATAAGTCTAAAATTAAATGGTGTGTGGGTTGGTCAAATGTAGGTGAATCTATGGAGACTATTTTACATTTTTCATTAATGTAGCCTCACAGTCTTCAAAAAGACTGATTAGTTTACCATATTACCTATTTCTATAGAATTGAATATGAATCTTTGCATCTCATCTTAGGCAGCAAAATCGATGGTGTAGGAAATCTTGGAGCAGCATATTCTACTAAGAAAATACTAAAATTTGAAGTCAGAACAGCTGGATGATTCTTGGTTCTGCCTTTCACTTGTTATAAGATCTTGGACGCGCTCCTTATTTTCTCTAGATCTTAATATCCTCACCTCTAAAGTGGGGCTAGTAATATTTACTTGATTGAGTCAGCAAATATTTTTTGAATGTCATCCATGCACTGGGCTCTGCTGTGGTGATGTTCAAAAGATTATGCCATGTTTTTCCTCTTTCAAGGCATTTATAGCATTATTTTACTGAATAAATGACAGCAAGGGTGTGAAGAACTTAGTAAACTATAAATGCCTAATGTAAAATCTTATTGTTCCTTGCATAGTAGCTGGCCTTGATCATGGATTAAATGAGCCTCATCTACTCTTGGAAAGAAGACAGGGTAACTCCATGCTAAATGGAATCCTGCCCTGAGAAAAGTTACTACCATTGATTTTGGCATCAGACTAGTGAGTTGCAATTACAACAGGTATTTTTCCTCAGAATACTTTTGATCTCTGGAGAATTCAACTTATATTTTCATTTCAAGAAAATATTGATTTAGCTGCAAACCAGGGAATCTAAAAGGGATGGTCAGAATACTTGCTCAATGAACAGCATTCAGGTTTGTGATGTAAAAAATAATTTTAATAAAGTTTAAGAGAAAAAAAACACTCCTTTTAAAGTTTTTTGGCATCAAATGATTTGTTGCCTTAAGACAAATAGTTGTTTTGGTTTGTTTTGCTTTGTTTTTTAATGAATAGAACTCTTTTAACACTCCAGCTCAGAATAGATAGTAGATTTCTTCCTATCTAAGGAAGTTAGGCACTGTTAGCATTGAAGGCTGCGGGCTTCAATGTTATCGGATTTTGTTCTGATAAAGCAATTTCAGTCTCAAATGGAACGTGTCATTTCTTCTTTATTAAATTTCCCAGTTATTCTTTCACCTCAGGTTTTTACGTTGCCTCCTATTTATTTCTGGACTTACTCACTCAAAATATGGGAAGGCACAGGGGTTTATATGAAGTCCCATACAACCTACAGTTGTCAGAAACCAACAGGAACTGACAGAACTCACAATCAAAATGGCTCCTATTGGCAAACTAGGGTAAAGCTCCGAGGGAGAATTTACATCATCAGAAGACAAATAGCACAAACGTGTCACCACGTCTTTAAGTCAGTCTTCATTTCAGTGTATGTTCAGAAGGGAATGATGCAAACATGGCGTTGCTTCTTCAACATTTCCTGCTAGGTGCCCATTGTCTTCCTGTGAAACACCAAGCAACTTACAACCGGAAAGAGAAAACTGGTTGAACTACTGGTCCATTGTGCTCCAGGTTTTGAAACAGTCCAGTTGTTTCTGTATTACTTTGCAATATGTATTTTCCTTAAGATTCAGTTTACAAAGTTCAATATCTATTCTATTTTAAACTATCTGGTCCTTTCACCTTTGCCCATACTACTTACTACATGTCCCCAACTCTGCCATCACAGTCAACTTTTTAAAATGTTTTTATTTCCATAGGTTATTGGGGAGCAGGTAGTATTTGGTTTGGTTACCTGAATAAGTTTTTTTTTTTTTTTTGGTTGGAGTCTTGCTCTTGTCACCCAGGCTGGAGTGCAGTTCTGTGATCTCGGCTCACTGCAATCTCTGCCTCCCAGGTTCAAGCGATTCTCCTGTCTCAGCATCCTGAGTAGCTGGGATTACAGGCACCCGCCACCGCGCCTGGCTAATTTTTGTATTTTTAGTAGAGACGGTGCTTCACCACGTTGGCCAGGATGGTCTCGAACTCCTGACCTCAGGTGACCCTCTGTCCTCGACCTCCCAAAGTGCTGGGATTACAGGCATGAGCCACCGCACCTGCCCATGAGTAAATTCTTTAGTGGTTTGTGAGATTTTGGTGCACCCATCACCCAAGCAGTATACACTGCACCCAATTTGTAGTCTTTTATCCCTCACCTCCTTCCCACCCTTTCCCGTGAGGCCCCAAAGTGCATTGTGTCATCCTTATGAATTTGCATCACCATAGCTTAGCTCCCACTTATGAGTGAGCACGTACGATGACCGAATTTTTACTCAATTTGTTGATGACTTCCCTATGTACAGTTAATTCTTACTGCCTCTAAAGAAGTAATCTCTGATGCTATTACTTTATTCCTTAAAAGTCTTCTTGAGCTCACAATTCCCACTATGGTCTTCAAGACAGGCTGTTTATCCTCCCACACAATTTTGCCTCATTTTCCCATTGGTCCCTGCTCAGTACCTCTCATTTGGTTTAGGTAGTTTACTTCCTGGGTAATTCCAGCCTTATTCATGCTATTCATGCTATTCATTCCAACAAGTTAGATTCCTTTTGGTCTTCTAAATCTAGTGTATCAACTGCTTTTTCTAGAAAAACTTCTGAAGATATGTAAATATTTAGACAGCCTCTGTAGACAATGTGGAATGTATCAATTCAGGGAAATCTTGGTGAGTGAGGTTTAATTATTTAATTACATAGAATCATCTTGTCTTCTTATTGTGATTTCATTTTGCTTCTCTTCATCTATCTCTCCTTCTTCCCCTCGTTCCTTTTCTCTCTCCTTTTCTTCATTCCTTCTTTCTTTTCTTCCTTTCTCCCTCTGTTCTTCTCTCTCTTTCTCTCTGATACCTACCTTCCTTTCACTTAGACCTCTCAAAATATGGATGAGGAAATAAAAGAAAAAGCACAATTCAAATCTGTTGTTTTGGAGACTTTATTAGCATTCTGGCATAAACATTGTTATAATTGTTTTTAATGACTAAAATGAGCTGTATTATTCAGAATGTGTAGATGTGTTATACACTGTGAGGATTTGAGTATCTATTTTGGTACCTCTCTGCGTAGAACAAGGATTATTATTTAGCAGTATTGCATAATTATCAAATTGCTAGCTAGATCACGTCTTTAAAAGCAAAAAGTATACACTAAAACATTAACAATAACAAAATATAATTTCTAGTATTGGTGGTACCACTTTCCTCAAGAGAAGACAGGTAGTGAACAAAACTAGTCAGACAAACATTGGAAGTTTACAGATCAACAGTTTCAGGTGAATTCCCGCTAAACACCATCATCTTGCACAGGCGTGTTAAGCCCTGACAATCTCCAGCGGACTCAGGACACCTTCTTACTTTTTCAAATGGTGTGTGGGTTGGTCAAATGTAGGTGAATCTATGGAGATTGGTATTTTTATTCATTAAACAAAATTGTTTAATCTATGGAGATTAGGTACTTATTCATTAAAAAAAAATTTATTGATGTCTGCTATTGACAACTCCCACAGAAGTGAGCACATGACTCAAAGAGGTCAGGTCAGAAATTTTTGGATTGATCAATACAGATAGAAATGAGAGAGCCCTGCTTCTTCTGAGTTCTTAAACCCTAAAGCACTTGTGAGGCTAGAACTGCAGGGGGCACATCTTTGCAGCCATATGGAGAGAGGCTTTTGGGGGAATGAAGCCAACATAGAGAAAGTGGAGCCAAAAGAAGGGATAGAAAAAGACAGTTTCCAGAAATAAATTACTGATGACATTAATAAGTCCCTAATCACTGGTAACATTAATAAGTCCCTAGATCCTGCTGTACCTGAAGCTCTATCCTTCAGATTTCTCATTATGAGAGCCCATACATTCTTTTCTCATTTAAATAAGTTTCAGTTGGATTTCTGCCATTTTAAACCAAAGAGTCCTGATATCCTCGAACTTTCCTTATTATAAGAGTAAAAACTGATTTAAAAAATACAATGCAGAGAAGTACAATGAAACAAATTACATTTAACTATGTGACAATGACATTTTTGAGGGCAAAGTGGTAGACTTTTAGCAATTTTATACAGTTCAAGCTACTAAAAGTAATATTAATGGTTTCTTCACTCAGAGATAACATTTAGCAACATTTTGGAATACACTTTCCTAAAACTCTTTTGATATATATTTCTGGAAAACATGCATATTTAGAGTTTTTATTTTATTTTATTTGTTTTTATTTTTATTTTTTACAGATAGAGTCCTGCTATGTTGCTCAGGCTGGACTCAAACTCCTGGCTGAAGCAACCCTTCTGCCTCAGCCTTCTTTTTTTTGAAATTTATTTATTTATTTATTTATTTTATTCTTTAAGTTCTAGGGTACATGTGCATAACATGCAGATTTGTTACATATGTATACATGTGCCATGTTGGTGTGCTGCACCCATTAACTAGTCATTTACATTAGGTATATCTCCTAATGCTATCCCTCCCCTCTCCCCCCACCCCACGACAGGCATCTGTGTGTGATGGTCCCCTTCCTGTGTCCAAGTGTTCTCATTGTTCAATTCCCACCTATGAGTGAGAAGATGTGGTGTTTGGTTTTTTGTCCTTGTGATAGTTTCCTGAGAATTATGGTTTCCAGCTTCATCCATGGCCCTACAAAGGACATGAACTCATCCTTTTTTATGGCTACATAGTATTCCATGGTGTATATGTGCCACATTTTCTTAATCCAGTCTATCATTGATGGACATTTGTGTTGGTTCCGAGTCTTTGCTATTGTGAATAGTGCCGCAACAAACATACGTGTGCATATGTCTTGATAGCAGCATGATTTATAATCCTTTGGGTATATACCCAGTATTGGGATGGCTGGGTCAAATGGTATTTCTAGTTCTAGATCCTTGAGGAATTGCCACACTGTCTTCCACAATGGTTGAACTAGTTTACAGTCCCACCAACAGTGTAAAAGTGTTCCTATTTCTCCACATCCTCTCCAGCACCTGTTGTTTCCTGACTTTTTAATGATCGCCATTCTAACTGGTGTGAGATGATATCTCATCGTGGTTTTGATTTGCATTTCTCTGATGGCCAGTGATGATGAGCATTTTTTCATGTGTCTGCTGGCTGCATAAATGTCTTCTTTTGAGAAGTGTCTGTTTATATCCTTCACCCACTTTTTGATGGGGTTGTTTGTTTTTTTCTTGTAAATTTATTTGAGTTTCTTGTAGACTCTGGATATTAGC
This sequence comes from Homo sapiens, assembly GCF_000001405.40. Classification (NCBI taxonomy): domain Eukaryota; kingdom Metazoa; phylum Chordata; class Mammalia; order Primates; family Hominidae; genus Homo; species Homo sapiens. The sequence continues at coordinate 56,156,197 of NC_000018.10, read as the reverse complement.
CCTTTGTCAGATGAGTAGATTGCAAAAATTTTCTCCCATTCTGTAGGTTGCCTGTTCACTCTGATGGTAGTTTCTTTTGCTGTGCAGAAGCTCTTTAGTTTCATTAGATCCCTTTTCTCAATTTTGGCTTTTGTTGCCATTGCTTTTGGTGTTTTAGTCATGAAGTCCTTGCCCATGCCTATGTCCTGAATGGTATTGCCTAGGTTTTCTTCTAGGGTTTTTATGGTTTTAGGTCTAACATTTAAGTCTTCAATCCATCTTGAATTAATTTTTGTATAAGGTGTAAAGAAGGGATCCAGTTTCAGCTTTCTACATATGGCTAGCCAGTTTTCCCAGCACCATTTATTAAATAGGGAATCCTTTCCCCATTTCTTGTTTTTGTCAGGTTTGTCAAAGATCAGATGGTTGTAGATGTGTGGTATTATTTCTGAGGGCTCTGTTCTGTTCCATTGTTCTATATGTCTGTTTTGGTACCAGTACCATGCTGTTTTGGTTACTGTGGCCTTGTAGTATAGTTTGAAGCCAGGTAGCATGATGCCTCCAGCTTTGTTCTTTTGGTTTAGGATTGACTTGGCAATGAGGGCTCTTTTTTGGTTCCATATGAACTTTAAAGTAGTTTTTCCAATTTTGTGAAGAAAGTCATTGGTAGGTTTATGGGGATGGCATTGAATCTCTAAATTACTTTGAGCAGTGTGGCCATTTTCATGATATTGATTCTTCCTATCCATGAGCATGGAATGTTCTTCCATTTGTTTGTGTCCTCTTTTATTTCGCTGAGCAGTGGTTTGTAGTTCTCCTTGAAGAGGTCCTTCACATCCCTTGTAAGTTGGATTCCTAGGTATTTTATTCTCTTTGAAGCAATTGTGAATGGGAGTTCACTCATGATTTGGCTGTTTGTCTGCTATTGGTGTATAAGAATGCTTGTGATTTTTGCACATTGATTTTGTATCCTGAGACTTTGCTGAAGTTACTTATCAGCTTAAGGAGATTTTGGGCTGAGACGATGGGGTTTTCTAGATATACAATGATGTCATCTGCAAACAGGGACAATTTGACTTCCTCTTTTCCTAATTGAATATCCTTTCTTGCTTTCTCCTGCCGGATTGCCCTGGCCAGAACTTCCAATACTATGTTGAATAGGAGTGGTGAGAGAGGGCATCCCTGTCTTGTGCCATTTTCAAAGGGAATGCTTCCAGTTTTTGCCCATTCAGTATGATATTGGCTGTGGGTTTCTCATAAGTAGCTCTTATTATTTTTAGATACGTCCCATCAAGACCTAATTTATTGAGAGTTTTTAGCATGAAGGGTTGTTGAATTTTGTCAAAGGCCTTCTCTGCATCTATTGAGATAATCATGTGGTTTTTGTCATTGGTTCTGTTTGTATGCTGGATTATGTTTATTGATTTGCGTATGTTGAACCAGCCTTGCATCCCAGGGATGAAGCCCACTTGATCATGGTGGATAAGCTTTTTGATGTGCTGCTGGATTTGGTTTGCCAGTATTTTACTGAGGATTTTTGCATCGATGTTCATCAGGGATGTTGGTCTAAAATTCTCTTTTTTTGTTGTGTCTCTGCCAGGCTTTGGTATCAGCATGATGCTGGCCTCATAAAATGAGTTAGGGAGGATTCCCTCTTTTTCTATTGATTGGAATAGTTTCGGAAGGAACGGTACCAGCTCCTCCTTGTACCTCTGGTAGAATTCGGCTGTGAATCCATCTGGTCCTGGACTTTTTTTGGTTGTTAGGCTATTAATTTTTGCCTCAATTTCAGAGCCTGTTATTGGTCTATTCAGGGATTCAACTTCTTCCTGGTTTAGTCTTGGGAGGGTGTATGTGTCCAGGAATTTATCCATTTCTTCTAGATTTTCTAGTTTATTTGCATAGAGGTGTTTATAGTATTCTCTGATGGTAATTTGTATTTCTGTGGGATCGGTGGTGATATCCCCTTTATCATTTTTTATTGCATCTATTTGATTCTTCTCTCTTTTCTTCTTTATTAGTCTTGCTAGCAGTCTATCAATTTTGTTGATCTTTTCAAAAAACCAGCTCCTGGATTCATTGATTTTTTGAAGGGCTTTTTGTGTCTCTATCTCCTTCAGTTCTGCTCTGATCTTGGTTATTTCTTGCCTTCCGCTAGCTTTTGAATTTGTTTGCTCTTGCTTCTCTAGTTCTTTTAATTGTGATGTTAGGTTGTCAATTTTAGATCTTTCCTGCTTTCTCTTGTGGGCATTTAGTGCTATAAATTTTCCTCTACACACTGCTTTAAATGTGTCCCAGACATTCTGGTATGTTGTGTCTTTGTTCTCATTGGTTTCAAAGAACATCTTTATTTCTGCCTTCACCTCAGCCTTCTGAATAGCTGGGACTATAGGTGTGTACCACCACCTTCGGCTTTAGAGTATTTTTTTGTTGTTGTTCAGGGAAAGGATGGCATTATAATATAAACTTGTTCTGTAACTTTTCTCACTAAATAATATAACATCTAATAAAATATAATTTTAAATCATTTTAATGACTGAATATTGTTCCACAGTATGAATAAGCCATAATTTATTTATTACAACTTCATTGTTGGATTTCTACAGTGGATATTCCAGTAGTTTATGTTATTTTTCAATTTTTCATTATAGGCACTAATAATCACTATGTACATAACACTGAAATGACTCTGACTCATTCTTCCTTAATCATGTAAGAAAGGTGCCTTAAATTAAAATCATAATGGAATCAAGGTAAGAGTTGGCTAACCAAATGCCATATTTTGTCCCCTTGATTGGCATATTATGTGAAATATCTTGGCGTGTTTAATAAAACTTCTCTACCTTGCTGAACTAATTTTTAAGCTTTGTGGGTTTTTCTCTAACAAGGAAATAGGCGTAGAAATGAAAGGTAAGGCTACTGAAGACAACTGGTCCAGGGTGAATAACAACTCTAAGGAAAGGAGCTAGATAAACACCCCTTCCCAGTAAACAAATAGCATCATGTTACTGTAACAATTGCCCTGGTCCTTCCCATGAGAAGAACAAGGCATTCACAGTTGTTTTGCTCTTTTTCTGCCCCCACGTTATTGACTTAGAGCATGACATGTTTGTACAATTGTAACTAAGTCACCAAATGGGAAATGTCTAAATCAAGCTGCAATTAATGCGTCGTAAAGTGCTGGGTAATAAGCCACACATTACCTCTAGGAGGGACAAATTTTTAGAACTAAACTCCAGTGTAAGTCTGAAGCAGCAGAAGATTGGAAAGAAAAAACAATCCTTGCCAGGTTATTGTGGGGTGTGAAAGCCACGCTGTTGTGGAAAGGCAGTGTGAATCCATATTATGCAGAAATCAATGGCAGCCCAATCTTTGCAGACTGCACGAGGCGCCGTGTGACAAGGGCACAGCGATTCTCCTAATCAAGCAGGTTGTGTGAAAGCAAAGAGTCCAGCTGAGCTTGATATATCCAGCTGGACTTTGTTTGCTACTTAATGGAGCAGGTCATAGTTATAACACCCCAAAGAAATCAACCAGCCTCGGCCGGAGGAACACGCGGAAGTGTGGGAACTCCAACAGTTCTATGTTAAATCACTTCTATAGGTCATCTGCAGAGAAAGAGCTCAGAGGAATAATAAAGGGGCGTCATTCTGCTGTCTGTGTTTATGATTCTCCCCCCAGGGAAGGGAATCAGGGTGGGGGGGGAAAGCAATGTAGCTGGAGAAACGTTTCATCTTTTTTTATTCTATGCATTATAAAGCTCTTGGCAGGGCATCAGCCACTAAACTTAGCTCCCCCTTTTTGAAAGCCACACATTACAGGGGTTTTTAAGCCAGAGTGATGGTGATAAAAGGCCAATTCAGGGCTTGGGGACAATTTTTCCTAACAACATGCTTTGCCTCTTTGCTTCTTTAAACACCTGCCGCTTTGTGCAGCCTTCTGAGATACAGCTTTCAGGGTAGCCCTGGCTCTGAGCTGGGAGGGTGAAGTTCAAAGTTAATGCCACTCTCTACTGCCATGGCTGGGGGTGTGCGGCCACTGACCTCACCTTGGCATGAATAATGTCACTGTCAGAATGCATATGGAAGTCAGGAATGTGGGATGGGACTCTTCAATCGTCTTCAACAATGGGCTGCTGACTTTGGAAGCATTAAGACCCCTCTCCAATTCTTGACGGATTCCTTAAAAAGCATCCCCATCACAAAAGCTCTTGGGATTTAAGAGTGCTGTACAAAAGGTGCCTGGCAAATAGATATGTGGATTAGTTAGGGGAGTGATGAGTTTCTGACTACAAGTATGTTTAGGTGAACCAGGCCAGAGGAAGTAAATGCTCTATCAATTAGAACACTAACTACATTTTTCCTTCTTTCTCCACTGGATGGTCTTTACTCACTGCTGAAGAGCTGGACATTGCAACCTGCAGGGATTGAGCCACTAAAATTTGGTGAAGATTCAATAGGAAAAGCTGGAATCCCTGATAATTAATTTGATGATTGTGTGAAACTGCATGTCTGGAGATAAGGTATCACACTGATCAAAGCACATTTGACTCCTGAAACCTCCAAGTCAAATAGTCAGCATTCCCTTGGTCTCTTGAGCTGCAATAACTACAAAAGAAAACAAAAATGGGACAGTGAAGGTGTCCATCCTCCCACCCTCATTAAGTCTGAAGGGAAGAGACACTGGCCATACGACTGACCCTTGCTTTCAGGCTGTGAGCAGAACAGTTTTAGGTAAACTGCAGCATGTACTTAAAGGAAATGGTATAGGAAATTTGAATCTTTAATCTTTCATAATCAAAGATCAGAATATAAGAATCTTGAGTCCCTGGGTCTTGGCTGAATGATATGTTCCTCTTTTATGTAGACAGTACCATCATGGAATGCAAAGAACATGGTGTGGCAAGGTGGGAGAGCTGGGTTCCAGTCCTGGCTCTGCCAGTCCTGCTTAGAAACCCTGAGAAAGTCTCCTCACTTCTCCAGAACTGAGTTTCCTCATCAGCAAAGTGAGAGGCCTAGACATCATGATTTTTAAAGCCTCACCTAACATCTTGTGATTACTCTGGATGCAGTCTGTCTTAGGATGTGCTTTGGTGGAACTGAGAGGAAATTTTACAAGAGTGAATCTCCCCATGATGACACCCCTCCCAGACAAGCCCAGCCCTGCTTTCTGGGCCCCAAGTTTTCCTTCCCACTGGAAGACAGCACTAGGCAGCTCTCTGCCATAGGCCACTCTCTTCTGAGGTTGTCCCTGCCATCGGAGGCTTTTCCTTCCTGGTTAGAGCACAGCTTTGCACCATTTGCATCTTTAATACTCCACAGTGAAAACTCACTGTTCAAATTAATCACTCTGGGCAATGGAAATCCTTGGATGACAAAAAAGACTCCATATTTTGCAACATAGTACTTAATTCATGAGTCAGGAAAGTTGAATTATTTAATCAGAAAGATTTAGAACCACATGGCTAAAAAAGGAAGAGTTGACTTGTTTCATAGGCTGAATAAGAGCTCCCCAAAGATGTCCCACATCCTAAACCCTAGAATCATAAGTGTTATTTTACATGACAAATGGGACTTTGCAAATGTGTTAAGGATTTTGAGTGGGGAGATTATTCTGGATTAGTCAGTTGGGCCTGATGTAATCACAAGGGTCCTTATAAAAGGGATACAGGAGGTGTCAGAATCAGAAGACAAGGTAATATAATGACAAGAAGCAGAGGTGGGCGTGATGGGGCCACAAACCAAGGCCAGTAGCCTTTGGAAGTGGGACAAAGCAAGAAACAGATTATCTTCTAGAGTTTCCTGAAGAAACCAGTCCTGCTAGCACCTTGATTCTAGCCCCGTAAGATCCATTCTGGACTTCTGACCTTCAGACTATAAGATAGTAAATTCGTGTTCTTTTAAGGCACTCACTTTGTGGTGATTTGTGACAGCAGAATAGGAAGCTAATATAACTTATAAATATACAATTAACCAAAAAGCTAAATTTTCAAAATGGACATTTGCTAAAGAGTTTGGTTCATTTAGATTTTATTCAAAAGCAGGTTGTTTAATGATTTGATGTTTTTCTAAATATGTCTTCTCTCAAGTAGACCTAAGAATTCACAATTCACGACCTTTTTTTATATTCTTGCCAATCACAGGAGGTTTATTTACCGTTATTTCCCACCATGTTATGGCTGACAGCTGCCATTGCAAAACAGGATCACCCCAAACTGGATGTTTTTCCCTCATTCAGAGTAGTCAGTAGTTCCTGTCCTCAGTGTATCAGTAACCTCTCGGAAGCAGCCTCTCAACAAATCTCTAAGTCCTTAATCTTCAAACTGCAGGTAGGAAAAGTTGGCCTCTTCCAACTCCCAGAATCCCCTGAGAAATACAGACATGAGGCATCGTTAGTTCTCTATTAAGAAGAGAAACTGTAGAGGATTTGCTAACAAGCCAAGGGGAGCACAACTTTCAGATAGCTTCTTAGTTCGCCTACACTTCATTACCCCAGGCCTTTCTTTGTAAGCTATTTCTGACAACCTTTCCTTGACTACTTGACTCATCTCAATGTGATTAAATTGAGAGCGTGTACTCTGTGATTTAGGGTTGGATGTCCAAGGACGATATAAAGATCAATTTTAAAATAACCAAAGAGAAACAAATTTAAAAAACCACCCTTCCTTAAAACTTCAAAAAGGTCAGTATCCTTAATTGGAGAGGCAGGTGTTAGATAACAGTCGTTGCTGAAAATTCTTTGCAGATGTCAGCTTATAACTCCACCAGAGCAATTTTCAGTTAATATGGGCCTTGAGATGGAATAGTTACGTCCAAAAGCCCTGCCGTTGATTCTAAATTTGATTTTCTTTCACAAAGTTGCACACAGATTTCACAGTTGATCATCTGCATGGGTGAATTTTCCACTGGAAGGCTGATTCTGGAATTTCCTATCTGTAAAGACATATACTGGGCAGTAACAATATAATTAATTTAAAAAGTTAAATATAAACCAAGGAAATTGTTAATATCTGAAAATCTCTCAGCAAGCTGTGTTTACTTGTTTGTTGGGTATAAACCTTTAGATGTATGGAACTAAATTTTGTTTTTTCCTTCTCCTATTCCCCTTTCCTCCTGCTTCTCTTCCTCCTTTTTCTTCTCCTCTTCCTTTTTCTTCTCCTCTTCCTTCTTCTTCCCCTCTTCCTTCTTCTTCCTCTTCTCCTTCTTCACATTTATTCAAGGTCCCTTGATGTTTCAGGTATTTGTTACTATGTGACAACTACCCCAAATCTTGGTGATTAAAATAAAATTTTCGATGACTTAAAATAATAGCCTTTTCTCATGACCTTGTGAGCTGGCTGAAGCTCAACAAGGTGATTCTTCTGCTGGTCCTAACATAGTGTCCCTTATATGGTTGTAGTCAGAAGGCTTCTGGAGTTGGAATATCCCAGATAACTCTGCTCATACATCTGTGGCCTTGGAGAAGATGACTAGAATGTTAGAACCTTTCTTTCATACTCATTCTCCCTTTCTCTCTCTCTCTTCCCCCTCCCTCTCTCCACATGAGCATGGCTAGTTTTGGCCTCCTTATTTGGCAGCTGGATTCCAAGAATGAGCATTCCAAGAGGGCAAGTGGTGATGAGCAAACACTTACCCATCTTCTGTAGACATTGTGTTTGCTAATACCCCATTGGCCAAAGTCAGAGTCAATGTGGGAGGGGACCACACAGGGCTTGACTACTGGGAGATGTGAGTCATTGGGAGCCACAGCCTAATACACTTTGGATTCATGGTGCCTTTTCAGAAACAAACCCTGCTTGAGCTTAATTTCAAGGATATATTCATAGTGTCTTCTTGAAATGTGGATAGATCTAAGGTTTAGTCATTGTTTAGCCATGAAAACAGTTAAGTTGAGGTAAGGAGTTCATGGTTTATTGGTACTATCTCATATTTGGTTGTGACAGTTCATAAACTGTGTTTTTTTGATGCTAGAGAAAGCACAAGACAGGAGTCAGGCATCCTAGGTTCATCCCTAAGGACCACGTGATTCTCATTCAGTTTACAGAGTTAACTTTAAGGTCCAACTGTGTTCCGATAATCAGAAGTTGTTAAAACAGGAGTTCTGGTCAAGTGCATCAAAGTTCCATTGCCTTTACCCACTTCCCATCAGAAAGAGTTTGCTTTTTGGTGTCTTGATTATTCCTACCCATTCTTTAAGTCTACAGATATAAATATTCTTTTGCATTGTCTATTAAGCACTTCAGTAAATGCTTGCTGACTTGGCTTTGTCCTCCGCTATTTCCTAGGGACAGGCCACCTTCCTGACAACTTGTTCTAACTGTAGAAACTAGGGCCGAGCTATGTTGTTATATAGTTATGCTGGTGCATAATGAGTGCTCAACAAATAATTCTTGACTGAATACTTGAAACACTAGGCATAATATCTCAGCATATATTGACTTTTCTCATTGGTTCAAACTAGTGAGTTTTTAAAAAACTCTTTAAACCTACGTTGACAAGATTGTCTCTGGGATTAAAATTAGGATAGGCCTTATTTTAAGAAAGAATGGGACAGAACTTTGGAACATTTCCAACCACACAACAATTTTTCCTAAAGGAAAACTTTCCCTTTGTCATCAGTTAAGGTTATTAAAAAAATAATCAAGTAAAAAAACTTGCTAAATTAAAAAAGAAGTCACCCAAAGTCAGAACTTGAAGAAAATGTGGTGACTTAGATTCTCCTATTAACAGCCGCTTATTCAAGGTCTTTGTAAGTGGTTACTGTACAAAGAAATTGCTAACCACCATGGTTTTTACCTGTGATTCTGAAACATGCTGATAAAATACTCTCTCATTTTCCTCTCTTTCTTGGACTATTAGCATTATTCTGCTCTATTTGGAGCTGAGTGCTAACCAAATCAATAGTCATTTATTATAAAGAAAACAGATTTAAGAAACAACAGACTTGACTACTCTGATAAAACATAGCAAGCTCAAAGTATGAATGCAGTGTTGAATGAAGGATTTGATTTATATGCTGTACAGAAAAATCCAGTAAGCAGGAATGAAAGTTTTTATTGTCTTGTCTATGAATGACTGTTCATAAATATAAAATTAGTATTTATTAAAATAAATTTAGCATTTTATTGTAAATATGGTCATTGTAAATAATGACCCTTTATTATCTTCTTCTTGCAATGCTGCCTTTTAAATTTTAATCACCTCTGTAAAGTAGCTGCCTCAGTTTGCCAAGATTTACGTAAAAATAAATATCCATTTATGATCCAATTTATGCTTTACAAATTACTCACCATTTAAAAAGCTTTTTGTTTGCAAGAAAGAATAGTACTAAAGGAGCAAGATGGGGGAATCCCATGTCTCAAATACCATCTGGTGTCAGGAATGATGAATCCTTAACTGGTGTGAGATATCAGTGTCTATACCACACTGTGTTTTTTAAATGCTGAAGTTATTAGCATTTCAGTTTGGGAAGGGCTAGGTTCTTTTACCGAAGGGGCTGAGCTGTTTCCTATGAATGGTGACTCAGAGATGATAGAGACTTCTTGCTGCAAAATATTGCCCTACCCAGATGCCAAGGCATTTGGAATTTTCCTTTTGGATCTCCTTTGCTTTAGAGTTTTTTTGCTTGCTTGTTTGCTTTGTTGTTGTTTGTCTGGAAACACAAAAAGCATGTCAATAGTTCTGGGAAAGGAGGCATTAAGTCATATTAACATTATTGATGAGATCTTCCCCTACAGATGGAAGATCAAGGCCAAGGCAGCAGACTGAAGCCTAGAAAAGGAGGAAAGAAAGGAAGGCTCTGGAAAAGCCCCAGGGAGATAGCAGGAGACAGGCCAGGACATTGATGAGGAGCTGAGACTTCCACATAGTTTTGTCAGGGTAAACCCTGCAAACCATACGTACTGGGGATAGCAGTTTGCTGAGGAGTGACAACCAGACCAAGATGTGACACACAAGAGTCAATGAGAGGAAAATTTCATCAATTGTATATTTTGATGATACATGAAAAGAAGAACTTGGTACTTAAAAGCCCTGAGTTTTTACCTTGGAGTAACTCTGACAAACTACACCTTTAGCGGCCAGCCCCATGGTCACTTGTCACAGAAAGGATGCTCTTGGTGCTGGATTGATCTGCACGGTCCCAATCAGCCACCATCCTTTATGGTGGATAATTGATTAACAATCAAGTGTTTTCTTCATAAATCATAATTGTTAACCTTTATGAAATCAATATGACAAGTTATTGAGTTCTCAAAAGTGAAATCGGCAATTATTTCTCATCGGAAGTTAACCCGCTTCCTCCTTTTTTTCTTCAAAAACATACATACATGCATGCATACATAGATACATGCAGGCATGCATGCATATATACGTACATACATACATGTATGTATATATGTGTTAGCATATATCTGTCAACATGAACTAATATACTGACTTAAACTGTTTATTAATGTAACCGATAAAATGATTTATATTAATTAAAATTTCATTCCCTCTTTTAACATTTGTAGTTCGATTAGTTAGGCTTCAGCCAGGGAAACAGGATCCAATCTCAGTGCATAAAACTGAGGGATTTTACCCAGCACTTTGGGAGGCCGAAGCGGGCAGATCACGAGGTCAGGAGATCGAGACTATCCTGGCTAACACGGTGAAACCCTGTCTCTACTAAAAATACAAAAAAAATAGCCAGGCGTGGTGGTGGGTGCCTGTAGTCCCAGCTACTCGGCAGGCTGAGGCAGGAGAATGGCGTGAACTTGGGAGGCAGAGCTTGCAGTGAGCCGAGATCACGCCACTGCACTCCAGCCTGGGTGACAGAGCGAGACTCCATCTTGAAAAAAAAAAAATTGAGGGATTTTAATGCGAGAATTGGTTACTGGAGTGACAGAAGAGCCGAGGAGTGCTGGTGGGGAATGAGGGATTAACAACAGCAGGAAGCCCCTACCACCCCATGGCTAGAGGAGAAAAGAAGATCCCAGGGGCTGGACCTATCAGTGGAGCTTGACCAGATAGGCCTGTCTGTGGATCTGGGGTCAAGATGGAGACACATCTGTGATCAGAGTCACTGCATGAAGTTGGGGAATGGTAGGGACATACTCTGACTTCTGACTTCTCCCTTTCGCCCTCCCACCTTATAATTCCCCACCAGTGCTTCCCCCTGGAAGCTGGGAGCTCTCTCACATGGAGCCTGGATAAAGAGTCCATTTTCATACTGGTATAAAGAACTGCCCAAGACTAAGTAATTTATAAAGGAAAGAGGTTTAATTGACTCACAGTTCAGCATGGCTGGGGAGGCCTCAGGAAACTTACAATCATGGAAGAAGGTGAAGAGGAAGCAAGGCACCTTGTTCCCAAGGTGGCAGGAAGGAGAAGTGCTGGGCGAAGGAGGAGAGCCCCTTATAAGACCATCAGATCTTGGGAGAACTCACTCACTATCACAAATACAGCATGGGAGAAACTGCCCCCATTGTTCAATTACCTCCACTTGGTCTCTCCCTTGACATGTAGGGATTATGGGGATTACAATTCAAGATGAGATTTGGGTGGGGACACAAAGCCTAAACATATCACCAAGTCTTCAAAGATCAGCCTTCCCATGCCTCCCTAGAAGACAGGAGAAGAATGGATCCAAGGGCAGACAGGCCTAAGCAAAGACAATGGTCTTTTGTGCAGCTTGTTCAGATGTACAAAATGTCTTGTATCATGTCTGTAAATTCCGGAGATGGCAGGTTGAACTGGTTCAACAGAAAAGATATGATAAGTGTGGACAGAGCCAGATTTCAGATAGGACTCATAATATACACACCCATGCAACTGAATGGTAGCCCAGGGTGCCAGCCACGCACAGGCTATCAAGTCCTCCAGGCTTCAATGTCAATACCCCTGCCAGTGACTGGGAAGTTCAGCACCATGCCCAAGACTTGCAAGGTACACTTAATGCTCTAGGGTCACTTCTGAGCCTCAATCTTCAGTTTTGATATCTGGGAGTGTTCCCTTCTGTGTGTACAGCTTTAACTCTCCCCAGCCTGCCACCGAGGTCAATTCTCCCATCTCACTTCCCAACTAGAAGAGGTTGAATAATGCCCCCCCCAAAAAAAATTGTGTTACACCCAAAACCTCAGAATTTGATGCTATTTGGAAATAGCATCTCTACAAATGTAATTAAGGTAAGGATTGAGTTGAGATCATACTGGATTAGGGTGAGCCTAAATTCACTCTGGATTTCCTTAAATAAGACAGCAAAGGACACACAGAAACACAGAGAAGGAGGCCATATGAAGGCAGAGGGAGAGATTGCAGTGAGGCAGCTGCAAACCCAGGAATGCCAGTGATTGCCAGGAGCCACCAGAAGCTGGAAGAGTCAAGCCAGGATTCTTCCCTAGAGTCATCAAAAGGAGCAGGACCCCGAGGATATCTTGGTTTTGGACTTCTAGCTTCCAAAACAATAGGATAATTGATTTCTGTCATTTTAAGCCCCCCAGTTTATGACAACTTATTACAGCAGCCCTGGGGAACCAACAAAACAAGAAAGTGCTAACTAAGGCTGTGTGCTGAATGCCCCTTCATTTGAGAGTGTGGAGTTAACCAGAAGTGTTTTACCAGGAAGCCAATGACACTTGTGCTCTGGGAACCCCTCACCTACTTAGCTCTGTCAAGGCAAGGTACACCCATAGTCATATTTTTTTTTTTTTTTGAGACGGAGTCTTGCTGTGTTGCCCAGGCTGGAGTGCAGTGGTACGATCTCGGCTCACTGCAACCTCTGCCTCCCGGGTTCATGCCATTCTCCTGCCTCAGCCTCCCTAGTAGCTGGGACTACAGGTGCCCGCCACCATGCCCAGCTAATTTTTTGTATTTTTAGTAGAGACGGGGTTTCACCATATTAGCCAGGATGGTCTTGATCTCCTGACCTCGTGATCCACCTGCCTCGGCCTCCCAAAGTGCTGGGATTACAGGCATGAGCCACTGCGCCCCACCCATAGTCATATTTTTAAATGAAGTAACACTAATACATTTTAATAATTGAATTACTAATAACATTACAATATGATATCTTCTTAGCAATTGATGAAGTATATTGATGCTTTCCACTTGGGCACACTTCCAACACACTTCAGGAGGTGTTGGAGTACCTGTGAGCACCCTTTCAGCTAAGGAGAGTTGGGGTGGGAAGCTTGGTTTGTATTTGGAGGAATTTAGTTTATGTAGTTCACGTGACCTCTGGCTTTAGTCTCAAGATTGCTGGAAGTCCTAGTGTTAGACTTGTTCCTAGGAGTTCTCCTATTGCTCATGGAGGGAGGGAGAGTCCAAGGTTGTACAGTGAAATGCAGGTATCCCATAGCACCCGATGCTGCAAAGATATGGTCGACAAAAGAAAAACAATAAAGAGTATGAAGCCAGAAGCTAGTTTGTGTGATATCTTCAAATGACCAGATATGCGTAATTGGAAGTGGAGGATTCAGTTCTCATTGATGACTGATCAAAACAGAAGTGATCTTTCAGAACTGTACTCAATTTTTCAGCACCTAAAATTATAAATGCACTGTAATTTTTTCTTCTTTTCTCAATGGGAATTGTGCAGAATAGACTATATTACAATCCTTGTGCTTGTAGGGAATAAGCATGTAGTAGTTCTATAGATAGGAATTACGTCTATAACAGCTCATACAAGAAACTTGATAAAAATTTTTCTAAATTTGAAAATGATCCTAAAAATATACATCATATTTTCAATAACTAGTTGTGAATCTGACAAACACATTTTAAAATTACCAACAATAAAAATGCATTTTAATCAAGTATCCTAGAGGAATGATTAAATTATCCTTTCTCTCTAGAAAAATTGTATTATAAAACCGTAGAAATGGAAATTGAGGTGGATGAGCCAAACGATGTAGAAAAAAAATGTATTATAGAAGTGATTCAGTCCATTACTTAATACAAATATTGTGTCATTTGTCTGGATTTCATGATGTCTGTGGAATTTGTCACCTTTAAAATGTGTAATTTGTTGTGATTCTTTTTCTTGTTCTAAATAAATATTCACTTTTGTGACTAAATTTAGTATTTGTAATTTTGTACTCTTACAGAGGGCCTCCCAAATTGTACAAGTGTCAGGTCACCCAGGGCCTAGATCTACCCTTGGGGAGGAGAGAGAAAGACTGCTGTGTGAGCAGAGCACAGCCACTACAAGTCAGCAGTGTGCAGTCCCTAGACTGTCCCTTCCATTCGCAAGCTCCAAAGGCCATTATTTTCAGGAGGCCACCATAGCTGCCCCGCTTCAGTCTCACCAGCTATCTCTCCATCTCTCCCCACTCCCAGGCCCCCAACTCCTTTTTGCTTCAGTTGGCCAGTGCAAGAAGCTACTTCCTTATTACTTTGTTTTGCAAATTAACTTTGATTTAAGTCCCAATCCATATTAGGTTGAAGCCCTAATTTTTGTATCCTGGAACCCCGAAAAGGAATTTTCTCCACTTGATCTTAGCCAAAAGGCTGAGAAGTGGTGACAATATAGAATTTTCTTACCAAGAAAGCTATCTTCCTCTGATCTACATGCTTAGGTACACCCAGAATGTGTGGGATCTTAACACTTGCACTTCTGCTTCCACAGCATAGACATGTGGCTGGGAAGTGGCTTCTGACCCAGGGTTTATATTTTCTAGCATTCCACCTTCCGTTGGCAGGGTTTTGTTCTCTCATTTGCAGCTCTAGTCTGTACCTATTCTCTGGATTCTAGACTCTTATATCCAACAGCTTATTTGATATCTATCCCCCTTTGTTGAGATACGCATTCTGAGAGAATTCTCAGAATTCTGAGAGATACACATTGAGAGAAGTCTACTCAATGGAATGAAAGAGAAAATAATGTTTCATTTCTAGGCTTGATGTATATTAGCTTTCTTCCTCACACATGCCTCGACTTATCCTCCTCCATGCATTTTCCCCCTTCTGGAACAGAAATGACATCCAGAGTTGCCTTGAAAGCTTCATATTGAAAATGGCACCAGGCTGGGTCCCTGAACCACTGTGTGGAAGAGGGCTGTCAATCAGCTCGCCTGCCCAGTGCTACTATGTGATCAAAAAATCATCTTCTAGTGTGTTAAGCCACTGAAATTTTGGGCTTTACTTCTTAAAATAGCTGGAGTTACCATAACTAAAGCAACAGTTTTCTGTTTGGTGTTACCAAATTTCTAGATAAAATTCTTTTCTTCCCTAGCTTGAATGAGCCAGGAAGGTTTTCATTCTTTTATTGATATTCTCTTATCCTCTTTAAATAATAATAACAATAGTTATAATGATAATAATAAAAATATTTTAACAAATATCTTTAATGAGGGTCTCACTCTGTCACCCAGGCTGGAGTGCAGTGGCATGATCTCTGCTCACTGCAACCTCCACCTCCTGGGTTCAAGTGATTCTCCTGCCTCAGCCTCCCAAGTAGCTGGGACTACAGGTGTGCACCACCACACCTGGCTAATTTTTGTATTTTTAGTAGATAAAGGATTTCACCATGTTGGCCAGGCTAGTCTCAGGCAATCCACCCACCTCAGCCTCCCAAAGTGCTGGGATTATAGGCATGAGCCACCATGCCCATCCCTGTGCCAAGCTCTACTCTAAGTCTCCCATGTGTACTATGTCACTGTATCCTCAGGTGGTTCTATTTTGATCTCCGTTGTCCAGGGAAAGAAGCTGAAGCAGAGAGAAATTAAATTGCCCCACGTGGAGTCAGAATGAGAGGCCAAGGGGCTAAATCCTCACAGAACCCGGGACTGACCCATTATGCAAAGCTCAGTCCGGTCTCCCATTTCCATATTTGGACTTAGATTGCTTGGTTAAACATTCTTGTCTTGTCTCCCTTATTCAAACATACACTAATGGGGTTCCTTTGCCCTGGTGAGCTTCTCAGCTACAGAGAGCGCTCTGAAAATGCTGAAAAATCCATGGTCCTGAGGTTGCTAGGATTCTCGGTTCGTCACATTATTTTATTCATAAGTAAAATA
Organism: Homo sapiens; assembly: GCF_000001405.40. Taxonomy (NCBI): domain Eukaryota; kingdom Metazoa; phylum Chordata; class Mammalia; order Primates; family Hominidae; genus Homo; species Homo sapiens. Next base: position 56,140,221 of record NC_000018.10, on the reverse strand, counting down.
AAGCTCAAGGAACCTGACTCACTACCTCAGAGCGAGAAGAAGGAATGAGCTCATGTCTCTAAGATCTGTGAAGCTCTGTGGAATGTGGGTTTAGATAAATAGGAGCTTTATTAGTTGTGCTACTTACAAGCCCCTTCAGTCTTCACTTTCCACCAAACTGTGTGAACAGGCCACAGTCTCCCTCTGCCCCATCTCTTCCATGGGCAGGCTGCCCATTTCAGCTTGGGCTGTGTTTCTGAAATGTCAGCCGAGGGGCTGCGGGTGCTGGAGAAGGAGCTGGGAACAGGACGTACCCGAGGCATTCATTTCAAAAAGACGAGTTCCACTTATTCAGCACATCAGTGGAGTCCAGTGGCCTGGACAGAGCCCATTTCCTGCTGCTGCAGAGGAATGAGGGACTTGTACTCCCTGTACACGATTGTTCAGGGCAGGCCCTTTTCAGGGAGGAAGAGAAGATGGTTTCTCCATTTTGTTCTGTCCTCCCAAGGAACCCATCTTACTGAGCCAAAGAGTAAAGCTCAAAGTTATCTCTATCAAAATTCACTTACTCTCAAAACTTTTTTCTCCTCTTCTTTCTCCTATGAGCCACCATGGTAAGGCCCAGTGGACACTGACCTCCCCAGGCACCAATGCTCCCACATTCCAGGGCCAACAGCCAGTTCTTCTTCCTCCTCCCACCCCACTGACAGGCTGTACTCAACACAGTCTCTCCTCCTTGGACACTTCTTTATTTCAACATTCTTCTCTTTTCCTTCTGCCCCAGTAACTGCTCTGTCTCTTTTGCTAGTTTCTCCTCAGACCCATGACCTCCAAACATCAGAGTGCTCCAGAGATCAAGATCCACCCTGTTTTCTCTTCTGTCTAAAATCCCACCCTGGGAGATCCCACCTAGTATATGGCCTTAAATGTCATCTGTATGCTAGTTACTGTCTTAGTTGCTGATCTGGCCTGGACCTACTCCTTGAACTCTAGAATGCAGCTGCTTGTTTGGCCTCCCTTCAGTTGAGATCTGCCTCCTGAACCTGCCCAAAACTGAGCTCTGATCCCCACCCCCAAATTGCTCCTCCTACTGTTGGCTTCATATCAGTATAATTCTGGTTGCTCAGGTCCCAGACCATAGAGTAACTGTGATTCTTTTTCTTACACCCCATATGCAAATCTCACATTCCCCCGGAATGTTACTATTTCTCTCTCCTTCCCAGCTAATTCCTCAGTCTGAGCCTGTCCCACCTGGAATATTGTAGTCACCTCCTAGCTGGTCTCTCAGCTTCCACACTTGTGCCACCTAAATTTGTTCCCAACATAGTAGCCAGATGGCTTCCTTGAAAATGTAAATGAAATCGTATAATCTTTCTGCTAGAAATTCTTCAGTGGCTTCCCAAATCATGCAGATCCAAATTTGTGATCTAAGCTTATGATCCATCCTCTCACCGTCCCTCTGATCTTACCTCCCACTCCCTTCCCACTCATCCCTGCACTCCCACTGTAGTGGCTTTCATGACCAACCTTGAACATGCCCAGTGTGCTCTTGCCTCAGGGCCTTTGACTTGCTCTTCTCCTCCTTCAAACGATCTTCCACCACACGTCCACGTGGCTGTTTCTTTATCTTTGTTCCGTTCCCTGCTTAAATGTTATCTTATGATAAAGGCCTTCCCTAGTCACCACATCCAATAAAGCATTTTTCCATTCATCTATCATTCTCTATGGTCTTACCTGGCCTTATTTCTTTTTAGCATTTTATAATAACTTGATATATTCAGTATTATTTATTTTGTTTATTACTTATTTCTTTCCTTGAAGTGTAGAATACAGCTTTATTTTTAAAAATAGCTTCCTGTTTGTGCACCACTGTGTTTGCATGAGAGTCACTGTGCTTACATGGAGTCACAACAAATGTGTGTTGAATTAATAAATAAATTTCTTCCCATTAGTAGAAGTTAACATGTGTGTGTGTATCTGTGTGTGTGTGAATCTGTGTGTGTATGTCTGTGTGTAATGTGTGTTGTTTCTGACTCATCAAAGGCTGTGTGCATAGGAGGTTAGATTTTATTCTCTTCTCAAAAAGTCAGTGTGTTTTTCCCTGTATCCTTTCTGCCACCATAGCCCTAGTGAAAGGAGCAGAGTCAATGTATTTCTGGAAAGAGAATAGGATGTAAGAGAGGATATTGCTGCACAGAAAAGAGGAAGGAAAAGCACATCCCTCTTGGTACAAGATGATTGTATGGAAGGGAAGGGGGTCAGAAAGAGACGAGATCAGATACAAACATGTTGGACTCACCTTCTGCACCTGCCCTCCTACCCCAGGGGAAATTATGAAAACTCTGAGAGTACAGAAAGTTTTTCCATTTCTTATTTAAAATTCTGAGAAGGGATCACTTCATGGAATAATTTCTTACCCTCTCTATACAAATCTATGCATCAGAATAAAATTGCTGCTATGGTGGCATGGTTAGGAGAACAACAGCTTGAAATTAGTACCCTAGAACACCATCTAGTTCAATATGCCTTCAAAAATATCTAGAAGTCCCAACTGGCTTTGTGGAGGGACACAGAAGGAAGGTGATGGTGCTTCTGGTGGTGAATTACTGAGGAATCACTGCAGGGATGGTGAAGTGGCCTTGTTGCCATGGCCTGTTGAGGAGGTTGCCTAGGCTAAAGAATAAATGAAAAGAACTTTCAGACCTCATAGATGAATAGAATGAGCAAAAGTTGCAGCACAGCGTGTCACCAGAGAGGAAAAGAATATCCTTGCTGTGCCAAGAAAGAAAAGACCATGGATCTACTAGTTGCAGATTTCAGCAGTAATGCCAAGGGGGCAAGAAGTGACCAGCAGAACAATTAGGCCATGGCAACAGAAGCCAACTACAACCCATGTTCCAATCTATGACCTCCCTCTCCTGCTGGTACAAGGATATGGTGAGCTATCTCACACATTCATTCACCCAGAGATGATATTTGAGACATTTAACAATGGCATGGCACAGGTAGTGATACTGCCCACAGGATGGCTTAATTCCTTTTTTCCCATTGCCCTGAGGTCAGGAAGATTATTTTCCTATATTTGTTTTACATAATATAAGTTTTATAGCTTTTCCTTTCATCATCAATTCTCTTAAAATATTTGGAATTAATTTTTGTATATAGTGTGAGGTAGAGATTTAATGTAATACTTTCTCCATCATTTACCCATAAAACTTCCAAAAGGGTCTAGATTTTTCACCATGACTCTTAGGAATGTGGCAAGGGGTGAGATTTCTTATAGTGGAATGGGTTTGGTGGGATGTTGGCAGACATTCGTATGCATGGATTATTTGTAAATCAAGCGTTTGTTTGTTAGTTGGATGGTTTATGCCTCTCCCTCATATTGTCCATTAGTGCTCCATGCTTGAACCTTTTCATTGCCAGGACTTAGTTTGTATAAATTGACAGACTGAGTCAAGTACATTGGCTGTTGTTGTTACACCAAACATATCATTTGTCCAAGTTCCTCTGTGGAACCAAAACAGAAAATAATTCTGGTTAAGTATATGACACATTTGCCTTCCCACATTACTTTGATAGAAGGGAACCCCAAGGCAGACAAAAACTGCATCTCAGAAAGAGTGAGATGAAATCTCCAAGAGCCTGATACTCTTAGGAAGTTCTTTGCACAGAGTGCATATATTTTGTGACTAAACAATAAGCGTTTATTCAGCATCTATGAAATGAATTTCAAGTTTACAAGCTTTAAAAAATAGCAAAATCCCTAGGTCTCTGCAATAGGCAAACCAGAATTTCACTTAATTTGTTGCTCATCATTTTGGCCTATAAACTCAAATACTTATTAACGCTGTAAATATGCCTTTTTACTGTCTGTCTGACAGCGCCCATGCTTTCTATGCTGTCTCCTTAAACATTTATGAGTGTTCATGAATATGCAAATGCACAATCTAATGTCTGCAAATGGTTGCAAGTACAAATGCTATGTTAATATTTCATACAGTGATGGGAGCAAATCAACAACCATAAATTTTGAACAAATATGTTGCCTCATTAATAACTAATGAGGCAGTGCATAGAGCTGAGGATTTGGCATTTAATGTAAAAGTGGTGTTTAAACAGAGTCTATCAGACAAGGCCACAGCTTCCAAAAATTCACTAAGATCTGCTTCTTTCAGAGTGGTTTCTGTTTGGAGGCGAGGGAAGGTTTTTGAGAAGAGAGTGATTCATAATAGTTGTTTTAAAAGATGAAACTCCATTACATGGTAGAAATCAAATATACCTTTATGAACAAGAAGTGTATTTGATTCAGTGTTCCACTTTCCTGGGAGTTGATGATGTGTAAGATCAACTAAGGAGAGTTTAAATACTTAGTATTAGGTTGGCGCAAAAGTAATTGTGGTTTTTGCCATTAAAAGTAGTAGTAATATAGAAATGTATGCAGCCAAGGAATTGGAAGAGCTAACCCTATTTGCCCCTCATGAGACTAGTGCTAAGTGAATTGGCTTTATGAAAGAGCTAGGCCAGTTCTGAGACTCATAACTTTGGTTCATGATTCCAGTGCTTCCACACTTTACCACGTTCCTAATTCTGTGGGGCACCAATTTTCTTCTATCTTGGTCAATTAAATATTAAAGCTAAAACTCACAATTACTATGTATTTGGGACCTTATGTCAGAGATTTTAAATAGAGAAAAATACCAATACTAGGCTCAAAAGTCACTTTATAGCTCTGGGTGTCAGCATATTCATTCATAAATTGACCAATCTCCAAGTTTTAAAAACTTTCAGGGGACTCTTCCTTGGATGAGATACAAGATGTTTAGGAATTTTTCAGCTTTGCTGAATTATCATGAACAGCATCCATGGCCATTTTGTAGGCCTGAGGAGTAGAATGTATAGTAGATTGGATAAGCTAATATTGACCATACAGTATATCCTGGAAGGTTCTCTTCAAAAATCATTTATTGATGTCAGCTTAATTATTTATTACTTGTTTTCCTCTTCATGGAAATCATTATAACCCTTTTAGTAGTAGTAGTACTTTACCATTTTTAAAGTGCCTTTTAAACATATTACTTTATTTCATCTTCAAAAGTTGCCCCATAAGTAGGTATGATTATCCATATTTTACAGATGAAAAACTCCATCTCAGAGAAGTTAAATTACCTGTTCAAGGAAAAAATAAAGTCAAACCTGATTATTTGAAGATGTGAAAGTTTAAGTTTATTATTATATGCATCTTTATAAAATACCATCTTAAAAGTATTCTTGACTTTTTAAAATAGGTTCCTTTGCCATTGATACACCTAGACCAATTTACTTTCATCTTCTTTGATTCAGATTCTGGTTTTGGTTAGCCTGATTCTCTTCATTACTCAAATCCACATCCAGGTAGGAAATAAAGTATTCAGAGGTCAGCAATAATTTCTCTGGTGATGTAGTTCATGTTCAGTGAAATAATATGTTAAGGCACCCCTTAGTGAGGACTCTTGTGGTGAACTATTTTGTATCTTGACTATGGAGGTGATTGTAGGAATATACATGCATGATAAAATGGCATAGAACTAAAGACATACACACACGTGCATATTAGTGCCATGTAAAACTCATGAAATCCATATAAGATCAGTGGACTGTATCAAAGCTAATTTCCTGGTTGTGATATTCTACTATAGTTATGCAAGGTGATACCATCATGGGAAAGGGAGTAAAAGGTACACAGGTTCTCTCTGCAATGTTTCTTAGAACTATATGTGCATCTACACTTAATCTCAAAATTAAACTACAATACACAAAACTGTAGTTAAAATACAATTAAACTGTTTTTAAAAAGACCCTTGTGATTAGTTAGTATTAAATTGTTTACATAATTCTTGAGGACACCTTGGACCCAGAGGAGCATAAAGGGTGTTTCAATATGCTTTATGCTCTCACTGTGAGCCATTACAACTGTGAGTGTGTCAGTGGGTATTGTGGAAGATCTGTTAGGCTTAAAGACCCAGACACTAACTAAACACTTCTATTTTCTAGCCATGTGATTTTGAGCAAGCCACTTTCTACTTTGAGTCTTGACTTGATTTGTAAGCTCTATGATGAGGTTATAATAGAGCTAGCTCTTAGCATGCAGTAAGACATCACCTCTCCATCTTCACTGCCCTTCCAAATTTACCTCTTACCCTACAACCATAGTAGATATATACAGTTTTTAATTTTCCTTTAAACACATTTTTGATTTCCCCATTTTTTAAATTATACTTTAAGTTCTGGGATACATGTGCCGAATGCACAGGTTTGTTACATAGGTATACATGTGCCATGGCAGTTTGCTGCACCCATCAACCTGTCATCCACATTAGGTATTTCTCCTAATGCTATCCCACCCCTTAGCCCCGACCCCCTGACAGGCCCTGGTGTGTGATGTTCCCGTCCCTGTGCCCATACGTTCTCATTGTTCAACTCCCACTTATGAGTGAGAACATGCAATGTTTGGTTTTCTGTTCCTGTGTTAGTTTGCTGAGAATGATGGTTTCCAGCTTCGTCCATGTCCCCGCAAAGGACATAAGCTCATTCTTTTTTATGGCTGCATGGTATTCCATGGTGTATATATGCCATATTTTCTTTATCCAGTCCATCATTGCTGGACATTTGGGTTGATTCCAAGTATTTGCTATTCTGAATAGTGCTGCAATAAATATATGTGTGCATGTGTCTTTATAGTAGAATGATTTATAATCTTTTGGGTATATACCCAATAATGGGATTGCTGTGTCAAATGGTATTTCTGCTTATAGATCCTTGAGGAATCGCCACACTGTCTTCCACAATGGTTGAAGTAATTTACACTTCCACCAACAGTGTAAAAGTATTCCTATTTTTCCACATCCTCTCCAGCATCTGTTGTTTCCTGACTTTTTAATGATCACCATTCTAACTGGCATGAGATGGCATCTCATTGTGGTTCTGATTTGCATTTCTCTAATGATCAGTGATGATGAGCTTTTTTTCATATGTTTGTGGGCCACATAAATGTGTCTTTTGAAAAGTATCTGTTCATATCCTCTGCCCACTTTTTGATGGGGTTGTTTTTTTTTTTCTTGTACATTTGTTTAAGTTCTTTGTAGATCCTGGGTATTAGCCCTTGGTCAGATGGATAGATTGCAAAAATTTTCTCCCATTCTGTAGGTTGCCTGTTCACTCTGATGGTAGTTTCTTTTGCTGTACAGAAGCTCTTTAGTATAATTAGATCTCATTTGTCAATTTTGGCTTTTGTTGCAATTGCTTTTGGTGTTTTAGTCATGAAGTCTTTGCCCATGCCTATGTCCTGAATGGTATTGCCTAGATTTTCTTCTAGGGTTTTTATGGTTTCAGGTCTTACATTTAAGTCTTTAATCCATCTTGAGTTAATTTTTGTATAAGGTGTAAGGAAGGAGTCCAGTTTCAGTTTTCTGCATATGGCTAGCCAATTTTCCCAACACCATTTATTAAATAGTGAATCCTTTCCCAATTACTTGTTTTTGTCAGGTTTGTCAAAGATCAGATGGTTGTGGATGTGTGATGTTATTTCTGAGGCCTCTGTTCTGTTCCATTGGTGTACATATCGGTTTTGGTACCAGTACCATGCTATTTACTGTAGCCTTGTAGTATAGTGTGAAATCAGGTAACACAAAGCCTCCAGCTTTGTTCTTTTTGCTTAAGATTGTCTTGGCTATACAAGCTCTTTTTTGATTCCATATGAAATTTAAAGTAGTTTTTTTCTAATTCTGTGAAGAAAGTCAATGGTAGCTTGATGGGAATAGCATTGAATCTATCAATTACTTTGGGCAGTGTGGCCATTTTCATGATATTGATTCTTCCTATCCATGAGCATGGAATATTTTTCCATTTGTTTGTGTCCTCTCTTATTTCCTTAAGCAGCGGTTTGTAGTTCTCCTTGAAGAGATCCTTCACATCCCTTGTAAGTTGTATTCCTAGGTATTTTATTCTCTTTGTAGTAATTGTGAATGGGAGTTCACTGTGATTTGGTTCTCTGTTTGTCTATTATTGGTCTATTATTGGTGTATAGGAATCCTTGTGATTTTTGCACATTGATTTTATATCCTGAGACTTTGCTGAAGTTGCTTATCAGCTTAAGGAATTTTTGGGCGGAGACGATGGGGTTTTCTAAATATACAATCATGTCATCTGCAAACAGAGACAATTGGACTTCCTCTCTTCCTATTTGAATACTTTTATTTCTTTCTCTTGCCTGATTGCCCTGGCCAGAACTTCCAATACCTATGTTGAATAGGAGTGGTGAGAGAGGACATTCTTGCCTTGTGCCAGTTTTCAAAGGGAATGCTTCCAGCTTTTGCCCATTCAGTATGATATTGGCTGTGGGTCTGTCATAAATAGCTCTTATTATTTTGAGATATGTTCCATCAATACCTAGTTTATTGAGTGTTTTTAGCATGAATGGGTGTTAAATTTTATTGAAGGTTTTTTCTGCATCTATTGAGATAATCATGTGGTTTTTGTCATTAGTTCTGTTTATGTGATGGATTACATTTATGGATTTGTGTATGTTGAACCAGCCTCGCATCCCAGAGATGAAGGCGACTTGATCATGGTGGATAAGCTTTTTAATGAGCTGCTGGATTCAGTTCGCCAGCATTTTATTGAGGATTTTCACATCGATGTTCATCAGGGACATTGGCCTGAAATTTTCTCTTTTTTATTGTGTCTCTGCTAGATTTTGGTATCAGGATAATGGCCTCATAAAATGAGTTAGGGAGGAGTCCCTCTTTTTCTATTGTTTGGAACAGTTTCAGAAGGAATGGTACCAGCTCCTCTTTGGACCTCTGGTAGAATTTGGCTGTGAATCCATCTGGTCTTGGGCTTTTTTTGGTTGGTAGGCTATTAATTACTGCCTCAATTTCAGAACTTGGTATTGGTCTATTTAGGGATTCGATCTCTTCGTGGTTTAGTCTTGGGAGGGTGTATGTGTCCAGGAATTTATCCATTTCTTCAAGATTTTCCAGTTTATTTGAGTAGAGGTGTTTATAGTATTCTCTGATGGTAGTTTGCATTTCTGTGGGATCAGTGATGATCTCCCGTTTATCATTTTTTATTGTACCTATTTGATTCTTCTCTCTTTTCTTATTAGTCTGGCTAGTGGTATATTTTGTTAATCTTTTCAGAACACCAGCTCCTGGATTCATGGATTTTTTTAAGGGTGTTTCGTGTCTCTTTCTCCTTCAGTTTTGCTCTGTTAGTTATTTCTTTTCTTCTGCTAGCTTTTGAATTTGTTTGCTCTTGCTTCTCTAGTTCTTTTAATTGTGATGTTAGGGTGTTGATTTTTTATCTTTCACAAAATGTAATAACAATATCACGATCACATTTAAAAAATTAACAATTCTTTAATATCATCTAATATTCAATATTCAAATCCCTGATGTCTCATGATTTTATAAAATAGATTGTTCAAACCATCAACCAAATGAGGTCACAGCAGATATTTCTAATGCATGACTTTTTCCTACTGATCTAGCAATTACTTCAGAAACTTTCTCAACACCGCACTCCAGATGACCCCTACTCTATGGTCAGGGTTGCCCCATAGGGAAATTGAAACCAATTTGCTTTTCCCAGACTAGAGTTCCTGATAAATCCACTTAGGTCAATTGTTCCTAATGGATTTCTAAGTCATTATTGAGGATCTGATAAAAAGCTGATGATTTTTTCTCTGATAATTAATCTTTAGCTGTTTTGTTTGTTTGTTTGTTTGTTTGTTTTTAGAACTAGCCATATTTTTGGTCCAGCCTTCTATTCTATGCAAGTAGTTAGGACCAGGACCATTGAGTTCCAGCTGACCTGAGTTTGAGTTTGAATGAAATCTCCTTCACTTACCAGCTGCATGACTTAATAATGATCTTGACCCTTGTAAGCTCTAGCTACCTCATCTGTTAAATGGAGATGAAAGGATGCATATCTCAGAGGACTGTGGTGAAGACCAAATGAACTAATTTAAGTATTGGATAATCATTAGAAGCAATTAATAATAATAAAAAATAACTGGCACAATAACCAACAAGGAGTTAGTATTCGCAAATTATATTTATATTTTATATAAATATGTATTTATATTTTATATAAAATATAAAATATAAATTATATTTATATTTGTAAATATAAATTATTAAAATATAAATATAATGTATATTTATATTTTATATAAATATATGTTTATATTTATATAGTAATATTAATATTATTACTATATTACTTTAGAATGTGGCTGTAGCATCATTTTTGGAAGCCAGAATGGTAATACTGAAAATCACTGCTTGTCTCAAGATCCAACTTCTGGAAATCTCAACCATTCTGAATACAGCCATCATTCTTAAAATTGAAGAGAACTGTTTTACAAGATCTTGACTTGTAAAGAAACCAAGTTTATTAAGGTAAAAAAAAATGGTACTACTCTTACCTTGAGAACTGTGTTTAAGAAGCAGAACAATGTATTAAAGGAATCTGGCAATGAGAGAAGCCACAAGACTATTGAAAAAGACCAGCATCCTCGGGTAATTTAGGGTGGGGACCAATGGGTCTGTTGTATCCTTTGAGGGCATCCCTCTATTACAGAAGAACCCAGAAAATGATGTTTCTAGGGCTGCCCAGTGAGATATTAGAATCATATTCAAAAACACTGACCTAAAAAAAGAGGTATAGGCTGGGCGTGGTGGCTCTTGTCTGTAATCCCAGCACTTTGGGAGGCTGAGGCAGGCAGATCATGAGGTCAGGAGTTTGAGACCAGACTGGCCAGCATGGTGAAACCCCATTTCTACTAAAAATACAAAAATTAGCCAGGTATGATGGTGCACGCCTGTAGTCCCAACTGCTTGGGAGGCTGAGGCAGAAGAATTGCTTGAACCTGGGAGGCGGAGTTTGCAGTGAGCCAAGATTGTGCCACTGCTCTCCAGCTTGAGCAACAGAGTGAGACTCTGTCAAAAAAAGAGGTATACACAGTAGTCATCCCTTCTCTGTGGGGGATATATTTCTGTGGGGTATACATCTTCAGTGGATGCCTGAAACTATGAACAGTACTGAACTCTAAATATACTATGTTTTTCCTGTATATACATACCTATGATAAAGTCTAATTTATGAATTAGGCACAATAAGATATTGAAAACCACTACTACTAATAAAATAACATTATACTGCAATATAAAGTTATATGAATGTGATCTCTTACAAATATCTTATTGATTTACTTACTTATATTGATAATATTCTTGAACTGCAGTTGACTATGGGTAATGGAAACCACAGAACAAGAAACTTTTTTTTTTTTTTTTGAGACAGAGTTTCACTCTTGTTGCCCAGGCTGGAGTGCAATGGCACGATCTCGGCTAACTGCAACCTCCCCACCCCGAGTCCAAGTAATTCTCCTATCTCAGAGGAAACTAATGTATTACTTTTAAACAAGTTTTCCACCCAACTAGACAGAAAGCTGTAAGATGCTTCTTCATATAGGATGGTGCCATGCACAAAAAAGGGAGCAATGCTTCTCATTTAGATAAATACTTTTCAGAGTGCTTCAAAAACTACATTGCATCTATCATTTTATTTTTTATTTTTTTGCACTTTCTGGCACTTTGCCAATTGCAGGATCCACACTAGAAAGAACTTGGTGCTATCGTGGGGCCTAAAAAGGAATAGCTTCTGCCTGCATTCTGGAACTTCTGATTGTATATCCTATTAAGAGTGGCTGTCTTCTTTAAATGTGACCTCTCAGCATCTTTTGTATTTTTCCATTTCCAAAAGCCTCTGGGGGTAGAGCAGAATGGAGCCATGCTTGGCCCATTGGCGGAGCAAAGTTATGAAGGAAAGGAAACAACACAGAGCTTGGAGAGAACAGAAGCTTCTTCTAGAGCCAAGAACACAGCTTTGTCCCACAAGCTGAAAACTGAGTCTGGGCAAGTGGGTCTCCCCTATGCCTTAGTGGAGTGGAAAGAGAGGAAGGAGACTGAGTTTGGGGAAGTTAACACCAAACCTTCTCTTGGACCTGAAATTCCCCAGGAATCTTGAAAACAGATTGTGTTTGGAAGGCAGGGTGTCTAAGCCAAGAGCTGCCTAAACCAGCCCAGGCCAGGGAGCCAGCCAATCTGTACTGGATTTTTCTTTTCCTCACCTTTAATGATGTTGTTTGTGCCTCTGGACTGACATAAGGGCTGGTGGGTGGCAACAAGAGGTGGAGGATGGGAGGGCGTCGGGATTTTTCACATATGAGTGAGAAAGAGAACAAACTGTGTCCACCAGAGGCAGTGAATGATAACATTTTCGTAAGGCCATAGACTGACCTTTTACCTGGGTGTTGGGGTAGGGAGGGTATTTTCAGAATTACCAGAGACACTTATGAAACCACAGCATCGAATAACACTGGTAAGTATCTTTGTCATTTCAACCCTTCAATCTAAAGTCTTATAGATCTCATAACCCACCATTCCTACCCTTCCCTAAAGCTTTCTCAGCTTTAATGTTATGCCTACAGATTACAGCCTGCTCATCACTTCTTTTAGGAGAGGTGACAACTAAAAACAAGCATAGGTAACAAAAGCATCTATTTTCTCTTTGATTGTTCCTTCTGTTTCAAACCTCTTTGCTTCCAACATGAGTCTCCCATTAGCTTTCAATTGTAATCTGAGTTGCTCAATTCTTCCCTTAGCTGTGAAATACTCACTTTCTCTTGCCCTGAGAATGTTTTTTTGTTGCCAGACTAAACCCGTGTGTGTTTTACAAGAGGTTATTTTCCCCCTTCTTAATAGAAACAAAATAAACTGAAAATCCACAGCACAAAATTATTAGAATAGAAAGTATGAAAATTGTCCTTAAGTTAGCAGCCAGGCAGCAGATAAGGAGGAATTTCCTAAGGGAAAATGATCCAGAGGGCATACACTGTTGTTTCATAAACCAGATGGTGCCTATTGGGACCAAGAAGCCCCAATTTATTCTGCTGTAGCTGAACTTACTATAAAGTATATTAGTGACCTAAAAAAAAAGTGGATGCAACTTCCTGAATTCTTATTTATGATAGACTAAGGGCAACTGAAAAAGGAAGAACCCAGAAACACATGTTAAGAGGGTGTAAGCCAGATTCAACTACCCACCTAACGTGCCTTAGGTCCCCTGTCCTTCCAGCCACACCGCTTGGCCAAACCCTTTAAGCCATCTCCTCCCTCTTTTCCATGCTGCTTCTCTGCTGTCCCAGGCAGGATAACAAAGCCTTCTCCCAAACATGGAGTGTGTCCTACTGAGCTGGGTTGGGAACTTGGATTCTCTGCTTACTAGGTGCCCTCTCTGGATGGAGTGATTTCTACTCCGTGAGCCTGTTGCTTCAATTGTAAAATGAGATTAGTAAAGATTATCTTAGTGGCTAATTATAAATGTTAAATTGGAACATAGAAAGTGATTAGCTAATAGTAGCCCTTATTATTTATTGCAATGATAACAAGGAGACAGATCACTTAGCACCTAACATTTACTCAAGAGTGATGTTCAAAATGTTTAATAGAAGTCTGAGCATAGTAGACTTCATCTCACCAGAGCAAATGATGGTCCTGGTCCTGGGAATAGAGGTTCCTGCTGTGCCCTGCATTAACCCCTCAGTTGCTAGATTGTAGGGAATGGAGGTGGGTGTTTCAGGGAGAGTTGGAAGGGATGTGAGGGGCAAGCTGGGTACTCAGCTGGCTTCAGGCACAAGTTATATACCACCCAAAGGAGACGAACTAAAATGTTTTAATTGCAAGTAACCTTGTAGCAGTAGAAATAAGTTAAATATTAACCCTGCATATAATGCCTTGTACTACTACTTAACATGTTATCTGCACATGGCATATTCTCAGGTAGGTCACAAGCTGGTAATTGAATGTTGAAACTAAATCTTGTGCTTCTGACTTCTCGAAGTAATAGAGTCAGTTATCAGAGGTGTTCAAGAACCATTTGCTGTTTGGTTGTCAACTAGAAGATATTATTATATATTATTTCTATGTATCACTCATATTTTGACAACTTTTTAAAAGGGATTAGTGGTGATTTAACACACAGGACAATGGATGCCTTGGAATCGCATTAGGTCAAGGGCAATAATACAAGATCCATTGAAAGTAATGGCAAAAACTGCAATGACTTTTGCACCAACCTAATAGTAATGAAACATGGCAAGCCACATTATGGTCTGTCTACCACAGAGCCCAGAGCATCATAACAACCAAAGCAAAAAGGGAAACTGGTTTGTTGCACAGATTCAATTATTTAATAAAAGGAAGCACACAGGAAACAAATATCTCACTCTAAGAGAAAATAATAATCCTGATAATCATTTGAGAGATTTGAACACCAGGATGGGCATTGTCTTCAGGAGCTGACCTTCCTCTCCCTCTTCATCTTCACTCCTGAGCTCCTGACCCTCCTCATCCATGTGCCCTATGTCCCAGCTATTGCATAAGTCTTGGTGTGCACTCATCAAGCCATAGCCTTCCATCCCATGGAGTTTTTGCAGAGGTGAACCCTCTGCGTGAAATTCTCTCTCCTCATTTTCTTCCTCCATCACACAGTCCAAATTTAGCCCCTCTTTTATACCTGACCCCACTGAGCTGGCTCTCTGATACCTCCCATCCCACCCACAAACTAGGCCACCTACACCCATTATAGTCACAGCTCAGCAATCAGTTCAGAGAATTCACCCCTTCTACCTTCTATCCACAGCTTTAAACCTGTATGCTCCTATCTGGCTTCAGTTTCAGGGCCTGGTATCTCAATTCTTTCTCTGGGACTTCTAGATGGAAAATTCCTGTGAGCAGCCTGTTGGCTTTCGATCTGGCTTCTCCCCAAAGCAAAAGTAGCCTTTCAGATCATCCCTCTTTGTAACAGATACTACAACTCCAGGAGGGCATCGGTGTACCTTTGTGTGAATTAGAAAATGTTGCCCAGCTTCATCTATGTCCCTGCAAAGGACATGATCTCATTACTTTTTATGGCTGCATAGTATCCCATGGTATACATGTACATTTTCTTTAACTAGAAGCCATTATCCGCAGCAAACTAATGCAGGAACAGAAAACCAAATACCACATGTTCTCACTTATAAGTGGAAGCTGAACAATGAGAACACATGGACACAAGGAGGGGAACAACACTTACTGGGGCCTATTGGGGGAGAGCAGGGGTGGGAGAGCATTAGGGAAAAGAGCTGATGCATGTTGGGCTTAATACCTAAGTGACAGGTTGATAGGTGTAGCAGACCACCATGGCACATGTTTACTTATGTAAAAAACCTGCACATCCTGCACATGTACCCCAAAACTTAATTTTTAAAAAGTTGCCCAGAAGGGAGAGCCAACTTAGAAACCCTAGGGCTGCATGGTTCCATGGCCTTTTCTTCAGGTGGACAGCCCTTCCTGCCAGGGCACATGGTTAACGGAGTGGAGCATGGAATGAATCTCAGAAAACCCCCATGTGCCCCCCTTCCCCTCTACGAGGCCCAGGTACCTGTGTGTACCATGCAGACTTCACATCCCTGGGTAAGGGCTCAAAGTCTCAGGTTCCTGGGGCAACTCTTCAGCTCACAATGAAAAGCAGCAAATACAAAGTCTTCCCTCATTCTTCCAAGTGAAATCTGAGTCTTTCCTTTGAACTTAACTAATGAATGTTCTTCCATTAGACATGCTATTTCACATTATGAATTTGTGCGTGCATGTCTGACTCCCAGGGTTATGAGACTTGAGTCATCTGCATATTTCTAAAGCCTTTCATCTACCTATTACTCCTCCAAAAATTCTCTTAAATGAATCAGCCTATGAATATACAGCAGAAAGTTTTAATGAGTCCCCTGGTTCTCTTGATTAGCTCCATTACCGACAATGGTCAACAGAACTACAATTGTGCTAAAGTATTTTTGTTCATCAGGCACATGTTAGGTCAGGAGCATCTGGACAGACCTTTTTGAGGGTAGAAGCTGGAGTCAAGTCTAGACAGGATATCCAGCTGATTGTTTGGTCAGATTTTTGCCAAAAAGGGAGAATGTCTCTTAACTGGCAAGTTAATTAGAAGTAAATCTTTATGCAAGATTAGGGTATAGTTCTTAGAGGAGGACTTAGAGACCACTGGGTTAAATTTTCTTCCTCTTCCTGTGACTTATTATATGTTTCTAATTTTCTTTAAAACTATGGGCCTATAACATCAGAGAAGTTGCTCACTCAGAGCCAAGCATTGAACAAGAGAGGTGTCCAAATCTGCAACTGTTGTGTGCCTCAGTAGCAAGGTTCAGGATTTGCTGCAATGTATGTCTGTGTAAAAATATTACTTCCTTTGAGATGAAGTTCTATTGATAACTTCTCTAGGCTTTACCAATCAAGAAAAAAGGGAAAATCAGTCTTACCATTTGCCTACACAAGGTGCATTCATGGCACATTTGTATCTAATCTGTCTAAACATTTCTCTTGGGTGACAGATAGACTTGTGTGTTTGAATCATGGAGGTCATTATGTGTTCACAGAGCTCTTGCCTCTGGTTCAATCCTCCTGAACTCCCAGTTTTTCCATCACAGTTTTTAAAACAGTTAAACTTGAAGAAAATGCAAATTTCATGGAATATTTTTACTTGTAACCCTCACATCTTTATTCCTGAAAATGGTAAATAAAGAAGGGATAAAAACCAAACAAGAATAAACAGTAACTTCTATAGAAAAGTGTTCATTTAAAATGAAAGTAAACTGCTTCTTAATGTTTCTCAATGGCTAAAACAGTGTCTGGCACGTAGTAAGAAATACAACATATGTATATGAAAGAATGACTCTGATAGGTAGCAATTGAACAGTATTGAACCATGATTATCTAATAATGTGAGCCAATAGCCACCCTTAGAAAAATAGCCTATCAAAATTAAACTATCCCTTTTAGGTCTTATGATGATTATGAATCAGCAAACCCCTATGTCACCTTGACAGTATGAGTCTTTTGGCTCCTGGGTTCAAGAGATTTCAAGTACAGATTAGTCTGCTGATGAAGTCCTAGGCTTCTTATTGGTGAAATTATACAGAAGGAGAAATCACAATAATGATAATGAAAGCTATCCTTGATCTCCTATCATGCACCTGTGACTGTTTAACTCTGAGATACAGGTTTGAATATTCACTTTTATAGGTGAGACTAATTCAGGGAGTTAGGGGCAGAATCTTAATTTGAATCTACATATATCACAGACACAAAACCTGTGTTCTTTCCTCTTTATTCGTATCAACCATCCAAGTTGCTCATTTAAAGGAATCAGGTTAGGACTAAGAGTAATAAACCCTTAATTTATAATGCCCTACTGACATTAACTAAAATCACTTTCACCAGCTTGCTCTTACAGTTACCAAAGTTAAATTGTCCAGTTGCTAAATAATACCACCACCACCACCACAAAAAACCTTAAAATGCAAAATGACAATAAATTAGTCTCCTAAAACAAATCTTTTGTGAATAAATATTGTTAAAGGTCATAAGGATGATTACCAAATTAGAATATTTGCCTTTAGTTCTTGATCCTGTCTAAAAGACAGCTTTTGATTGCTATGGTATCTATTATGTTCCCTTGAATCCTCAGAATGAAAGCAAAATGCAGTTATCTATGTTTGAAATTTAGAATTGAATGGTTCTATGGTTACCAATTACCCAACACCATTTGATAGGACTAGCCTAGATGATGATGGCTCACCAATTTCCTTGCAAGGGCAAGAGCTGATAATCAACTGACTAATGAGGATTGACTTCTACAATTGATGAGCATGGAATTGGATGTGCCTAAATCAACAGAAGAGGGATTTTGATGTCATCACACTGTAGCCCCAGAAGACAGAACGCTCAAAGGTGTCAATGGGCAGAATTTGTAGATGACATACAGCATCCAATGGATTACTCCTATTCAGGTATTGCTTAATGTAGAACAAACAAGAAGTTTAACTGGTGGAAAAAAAGGTTATAAGATTTAATAAATTAGTTTTAAGCAAGAATGAGTCCAGGATTCCTATCTTAGACAATTAAATAGTGTCATTAATCCAGATGATATTCATTAATGTTGAAATGACTAAAACAAAAGAAACTGAAGGTTTAGTCTTTAGAACAAAGGAAAACAAAATTAAGAACATACCAGTAAAAACATGGAAATATATCATTAAGGTCTTTATCTAAATCAGAATAAGTAAAAAAATTGTACCATGAGTAAATGACTGTCTGAATTTTAATGCCAGAGATTTCTCTTTAGGATAATGGAAGAAAAAGGTTCTTACCCTTCAGCAGATAGCATGCTGAGCCCTGAACAAATTTTATGACTTCTGGTGCAAAGCAGACCCAGTCAGCTTGCCTCTAGCAACTGGTTAATACTACTCCAAGGAAACCACACTTAAAATTCTTGGAAGTTCTTTTACCATCACATCAAGTTGCATTTTGAAGCTGAAGCCCTTCGAATCCATTTATACCTTGTGATATTCCCTTGCCAGATTGTTGTTTTGTTTGCTAGACATGATTTTAGGATTTTGTCAAGGAAGCCATCTATGACCCCAATCAATCAAAACCATAAGGATCAAGGCTGGAAGAACCGTAAGTGTTCTTTGACAGTTTGCGTATCTAGTATTGAAAGACATTAATCTTCCTAACTCTCAAAATATGTGTTTCAGTGCTACATATTTTAACAGATCACACACTCTTTCTAAAATGTTCTTCATTTTTCTCCCCAATGGAGCCCTAAGCTCTATCACCATTCTCTCTGTCTCTAGTATTCCTTAGAGCAAAGGATGCAATGTCAAGCAAGTTGTGATACCTCAACTATCTACAATTTAACACCAAGGAAAGAACACTGTTTGGAGAAATGAGAAAGATTATCATCAGTGTCTTTCAGAAGTCATCAAAAGAAGAAAAGGAGAAAAGAGAGGAGAAAGCAGAAAGGTATAGGAAATTACCAGTTGAAGTATGAAAATTGAAGAGCAAGGAAAAAAGTATTCAAATGTTCATATTGAGGTTCATATACGATTAAGAAGGAGAAGTGTAACTTAGAAAGAAATTTTGTAAAAAGGAACATTTAAAAGGATTATAAAATGCTTATGTAAAAGTATTTGGAAGAAAGTCTCAGCCACCAGTCATTTATTCTAAAGTAGGAGAAGGAAGCTTGTATATCTGTATTGCAAAAATCTTTATGGTAAAAAGTGCCTCCAGGCACTTCATAAATCGGAAATGGGTAAAATATGACTCGTATGCTTTTATGCTTTTTAAAATATGTAGATTTAAAGCAATGTTGGTTTTAAACAAGACAGTTGCTCAAAGCAATTCTTGAGACCATGCCTCTATGGCAAATATCAAGTGGTGGATAAAAGCAATTATCTGAGAAATCATGCATCTTACATTAATAGAGCATCAACCGGTAGGGCAAGACTTTGTAGATTCAGAGTATGTAATCACTGACTTATCCCAGTGTAGTTGACGGGGCACTAAAAGAGCTCATCTACCCCAAATAACTCCCTTTCTGAATTAGAATTAGCACCTGTGAGGACCACTTTTTTAAATTAAAATATATTTAGACAGCTCCTGCTAGAATACATATCAGCTACCCATGCAGGCAACACAACAATACAAAAATGATCTATTATTGCATTAAGTTGATCTAGTTAAAATCTTAGGTAAACCTGGAAATTTTTGTGCAGAATCCAGAGGGTATAGTAAAAGGATAGAGCCATTTTACAGAGGAAGAATATTTCAAGAGTTACAGACTTGAGTGAATTGCTCAGAGAGGAAAAAGCCAGAATCCTGGACCTCAGATGCGGCTTCCTTAGGGCACAGAGCATTTGCAGGGGAGGGCCCAGTAGAAGAGTATGGAGTGATAAATACAGTTTGCCTTTTTAATAATATTCTCCAGGGATGTCCCTGCTAGGCTTTCTGGAACCTTATTCTAATCTTAGTCACTATAAATCAAGGATAATTTGGTCTGTCTTAGTCCTCATGCAAACATACCCTACTACTGAAGTATCATAAAGGCCTTGAAGTAGACTGAATGCTTGGACACTGCCTTGTAGCTAGGAAAGTTGACCCATCATTGGGGTCTGATATTCAGGTGGATCTAGGAGGTCAAGACTTGAGTTATTCACTCCACCATCACCTCCCACTCCCACACACATATTTGTATAAGAAATAATAGTCAAGGACCAATAGCTAAAAAGAGATGTGCATCCAGTGACCAATGAGCTAAATGGCCCCACTGGATCTGTAGGAGAAGAGCTTTATAATGTAATGCCTAGATATGCTCTTACCGGGAACCCACATTCCAAAATAGAAATAATGATAGGAAGTAAAACAGGGGCTTTCCCCCTTTTTGGTGACTTCAGTGAATGCTGCCTGGCACGTGGACACACTTCCTCAACAAATCATGGCGTTGTTTTTTCTCCTTGTTTTTTCCTTGAATAACATTTCCACTTTCCTCCAATCACTGAAAATAATAACCAGTATCTTCTCAGTATGTGCCCCTGAACGCTGTATTTGAGAAAGGGTGCTGTGACCTCCCAAAGACAGATTTGGCAGGTAGCAATCTTGGGGAAAAGGGAATGTGTGTTCACTGTTGGTAACACAGAATGGAAAATCTCAGTGTAAAAATCATCTGGCTAGGAATTTTATGGATTCTTCAGTTTTCTCCAATTCCCACTTCCAGCAGTGGTGGATGAGAGAGACTAGAGCAATTCAATGCTTGTGATAAACTATTAATTTCAACAATTAAGCAAGAATGCTGTTGATATAGCTTGAACTTTGATTAATATTTGTTATTTTAGTGGGATTTAGTAGAGAATTTTTCTAGTACAGTAACTGCAATGCAGATATCCTTGGTTTGATTTAACACTTTGCCTTTGGGGATTGTTAACTCTGATGTTGTTCCTTAGTAACCACCATAGGTCACCAGTAACAGAATAGTTACCTGGACTAGAATCCCTAGAGGAAGACGACAAGATAATCAAGAATGACCCTGAGTCTTTGACTATGTCTTCATTGGGAAGCAGTTTACTTTATATTCTCTTATCAATATTGAAGTAACCATAAGTGTAAATCTATCCCCAGCTCCCTATGAACGTGGAACGCTTTTTATTCTTCCCAGTGGATTATTTAGAAAAATACAGCCAGAGTTTCATTTCAGATAACTTTCTCAAAATAATAATTTTAAAAATGTGTGTCTTTTGAGGGTCTGCCATGGAATGAAACTTGTTAGAAGTGAATCTATTTATTTTATTTAATTTTGTTCGAAGCTCCATAATCCCATTGTGAAAGCCCCTAACTCTTAGGAGGGCTGCTAAGCAAGAAGGAAGACTGTGGGTTTTTAATCTTATTTTTTCCCCTCCCTTCCCTTCTGTTGGTGAATTCTATTTGTATTGCAGAGATTGAATTCTCAGTTCAAGTACGTTCTTGTTAATAAAAGAGACATGGGTGAGTCCTCTAAATCCCTGCACATATTCTTCTCAGATGAAAAAAACAGTCTGCTTACTAAATATCCATTTTTCTTTCTTGTTGGCACTCTCTCAGGAAGAACCAGCTCAGGGCAGAGTGCGCTGGGGCAGCAAATGTCAGAGGGTGCAGAAAGAGGTCAAGTGTATCACTCCTTGGAACCTATTGGTTAGTTTTGAGTTGACCAAAGCTACAGCAAGTAATTTCATCATTAATCTTAAAAGGAAAAGGGATGGTGACAAACAACCAGAGTTGGTTAAAAAAAAAAAAACCAACATCTGTAAAATGTCTTCCTTTTTATGGCTGAAAGTGATGGTTTGGAGAAAGTATGTGAACCTCCTTCAATTAGCAGAGCTATTCCATTTTTATTCATATTTTCTAAAAGAGAAATTTTCATTCTTAGACAACCCTAATCCTGTTATGAGGCTGGTAATGTGTATCATTTTTAACCCTTGACATCATTTTTCATTTGACAAACTGGGCCTTCCTTATCAGTTGTTTTAAAATTTCTTCCTCTGTGCTGCTACTGGCTTTTGGCACTTTCATTTAAGCATAGTTTAAAAAAAAATTCAAAGAAAAGATCATTCTTTTCCCTGCCTTGATATAAAGATGAACCAGTCAATCATTCATGGAGTACCCTGCTCACATCTCATAGTACAATTTCAAATGTTGATAATTTACTTTTGATGCTAATTAATTACAAGTAATCATAAAAACAAATTAAAAGCACTATACTTATTGCAGGTTTTCTTATGCTCCTGAAATAATGCATTTTTATGCATCTGTTTACTTGCTTTGCAAAAAAATGTAATAATCTATATTCATAGAAAAACAACTTTAGTGCTCTGCGTCAAAGCTGTAAACTGTTATTGGTTATTTGGGTTTTTTCCCCCTAAGATATTAAAATGGAAGAATGAAAGTGAGCTACATCAAGTGAAAGAGATTAATGCATTTCAGGGCTAACCTAAAAGCAGGAATTTAGGATTTCTTTTTCATTCCTGTTTGCTTGTTTGTCTTTTTAAGAGGCAAATAAACAAACAAGCAAACAGGAAAGAAATATTTTGCTCTTGAAAATTGGTTGCAGGGTGGAGAACCAGCTTTGGCTTGCAGGCCTAGAAGACGTATAAACCCCAAGAGACACTTCTACATTTTCTCTGCCAGGGGAAGAGGAGGGGGGATTACTTTTTGGGTTCTGTTCTCTCCAACAAAGAGGTCTTTTCACCCCATTTTAGAAATGTGGTGAATGGAACCACAGCGTTATCTTCCGCAGAATCACTATTCATACTCCAATTTCTCATCGACTCCTCCTCCCACCTCCTTAAAAGCTCAGCTGGGAGGCAGCAGAGAGTAGTGGGGAAATAATGGGCAGGAGTCAGGACACCTGTGATTCTGGGGTGGGCTCCTGACTATACCATGTTCTACTCAAAGAGAATCACTGACCTCCTTGGACCTCAGTTTCCTCATCTGCAATGTGCAATGTATGTCTTCAGTCTTTCCTATATCAAAGGAGCTGCTCCACGTGAAGATGGGATGATGCAACTGTGCAAGTTGTAACAAAAAGAGAAAAGCAACAAGAAGAGAAAAGCAAAGGCTCTTTATTGAGAGCGTGCTACAGCAAGGGGGTCATCCACAAGCACCTGAATTTTGGCAGAGACTCGAAGGCAGGCAGGAATGGGAAAGCTTTAGAGTGGAAAACAGGGAAAGCTTCAGGTATGCCCTGATTAGAGCCTGTTGAAATGGAAAAGTTGGAAGCAGCCTAACTAGAAGTGGGGTGTGCTATGTGATTAATTAGAGGTGCATATTTGGCTTCCTCTTATTGGTCCTAAGTTGGAAACAGGGACAAAAAATAGGAAAGCTGCCAGTTATTAAACAAATTCTGGCCACTTGGAGCTGATTGCTACAGAAGTTATTGTATAGCTTCCTAGATTGTCACTAGAGACAGCAGACTGGCTTCCTGCAAGTCTGACTTCTAGCAGGCTGGCTTTCTAGGTTGTTTATAGTAGATAAAAGGTTGGTTTCCTGGAGAGCTTGCTCCAGATTGTGGATCAAAGTTCTAATTTTATATATGGTCTAGCCATTGGTCACTTACGTATTTAGTTTCCCACAACTGAGGTTACGCTTGAAGATGGTATTCAGCAAAGCTGGGACTTGTACAGGAGTAGAGTTAAATTTCTTCTAAATATATTAAGGTAGTTTAACTCCAAAAATTGCCTCTAGGGTAAACCCAGAATGAAATATAATTTTTGTGCACACACATTTCCCATCCCCCACCCCAAATGAGATTCTATCTCCAGGCATAAGTTATGTGTTAAGTCTGGGTGTAAATCTTATTTGAACCTGAAGAGGTCTCTGAAACCTGGTCACTCGATTTGTAAATCCTGGGGCCACCTTGAAGCTGTTAGAAGTCAGCCCAATTTGAGGGCTAGGTTTTAATTTATACGATCAGTTTTTTTTAGCAGTTGTTAGTTACACACTACTGTTCAGAAAAGCATTGCCTTGTAGAATTTTAATTGATTTTCACAAAAATGCATTTGGTTTATCTACATAAATAATTTGCATTTATGAATGTTTGGTTTGCCCTTTTTTAGTCCCTGAAAATCCTAAGGAACAACATATCAAAGCATATGTTCCTAGCCCTATTTCTAGACCTTTGGAAATACCAGGGAAGTCATAAGCACGGAGGGGCAATATGGTAGAGTGCCTTGCAGGCAGGCACATCTGGTAGGACCTGGCTGCAGCACATGTGACTTTAGGTAACTGAAACTCCACGGACCTTGGTTTCTTCATATGGAAACAGGGGGATTAAAAAACCTACTATGATTCCTAGGAAGTTTAAATGAGGTAAAGTTAAAAGTGCAAGCAGAATGTCTGGCACCAAGTTGGCACATAATAAATGTTCCTTCCCTTTTCTTCCGCCCCCTGACTTTTAGAAAATGTAGCTAAAAGAAGGAAGTAATCTCTGTTCCTAAGATCATCTTTGACTCACTCCCCAATATTTTTTAAAAATCCATCCACAAATGGATTTTTTAACCTTTCTCTTCCCTGTTCCTCTTTGCTGTACTTTCCAAAGGGAAGAAGCAAGTTGAGGCAGGCTCATCAGGCCCCCTCCAGTCATAGAGTCTCCTCTAGTGCTTATCCTGGAGCACCTACCAGACCCTACTCTCTTTTCTTTGTGCATCTTTATCCTCTCATACTCACCCTATTCAGCTGTGCACTGATCCCACCGGACAAGCAGAAGTTGGGAGGATGTGGTTTCACCTCTGCTTAAGATCTGCGTTGCTGGCCTGGAGGCATTCTTGTGAGCAAGGAAGCATCACTTTGATAACAGAATGGCTTCAAGCTGGATTTGGTTTCCTGGTTTGACATTCTGGGGTTCCTGCTGCCTCCATCTTTAGGGTAGAAGATGTGCTGAAAGACTGTGCAGCCACCATAACAATCAAGCCATGTCTCATTTCAAGTCAGGGCTGGAGGAGCACAGAGCAGGGAGAATGCACTGGGTTCCTCTTTCAGACAACGTTTCACACATTTTAGATTTAACAATACCCTAAAGGCAATCTACCCAGTGCCTTACTCTCATAATCATCAAACATGTTTGTAAGGGAGGTTTAATCAACATAGCTCTCCTTCATTGGCTGTTAACCCATTAAAGTGTTATTTTAAGAATTAGCCGCCATCAATTTTGAAGAATCACAGAGTGACTAAATATCCCGGTGTCTAGAAAATGGATCTATGCCTAATGACTGGCAAGGAAACCCCTTAGCCCCAGAGTAGAGAAAATACTAGACTACCTCATTTAATACCACTGTCTGTAACCCCCAAGCCCCCATCTCTGACTACCCCACCAGCCTACACATTCAACCACATTTAACTAGGCAGAATAATTTCCTGGCTTGGAATCATTCTCGCATATGCCTGACCAGTGAAAGGAAAATTCTTAGTAATTTTCCGAATTACTGTAAGCAGCCAGCAAGAGGCAGGATAATCACAATTAATATTTGAAGATGTTTTTCCATTTATAGTACTTTTTCTTAAATAACATCTCAACTGACACTTAAAAACAGGTTTGTGGTGACTTTTATATTATTATTCTAATTTTACGATGAGGAAGTTGGGGCTTAGAGAGGAAGAAGTTGTCAGAACTTGAATACAATCCCCTCTGACTCTCAATCCTGCACTTGATTATTTGACACTATAGTCTTCAGTCTTCACAGGGTGCCCTAGCTCAGATGTGTGGGACAAATATTGAGGGTTTTGCTTAAATGGAGTGGAGGGAGCAAACCCAACATGCTCTCTGGGCTAACCAGACTCTGGAACGAGCACCACACAAAATTGTGACATTTATATTTGAAGTATATCTTCCTTCTCTTTTCTGTGCTAATTTACCTCCTACTTGCTTTTTTCTGTCCTTCTTTACCCCCATTGTAGTGCCCAGATAAGTCATTAAAGAGTATAAATGGAAAAAGAAGAGCAGATAGGTTTATCCTCAGTCCCCAAATCCCATCACTTCTATGACCCTCCAGGGCATTTTTATGATTTCTGCATTTGACTGCCTGGTATTTCTGCCCAGAGCACAAAGAGTACAAACCCCATAAAGTGCTGAATATATACACAACCCGAGCAACTTCATGGAGACTATCAGAGCAGAACAAAAGCACAGTGTTTTAGGAGGCATGGCCTTGGAGAATCACCATCTTCAGAAGCATTTACCAGACAGGTGAATGCTAGTACTTGTTGATGGCTGTTTATTTGCTCCAAAACAGCAACAGAGCCTTCATACCAGACCCTCAAAAGAAACATAATCTAGAGAATTTTCACTCCAAGTGAAGAGCAGGTTGTAGAGATGACAATGGTAAACAAGTCAACTGAGTAGGCTTGAGCCAAGAAGATAAAATGCACAGTCCAACTATTCTCTTACTAGAGCACCACCTAACCCAAGTATTCTCCTGGAATTGGGCAGGCTCATTTGGCGTGCTTTTGACATAATCTGCAACTCACAGAATAAAACAGTTGGAGAAAAGGAAAAGAAAGGAGGTACCCAGGACAAGCTGCTTTCTTCACAGTTATGTTAAAGGCCAGTCTCGATAGAAGGAAAACCACAAACCTAGGAAGCAAACACAAAGCAGAGCAGAAATTGGAAACCTTCAACAGGAGAGGCTACTATTCAAAATTAGGATAATGGTGACATTTACTCATTCTAAACTTGGAACTCAGATAAATAAAAAAGGCTGATGAAAGCTACTGATAAAAATGAAGCTGGAGTGCTGGATGCAGGAGTCTGGTTTCCTCTTTGTTTTGGGCGGGGTGTGAACAAACTTTCCCCTACAAAGAAATTTAGAAGAGAATTGGACAAAGGGCTGGGAGCTAGGCAGGAATAAATACAGAAAAGAATAGAGTTGAGGGCTCCTCTTTGTCATAAGCAGGGGAAGCCATGTAATAGAAAGGTCTAGAAAGGAGGCAATCAGATCCCAACAGTGGAAATGGTCTCATTAGAGCTTATATCTCTGGATTGGTGGTGTGGTGATGGTGGTTTAACTATAGCCAGCTTTGAAAGGCAATGACCCAAGACTTTTTGGAAAGCCCCATCTGATGTCCTATTTCCTGATCTTACAGTACATCCTAATATAACCCATATCCTAGGTCTGAGTTATAAAACAACAAAATGAAAAGTCATTTGGCCCATCCATTCATCCATTTTTTCACTGCTCGAGAAGGATTTATTGAGTAAATATTTCATGCCAGATACTGTGCTAGATGCTGGGAACATGGACACAAGGAACAAGTGCTCTCTGCCCATTGAGAAACAGACAGCCATGTATTCAGACAATTATAAAATACTATGATTAATGATAGAAGAAATAGCTAGGCACAATAAGAACAGATAGTAGAGGCATGAGAAAGCCTAGGGAATCTAGAATAGGGTATGATTCTTTTTCCCAAAATAAAAAATATAAGGGGACACATTTCAGGGACATTTAGTACATATTTGATGCAATAAGCTCTTTTTAAAATTAATTTTTTATTGATATATGATAGAGTTACAACAAACTTTACAAATCTTGTGTTCTGCTAAGCTTTTACATGCATACATGTGAGTCATCACCACTCATATCAAGATACAGAATATTCTCACACCCCAGAAGGCACCCTCGTGCTCTTAGTCAATACCCTCTCCCTAGAGGTAACCACTGTTCTGACTTCTGTCACCTTGGGTTAGTTTTGACTGACTTCAACTTCCCAGAAATGAAACTGTACCGTATGTATTCTTTGTGGCTGTCTTTCTCCACTCATCATTAACTCGATGAGATTCATCCAGATTATGTAAATGTCTTTATACTAAAATGAGGTGGCAGTGGAAGTCGTTCCTGGATTTTAGGATTTTTCTCGAGGGGAGTTAATTGGCTGGGAAAGGGGAAACAGATGGTGGAGTGGAACAACATAAAAGTTTAGATTCAATGAGGGAGGGTTTCAGTTTTGCAGAGACCACTTGCTAAGTGTGTATCTTGAGAATATCAGTCTCTGAACTTCAGTTTTCTTCTCTGCAAAATGAAGATAACACCACCACCTACCTCACAGAGCTGTTAATATAATGTATGTAAAAAAGATCAGTTCTAAACTGTAAAGTGCGATACAAATAGATTTTTAACTGTTTTCATTAGTTTATTGTTTCTGCACAAATAGATATGTGAGTGTGTATTTATGAATGGCTAAAGATATGTAAAAGACAATTTTTCTATTATGCCTTAGCATACTCTTAGCAATCAATTGGATTTTATTACTCAAATGCAATTTAATTAACATTCAACAACTGCCTTGTTAAATTTAAAAATTTATTCTAGTTGCATGTGATCTGAAGCTAAAACATGAGTTGGTATTCTAAGTCTTGGGATCTGGTTGTCAAATCAAACAATACTTTGAATTTACCAGACATGTTATAACACCTGTAATAATGCACATTAAAAAGTGCCCTATCTTGAGCCTCCATTTCCTTCTGTTACAAGTCTTGCATTGTAAAACAGCAAAGGCAAACATTCCACAGAAGGAAGGAAAGGTTTTAGATTTCTTCTCAGTTTTTTTCCTTTTGATTTGCAGTTTGTGACCACAAAGGGAAAATGCAGAGATGAATGTCTCTTGAAATAAGAAATGATAGGAGATGGCTAGGGCTGAAAAGTTTCCATTTAAGTTAGGGGAAAGTGAAACTTTGAAAGTGACTTTTTAATTTCTTGAATTAATTGGTAAATATCTTACGTGCTCTTCCACAAGATTATACATTCAAAATTAGAAAATAGATTCATTCAAATTCTCTACCAACTGTTGTACATGCTCTTGCTGATGGGAAACGGAGAATTCATTTTCTCAATGGCTACATTGCCAGCCATCATCTGGAGGGCTCTGTCTATAAACATGAAACCAGAAACGTTGGTGGGAGGAGACGTTAGCCAATCCCCTACCAGGCTGTAAGTAATACTACATCCTCCACCTGGCACCATTAATAATCCTATTCAATGAACCCTTTATTATTAATATTACTGGCATAAAAAATGACCCCACACTTACAGGTGTAACTTAATGAGGCACATGTTGTAGCCAGATGTCTTACAAGGCCAACTCCACCACCACAGTACACATCTTTGTGCACGTTTCATAAAAGGAAACCATCTGAAAGCATTCATTTCAAGAGCATATTCATCACGTAGCATGGTCAGTTGAGGAGTGACGCTCTTTTACTTAAGTTTAAACAGATGGATCAAACCTGGGAGTTATATTCAGCATACCTTTTTAAAAAATAATTATCTGATTTAAACTGCCAAATGTATTTTCTTCTTTTCGCCCTCTTCATGATAATATTGAGGAGTTGGCAGCATGGGCACAGCCCAGAATTAGGGGGTGTCTACCATTCAACTGGCTCCCACCTGCTGCCTTTAGAGACTGGGCTCTGCGACAGAATTTCTTTTCATTCTCTGCATTTGCTAAATTCTAGAACAGATTTCTGTCAAAACTCAAGTGGCCATTTAGAAGTTGATTTAAATAATAAGAATGGCACCTGATTGTGACAATGTAGACGTCTTGTGCAAACTTTCTGGTCTGGGTCTTCCAGAGGAAGTAAAGTGTCCTGTGGCCATAGATGTTGTCTGTTCATATGACACCTTACTCCACAGGAGATACACCTGCTTTTCACTGCCAGCTAATAGCATGGATGCCCTTGTGCCAACTAGCCTTTGCAGGAATCACATCTAGAGTACAGATTTGTTGCCTCTCTAGTTCTCATTAGCTCTTCTGCAGAGGGTTCAAGGTTGGTGTCCGTGGTGGCTTAGATGGAACCACTGGGCTAACATATATAGAATGTAAACTAGTCCTTGAAAAAAGCATCATGCAGAGATAAGAGAAGAGCCTAAGAAAAAATATAGAAGAGGAAACAATCACTCAAGGCCAGACATGTGGGTGTCCTCCAGAGGATAAAAGAGGGGGGCTCTAGGCAGGCTTTTAATTCTGCACGCCTTCAAATTGATGGTCTCTAAATATGTTCAGAAAAGAACAAGAATAGGATGTTATATGAAGGGAAGGGCAGAGAAAAGGCAGTGGGTGGCAGCACTCAAAGATCTTCCTTCCCAAATAAATTCAGCTTTGGCCCCAAGCTCCATGAGAACCCTGATTTTAAGATGACCCAGTCTCGTTTGAAGGTTACTTAAAGACCATCTGTTGACCTCAAGCATGTCTCATAGGGGAACGCATCTGCCTTCCAAGCAGCTCACCAAAGAATCCCTTCCCTCCGCATGTCAGAGTCTCCCTGAGAGGAGTATTAGAAATGCAGTTTGCTCCATCTTGCGACATTTCTGGTGTCATTGGAATACCCCTGGGGATTTTCCAGTGTCAGTAAGATATTCCTAAGAGCACTTAAATGCATTTGTGCATTGGTGTACCATGTACCCGTTTGAGTGGTCCACTTCTCAGTCCAACTCTGATCTTGGTGTGCAGGGCAGCAGTAAAGAGGTGAGCAGATCTAATTTTCTCATTCCACTACTTCCCAGGAGTTGAATTTCCCCTCCCACATCCCTGCTGCTCCTCTCTCCTTGTATTCATCCAGGGAAGGGCCACTTCAATTCATCTTTCTCTTTCTTTTCATCTCTGTTAGAATGTTTATCAGAATGTCTCTGTCTCTGTATCTCACCCTACACACACACACACTCCTCTCTACCTGTGCTCGTTCTTCTCCATCTGCAGGCAAACTTTCTCCTCTTCCAGTGTTCACCTGGCAGAAAACATGGCTGCTTAAGTTGTCAAAGTTTACATATTACATCCTCACTGTTCTCTCTCTGGAGAGAGAACAGTTTTTCTTTCATGG
Organism: Homo sapiens; assembly: GCF_000001405.40. Classification (NCBI taxonomy): domain Eukaryota; kingdom Metazoa; phylum Chordata; class Mammalia; order Primates; family Hominidae; genus Homo; species Homo sapiens. Next base: position 56,109,405 of record NC_000018.10, on the reverse strand, counting down.
TCTTCTCTTCCAAAGATCTCCAGGAAGGACTCTGGTGGACTCCCTTCTCCCAACAAATCCCTCTCCCTCTGAGAAAAAGTGGTTTGGATTGTAGTGTAAAAATTAGCTGGTAGTTGTAGCCAAACTTCAAGTAGCAGAACCTTGGGAAATCACCAGGCAATCATGAAGAAACAGGAGGTTAAAACTACATTGTGGAGGCTCTGGGCACAGCCAGAATATCTGACCATCCTGTTTTCAACAAAATGTTGTTTCCAGAAGAATGATCTTCATGATTAATAAGTCAGGGGCGTGGAATAGATTGACTGCAGCCGAGGGAGAGAGGAGCCAGGGGCACAAGTTTAAAGGACATTACTTATCTACAAGGATGTCCACTACAGAATTATTTATAATAAGGGAAAGATTAGCAAATATAAAAATGTCTAACAATCAGGGATGAGCTAAATAAATAATAATAATAAATTAAGACAAAGAACCATATGATGAAACACTGTGTACTCAACAAAAATTCTGTTATGGAATATTATTTAGGAAACATATTTCAAAGCTCATGATTTTATATCTAGTCTCTTGGGAGATATCACATAGCACAAGTTGAAATCATTGAGTCTAGAAACAGTTGAAATTCAAACCTGACTTTGCCAAACCGAAACCAACTTTTCTCATAAATACTATCTAAGCCTGATTAGATAAAACTGTTAAATCTCTTACTTGCTATTTTTCCGGTAGAAATGTATGCAGTCACTATATGATTTTCCAAGAATTTGGTCAAAATAATTGTTATTAATCTCTTTCACAAAATACATTTTTAATCATTCCAGCTGATCCATCAAATCATTTGGCACTGACCACTTTCAATTTAAAATACAACTTTTGCTTCCTTTGGAACAAAGTTTGGGAAAACATACTGTTGATGAGATAGATAAAAATCACATGATCTCTGGCTAGGTTGTATCTTATCAGTGGAAAAATATAGCATTTCAGATTCTTTCGCTATCAATTTGAGCATTCCTTTATAAGTACTAAGCTGTTTCATGGACTATTAGCTGTGTGAAGGAAGTCATGCTTTAAATCATTTTTTAAAGCTAGTTTTAAGAAAAGTGGAGAAGCACATTAAATGAGTAAATAAAGTTCAAAGAAGGCTGCAGTGGCCAATGAAACAGTGAGCTCTTTGCTGACAGAGGCTTGAGAATGCCCCAGCCTGGAACCTCTGCACATCCTTATATCCTCGGTGCAATTATGCACTTAGCAAAAGCGGTGTCTTTTGTGAGATATCTTCCAACAAGTTTCATGGAACTGGCTTACAAAGAGGCATCGCTTTAATTGTGGTACAGGAAAGAATAGATCTATGATCTCAAAAGGACAGAATACTTGTAAAATTTATGTAGCTCTTTAATACAAGGCGCTTTGGTTTAAAGAGTGGGGAATTTACATGTGTTAAGTGCTCCTACAAATCCACTTTACCCTTTCTTGGAAAAGGGCAACACAATAATAAGAGTTAAATTTATGTGTAAGATGTCTGTATGGTAGAGCTGCTCAAATCAGTAAATATTACACAGTTGACTAACTGCCTCTGCTTTTAATCTTTAAATATCTACAACGAGTTGCTGTCTGCTGAGTGAGGGACACTTAGCCCACACTCTTTAAACCTTTGTGGTCTGGTTCTATATTATGAACAGAAGATTATAAAATTTAAACTCCAAATGGGCTGCCTGCCCACTGTTGTTTCCAGAGCCTTCCTACCCTGCATGTAGATGTCAGAATTTTCTTTCTTAAATAACATTTTCAAAAAGAGTGCTTTTCTATTGAATTTTATATCCTATTTTCATCTCTCTGTCCTTACAAGCCTCTAACAACTTAATCTCTTTTATTTTCCCATTAGAAAAAAAACTCGTTTCTCATTTTTCTTTAGCATAAAACTTACAAGCAAAATTTTTAAGTATTAACTAGCTCACTTGTTCATTTTACACACACACACACACACACACACACTGTATATGATCAACATTGTTTTTAAAAGAAAGCAATATGTCTACATATTCCTGTCTTTCGAACAGCACCCCTACCAACTCCTTGCCACTGCTGAAGGTCTGGGCCTCTCCTGCCTTGTCTTGTCATGAGATTTTACTCCTCTTTGGCTACAGTTGATGGGGGACCAGGGCTGCAAACCTGACCTATGACCTGGGCCATTCAGATTCTTTCTCTTAAGAATATGAACCATGAGGCAAGAGACTAGAGGTCATGGTGCTCCCTGGCCCATGAAAACTTGGTGCAGAGAGAGACTGTCTGCTGAGAAAAGCAAGAGAATGGAGCAGATGGTAGATCATGTGGCCCCAGAGAGAAAAAAGAGACTGAGAAAGTAGCTGGTTAGCTCCTGATGATTTTCCGGGCCCCAGTTCAGTCTTCAGAGGACTGGCTGTACTTCCTGCACTAAGGTTCTATGTGATATCCCTGTATCGTTATAACAAATCCCTCTGGTCTTAAATTAAGTAGAGTAGATTTCTGTTTCTTGAACCCAAATAAATACTAAGAAAATGTACACATAATTATATGGAGCATGCAACTATATTTGCCCTATATTTATGCACATGTAGATATCACTCATATTCATAGATGATTGATGCTATATGCAAGAAAATAAGTTTAAAACAGTGGCAAATACAAAGAGTTGATTCCTACATTCATATGACTCTCAATTAACAAAACAGGCAGTGAAGAATGAGTGCTCAGTGAAAGGAAACCACTGCATAGACTCCAAAGACTTTGGAAGAGGAAGCTTACATATCCCACAGACTGGGTTGGTCAACTGAGGGAGAGACTTAGGAGAAGGAGAATAAGAACTGTGTCTTACATCCCAAAAATCAAACAAGTAGGGTTTAGGCAGGCATCAAGAATAAGAAAGAGAAAGAAGTAAACAAAAAGAAGTAAATGAGAAGGCTATGGGGTGTTTTGGGGGGAGTTGGCAAGTGATTTAAAAACCTTGCTATGTAGAAGATTCAGATTGCAAACTGCTATGTACATGTTTTTAGCATTCTTTCTTTGCAGGGAGGCCCAATATCCCTGAGTTGGCAGCTCTCTGTGGGCTAACGTCTTAATTTTCTAATGTAGAATTTCAAACTGATTGGATTGGTAAGGCTTATTTACTAAGCTGATTGACTTTTTTAATAGATACTAATATTTTGGTAATTTGTAGAAATAATAAAATCTGCACAATAACAGCTTTTATTTTTTAATTTTGAAAACCATGTTTATGTATAAATGATCAGCCATTATCTCCAACTATGGTAGAATAGTATCTTTGTTTATTTTCCCTAGAAGCAGATGCAAATTCCTTATTGTCTTCACTGGAACTTAAATTTCACACACACTCACAGGCACACACACACAAACTCATTATAGAATGTTAATGTAATGGTGGCCTCATTTGAGATAGGAGAAAACAAAAGACCAGTGGCCAATGAGGCTGGAGGTCAAAGTGGTTGAGATTTCCAAAAGAGTTTGCAGTTAAAGGACCTGGGCTCTGCAGTCAGAGGGCCTCTCCTTTTTCTAATCACTTGGCTATGGGCAGGTGACCTCAATGGCTTCAGCTATAAATGGAGTTACTAAGAGAACCTACCTCATGGTGCTCTTGTAAGGATTAAGTGAGAACATGCATATGAGGCATCTGGCATGGTGCCTGATTCACAGCATGCATTCAGAGCAGGTTGCCATTCATTTTAGTCTGCTTAGTGCATCTGTAGCAGAATACCATGGCCTGGGTAATTTATAATTAATGGATGTTTATTTGGCTCACAGATCTGGAGTCTGGGAAGTTCAAGAGCATGGCACCAACATCTGGCAAGGGCTTTCATTCTGCATCATCTCATGGAGGAAAATAAAAAGGCAAGTGAGTGTGAGAGAGCAAGAGAGCAAGAAAAGGAAAGGGGGTCAAACTCACCCTTTTATCACGAAAACACTCTATCGATAACAGCATTGATCCATTCATGAGGGAAGACCCCTCATGTCCTAGTCACCTCTTAAAGGTCCAACCTTTCAACACTGGTTGCATTGGGGATTAAGTTTCAACACATGCTTTTTGGGTGGCATAATTAAACCATAACACACTTGTTATTAGGTCAGGAGATTTCCCAAGGTCAGAACAGTGACAGAGCTAAGCCCTGAACTTTTGTGACCTTCAAACCAGGATTGTTTCCACAATTTGTCATACATGGATATTTAGAACATACTTTAGAAGTGGAGGAAAGAATAAAATAATTTGAAGATGGAGTACCCAAAAGCTGTGCCAGACAAGTCCATTGAAACTGTCCTTCACCCAAATTTGAATTAAAAAAATTGTTTTTGCATTGTGTGATTTGGTAATACGGGGAGTATTGGTGTGTTTAAAATTTTTTTTCCATTTGTCAATTCTTATATAGTCTCAGTTGAAATTAAAGACATGAGTATTTAATCATAATGAAAAGAAGGCTTGAATCCACGTATCTCCAAAAGCCAGGTATGGTGGAAAAACAAACAAACAAAACACCAAAGCTCAAGCACAGGGAGTGGAGAAGGGAAGAGGCAGGATCAAAGCTGACAAAGTGGAAATCCTCAAGGGCAGAAGCCAGTTCATCTGCAGATACCATCACTTCCTATTTGAATCATTTTCTTATACTGTGGTCAAACTTGCAGAATAAACCCTCATGTTTCATTCTGGTTCATGCTAGAGTCGGAAGAGAGGCATCTAGGACATATCATCTATGTGCATTTGAATTTGATGATTTGTCTTTCCCATTTACACAAGAGAATTCACAGCCATTATTTCTTCAAATATTACTATTCTTCCAATAACCCTATTGTCCCTTTCTAGGACTCATCATAGATGTATGCTTTCCTCCAAGTCTCATAACCTCTCTATCATATTTTCCACTTCTTTATCTCTCTGTTGTGGTAGTCCAGAAAATAGATTCTGCTCTATCTTCTAGTTCATTAATTTTCTCTTTAGCAGTATCTAATCCCGTTGTTTAATTTATTTGATTTTTAATGTCAAGGATTAAAATTTTTTAATTCTACAACTTCCATTTGGTTCTTTATCAACATTTTCTTTTTTCTTCCATAGTATCTTTTTTGTATAGTTTTCTTTTCCTTTCTTTTTTGGTCTTTAATCATTTAAACATACTTATTTTATAGTGTCTATCAAATACTTGTTATCTGATGTTCTTGGGGTTCTAATCCTACTGTTTCCTCTGTCTTTTTACTCACCCTCATATAGGATTGTTTGCTCACTTTTACAATTTTGAGTTGTAAGCTCTTCTTCAGCAGGGATTTGTCTGTACCTGGTTAGATGGTGTGTCCTTTTGGAGAGTTTTTGAATTTACTTCTTCTTGGTGCCCAAGCAGTTTTACCAGGCTGTGTCTGAATTTTATGTTAATTTCTTGAGGGTTTCAAACTTTAAGGTTACTAAATTCAATACCTCCACCAGTTACTCCCCTCAAATACTCTAGTTTTTAATTCCTTCTTCATTTCGGTATCTACAGTTTCCATTACTTCCTTTCTCTCCCCCTCCCCTCCTTCCCTCCTCCTTCCTTCTTTGTTTCCTTCCTCATATTTTCCTTCCTTCTTTCCTTCCTATCAGTTAGTTATGGCTTAAAATAAATGTCTGTTATAGAGGCAGGTTATTCAGGCAATATTCCCTCCTCTGTTGCTTGAAGCAAATATTATATATGTGTACTCAGTTTTAGGCAGGCATTTCTCAGACACCCTGGTAAACAACCATGCTACTGACCCTTCTCAAACTGATCTCCTACTCTTCTTGTACAATACCGTGTGCCACAGCCATCCTGCTCTCTGGGTTTTTCTAGAATATGCCCCATGATGTCCTGCTTCAGAGGCTTCCTGCTTGCTGCCACTATTTAAGTTGGCCTCACCTGCTACTCCCCACCTGTTAAAATTCTACCCTCCATCAAAGTCCACCTCCAATACCTCTTTCGTCATGAAGCCAACATTGACTCTCTGAAGGAGGTATAAACCCTCCTTCCTCTGACCTCTCTCCTTCTCCTCCTCCCCTTGACTATAGCACCTAGAGTAGCTCATTTACACATCTGCTTATTCTCCAACTAACTTTTAAAAACTGCTTAATGAGGCCAGGCACAGTGGCTCATGCTTGTAATCCCAGCACTTTGGGAGGTCAAGGCAGGCAGATCACCTGAGGTCAGGAGTTCGAGACCAGCCTGGCCAACATGGTGAAACCCCATCTCTACTAAAAATACAAAAATTAGCAGGGCGTTGTGACATGTGCCTGTAATCCCAGGTACTTGGGAGTCTGAGGCAGGAGATTCACTGGAACCTGGGAGGTAGAGGTTGCAGTGAGTTGAGATTGCACCACTGCATTCCAGCCTGGGTGACAGAGTGAGACTCCATCTCAAAAACAAACAAACAAACAGAAAACTGCTTAATGGCAGAACCTAGAATTTCATATCTCTATATTCCCTTTGGTATCCTGAATACTGTTTGGTGTTAGGTATATAAAGAAAATAAATGTGTGTGATTTTAATTGAATCTACCTGAATAAAAAGGATAATATAGGAAAATCGTTACCTATAGGAGGCTGGATGCTCCTGTGAAGTACGTCTTTTATCTACTTGCTATCTTTGCAATTCCTTCATGCTACAATGAGAGATAGAGTTTAAACCTGAAAACATTCTTGGAAAAGGAATCTTCATTAATTCAAATATACCACAAGGTAAAAAATAATGATACTAGTTTCTTTGAGATAGATGTAAGAGAGGATGGAATTGCTATACCCTCTTTCTTACTGCTGCAGTGTGATGGGAAGCGTTTGGTGCTGGGTGGAGGAAGTATTGTCAGTAGCGAAACAGGCAGTGAAGTCAAAGCTGAGCTCCATGGAGACACATTTTTCTGCACTCCTCAGTTCTGCCCTGGACTGGCTTTGAGCATGCTCTCCAAGGAAATGATCTCTACCCTTAGATTATGGTATCTTAGTCAACTTTCCTCTGGGACTCGGGAAAGAAGTTTTTTGCTTTTTATGTTCTTTAATTTCTTTTAATTCACCTCCTAAGGTTGCAATTCTACCATTGCTGTTGACAGATTGGCATGGATTCTTCTTGACTTATTTTTATACATATAATAGCATAATTTTACCCTAATAAAAACAAGATTATATTATATGCACTGGTGTACAATCGTTTTGGTTTTTAATGAACAATGTGATGTGGACACATTCCACATATAACTGCTTAAAAATAACTCCACTGTAGAATAGTATGTAATTTATTTTAACAATCTGAAATTTGCTTTATCAACTATATTTCAAGCTCTATGATTTCAAATATAATAGTCCAGTTCTTCCTATCAAGAATTTAGCTCAGGTATGAAGAGAGAAGAGCCTTCCCTCCAGCCAACAGTTTTCCTTGAGATTACAAGGGAGATTCCTGGAGCCAGAAGACAGGAGGGTGCACACATCTACTCTCAGGATTTTCCGGGTGCATGTGCTGCCTGTCTGCATACTTCTGAGTATGAGTTTCTGTGGGTGCACACTTTATTATGAAAGGAATCTGAAAGAAATTGGATCACTACTGCTAGTAGAGGTAAAAAGTCATATGACAGAGAAGCGGTATAGCATAGTTGTTGAGGTTAAACTACCTGCATTTAAACAACTCTGCATCTACCGGTTGTATGATACAAGAAAAACCTGCTTAGTCTCCTGGGCCACAGTTGTCTCATCTTTAAAATGGGGATAATAATAGAATCTGCTTTAAAAATTGTTAGAAGTACTAAGTGATTTAAAACCTGTAAAGTGGTTACACAGGCCTGGCACATAATAAATGCTTAATTAAATGTTAATAAAGCCTTGATATGTACCCGGCAGTACAAAACAGGAAGAGGAGGCTCAGCCGAAGGCTGAGTGCCATGAGTCCAGCAGCAGCTGGGAATTCTGGTGGTCAAACAAGGGGACTTTCTGGCCCCACAAGCATGGACAGTTTTGGTCTTCCCAGCTTCAAGCCCCAACTCTTTGGGGACTTTACCAACGAACCACAGCTGACATATGTTTTGCTCTGTTTCTCTAGTACAAATCAATGCTGGAGTAGTGTAGGGTACGTGCATGTGGCCCCAGCCCAACTGCCATTTGATGCCAGTTAAGTGGATGTGGATAATTCTGTCGTGTGCATTGTAGGATGTTTAGCGGCAAGCCTGGCCTCTACCCACTAGATGCCAACAGCACACCCTCAGCTGAAACACCCAAAAATGTCTCCAGATCTTGCCAAATGTCCCCTTGAAGGCATGATGGCCCCTGACTGAGAATCACTGATGTAACCTGATATTGGATATGAAAGTTGCTTATTCTAGCACTTTCTTGTGTGTAAACTTTATCTATTTTATTAGACTCTAAGAATTCGCAGGCAGGGACCACCTTTATACACCACCCACTCACCCACCAGCACAGTGCTTGATCCTCAGACTTCACTTAAATACTTATTGCTTAACTCAAAACAGACAATCAAGCTAGTTGGTTAATATTTTAATTTCTGATTTGTACTAAAATTGATTTAAATAAAGGTGACATCAAGACTAATTATTCCTGCTAAGCTTTGAAATGTCAATTACTTCAAAACACATCCTTTTCTTAAAATACATAACATAATTCAAGCTGGGGTTATTTTTGTCTTTTCTCTGATCACAATTCCGTACATACTTCACACAATAGCTGGGATATATAAAGTTTGGTTTTAATTGCCATCTATTCATTTTCTTCTTTACAATGAACTGGAAATATCTCAAATGCACTGAGGACTTCTTTCTAGCGATCCCTTTGTCACTGGTGTCATGATGTTCTGAATTTTAAATCACTAGTGATGCTCAGCCTAAGGAGAGGCGGGGGATTTTGCTCTGTGCCTCACACATGGCCTGGCAGTGTCTGTTCATAATAGCCCTCGCAGCAGTGCTCAAGGAAACTGTTTGTTCCCTCGAGAGGCTTATTATCCTGACATTTATCACATTCTGATAAATAGAAATTCCACACTCTGAATTTTGCTGCAATTTCATATTTTATACTTGTTTTTATCTTGCAAATAGGGGCACGCACGTGAATCTAAACACCAAGATGCACCCATGGGAATAAATGTGCATGACTATGCTCTTCCCAACTGAAAACTGCAGCTCATTGTACTGAGGGTGTAAAGCTGTGATTGAGAAACACACCTGTGGTAACTTTCTACTGGAGTCCTAGAAAATTTCATAACATTGATGAGTGGGCTTAAAGACAAATGTGTGAATTTCCAACAGACAGAGGTGTAGCATCAAGAGAAACCAAAGAAACTTTTGAGAGGGGGCATTTGCATAATGGACCTACTATGGGGTCAGGTGTGGCCCTCAGTATTGGGGATCAGGATTTGAGCTTTGCAATCACACTCATGGGGAGTGGTGTCAGAGACAGACTCATGTGTCTGCAGCTCCCGAGGCTATGCCTATAACTTGTTTGCAAGGAGAAGCGGAGCAGTCGGCAGGGCAGCATCTTATCCCCCATCGGCATTGCTGTAACAGGCTAGGTAGTCATCAGAAGGGAATTTAATAGACTTGAAGAAAGTGTGAAGGGAAATAGATATATGGTCTAAAGATGGACTGCTTTCCAGCCAAAAAGCCCAAGACATGCATTCCCTTGACAGGGACACACACGCCACCCATAACAACCAAGTGGAATTCTGCCCCTTACGATCCTCCCCTTTGGCTTGGATTCTGGTGACATTTGACTCAAGGACACACCTTCAATGTTTCTGAAAGTCAACAAAACCTCTTCTGAATGATGCATTTTTTTTTCTTAAGATAAGTTAGCCTTTAGATAGTTAATTCTCTCCTGGCATCCCACCCAGGAAGCAGAGAGAATGTGGGTGAACCCTAAGGCAAAGGAGACTCAAGTCTTGACCAATGTCCTGCTGAAAAGTGGGAGAGTGATTAAAAATATCAGGTCCATGCTGGACTGAAAAGAGCAAATTTGGACATCTCCTTTTTTTTTTAATTACTCTGAATATCTTTGCTTTGTTTCTTGAAGTGTAGATTTAGAATTTAACTTTCAGAAGACATTCTATTTTTCTCTCTTTTAAATCTTTGAGGATGAAGGTGGGAAGGAACCACATTTTTTACTTCTGTGACAATGAATGAATGTGTGAAGCAAGGTGAAATTTATAAAGTGCCTGTCCCCCACAGAGGCAGTGCTGCAGAACTGTGAAGAGTGTGGACTCTTGAATTGGACTGCTGGGTTGTGAATCCTGGCTCTCTCACTTCTTACGTTGGGGTAATCACCGTTTTTATGTCTCTGTTCCTTCATCTTTAATGTGAGACTAATGAGAATACAAACAAGGGTTATAGAGAGGATCAGATGTGTTAACAGAAATAAAAGGCCCAGATCCATGCCTGGTATATAGCACAAGCCTTTCAAAACATTATCACTGTTTTCTAATCTGATCAACTAAAAAAATCTGACAACTTTTGGTAATTATTTTAGCAAAAAGAAAGCCCATCATTAAACTTTGTTTTGAATGTTTTATGTGCAAGCTCATATCGTCTCTCTCTCAAACATGGGTGAAGTTATATAAAATTATAGGTTCCAAGAGTTTTAGAGATCCTCTTTTTTCTCCTCACTGTGTGTCTCAGGAAGGTGGGAGCCCATGTTGAAGGTCACAGAGCTGAAGTCAAGGTGGGTGGGAGGGCAGAAATAAAATTCATGCCTCTGGATTCCTGACTTTCCACCAAAGAACTCTATCTTGCGCTATTGATGGCCACATCTGATGAAATTCACAGAGGAATTTGACCAGAAAATATCATATTAACAATTTTTCTCCTTCTTCTTTATTAGACTTCCAGCACCATAGATAGATAGAGATATAGATATAGATAGATAGATGATGATAGATAGATAGATAGATGATAGATAGATAGATGATAGATAGATAGATGATGATAGATAGATAGATAGATAGATGATAGATAGATAGATAGATAGATAGATAGATAGGTAGATAGATAGAACACTAACTTAAGACTTTCTCATTGCAACTATGCCACAGAATGTGTGAGTTGTTCATGAAATCCACCAGTAATAGGAGCAACAGGAGAACGTGTAATCAGTAAGAAGAGGAGATGAGAATGCTAAGGGGCACTGCTGTGACCTGACTGTCTATAAGTAGGACATTATCACCTCAGGGTTAAGCATGTCTGCTCATGTCAATACTTGATGAGGGAAAATAACAATATAAATAGATTCTTACCTGCACACATTGCATTTAGAATGTATTTGGTGCCAGGATCTTAGGAACATTTAGAAGAATTATTTTATTTAAAGTCTCAAAAACTTTCTGTGAGGAAAAAAACAAATCTGAAAAGCCTCTTCTACCAGCAAGAACAGCAGCATCTGCTTAAGAACACATAGCAACCCTACATTCAGATTAGGACAGGAAATAAAAAAAAAAACATATCCAATTGAAACTGCGGGAGGACACAGTAGACAGAATGTAATTAGTTGGGTTGACTGTCAGCCAAAACCTCAGGCAACCACCCCCTTGCTCTTATGAAAACTGCCTGGAGATTTTTAATGATGATGAGCAGTTAGGATCTCGGTTTTAAATCTTCTCTGAAATGCAGGGCGCCATCATTCCCTCCAGCGACGCTGGGATATTGGTGCTGGGTTGGCACTGAAGAGCTCTGGAAAAGGTGAACCCTAACTCCTTAAGCAGCAGTAACTTCTGTTACAAAATGTTTGGTGTTGTCAATTCTTTAACTCTAATGAATCCAGCTGAATTTATGATGAGTTGGATGATTTAAAAATAAAGACACTTTGCTCTATGGAATTAAAATTTGGGATTTTGGAACAAATATCTCCATTTTAGTGCTTTTCTCAGCAAAGAGTGATGGGAGGAATTCTGGATTAGGAATTAAGGGGTCCATGGCCAGACCTGAAGATGCTCAGTGCATGATGGGCATGGGCAGGTGCCACCCAATTCTGCTGCTGTTCCTCCCTCAGCTTCCCAAAAGAGCCACTGGAGGAGAATGGAAAGAATGGAGACACAGAAGCCAGCACTGGCTTTGAATCCTTGCTCTGTCTCTTACAAGATATGTGATCCTGGGCAAGCCCCTTAAGCAATCTAAGCCTCAAACCAAAGAAGGCAGAAAAAGAGTTGGGCCTCTTCAATTTCTCAAATCCCTTTAAATGATAAAATATGTTACCTTTATGTATATATACAAAGGGTGCTGTTGATGGTGCTTTCCTGTGCCTGAGATTAGAGATCTGAAAGACCAAGCTGATCCAGGCCTCCTTCCATGCAGATTGTGTGTTTAGTCTGTCCTATGGCTAATGACTGCAGCTGCTTCCTGCGGAGACTGTTATAAGATCTATAAAAGGCCGAGATATTATGGTTTCAGAAGCAGGTAATGAGCATACACAGAAACCACGTGATTTTTTCTTTCCATTTGGACTTTTAGTTTGTAGGCTTTCTACACAGGAGTTCATGGGTACGATGCCAACTCTCACAGACAACAAGGATTTATTGTATTAATAATCTGCAAATTATGGATTGCAAAACCAAAGATGTTTGGGGATTTCATTGAATTTCTACCAACAAAGATGCCTCCATGCTGAGGTTTTCAAGATTTTCACTGTGCCCAGTTGAAATTAATTATAAACTATACATCTATTTGCATGTTAATTATGAAAACATACCATGGAATATATTTAGGATAAAGTACAGCAGAAAAAGATGGCAATTTATGACTACTGTGTACCAAATCAAATGAAATACCCAACTAAGAGTATTTTTCCAAAAATAGGCTTTAAAATATATCTTTCTTCAATGCTGTAGGAATTCAATCCATTCAAATCCACAAACAACAAGCCCATTTGCTAATTTCTTGATTTCAGATTGTTTGGGACAGTATCTACTTGAACTATGATGGGAAACCAATTCCAAAATCAATCTGAATTTAAAAAAATTTTTTAATGATAACCATAAGCATGGTCAAATCTGTTCTATGGATGTGGCTCCACAAATGTGGGTCAAAAAATATGAATCTAAAAATCGAATCCATAGTTAAATAAGTTGTGCATATGCTTGGTTTTAAAAAAATGAATTCTTTTATTGCATATTACCTTTGATGTGCCATACATTCTTTTAAGTATTATGCAAAGTGTTTCACAAATTTCTCCGACCAGGGAACACTTTTTCACAGAGCATCTTCCTGGACCAGTGTTCTTTGGGAAATCCTGGGTCTGATGACTTGCCATTGCTGCCATGTGTCTCCATTCTCTGGTTTCTTCTTGGCTTCCTAGGTTCTGCCACTGTGGCCATCACCTGGGATTGGAGAAAGGCAAATGGAACAGACCAACTCAGAATTACAGTCCTCATTTATTTCATCAGAGGTTGGCCTGTACTTACATTAGCCCTTTCTGGCTAGAGCTTCATGTCTCACCCACTGTCTGTTCACTTCTGACCTGAAACAATGGGACTGCAGAAGAGAGAAGGAAAATATCTGGTGGTCAGGCTAACTCTGTGTACCCCATGATGAAGATGTTTTCCATAGGAGTTCATTGTCACAGGTGAAATTTAGGAGCTGTAGCCAAAGATTTCTTAAGCCTTTCTTTCAATCAGTGTGCCACAGCTATTTGATATGTCAGTCTCAGCAGCTGAGTTCTGGGAAGATTCATCCTCTTCATGAGCAAAGGGAGAATGGAAAGGGGAACTGTCCAACCCAAAGAGGGGAAAATAAAGGAGAGAGGGATATAACATTTTTTAAGCTTCTATTATGTAACCAGTACAGTGCCAGGTGCTTTGTATACCAATTTCAGTTCCAATCCCCATATTAGGATTGAATTTTAAAAGGCTACAGAAGTTAAGAAAAAGAGAGAAGAAGAAAGGATGATGGGGAAGCTAAATGAATATTTCTGACTCAAGGAAAGAGCTATGACACCTCTTACAGAATTCCACCTGGGCCTTTATCTGTCCCTTCCCACTGGGACAGCAACTTCTCCCTTCATTCACATTCCAACCTCTTTTCTCCACTTCTTTCTTTCCCTCTTGCACACTAAAAATCTGACTCCTCATCAACCCAATACCACCTATGTCTCTTCTTTATTCACATTAAAACACCCTCATGCCCCTAGGTTTCCACTGCCTTTTACACTCAACTCTCTGCAATCTGACTTTGGCTGCACCATGCCATACCCAGTTTAACCAGTGGGATCATGAATAACCTTTCAATAGCCAAATCCTAAGGGAAATATTGAGTTCTCCTCTTACATGAAGGCTGTGTCACAACTTGCATTCTTGATACTTTCTTCTCTCCTGATTTATTACAACTGTTCCTTTGTATTTCTCTTAACCCTTTGATTCTTTCTGAGTCTTCTTGCCTGGTTTATCTTCCTCCTCCTCCTCCCTTTAAATGTTGGTGCCTCCAGAATTCCTGTTCTTATCCCTCTTCTTATTTTACATACTCTCTTTGGCTTATCTCATCCACTATTCTCTCTCTAATCTTCTAATTATTATGAGTTCCTGTTCTACAAATGTTGATGCCTCCTGGGTTCTGTCTTACATTTTCACATGTTTGCTGGACACTGCCATGAGGAAGTTCCCAAAGCAAACCCATTTTATTTCCCCTCAAATTTTTTCCTCCTTCAAGAATCCTGTCCTGAATTCAATGGCACTTTATTTGCCCAGTTACCTAAATCAGAAACCCACAAGTCCTCCCCAACTCCAATTCAGCTTTCAACTGCCTCTCCTCTCCCAAGCAAATCTGATCTTATCATTAACACAGAGGCTTTAAACACGTCCAGGGCTTCTCCGTTGCTTGCGGTTTAAAAAGCAGATGTCTTGTATGGCACTCAAAGCTCTTTAAAAACTGGCTCTAACCTATGTTTTCAGTCTCGTCTCCCATCACTCTCATTCCCAAATTCTCATCATGACTTGCATAACTTAAATCATCCTTCACTGCTGGTAGCTCCCTAAATATTCTGGATTTTCATTCATCTCGATGCATTTCCTGAGGATTGCTTTCTTGAACTTGACCTTTTTACGTGTATTCTTCAAGATCTACCTCCTCTCGGAGAAACTCTCCCCGTCTTCTCCTTTCTATTGTCCCCTGAGTCATGGGTCGCTCTGAGTTCTTTCTGAACCATTATAGGGAATTCTAGTGTAGGGCTTCTTACATTGAATTGGAATTATTTGTCCAAGTGTCAGCCTTCTCAACCAGACAGTAGACATTCTTTCCTCTGCTCCTTTCTGGCCTCCAGCACAGGCTGACACAGTGCCTAGTTACATGCATCATCAATTGAAACCTCTCCCTTAACCCTGGTTGTCTCAAGTGTCACTGATGTCCAAATAATATAGGTGTATCTCTCCCTTTGTACCTCTTCTGCCTCACCTCATTACTGCTTCTCCTTTGCAGTTAGTAGATATAAAAGGTGGGTAACTTGCATAATTTCTCTATGCTTCACTTCCTTTATCATTAAATAAGAAGAGTAACAGAACAGAACTCAACCCAGGGACTTGTTACAACAAGGATTCAATGAGAAAATGCATGCACCATTTTAGCACAGTGCCTGAGTTATAATATATGCTCCATAATTATTGGCTGTTGGTGTTGCTACTACATAAGGACGATTTTTTAACAGTTCAGTGTTTTGATGTAGCCTATAGCAAATTAAAAGCTATCCTTACTCATGTTTTGTTTTACCCTTTTTACTATTGCCTTTATTGGATTTGTATTGACAATACCACTTAGCATAGAAATTTCATTTTAGATTTCATTCATGTGCATTGGTCATTTTGTCTACCCAGTATTTCTACATCTTTTCTTTGGTATGAGCATTCTAGCTGTCTTTTGAGAAATTACTATCCCTACGTTTTATGCGGTCCTCCTAATGGACTTGTCAATCACAGTGTCCTGCTAGCTACGTCTTCCATTCACAAAGTAGGGACATGACATGCCCTAAGCCAGGATAATCTCTATTCTAGAATTTTGTCACAGGACCAGATCTACTGATACTAACTCACTCATAGTCAATATTATACGTATCTCAGAAGCGATTTTAGCTCTCTATGTTCTGTTGCTTGACTATTACTTTAATTGTGGAAGTTTTAAGTTCACTATCTTTCTAACAAGTTAATCCTTTCCCTTAAATTCGGCCAGATTGTTATTCTGTGGCTTTCAACAAAGTAACCATAGCAGGTAAAACATTGCTCAGCTACATCAACACTGAATGAACAACTAACTATCTTCTGAGCAAGTGAGAATTGGAAGGTAGAAGGTAATTCAAAAAAGCATGAGACATAGTTCTGGTTTAAAAGAGATTGCAATTCAAATAGAAAGAAAAAACAAATATGGATAGAAATTAATTCAGGAACAACTAAGTGATAAGTAGTGGACAATTAAGTATTAGGTTAAATCATATGCAATTTCTCTTTTCATAAGTTAAAAAAACTATTGGCAATTTCATGTGGGTTAGTGTAATGGAATTCTAATGGAACATAAGAAAAGAAGGGAAAAACAGAAACAAAAACAAGATGAGCACTCTGCAATGGGAAAAGCTCCACGTAGGAGGTGAAACTTGAGCTGGACCTAAACGTGTGGACAGGCTTTGAAGAAAAGGAAAAGGACTTGGAAAGAAGAAGTGAATTAGGTAAGGCATAGAGATGGAAAAAAACATTCACCTTGAGGATCAAAAAGGAGCTCAGCTTGATGTCAGAAAAGGACATGTTTGGGAGATCGGTAGAAAGCATGCAGGGAGAATTGCATGAATAGCTGTAGTAGGCAGAATAATGGCCCGTAAAGGAGTGTGTGTCCTAATCTCCAGGATCTATGAATATGTTAGAATACAAGACAAAGAGGAATTAAGATTGCTAACCAAATGACCTTAAAATAGAGGGATTATCCTAGTTTATGCTGTTGGGCCCAATGTGTCACAAGGGTTCTATAAGTAGAAGAGGAGGCAAAAGAGAAGCTTGCAGCGACATGCTTTGAAGCTTTGCTTTGCAGCTCTGGCTTTGAGGATGGAGGAATGGCACCACAAAATGAGAAATGTGAGCAGCTTCTAAAATAGAAACAGGGCAGGAAATGGATTCTTACTTCCCTGTAGCCTCCGTAGGGAACACCTCTCTGCCCAAACCATGATTTTAGCCCAAGGAGATCTGTGTTCGACTTCATACCTATAGAACTGTAAGATACTCACTGTGTGTTGCTTGGAGCCACTAAGCTTTTGACAATGTCTTACTGCAGCAACAGGAAACAAGTATAATGGTATTTAAAACAATTAATAAAAAAATAAGGTATGGCTACTGACCAGTCAGAATGAATGCCCAACCAATCAAAAGTACCTGCTGAACATCAGCTCAGAGTAGATGGGATATAGCCACGTTACAGAGGGCTTTGAACTCGATTCCATGGATAACATGTCATCTATTGAGGTGTTAGGTATGAATGTATTCTGGTAAAAAACATAAGATCAATGGATGTTATCAGTGGCCCCTCTAACACACCTCTGTCCACACTGGAGTAAATTTTCATTTAAAAGTTGCCTGGTTTAAACATACCAACATTTTTTAAACTCTGTATGATTCACCTGTGGGACCTGCCAGATTATTTTGTTTGATTATTTATGCTTAAATTATTAATGCAGCAGATAGTGTTGATGTTTATTGCTCATACTAGGCACAGTTCTTTGGCAGTCACTTTTCTCAGCAAGAGAATGAACTAAATGAAACAAAAATTAAAAATTCATAACATTTAAAGCTTTCTTTTTTGTATAAGTTATAAATTAGATGGAAGAATGGAGTTTTTTCCTCTTTCCCCAAAACATGAGATGAAATGGCAGAGATTAGAACATCAGCAAGGGACCACTTCTGAGACTAAAAGTGAAAAAGGATGAGATTACATCAGGAAGTTTTGTGGCTTATTTGGGAGGATCATCCTAGAAGAAAGGCCGACTTTGTCACTTTTCTTCTTCTTTTCTTATATACAGTCAATAGCTCAATCTTTTTTTGTCCAAAACTATTTAATCTTATTTACACCTTTAGTGATTAGAAAAATGCCTTCCAAATTAAAAAAAAAAAAAAAAAAGCTACTTTTGTGAATGAAACTCTCATACATTGGAAGTTATTTAGTCTGTGGGTTCTATGATGTGGTGCATGCATTCCTGTATGTTTGACTATTAAAAGCAAAGCCACGTGGTGTAAGAGATAGGGCATGGGCTTTAGAATCCAATGGAGGGGTTTCAAACCTCAGCTCTTTCATTTACCAGCCATGCTGTTGGAGCATGTTAGTTGATACCTTTAAGTGTCCTATCTATAAAATCAGGATTAAAAAAGGCCTCAGCAGGCTATTAAGAACAAAGCTCACACATATATAGCTTACTATGTGCCAAGTACTGTTCTACTTTTTACACCTATTAGCTCATTTAATTCTCGCAACAACACTATGTGCTTGATCCTATTTTACAAATGAAGAAACCCAGACTTAGAGAGGTTTCTTATAATTTGCTTAAAGTCTCACAGCTAGTAAGTGGCAGAGCTGAGATCTGAACCCAGGCAGTCGGACCCCAAAGTCTATGATCTTAACTATTTAGTCTAATTACTGGTTTCCTTCCTCATTTCTTATCTGAAGGATTATACAGGCAATATTCAGCTTAAAAATAGGTTCCATTTGAAAATTCCCTTTGAAATTGTTAATTTGCCACTTTGAATTTATTTTATCCCAAAATTGTGCTACCAAAACAATGCATCTATTCCAGGTTATTAACAAAAAACAAACATATAAATAAAAATCAAACCTTTCATGGAAATAAAATATTATATATTTGTAATGCTAAAGAAGAAAAGTACCATAGAAGATAGTATAAATGACACCACGAAGACGATTGAACATTTCTAGCCCTCAGTTATCTTATTTGTGAAAGATCCTAGCTGTCCCTAAGATCCAAATAAGATGAGAATAAGGAAGTAAATGGAAATTGTGGTGGGAAATCTGAAGGGGGAGTTTAGGGTGCATGAATGCACTTGGAATTTGATGATGTGGGCTTTTATTTTGTTTAATTTCCCTTTAAAGTATATAAATCCCCTTTCTCTTGATATAGATTCACCACCATCACTACTCTAAGTATTTTTCTTCTTGAGAAAGAGAAGGAGAGGGAAAGCAAGGAAGAGGAAGAGAAAGAGAAATGGATAAAAACATGGTCAAGTAGAAGAGTCTGTGGTGAGTTGAGGAACAAGACAAGATGGAGGTGGTAGTTGGAGAAATTGAGGATGCACATGAACCAGTGCCTTAGGGGACCAAATAGCTGCTGAACTTGGCCTTCATGGTAGTAGTGATGGCAGTGATGATGATTTCAAGAACTATGAGGTATGAGGGCTGCTTTGAATGAACTGGGGGATTTATTGGAAGACAATGACAAGTTCAGGGCTTTAAACTCTCTGCTCAAATTATAGTAAGAGAACTAGAAAGCTTTTGCTAAGGTGGCTCCTAAAGATTCTCTTCCTATAACCATAGAGCTGACTTAAAGAGACCTCTCTTTCTCTTTCTCAAGAAGAAAAATAGAGTAGTGCTGGTGGTGAATCTATATCAAGTAAGAGGGAAGTGAGAGTAAGAGGGAAGTGAAGTAAGACAGTATAAACGGCACCGAAAGACGACTGAACATTTGCAAATCCAGACTCTCTGTTAAGTGCATTCATATCAAGAAATTCAATTCAATCCAACGTTACATTCCATCATCTAACCCTTAGAAGTCATTCCCACACACATGCTAGGCTTCTATCATTATAAATTAACAAAATTTTACTTGTTTTTGTTTTGTGGAAGCTAGCTCTTCCCAGATCAGATTTTGTACCCCCGGCACTTGCTAAGAAATGATCCTGGTTATAGGTGTAGAGATAGTAAGTGGTAGTTGGGGTAAGTTTTAAGGAGAATAGGCATTCTCTTGCAAGGCAGCTGCCCCAAGTGAGGTTATTACAGGGTCTTCAAGCAAAGGGAAACTAGTCTTCTCGAACAGAGGGGAATGAGCTGCTTCTACTGGGAAGGGAGGCTCATAGCCATTTGGGGATTCAAGATTCTCAGCTTTGACTCAATTGATCCAGATGCCACATCCAAAGAGTCAAGGTCCCACTTCTCCCCAGTCAATACCCTAAATTTCACATAAGAAGGTTGGTGAGTCTGTGCGACTTTGCAATCCACATAAGAATCTGAGTTTGATTCTCAATTAGGTCAGCTCTATGGTTATAGGAAGAGAATCTTTAGGAATCGCCAGAGCAAAAGCTTTCTAGTTCTCTTACTATAATTTGAGCAGAGAGTTTAAAGCCTTGAACTTGTCATTGTCCTCCAATAAGTCCCCCAGTTCATTCAAAGCAGCCCTCATACCTCATAGTTCTTGAAATCATCATCACTGCCTTTACTACTTCCTTGAAGGCCAAGTTCAGCAGCTATTTGGTCCCCTAAGACACTGGTTCAATTGGCACTTTATCACAATTAGTCACAATTAGTCAAGATGCCACTGCATGCCATAAAATACTACTATTTCATTTCCATTAGCAGGGTGCAGCATTGCACTCAAGCCCAGGGATTTAAACCAATCCCATAACTCCATTTGGAGGACCTCTCTTCTGGGACTACTCCTGATATAAGTACTGTACATTCAGGGTCCATGAGAGAAATAAAAACCACATTGGGAATTTCAACTGGGAAATTTAATAAAGAAATTTAGAAAATTCCAGAACAAA
This sequence comes from Homo sapiens, assembly GCF_000001405.40. NCBI lineage: Eukaryota > Metazoa > Chordata > Mammalia > Primates > Hominidae > Homo > Homo sapiens. The sequence goes on along the minus strand of NC_000018.10, from coordinate 56,088,667 downwards.
AAGGCAATCCAGCCGGAGATCTGGTAGTTCAAAGGAGGGGCCAAATGGAGAATGGGATGCAGACCTTTGAGGCAGAGAAAGTACCTGGATGCTGCAGTTCCTTGACGGGGTATGAGGAAGCAGGTTCTTTGTACTAGGAGGAGTGGAAGATGCCATTCCCAGAATAATGCTATTAGAACAGCTTAGACCTTGAAGAAAGAAGTCCCTTTTCTTCTCCTGGCTTTCTTTCTTTAGTATCTTCTATTGACAGAACCTAACTGGAAATAAAGGAAAACTAGTTTTCAGAGTCCTGGTTGCAGTATCACAGAACAGATCATAGAAGGCCAGGTTTGGAATGAGAGACAGTAACTAAATCACTGCACAACGAGTGAGGGATGAAGGAGTTGGCAGTTACATGTAAGGAGCATGTGTGGCCAAACCATTCACACAGTGCCTATATGTACATAACTATAGCCATGGACTAAGATAATCAAACCATTAACCAAACCAATGTAGCCAAATTGGTTTAAAAGTTTATTTGTACCAAACTGATAAACTTTTTTTCTTCATTTGACACTGTTTCGGAGATGTTGCACATCAAGCTTTTAGCTAGCCGTGTGTACAAAATCTTCCAGCCTAGTATAAGATGAAGAAAATATCTGCTGCCATGATTCCCCATGGACAACTGATAGACACCGTGAGCAACAGGACTTGGATTTCTGAACATTTGCTCTGTGGCAAAGCCATACAGATATCCCCATGTGAACTGGAAATATCTCAGGCTAATCCACTTTATCAGTGTAAACCTGAATCTGAGTCTAGTGTGAAGTACAGTGAAAACTTAAACTGTGTTGTTAAGTAAAATATCTGACATAAATGTATAGATGAATGATTTAGAAAATGAATATCTGATCCATTTTTGTTACAGATTTCAGGTAAATCCAGATTTGGAGCTTAAATGACTCAAATGCTTTGCCTACATTGATCCTACATTCAGGCTGCTTACATATCTCTTGGCTTCTCTGAGAACCAGATTGTCACCACTTAAAGGTCTGTTAGAATTTTCACAAAACCTTCTCAACTGATTTCTTCTTCATGGGAAAGTAAAAGCAATGAAAATGCCTTCAAGTTAACTAGGTCTTATTAGGTACAAATTGTTGCAAGGAAAGTGAGGTGGGATGGAAGTAGAAGGTTGTTCTGAAATCATCTTACAAATGTCAGCATTCAAGACCTGAGTAATCCAAGATAGCAAGAGCAGATCAATGATCTCTATACAGAATGCTCTACAAAGGACTTGGAAGGAACGGTAAACCCACAGGGCTTTCAACCCTCTTCCTATGAACAATGGGGCTCATAGGGTTTGCAAGATACAGGAAGAAGCTCCTGGAGATGCCAGACAAAGAAGGAAAGGTGATCCATCAACCTCCACCTGCTTTACAAACAGACAGCCCCTGCTTAGCAGCCCCTTGTGGATGAGGCTAAGCTGAGTGAATGGAGTCGAGTGGAGATGTTCCCACCTTGCGGAGCTTCCTAGAGTGGCTGCTGCTTCCTTCGATGTCACAAATTGGGCAAATCCTCCAACAATAAGGCACCCCAGACTGTGCTCCAGCTTTCAGAGGGAGCCTTTCACGCCAGCTTTCAGCCGTGGGCTGTAATGGTGCCACATGCGTCAATGGGGCTAGGATCTGTCCCCTAAGCACTGCGGTCAGAGGCCCAGTGAGTGATGTGGTCTAGGGCCGTGGATGCTCACTCACATTCTGCTTTGGTCTTGACCACAGCATCAGAAATGATTTGATGCATTGGGTTTGAACATGTTTTGAGTTACTCTGTATTGCATACACATGTAAAACAAATCTGGGAACCCACAAGTGTGTGACCAATTATTTTGCTCCTCTGCAAAGTGTTTATTAAATTTTCAAAAACGAGATGATACAAAGAGGCAAACAACAGAAGCAATCACAAATCCAAAACAGTTTTCAAATCTATAAACAATTTTTGAAAAACATTCAAGTAACTTTCCAACTGTGTTGCCAATGCAGTGAGGAAAACAGATCTTTCTTAAGGTTCGGGAAATTTTCAAGTGTGTCAGAGTGACCCACACACATCTGTTGGGATGTTCTGAGTGGCAGTGAATTCACGGAGAAGCTCTTGCTCCAGACTTTCAGGATACAAAAGCATCAAAAGCAAGTCCTTGCATCTTGGTGCCCTTTAGTGACTCTAGGTCTCTCAAGATTGGAAGCCCAGAGACCTTGGTCCAAGACCAACTTCTGCGCCTAGTCATATAAGAGATATTGGACAAACCACATTGAGCCTTAGCCTTTTATCTATGAAAAGAAATGCTTTGTCAAACCATTAGCAGTGACTCATTAAGAGGTTTTAAAGACAATTTAGTGGGTCATACCAATATTTTAGAAGAAAACAAAACAGAATCCAACCAAAGAGAAAATATCAGAGTGTATTACAAGTAGCGAAAATAGGCCTTGTTTTAGGAAATTTCTGTTTCAATACGTGTGTGTATTGAAATTGTTTTGTTCCTCTATAACATGCTTATTAACTTTTAAAAATGAAAAAAATATAAAGAGGTAAATGCCGGAAGCAATCACAAACAAGCCCCAGTTTTTAACAATTTCTGAAAAACATTAACTTTCCATTTTGCTGGCAAGTAATATATTTTTCTGTACTAGGTTATACAATAAAGTGTTTTTCTTAATAAAGATTTTGGTCAAGAGGCTTAAAAAACACCCCTCTTAAGTTTCTGTCCAGCTCTAATATTCTATGATTCCCAAAGATAGAAGGGACCTGCTCACTGAGCCGTAATGATAATACTCTCATGTAACATTTTTTAGCACTTACTACGTTTCCAGGCACCGTGTCAATTGCTTTCCATGCATCATCTCATTGAACACTCCCAACAACCCTATGTGTTAGGTAATCATGATGCTGTTTTACAAAGACTGAGGAAATTAAGCAATCTTGGAGAGGTTCAGAACATAGAGTTAGCAGGAGAGCCAAGATTTGAAACTTACAGGCTGACTCCCAAGTCTTTAATTTTTCTTATGATTTGCTGCCAAACACGTGAGATTGTGAGCATCAGTTAGTAACTGGGCCTCTGGTACAGATGGGCGCAGGTCTTTTGCCTGAATTTCCATGTGAAGGAGGATGACCAATCATTTCTCTTCCTCTTGACTAGGGGAAGGTGCATTGTGCATTTCAAAAGCCTGCCTAGCCCGGGGAGATAAGGGGGTCGTTTTATCTCTTTGCATTTCATTTTACTCATCTGTAAATCAAATTTCCCTCAGTGTCTTCCAGAGTCCTCACGAGTATCAGAGAAGGCATAATCTGTACACGTGGCTTCATTTAAAATGAAAATATCAAGCAGTGTCATTTTCACAAGTATCCCCACACTGTCTGAGGCTGAAAAGAAGAGTGTAGCTATGCACACTGCAGTGAGAAGAAAATTTCAGCTCAATTGGAGGATGTAAAGGTACAAGTAAGGTTTCAGCAGAAGCGCTCATGAACCCCACATGAAGTCTTTCTTCTTTCTTAGCTCATACCCCCTTTAATGCATGGATGCTGGCTTAACTTTATCAGGAGTCAGAATAGGCTTCTGTGTGTATTCTTGACTAGAAGTAAAACAAATATTTTCTTTCTAAAGTTATTGAGTCCCATTGATCTATGTGAAATTTCACCATTAGATAGTCATTCCTTTTGCTTGAAGGCTTTGGGACTGCAGAAATTCCTGATTAAAAATTAAACCTTTCTATGGTTCACGAGCAAAATAATTAATCGCCTAAATGACAATTAGGTCATTCTATAATTGAATAAAATTCCAATGATACACAAACAGTAAGTTCAATTGGGAACCATGGGTAAGATTCACAGTGTACAGCATGATCTGGAGAGACAAGCTTGGTTGGGGGTCTAAGTAAAGCATGAAATACAGTCGGGAGGGTCACAGAAAAGCATCGAAGACAACTCTTAGCCACTTGTAAAATTTTGCAAGAAGTTGCAATACTCCAGAATAATCACAATCTTTTCATACAGTGCTTCCCAGTTTATAACATGTTATTCTATTTAACACTCCCAGCATCCCTTGGGGTAGATATTTCTGGAGGAGGAAACTAAGGAGAGAAGGGATGTGACTCGACCGAGGTCACCCACTGTGAAATGGCAGGTCATACAACTCCTGAGCCCTTCTGAATCAACCACACTTTCTTCCCAGGCAGATGGGCTCATTCTCAGTGCCCAGATCTGAGCTCAACCATTCTCTCTCTGGAAAAAGACATCTCATGCCACTTTTGACACATGTCAGGGAACACAGAGATACATCAAAGAATACATTCTGGCTTTAATGCCTACCAGTGAAATAAAAGACTGGAGATGTGGCTGCGTGTGGTACAGGCACACACACCACAATGCACACACAGCACACATACAGGATCACTGGGAAGAGTGTCTGTTCTAGGTTCATAATTCAACCAAAATGTATCAGTGATTAAAGCAATTGAGCTTTGCTCCCATCTCTGATTTCGCCTTGACTTTCAGTCCTCTGCTTCTTTCTCCTTTTCTCCCCGCCCACTTTTTAGTGGCCTTTGTTCTTCGTTCCTGAGCCATCTGGTTGCAAAGTATGGTAGGAGCACAGTGCAGCAGGCACATGAAAAAGCAGTACAAAAAAAAAAAATAGTAGGAGTGAAAACAAAAGACATGAAGATCCTGAATTTTTAATTTCTCTTTTCAGATTGAAATACCACTGCTCCTAGTTCTGATGCAAAATTGAAAAGAGTGCACTGGGTCTTCAAATGGCATATTGACAAGGAGAAAGAGGAAAGGATGCCCCAGGACAGCCTGGGGGTCAAGGCTGGGCTCAGGCATGCCTGGACAAGCCATGCAAGTTGTCTCCGGACTTGAACCACGTATCAGAGGAGCTATTTGAGGAGCCACATCAGCATACCTGCTTCTGTGGGCCCCCAGGCTGTGGTGCTCAGCCCTTGCACTATGAAACATTTTTTTTTTCCAGAAGCCAAAGCTTTGAGCATCTCCTCCCATGTAGAGAGTGTATATGTTTACGTCCATGTCTTTCGCCATGTGAACGCATGCAACCACCACCTCAAATATCATAAATCCTCTCTCTCCCCCTTTCTGTCTGCCTGTTTATCTACAATCTGTCTATTTAAATTCTTTTTAAACAAGAAGGGAATATCTTTATGCCTGTTTGTAGGGATATTCTACATCCATCTGTTATTTACATCATTCGTTTTCCTGAGGTGTCTCCAACAAATCCTGGCTGGATGCACTGTATGTGTTATTAATAAAACAGCTGTAAAAATATTAACTGTACGGCCTAATTGTCAGCCCTGATTGGGAGCCAAGTTTATCCCCGGACGGATGCGGAGACTCAGAATTTGGGCTTCCATCCAGATCTGACCCTTGCAGCTCACTTTACATTTGATTCTTTGACCATTTAAGCTGTTCTGGCTTCTTTTTCCTCCCAGGGATCTGTGCACATCCGGCCTCCTGGCCTCCTGGCTCCTTCAGGTGGCGCTGGTCCAGCTTCCTGAATGTTCATGGCCAGGCCTTTCTCCTCCTCCCCCTACTTTTGTTAAACTTAACAGCCATATGCTATAGAATCACCTTCCAGTAACTTAAAAGATGAGTAGAAATATTGTCAGCATTGCCTCTCTCTGCACACTGGTAGGAAATAGCATTTGGAGAGTCTGCATTGGAAAACACATCTCTATTAAAAGCATTGGGTTAGGATACCAGAAAACCCAGAGTGATTGGCTGCAAAGTGATACTTCCTTAGTATCTGGAATCAGATCAATCTTTCAGCCAAACCTTCTGGATAGGGAAGATAAATGAAGAGGTGATAATACATTTTATTTTTAATGAAGTGCTCAAAATAAACCAAATGAGGGCAGAAGTTGGCAAATGAGGCATTTTTTTACTGTGCCCTCCTTGGGATAGTTGGATTAACCCTGACTGGCTTATACCTAAGTGAGGCTGAAGTGTTTACTGTGGGGCAAGACTGGGAGGACAGACATTGCATAGAAAAAAACTTGATTCTGCCAGTATCCAGAAAGCCTTGGCGTCGTCTGCATCTAATTCTTAGGTGATTTCATAGAAGAACGTCCTTAGGTAGGGTGGTATGATGGTTTGCTTCATTACACATGAAATACATAAATTATCTGCCAACATTTCATAGGCCAAAACATTAATGACACCATTCAAGCTCTTAGTCCCAGTAACATTTAACATGGCTGTGATTAGCTGTCAAAAAGTTGGATAAGATTTGATGCTTTATGTTTGTTTGTTTTTTTTCTCTACTGCGACTTTCTTCATGATTGCAATATTCCACTCCAGTGAAGGGTTTTGGAAATTTTACAGGATTGGCCTTTGATTTTGCTTATTTTTTTAGGAAGATTCCAAGCAGGCTCTCCTGCCATAGAAGATTACCTCTCATATTCTCTTAACCTCACATTTTCCAGGCCATCACTGCAAATGTTTCCAAAAAGACTGCTTGTCCTGGGGTCACCATTCCAATTCTCATAACCATTAGTATTGACAATCTGGTAGGACACTAATTGTTTGTTTGACTTTCACATTTTTAAACAATCACTTGTAAGGGGAACCCATATTTTTGTCTCTAACAGAAGTGATGAAAATTTAAAAAGAGAAACCAAAAACTTCAAATTACCAGTCCTTAAAAGAAACTGCAGCAGGATGTCAATGAAATCATCAAATACACTGCTGGAGAGCTGACCTCAACAGAAAATTTAACACTCCACTATCTTGCTTGAAAAATACAGATGTTTTTTATACATGGTCAATTGCCTTCCAAAAATGTCTGCATTGTAAAATGTTTTTGTCTAACAATTGGACTAGATTAAAGTGACTTCATGGAGACAAACTGTTTTTAGCCTTGAAAGAGCTAGTAATTATTAGATGTTTCAATGGAAGCTACCTCTTTTTTCCACCTTTGTTTACCATATAGTTACCTGAGTTTAAATGTGTTGGTGTTTCCTGACCCATATCTTATAAATGTATGACAAATTAAATGTCTTTTCAATGAAGCAAAAGGAAAATGTTTAATAGAAATCTTAACTTTCATGAGAGCAAGAACTTGCTTTATCTACCATATGTGTCTCCCATAGTGCTTAACAGACAGCTGTTTGCCAATAGAGCTCAATATTCATTGACTAATGACCAAGTTAATCAAATTCTCTACTTGGCATAAGAGGGAGGTCTAAGTTTCTTCCTGCTTTAAGCTTCTATATTGAACTCTTACATGGTAAAAAGACTTTTAGCAATTCTTTATTTTATTTAAATGTTCAACAGTGTTTGCTGAGTATTTTCTATGGTGCTTAGCACAGGGGTAGGCACCAGGATGGATTCATAAATAAATGTGAGACTTGCCTCCCACCAATAAAAATTGTATAATTTGTTTGTGGAGCCAGGATATCACATAGCAGAGGCATTGTAAAATCTGGAGTAGAATGGTAGTAACTGCATATAGGCAGATAGGGCATTCAATTTCAAGGAAAAAGGGCTGTGGGATTAGTTACAAGACAAAACTTCACATGAAAGACAATGGAGGAGCTGGATCATCTAGAAAGCAGAAAATGAGGAAAAAATAAGCAGTTTAAGATTGAAGACTTGGTAGACCCAACATATACATTGCTGAACTTCTTGTCCTAAAGCCTAAATAACAATAACAGATGGAGACTAACTGGTAAGCTCAAAGTTTGGTGATAATTCAAGCTTTTCTTATAATCAATGTTTATGATGTGAAAAAAAGTCTGCACTCAAGTGTCCGGTATGCATTAATAAGTTACTGAATATGTTTAAGACGGAACAAACGTTATGCCATTGTTAATGTTCATTAAAATGTGGCATTCCGAGAAGGTGAGAAGTTAATTTTTGGTGATGGCTTCTGGAAGTAGATGGAATGAATAGTCCTGAGGGTATTCTATTACCAGAGAGAAGGCTACTGAGGAGATAAGTTTAACTTCCATGATTCTGGAAATCTCAAGTGAAAAAAACTTTAAAAATGACAAATTCAGGAAATATTTACTATTTCAAACAAAACACTGACTTTCCATTACTTTTGCCTGGCAGAGAAGTGAAAATATTGATCTCAGAGGAGATAGCTTTTTGTTTAGGAAAATATTCTGATATGCTTTTTTTTTTTTTTTTTTTTTTTTTTTTGTAAACGATGCCCCTGCTATCTTAAAAGATAGGATGAAAAAAGAGAGAGAGAGAGAGCTAAGCTGCACTACATAAAAAGTTAACTGGACTTTGGGAACTGGTCACTGATGCCTCACTGGTGGTTGGAGAGGGCTGAGCAACTTGGCAAGAGGCTGGCAAGAAGCCTAGAAAGAAAAGACAGCCATGCAGACATCCAGGTGGAGTGGATAACTGAGGGGCTTTTAAGAGTAGTGGTGATTAATATTCAGTTGTCAATGTTTCCTATTCTGAGCTGTGCTGAAACCATTCACTTCTATCTTTAAAGCTTTAGTTAAGATCTGCCCAGAGATGTGTTGAGTGTTGGGAGAGAGTAGAGCAGTGCTTAAGTCTGGGTCAAAGTAGTGTAGAAAGAGGATGTTGGTTATGGGAGCTGAGATAGATAATTTAGGGCAGGCTGCCCAATGACTGACCCTGGAGAACAACAGCCTTCCCTTGGGAATGCTCAAAGGTTTCAGGAAGAGTGTGGAGGACATGGGTAGAGGCTTGAGCCATTTCATTTGGATAGTGAAGAAAAGGGAAATATCAGGCTCCTGACATGCAGGTAAATTTTAGCCATGCTGAGACAGCTGGATGAACAGAATGATGACAACATATCTATCCATCCGTCCATCCATCCATCCATCTGCTAATTGATTCAATCATTCGTCATTCAGTAAGTACCAAGAACCTATTATATGTGAATCACTACATTACGAGAGACACAGTTTCTTTTGTCCAGATTTCAATTTTAAGTATTAATGTATACACAAAGCACATTAAAGAAATAAAACCCAAAGCTTCAAGGATGAGGTTGACTTTATATGGGCCTCGGAGAATGACTTACATTTGAATAAGAATCAAATGAGAGATTCCAACATGGATACCCTGGGAAGTCACTCTCCCCAGGCTCTGTCTAAATGGCATAGGGGAGCATAGGGTCCCATCCCAGGATGTACTGTCCTTTGCCACAAGTTAGAGATGAAGCTGGGTCTGGTGTCTGTGCCTGAATATTCCTACAGCTTCTGAGTCCTGTGGACAATGACAGAGGAGACAGACCATGCAGGAAATTTGTCTAGTATAAAATAAAACTAAAAGAAAGAATTAAAGGAGGGAAGAATAACATTCACAGCAACTCTTTATATTTAGATACTATTTTGTAATTTATCATGAAATTTCATGTATAATAGCTGATCTATCATCACAACTGCCCTTTGAGTAGGTATTATTATTCTTATCTCTCAGAAGACAAAACTGAAGATCATAGTTTGAGCGACGTGTTCCAAAAACATAAAATTAGACCATGTGAATAATTCAATGATCAGAGTAATTGTTACTAGTTTTCTCTCAGATCTGAAAATATTCCCTGACTTGCTCATCATTTTAATAGTTTATATTAAAAGTAGAGGACATATAATGAAATTTAAACTAATAAAAGATAGAAATAATGAAAGATTACTGATTAAATCATTCATTCTTCATCTGAATAGCCAATTCCCCATCTTATATGATACAATTCTCAAAAATGTTATGGTCATGTCATTTTTCTGGGATGCATCACATAAACGAGAAGATACTTTAGAGAGTATTTGGGTGTTGATAAATGCATCTATTGCATACCACCTCTGCTTATTCCTATCCTAACATTATGAACAGTGCTAAAGAAATACTAACTATAGTCTCTGCCCCAAAGAAGCTTCTCATCTTCTATGTAGAAGTTTTCTCCTTTCATGAAAGAACTGTGATGACTTTAACTTCCACCTAAGAGCTCAAACATGGAAACATTTTACCAAGTTAAAAATAAGCAATTTCTAACATTCATTAATTACACCAGGATGAGTTATCAAGAAGAAAAGTAATTGGCATAAGCATTTTCTTTCCCTACTCCCATTCTGGGTAGAAGTTAGCACTGTATCTCTAAATGTTCAAGTTGTCCTTACTCCCATGTCTGTAGGGGAAATGGAAACTTCCTTTCATGACTTTATCCTCCTCATCCCACTCTCCTTCGGACTTTGAGTGTCATTAAGTTGGGTAAGGAGAGGCAGAACTTTGGCGATTTGGGGGTGAAGACGTAGGAACAACTGGATCCACCAGAAAGACAGAGATTCCTTAGAATTCCTCCAGCACAGAGAAGCCATAGACTTTCCAGCAATGGGCCACATTGTGGGCCACGCTCCAGTGAGGAACTGCTATGGGGTGCTGGGAGGGAGACACTGGACACATGCACAGCACTGACCTTGAAGGCAGCAATGAGTTTCCCAATGGGCGTGACCATAGCCAGTTTTGTTGACGGCTAAAAAGGACCCCTCTGCAGCCTCCTGGAGCAGCCGCCTGAGTGTTGCTGGAATACCAGCACCTGACTAAAGGGACAACAGAAATAATGGTGACTCTAAGGAAGGAAATGTCCCTCAATTTTTCTCCCAGCACACACACAAAATCAATATCTTTTTAAAGGGTTAATGAAACTAGTTTCACTAGTCAGATACGTGGGTGCTCAGAGCAAATTTAATTTAATAAGGACTAGAAACTCCACGTGTGCCATTCCTTGCCCTTAAGTGTTGTGAGGTATAAGTCACCTACATTTACAGGCAGCTGATCCTCATGAATCAGGGATTTCCTATTTGGGGATTTGCCTACTTGCTAAAATTTATTTCTAATCCCAAAATCAATACTGGAGGTACTTTTGCAATTACTCATGAACATGGTCAGAGCAGTGAAAAATTTGAATTCTCACACTCACGTTTCTAGCTGGATCAAATAAGGTGACACTCCCCCTTCTTGTTTCAGCTTTCTTATTGCAAACATGTGTCCTTTACATGGTCTATTTAGTGCCACAATTTTTACAATTTTCTGCTTCCTGTTGATGATTTTGCTGTTTAAAATGGCCCCCAAACATACAGCTGAAGTGCTGTGTAGTGTTTCTATGTGCAAGAAGGCTGGGATGTACCTAATGAAGAAAATATGTGTTAGATAAGCATCATTTAGGAATGAGTTATAATGATTTTGGCCATGTGTTCAATATTAATGAATCAACAACATATATTAAATAAGGTGTCTTTAAACAGAAACACACATGAAACAACGTTATGTATTGACTGGTGGACAAAAATGTTGTAAACAGTAGCTTGCAGGAATCTAACCCTGTATTTCCCCTAAGAGAATGACCCTGTATTTCCCCAAGAGCAAAGACCAATGACTTGGACTTTATAACTATCATGAATAATAAGAATCTACTATATTTATGGATTCTTTGACTCAACCTATTATGTGCAAAACATCCCATTAAGCAGCAAAACAAAAATAGGCAATAAATTCTGCAATTTCTGCAAGATCCTAATATACTGCAACCATACCATTCACCACAGAACAAAATTCAATGCAGGTTCTCTTTCATTCAGGAAGTGTTTTGGGCCTCATGATTATTTCTGGAAGTAAAGGAGATAATTATAAGGCATTCTCCTTTATACAAAAGCTCTAACAAGAACCCTGAGCACAGCTCTGAGGATGTTTGTAGTGTGACTTCAGTGTATTTGCGGTCAATGCTTCCTGTTATAAACACAGGACTCTGGATTCCCAGGGGGCTTTGTGAGCATCTGATACTGGATGGGACTTGGCATGTTGCATCCCAGCACAGGAGTGTATGTAAACAGGTTGGAAAATGATCAGCTTGACCCCTTCCCAATGTAGGCAAGGTTAACAAACAAACAAAATGCACACAACCTATGCCTATGAGAATGTTGGTTTTGCACGTGTATAAATTGGAAACTGACAAGTTTACAAAGTGAATGTGGCTAATGATGACTGATGCTTGACTTACGAGGTTGGAGCCAAAAAAGTCAGCTATTTGCTATGGGGCCAACTTTAAGTTCTGGAGCATTTTAATCCTAATTTAGTATTTTGTCACACTTTTGTGATTATGTCACCAAAGAAGCAATTGCAGTCCTCAGGTGAGCCTCATGGGTAATTGGGTTGAGTTCTAGCATATTTCCAAGACTTGGTAGCAACATTATAACTAAACAGTAAAGAAGTAGTCTAGAAGGTAAGCACCAGAAGGATGAGAATTTTTGGCTGTATTGCTCATCACTACATCCCTGGAGCCTAGAACAGGGCTTGGCATAAGGGAAGCACTCCATAAATACTTGTTAAACTAGGTCCATTTAACACTTTAATATGCTGTGATATGAGTGCTAGTGTTTCTGGATATAGAGCATCATGTATCTCTGTCCTGCTTCTCATACCTTTGTTACTCCCCTCCCCAGCCCAATCTATCCCAGTCTCTACTTTGCCCTCTAAGCAGCCAGTGATTTCAACCCCAGAAGAAACCAACAGAAGAAGCAGAAGCTCCATTGCTGGGCAGAAAGTCACCAAGTACCCATCTAGTTCTATGACGTGGGCCTCTATTCCCAGTGATCCTGCTCCTGACCACTTCCAGAGGAGAGTCTATTATTTCAGAGAAATCACACCTCTGCCATGTAGAGGACTGATTATTTACTTACAGGCAATTGGTAGTATTTTGCATAAGGATCTTAGCTTGTTTTAGCAAGGATGCCTTTGAGGTGATGGAGTTGTTGATTTTGTGGCTGCTAATGATATTTTTAAATTTAGAAATTTTTCCCTTTTATGTATCATAACCCACCCAGAACCCAAATTTCTCTCCAGAGTTTTTAGGAGGCATTAGGCAGGCTATTTGGGATTAGAACTCATGTTGTTCTATGCAGTTTTTCTCCATCCCCTATTTCAAGGATTCCTCCTTATAACTGAGTTTCTCTAAGCCTCTGTTTCTTGTCATACTTTTTTCTTTTTTTTGAGACATAGTCTTGCTCTGTCACCCAGTCACCCAGGCTTGTGTACAGTAGCACAATAATGGCTCACTGCAGCCTTGGCCTCTTGGGCTCAAGTGGTCCTCACACCTCAGCTTCCCAAGTAACTGGGACCACAGGCATGTGCCATCACGCCCAGCTAATTTTTTTTTTTTTTTTGTAGAGATAGGGTCTCACTATATTGTTCAGGCTGGTCTCGAACTCCTGGGTTCAAACAATCCACCTACTTTGGCCTCCCAAAGTGATGAGATCATAGACATGAGCCACTGCATTGGGCCCTTGTCATATTTCTTTGGGGCAAACTCCCTTGTTATGTGGGTGATATGACTTTGCCATGAATAAGTAAAAATTTACCATTTGCACTTATTATTCACTTGCTGTATGCTGAGCTCTTGAAGGGTACTTGGACTGAATTGTATCTCTTCCCATGTTAAAGCCCTAACCCCTAATGTAACTGTATTTGGAGATAATCCTTTAGGAGGTAATTGCAGTTAAATGAGGTCATAATGGTAGAACCCCAATCCCACAGGGCTGGTTCCTTGTAAGAAGAGGAATGAACATCAGAGCTCTCTCTTACTGAAATGTGAAGACGCAGCAAGAAGGCAGCTGTCTACAAGCTAGGAAGAAAGCCCTCACCCAAAACCAAGTTGGCCGACACTTGGACTTCTCCACCTCCAGAGCTATGAGAAATAAATTTCTGTTAAGTTACTCAGTCTGTGGAATTTTGTTATGGCAGACCCAGCTGATTTAAACAAAGGGATTTTCTACTTTCTATGTAATTCAATAAGTTTGCAGATTAATTACAGCATTGAAAGTTACAATCTATATGTCATAAGAGCATTAAAGCACACACAAGTCCTCTCATCTGCCATGAGATCTTATCTATAGACCTCTCATCACACTCACCTTCAATTACAAAACCTCTCATTGTTGCAAAGTTCTCACCCAGACAAGATCTTGCATATGCTCATAGACAAGTTTTCTTGGCTACTACATGGGGGCTTCCTCTTGATTTCTCATTGCCCATCTCTCACAATTTTCACAGTGCATCCTCCAGAGTTCACAGCCTGCAGCTATCTCCCTCAAGTTTCCTTACAGATTCCAATGCTGTAGAAGCACTGGCATCTTTGAGGGTCCAAAATGGCAGGTGCCATGTTCTCTGGAATTTTCAGTCCACCTAACTACACCTCATCTTACTTCCACTCTCCTTAATCACCTTCCATCCCACAGGACTCAGACATGGATCCATACTGAGTTGGACCACAGACAAATACAAATCTGAGTCACAACATTCATGCTGTCTCCACATGGAAACCTTATCTCTCCAAGAGCCAGGCTTTTTTTCTGATTCCATCTTCCACTAGGTTAAGTTCTCTCTCAAGAGTTCCCTCACTTCTCCCTGCTACATTTAGTTGCATGTCTGGAGGTTACCAAAAGTTTAAATTATATATTGTTATGACCTTAGTTCATGCCTTTGAGATGTATATGTATGTGTATATATACATACACATACATATACATCTCAAAGGCATGAACTAAGATCATATATATATCATATACATATATATCATATACATATATATATCATATACATATATATACACACACACATATACACACAGGCTTTAATATATATAATCATTTTTATGATCATAAAAGACTACTCAATCGGTATGGGAAATTTGCAAAACACACACAAAAAAAGAACAACATAAAAAAATTAGAACCCTATCCCTGTTCTCCGACATTATGTAATTTCATCTTTACATATTTCAGTATGTGTCTTTAAAATGTAATAACACTTTTAAAATACCACTATCACAATTTTTAAAAACTAACAAAATTAAGGCCGGGCATGGTGGCTCACACCTGTAATCCCAGCACTTTGGAAGGCCAAGGCGGGCAGATTACCTGAGGTCAGGAGTTCGAGACCAGCCTGGCCAACATGGCAGAACCCCGTCTCTACTAAAAATACAAAAATTAGCCAGATGTGGTGGTGCACCTGTAGTCCCAGCTACTCGGGAGTCTGAGGCAGGAGGATTGCTTGAACCCAGGAGGCAGACGTTGCAGTGAGCAAAGATCACACCACTGCACTCCAGCCTGGGCAAGAGAGCAAGACTCCAGTTCAAAAAAAAAATTAACAAAATTGTAATTGTATTATTCATATCTAGTTAGTGTTTAAATATTATCAATTGTTTTGTAATCTTTTACAGTGTGTTTGCTTGTATCAAGATCTTAATAATGTTCTTAGATTACAACTGGTTGTATTTCACTAAGTCTCTTTTAATCTCTAAGCTTTTGTATCCATTAGTAGTTTTCCCTTACGATGTATTTGTTGAAGAAACCAGATTATTTGCCCGTCATAGTTTCCCACAGCTTGGATTTTGATAAATTAAATAATCAGGGTATCATTTAACATGTTCTGCTATCCCCTGTATTTCCAGTAAATTTGCAGTTAGACCTAATTATCTGTGGTCTGCAGACCCCAAACAATTCATGAATATAATTCAGGGACACACTTGGGGAAAAAATGACATATTTATTTTTACTAACTTCCAACTAAAATTTAGTATGCTCTTCAATTAAAAAATTAGCCAAAAAACAACAGTAATTTTAATAGTATATGTGACTTTGCCATCAATAGAAATCATATTTTCCTATCATATTCCAACTGTTGCAAGATATACCTAAATATCATTTCATCTTACCATGACTTCAAAATTATTGCAGCTATTGGACCTGCCTTTAGATCTGATTATTGAACGTGTTGATGAAGAAGCCCCAACATATTGTGTGTGTGTGTGTATCATATATATAGGTGTGTACACATACACATACATATTTTTTTCTATTATTTGAGTAACTGTATTTAACATAATTGAGTTTAGTTACTGACAGGGTCTGGCTCTGTGTTCCCACCCAAATCTCATCTCAAATTGTAATCCCCATAATCCCCAGGTGTCGAGGGTGGGACCTGGTGGGAGGTGATTGGATCATGGGGGAAGATTCCCCCATCCTGTTCTCATGATACTGAGTGAGTTCTCATGAGATCTGATGGTTTTATAGTGTTTGGTAGTTCCTCCTTCTCTCTCTCTCTCTCTTTCCTGCTACCTTGTGAAGAAACTCTCTCTCTCTCTCTCTTTCCTGCTACCTTGTGAAGAAGGTACTTGCTTCTTCCTCACCTTCTGTCATGATCGTAAGTTTCCTGAGGCCTCCCCACTCAGATGGAACTGTGAGTCAATTAAACCTCTTCCTTTTGTACATTACCCAGTTTTGAATATTCCTTTTAGCAGTGTGAAATGGACTAATACACTTACCAACTTTTGTGTTTTATTTTATGTCTTTAAAATATTATTATCAAAAGGGGTTCAATTGGACTCACTAGCCTGCCCAAGCCCTTTGGAGCACAAAAGAGTGAAGAATCCCTGAGTCTTGATCCTATGTGAGTTCTGATTTTTGTCTAAAACACTTTATAGGAAGAATTGTGCAGCACTCTTATGGAGAGGCATATAATGTCTTGTTTCTCTTTATTTGTTTTTGTAATATTAGTGACCATTGATGATCATTGCCCAATCCATTAATGGTTACAAAATGGTGATATTCTAATTTTATAATTTCTTTTATATATATAGTTTAAATGCTTCTTTAAAAGAAAACATTCTAATCAACTATCTAATGACTTTGAGATGAATTTCATTTAGGAAAGCAAGATAAATGCTTGATTCTTTCCTTTCATTTTTCAGTTTTCAACATATTGAGCTGACTCCATAGAATCCTCCAAAGGGGGATTCCAATGAATTTTTGTTTTCTTCTGTTTTGTGTTTAATATCATTGTGAACTTATAAATGTAAATACAGTTTTGTGTGTTTTCAATGGGTTGCACCTATTATTCTTAGTGATACTAAACTGCCCCATGTTTGGCCAGAGGAATCTCTTGAAGTTGTCTCCTGAGTCCTTTTAACATGACCATTATCCTTGATAGCATCATTGCTCTCCAGAATGACAAAATGTTCCAGATCCATACTGTTTATTTTCTACCCTAGACATGAAATCGTGTTCTGTTTATTTCAGTATGATATTTAGAAACCACAATCTGTGTGTTAAGGGTACCAATTGCTATTGTGTTGACATTACTTCTAGTACTTTTTATCATACAGACCTGGAAAATATTTTTAAGAGAAGATACAGCAACAATAATTTGGTCAATAGCATACTTTATCCTGTAAGCACACAAAATACAGTCGCAGAAAAATAGTATCAATGTTATCATCACTAACATAATTACATAAAACAGTTTAACATTCTTCTGCTGTTCTTCTTGTTCTCGAACAGTATCACCCTAAGGATGACCAAATACATTCTTGAGTTTTAATATCATTTGTAATAATTCCTTTTGGTATATTTAGGCTACCAACTCAAAAACAATTTCTTTTGCTTCAGATTTTTAATGATCACTTTTTAAAAACACTTCTCTATAATTGTGTAAAAATATTTTAAGTTTCCAAAAGTCCCCCTTAACAAAACAAGATATAATCAGATAAGCCAAGCTCATGTCCAGCCACCTCTACCTTGTTCGCTTACTTTCCTTATAGATAAATACCTTTTAAAGTTTATTCTCTCATAATTTTCTTAAATACAATTATTCAAATATGTGTCTATATTAGCATTTCCTCTTTTTTTGATAAATGGTTTTATAACATAAACACTTTCTCCTCCTTGCTTTTTCCTTGGGATTGTTCCAATGCAGTTTTGTAGAGATTTTTAAATCTTCTTTACAACTGCATAGTATTTTATCACGTGGATTTACCAGTCATTTACTTAAACAGATCCCTCTGGGTGAATATTTGGTTTATTTCTGATATTTTACTATTACAGTTGGGCTGCAGTGAATATAGAATGCATCTGGGCGACATTTCTCTTTTCACGTCTGCCAGTGTGTCCTTATGATGGAGTCTTAGAAGTGAGTAAATGTAAGTTGGTTAGATATTGCCAAATTCCCTTCCACAGATGTGGTATCATTTTGCTTCCCACTAGCAGTGTAAGAGAGTGCCTGCTCTCCCACAACTTTGCCAACTGAGTATATTTTCCAAACTTCTGGATTTTTGCCAATCTGGTATGTGAGAAATGGACAGGATATTATATTTTGCTTTTCTCTTATTAGGAGCAAGGCTGAGCATATTATAATTAGGAGCCATTTGCTTTTCTTTTTTAAGAAACAGTCTGTTCATTTCCCTAGCCCATTTATCTACCAAGTTGCAGTCTTTTTCTTCTCTATTTTTAGAAGCTCTTTATATATTAGACATGTTCAACCTTTGTGATAAAAGTTGCAGTTTTTCCCATTCGTCATTTTTCTTTACGTTGCTTAGAGTATTTTCTCCTTGCAAACGTATTTTTTTTAATGCCATCAAGTTTAACTTTTTCCTTAATGCTTCTGGATTTTGATAAGTAGTTGAGACAGTTCTCCTCATCCTAGCTATTGGAGGAAAATATCCATGTCTTCTCTTCAAACATGTATAGTTTCATTTATTTCACATTTAGATCTCCGAGTCTTTTGGAATTTATCCTGGCTTACAATGTGAGAAATGGATCCAATTTTATCTTTTTCCATATGGCTATTCACTTATCCCAACACCACTTATTTAAAAGTCCATCTTTTCACCACCAATCTGAAATGTCACCTTTATTGTGTATTAAATTTCCATATGCAATTGGGTCTATTTCTGGAATTTCTATTCATTGATCTATCTATTCGTGTGTGTATATCCTTCTGTATTAATTATAAAGGCTTTATAATGTACTTAAATATCTGATATAGCCAACCCTTCCCAAACTCGTTGCTCTTCTTTTGCAAGAATTCCTGACTACTCTAGCTTATTTTTTCTTCTAAATGGTATTTTTGAATGATGTTACATTTATAAATTAACTAAAGGAGAACTGACTGTTGTCTATCCACAAAAGTGGTATGACTTTCCATTTCTTCAAGTCAACATTTACATTTTTCAGGAGTGTTTTTAGTTTTCTTCACATAGATTTTGTACAATTTTTGTTTCTTTTTATGCTTAGGTTTATCATTACTACTATCTTAAATAAATCTTCTATATATCCTCTAACTACTTTTAGTTTGTATATATGAAGGTTGTTTATGATAATTTTTTTTTCTATCTACTACTTTACTAAATTCTTCTATCACTTGTGGTACTTTTTCCATTGAGTTTTTTGGGATTTCCAGATATATACATGTCTTCTGCTACTAGATATGTTTTTACTCTTCCTTTCTATTTCTTATGTATGACAGATTTTATCCTATTTGATTTTTACTAAACACTCTATGAGCATTGCACAAAAATATTAAATGGTCTTTGAAGTACAATTTTAATGGTAGCATGTATTTTACTATTTGGATACATCACAACTTATGTAGTCATTTCCAACTTGAAATTCAGGTTTCCTCTTTTTACTCTTATAAATAAGGATGCAATGAATATTTTTTGTTTAAATATATTTGTGCTTCTGATTAGATCTTTAGTGAATATTCATAGAAGAGGAGTCACTACATCAAATAGCATGCCAAATTTTAAGAGTTTTTAAATATGTAACTGACAAAATTCCCTCCAGAACCGATGAACCAAGGTATACTTGAACCAGCGGGTGTGTCTTCCTTCACTACATCCTCACAAATCTAGGTATTTAAAGAGTTAACGACAGCTCAGTAGGCAAACAATACCTCATCATTATATGACAGGTTAGTTGAGCAATCTCAATTCAACGTAGGTATATCCATGAAGCAATTGTATCAGAGAAAGGGAGTGTGAGGGAATACGGCCAGTACATTCTACTTATATGGACACAATAGCAATATTTTTCCTGTGGGGTGTTACTACTTTTCTTATTTAGACTAAGCAGACATTGATATCTCTGCATGGCAGGCATTGAGGTTCTGGTTCTTCCAAGGAGTGATGTAGTCTTTTTGGTCTTTTAGAGCTCCCATTGACACACTTTCCTGCTCTGGGAAATCAGGCTTAATCTCAATCTCTGTATCTCCTCTCAGTCTCCATCACTGGAATCATCTCACCCACTGGGCAGGCTTTTTGAGCATGTGAATACTAGCTACAGTTTCTGGTGTCCTTATGACTCACTAGAAATGTATGCATCCTTGGGGATACCCATTGGTGGAAGTGCAGGCTGCTCCTTGACCACCCCATCTTGTAACTTTCTTGCATTTCTCATCCCTAATTAGATAGGCACAGCAGCAGATCAGAAAGCCTGTTCATCCAGAAGCAGAGTTCTAGCCAGGAAAGTGAATACCAGTCTGCAACTTCAACCTCAATGGGTGACTATCTGTGAAGCTCCTCTGCTGGGGGAGAGTGGGCAGCCTCTCCCTTGCCCACTGGGAGAAAAGGGAGTGACCCCGGGTGAGTAACAGTTCCACACTGCCTGACCACTCCCAGGGTTGATCCTGTCCCTCATGCCTCCTTTCCAGGCCTCTGCTTATATAATGATGATGCGGGGTTGGGGTCTGGCTGTTCTTTTACATGTTGAGCACTTAGCACCTGTTGTTTTTGGCTGTGGGCCTAGTGCTGACTCCAGAGCAGCAGTAGAAGCCCCCCTCCACATCCTACTATGCTTGTTTTTATTTCTATTTCTTTGCTTAGTAGTAACATTGGATGTTTTTCACATGTTTACTAATGATCATATTTCTTCTATTATGAATTGTCTGTTCTTTATGGCTTGTGCTTTATTTTTTATTTTCTTCCTCTCTATCTAGTGAAGTTTTCTTCTTGGGAAATAAGCTCACTGAGTTTTCCGGGCTGCAAAACTTTATAGCCCCACCGGTTCTGAATTTAACACAATCGCTTTCCAATTGTAGTTTCTGCCTTTAGGGTAAGAGTATTAATATTCAAGATACAACGAGCTAAGAAACAGGATACACAGATCTACTACTTGATATTCAGCATCTGGTTTATAAATTTGTGCTAAATATGCACAAACAGTGATATACATATTTACATGTATGCATGACCACCTATTATATAAAGATACGACATGATGTTCAAAATCAGCTTTTGCCTCCCATTAAATTTTTCCGTAGCCTCTCAGTCATTCATTCAACCTAATAACAGCAATCTTAATCAGAGTATCGATTTATAACTCTACCAGGTGGCAAAAGGCTTTTCCAAGTGACCTCTTGGGGATCCCTTCTGGCTATCTTCTGGAAAATAGGAGATTAAAAACATGTGTGTTCCCACAGTGCTGCATTCTGAAGATGTTTCCTCTCCTAGTCCTGCCCCATGTAAGTTATGTAAGACTATGGAAATCAACAAAGAGCAATTCATGCCTTGACTGGGTTTATTGTTGTTATTGTTTTTAAGGACAGACCTAAAATTGGAAGAGCAACTCAAATGCAAGCAGTTTGTACATACTGTCAAGCTCATAGAAAATTCACTTCTGACTTTTCTGCAAAGGATAGAAGTGGATAAAAATTCTTGGTATTTTGTGAGTCTATTAACTCTTGGGGATGGAAATAAAATGGATTTAATATAATATCCTTACATCTTAAGCCATCAGAGCTTAACCTGGGAAGCTGAACCTGAAATGTGGGAGGACTAGGAGAAAGCCCAGGGCTTGCAGCACGAGTGTGTGTGGCATTTTGATGTTACTATGGGGATTGCTATAGTAACAATTCCACTCATCCTTCATTTATTAAGTTATTTTACTGTGGAACCAAAAGGTAAACCAAACATTCAAAGAAACAATAGCTTTTAAAGAGATTTTGCTGTTTCTGCACTCCATGCCAAATGTTTCAATGAAAGTACTTTGAGTGGAAAAGACAATATTGGCAGATAATTTAATACAATTGCAGGAATGAGATTCCTCAAGGTTTCCTCTGAGACTGAAAAAATAACAGCTGATCTATGTCATAATACAGTGTCGAATCTGAGAATTTACCAGCCCTGAGACTCAACTCTCTGAGACAACAGTGAAATTATCCTTACTCTCCCATACCCACTCTTGTTCTTTTATTCCTTCATTCCTTTAGAAAACAGCCTCTTTCCCCCACCCCCCACCCAATAAACAGAATAAGAAAAATTCAGCTGACCAGCAAAAAAAAAACACCTTAATCTTGATGGGTTTAAAGGCTTTAAGTGCAGTATCCCACCCCTGGGGCCTCAGCAGGCCTACGGTTAGAATATAGGGGAGGAGAAATAGGGAACTTTGGGAGAGGGATTGAGGTGGAATTTTCCTGCCCTATCCTTGGATCCTGTGTTCCTGGTCCCTTGAGGGTCTCTACCAGGGTGGGTGGATTCGCCTGGAAAATGTTCATAGACTCTCTGAAAGCAAAAATAAAAGTGGGGGAGTGTTGAACAAAAGCATGTGTTTCCAGGTCTGCCCTACTGTAATGGAGCTTCATGGTAAGAAGCTCCTTATGGGGTACGGTTGCATAAGGAAAAAAAAGAAAACTGAGTAGTATCTAGGAAAGGCAACCCTGAAAAACCAACGCAAATCCATGTAAGATCACTAATAATGTGAAAAATGCAAGCAAGTGACCACTTGGCTTGGCCCCTCCACCTCCCCAATGCTAAGGGAGAAGGCTTCACTGCTTTTATGCTTGTCATTATTATGATTCAATCAATCAATTGTTTTAGCACAGAGAAGATAAGGCTTATAAAGAGAGGCAGTCACCAAGATCAAAAGAATGGATAAGTGGAGATAGAATCCATCTAGATGTGGTGAGCCAAGGACAGTCTAAAGAAGACCTTCAGGAATCAGAGCAAGTGGTGTTCTGAGCATTTCCCACACATTGATTCAATCAACTCACACAAGAAATAGCCCTTAGAAGTCACTGTTTTCAGGACCCTCAACATTCAAATGGGAAAGCTAAGACACAGAGAAGATAAGGGGCTTTTCTACAATAAAATGTTCAGTAAAGAAAGGAGCCTGAGGTCAGGAGTTTGAGACCAGCCTGGCCAACATGGCAAAACCCTGTCTCTACTAAAAATACAAAAATTAACCAGGCATGGTGGTGCACACCTGTAATCCCAGCTACTTGGGAGACTGAGGCAAGTGAATTGCTTGAACCCAGGAGGCAGAGATTGCAGTGAGCCAAGATCACACCACTGCACTCCAGACTGGGCGACAGAGTGAAGTTATACTCCGTCTCAAAAAAAAAAAAAAAAAAAGGAGCTGGGGTCGGGAACCCAAGCAGCTGACTCCAGAGTCCATATGCTTACCCAGGACCCTGCCTTGCTCCTGTAAGTCAGCATGTGAAAAACAGAAGCAAATTCCAAAGCTGCTTTCTACTAAGTTGGAGGAAGAGAAGCACAAAGGGGAACAAAGATTTGGCTAATGAAGGTATATGTGCTCTGACTGTGGGCCAACAGCAGCAGACGGCCTCCCAGGGGCTGGAAAGCCAGCCAGGCAGAACACCTTGAATCTCAAATGAGGAAAAGCAGGCACAAGACTGCACCCTTAGGATGCTCTAAAATGCACTGAAGCCTAAACCGACTTTCTCCTAAGCCAAACCAAATCTTCTGGGTTCCCCTTGTGTATCTTGTTTATGGGAATAGAACAAGATATTATTCCCGTTTTTTTCCTCCTTCACAGGTTGGAAAAGTCAAATCCTATAGAAAGAAAGAATCAAACATTTGGATTCTATATTGCAATCATCAGAGGTAGCATGAGAAGCCTAGAAATCTCTTCCTGCAAGTCAGTAGTAGAAGCGCATTTAAAACCTCACTGGCAAATTCCTGGCAACTTCAAAGAGAAACAGAAAACGTCTAAAAATCCTGGGCTCTATTCTACTTCAGTAAAAAGTTTAAAAGCCTCCTGGCCTCATTTTAGCAAGCTCCCAGTTATTTTATTTGTATCATTTGGTCTTGAAAAGTTTCAAGGCTTTCTCCACCAATGGCTTAAAAAATTAAAGCAAGGTCAGATTAGGCTCGTCTGGGGAGCTGAAGATAGAAAGGATAGGGTTTAAATGTGCCCGTGTTAGGACCCAGTAAGGGGAGGAAGTGAGAAGAAGCAAATGAGCTTCCAAAAAGAATTCACATATGGACGATGCATGAGAGTTTGCTCGTGCTTGCGTGTGCACACGCATGTGCAAGCACGTGGGCAGAGGCGACTGCCACTAAGGAAGGACTAGTTTCCCTTGACTATAATTAAGCTTCTTCTGGGCTGGGGTGTTTGCTTGCCAGGCGTATTTCCTTGATTCTCAGAGCTCTACTAATCATGCAAAGTCTTTTGTGCCTCAGAGACCCCATCTCTCCTTTCCCCATGGCCAGAGCCTGGGAAGCCCCACATCATACTAAGTAGGAAATTACTGATCTCCAAGGATGAGGTAGTATGGAAAAAAAATTACAGTACTTGGGAATTATCTAGAAGTCTCATAGTCCAATGCCTGGGGATATAGCATTGGGAAAGAGAAAGGCCAGGAGAAGGAAGACAACGGAGAATTAAGCACGCTAAATGTCCTTACGTTTTATAAGGTGCAAACATGAAGCTAGCTGTACTTTGCCACCACACAGTAAATATAAGATTACTAGGCAATTATATTTAAACATTACAGAACCTCCGAAAATAATTGCCATGTTCAGGGCAGTTTCTCAATCCCTTGATAACAGTATAGTTTAATGGATAGAAACAACTATATCATTTATTCCTCTTACATAAAACGCCACCAACCATGTAAGTACATGATCAATAATAGAGGTTTACAGTGGGTGTGCAGTCGTCCTGAGAGCTGCAGCTTCGTGTAAAGTAATGAGTAAAATGAGAAGCAAAAAATATGGAAAGGAAGTGCTTCAGCAGAGCAAGGATCCAAAGGCTTCTCAGTGCCTTTATTTTTATGGTGTCCACGGAACAATGTGAAAGCTAAACTTGGAACTTTTAAGAGATTTGTAAATTAGCTGAAAATATGACAGCTAATTGGATTCTTCCATTTAAGGTTTTGGATATAATCGAAATGAGGATTGGGGCTATAGGAGGGATTTGGGGGTGGGTGGAAAGAGGGGAAAGTTTGGAGATGAGATTTATTTTTTGACTTCTGACCATTTTCCTTTTTCACAGACCTGGGTGTTAGGAAGAAAATTAAAGCATTGGTTTGGCGGCAAGCCTGGAGCCTTTTGTAGGTGTTAATTTAACTAAAGAGATATTCCCAGGTCAGCCATTATGTACTCTGAGCAGCATTTCTAATATTGAGTCAATAATTGACCACTCTTCTGAAAAACAGATTGCAAAGTTTCTAATGGGAAGCATGGGGGTGGGGTGCTTCAAAAGAAGCAGAGGTGAAGAACTTGACCTGCTCCCAGATGTCCACAATGAGGCTTCCTTCCTAGAGAGGCACAAACCCCCTTCTGAGATCACCTGTTTGCAGACAGCCTTTCCTTTTTTAATAATTGCTAGAACTTATTGAGGACTTACTATGTTCCAGACCCTGTGATAGCTGCTTCACTTGATTGATATCATCATTCCAGATTATGACAGAGGGAACTGGAGTTCTGTGAGGTCACGTTGTGTGTCCAAGGTTACCCAATGTGTTAGAGGTATGGCTGAGGTCCAGCACACGTCCTCCAAATTCACAGTGTTCACTCAACCAGTACTGCTTCCCTTCTTATCCAATGCAATGATTGATTCCATTTAAGTCAAAGAAAAGCAAGAGGGACCATAACATACATTGATTTGCCTAGAAATATCCTACCATACAGTTTTTTGTTTTACATTTGTGAGCTTATATAAAAGTTAGAAATGACCTAGGGAAAATGTATTAACCCTACTGTACAGAAGAGGAAACTAAAACTCAGAGAGGTTAAGCCTCACACCCAGTAGGTAGTGAAGCCAAAATTATACACCTGACTCCCAAACATCTACTGCCATTGTAATACACTGCCTCCTGCAAGGCTAAAGTAGCCAGCCCAGCTAACCATCAGGAGCCTATTTGCTCTAACTCACATTTACAGTAAGTGAAATAAAAATCTACCTTTTTGACCTGTATTGCGAGATGTCAATGAGCTATGACATGTCTCAGAGTGCTCCACGGGGAAGGCCGATCCATCTCTCAGCTCTGTATCCTCCTCTCTGGTCAGGTTAATGTCTTCATTGGTAGTCATAAAGAGCTTCTTTGCTTTTAATATTCCCTGTGTCCTTCCTTGAGTCCAAATTCTACCCATGCTTGAAGGCTGAGCTCAAGTTTGCCTTGCTCCTTGAAGCTGTCCAGGATTGCTTTTCCCATATTTCCCATAGAGTTTCCATTCTTCCCTGGAGCTCCTGCAGTGCCTACCAGCACATTGCCTGTGACAGTGCCCTGGTTTCCATTTCCTAGCTCCTCAAAGGCTCCAGGAACTCTGTGTTGTACTTTCACTTTTTTGAGCTTTCTTTTAAAAATATTTTTAATTGACATAAAATAATTGCAAATATTTATGGGCTACAGAGTAGTATTTTGATACACACAATGTGTAACAATCAAATCAGGATAATTAGCCTTTCTATCACCTCAAATATTTATCATTGTTTTGCACTGGGAACATTCTAAATCCTCTCTTCTAGCTATGTGAAAATATACAATAAATTATTGTTAACCATAGTCACCTTACAGTGCTATAGAACCCTAAAGCTTTTTCTCCCTATCTAGCTGTAATTATGTGTCTTTTAACCAGCCTCATTCTATCCTTCCCTCTCTCCTACCCTTCTCAGCCTTCAGTAACCACAGTCCCATAATGTGCCTATGACACGATTGGGTTCATACATGAATACTTGGTGAGTTGGGATTGAATTAAGTTGGCATCCTACAGGCCCTTAATATATGTATAGTATGGAAATAAATAAGAGGGAAAAAAATAGGAAATAAATTATGTTCTAAAGAGATCATTAAAATAGTAAGGAATAAGATTAGGATTTCATGGAGAAAATGGTATGAGAGAGGATACCTGGAAGTTTTCTTTAGTATCTCAATACAGAGCCAATTTCCCTAGCTCAGTAATCCTGAAACTTCAGTGTTCAACAGAATCACCTGCAAGGCCTCTTGAAATACATAGCACTGTTTTTTATTTCCTCTGCTGCACCAGAGCTTCTGATTCAGTAGGGCTGGGGTGGGGCCTGAGAATCTCCATTTCTAACAAGTTATCAGGAGATGCTGTTGCTGCTGGTCTGAAGACCACTCTTGAGAACCACAGTGATTCTCTACTGTGGCTGCAAATTATAATTACCTGCTATGGGGAACAAATGTAAGCAGCCTGCCCCACATCAGGCCAATTAAATCAGAATCTCTGGGGAGAGATCTGTGTACAAGCAAGCTCTTCACAGACCTGATCCCTCCACTGGCTCACCTCTTAAAACTCTGAGATCCCTGAAGCTTCCATTGTCTTGTTTATTTTCTAGGAATGCACTTGGTAAATAGGAGTTCAATAACTGTTTGTTGAAGAAAGAAAAGAACTATGGTGGGTCAGATGAGAGACAAAAATCACTCTGCAGAGATACAGCATGCAGGAGACCACCTCTGAGACTGAGGCAAGAGTGTGCCTGAAATGCCAGGGGTTCGATCTAGGTCCTGCTGTTCCCTGACACAGAAAGCCAATGACTGACACAATGAGTATTGCCAAAGAAGAAGGCTTTCATCGAGTGCTGCAGCCAAGGAAATGGAAGATCAGTTTCAAATCCATCTCCCTGAACAACTAAAAATAGAGGTTTCTACAGCAGGGAAGAAATGTGACTATGCATGGGAAAACAGGAATTAGGGAGGGGTCATGAGGCAATCATGATGAATGAGGGGTCTGACATCCCATTGGCTGGATGTGGTTACATGATGAGTTTCTGTTCTTTGACACTTTTTGAAAGGCCTGAGGGCCCTTTCCTTACAAAGAAACTCAGATAAAACCAATGTGAGTTTCAAGCTTTAAGACCAGAAGAGTCCATTTCTATGTTACTATAGGAAAAGAAAAAAACTGCCTATGGGACTATTGGGTTGGTTTCAAGAGGTTATCTGAAAGGCAAGGCGGCCTCCATAACTGCTTATTTTCTTTTCTTTTGAAACTGTCATTGTCTTCCCAACATCTAGGCTTATGATCATATGGGTAAGCTTAGATCATACATTCTGTCTACTCTACCCAGACCAGAATCATACAATCAAAGACATACAGAGTCAACTAGGTAATATAAGTGAGCAGAGTTGGACTGGAGTAAGGTCCATGGAGGACTGCAACTAAACGGGTACATCTTGTCTGGAGTTGGACTAAATCATTGTGAAGCTTTAAGTCAGATTTTCTTAGTGTGTTATTTATACACCCTCCTGGCATATGAGTGACAGGAAAGTCAAAGTCATTGACTCTCTAATATTTATTGAGCACCTTCAAATACTTTTTGAGTATCTACTATTATTGGGCACCTACAAACACTTATTGACCATGTGCCAAGCACAGTGCCTAGCAAGTTCTTCTTTTCTAATCAAATCAACAGGTTGGACATCCCTACCCAAGGCTCAAATGGTAACAGGTCCATGCCTTACTTGTGTCAGTTCTCTTATTGAAAGAGCATCTCCTAACCATCCTACCAATAAGGTAAAGGTGTTATTTTGAATCTGAATCAAAATGAACCTTCTCCATAAATCTCTTCCTCACTAGCTGGCCCATACCTTATTACCTTTTCTGGGTCCTTCCCTTAATAATTAGCACTGAGCTCACAATTATTGCTTTTTCTCTTAACATGTTGCTTTGTAATTGTCTCCAAGATCCCCTCCTATTTTTATATATCCAATTTACTAAATCATTCCTATTTCTTCAGCAGCCCTGAATGCAGCGCACTGTGATTCAATAAATGTTTGTTAATGAAGGGAACTACAAGCTGGTTGGGAATCAAATCTTTTCCCGTGGGAGTTACCAGGGATAAAGTCAGTCAGACCCTTCTATGGCCTGAGAAGTGCTGGGAGTAGCTTCCTTTAGAAGTTCAATAAAAACAAGTCTCTGAATTCTAAAATTCTCTCCACTCCATTGTGATATGTCTCTTCAACCATGACTATTCCTTTTTTCCAGGATTACTTCCCGAGTAGATTCCATGCATGGGTGTATTAACTTTTCTCAAATCATTAGGTTATGTCTCATAAAAATCTGCATCTCCAAAAGTGAAAATTTTCTTTGACACAGTAAATAATTTACATCTAATTGATAGCCCCCATTGGATATTTAACATGAAAAGACTTCTAGAAAATCTGCAACGTAGTTCTTTTATTGGGTTCTATACTGACTGCTTTTGGGCGAGAATCACACCCTAAAATTCCAATGGGTGTGAGCCAAAGCTGCATCATTTTGCAGCTAATCATAACAATAATAATGAGCACATTTCAAAAGTGCTAATTACAGATTCAATTGGATTATGTTCTCGTTATAAATGCTACAGGTTTTCTGCCAGGTTGGTACTTCACAACAGTATGTTTTCAAACACCTGTTTACCTTTATCATCACTAGATATATTCAAAAAGAGAAACTTTTAAAAGTTGAGATGCATGTTAAATCTTATACGTCTTTATACAATTTGGAATTCTTTACCCAGAGGCCTTTACTGAACAAACTGAAGCAAAATGAATATTTATATAAATCATATGCAGATAAAAAGCATGGAAATTTATAAATTATTTACTTATCCAGTAGACTTCAACAGGCTGAAGGGATGAAGGGGAAGAGTAGAAAATAAAACAGAATTATCCTGGTAATTTTCTTGCACCAAAGAAAACTTTACTAAATGTTAACTGTATTTAAATCTCTATTCCATTTCATTATGAGAATGTAAGACTACAAGGGTGGATAAGACGCAACCCCAAATACAATCTATTGAGGGAGATTTTCCTGTAGACAAATGTTATAAAGTGGTAGACAAAGTCTGGAGAAGGAAGCAAGGCCAGGAAGGTAAGGCTGGATGTGGACTACAGATAACAAACAAAGGCATTAGAGTTAGGGTAGGATGGTAGCTTTGCTTTTTTGTTGTTGTTGAGACAGTGTCTCTAGTGATCTTGGCTAACTGCAACCTCTGCTTCCTGGGTTCAAGTGATTCTCCTGTTCTCCTGCCTCATCTTCCCAAGTAGCTGGAATTACAGACATGTGCTACCATGCCCCCATGTCTGGCTAATTTTTCTATTTTTAGCATAGATAGGGTTTCACCATGTTGGCCAGGCTGGTCTCGAACTTCTGACCTCAAGTGATCCACCCACCTCACCCTCCCAAAGTGCTGGGGTTACAGGCACGAGCCACCACACTTGGCCAGTTTTGCTTTTTAATTCAGTTCTGGTAATGTGGTTAATGGCAGAATCCTCGTTGAATATGGAGGCAAGAAAACATATGATGAGGCACCCTTTTAATCTTGCTCCATGTGCGATCAATGTTAGGCTCTTACCTGCAGAAGGCAAAAGACCAGGGCTTGTTTTTTTAAAAAAGTAAACATCTCAGAGGTATGCTAGATGCATTAGACAGTGGTTTTCAGTCCTGGCTACACACTAGAATCACCTGGGCAGTTTTTGAAGCATATCAATGCCCTAACCTAAAGGAGTGAATCTCAACCTCATGGGGTGGATTCCCGACAGAAGTATTTTTTAGAAGTTCCCCAGAGGAGGCCGGGCGCGGTGGCTCACGCCTGTAATCCCAGCACTTTGGGAGGCCGAGGCGGGCGGATCACGAGGTCAGGAGATCGAGACCATCCTGGCTAACACGGTGAAACCCCGTCTCTACTAAAAATACAAAAAATTAGCCGGGCGTGGTAGCGGGCGCCTGTAGTCCCAGCTACTCGGGAGGCTGAGGCAGGAGAATGGCGTGAACCCCAGGGGGCGGAGCCTGCAGTGAGCCGAGATCGTGCCACTGCACTCCAGCCTGGGCGACAGAGCAAGACTCCGTCTCAAAAAAAAAAAAAAAAAAAAAAAGAAGTTCCCCAGAGGATTCTACTGTGAAGTTAGGGTTGAGAGTCACCATATTAAGAAATGGGAAGATGTTAGATTTACTAAGTATCTTCATAGTTGATTTTTTTTTTAGAGTGTGTATGAGACTCACACAAAGGAGACCAGGAAGAAGATCAGCATTCCATCATCGATTGTTACCCTTCAAATCCACAGTGCCCCATCTTTACTCAGTTGCCAGGGCTATTCGACTTTTCTTTTTTTTTTTTTTTCTTGAGATGGAGTCTCACTCCCTTGCCCAGGCTGGAGTGCCGTGGCGCGATCTCAGCTCACTGCAAGCTCCGCCTCTCGGATTCACGCCTTTCTCTTGCCTCAGCCTCCCGAGTAGCTGGGACTACAGGCGCCCGCCACCACGCCCGGCTAATTTTTTGGATTTTTTTTTTTTGTACAGACGGGGTTTCACCGTGTTAGCCAGGATGGTCTTGATCTCCTGACCTCTTGATCCGCCCGCCTTGGCCTCCCAAAGTGCTGGGATTACAGGCATGAGCCACCGCGCCCGGCCATTATTCGACTTTTCTAAAGCAGATCAAGCCTGGAGGGTCTCCCCTGAGATTACAGATAGGACAGTTTAAGCATCAAAAATGATAATGACTATAATGAATTGAAACTTGTCAAATATATGAAAACTGATGAGTTCATAATGATACTTCAAAAATAAACAAACAAAAAATCTCATTGATCACCTTGGAGGTTGCTAGGGAACCAACTCATTATTCTGAAAGTGTATCAATTAAGGGAAAAATCTCAAGCATTCCTCTTGTCTTTCCCTATTTGGACTAGAACTCAGGCTAATCAGCTAGTTGATGAGGAATACAGTTGTTCTTTATATAGAAGAATCATGCATAATAAATGCAGAAAAAATTAAAGAATTAGAAAATCACTATTTTCCACTAGCTAATGAAATAATGAACCTAGACAACAGTAATCAATGGCAGCTAAAATTATTACAGTAGTCCCCCCTTACCTGCAGTTTTGCTTTGTAAATTTCAGTTACCCATGCACACAGTACAATAAGATATTTTGAGAGAGAGACCACATTCACATAACTTTTTTTTTTTTGAAACAGGGTCTTACTCTGTTGCCCTGGCTGGAGTGCAGTGGCCCAATCATAGCTCACTGCAGCCTTGACTTCCCAGCCTCAGTTGATCCTCCTACCTTAATCTCCCGAGTAGCTGGGACTGCAGGTGCGTGCCATCACACCTGGCTAACTTTTGTATTTTTTTGTAGAGACAGGGTTTCGCCATATTGCCCAGGCTGGTCTCAAACTCCTGGGCTCAAGCAATCTGACCGTCTTGGCATCCCAAAGTGCTGGGATTACAGGCGTGAGCCACCATGCCCCCCTTACATTCACATAACTTTACTTACAAGTATATTATTATAATTGTCCTATTGTTGTTAATCTCTTACTGTGTCTAATTTACTAATTAAACTTTATCAAAGGTATGTATTCACAGGAAAAGACATAGTATATATAGAGTTCGGTACTATCCACAGCTTCAGGCACCCACTGTGGGTCTTGGAACATATCCCCAGAGAATAAGTTGTGGGGCGGGGTTGGGGAGTACTGTTGTATTGAAAAACTTGATGGGGACATTTTAATGGATGAATCAGGCAGTTAGCTCATACTTTTATTAAGGTGACTCTTGAATAACACAGATTTGAACTGTGCAGGTTTACTTATACTAAGATTTTCTTCTGCCTCTGCCAACCCTGAGACAGCAAGACCAATTCCTCCTCTCCCCTGTCCTCCTCCTCGCCTACTCCACATGAAGACAACGAGGATGAAGACCTTCATGATGATCCATTTCCACTTAATGAACAGTAAATACATTTTTGCTTTCTTATCATTTTCATAATAAAATTGTCTTTACTATAAGAATAGAGTATATAATACATGTAACATACAAAATATGTGTTAATGGGCTATTTACATATTTGAGTTCTTAATATGAGTTCTTAATAATTTCAACAGTCAGCTCAGTAATTAAGTATTTACAGAGTTAAAAGTTGTAGACTTGGATTTTCAAGTGCAGGGGGGTTAGCGCCCCTAACTCCTGCATTGTTCAAGGGTCAACTCTAGCTTCCTACAGCGTCTATAACAAATTACCACAGACATGGTGGCTTTGAACAACAAGAGTTTATTTTCTCACAGTTCTGGAGGCCAGACATCCAAGATCAGTTTCACTCAGCTTCATCAAGGTGCTGACAGGGCTGCACTCCCTCTGGGTGTTCCCTCCACTCTTTCATTTGCTGCTGGCTGCAGGCTTCCCTCCGTTTGTGGCTGCATAACTGTAATCTCTGCCTCAGTGGTCACACTGTCTTCTCTTCTGTATGTGTCTTTGTAATCTCCCTCTGCCTCCCACTTATAACTTGTAAAACCAGAAAATCTGAGACAGGTCTCGGTTAATTTAGAAAGTTTATTTTGCCAAGGTTGAGGACACGCCCATGATGCAGCCTCAGGAAGTCCTGACGACAGGTGCCCAAGGTTGTCGGGGCACAGCTTGTTTTTATAGATTTTAGGGAGACATGAGACATCAATCAATATATGTAAGAAGTACAGTAGTTCCATCGAGAAAGGTGGAGACAACTCAAAGCAAGGCCCCCCCACTGGGGACTTTCAGGTCACAGGTAGGTGAGAGACAGATGGTTGCATTCTTTTAAGTTTCTTATAAGTCTTTCCAAAAGAGGCAATCAGAATATGCATCTATCTCTGTGAGCAGAGGGATGACTTTGAGTAGAATGGGAGGCAGATTTGCCCTGTGTGGTTCCCAGCTTGAAGGGGCCCAAGATATTTTCCTTTCACAAAGGACACAGGTAATGGCCTCTGAGTCCCAGATCTGGTATCCAGATGATGCAGGATAATCTCTGCATCTCAAAACCCTTAATTTAGTCACAACTACAAAGACTCAGCCTCCTTTTCTCCATATAAGTTAATGTTTATACATTTTGGGGATTAAAATGTGGATATCTTTTGGTTTGGGGGACCATTTTTCAACCTACCACAACACTAAATCATGGAGTAATCTTAATATTAAGGAAAATGGGATAAATACACGATCCTTGATATGCCTTTATATGAGAAGACTAGAATATGAGGCAATACCACCTATGAAATCCCTCTACCCCACACCACCAAATCAACTTTAATCTAATCAGGCCTCTAGTTCTAACTACTGATTTTTGTAGGGATAGAGAAACATATTAAATGACACTAAAAAGATATAATCAGGCAAATCCAATCATTCTACAAGACAATAGGCCCATTTCTCAATCTCTTCAATAAATGCACCAAAGAGAGGAAACAGTTGTGCGTTAAAAGAAATATAAGAACATGTTAATCATAGGCAATATTCCTAGAATCTTGTCTGGATTCTGAACTGCACAAACCAACAATTAAAAAAGATACGATTGGGACAATCATGAAAAATGAACACAAATTGATGATATTGGGGAATTGTCGAGGTTTGAAGGCCTTGATAATGATTTTGTGATTATGTTCAAAAAATAAAACTAGATATTTAGACTGAAATACATATGATATTTAGACTGAAATACGTATGATATTTAGACTGAAATACATATGAGTGAAACGATATTATGTCTAGAATTATCTTTAAAATACCCCAGCAACAAATAAATAAATAAATAAATAAATAAATAAATAATAAATAAGAACAACAAATACAATTTTTTTAAATGTGATGGTAGGGCAAATAAGAGCAGCATATTCGGTAAAATAAGAGCAGCAGATGCGGATTATTGAAACTAGGTGACAAATGTGTGGGAGTCTATTGAACTAGCCTTTATATTTGTATGCATGTTTGAACATTTCCAGAATATAAGTCTATTTATGTGACAGTGCAGCCTGTCCCCATGAGGCCAAGTTTAACTAACTGTCCTTAGGCCTGGCCTTACTCTAGGGAGTTGTTACCTATGCAATAGTAACACCCACTTCATCTCTTAGGACTATTTTAGGGGTAGCGTAGAAACAGATGAAAGTAAAGTATATGTGGAAGTCATTAATGAACTCATTTCTTAGGCTTGCTTTTCCAGAAATGTATCAGCCTGAATAAGTACTAAAATTGATAAGCACTATATTTTTGATAATTAAAAAGCACTACAATTTCAGGAAGCATTTGAAGTCTGTTCGCAGACAGCATTCATAGCTCCCAGACTTCTGCAGAGTTTTACTCCCTGAGGTAACTCCAGTACAAATGGAAAAGAGTAGAGTGGATGAAGACAGAAAGTGCAAAATAGACAAAAGCTGGCTGCAACTCCAATGTTCATCAAGATGAGTGGATAAACAAAATGCGGTATATTCATACAATGAAATATTATTCAGCCATAGCAATGAATGAAGTATTGGCACCTGCTACAATGCGGACAAACCTTGAAGACATTATGCTAAGTGAAGGCAGTCAGACTCAAAAGGTCACATACTGTATGACCCCATTTACCTGAAGTATCCAGAATACGGAAATCCACAGAGACAGAAAGCAGACTAGTGGTTGACAAGAATTGAGGGGAGTGACTGTGTAATTGGCAAGGCGTTTCCTTTTGGGATAATGGAAATGTTTTGGAAGGGAAAGGAGGTAATAATCACACAACATTGTGAATGTGCTGAAAGTCATTGCATTGCTATCTTTAAAATCTTTAATTTTATGTCATATAAATTTTGCCTCACAAAAAAAAAAAAAAAATGATAGAGGGTGGTGTTCCACTGTGCTTCCCAGCCAAGCCACAATGTTCTGATTATGAAAAGGAGAAGTAATCAATCAATGCCCATTCGTGAAGCATCTTCCGTGACAAGATACTGGGATGGTACTGTGGGGGATTCAGAGGACAGAAGAAAAGCTAGCTGTGACTTTTCACTTCAAGATGCTTACAATCAAGTTGTGTGCTCAAGGCCATGAGACAAAATTTAAACAAAATAAGAATGAACACTTAAGCTATTGTAAAATGTGAAGTGATGGAGTAACAGATGAGTGACACAGGCCAGCAGTTCTCAAAATTCTTCAGGTGGAGGGACAGAAAGAAGTTGCCATGTCTTTATGGAACACTATGGGATTGTTTTTAATATTGATTCATTTATTATACCTATGATAAAAAAAATCAACTTCATATTAAATAACATATCATCTGGCAATAAATTCCAGAATAGATAGGCATTAACAGGGAGCAGTGGTTTATGAAAAATTAGATAAAACTCAGAATGGAAATCAGTTTACTTATTAATATTGGCATGTTTGTGAAAACTTGGAAAGCTCAATTCTGCTTGACCCTTGCACCTTGGTCCAACTGTGGACACCAGTGTTCTTAAGCATAGCTCATTAACTTACACAATCAACAAGTTTTTACTGAGTGTTCACTATGTGCTGAGCACAGTGCAGCCTCTGGGTAAGCATGATGATTTAAGGAGTAATGGTCTCTGTCCTACGTAGCTTGCAGTTGATGGAGGAGATGGAAAATAAATAAGCAAGCAATTATACATTGTAGAAACATGGTGTAAAAAATGTCCAGGATGATATGGTGAGACAGAATAGTGGGGGAAAATGGTGTGCAGAAGACATGTCACATGCAGTGACCCCAAGGCATGGAAGTCCTAGATATGTTCAGAGTTCTGAAGGCATGTTGGAGGTTGGAGGGGAAGAAGAATGACTGGGACTAAACCTAAAGGAGCCAGTTCAGCTGAACATTGAAGATCAGAGTAAGGAGTTCAAAAAGAAGTCATTAAGTGTGAAAATAGTATGATTATGTTTGTTTCTAAAAAGGATAACTCTAGTCACTACATAAATAAAGATGGACAAGTTGAAAGCAGATAGAATATAGAAGAAACCAGGTCTTGGCAAGCTTGAATTCAACCCCTTCTTTCCCTTAAAATCAAGCTCAGAACAGCCAGCTCTCAGTGGCTCAACCCTGAACCTCATCCTGGCCCTTCTGAGTGTCCCAAGTCGCTCAAGAATCTCACAGGTTCTCAAGCTTCTGGAAGAGTTCCATGGCTAGAAGTGATGCTATCCAACTTAACACTCCAAAACGTGAAGATATTCTACTGAACATGAAGATGTGGTCTGAATATCCCCCTACTCCCCAGTTCTTTGACAGCCTCATCCAAGAAGAAGGAGAGAATCTGTCTACAAAGTGTGAAGACAGTGCTTGGGCTTTTGGATGCCTTCGACTTGAGTTTGAATCTGAGCACTGTGTGATATTCTCCTGTAAAAGATGTCATGTAAGAATTACATGAAATAGCAAGTGCTCAGCATACAATAGGCACTTATTAATATTTTTCATTAATGTTTCAAAGTCTTTGCTTGAGCCAAAGCTGAGATACAGACATGGCTATGTATATGTGGCAAAATGTTGAGTAAAGTCACCGTTGTGGGAAATATAAAGTATCCAGGGAAATTGTTCATTCTAAGGTAAGAATGAGATCAGAACAATGCATTGAACACCATTAAAAGAAAGTAAAAGGTTTCATGACTTCAGGAGGAAATGATTTTAAATCACTCAAATCTACTTTATAATCAATCCCATGGACTCACTCCTTGGTCTTGGGGTGAGGGGAAGCTATAAATAAATAAAGCTATAAATAAAACTCCAATAGTTGCTTTGCTAAAAATCAAAAACAAACAAAACAATAGTATTGCATCAATATTTCTCAGACTAGGATGATTTTCAAAACTTTTATAAACCGAGACAAAGGTATCATCCAATCAGAACAGAACAACAAATGTCAGCCATGAACAGACATGACCTGTGAGGAGCTCAATGTCATTATTACTGAAAGATATCATAAAAGGTAGAGAAAAACTGCCCCACTCCTACCACTTACTTTATTAACAATCACAGGTATCCTCAGCAAAGCAGATGCACGCCTCATTGTGATATCATTTGTAGCCACGGTGGAGATAGCTTTGCGTTTCTGTTGGTTGATTCTATAGTATACCCCAATTGCCTGCTGGAGGGCCTTTTTGAGCAGGTTAGGAGAGGCTAGGCTGAGAGACTCACCCTACAAAGTAGTTTGTATAAGTTACTCCAATTGAAGATCAAGATTTGAGATTTAGGATTAAGGATTTTAAAATTGTTATGTTTTGAAACCAAGGAAGGGTTTTTGACTTTTAATGAAAAACAAATACATTGATGCATGTAATAGCTGCATTCTCAGACGATGTAATTAATTAGGATGTTTAACTCTGCAATGGTTGAGCTGCTTTTAAAGGTAAATCCAAAGTGAATATTGAATGAAAGTTTCAACTGTTTTTTTGTTTGTTTTGTTTTGTTTTTTTCACTTACAGTTTTAAATCAGTATGCTGGAGAGGGTCACTTATCTATCAATCAAAGACAATTCTGAGGGAAGACAGGCAAAAGACCTTATAATCCTGATATAATCTCTTTTCTAACCCAAGCATCTTGAGACACTCGTATGGGCTGGCACAGAATTTAAGCTCCAATTCACTCAAATCAAAAAGAGCAACTCTCAGTCTGTCATCAGTAAGCTAGCTCTCCAAGGTGTATTTTTATCCCAGCCTCATCTAAGTTATGACAACTCACCTGGTTGGTTTCTGCCATTTGAGTAGAGAGAGGCATCAGAGTGACAGGCCATCACTCTTTGTGTTCCTCTTGAGGTATGACAGAGAGGAAAAACAAACCTGGGGAAACAGATTTCAAAGTTATTTCCAAAATGTCTCTGGATTGGAAAAAGAGATATAGGGTACTGTTGATGCTTTTTTCTACCCAGAGCTC
The DNA here is from genome assembly GCF_000001405.40 of Homo sapiens. Lineage (NCBI taxonomy): Eukaryota > Metazoa > Chordata > Mammalia > Primates > Hominidae > Homo > Homo sapiens. The sequence goes on along the minus strand of NC_000018.10, from coordinate 56,049,985 downwards.
TTCTGAAGGTGAAACTCCTCTCTCTTTTATAGGCACTTCTTAATTTATTTGTCTGTTTGTTTATTTGTTTTACTGCTTTGACCTCGATTCATCTCCCTATTCTTCTGTTTCTTAAAATGTGCAGTTCTAATAAGTTGTACTCCTAGTCAACAACTCAAACTCTTTTTACATTGATTTCTACATTGAAGCACCCTCTTCCGGTGGCTGAGCCAACTTACTGCTGGGCTAATCTTTCTGCAGACCCATATCCTTAGGACACATTGATTTCCCACACTGAGAAATGGTAACATCTAGTGCCTGCTTAATTTGCATAAAATATATAAACAAATATTAGATATTAATATAAATGTTCATATAGACACATAAAAATATAATTATAAATTTTACGCTTGTCAGGGGCCTTCTAATCTACTGCGTTAGCTGACTATCTAATCTAGCTATCCCCTAATTTTTCAGATTAAGTATATTTTTCTGTCACTGCTCAGTTTAGATTTACTATAATTGCACATGTATTTCATATTTTTCTACTTTATTTTTTGCATTCTTATCATATTATATTATTCCTTTTTTCTTTTCTAACTTATTTTGAAGTGATTGAGTTTTCTTTATTATCATGTTTTCCTCTGCTGGTTTTGAAGAGATACATTCTATTTCCATTATTTTAGTTATTATTTCTAATTTTTTAACATGTCTCCTGACCTAACAAGATCTAAGTTTAACTGATCTTTTTATTCTGCTCTAATATGGCAAGTACCTTAGAGCACTTTAACTCTGACCATCCCCTCCCTCTTACATGCTATTTGGTCCAACATTTTAGTGTCATCTTAGTTTTATATCTTATCAAATTATTCATTTGAATTATTATTATTGTTGTTTTATATAATCATTGATTGTTTATATAAACCCACAATTTACTGGTTTCTTTGCTCATGAGTTTGCATCCCATTGTTTCCTTTGAAGTTTAAATCCCTACGTCTTGCTTCCTATTCTTTCATTTGGAGTTTAAATTCCTGCTTCTTGACATTGCTGTTATGCTGGGGTGGGGATTAGCTGAAAATGGTGCTCAACCCAAGATTATAAAACATAGGAAGACATCATCCATGATGAGTGACAGTTATCAGATGTAAAAAATAAACAAAGGATTAGAATCCAAAGAGCTTCAAGTTATTGATTATTAGAGGGATACTATAAAATAATGTTTAAAAGAAAAAAATTAACATGTCAGAAAAGCATAAGACATATTATGATTGCACATGGATATACCTTATTTTCTGCTCCCAACATGGCTCTGATAGTGGTAAGCACTCAGCCTTTATCTGCTAAATCTCTTTATTTCACTCTTATTTATGAATGATAGTGTGGTTGGGTATAAAAATATAGGTTTACAGTTATTTCCCCTACCCCTTTGAAGATATTATTCTGTTGTCTTCTGGTTTTTTCTGTCATTACTGAGAAGGTTACAGTTAGTGTGGTTGTTCTGTTACAGGTTGTCTTTTCTTTCTTTCTTCTTCCTCTTAAGATTTTATATTGGTCTCTGGTATTTCCATAAGATGTATCTGTGTGTTGTCTTATCTCACTTGGGCCTCCAAATCCTGACGTTTCATGTGTTTCATCAAATCTGGAGGATTTGGCCAGGTGCAGGGGCTCACATAATCCCAGCACTTCCGGAGGCTGAGGCGGGTGGATCACTTGAGGTCAGGAGTTTGAGACCAGCTTGGCCAACATGGTGAAACCCTGTTTCTACTAAAAATACAAAAAATAGCCAGGCATGGTGGTGGGTGCTGGTAATCGCAGCTACTCCAGGGGATGAGGCAGGAGGATCGCTTGAGCCTGGAAGGCACAGGTTACAGAGAGCCAAGATTGCAACACTGCACTCCAGCCTGGGCAACAGAGTAAGACACTGTCCACCCTGCCCCTGACCCCCACCCCATCAAACAAAAAAATCTGGAGAACTCTAGGTCTTATCTCTTCACATATTTCCTCCTCTTCTATTCTTTCCTTCAGGCACTCTCATTAAAACACTCTTTCTCCCCTCAATGTGTATTAACCACTTTTAAATATTTAATTGCTCTCTGCTACCCTTTAGGAAAATCTTTATTCAACTGTTTGAATGTTGAATATCTGGTTAAACTATCCATTGTGCTTTTCCCTTCCATGTTTATATTTTTCAATTTTAGAAATTTAATTGTTATTTTCAAAGCTTCCTATTTCTTACTCATATGTCTTATGCTTTTCTGACTTGTTAATTTTTTTCTTTAATCATTTTTAACATATTATTTTATAATATCCCTCTAATAATCTATTACTTGAAACTCTTTGGGTTCTAATCCTTTTGTTTATTTTTTGTATCGGATAACTGTCATTCATCATGGATTATGTCTTCCTGTGTTGCATAATCCTGGGTTGGGCACTCATTTTCAGCTCCTCCCCACCCCAGGATAACAGCAATGTCACACTTGTTTAGTACTTCTAATTTGGGTTGAGGATTCTCTTACTCTCCTTATTTCATTAAGGACTCAGCTGTATATTTAACATGTTTATAAATACTTTTCCTACCTTGCCTAGGTGAACTTGTTCAAATTATCCAATCCAAATTATTCCCAGAAGCACACATCACATCCTCAAGAATTAAAATGACAAGAACAAGAAGATATGACTACAACTAAATAAAATAAATAGAGAGAAAGAAAGAGGAACAAAAAAAAAGGAAGGAAGGGAGAAAAAGAGGGATGGAGGAGGGAGGAAGGGAGGGAAGGAGGTGGGGAAGGGAGGGAAAGAGGAAGGTGTTGTTGCTCCTTCCTGGAACTCTCTTCCTGGGCTTACTTCACCCCTCAGGTCTCAACTGAAACAGTACCTCCTCCAGAAAACCAATTAGTTCTTCTTACTGTTCCCATGACTCTTTGCTTCTCCTATGATAACTCTTACCATGCTTTATTGGAATTATTTGTTGCCTTTCTTTCTTTCCAGGTAAAATTAAAAGGATCAGAGCAGGATGATTCCTTCATTTATTAACAAATATTTATTGAGCCCTAAGGATACAGCAATACATAAAATACACAAAGCCACTGCTCTCCCAAAGCTTACATTCTAGACAGGGAAGACAGAAAATAAACAAATATACAGTGTGAATAATACATATAAGTGATGATAAATGCTCTGGAAAAAAAAGTGGTGAGAGGAAGGAGAACTATGTAAGGAAGAGGGCCTAAATGAGAAAAGGTGGGCCAGGAAGGCCTCTCAGTTCTGATGACTTGACTGGAAACCTGAGTGGGATAAGTGAGCAAGCCTTGGTTGTATCTTTGGAGAAGGACACAGACACCTTCAGTGAAGTATGCACTGGGTTTGGGAAGGAGGGAATGAGAGCAGAGTGGGCAGTTGGCTCAGAGACGGGGCCAGGCAGCATGACACAAGGACTTTCCAGCCTCTGGAAAGACTCTGGGATATTATTATGAGTGAGGTTTGATGCCACTGAAAGGTTTAAATGATCTTGCTTACATTTCAAAAGACTATCTCTGCCACTGCACTCCAGCCTGCACGACAGAGCAAACCTCTGTCTCAAAAGGAAAAAAAAAAGACTATCTCCGGTTGCTATGTTGTAACAAGAGTGGAAGCAGAGTGGCAAACTAGCAAGCTAATGCAATTGTTTAGGCAGATAAAACACTGTAGACTGGAATAGCAAGTGCAGAGGTGGTGAGAAGAAGGGGTTGCATCCTGGATTTACTTTGAGGGTAGAGTTGAATGGATCTGCTGACTGTATCACTCTATTTCATAACTTTTATAACCAAATCCTGCATAGAGGGTCTAGCTTTGTATTCGTGGAATAAATGAATGAGTGAATGAATGAATGCATGATTTACAGGCCCTCCTTCTTGATGATGTCATTTCCATTTGTGAAATGAAAATTATCAAACACTATGAAAACTACGCAGGTTTTGCTGCTACCACTAAAGTGGGTCTAATGTAAATAATATTAACCACATTTTGTAAGCAACAGATCCAGCATGTGTACTAGGTCTTCTTCCTGCCCCAAAGCTTTTATTTTAGACACAAATGTTGCACACATTTTTCAGCTTCTGCTAGGACTTAGAATTGCTCTATATCAGTTTCATGAATGACCCTCAAATAGGCCATCAATAAATTTATCTCAGCCACACATTTGATCTGAAATCCAAATCCATTTTCAAGAAAAATGTAACTGGCCAAATAGACAAGACTTTGATTTCAAAATGAACGCTGGACAGGTCATATTTTTCTGTCAATTTATTTCAAGACAATGTTCAAAGGAGTTGACTGATAAAATTCACTACTCAGTGAAAGATACCAAGACACATCTTAGGTATTGTTTACCTCTTGAAACAATATGGTGACTATTGAAATCTTACTGTGGGCATACCTACCATCACTTTTAACAGATTTCAATGAAATTTAAAAGTGACAGAGATAAATGTCTTAAATGAATCTGTAAATTCATTGATAATTTTCTAATCAATCCTACTTTTATTAGATTGTCCTTTGAAAATTTAATTAAAATTATAATTAATTTCATTTATGAACTGCAATAATGTCTTCTAATTATGTGATTATAACAAGTGAAGTCTGCTGTTCATAGAAGTAATGGTTAAAATGTCTAAAATTACCAAGTATACATTTTAAATTACCAAGTATATATTTTCCAGGTTATATGTGCTATGGAGAAAAGATAATTACCAAGTATATATGATCTTTTCTCTATAGTACATACAACCTGGAAAATTGCCCTTGTGATTAGTACTCTTTATGCTTCCTGTCATGCATTAACAGAATCTAGAGCGCTGATACTATAACAAGTGTACAAGTATATAAACTGTGCCAAGGGAAGTGGGTGCCAAACATGTCCAGCTTTCATGGTGGCAACTTCACAGAAGACACAAGGTAGTTAAACAACATCTATTGCAAGGAAAGCTTCAAAAATCACAACATCTTGGGTTGGAAAGAACTTGAAAGATGGTCTCTTTCCAGCCCTACATCCCTCTTAGACTTTATTTGATTTGGAATTGCAGTTCCTTTGCAGCACTAATCTTGATAACACATTTCAATTCCAGCAGTCTGCCAGGCTCTGCACTGGGGTGATTCTAGAGAACGGTAGGCAGGCATCCTGCCCTTGACGATCCCAGAATCTACCAGAGCCTCTGCAAGTTTTCCACAGGTTGCCTGAATTTGGCAGTTTGCTTCCCCACAGAAATCAAACAGGAGCTATGAGACTTTCTCACTTAAAACACACACACACACACACACACACACACACACACACACACACATTAAGGATAGGGTCCAGGTTTTCTGCTGCACTCACTCTAGGTTGGAGAGCTAGAGAAGAGGCTGATGAGACCATCTCTAGCATACATTTATGGAACTGTCCTTTGGAATAAGCCACATGAAAGCAAATTAGTCTTCTGTTCAATCCTTGAGACAAACAGAGTGGCCTCTGCCAGTGTACACTTTCTTCCCTGTGTAAAACATTTTACTTTGGCACTACAAGCACAGCCTGGTTCTGAGGCTTGTCCTCTTTCTCCCCTCCCTCCAGTCACTCATCACTTCAATGATGTTGCCCATGATTTCACAGTGGTTAATTTTCTACCGAGAGAGGATGCCCTAAACCAATCTTTCATTAGTGACAGTAATCACTACATCAGTCTCTTATTAATGACAATAATAGCTAACATTTATTCCATGTAAATCATAGCATAATACTATGTCATTGAATTTCACGATACCCCATGAGGTAGGTGGCATTGATATGCCCTCTCTATAGATGATGGAATAGAGATTCAGAGAAGTTAAGAGACTTGCTTATGGTCCTATTGCCAGTCAGCCCTGGAGCCAGAATTCAAGTCAGGTGTCTGATTCCTAAACCAGGCATTTGACCCCTAACGAAATTGCTTTGGTTGTAGCAGGAGGATGGGAATGGCTGGAATGGGACCACAACCACCTGGCCTCACACCTGGCCCAAGTTCTTGGAATTCCAAGACACCCCTCAAAGCACAGGCTTATGTCAACAAGAGTTTTCTAGAGGAGCTGAGGTTATCTGGGAATCTGGCTGCCAGTGTTCGTTCTCTGATCTGCTACACCATCCAACAACATAGACCCGACTTTCTTGCCAGCAGCCAGCCTCACAGGGCAGCCAAGACTAACAAGTGTAGGCACTGTGCAGGGTACAGGGCGCATGAATAGCACTATTCTTTGCTGGCCAACACTGGCCCCATTGTTTTAGGCAATGAATAGAGCTGTGTAGAAAAAAAAAAATTCACACACGAAGCAAAAGCAGCAAAATTTGTCTCTTTGTGATGGTTTCAAGACTGGGTGAAAAAGTCATTCTTCACCTGGTGCTGTTTTACATACTCTTTCACAAACAGAAAGCACTTTCTGGCAAGGGAAGAGCCTTTCTCTCAAAATTAAAAAGTTATAGGTCACAGTGCAGGTGGGAGAATTGGGAGTAGACCTCAAAGTTTAATGGCACTCATTCATTACAACATTGGGGAGATGGAAGTGATGAGGCATCATTTTGATTTAGTGGAATTAAGCTCTGTTCCCAACAATCATCTTGATCTATTTGGGACACACAGTTTTTGCCTGCATTTTTCACAGATAACAGAGGGAAAGTTAAGAACACACTATTAACTACAGTATATATTAGGGCTCCTATTCAAGGCAAATAATTGCCAGACTTTCTATTTCTTTTTGATAGTGCTAGACTCTTTTAGTCTCAGACCCATTTCTGGGGTTGTGTTGCTGGCTGCTGTAACTCACCACCAGGGAATCTCTCCCTATCTTTGTCCTGGCTGCACCATTAGATGAAGTCAGAATCTCACAAAACCATTACACTCATTTAACTTCTGCATATGGAAAATGAATTCCTCTCTTAAGAGCAGGCATTAACACATAGCTCTGATACAAGCCCGTGTCCCACACACATTATCTCCTTTTCATCCTTACACCACTCATAAAACCACCATTGGTGGTAGACGTCCTGTGGTACAAATCATCTTGGATTGTTGACTGAATTATTATTTTGTGTATCTTGGTATCATAAAGTTCTATGAATTCAGTTTCTTCAAAATAGATCTCTTTATTTTTTTATTTAAATACAGAAACTTCCAGAGGCAGCTTAAAACATGGGAAGAGCATTATGGGCTTTAGATGCAATCTGATTTAAATTCTGGCTTATACAGTAGTTCTGTAGGATGACTCTATGGTCTATGTTGTCCTGGAAAGACCTTGCTGTATCTGTTATCCTGGTGTAATTGTTAATATTGCCGTCTTTCACTTTAAAATGTGTACAGTTTAAATGGTAGATGATAAGGTCATCCTATGGTTATGTCACCATGGGCAAGCAACTTAACTTCTGTTAAGTTGCTTTCTTCATTTATTAAATCAGGACAACACTGTCTATCTGTTAGGATCAGTATTAATGTTAAAGAGAATACACGGAACTCTCTGCATATTGTCTGAAGCATAGCAAGGACTCAATAAAGATGGCTATTATTAATATTTCCTCTGGAGGCACTGCCTTAGAACACTGTTTCCAGGTGCCTTCATCCATTTTGTGCTGTTAGAATACCACAGGCTGAGTAATTCATAATGAACAGGAATTTATTGGCTCACCATTCTGGAGGATGAGAAGTTCAATATCAAGTTGCTGGCATCTGGCAAGGGCCTTCTTGCTGCATCATCCCATGAAAGAAGGGCAAAAAGAGAATGAGGGAGAGAAAGAGGCAAAAGGAGGCTGAACTCATCCTTTTGTAAGGAACCTACTCCTGCAATAACAAGCCCACTTCCACGATAATAGCATTGATCTATTCATGAGGGAAGAACCACCATGGCCTAATCACTTCTTAAAGGTCCTTCCTCTTAATACTGTGACAATGGCAATTAAATTTTAACGTGTGTTAGGGAGAGGACAAACATTTAAACTATTGCACCAACTGTTTGAGAAATCATGGACTATTGAAACAAAAAATAAAATAAAATAAAATCAATCAAAGGAATGTATTAAAGTCACCAGGGTTTTACCTTGCCTAGTAGAGACATTAGAGAAAAAGAATACCACTGATTACAAACACGTTTCCATGACAGAAAGTTTTTTTAAAAGCTGAAAATGTAGAAAACAAACTCTGAGACTAAAAGACAGCTAAGTTAACTGAAAGTATGTATCATCATTTTTTAAAACAGAGTATTATATTCTGAAGGAGATCAGAATATCTCACCCTCAAATATGCCACTTTGGCATAAGGATTATTGTGAGCTGAAGCCAATTAAGAATCAAGAAATGCAGGAAGAGTTTACTGTCCTCTCCTTTTCTGCCTAAAAAGCTGTACATAAATTTCCCTTTGAAGAAGGTTCTCTCTTACCCAAGAGAAAGAATAGCAGCTCTTAACATGAAAGACCAGAGTTAACATTAAGGTGAGTTTACATAAACAGATCTTACTAAAATCTTATCTTCCATTAGTTCCTCCCCATGTTTCCTAGTCACTTCTCCACAACTTAATGTCACTTGATGCTCACGCTCCTTTCCTTTGTTAAAATGGTGTATAAGCCCCCAAGTCTAATCACTTGTTTGCATTTTATCTTTTTGTATGTGAACTCTCATGGGTGTAAATATTAATACAAACTGTGTTCTTTTTCTCCTATTAACTTGTCTTTTGTAAGTTTAATTCACAGGCCTCCAGGTACTGAACTTAAGAAAGTAGAGAAAAAGGTTTTCCTTCTCCAAACTTTTATTTCTTTTAGCAGCAGGCTAGTGAATGTTCATAGGCTAGTAGTGGTCCAAAGTCAGACAGCTGGGAATCACTGCTCTAGAGGCATATAATCCAATCTGTCCTTTTCTGTCTGCTTCTTTTCTGACCCTGTCCTCCCCTTCTTCCTGCCATTTTATTCCCATCCTTCTCAAACATTACTTTTGTTTGTATCATTTGGCAACTTCATGATATTAAGCATTCTTCAAGTGCAGTGCTCAGTAGGCTATGGGTACTTTAAAAATATGTAGCGTATTTTTAACTTCATATCTTCCCAGAAAAACATTTTAATTTTAGCATCTTAGTTAAACCTGATGGTTACTCTAATTCACCTGTTTATTTTTCTGTAGGTTTTACACACTATTGGAGATCCAGTCAATATAGAAAAAAAGTAGATGATTCAATAAAAAAATAGAAGTTTTGCATTATGCCTATTAAGAGAGTAGCCACATACTTCAAGTGTTCATTTACAGCAGTTTTGGCAAAGAATGGGCTTAATTTGACTTCTGATCTGTACATAAGTCACAGGCAAAAACTCTCTTTTAACTCTTTTTTTCCCTCCAGGTTTGGAAAATACTCATCTTTGATTAAAAAGTTGGAAAGAACTGACCGGGCGCGGTGGCTCACGCCTGTAATCTCAGCACTTTGGGAGGCGGAGGCGGGCGGATCACAAGGTCAAGAGATCGAGACCACGGTGAAACCCCGTCTCTACTAAAAATACAAAAAAAAAAAAATCAGCCGAGCTCGGTGGCTGGCACCTATAGTCCCAGCTACTTGGGAGGCTGAGGCAGGAGAATGGCGTGAACCCACGAGGCGGAGCTTGCAGTGAGCTAATACCGCGTCACTGCACTCCAGCCTAGGTGACAGAGGAAGACTCCGTCTCAAAAAAAAAAAAAAAAAAAAAAAAAAAAGTTGGAAAGAACTGATCCACATAGGTGATTTTAAGGAAGGATGAGGAAGCTCTCCAGAAGCCCCCCTCACTTCCATTCAATTTTTCCTCTGAATGCCATTAATACCTACAACGAATTTCCTAGCATTTAACCTAACAAAGCTTTTAAAGATTTAATATTACCCTCTTTTCCCTCAAATGATATTTGCATAAGCCATAATTAAGTTTTTGGAGTCTCATTAAAAAAAAAAGCTATTGAAAGAAATAAAGCAGTGAAGCAAACATTATAAGTTGCAGTAGCTAATCACGCAAAAATGATAATAGCTTCCAAACTGTAGTCAAAATTTACTTATATTTCCTGAATATTGTGACTATTAATATTTTAAGATCTATTAATACCAAGATATATCATTGCTTTCTAATTTGCTCTTTTATTCAAGATGATCTTTAACAGCGAAAATCTTGTAACCCAATATCATAATCAAGCCATTGAACTTTTAAATTGAAGCCGGGTTCTTTTTAAGCACCTCATTTTTAAACATCAGATGAAAAAGCATTTATTCTAAGATGCAAATTTTTAATTATTTAAGAGAGTAGAAGCTTCTTTGGACCTGAAATACCAAAATGAAATGTCCCTTAACAAATATGATTTTTTTTAAAAGATGCAAATTCATCATTCTTAGTTTAACTCCGCCATGAATTTTCTCTTTAATGCAAAATAGTACATTTCATTGTGTTACCATTTTGTATTTTGCTGTATCAAAATCCTCAGCAACTTTATAAATTCTTTAAGGAGTGAAAGTGTGTAATTTGTGCTGTGCCAGAAACAGAACTCACAGTTTGCGATCACATAATTCATATACATGAGGTTGATAAGCAAATGGCAAGGAACACCGTAAGTTTCAGCAACATTTACCTCAATCAATCCTCTGTGATGGGAATGTTTTTTGCAGGGCTCACCAAAGTTCACTGGATGATTGAAATAAGAAAGAGTTGGGGGAATAACTAGGATATATGTCAAATATGTAAAAAACAAAGGAGAACCACGGAGGTTGAGACAGGATGGTTGTCCTTCCTTGGAACTGGTCTCATTAAAGTCCTCCTCAGAAAATATTTTCTCAGAACTTTGGATAAGAATTGCATTACTGGCTTCTTTTTGAAGATAATGGTTATTTTCAACATTTTATGCAACTGAATGATAAAATGACAAGAACTTTAAATTAAACCTTAGCATGCTACCAAACTAAGCATTGTGTAGAGGGGTTAGGTTGGGAACAGCCCGGCAGACATTTCTTTTCTTGCTTTCCTTTTTTTCTTTTTTTTAATCAATTTAACAAATGTTTGTTTTCAATTTGTTTTTGACAATGGACTTAATAAACTCTTTTACCTAGTTAAGATTTATGAAAAGTGTTTCTCTCCCCACTTATCTCATTTATAGAATTTGTAATTTGCATAATGGTAAGGCAGGGGCATTTTCATTCCTGCCTTTCAAGCACCTCCATTCTAATTTTCATGGTAATAGTAAGTGCACTTAACAACAATGGTTCATTGATCCAGCATGTCTCCTACCTGCCCTGGAGCAACTGGGCAATTGTTAACTATAGAAGCCACAAAACAGATAACCGAATCGACCATTTGTGCAAAAGCTCTGCCTATAATGGTTTCAATAATAATTAATATGCAGGATAGCTAGTCCTGTCACACACCATTTCAGACTAGAATTGCATCTGTCAGTCCAAATCCTGACTCCATTCGAGGCATCCAGCACTGAATCTAGTTAGACAGCTAACTGAATTAAAACAAAAATCTACAGATGCATGATAAATGCACAGGATGCTATGTCACACATGAATGACTCCTGCGCAGGCCAAATGACAGATGTATTTCCGCGACTCCAGGCCAGGCTCCAGCACAAACCACTCTTCATTTATCAATAATTGGGCCTTAATTTCATTTGGCAGTGGTGGAGCAGCATGCTCAGCTTCCTCTCCAATAGACGAACACTAATTAGACTTTTTTGGGGGGATGGGCACCAATCTTTTGGTTTTATTTCAAATACCCAACCATCAGCAAAGTTAGAACTGTCTTTGGAAGCGAGTGGTCTGTTTCACCCACAGCTCATTATTAGTGATAATATCTTGCAATGGGAACTCTTCAAGTATTAATGTTCCATTTCAATAAAGATGAGAAGCATAGGAGATGCCATGCGGAAAAAGAAAGATGGGGAAGGATTGTGGTTACACACTAAGTCTCTTAGAGTACTTGCTAACTCTTCTTACTTATTGAAGAGTTTTGCTTTGCCTTTTAGGTCAATGTGTGTGTTTGAGGGAGAAAGAGAGAGCAAAAGGCAGAGAGATTCACAGACATAGACAGATGGAGTGGCAATGTAAACAGGAAAAGTGCAGAACAATTTTTAAAATTTTAATTGTAAAAGGAGAAAATTATTAGGATTGTTTTCTCAGGTTATCATATTAATTTCCAGACCAGTTTTTATGTGGTTGCTTTTACATTAGATAAATCATTGTAATAATTAGTAAAATGTCTGATCAATTACTAAAACGGTTAGTGTTCCCCCTACCATCCAAGTAGAAAAGGCCTCCCAAAGGAATTCCAATCATGTGTACAACAAAACAAACAAAGCCTACTTTGGATCATATAAACCAGCCCCAGATTTACCAAAATACCCACATATTGGCCACTTTTCTCCTTAAATCTACATTATGGGGATTAACATTCCCTCCCTCAATGCCTACAGAGACCAAGTGTTCATTTGTTCCTTTATTTAAGCAGAGGAAAATTGGCATGGCAGATTGTGTACTGCGGCTTTACCCATGGGTGGACCTTTCTCCATTTAAGGCGTTGTGGCTAGTTGCTCATTTGGGCTTAGAACTAGCTATGCTTTTCAGGTTCTCTTGAGCTTCTTGCCTCTCCTTCCAAATCCTGTTCCAGAATGAGTGAAAAAGGGATGCCCTGCTTCTCCTTCAACTCCCACACACAAACTCACTTTCAGCAGGGCACCCTATTGATCCACTCTTGGGATCTTGCTATTCTCTGCCACTCAGACACTCTTCAATGTCACATTTATTATTCTTCATTGGCATAGGTGAAGCCAGTGATGTTGTCCTGAGGACTGATTGCTATGCCCAGATGATCTGTTGAAGTTGGCTGCCTGATCCAACATACAGCATAATTGAAGAGGACTAGGAACAGAATCCGTTCCCGTTTCACCCCAGGAACTATGCCAAATTCAACAGAGAGCTCTCCATATGGTCTAACACAAGTGAGGTAATGTGTATATTATGCCATAATAAATGAAGTCTCATAGGTTTCAATGGCTCATAGTAGCTATCAGGAATTTTTCCTAGCAACTCATGGGAAACTGAGCAGCATGCCATAAATGGGAAAGCCATAAATAATTTTGCAACTCAGCCACCAGGGCTGTGGTGAAATGCTGTGCTTGCATTATCAACTCTAAACACTGACAGACATGTGAGCATGTCTGCCATTTTGTAAGCAGGCTCCCCTGAAGAACAGAGGAGCACTGAAGGATTGGCAGTATACTTGGAAGAGATTTGGAGACTTAAGGAGTTATGAAGACTGTGGTCTGGATATCGTGCTACTGATAATTTCAGAGTAATAGGATTTGTACAGACTGTTGGCACTTGTACTTGTTAGGAGATATTTAATGAGAAAGATAAAACAGAGTACTCATGGGGTCTATTGTATTATTCAAAACATGCTTTGACCCTACCTCATTGACATTAGGCTTGGCCATGTGATGTGGTTGGCCAATGAAATGTGAGTGGAAGTGTCACATGCCAATTCCCAGCATGAGCTTTAAAAGCCGCTGTGTGATTCTTCCATGTTCCTTCTGCCATGAGACCAATAATATACCAGATAGGGGCTGCTGTATCAGTCTGGGTCCTGGAATGAAGACATGTAAAGCAGAGCGGCAGCCAACCTGTAATGACGATGTAACAGGAGAAGAACTAAACTGTTAGTGTTGTCAGCCACAAAGATTAGGGGATAATTTATTACTGCAGAATAATTTAAGATGGCTAATATAAATCGTAACTCATGTTTAAGATAATGTGGACCTTTTAATTCTGACTACTTTAACATAGGCACTGGCAACCCAGTATTCTGAACAAGTAATGATAAAAGGGTTGGTCTTTAGTTTCTGCTAGTTTCTGCTACTCTTGACTCTTCTCTTCCACTTGCCCGTGCTTCCTTGAATTGACCTACAGAAGTTTGCAACAAGCGTTCATCTGCCATTACTCTTGAATTTAAAGCTAGTGGTGTATACCTTTTCTCCTACCTGTGTGACCACCTATGCATGCTTCCAGTACTTGCTTAGCAGTCTTTTTCCCTCCTGACTCCCATAAGGAAAGGATTCAGAGACGTAATATGAAGGATTTGCTGACTTACACTAGAATACACGAATAGAGCATGGTGATAGTATGGTCATTGCTATGTCTGAATGTGTGTGTTCCCCCTAAATTCATATGTTGAAATCTTAACCACCAAGCTGAAGTTATCAAGATGTAAGGCTTTGGGAGGTGACTAAGTTATGAGGGGAAAGCACTAATCCCTTATAAAAGAGATTCCAGGAGCTGCCTTTCCCTTCCCCCATGTGAGACCACAACAACAAGTCACCATCTGCAAAGCCCTTACCAGATACTGAATCTGCCAGTGCCTTGGACTTCCCAGGCTCCAGAACTGTTAGCAATAAATTTTTGTTGTTTATAAATTACTCGGTCTATGGTATTTTGTTATAGCAACCCAAATGGACTAAGACAATCAAATTGAGCTCACAATCTGTCATGGCCAGAAGGGATCAAGTTGATTGTCCAAAATCCCTTCTGAAAATGTAGGCCTGGGTATAACAGAAATGGGCAGAGGTTCCTGGAACTTAGGATAGGGTTAAGGGTATTGCTGAGTTGGCTAAAGATCTACAGCAGATAGAACCATGGCTTGGGGCTCTATCTAGGGATAAAACCAAGCACCTATTTAAACACACTGAGCAGAGGGGTGAAGGTCAGGTATGAAGGAGAAACTAGAGACCAGAGGCCAGAAGGAGCTGGAAAAGGGGGCCAAGAGAGTTTCCCAGGGACTCTACAGCCTTGACCCCAGGGCATTGTGTAATATGCTCATGGTTTTGCCTTTGGGTGTGGAAGTTTCTGTTAAGAACACCAAGCCAGTTCAGTCCCTAATCAGTCCAGCATGACAACGTGTTTACATAAACAAAATCTTTCTCAGCCCTTGGATCAGTGATGGTAGTTGTCGTTGGTCTCCAGAAAAGGTGTGTCTGAAAAGAAGAAAGCTAAACCTTTGTGTATCATCTGGTTAATCTCAAAGTGAGAGACCTCTGCCTCCAGGGTGCTGCTCAGAGGCATGCAACTATTGGCCATTTCTTGAACCAGGGCTTGTTTTTCTACAGTGAACTTAGGGAAATAAGGACAATATAAATTAGGATTTTCCTAGAGCTCATTTAGTTGATTTTGTGTGGTGTGTGCGTGCGTATGTGTGTGTGTGTGTGTGTGTGTGTGTGTGTAAATGTATATACTGCTTGCTTTTTATTTTTAAATTTATCTTTAAGTATCAGTGGTGATGGTATTTGGTGATTTCTTCTAGTTTAATATTCTTATATGGTATAACAAAAAAATAGCAATTGCAAGTCAGTCTAATTTTTTTTAAGCTTTACTGGCATGTGAAGTCTAATGTCTGGGAAACACTGAGCCACACTGATATAGTTTGGCTGTGTCTCCACCCAAATCTCATCTTGAATTGTAGTTCCCATAATCCTTATGTGTCGCAGGAGGAACCTGGTGGGAGGTAATTGAACCATGGGGGCACCCCCATGCTGCTGTTCTCCTGATAGTGAATTCATTCTCAAAAGATCTGATGGTTTTATAAGGGGCCTTCCCCACTTTTGCTCAGCACTTCTCTCTCCTACCTCCATGTGAAAAAGGACATGTTTGCTTCCCCTTCTGCCATGATTGTAAGTTTCCTGTTGCCTTCACAGCCCTATGGAACTGTGAGTCTATTAAATCTCTTTCCTTTGTAAATTGCCCACTCTCAGTTATGTCTTTATTAGCAGTGTGAGAACAGGCTAATACAGTAAATTGGTACCATAGAGAGTGGGGCCCTGCTCTTAAGATATATTCCACAAAAATGTGGAAGCGACTTTGGAACTGGGTAACAAGCAGAGGTTGGAACAGTTTAGAGGGCTCAGAAGAAGACAGAAAAATGTGGGAAAGTTTGGAATTCCTAGAGACTTGGAGGGCTCAGAAGACAGGAAGATGAGGGAAAGTTTGGAACTTCCTAAAGACTTGTTGAATAGCTTGGACTAAAATGGACAATAATAATAATATGAGAAACTTGTTGGGAACTGGAGTACAGGTCACTCTTGCTGTGCAAAGGGACTGGTGGCATTTTGCCCCTGCCCTAGAGATCTGTGGAGCTTTGAACTTGAGGGAGATGATTTAGGGTATCTGGAAGAAGAAACTTCTAAGTGGCAAAGTGTTAAAGAGGAAGCAGAGAATAAAAGTTCAGAAAATTTGCAGCCTGACGTGTGATAGAAAAGAAAAGCCCATTTTCCAGAGAAAAATTCAAGCCAGCTGCAGAAGTTTGTGCCAGTAATAAGGGGCTAAATGTTAATCACCAAGACAATGGGGAAAATGTCTCCAGGGCATGTCAGACACCTTCATAGCAGCCCCTTCCACCACAGGCCTGGAGACCTAGGAGGAAAAAATGCTTTTGTGTACTGGGCCTAGGGCCCCTCTGCTCTGTGCAGCCTCAGGACATGGTGCCCCGTGTCCCTGCTGCTTCAGATCCAGCGATGGCTAAAATGGGCCAACATACAGCTTGAGCCATTGCTTCAGAGGTTGCAAGTCCCAAGCCTTGGCAGCTTCCATGTGGTGTTGGTCCTGCAGGAATTGAGGTTTGCAAACTTCTGCCTAGCTTTCAGAGGATGTATGGAAATGCCTGGATGTCCAGGCAGAAGTTTGCCACAGGGGCAGAGCCTTCATGAAGAACCTCTGGTAGGGCAGTGCAGAAGACAAATGTGGGGTTGGAGCCCCTACAGAGAGTTCCCACTGGGGTACTGCCAAGTGGAGCTGTGAGAATAGAGCCACCATCCTCCAGGCTCCACAATGGTAGATCCACTGACAGCTTGCACCATGAGCCTAGAAAAGCCACAGGCACTCAACACCAGCCCATGAAAGAAGCTGGGAGTGGGGCTGTACTCTGCAAAGGTGAAGGACCAGAGCTTCCCAAGGCCATGGGACCCCACCTCTTGCATCAGGGTGCCATGGATATGAGACATGGAGTCAAAGAGATCATTCTGTAACTTTAAGGTTTAATGATTGCCCCACTGGATTTTGGACTTGGATGGTGCCTGTAGCCCCTTTGTTTTGACCAAGGTCTCCCCTTTGGAATGGGTGTATTTACCTAATGCCTGTATCCCCATTGTATCTAGGAAGTAACTAACTTACTTTCAATTTTACAGGCTTAGAGGCAGAAGGAATTTGCCTTGTCTTAGACGAGACTTTGGACTTGGACTTTTGGGTTAATGCTGGAATGAGTTAAGACTTTGAGGGACTGTTAGGAAGGTATGATTGTGTTTTCAAATATGAGGACATGAGATTTGGGAGGGGCCAGGGTGGAATATGATTGGGCTGTGTCCCCACCCAAATCTCATCTTGAATTTTAGTTCCCATAATCCTCATGTGTCATGGGAGGGGCCTGGTGGGAGGTAATTGAATCATGGGGACAGTTACCCCATGTGGCTGTTCTCATGATAGTGAGTTCTGATGAGATCAGATGGTTTTATGAGGGACTTTTCCCCCTTTTGTTCAGCACTTTTCTCTCCTGCTGCCCCATGTGTTTGCTTCCCCTTCTGCCATGATTGTAAGTTTCTCTAGGCCTCCCTAGCCCTGTGGAACTGTGAATCAATTAAACCTCTTTCCTTTATAAATTACCCAGTCTTGGGTATTTTTTAATAGCAGCGTGAGAAGGACTAATACACACACTATCCCAAGGTTTTAGCTGGATCACTTTCCTGGTGACAGGACATCTAAGAGAGCTCCTGAGATTTACCATAGATACACATTTACCTAGGAATTGGGAAGATTAAGGTTATGGGGAAGATGAAGTCTTTTCTCTTTTTCCTGCCTCCAGACCCTCATAGTTGGGAAGATTCAGAACACTCAAACTCATTTTATTTGGGCTTTCAAGGTCTCTGAGAAAGGAAATATTTCCACTGTAGACTTTAAAAATGGTCTATGGCTTTTCTAAAAAAAATGAGAAAAGATAAGTTTATAGAAGGCACTGGACATTGTGAAAAAGTAGAAGTCTATGTTATTAGAGTGGCTTTACCTTCATCAAAGGTAGACCAGCCTGTGCAGGGCTGAAGGCTGTATATTGCTGTCTTCAGCCACCTCACTGTGCACCTCTTGCCCTTGTCTGGGTAGAGCTTCTTCCCAGGCTCTCAATGACCCATACTGTTTACATCTCCTTAGGAATATCTGTGCTGGTTACAATTCTTTGTTGTTAGCAACAGCAAATAACTGTGACTACTTCTAAATGAGAGAAATTTAATTGATGGATAAGGTATGGGGTAGTTCCTAAAATAAAATAAAATAAAATATGGAGAAAATAGACCTTGGAATGATGAATAGCTCTAGAGATCTAAGTGGCAGGAACTAAGGGACAGTCTTTTCAGTATGCCACCACTGGGATGAATCAATAGCAATAATTTTAAAAAATTATTGTCATGCGGCTTAAAGTTCAAATTCCAGAAAGAGGCTTATATGTTGGCTAATGTTATTTGCCCATTCCTGGCCTGATGAGGGCAGAACATCTCAATTTACAGTTTCACCAGGAGTATTTGCAATGGGGGAGCGAAATCCCCAAAAGGGGGACAGCGGAGCTGTTACCAGAGGGCCAAGGATAGATTCTGGATGAGCAGAACAGATCTCTACTTTAGTCTCCAAAGAAACCTTTCTTCTTCTCTGCATTCCAAACTTAAGCCTCAACGTGTCCCCAAAACAACTGATGCTCATCAAGATGATATCTTAGCTATAAACCCATAAGCCCACAGGCCTGAGGAGCACCTGCCATGTTAGCAAAACTAACATCTTAACTTAAAAATCATTTCATAGCAAAAATTGACTCTGCCTAAGAGTAAGACCAATTCTGCATGGCAGGTGGAATTGCCTTGGGTTTTCTCATGAAGAAATTTAATAAATCAGATTGATGACCTTAAGGCAAATCTTTGAATGTTAATGTGAAACAAAATTCTGATTTCTTATCTTGTTAACACTCCCAAATCATTCACCAAGCTGAGTATTTTAAGTAGCCAAATAAATGTGGCTAAGGCTCATTAGGGCTCTTAACATTTGAGTCGCATAAATCAAGGGAAAAAAGTCTTTTTGGAAGACTCTGTAGTGATATTTAACTGTTTGAGACAATATTCTGAATGTTACTAGTATTATCTGAAAGCTGACATAGCTTTGTATTTCTTATGACTGAATGAACGCTCCACAAACTATACTATATAACCTAGATCAACATGTGCAGCAAACCTGGTCCTAAATTTAACCATAACAGAGGATTTCTGAAGGAAATATAATTCTGGTACTGAAAGAGTCTATTCCATCTCATTCAGTTTTAGATTATTTAAGAATACTTGGATTTCACATTATTTTATAATATTTTGTGCACTGTCACCAAAAAAAATCTTAATGAGATTTTAGTGCCATAGGCCTTTATTGTCTGTTTTTTTGTACACATGGCCAATTTAATTTTCAGCATAGTAGAAAGAAAATTTTTTCACATTGCAAAGGGGAAAACAGCTTGTTAGAATTGGATGCATGACTTTTAGAAACGGAAGTAGGTGCCTTGTTTAAATGTATTATAATGGAATATGGTAATAGATTAATTAGTTCTGGATTTTCCAGCAAATTATTTTGTACTCACCATTCCTCCTACAGGTCCCATAAAATTTTAACAGAAGTTAAAACATGTAGTGATAACCTTTGCCTTCTGTGCCCGTGATAATCATCTGCTCTCTCTCCTATTGATTACCTCACCAACCTGTCAACTTGGATGCCTTGTGCAAAAGACAAACATGCTAACAGCCAGCAAGCAGGCAGGAAGGTAGGGGAGAGGGGCTGTTAGCAGGAAGACTACCCCTGTCCCCAAGAATCAATTGAATTCTTCTTAGTGCTGTTCTCGGGGTGTGTGGTTTGAGCTTGGAATGAGTTACTTACAGTCTGCTCAGAAATACAGAGTCATATGGAAAAGCGGATGCACATTGGATGAACAAAGATTTCCAAAGTATTCTATCTTGGAATTACAAAAGAATGGGGGAGGAAGGGGATTGTGTCTTTGCAAAGCTAAAGGCCTACAGACATTCACTACCATACCTCCTCTTCCCATCCCCTTAGCCATTTCAGTGTTTCCAAAAATAGTACAAATACCCAAGATTTGAGAGTCAGGCCCATCTTAATTTAGTCCCTGCCATTTTATGACCTGGTCCCGAGGGATCCTCTGGGCCAATGGCCCAAATTCTCTCAGCCCGAGTTTCCTTGCAGTGGAACCGTGAGGTGAAGTGAGACAATATATCAGAAGCATTTGGTCTACGTAAAATGTTCCTTTAGCAGCTTTAAAATTAGCTGCCATTTAATGACAGCCCATGTGTCCCAGACACTTTACATGTACTAATCCCAGATAGTATCCACAGAAACAATTCTCATCACCATTTATCATACGGCACACTAAAGTTTAGAGAAACTGAATAATTTGGAATTTGAACTCAAATCTTTGGACTCTAAAGCCTATGCTCTCTACTAGGTTATACATTACTTTTTCTTATAAAGAATTAGAGCCAGTCTGTTCAAGTCCTATGCTCCCACACCAAAATTGGGAGTGTCTAAAACAAAACATTCAAATTCAACATTCTTTAATGGGAAAAAAAATCAAGAAAAGGCACACATAATACCATAGTATATTCTGGCTGAATTACATTTGAAGACTTTGGCTTCAAAAGGGCCCTTCCACGGCACTGTTAGAAAGATTATGCTGTCTTTTTATACCTAGCACCTTTACTGTCTTCAATCATGAAATTAGATACCATTTAATAGTTAAAGATATGATAATTTAATAATAAAATTTGAGACTCCAAAATTTAACCAGGAAAGCAAATTGGAATTCCAGAAAAGTATACCAACTGTCAACATTTCAGAAATATTCTCTTTGTCTTCTTAGTAATAATAATCTTTATAAAATCATTGTTCTAATATAGAAACAGGCAATTTACTACTTCTACCAGAAATACTCATATTGTTTTAGTATCAGGTATATTCTACTCATGTTTCTTAGAACTTCAGGAAATTATTCAAGAAGAGAGGCATGGTGGTATGCTGGAAAGTCTGCTGAGCTTGAAAGTAGGTAACCCAGGCTCCTGTTCCTGTTCTCATTGATGAGTTCCCTGACTTCAGGTGAGTCACAGCTTCTCTGGACTTTCATGTCCTTTTGCAAAGTGAGTCTGATCATTTCTAGGATCTTTTCCAGCCCTGAGATTGTATGAGCTGCAATAGCTAAGAGATATGGGAAAGTGGGTCATTGGAAAGTTGTTTTCCTAACTCCACAGGCAACAATGTGCCTCATTCTTAGTCATCAAAGGCAAATACGAAGGGATGGGAAGCACTCTCTTCACTGTCCATTTGCAAGCAGAATCACTCTTCACTTGATTGTCCAGTGTCTGTATAGTCTCTCACAGAGCCCAGCACATGTGGGCATTCTGTAAATGGCCATTGAGAACTGCCAGGTCTGTGGCTGCTACAGAGCACAATGATGATGATAATGGTGTTGATGATCATGATGATGATGGGCTGGTGTATCGAGGCACAGACCCAAGGAAGGCTAATGAGAATGTTTCTAGGGAAGCTTCCTGCATGTCACTCTTCTTCCTTCTACTTCCTCTAGGTTCATCTTCCCTGACTAACAGGGAGCCAGGGCTATAATAACGGGAAGGAAGTCATCATGTGATTCTACCTAGAAACGCAGGCATCAACTTGAAATGTTTTCTCTTTCTCTTGTAACTCTGGAATATGGCTCCTTGGATTGGAGGTGGCAAATACCACGGGTTAAACAATGTCATTCTGAGCTCTTTTAGTACTGAATAATGCAATATATACCATATTCTACCCTCTTAAAGAAGGAGTGTATCAGCTATGTGCCTGATATGGTTTGGCTCTATGTCCCCACCCAAATCTCATCTTGTAGCACCCATAATTCCCAGGTTTTGTGGGAGGGACCCGGTGGGAGATGATTGAATCATGGGGGCTGGTCTTTCCTGTGCTGGTCTTCTGATAGTAAATGGGTCTCACAAGATCTGATGGTTTTTGAAAACAGGAGTTTCTCTGCATGAGCTCTCTCTGCCTGCTGCCATCCACTTAAGATGTGACTTGCTCGTCCATCGCCTTCTGCCATGATTGTGAGGCCTCCCCAGCCACGTGGAACTGTGAGTCCAGTTAAACTTTCTTCTTTTGTAAATTGCTCAGTCTTGGGTATGTCTTTATCAACAGCGTGAAAACAGACTGATACAGTGCCAAACACCATGTTAGGCATTTTCACATGCATTCTTCTCATTTAATTTTTATAAAACACTGTAAAATAAGATTTATTATTATTAAAGTACAGGTGGAGAAATTGGGGGTCGGTGGAGCGATATTCACAGACCAACAGAGATTGTTAATGGCTTGGGAAGGGATTAACCCTGCTCATCTGATACAGTCCTTTCCATCTTCCTCTAGAGTGTCTACCCCTTTGTTTTCTTGGGGAATGGCATATTCTGGATGAATCTGAACCCTAATACTTTTTAAACCTTGATTACTGCAAGATCAAAAAGGAAGATTCACATTTTAAGGCTCGTTTCAGTTTCTCCAGAAGGAGAGATCTGAATTAACCTTTGGGGTAACTGCTATTTGGTTTGTGGGAAATCATTTGATAGGCATTTTTGTCCATCAAAAGTAAAATTGAAAGGTCTTACTCTTTACACATATTGTGTAAAAGATAGGTTTTTTGTTTTTGTTTTGTTTTGTTTGGTTTGGTGGGTAGAATTGCATCTCCATGGATCATTCCTTTCTGGAAAGATGTTTTCTAAATATTAGTTTTTTTCTTGGGAGATGTATATTTGTTCTTTTCTAAACACTCCCTGTCTGATAGTTACTGGAAGGCTGTAGTTGTGACATGGAAGCATATATTTACCAGTTTATATTATGGTGGAGGCACTGTCCTTGCTGGGATGCCTGGAAGCAACCCTTGCTGTTCTGCTAAAGTCCTTCTGCAGTGTTCTGGAATCCTGAATAACCTAGATTTAGGGTTATGTATTGATGTCATATATTATGCTGTTCCAGTGGATTGTGCTAAAGGGAAGTGCACCCAACCAAAATAAACAAATGAATTAATTTAAAAACAGCAAAATCCAGCAAAAAACAGAATCCCGAAAGCACTCCCTGGGGATCCTTAGAAACATGTGGAGGAGGGGTCCTGTGCATCCTTTGGTGAGGTATAGTGGAAGTTCAGTCTTATGTGATTTGGGCATCAAAGGAAGTGTGACCTCACATGACACCTGGGACGGGTAGGTAATACTTGGAATCAGTTGTTTCCTGACAACTTCATGTTAGGAAATATTGTATTCATTTTTATCCTTAGGAGACTTGTACTTAAAGTGTTTCTGCATATTTTTGCCTCCAAAGTAAAATGGAAGCTTATTCCCATTAAGGATTGTATACTCTTTTTCCTGTGTCCCTCACACAATGAGTAGTTAATAACTGCCTTTGAACTGTAATTGAAAGAAGAAATTTCACCAGATTAAGATTTAGATGCAAACGTTTTGAATGCTTTTTCACTTTCATATCCTGAATAAATTAATGTAAGAACTGGAAAACCATTTCTTAACTCACTTAAATCCCCCCTGCTTGTTCTTTGCTCTCACTTAACAAGTCCAAAAAATATTTTTCATGACTCTTGTCATCTATTTGCTGCAAAATTGCTTTGCCTAGTTACATAGAGCAATGATTGTGAGCAATCTCTGTGGTTTTGAAATAAACTATATTTATAGTAAAACCACTATGCATTTTTACAAATTATCCTATAATTCATTGTCAGGCCAATTTTCAGTGTTCTTATAGATATTAAGACAAAAGACATGGCGTAATTTTCATCACTGCAGCATATTTTATTAGAAAGTCTCTACTGTCTCAGGCCTTTAAAAAATAATAATAATAATAATAATAAACCTATCAACCAAATAATAGTGAATAGGCTGAGTCCAAAAACCAAGTCTCCCAAATTTCCAGTTCTGGAGCAGATTACCACTTGTGCAATATACTTAGAAGCTTTTTCATAATAAACACATTAAAGGCATAAATTATAAAAATGCTTATTACAATTGGTGGTGACAACAATATTGCTTTGGATACAAATAGTCTAATTTATTGCCCTGTAAACCTTAGCCATCTATTCTGGTTAGGAAAAGAGTCCTCACCTGTGTTCTTATTGGTTCATATTTACTTACTAAGGCTGAGAGAATATTTACTCCTTATATAACCATTCAGTAACATGCTCAGTAAAATGGCATTTGCAAGTTCTCCTTTGTTCACAAATTTCCATCTTCATAGCTAATTTTCCAAAATGATTACAGTTAAAAACCATTTTAAGAACTTCTTTCTGTACCTCAAAAATATGTAAAGAAAAGAAGAATCAACATATATTGAGGACCTACAATGCACTAGGCACTGAGATCTACAATATCATATCAGTTGATTATCCTCCTTTAATAGAAGAATAACGGCAGCAAATAGCAAATGTGATGTACAATAATTGAAATGCTCTTATTCTCAGTGGTTTCTTCTTTGCAGTAGCTCAGGACAGCAACCAGACCTGAGATTCTTTTCAACTTATACGCTGTTGATGGTAAGTGCAAATGAAAACCTCAGCTTACAAACCAAAGGTTTTAGCCCTAAGCCCAAATATGTTATAACAAATATCCATTCAAGAAAGAGTCTCTAAAAAGGGATTTTCTCCTCAAAATGGGAAAATAGGTTTTCGTATCCAGACTCATTCAAAACTGATGGTTCTTATACTAAAGCGGGAGGATTTCAACTTGGAATCTGGAGTTGCTAACATGATTTTGTTGTATTTTTAAGAGGGCTTTTGAAGAAGCTCATAGAGTTTCTTAGATATCAACAATGTGGTTTAGATACAGTTTTGGAAGAAGTCTGTGTAAATTAATCAAACCCCTGTGGAATAAGTCTTTAAAAAATACATATAAGATTTAATAACTGGTTTGAAGCAACTTAAAATATTAGGGAAAAGTCTGTGACCATTCTTTCCCTGCTATCTGTCCAACTTTGAGAATTTAAAATCACATTTGAAATGTAATAAAAGCTCTTAAAATTGGCTCATAATCTTGCCAAAAAATTCTCTTTGCTGCTTTCTTTCCTTTTTTTTTTTTTTTTCTTTTAAGATGGAATTTCACTCTGTCACTCAGGCTGAAGTGAAGTGGCGCAATCTCAGCTCACTGCAACCTCCGCCCCCAGGTTCAAGCAATTCTCCTGTCTCAGCCTCCAGAGTAGCTGGGATTATTAGCATCCACCACTATGCCCGGCTAATTTTTGTATTTTTAGTAGAGACAGGGTTTCGCCATGTTGGCTAGGCTGGTCTCGAACTCCTGAGCTCAGGTGATCTACCTAACCAACTAGGCCTCCCAAAGTGCTAGGATTACAGGCAAGAGCCAGTGAGCCTGGCTTTTGCTGCTGTTAGCCCTCCATCATCTTGAACAGAACTCCACTCAATAAATTATCATGACTAGGCACGGTGGTTCACACCAGTAATCCCAGCACTTTGGTTGGCCAAGGCAGGGGAAGACTTGAGGCCAGGAGTTAGAGACCAGTCTGGCTAACATGGCAAAAACATGCCTCTACTAAAAATACAAAAAGTAGCCAGGCATGCTGGTGCACACCTGTGATCCTAGCTACTTGGGAAGCTGAGGCACTAGAATTGCTTGAACCTGAGAGTTGAAGGTTGCTGTGATCCAAGATGGCACCACTGCACTCCAGTCTGGGGGACAGAGCAAGACTGTGTCTCTAATTAATTAATTAATCAAGTCAAATTTGTCACAGAAGTTGCTTTATATAATGAGGGCTTTCAGGAAACCTACAGGGAGATTTATAGCTTCACATTTGAAGCTGATGTATATCAGGAAAAAGTGATTAACAAGATCCTCTCGATCCTATGTCATACTATATACAAAAATTAACTAACTCAAAATGGATATTCAACTTAAATATAAGAGTAAAAACAATAAAACTCTCAAAAGAGAACATAGGAGTAATCCTTCCTGACCTTGGATTAGGTAATGGTTTCTCAGATATGATACAAATAAGTGACAAAAGAAAAAAGTAGATAAATTGAACTTTGTGAAAATTAAAAACTTTTGTGTTTCAATGGACACATTAGAAAGGTTAAAAGACAACGCACAGAATGGGAGAAAATATTTGCAAATGGTATAACTAATAAGAGACTTGTGTCCAGAATATATAGAGAACTTATACCATGCAACAATAAAAAGACAATCCAATTAAAAAATGGACAAAGGATTTGAATAAACATTTCTCCAGAGAAGATATACAAATGGCCAATAAGCACATGAAAAAATGTTCAAAAGCATTAGTCCTTAAGGAAATGCAAATCAATACCACAATGAGATACCACTCCACACCTTCTAGAACGTCTAAAATAAAAAAGACAGATAATAACAAGTTTTGATGAGGATGCAGAGAAATTGGAAACCTCATACTGCTGGTGGGAATGTGAAACGATGCAGCCACGTTGGAAAGTAAGCTTGCAGTACCTGGAAATGTTAAAACATAGAGTTACATGGCATAGCAATTCCAGTTCTAGGTATATAAACAATAGAACCGATGACATATGTTCACACAAAAACCTGCACATGAATGTTCATGGCAGCATTATTCATAATAGTCCCAGAGTAAAAACAACCCAAATGTTCATGAATTGATGAATGTATAAACAAAATGTGTTGTACCCTTACAATGTAATATTATTTAGCAATAAAAAGTAGTGAAGTACCAATAAATGCTACATCATGAATGGAACCTGGAAATATGCTAAGTGAAAGAAGCCTGTCACAAAAGGCCACATATTAGATGATTCCATTTATATGAAGTGCCCAAATGGGCAAATCCATAGAAAGTAGAGTGGTGGCTTTTAGGAACTGAGGAAGGGGAGCATGGGGAGTGATTGCTAATGGGTATGGGTTTATATTGGTAATTCAAGCTGCTGTAACAGAATACCAAAAACTGAATGACTTAAAAAACGAAAATTTATTTCTCACAGTGCTGAAGGCTAGGAAGTCCAAAATCAAGGTGCCAACTGATTTGATTCCTGGTGAGGGCTCTCTTCCTAGCTTGCGGATGGCCGCCTTCTCATTGCATGCTCACATAGCCTTTCCTCAGTGGTGCGTGTGCATGGAAAGAGAGAGAAAGATCTGACTCTCTTTCTCTTCTTATAGGGCTTCCAGTCTTATGGGATTAGGACTCCACTCTTATGACCTGATTTAATCTTATTACCTCCTAAAAGTGCTAGCTTCAAATAATATCACATTGTGGATTAGGGCTTCAAAATATGAAATTTGGGGAGATGCAAATATTCAGCATTTGCATATTTGCAAATAACTCTGTATGATTATTTGCATAACAGGGTTTCTTTTGGGGGGTGCTAAAGATTTTTAAAAATTACATAGTGGTAATACTTGCACAACATAGTAAATATCTAAAAATCATTTAATTATATACTTTAAATGGTAAATTTTATAGTATAGGAATTTTACCTCAATAAAGCTATTATTAAACAAATAAAAAACAAGACCATCTTGAAACAAATAGTTCTTTCTATTTTGTATATTATTGAGGGTGGTGGGTCCACAGGTTTATACAAATAGCAGCTTTTTGCAAAATTCCCCCTCCCTTCCAATAGTAAAAGGCAATCATCCTGGGCTTTTTTGTTGTTTTTGTTTTTTTTTAATGGGGGGGCGCTATCCATAAAGCATAACATGCTTTATGAGTAGGCTTGTTGTTTGTTCATTTTATTATAATCCCTTTGGCTTTTCTGCTAAAGAATACTTGCTCAAGGGCAAGTGTGAAGGTTCAGTATTTTTAGCTTCTAATGACCTCAGAGTTGTTCCTTAATGCTTCTAGGTTCCATGCATGTGTATGTGTTAGCCATGGAGACTGGTCATGTACACACACTTTCAAGGAATTATCTCAGAAGGAAACACTTGAGCAGCAATGGTCAGAAGGGAGTGGGAGCATTTAACATGTTGCTATTGGGATAAATGTTGGATTCCTCATTACTGGACATCCTCTTTGAACATTTACATGCTTCCCATATGCCCGATATACTTGAGCCTTGAAAATATCTTTGGTTTGTTTTGGGCTTGTTCTATAGGACATCGTTAGATCAAACAATAGCTTCTTAAGCAGAAATGCAGGTGCATGTATTAATAAATCCCAACCAATTTATTATGCATCTGCATTCCTAACTCATATAGATGACCTAAGTATGCACAGGCTTTCCTGAACACTCACACCCTGCTCTGATGAGTCATCTAACTCCATATTTGGGGGACTTATTCAAAAAATGATATCTTCATAGATAAAGAATAACTTGATTTATTTCATTATCTACTAGTAGCTAATGTTTGCAAATAAATTTAGACTAAACTGATCATTTTGGCATCTAGTTAGGGTTTCCTAAGATTTCACATACTGTGGTTTTGTCTCATACTACACTGGGTTTGGGAGGTCTTCCTAGAAGGAATAATGCTTAAATGCAGTTTTGAGGGAGAATATGCCTGGATATTTCCAGGCCAAACAATAAGGGGAAGCCACTCTAGGAAGAGGAAATTACATGTGCATGTAAAGTTTGGTGACAATAAAGGGCATAAATGTGGATCAAAGAATGCATTGGAGGAATCATGCAGATTCCACTGGAAGGGCAAACAAGAGTCAAGGCAAAAAAGTGCCTGACTTTGCCCAAATAATTGACACTTTGCTTTGAAATCAATGGAGTGCCATTTGAGGATTTTTAACTGCAAAATGACATAATTAAGGGATTTTCCCCTTTGTTAAGTGTTGTGTCATTTTGCTTTCAGAGTCCACCTTAATGACAAATGGGCTAGGTGAGGATTACATTGAAGGTGGGTGAATATGAAGGCTAGAGACATTATGAGGAGAGTTCTGGTAGTTCAAGGGAAAGGCAATGAGAACAATAATGAGGACATGGAAAGTGGAATGGAAATAATTCAGTGTGTTCAAGAAATAGGAGTAGAATCAAATGGGCCACAGAAGCAAATGAAAGAAAAGAAAGAATTAAGTATAATTTCCAGAGGTCTCCCAATCAAGAAGCTGAATAAAAAAGAGTGTTTGGGGGGAAAGTAAGTTCTGTTGTTGATATGTTGTATTTGAAGTGCTCAGTAGGCAGTTGGAGACATAATTCTGAGTTTTAGTAACATGTCTCATTAGAAATATGTATTTGAGTTGGGTGTGGTTGCTCTCAGCACTTTAGGAGGCTGAGGTGGGAGTACTGCTTGAGCTTAGGAATTCGAGACCAGCCTGGGAAACATAGTGAGACCTTGTATCTACTGAAAATTCAAAAACATCAGCCAGGTATGGTGGTGCCTGCCTGTAGTCCCAGCTACTTGGGAGCCTGAGGCGGGAAGATTGCTTGAGCCTGGGAGACCAAGGCTGCAGTGAGCCATGATCATGCCATGGCATTTCAGCCTAGGTGACAGAGCAAGATTCTGTCTCAAAAAATAAAATATAAATATGCATTCGAGACCTGTTATCATATTTAAGATATTGGAGTAAATGAAGAATCTCAGGGAATGTTAATAGGTGAGCCCTAGGAAAAGGAAGAGAGATGAGAGAAAAGCCAAAGAAGGAAGCTGAAAAGGTATTGTCAGAAATGTCGAAAACAAAAGGAGACAGCGTAGAATAGAAGCAAGAGAGAGTGGTGCCCTCAAAGCCAGGAGAACAGAGAGTGCCAAGCGGAGACAATGAGTGTAACCTGCTCTTTCAGGAAATGGAGGGCTCAACCAGATAAGGAAGTAAATACAGCAGACAGGAAGTGAAGGGAATGGTTTTGTTTGGTTGGTCAGTTTGTTCTTTGATGAGACTTTTGTATATTTATAGGCTGAGAGGAAGAGATAGGAGAGGTTAAAGACCGTATCTAGTTGAGAAGAAAAGATGAACAAATAGCATATCCTTAAAGAGCAATACAAAATAAGTCAATATGTAACAAATGCT
The DNA here is from genome assembly GCF_000001405.40 of Homo sapiens. Taxonomy (NCBI): domain Eukaryota; kingdom Metazoa; phylum Chordata; class Mammalia; order Primates; family Hominidae; genus Homo; species Homo sapiens. The sequence continues at coordinate 56,019,926 of NC_000018.10, read as the reverse complement.
TTATGGACGGTGTGGATGTGGAAGATTATGACAGCCTCCAGTGATTAAAAGTTTCAGGAAGGCACAAAGCATAGGCAACCCTACTGAGGATGAACTGTACACCTCTTCATTTCTATTTCCAAATTAAGTGGCTTTGGAGGTAGTCATGCTGTGTCTTTCTTGGATTGATTCTCCATTCTTATTTATAATCATGTTGATGTGATAATAGTATTACCTAAGAGGAAGGCTTACTGTAAGAAAAAAATTGAGAGCAACTAGAAGAGTGCCAGTTAGCATTTAAAGTACATTGGGCTGCTTTTTTTATTGCCAGCTTTCCAACCAATGTCTTGTCCGTAAGCCAGTCAAGTTCACAGCATGACCACCATCTCCCCTCCATTCTCCACCAGTATTTCTATAATAAATTGTATGTCTGGGCAATGTGGAGGTGCTCTCCTCAAGGCTATTTTAAGAATTGTTCTTATAACGTGGTTCATCAGGTATTAAACTAGGTAGAATAAATATAAGGAATTTTTCTTGCATGAAGCTTTTTCTCCACCGGCTGTCAGCTTGGTGAAGAACAATCATAAATCACCCTGACAGCTATAGTGGCTGGTCCAGAGTTGTTCTGCCAAAATGGAGAGTTAGAAATTCACAGAATATAGTCTCATTTCTACTCCTTGCACTAATTGTACCCAGACTGGTTAATGACATATATCCAAGGAATAGCAAAGTAAGGAAATCATGGTTATGCTGACAAAGATACAGAATCCATTTCTGAATGCTGATGGGGTTAGGAAAGCTAATGGGATTGGAGGTGCTAATATGATAAAAACAGTCAAATGATCAAAATGATCAAAAATAGTTCCTACTAAATAGCATTGATATAGCGCATTATAGAACATTTTCATACACAGTAACTCTTAAGTTTTGCATATCAAATCTGCATTAGGTGTTTTTCCCTGTGATACAAAATGAGAAACTGAAGACTACCCAAGTTTCCACAGGCAAGGAGTAGGCCCAGACTGCACACCAGTCTTCTGCCCCAATCCCATCTCCCTGCTTTGGGCCACATTATAACTATTGTTTTCTTGATTTGTGTCCAAAAAGAACACTATTTTCTGATGGTTTCTGCCAGAGTATAAATGCGGTCCTTCCTGCATTGAAATACTAATAGTAGCTCACATTTACTGGGAACTTAAGTTATACCATGCTTTGCTCTAAGGTCTTTATATTAAATCTCTGAGGTAAGTACTATGATAATTCGTATACTAGGGATGATAAATCTGAGGCATTGAGAGGTTAAGAAACTGTCTTGAGGTCACATACCTAGTAAGTGGTGGAGGTGATGAATGCCAAGCCCTGTGCCAAATGCTTTTACATGGATTATTTCATTTAATTTTTATCACAATCCACATTAGTACTCTGCTAGGTATTCACATTCTCCCTATTTTTTGTAGGTGCAAAAGATGTAGTTTAGAAATATGTATTATAATACAGCCTGAATCAGGTCACTTATGTCTTAGTATAAAACAAGTTTCTGTCCACATGGAGCTAATAATGATACCTAAACAGGTAACTTAAATAGTATAAAAAGACATTAGGGACTCTACATAATGAATGACTGAGATCATTGTATCTGACACATTTAACTTCCCAAATATTTCATTCAAATTTTATTTTGGAAGCAAATTCTCAATGCAATTATTCCTTCATTGCTAACATACTATATGGATTATTCTTTTTGTTTTTGTTTTGTTTGTTTTGTTTTTTTGAGGCAAGGTCTGGCTCTGTTGCCCAGGCTGGAGTGCAGTGGCACAATCTCAGCTCGATGCAGCCTCCGCCTCCCAGGCTTAGGTCACACTCTTCCCTTAGCCTCCCAAGTAGCTGAGACTACAGGCACACACCACCACACCTGGCTAATTTTTGTATTTTTAGTGGAGATGGGGTTTCACCATGTTGACTGGGCTGGTCTTGAACTCCTGGGCTCAAATGATTCACCCACTTCAGACTCCCAAAGTGCTGGGATTACAGGTGTGAGCCACCGTGCCCAACCTGTATGGATTATTCTTGATAAGCTAGTTTTATAAACTCCAGTTGTATTGCTAAAAGATAAGACCCTTACAGATGACCTATCCTGGCTTTTGCTGCTGTATTCAGCAGATTCTTACCTTCTGCCTCTGATATGAAGACCTCTAGTTATTCTTCATAGGCTGTTGTGGGCTTGAAAATCAATCAAACATTTCAGAATTGTGGTTAAAGACTAGGCACTTATAAACCTCAGGAACATACACATAAATAAAATATATTTTTAAAACCTACAATTAACTACTATATATAGTAAAATTATAAACAAGATGTCTTCATAAGACAAGAGCAAATTTAAAATGTATTTATACTAATAGAAGAGAGAGAAAGTAGGGAAATCAAAGTATCAAAAATTGTTCATTCATTTAATATTTATTTGTTGAGTGTCTCCAATGAGACAATCACTCTTACAGTGGCAAACACACAAATAAATTCAACACTTGAAAGTGGATTGAATTTCCTAATGAAAGGCATAATATTCATGTTGTAATAAAAATAAAACCCCATTATATTCTCTCCACCAAAGACACACACACAAAGCAAAATAGATTGGGTACACTGGAAATTAAAGGAAAGCTGAGATATTCCCAAGAAAAGGCTAAGAAAAAGAGAGTCAGAGTGGAAATGTCAGTCTTAAAGGAGAAAAGTCACAGAATAAGAATAATAGGGTAACTTTATACTGATAAAAATTATAATTTTTATATCAGGTGTATGAGTCATAAACCATTATATATCAAATAATACTTTATCAAGAAGCATACGTGAAACACAGTTGTATTCTGCCTCTTTATCCTTAGAGGTTTCCATCAAGAATTGACCACATTACACATTCTCATAAGATTATAATGAAGCTGAAAAACACTGTAGTCATTATAGTGTCATGGTGCAACACCTTACCCAATTGACCGTGGTGATGCTGGTATAAATAAACTACTGCACTGCCAGTTGTGTAAAAGCATAGCACATACAATTATGTACAGTACATAATACTTGATAATACTGGTCTACATATTTACTATATTATATTTTAATCTTTATTTTAGAGAAGGCAGCTCCATGCATGTTATTGCTGCTAAAGACCCAGTGGGACAAGATGTGGAGGTAGAAAACAGTGATACTGGTGACCCTGACTCTGAGTAGACCTTGGCTAATGTGTGTGTTTGTGTCCCAGTCTTTAACAAAAAAAAAAAATTTTTAAATAAATACATTTTTAATAGAAAAATATGTAGAACAAGGATAAAAAGAAATATTTTGCACAGCTGTACCATGTGTTTTTGTTTTAAGCTAAGCGTTATTACAAAAGAGTCAAAAAGTAAAAAAAATAAATAAATAGCCCAAATGCCCATGAGTCAATGAGTGGATAAAGAAATTGTGGAATATATATATATATATATATGCACCATGGAATACTATTCAGCCATAAAAGGAATGAAACAATGGCATTCACAGCAACCTGGATGGAATTGGAGACCGTTATTCTAAGTGAAGTAACTCAGGAATGGAAAACCAAACATCATACATTCTCACTCGTAAGTGGGAGCTAAGCTATGAGGATGCAAATGCATAAGAATCATATAATGTACTTTATGGATTTGGGGGAAGGGTGGGGGAGGGTGATGGGTAAAAGCCTATAAACTGAGTTCAGTGTATACTGCTTGTGTGATGGGTGTACCAAAATCTCACAAATCAACAGTAAAGAACTTACTCATGCAACCAAACACCACCCATTGCCCCAAAACCAATAGAAATTAGGAAGAGAGTAGCGGATCTCCCAGCACAGTGCTTGAGCTCTGCTAAGGGGCAGACTGACTCCTGTAGTGGGTCCCTGACCCCCATGCCTCCTGACAGGGAGACACCTCCCAGCATTGGTCGACAGACACCTCATACAGGAGAGCTCTGGCTGGCAGCTGGTGGGTGCCCCTCTGGGACAAATCTTCCAGAGGAAGGAGCAGGCAGCAATCTTTGCTGTTCTGCAGCCTCCACTGGTGATACCTAGGCAAACAGGGTCTGGAGTGGAGCCCCAGCAAACTCCAGCAGACCTGAAGAAGAGGGGCCTGACTGTTAGAAGGAAAACCAACAAACAGAAAGCAATAGCATCAACATCAACAAAAAGGATGACCACACAAAACCTCCATCCAAAGGTCACCAACAGCAAAGACCAAAGATAGATAAATCCACGAAGATGAGGAAAAACCGGTGCAAAAAGGCTGAAAATTCCAAAAAGCAGAATGCCTCTTCTCCTCCAAAGGATCACAACTCCTCACCAGCAAGGGAACAAAATTGGATGGAGAAGGAGTTTGACCAATTGACAGAAGTAGGCTTCAGAAGGTGGGTAATAACAAATCCCTCTGAGCTAAAAGAGCATGTTCTAACCCAATGCAAGGAAAGTAAGAACCTTCATAAAAGGTTAGAGGAATTGCTAACTAGAATAGCCAGTTTAGAGAAGAACATAAATGACCTGATGGAGCTGAAAAACAGCACAAGAACTTCATGAAGCATACACAAGTATCAATACCTGAATCAATCAAGTGGAAGAAAGGATATCAGAGATTGAAGATCAAATTAATGAATTAAAGTGTGAACGCAAGATTAGAGAAAAAACAATGAAAAGGAACGAGCAAAGACTCCAAGAAATATGGGACTATGTGAAAAGACCAAACCTACATTTGACTGGTGTACCTGAAAGTGACAGGGAGAATGGAACCAAGTTGGAAAACACTCTTCAGGTTATTATCAAGGAGAATTTTCCCAACATAGCAAGACAGGCCAACATTCAAATTCAGGAAATACAGAGAACACCACAAAGATACTCCTTGAGAAGAGCAACCCCAAGACACATAATCATCAGATTCACCAAGGCTGAAATGAAGGAAAAAATGTTAAAGGCAGCCAGAGAGAAAGGTCGGGTTACCCACAAAAGGAAGCCCATCAGACTAACAGTAGATCTCTCTGAAGAAACCCTACAAGCCAGAATAGAGTGGGGGCCAATATTCAACATTCTTAAAGAAAAGAATTTTCAACCCAGAATTTCATATCCAGCCAAACTAAGCTTCATAAGTGAAGGAGAAATAAAATCTTTTACAGACAAACAAATGCTGAGGGATTTTGTCACCATCAGGCCTGCCTTACAAGAGCTCCTAAAGGAAGCACTAAATGTGGAAAGGAAAAACCGGTACCAGCCACTGCAAAAGCAAACCAAAATGTAAAGACCATCAACACTATGAAGAAACTGCATTAACTAATGGGCAAAATAACCAGCTAGCATCATAATGACAGGATCAAATTCAAATTCACATATAACAATATTAACCTTAAATGTAAATGGGCAAAATGCCCCAATTAAAAGGCACAGACTGGCAAATTGGATAGAGTCAAGACCCACTGGTGTGCTGTATTCAGGAGACCCATCTCACATGCAAAGACACACATAGGCTCAAAATAAAGGGATGGAGGAAGATTTACCAAGCAAACACAAAGCAAAAAAAAGCAGGGGTTGCAATTCTAGTCTCTGATAAAACAGACTTTAAACCAACAAAGATCAAAAAAGACAAAGAAGGGCATTGCATAATGGTAAAGGGATCAATACAACAAAAAGAGCTAACTATGTTAAATATACATGCACCTAATACAGGAGCACCCAGATTCATAAAGCAAGTTCTTAGAGAACTATAAAGAGACTTAGACTCCCACACAATAATAGTGGGAGACTTTAACACCCCACTATCAATATTAGACAGATCAATGAGACAGAAAATTAACACAGATATTCAGGATTTCAATTCAGCTCTGGACCAAGTGGACCTAATAGACATCTACAGAACTCTCCACTCCAAATAAACAAAATATACATTCTTCTTGGCACCACATAAAATCAACCACATAATTGGAAGTAAAACATTCTTCAGCCAATGAGAAAGAATAGAAATCATAATAAACAGTCTCTCAAACCACAGTGCAATCAAATTAGAACTCAGGATTAAGAAACTCACTCAAAACCATACAACTACATGGAAACTAAACAACCTGCTCCTGAATGACTACTGGGTCAATTACAAAATTAAGACGGAAATAAATAAGTTCTTTGAAACCAATGAGAAGCAAGACACAATGTGCCAGAATCTCTGGGACAAAGCTAAAGCAGTGTTTAGCGGGGAATTAATAGCACTAAATGCCCACAGAAGAAAGCGGGAAAGAGCTAAAATCAACACCCAATCACAATTAGAAATAGGGAAGCAAGAACAAACACATTCAAAAGCTAGCAGAAGACAAGAAATAACTAAGATTAGAGCAGAACTGAAGGAGACAGAGACACGAAAAATCCTTCAAAAAAAAATCAATGAATCCAGGAGCTGGTTTTTTGAAACGATTAACAAAATAGTTAGACCACTAGCCAGACTAATAAAGAAGAAAAGAGAGAAGAATCAAATAGATACAATAAAAAGTGATAAAGGGGAGATCACCTCTGATCCCACAGAAATACAAACTACCATCAGAAAATACTATAAACACCTCTATGCAAATAAACTAGAAATTCTAGAAGCAATGGATAAATTCCTCAACCCATAAACCCTCCCAAGACTAAACCAGGAAGAAATCAAATCCCTGAACAGACCAATAACAAGTTCTGAAATTGACACAGTAATTAATATTTTACCAACCAAAAAAAGCCTAGGACCAGATGGATTCACAGCCGAATTCTACCAGAAGTACAAAGAGGAGCTGGTACCATTCCGTCTGAAACTATTACAAACAATCCAAAATGAGGGACTCCTCCCTAACTCATTTTATGAGGCCAGCATCATCCTAATACCAAAACCTGGCAGAGACACAACAAAACAAGAAAATTTCAGGCTGATATCCCTGATGAACGTCGATGCGAAAATCCTCAATAAAATACTGGCATACCAAATCCAGCAGCACATTAAAAAGCTTATTCACCACAATCAAGTTGGCTTCATTCCTGGGATGCAAGGCTGGTTCAACATACGCAAATCAATAAATGTAATCCATCACATAAACAGAACCAATGACAAAAACCACATGATTATCTCAATAGATGCAGAAAAAACCTCCAATAAAATTCAATACCCCTTCATGCTAAAAACACTCAATAAACTAGGTATCGATGGAACGTATCTCAAAACAATAAGAGCTATTTATGACAAACCCACAGCCGATATCATACTGAATGGGCAAAATCTGGAAGCATTCCCTTTGAAAACTGGCAAAAAACAAGGATGCCCTCTCTCACCACTCCTATTCAACACAGAATTGGAAGTTCTGGCCAGGGCAATCAGGCAAGAGAAAGAAATAAAGGTATTCAAATAGGGAGAGAAGAAGTCAAATTGTCTTTGTTTGCAGATGTCATGATTGTATATTTAGAAAACCCCATTGTCTCAGCCCAAAAACTCCTTAAGCTAATAAGCAAATTCAGCAAAGTCTCAGGATACAAAATCAATGTACAAAAATCACAAGGATTCCTATACACCAATAATAGGAAAACAGAGAGCCAAATCATGAGCAAACTCCCATTCACAATTGCTACAAAGAGAATAAAACACCCAGGAATACAACTTACAAGGGATGTGAAGGACCTCTTCAAGAACTACAAACCACTGCTCAAGGAAATAAGAGAGGACACAAACAAATGGAAAAACATTACATGCTCTTGGATAGGAATAATCAGTATCATGAAAATGACCATACTGCCCAAAGTAATTAATAGATTCAATGCTATTCCCATCAAGTTACCATTGGCTTTCTTCACTGAATTAGATAAAACTACTTTAAATTTCATATGGAACCAAAAAAGAGCCCATATGGCCAAGACATTCCTAAGCAAAAAGAACAAAGCTGGAGGCATCATGCTACTTGACTTCAAACTATACTACAAGGCTACCATAACCAAAACAGCATGGTACTAGTACCAAAACAGACATATAGGCCAATGGAACAGAACAGAGGCCTCAGAAATAATACCACACATCTTCAACCATCCGACCTTTGACAAACCTGACAAAAACAAGCAATGGGGAAAGGATTCCCTATTTAATAAATGGTGTTGGGAAAACTGGCTAGCCACATCCAGAAAACTGAAACTGGACACCTTCCTTCTAGCTTACACGAAAATTAACTCAAGATGGATTAAAGACTTAAACATAAGACCTAAAACCATAAAAAACCCTAGAAGAAAACCTAGCCAATACCATTCAGGACGTAGGCATGGGCAAAGACTTCATGACTAAAACACCAAAAGCAATTGCAACAAAATTCAAAAAGGACAAATGAATCTAATTAAACTAAAGAGCTTCTGCACAGTGAAAGAAATTGTCATCAGAGTGAACAGCCAACCTACAGAATGGGAGAACATTTTTGCAATCCATCCATCTGACAAAAGGCTAATATCCAGAATCTACAAGGAACTTAAACAAATTTACAAGAAAAAAGCAAACAACCTCATCAAAAAGTGGGTGAGGGATATAAACAGACACTTTTCAAAAGAAGACATTTATGCAGCCAACAAACATATGAAAAAAAGCTCATCATCGTTGGTCATTAGACAAATGCAAATCAAAACCACAATGAGATACCATCTCACACCAGTTAGAATGGTGATCATTAAAAAGTCAAGAAAAAACAGATGCTGGAAAGGATGTGGAGAAATAGGAATGCTTTTTCACTGTTGGTGAAAATATAAATTAGTTCAACCATTGTGGAAGACAGTGTAGTGATTTCTCAAGGATCTAGAACTGTAAATACTGTTTGACCCAGCAATCCCATTACTGGGTATATACCCAAAGGATTATAAATCATTCTACTATAAAGACACATGCACACGTATGTTTACTGCAGCACTATTCACAATAGCAAAGACTTGGAACCATCTCAAATGCCCAACAATGTTAGACTGGATAAAGAAAATGTGGTACATATACACCATGGAATACTATGCAGCCATAAAAAAGAATGAGTTCATGTCCTTTGCAGGGACATGGATGAAGCTGGAAACCATCATTCTCAGCAAACTAACACAAGAACAGAAAACCAAACACCACATGTTCTCACTCCTAAGTGGGAGTTGACCAATGAGAACATATGGGCACAGCGAGGGGAACATCTCACACCGGGGCCTGTCAGGGGATGGGGGGCGAGGGGAGGGACAGCATTAGGAGAAATACCTAATGCAGATGACAGGTTGATGGGTGCAGCAATCTACCATGGCAGATGTATACCTATGTAACAAACCTGAATGTTCTGCACGTGTACCCCAGAACTTAAAGTATAATACAAATAAAATAAAAACAGTTTTACTTCTTTCTTTCAAAAAAAAAACAATAGAAATTTAAAAAAATTATAAAGTAAAACATTACAATAAGCTAAGATTAATTTATTATTGAAGAAAAGTTTTTCTATAAATTAGTGTAGCCTAAGTGCACAATGTTTATAAAGTCTACAGTAGTGCACAGTAATGTCCTAGCCCTTCATCACTCACTCATTGACTCACCCAGGCAACTTCCATCCTGCAGGCTCCATTCATGGTAATTGCTCTATATAGCTTTATCATTTTTTAATCTTTTATACCACATTTTTACTGTATCTTTTCTATATTTAGATACTCAAATATGTGTTGAAATTGCCTACAGTATTCGATATGGTTTGGCTGTGTCCCCACCCAATTCTCATCTTGAATTCCCACATGCTGTGGGAGGGACGGGGTGGGAGTTAATTCAATCATGGGGGCAGGTCTTTCCCGTGCTGTTCTCATGGTAGTGAATAAGTCTTATGAGATCTGATGGTTTTATAAGGGAGAGTTCCTCTACACAAACTCTCTCTTTGCCTTCCACCATCCATGAAAGACATTACTTTGCTCCTCCTTGCCTCCTGCCATGATTGTGAGGCCTCCCCAGCCACGTGGAATTGTGAGTCAATTAAACCTGTTTCCTTTCTAAATTACCCAGTCTCAGGCATGTCTTTATCAGCAGCATGAAAATGGACTAATGTAGTATTCAATACAGTAACAGGCTATATGGATCTCTAGCCTAGAAATAGTAGGCTATACCATATATCCCAAGTGTGTGGTAGGCTACACCATCTAGGTTTGGAATACAATCTATGATCATACAACAGTAAAATTGCCAAAGAATGCATTTCTCAGAAGCAAAGCATTGCTGAAGTCATAGGAGGGAAATCTGCCTCTAGGCAGTATTAGTGAGTGAGGGAGAGTCAGGGCAGGGTTCTACATGACAGGCAAAACCGAGGAAAAACTGAATGAACTTTAAGTAGGATACATCTAAAGAGATTTATATCTAGGCAACCAACCCACAGTCAAACTGTCCAAAGACAAAGAGAATGAAAGAAGCAAGAGAAAAGCATCTCATCAGGGACAAGGGATCCCTAATGAGATTCACAGCTGAGTCCTGAGTCCTGAGCAAACTTTTGTATACAATTGAAATTAAGTATTAATTCAAACTAATTGTCTTAAGTTAAAATGTTAATGGTAGGCCTCAGGACAACCAGTAAGAAAGTAAATTTAAAATATAGAGCAAAAGAAATAAGATAATAGGGTATATCAGAAAATATCTATTTAACACAAAAGAAGGCAGTAATGAAAGAATAGATGAACAAAAAAGACATAAAAGACATAGAAAACAAATTTTAAATAGTAGATGTAAAACCTATCTTATCAATAATTGTATCAAATATAATTCATTTAAATTTTCATTAAATGCCTGTGAAGATATATAAGTTAAGTTTGAGTAGTTAATTCTTTTGGGAAGCATTCTCATCAGTCTAATGCAGCCTATTAAATTTGCCTGAGAAACAATCAGTGGCCAAAACATACTTCTCTTGAGGCAGAACAATCTCTTCAGAAAGAGTTTCCAGCCTTTCCATGAGGTCCCCTCCCAAGTACGGACACCTAGTGTTTTTTCAAAACAGGGCTTTGACTGCCATTTCCTTTTCAACAGAGAGTGCTCTTTGAAGCCACCAGAGTTTCTTCATCAATATCTTTTATGCTGTCTCCATATGAAGGTTGCAGCTTTGAGTAAAAAGTATAGCAGGAAGCAAAGGAGAGTTGGCACATTGGCATGTGGCCTCTTCAGAGGTGTGGCCCTAACATGTGGAGGACAGCAGTTGGAGCTGGAGATGGGGTCAATGTAGAAAATGCATCGTGGGACTGCAACATGGTAGACAATCATTGTTTTTGACAACTGTGAGCCTGTTTCCTTTTGGAAAATCACCTTCCCCTAACATGTGGAGTCTGGGACAGTTAATCAAAGAATCCTGCCCTCTCCTTAGCCAAGGATGCCAATCACTCTCATTCTCAAAGCTGATTCATCCCATGGGCAGCATGTATAAGTACAGTTGTCACTGAGAGCTGCTACTGACATCTCCACATCTGCTGGCTCCTGGCTTTTCTGAGCCCAGTTCTCCTAGCTAAACTTACCCATATTTAAATTTTTGGTATTTGCTTCATCATGGATTTTTTTCACATTCATTTAAAACACAAACTATTGCATTAAAACATTATTTATCTTGATTAGTGAGCTTTTTGACATCCCTTAAATTTGGCATCTGAGGAAACTGCTTCACTTGACTCATCATGGTCCTGGCCTATCTCTAGTCTTTGATGCTGTAAATGAACTCTGTTTTGCTTTAAATAATCATAATTGTAAACTAAAGAACCTGGCTTATTCAAGGAAAGGAAGAATGAAAATCTAATATAATACATCACAAGAAAAATGCTGCTGCCCGCTTGGAAATCTCAAGAAGAAAACTAGAAAAACTACTAAGGCCTCTTAGTAAGGTGGCTGGTCCCAAAATATACAAATATTGATGGCTTTAATGTAAGAAATACTAAATATCCCAATTAAATATAATGAAAAAGTATTCCATTTACTTTAGACATACATATATGTAACCTAGAAATTAAATTAACCAAAAAACGCAGGCCCTCTATGAGAAAAATTGTAATACTTTATTGAGGTACATAGCACAGGCCTAAAGAGATGGTGAGATTCAATCCAGGAACCCATATTCCTGGGTTGGAGCATTCAATATTATAAAAATGTCTGTTTTTCCACAAATTTAATGTTTGATTTTTATGCAGTTCTAATCAAAACCTCTTAGAATATTTTAATTGGCCAACTTATCCTAAAGTTAATCTAGAAAAATAAACTTGTTAGAGCCAAGAAGTTTTTAAAGGATTTGCCCTGTCAGATTATAAAGTAAATTATAAAACTATAAGATTTAAGAGTATTTAATATGTAACTTTCATCCTAGAATAGATCAATGAAACAGATCAAATAGTCTTTTTGAAATAAACTAATGTAGAGATATAAGAAATTAACATAAATTAAATTAGGAATTTGAATTCAGTTGCAAATGATGGATTAATCAATGTATGCCATTGTCACAGTTAGGTAGCCATTTAGAAGAAAATTAAAATTTCTAGGTTACTCATGCACCAAAATAAATCTCAGAAGAATTAAAGTGTTAAAAGTGAATGCTCATACACACATGCATTGTTGACTACTTAAGCAAGGGTTGCGCTTTCAAAATAAGATAATAAAGTCAGAAAATTATGGAAAACATTGGCCTATTTGACTATAAGAAAATAGAAAATATCAATTATCTAATTAACTAAAATGAGGTGAAAACACTAAATAATCCATTAAACAGAGAGGGGAAATAATGAAAAAATTTGACAAAGTTCTCTCCTTGAAAAGGATATCAGCCTAAGCAGTTTTAGGATTTTGTTCTACCAAACTTTAAATAACTGATAATAAATGGACAATAATTTACCTTTAAGTAGATGCCTGGATAGAAAAATAGCTTGAATTTTAAAAAGAAAGAAAAGAAATAAAAGAATGAATGTCAAATATGACATGTCTTTGAAAGAATGATATATAAAAGTCATCTTCTAATAGTATTTTATCCCAAACTAAATGTTTTAATTATGATTTCTCCACCTATAAGTCAATATTGACAGATTTTGAGAGGGAAAATTATGATAATCTTAGTAAATACTAAAAAATGTATTTGATAAATTTCCAGTAAAAGCTCTCACTGTCTGAGGAATAGAAGAAAGATTCCCTAAAATGAATAAATATAATGTGATAACAATTGTTAATTTCCCCAGTGTCTATTCTCCCTCCCTTCCATGGTGGGAAGATTTTTAGCCAAACATAAGACTAAAAATCACATTTGTTGCTCAACAGAAAATCACATTTCCTAGCCTCCCTTGCACAGAAGTGTTCCCATGAAATTAGGTTCTGTTCAATAGGATGTGAGTAAAAGTGATGAGTGCAAATTCTGGGCTGTGCCCTTAAAAAGAAGGACTGTACCCTCCTTTTGTATTTCTTTCTTCCTGATGTCTGAAACACAGAAATGATGGTGGTAGCTGGAATGGCCCTATGAGGTCATGAAATAGAAGCTCTGTATTTTCTAGAACACAGCAGCAAGATAGAAAGATACTGAGACCCTGATAATGGCATAGGTAAGCTACTAGACCACCCAGCACTGCTTACTCCCAGGCTGTTAATGTGAAACACTATTATTTGGGATTTTTCTATTATAGCAATTACATCTATATCCTAATACATATAATTACCAGAAATCTAAAGCAAGCATTATCATCGTATTTGTTTATAATCTTCCTTGAAGTATCAATAAAAGCAAAGTTGCCTGCTATTACTATTATAAATTGACATTATGCTAGCAAACTAGCAAATGCAATAAGAAAATAAAAAGAATGAGAAAGCAATTAAAGGAACTAATTTAACGTTACATTCAAGTGTATGATGATCTATCAAAATTTTGAAAGAATCAACTGAAAAATTATTAGATGTCTCTCTCCAAATCCAATGCAAGGTCCATGTCACAGTGTCAATGCACAAACAATATGCAATTTTTAAAAGACATGAAAAAACAAGATGTAATTCATTATCACTATAGAACTTTAACATACCTAGAAATAAATCTAATGAGAAGTATGCAAGACCTGTATGAAGAGAAATATAAAACTTTATTGTGGGAACTTGAAGATGACCTGACTAGTGAAAAGACACACTATGTGCCTTGATGGAAAGACAATATTATAAAGAGGTCAATTTCCCCAAAAATAACATAAAATACGGAACACCCCAATCCAAATCTCAAAAGAAATATTTTTAAAGGAGCTCTATGAGCCAATTATACTGTTCATTTGAAAGAGAAAAAACAAAAGATTGGCTGTGAAATTTTTGAAAAATAATAGTTAAAATAGATTTTCCCTACCAGTTATCAGAGCATTATATAAACAGTAATAAATACAATGTTACATTAGATCTTGGACAAAATAAAGTTTAAGAATATGTATATATGTGCACACATACACACACACACACACACACACACACAGTTCTAGGATATGGCCATGAAGACATTTCTAGACAGTAATAGACAATTCATTTATTAGAACTGGGACAACAGGATACTCTATAGAAAAAAAAAAAACTTAAGATGTTTCCCTCCACCATACAGAAAAGTTAAATTCTACATAGATTAAAAGTTTAAACGTTGTTAATCTATATTGTTACAGAATAGAAAATTAGAGGAAAATCAGAAGATAAAAATGAAAACTATGATAGTACCACATAAAAGTGAATAACCTCTTAACAAGGCAAGATGGTAAAACAATGTTAAAAGAGAAGGAAGAGCTTGAGAGAAAACATTTGCACAGCATATAGCAGACAAAGGCTTAATATATACAATATATAAAGATATAAAGTAAAGTAGGCTCAACTTAAAATTAAGAAATGAGTACGAAGAGGCAATTCAAAGAAGAAATACACATGGTCACAAACATTGGAAAATATGTTCCACTTCACTGTAATTAGGGAAATACAAATTAAAACAGCATTGAAATTGTACTTTTCACCAGACTGGCAAATATTTTAAATTTTCATAGCATCCAGTGTGAGAAAACAGAAATTTATCATTCACTGTTAATAGAAGTGTAAACTGGTGCAGTCTTACTTAAGGACAACTTGGCAGGAACTATCAAAATTGAAATTATGGATACCCTTTCATCCACATTCCATGAGCTTATCTTGGAGAAATACTTGCAAATAAGTGTAAAGGTATCTTCACAAATTTTTGGTACCATTTTTTATCATAGTAAAAATTTTAAATTGACCTAAATGTCTGCCAGAGGAGAATTTACTGGCATAAATAGTGTTTTTCTTTCTTAAGCCATTTTTTAAAAATGAGAATAAAGTCACGTATCTATGCACTTAAAAACAATAAGCAAGACAAGGTGATAATGTTAATAGAAAAAAAATGAATCTGTGATGTGACAGTCTGTGTGTTTTTTAGTGGTGAAATTAACTGGTTAACGTTAAGTTCCTAAGTTGAATGAAATTTCTAAGTTAAAATGTTATAAGGAATTCTAGAAACTTAATTCTAAAGTTCACTTTGAATGTAAGTAGCAACAATGGTTAAATGTTACAGTACTTCTACTAAGTACAATATGCTGATATATCAGTAATTGTTATTACTGATAACAATTTTGTACTAAAATGAATGCCTGCACAAGATATTAAATGAAAAAATAGAGAAAGGCCCTTCTCTATATGATATAGTCTCAACTATGTTGAGTTAAAATACATACAATGACTCTAAACAAATAGACCAAAATCATTAAGTGATTTTATATGAATGACTTTTGGGTGGTTTACCCTTTTCTCAAATGTTTTCCTCCATTTTCCAAACTTTTTAAAAGAAATGTTTGTGAAAACAAAACTTTATTTTATAAAGCTGTTTGGAAAAGCTTGATGGCACATTCTGCAACATAAGCTGCCCAGGCACAGGGCTCTGGGGATGCTAATTAGAAAATGATGAGTTAATTAAAGTTGTGTGCTTAGTCTCTATGGCAAGGATTTCCTTTAATCCAACAGTGGTTTTCTCTCCATTTGCAGAATGTGGTTTCTGGATGAAAAACTGAGAACAGACTGACCCTCTGGCCACAGCTACTCGCGTCAGGGACGCATAGTTGCAGGTGCATGCTGTCTGGTTTGGTTTGCCAAGTCAAAATAGTTGTGTTTCCCGCTGTGGTGAGAGTTTCCAACTTCAGACGGGGCAAGAGAAATTCTAAACAGTTTGCCCTTTGCAGATGTATTGAAATAGTACTGAAATTTACTGATTTTCCCTCATGTTTTTTTTCCGTGCTTTTATCACTACCCTGAAAATAAACAAGGAGAAAAGGCAAGCATACCAAATGTGTTCTCAGTTGCTGAGCAAAAGAAGGATTTCCTGAGTAGTATGGCTGCTCCAGTGCTCCTGGCTTGACATGAGAGCAAACAGAGAGAAATATAAAAGCCATGCTTTTCCCCTCCAGAACACAACTTTATTACAGGGACTTGAATAAGACAGTAGGACTTGTACCAAAGCCACCATGCAGGAATTAGGGACACTGTCTCACAGGGAGCAGCAGGAAGCCAGAAACCTTGGGACATAATCCCCTCCCTACTCCCTTAGGGGCTTTAGACAACCACTTTGTTCTCTAGTTCAGTTTCCTCTCTCCCAATCCCCACCAAGGTGTTTGAGCATTAATTAGCTACTGCTAATTAAGGCCACAAAGCTGAAAAGCACCATTGTATGTGGCAGTAGAGAGATGAATCCCTTCATTGTCTCTTACTGAGGCTTCCATTCAGGATCACAGGACACACCCTGAGACTATCCCCTCATTGGCATAGCATTCTCAAATCAGTGCCCTCCACAATCATGCACATCTCAGCCACACACCCTGCACTGTGGCTTTTGTCCTATAGTCAGAAGAGTCTAGGACACAGAGGGAAGCAAGAGAATCTCCAAATCAGCCCAGAATAATTTGGGGGAAAGAATTCTAAACAAGTGCACCTTGCAATGTTGGGCTTTAGCTCTCAATAAAACTTTCTCAACAGCCTCCTGCTCTTGGAGTGGGCCCATGTAGGGCCATTTTTGGAGTAGAAAGGGAATCCATTTTGGGAATAGAAAGTAGGGCCAGCCGGTGCGGTGGCTCATGGCCATAGTCCCAACATTTTGGGAGGCCTAGGCGGGCAGATCACCTGAGGTCAGGAGTTCAAGACCAGCCTGACCAACATGGTGAAACCCTGTCTCTACTAAAAATACAAAACATTAGCTGGGCGTGCTGGCAGGCGCCTGTAATCCCAGCTACTCTGGAGGCTGAGGCAGGGGAATCACTTGAACCTGGGAGGCAGAGGTTGCAGTGAGCTGAGATAGCTCCAGCCTGGGTGACAAGAGCGAGACTCCGTCTCAAAGAAAAAAAGAAAAAGAAAAAGGAGGGCCATTTTTGAAAATAAAGTTTGGAAGACTCCAAATTCTTTGGAAGACTCCACTAACAATCAGCCTTATGGTCTTCCCAAGGTGCTGGAGAGCTGTCACTAGATTCCTGGTCATGTTATTTTTCCAAGCGCCCAAACCTGATTTATTACAACAAACAGGAAACAGTAGCTGAAATGACTTCAACAGTAGTAATAATAAAATAACACGGTAAGGAAGAAAACAGAGATTCCCTCTCTTGGAATGCAATCTAAACCCCTGGGTTTGTTGTTTAGGAAACAATCACCATTCCAGACCCTCGGGTTTTAAAGCCTATGTTGGCCAAGAGAGGGAAGTAGAGGCAGCCGTCTTGCAGGTTAACCGCTGCAGATCAGCCAGTTAGGGAATGCCCTGAGTGCAGACATGTGTGTTTCTTGTTCTTGCATCAGAGCTGCTCATATAAAGATTTTTGCCTTAATAGAGTGGTTGTGATTTTCCATGTCACATTGCTGTTTCCAATCCTGGAATTTGGTGACAATGAAGGACTCTCAGCACCAAAATAATAACTAATTTAGCCAGCTTCATAAATCACAGTCCCTAGGCACCACCAGCAAATAGTTCTTTGGACCCAGAACAATATACAAACTCCAGCTTTAGCACCGTGTGGTCGGAACTTAAAGTGTACTCGCTAGCCATGGTTCTTAGAGCAGTACAAATTCCTGTAACCTGCTGCACAGTCAGCTTGGCAGTCTTTTGGTGGTCAGTGGTGGAAGTACACATCATACCATAATAGTAGTCTTGGGACCAACTAACCACTAACCCAGACCCTGGGGAAAAGTGAGCTGGTGCATCTGAGGAGCTGAGTATGGGGCCACTGCAGGGCCGAATGCTGGGGAATGGAGAACAAGTGGAAAGAATGGATGTGGGCTCCTGCTTTCAAATAACTTACAACCATGCTAGAGAGATGTGGTTCATACATAAAATTAAATATAAATCATAAAGTGATATGTGACTAAACATAAATGCTAATTGTATAATTTAGGTTGGATGCAATATAGAAAATAGGTCACCACATTGTTTACACTGTGCTGCTCAAGATGATAATGATATGATGATGATGACGATGATAGAAAAAAACTGCACTATTCCACTATTCACATATTAGCTCACTTAATCATCAAACGCACCTCTATGATGCAGCTATTAGAATCTCCATTTTGCAGATAAGGAAGCAGACCTCCAGGGAAGTTAAATAACTTGCTCACACAGCTAGCAGGTGTAAGTTCAGAGTTTGAACCCGGGCAGCCTGGCTTCAGGGATTATATTCTTAACCTCAACATCTCAATGCTATGCTGCCTCATTGAATGACGAGGGTCGATTATACAAGATATTTGGTCATGGGCTACACTTCTCTGCGGTTCATAAATTGTAAGGTACATGGAAATTTCTATAATATTTTATTTAACATTTTATTATTAAATACATTTTATTATATTACTATTATTCTAGAATATTTTTTCTTTCCCCTCCCCTTCACTTAAAAAAATTAAGATATTACTCACATACCATAAAATTTACCCTTTTACAGTGTACAGTTCAGGCCAGGTGTGTTGGCTCATGCCTGTAAACTCAGCACTTTGGGAGGCTGAGGCAGGAAGATCACTTAAGGTCAGGAGTTCAAGATCAGCCTGGGTAACATGGCGAAACCTCAGCTCTACTAAAAATACAAAAACTAGCCAGATGTAGTGGCACACGCCTGTAGTCCCAGCTACTCGGGAGGCTGAGGCATGAGAATTATTTGAACCCAGGAGGCAGAGGTTGCAGTGAGCCAAGATTGCACCACTGCACCCCAGCCTGAGTGACAGAATGAGACTCAGTCTCAAAAAAATAAAAAAAATTTTAATGAAGCATACAGTTCAGCAGTTTTTAATATACTCACAAGGTTGTGCAACTATTATCACTACCAAATGCCAGGATATTTGTATTACCCTAAAAAGAAGTCCTGTACCTATTAGCAGTCACTCCCCATAGCCCCATCCCATCCAGCCCTAGGCAACCAGTAATCTACTTTTTATCTCTATAGATTTATCTATTCCAGATATTTCATTTAAATGGAATCATACAAAATATCACCTTTTGTGTCTCACTTCTTTTACTTGGCATAATGTTTTCGACGTTCATCCATGTTGTAGCTTGAATCAGTGCTTCGTTTTTTAAATTACAGAATAATAGTCCATTGCCTGGTTATATCACAATTTGTTTATCCATTCACCCATTGTTGGACATTTGGTTTGCTTCTACTTTGTGGCTATTATGAATAATGCTGTGAGTATTTGTATACAAGTTGTTATGTGAACATATGTTTTCAATTCTCTCCGATATGTACCTACAAGTAGAATTCTGGGTCATATGATAACTCAGTTTAATTTTATGAGGGAGAGCAATTTTTTAAAAGGTAACTTTTGAAATGTTAAAATTCACTTTTTGCGAGTAAATGATACACAAACTTTGATATTTCCGAATTATTTTTAAATGACTTGTTAAACACTATGCAAGTGCTTGCAGCTCACTGGTTCAAAGAAGAAAAGGCCCACAGAAGAGAGAAGAGGCAAGGAGAAGTGTTCCTATGAACGCTGTTCATTTCTCAGCAGAAGCGTTGGCATGCAGATCCCACAGAATTGAGCAAAAACAGCTGCTTGTGCTCTTTCTTTGGTGAGGAATACCAAAAAGGCTGGAATATCTGAACTGACTTGTTGTTAGACAGCTTTGTTAAAAGCCTCTGTGGATTTCATACCACCCTAAGGAGTTGTGCTTTCCATCTTTTTATCTTGATTTAAATTGAACAAAACAGAGAGGCAAAAGGAATGTAGAGGCCTGGAGTTTTCTATTGTCAGGAATAGTTTTGCCCATTGTTTGTGTTCAAAGATGAATTCTTTTCCATAGGCTAGCTTGAATATTTTCTTGTTGGAAGTTTTATAATAAAAATGTAACAGTGATCCCTCTATCCTTATATAATTGGCATGAATGATCATCTGCCTTTGTAAAACAATCTGAAATCATTTCATCAATTGAACAAGCTGAGCATGGTGGGAGGGAAGTGGCATCCCATGAACTCACAGTTGCTGAGGATGACAATCACTCTCTCCTTGCTGCCTTCCTCAATTCTTTCTTTAAATACAGTGCATCCTCAAAGGGATAAATTTGGGGATCCCTTGGCATATTTATTCCACTGGGATGAAAGGGGCAGAATTTACCTATTGTCAGATTATTATTTGTTTTCAGCAAACTCTGCTGCTACCAGAAATCTGCATCACATGAGCTGAGAGAAGAGAAGATTCTTTCTGCAATATGTTTTCCTTATTAGCTGTCTGCCAGGGCTATTACAGAGAGAGAAAACGGAAAACTTCAATCTGCGACCATATGTCCAATGTGTGTCCTTCTCTTTGACTCCCAGGAAAGTTCCTCTTTTTAATTTCCAAACTGGATGACTTTGATTAATCTTATTCTCTTGACCATCAGTACTATAGCTTATTAATCCACAAAGTATTATAAAGTACCTGCTTTGGAAATAAGAGGCTAAATGGTAATAATGGGGGAGAGTTTAGTTCTGAAGTCATGGAAAACTAGATTTGGAACCTGACTAACTCAATAGCTATGCTCATGCAAACACACACACACACACATAAATGTGCACATACACATATATATGCGTGCGTGTGTGTGTGTGTACACACATCTTTGGGAAAGTCACTTAACCTCTCTGAATTTGGATTAAATGAAATGATGTATGTTAAACTCCTTTAACAGTGCTTGGCATATAGTAAAAGCTCAATAAATGAGAAATCTTCCTTACCGTCTTACAACTGTGTGGTAAGTGCTGTAACAATGATATGGACAAGTTGCTGAGGCGACACAGAGGAGGGGTCAATCAACCAGCTTCTTTCATTTTCTCACGGCCTTTTTGCCTTCCTTTCATTCCTTCTCCTGAGATAGGGCTTTTGTGCCTGTGCCACTGCAGATACTGGTCTGAAGTATCATCTTACTCCTCTCCTTTAACAAATCTGGTCTGATTTTAACAGCTCTCCAGCTTCACAATTAGCACCCCCAACTCGCCCAGCGGTGATGAGAATGAAACCACAGCTGTCGAAGGCTGTATTCACTCTGGGGCTATTCACAGTGTTAAAGAAGAGGCCCCTTTGTCTCTCCCTCCTGGCGTTAGGCATTAGCTATGTCGGCTCACCCTCTCCCACTGCCGGCTCCAGTGCCCGCGGCACTGGCTCACTGGGTACAGCCTGCATTAGCTCATGGTCTGTGGCAGAGCCACAGTTGCAGCTCATCTGATCGATTTGCTTCTGAGCACTAGAAAGCTCAACTAGCTCAGCAGCTCTTTATGACCTCTGGCACAGACAGCAAATTCCTTCCAGCTCAGCTCGTGGAGCTGGGCTCTGTACTGCCTTAAAACCAGCCCCGGCTCCTCAATTACCTTCTGCCCTTATTCATGCCCTGCCAATTCCTTTTTGCTGGAATCTGAATGAAGCCACTGCATATGCCAAGGCTGAGAATCGCTTGAGAGGACTTATGGGCCTTTTCCTTGAAGGAAAAGATGGCACTTGGAACTTGGCCGGTGGAAGCATCATTCAGATATGATTCATTACAGGTAAGAGAAAGAAGACAGGAATCTGCAGAAGAAATCTTCCCATAAGTCTGATATTTCTGGAAAAGGGGACAGAGTTGTCTGCTCTTTGTGACTTAGACTGGGCCAGTGCCGAAATCACAAGTCCACAGAGTATGCCTGAAGGAAGATGGTTCTCAATGCACCCACTGGGAAAATGCACTCATCCTCAAATGACTGAGGCCGTTGTTTCCTTGCCTTTTAAGATCTCATCCCAGGAGGGATTCTTCTCACTTTCTTTCAGTCCTGAACTCAGAGGATTGTGCTGCTTAGGGAAGCCACCTCATTAGGACAACTCATTTTCCCTTCTCTCTAGTAGAGGTTACTGCCACAAGCTGAACACAGTGAAAAATAAACTGTGAACTTGAAGAGGGAGGAGGGAAGGTGGAGGTGTTTATCTCAAGCTTAAGAGAAGTTCTGCAAAAGGCGTTTTTTAGTTTGCCCAGTTTCATTTCTTTAATCCCTGGTTTCTCTGTGGTTTTGCTGTATGCTTGCCCAGACACGTCACATGCACCAGCCTTATAACTAGAAAAGTCTCTGGCCTCACAAGAAGAGGGAGATCTCCCTGAAAATAATCTCCGAAGGGTTGGTCTGGAGCAGGAAATGAGAGTGAAAGGCACATCTGTAGGAGGGGTTCCGCTTGCTCACACTCGGAATGTGCTCGCCCTCTCCTCCTCTCTTTGATGACAGGAAGTGCACATACTCCAAGCTCCATTTCCTCAATGTCCCAGGTGAAATTATCCCCGGAGAGAGGGATAACCCTAACTATTAAAAAGATGTATGCTTGATTCAATGTTCCAAATAATATTCAGCACAAACGAATCTCTGGACACCTAAGCTGTAATAGACCATGAGATTTGGAAGAGGATGAGGAAGAGTACTATCCAAGGAACCGGCTATCATCACAAATTCTGCAGACTCAGACACCTCTCGACAGCATGTCTCCAACAACCCCGCCCCCCATTCAGAGCCACTCTTCCGGAAATCAACTCACAGTTCACCTCCTGTCTAAATTCTGGTGTAGAAATGGAAACCTCTTGTAAGATGTCATAGATATTTTGGCTGAATCATCAGCAGAAGTTCTTGTCCATCCCTTAGACTTAGGATGGCCTGGTTAGTATGGTTTGATGGGACAAAGCTTGAATACCATGACCAGAAGCATTTCTGTGTTCTCCTGTCTAAGGTGAGTAGGATCCCTAGTATGTTACCCCCTCAGTTTTACTCAAGTGATTTGAAATCCAAGTGGATGATGTGGGTGGCTTTATGGATGTAAAGCAGCTACAATTGAGAGACTCTCGAGAAAGGTGGGTGGTAGTTGTGGAAATTCAGTCCAACAGGTGATCTAGGGATAAGGGACTCAAAACTATGATATTGTCCCTGTCCTTGAGATATTAACTATTCAGTAGGTGGGGCAGACAAATAAACAAACAATTACAGTAGAGTGTGACGCACACATTGGTCCGAGCAAAGTAGATAAGCACTAAAATGAAGAGGAGGTTAATTCTTTCCTGAGATGACAGGGTCAGGGAAGACAGACCAGAGGAGGTGACTCTATGAAGCAGGAATAATTGTTACTCTCATTTGAAAGAGGTAAGTGCCAGAGCGGGTGGCTCACACCTGTAATCCCAGAACTTTGGGAGGCTGAGGCAGGAAGATCACTTGAGGCCAGGATTTCCAGACCAAACTGGGTAATATAGTGAGACCATATCACTACAAAAAATTTTATAAGTTTATCCAGGCATGGAAGCATGCACCTGTAGTCTTAGCTACTCAGGAGCTGAGGCAAGAGGATCTCTTGAGTCTGGGAAATCGAGTCTGCAGTGAGCTATAATCATGCAATTGCATTCCAGCCTGGGTGACAGAATGAGACCCTATCTCAAAAAAACAAAACAAACAACAACAGAAAAAAAACTGAGACAGAAACTGTGGCTCAGCAAGATTGAATAATTTCCCTAAGTAATGCAACTATTAATTGCATTGTGGCTTCCCCAGGTGTGGGACTGAGTGGTGGTAGGAGAGAAAATTAAGTCAGGTTTCTGAGGGGTGCAGGCTGGGGCTAGTCAAAAAAGGATCAAGTCAGCCTTTACATCCCGATGACAGCAGGAAGAAGCTTAAAATCCCAAAAAGGGCAGCTTGCATGCAAGCAGTGGGGATTGTTGCCTTTATGGCATGAATACATACAACAAATTTTGTTTAAAATTTCTTTACCAAGGTCTATAGGGGCTTTATTCTACTGTCAGTGGTAAATTTTTTAATATGATACAGTCAACATCCTGGAAATGTTAACTCGCATCATCATTATCATGATTGTAAGGGTATTGGATTATGTTCTAAGAAAGAAAACACTGATCATGCGAAGGGTCAGAGAGTAAAGGAAGGTACATACTACACTATGGACTCATGAGGAGAAAGCCATAAGTGGGAAAAGGTCCCAGTACCAGCTTAAACATTTTGCCTCTTTTAAGAGGTACAAATGGTCTAGAAGGGTAAGGAGTATCTTCCCAAAGTTCTTACTCCCATCTTAATGTCCACAAATGAGATATTTATCAAGCACCCAGGGCAGCCCTCAAGCAGCATGAACAAGAAAGTGACCTCTGGAGTCAGATGTCTCAGTTCAAATCCTGGCTCTGTCACTTAGCAACTGTGTAACTTGGGGAAACTTCCTAAGCAATCTGCACCTTCATTTTACAAAATGAAAATAAAAATAACAGTAGCTTACCTGATAAGGTAAGTATGAGTTAAAATGAATAACTTAATATGTTAAATTAAATATATGAGGCAACTATGCAGCCATTATTTTCATGGCTGAGTGAAAAAGCATGCAAGTGCTAAGAAATCATTATAATTAGGGTTATTCATATGTGTTAGACAACAAAACAAAACATAATCCCTACTCATAATCTAATAGGAGCAAAAGGCAGTTATGGAGATAAGTGCAATGGAGGCATAGATGAAGGTGAGATGGGAAATGCATTTGGGAAGAACTAATAGTCAAAGAGTTTTTAAGAAACTAGAAAAAATAGTACAGGAGGGGGGCATCCTAGTAAAAGCAAACTGCTCAAAAGCAAGGAGGCATGATACCACCTGGTGCATTTGGTGGCTGCTAGTAATTAAAGATGGCAGGGGAACAGAATGGGAGGGAGGTGAACTGGAAGCATAGATGGGAGCTACATCACATGGTGCCTTAAATGCCAAGTCAGAGTCCAGATCACATGCCGAACACACGAAGGACTCAAAACTGGACTTTGAGAAGGAAGTGACACGATAAGACCTATATTCTTACAAGATCACTGAAAGAATTGTGGAATATGAGTTGGAAGGGGCTGAGATTATCAAGCAGCGAGACCTGTTTAGGAGCCTGTATTAGGAATTCAGAGACGAAAGAATGAATGAATAAGATGAGGTGTTGAGGATGTAGCAAAATATGTATATATATATATATATATATATATGAGAAATGAAATAGAAGGATGGGGATTGGTAAGTGATTAGATGGGAAGTATAAAGGGAAAGGAGTAGATAGGAAAGATGCTCAAGTTTCAGGTTTGGGCACATGAATGTGTAGTGGTGCATTCCCAGACACGAAATAAGAGGATCTGGAATGGGGGCAGGGAGAGAAAGTGTTCAAAACTGAAGTTCTGTTTTCAGCTCAATTTGCTTTAGGATAAGTGAATATGTGGGTTGATTGTATATAATGTATGTAATGATTATGCAAATCTTTGCAAATAGCTCAGATCATCCATTCATAACATAAGGCACATCAAAACCAATTCTACTCCCTACTACTCCCCAATGGTAGTAAGAGCATTGCACTGGCAACGTGACCTAGTGAAGTTTGGAAAGTCTAAAACAGTGGACTGATCCATTGTATTTCTGGAATATAAAGGAAAGCAGCTGGAACTCTGGATGAAAGCTGTAATTGGATTCACAGGCCTTCACAGCAGAAAGCGCATCTCAACACCAAGCGCAGTGGTCTGGGAAATATGAGGCAGGGAGTAACTTGACTCAAAGGGGCAAGAAAGAAGTGGACATCCCAGGAGAATTGCCCTACTTGGAGTACCAAGCCTGCCTACCTGTAAAAATGGGAAAAGTGGCAAATTATCTCAGCCTAGACTAGCAATGCCAGGCCCACTCAGGAGAAGCAGGACTGGAGAACCACTCTATGTGGCAGCAAGGCAAGCCAATCATAATCCTGAAAGACAAAATTCCAAATGCCATAATCACGAATGCTGAAACCCTAAAAGAAAATCTTGAAAATATATAATTCTGGAAAAAATCATTAAAAATTATTTAAAATGGCCAGGCACGCTGGCTCATGCCTGTAATCCCGGCACTTTGGGAAGCCGAAGCAGGCAGATCGCCCGAAGTCAGGAGTTCAAGACCAGACTGCTCAACATGGCAAAACCCCATCTCTACTAAAAATACAAAAATTAGCCAGGCATGGTGGTGGGCACCTGTAATCCCAGCTATTCGGGAGGTTGAGGTATGAGAATCACTTGAACTGGGAGGCAGAGGTTGCAGTGAACCTAGACCATGCCACTGCACTCCAGCCTGGGGGATAGAGCAAGATTCTGTCTCAAAAAAAAAAGTTTCTTTAAAACGTATTTATTTACATTTTAAAGGAGGACTTATCTGAGAAACATATAAAAACAGGACAGAACATTCATAGGCCACTTTACAGAATAAAAGAGGCAATGGCAACATACATATTTTGCAAGCAGGAGCAGTCAGGTGCACTAACGACAATGGCATGGGTATAACAGTTGTGGGCAGATGAACAGATGAACCGTATTCATAAAGACATTGGTCAAAAAGGGAAATGTGTTATCACCTATCACTATGGTTGGTAATTGTGTGCACCCAACTTAATACTGCCATCATCTGCAATATGGTGACAAACCACTTAAGTCTTTTAATGAAATTGATCAGAAACTGGATGGGTCACCACTACATATGCAGTCACCCAAAGAGTCCAGATCACGAGCCTTTCACAAATGCAGATGTACAAAAAGGACATCTCTTCATTTATTAAGGAAGTCTCAGCATTTTTATATACATGCACAATACTTGAACACAAAGTCAACATTATCATAATGCACTTTGGTGGAGCCAAATTTGTTAAAAATTCATAAAATGAATCTGAGCTCTCTAAAATTCTTTACACAATTTATACCTCCAGTATTGTAAGTAATATGAAGATGAAATACAAAGCATAGAAAAATGTAGAAAAATAATGCTGACAATTTAAAGTAGTAAAAAAAAAAATCCTAAAAAGAAAAAAACTGTAAAGAAAATTCAACATATGAAGCAGTGGATTACAAGGTTAGATTATGGACAATGGCATGGAGATGGCCCATGAGAGTTGGTCTAACAAGATGTAACTATTTTACGATTGTGATTTTCCAGATTTTCAAAGTGAGTGATATTACAGTTTATGGATTTTGATCTTTGGAGATTTCAAATTCAGGATTATGGTGTTTGGGATTGTGTTTTTCAGGATTACGATCCAAATCTAGCAGCAAGAAGGATGGCATCCACTGCCTGGAACCAGGGATCTTTCCTGTTCAAAAGTGGAAGGCCAGTGGGCTTCACTGGGTACCATTTAAGACCCCTGTGTTCTTGGCTGGCACATAATCCTGTCCATCTGGACCATGCAGCCTCAAGCCAGGTTAAGTGGATTTGTGGAAAGATAGGAAGTATGAAATATTGTAACCTGAGTGTTGCAGAGAAGTTCATACCTGTTAGCATGATCACACAAGATCATTTTCTCTTCAACGCAGGGTGTCCCCAAAGGCCAGGAGTCACTATATCCTGGCATGATCGTGTCACATCCCATCCTACCTCTTTATTATTCTTTGCGGTTGAAACATGTGGATTGTAATATTTATCTTTTACTCAAAATGATATAGGTATCCTTTAAGTAGTCATTAAAGTATTTAATGTATTTATAAGTATTTAATTATCCATTAAAATAAGTAGTAAAGACTATAAAATAACAAAAAATATTTTATCCATTTATTTCTTTAAATTTTTTCCTAGAAGAATAGTAGCATTTTTAGATCTGTCACATTTATTTATCATGTTGGACAATATTTATTTAATAGCTACCTCCAGTTATTAACATCTTAAATTCTATTCTTTATAGAACAGATGCAGTTGTAATACAAAACATTAGAAATGTTCTGTTTGGAAAATTCCTTGAATTATGATTCAAGATAATCTCAAAAATATAGTTACTACCAAACAAAAGAAATCTAATCTATATTCCTATACAATTACTGCTCAGCTAGAGATGAGAACTACCAGCTCCTTCTCTTTTTAATGTGAACCTACAAACAGATATGGAAATTAGAGCTATTAGAAATAAAAAAAAATGTTTGAAGGCTGGACAGTGGTTATGGTATCAAGAATATTTTGATAAAATGGGATTTTAGGCCAGGCACGGTGGCTCATGCCTATAATCCCAGCACTTTGGGAGGCCAAGGCCGGCGGATCACAAGGCCATGAGATCGAGACCATACTAGCTAACACAGTGAAACCCCGTCTCTACTAATAATACAAAAAATTAGCCGGGTTTGGTGGCACGTGCCTGTAGTCCTGGCTACTTGGGAGGCTGAGGCAGTAGAATCACTTGAATGTGGGAGGCAGAGATTAAAGTGAGCCAAAATCGTGCCACTGCACTCCAGCCTGGGCGACAAAGTGAGACTCCATCTCAAAAAACAAAAAAAAAGGGATTTTATTTCAAATTTTTGTGTACCTCTGATATAATTATTCAAATTTTTGCAAATGGCTCTGGTCATCCATTCGTAACATAAAGAAGCACAACAGGCTGGGCACGGTGGCTCAGGCCTGTAATTCCAGGACTTTGGGAGGCTGAAATGGGTGGATCGCTTGAGGCTAGGAGTTTAAGACCAGCCTGGCCAACATGGCAAAAACCCGTCTCTACTAAAAATATAAAAATTAGCTGGGCATGGTGGTGCACACCTGTAGTCCCAGCTACTTGGGAGGCTGAGGCACGAGAATCTTTTGAACCCAGGAGGCAGAGGTTGCTGTAAGCTGATACTGCACCACTGCACACTCCATACTGGGTAACAGAGCAAGACACTGTCTCAAAAAAAAAAAAAAAAAAAAAAAAAAGAAGCAGCAGCAGCAGCACATCAAAAACAACTCTATTCCCTAGTAGTAGTAAAAAGCATTGTGTCTTTAAACCTAACAGTTGGAATACAACTTTGTTATTGAACACAGAAATGCAGAAGAAATAATGAAAGATAACATTTTAAATTTAACCAACTTAACTTAGCAAATCTTAAATATACATATCCCATCAGTTTATATATGTTTATGTATATATGTGGATGTTTATATATATATATGTGTGTGTGTGTGTGTGTGTGTGTGTGTGTATTGCTATGAAACATACATCAACACATTGCTGATAGGAGAATTGCTGCCACCCTTTGGGAACTAATTGCACAATATGATTAATAATTTTGGAAGTTTTCATTACACATAATAGAAAGTCCAATTCAATTCACTTACACAACAACAACAACAAAAACCCTGTAATTTCACATGATAAGGATTCCAGAAGGAGAGAAATGTAAGGGCGTTAATTTAGTGGTTCAACAGGTTACAAGGACTGAGTTTCTTTCTGTCTTTCTTCTGTGTCATGTGCTTGTGAGCTAGTTCTCTTCAACATCACACGGTGACTGCTATAGTTCTAGGCATCACATCCTTATCCACCAATAACAGAAATTTTAAAAAGGGTGGTCTTATCCTTAAATCTGTTTTTAACATCTAAGAAACCATCCCCTGAAATCACCCCGGCAAATTTTCATTCACCAATTATTAAATAAAATTAAGTCATATTCTCTTTTCTAAGCCAATCACTGATAGTGGGAATGGAATTACCATGGTGGGCTTTTTCTAACCATTGTGCTTGAAGATGAGTCCACGTTTCCTTGAAGTATGTGGCTGAATAGAAAATGATAGACACCTGGGATAGAAAAAGGGTACTCCTAGTAAGAAGACAAAAATTGATGTTGGCTATCTATCACCAAAATTTTTCGCCATGTGTGTCAAGAGTTATATCCATGCCTTTTGACCCAACAACTCTACTTGTGGGAATTTCTTGTTAAAAAATAATCTAAAGGTATTTATTTAAAATATTCATTAGTGCACTGTTTATTTTAAAACTATAAAATAATGTCTAGTAATATAAAAATTATTCACTTAGATGATTTCTATTAGATGA
The DNA here is from genome assembly GCF_000001405.40 of Homo sapiens. Lineage (NCBI taxonomy): Eukaryota > Metazoa > Chordata > Mammalia > Primates > Hominidae > Homo > Homo sapiens. The sequence goes on along the minus strand of NC_000018.10, from coordinate 55,989,636 downwards.
AATATTATAGAATTATTGGAATGATAATTATAAAACATTATGGCATTAAGGAAATGTTTATTACATAATGCTAAGTGAAAAAAGACACAATTACAATTACAGTATGATGGCAACTATATAAAATATGGTTTTATTTTTTAAAGGATATAAAAAAGATTGTGTGATTTTTTTCTTTGCATTTTTAAACATTTTGCTAGCTTATTTTTAAACTAACAAAGAATATAATGTATTATCTACAGATAACGCATTATCTGTAGAATTGAAAGGATCATTATATAACAGTGTAACTGTAGGCTGCTGGTTAAGATATAATCAGATATCTCAAAATTGGGAATTTTTATGAGGCTGTTACATAAAATTATGTAAAAGTTCCAAAATTATTTAAATGGAAGTAACTAAAAAACTGAGTTGAACTCAAGGCATTTAAAAATATATATTTCAAATTTATGATATACAGTATCAAAAAAGCTATACAATTTTCCATATTAGTTGGGTTAAAAAGTGCCCTTATACTAGTGATTCTTGTTTAGGTTGGTTTTCTACATGACCCTATCAGAGAAAGTTTGTCTTTTTTTCTGCTTCTAGTAAGCCTTGTAGATGTCATTGGCACATTTATTTTTCCTTGATTTCTTTGGGAAAAGGAGGCAACTGGTCCAGCTTTTTATGCCTGAGGTCCAGAAAACATACACCTGGGAAAGGCTACTGAACTTTAATTAGTCTTTCCTGTTTCTGAGTCTGCTTGCACAACAGTCTTCCTCCTGCACATGACCCTGTCGTCAACTGTCTTCCTGAAATGTTTATAAATAAAACATGGAAAAAAGTATGAGATCACAGCCCAGGATTAGCCTTAAGCCATGTCTTTAGGGTTGTTGCCATAGCAGAAGTGTATCCAGGATCAAAAAAACACTCTTGGATCACAGGACTCTTTCACTTTTTATACGCTGTGTAGCACCTGGTCTATGGACTGCATACATTTCAGCACAGGGTGGTTGTGCTCTGTCACAAGCCCCTTAAAAAAGGAGAAGTTATCTTATGAGTGATGGCCCTATATACTATGTCACTCACCTTGTCCTTGTGGAAGAAACAGGACCAGAGAGGGCAAATAGATTTGGTAAACAGCGAATGAGACAGCAGAAACATATAGATGTATTGCTAATAATATTCATTTTTTGAAAGTAAGAAGTTAATGCATCCGTGTAGGACAGAATGGGGTTGATGATATTTTTGTTCTTTTTATCCTCGCTCCCCAAGCACTTATCTAAGGATATCTAGAAGAGCAGGACTGGATTGAGTGGGGGTGGGGGTGCTGTCCCAGGGAATGGGGGAATAGCTCTTGGGATTTTGTGCCTTTTTATGTCTTCACTTGTCCTTTCTCATTTGGGTTTAGGTGTGTCCTATCTGAGGAGTTTAATTGGCTCCAGAGCAGAGATCTTTATTCCCTTCATCAGACAGAGTGTGTTCTATGACCACAGTAGAATTCAGCTAGAAGGAAAAAGTAGGACAATAACTAGAAAATTTCCAAAATGTTTAGAAATTAAGCAATAACATTTTGAATATGAGTAAGTCAAAGAAGAAAAAATAAAAATCAAACTGAAATATCATTAATATGGCACATCTCAAAAACTTGTGACATGCAGGTAATGCCATGTTTAGAGGGAAATTTATAGCCTTAAAATGTATACATTAGAAAATGAGAAACCTGAAAACCAATGACGTCCCTCACACTCAATAATTTAGGAAAAGAATTTAAAATTAAATTCAAATAAAGTAAAATAAAGTAATAAAAATTTACTGAAAATTACAACTCACCAAAATTGAAAACGAGGAAATAGAAAAGTCAAACCAAAAAAAAAAAAAATCCATAATTTAAAATCTCCTTGCAAAGAAAATTTCAGGTCCGCATGGCTTCACTGGTCAACACCTCTAAGCATTCACAAAGATGTAATATCATAGTTCTAGAAACTCTTCTACAGTATGGAAAAACAAATAGCATTTTTTTCAGCTCACTTTGAGGCTAGTATAACTTGGATACTAAAACCTGACAAGGATATTATAATACAGTAAAATTACAGACAAGTCTCTTTAATGCAAAATATAAGATGGATAATGTATCATGACTATATTGAATGTATCCCAGAAATGTAAAGGGTTTTTTTAACATTCAAAAATCAATTAATATAATTCACCTCAACACTGAATAAAAGAGAAAATTATATGGCCATGTCAACAATTGCAAGAAAAAAAATTTGAGAAAATTCAATGTGATACATAATCTATGTTCTGAGTACTCACAAGTTTGACTTTTTACATGACAACATTTTTGAACCCAGGACACCTTTTTTCTTCTTAAGTATCTGGCTCTTGAAATTGAAAAGCAGAATTTTATTGATCTTTGTCTCTACATACTCACTTTATAAAGGTTTCTTTTGAAAGCAAAATCTTGATTATCTTCATGATATTCAGTTGGCCATGGACACTTCCTCCCACCTAAGGGATGCGTGCCTCAGTCTCAAATGTGAAAGGCCATTGGGCAGTAGAAATTAACAGGATGAAAATAAATTAGGTAATGTTTTAAGATATTACCCAGTTGTTTTAATAATAGAGAATTCTGTGATGAGAGTCCATCGTTCTTCCTTGGAATTGCCTATAGCTACCATTCCATGGAGATTTCATTTTCACTGATTCCTCACTGACCTGTGGAAGAGTCTATTTAATCCTCAATCACATGTTGTATTTGCTACTTCTACAAACATCTAATTTGTTAGTGGTCTACAAACCATTTGTTACAGATGCCCCAATGTGTACTGTCCTTTCTCCATTAGTCATAGGTCCAAGCATCAACTGGGCGACTCTCCACTCTCAGTGCTGGGGCCACTGTCAGGGTCCAGTATCCTTCAAGTCATCCAAAAGTCTTTTGACTCAGACATGCTGGGCATTCCAGAAGAAGGTTTAGAATCTCCATCTCATCTGGCTGCTTTCTGCTATGTTCACTTCACATCTCTACCTTCATATTAAACTGTCCCAAAAGAACATTCTCAAAATCAGCCCCAGATTGCAGGGTGCTCATTTCCATTACGAACATCCAGAAACTAGAGCCCTTTTTTAACTTTAGCCATCAGTGGGTGTGAGATGGGATCTCATTGCGGTTTTGATTTGCATTTCCCTAATGAGTAATGATGTTGAGCATATACTCATATGCTTATAGATCATTTGTGTGTCTTCTTTGGATACATTTTCATTCAAATCCTTTGCCCATTTTTAAATTGGATTTTGAACTTTTTATTAATAAGTGGTAAGAGTCCTTTACATATTCTAGATACAAGTCCTTTATCCCATGTGTTTTGTAAATATTTTCCCCCATTCTGTGCACCATTCTTTTACTTTCTTGCTGGTATCATTTGCAGCACAAATGTTTTTAACTTTTGTGATGTTCACTCTATTTCATCTTTTCTTCCTTGTATTTTTGGAGTTGTGTCTAAATTAAAATCACAGAGAATTATGCCTTATGTTTTCTTGTAAAATTTTTATAGTTTTAACTCTTACATTTAGGTTGGTAATGCATTTTAAATGAATTTTTTAATAATGTGAGTTAGGGGTCAACTTCATTCCTTTGCTTGTGGTTATTCAGTACTTGCTGAATCATTTGATGAAAAAAAAAAAACTGTTCTCTCCACACTGAATTTTCTTGGCACTTTTGTCAAAAATCAATTCATCAGAAATATAAGGGTTTATTTCTGAACTCACAATTCCTATTGCATTCATCTATATGTCTATTCCTATGAAATGTGGTGCTGTCTTGATTACTGTAGCATTGTAGTAAGTTTTGAAATCAGGAAAGCTAGCTGTCTTGGGTGCACCTACTTGGAATCAAGCTTCTACATGTGAGGCTGGAGGGAGAGAAATGCCAACAGCCTGTCCTTTCCTGAATCAAACCATAGCCCAGACTTGGAGATGGAGGGAGAAGGAACCCCTGTCTACTTGGCTGTTTATGCCTAGGGCAAAGCTTCTGTAACATTGAGCTAAGGTGGAGGTAATGGACTGGATCATAGCTCAGATGCCATAGACTGTCACAGCTTTTACTGAGATTTAGTAGATTTTTTAAAATTAATCTTTCTGCCCTTAGGACAATTTTCAGACAGACATTTTAAATGATTGCTCTGTATTTTTTTTACCAGTTAAATTGGTTTTTTTGTTTGTTTGTTTTTTAGGAAAAAGGTGCACCGAGCCTCTTACTTTATTCAACAATTATTATTTAAGTAAAGCTTGAAGGGATAATTGAAACAGCTCTTGGAAAGGTTTTAGTGAGAACTCTGCCTCCAGATGCATCTGCAGAGGTGCTGCAAAGCAGTATCATTTTAGTTTGTATAACCTATTCAAGGATCATAACAGTCATTAATTTACTCACTCATTGATTCATTTAATAAACATTTTATCATCTTTCAGACACTACACTGGGTAGTAGGGACAGGAGGGCACAAAAAGAATACATCATTAAGATGTGATCTGTGTTCTAGAGGAACTCACAGTCTAGTACATAAACAATGTCTCAGCTCCCAAAATAAGTATGTTGCTGTATTTTATCCAAGCAGAAGAATCCTGCTTGTTATGGTAAGAATCTTATGTCTAAAGCAATATCATCCTGATTCTTGATAATCAACTCTTAATAATTCTTTTTTTAACTTTTAAGTTCAGGAGTACATGTGCAGGACTTCGGGTTTCTTACATAGCTAAATGTGTGTCATGGGGGTTTGTTGTACAGATTATTTTATCACCCAGGTATTAAGCCTAGTATCCATTAGTTATTTTTCCTGATCCTCTCCTTCCTCCCACCATCCACCCTCTGGTAGGCCCCAGTGTGTGCTGTTTCCCTCTTTAGGTCCATATGTTCTCATCATTTAGCTCTCACTTACAAGTGAGAACATACGGTATTTGGTTTTCTGGGTTTTACTGGTTTCTTGGGTTAGTTTGCTAAGGATAATGGGCCTGTACCTCCATCCATGTCCCTGTGAAGGACTTAACCTCATTCTTTTTTACAGCTGCATAGTATTCCATGGTGTGTATGTACCACATTTTCTTTACCCAGTCTACAAGGAGAACTACAAACCACTGCTCAAAGAAATAGAGATGACACAAACAAATGGAAAAACATTCCATGCTCATAGATAGGAAGAATCAATATTGTGAAAATGGCCATACTGTCCAAAGCAATTTATAGATTCAATGCTATTCTCATTAAACTACCACTGGCATTCTTCAAAGAACTAGAAAAAACTATTTAAAAATTCATATGGAACCAAAAATGAATCCAAATAGCCAAGGCAATCTGAAGCAAAAAGAACAAAGCTGGAGGTATCATGCTACCCAACTTCAAACTATACTTCAGAACTACAGTAACCAAAACAGCATGGTACCGGTAGAAGAACTTTCATGGTGTAAATACTCCCACCATGGTCAATTTCAAGCTACCAATCAAAGTAAAGTCATTCAATGTGGATTTGAAGAGCCACGAACACAACTGGCTCTTGTTAACTAGTGCACGCTATTTCTAGCACACCACAGAATAATCATGTTTTTAAGAACATTCATATAAGATATAGTGAAGTGCTTATAAAACAATATTAACTAGAAAAAAAGATACAAGACTATATACAGTAAGATTAAATCTCAAATATATCTGCCTAATATTTTTCCCAGGAAAAGTTACTTCAAAACCCACCAGTACCTCCCAAAATTGCCACTCCCAAATAAAACACTCTTGCCTGGCCTTCAACGCTTCCTGCCATATGAATTCTACCTACCCATTCAACTCATTTCCACCTTACTCCAACTCTATGTTCAGACAATTTTTTTCCCTAGCAACACAATGTGCTACTATTATTGTATTACTCCTACAGTCTATTACAATACTGTTATTTATATAACACTAAGAAAAATGCTGTTTCTGTGCTCAGGGGAAGTAGCAAAATTCCTCTTAAGGGTGGATTCCACTGTTGGGAAAATACTTCAATGGACTATTTTAATTAAACAAAGCTGGGACACAGGGGCTTGTCTGGAATGGAAGCAGCTGAGACTGGTTTTATGATGCAGACAATTGTTCTGCATAATGAAATAACAGGCTGTTCAGCCTCCCCGGATCACCACCTCATGTACTAGGAGACAGAACTTTAGAGAATATTGAAAGAAAGGATGAAAAAGAAGAGGTGGAGGGAAGAACTCCCACCAATAAAGAAGGAAAAACAAACTTCCAAATAGTGGCAGCAGGTCAGGATCTGACTGGGGCCGAGTTTTTGGTGACCTTCCCTAGGATGAATACCCAGATAGCAAGGGAATAAGCTCTTGCTCAGCTAGAGAACGGCATTAGCACAGGGAAAGGACGGAAGAGTGGGAGAAGCAGAGAGTGAGAGAGACCTGCAGATAGCTATCATTTGATACCCTGGGAATGACTCATGAGGTTAGGAGGGGCAGGGGCAGTTAGTGTAGAAAATATAGCATCACAGGAAGGAATAAAGACCAGGCACAAGGAATTCAGGAATGTGGATTGCCTGAAAGAAGTTTCTTTTCCTCCTCCTCTTGGAGGAATTCTAAGTGGTGTTAAGATACAAAAGGGAAGGGTGACCCAGAATGCTGAGAGACATGGAGCTGCAATTTACAGTTATATCTTCTTTTGAATTCTTTACTTTTGCTCTATGCATTAATCTCATTTCCCCAGTAGATTTTTCTAGCTCCTAAAAGAAGACCATACTTGCCATGTGTGTATATACACATATGTATATGTAGAAATGTATATGTAGATATACATACATATGTAAACATATATTTGTGTTATACATATATATATTTTAGAGTTCCTAGTCATAATTAATTCACCTTGCACATGGAAGTTCCTCTCAGATATCCTGCTGAATAGCTAGGAAAGAAAAGATTAAATAATCACTCCTTTTGTGCTTGTTTTGTGTGTTTGGTTTCTCATTACTTTGTAGTTGGAAGGCAAATCTTTCTAAGTTTTGTAGTCAATCTTTGCAATGTTATGATTTTTAAATGGAGAGCTACAACCACTATGAATGTACTCCACAGAATATATTTTATGTGTAATGTCTTTTCTAGCACATATATAGATCTCTTTTAAAATGAGGTATCTATATACCTTTTAAACACATCTGATACACATTGATTTTTTTAATGCTTTTTTTTTTTTGGCAAGCAGATTGAGAGGTGTTGTCAGCATTTCCACAGCAATGTGGTCCTCATGTTCACAACTGAGATAATGTGTATGTCAAAGAAGAGTTTTATGCTTCATCAAAACCAGCATTCATGTAAATATCTAGGTTACCCTGATGATTCACGTCACCTCTAACCTCTATTCAATGTCGTCATAATTGTCAATTTCCAAAGCAAACTGAAAAAAGTTATTATATCAAAATATGGTAAGAAGTACTGCTTGCCAAATATAATCAACTGTTATTTATTTCCAAAAACATTATGTAAAGACAAAAGAATAAGTGCTATATACTCTTGGGCTTAAGTAACAAGGAAAAACGAAAGGACTCATAGTCTTAGCGACTGAGAACTAAAAGTGAAAGCGGTTCTTATACTGCCCTGATGAAAAGGCTTGAAAAAGGTGCCTTATTTTTCTGTGCCTCAATTTTAAGTTTTTGTCATAACAATGACACCACTTTTCTGGTGTTTCATTGAAAGAGATAACATCTCTTTGAATCCCTTCTCTTCCAGGAACCCACCCCTATCTCGCCAGTCACAGATGAATCTCCTGGCAGTTACTCCCCATCTTGTGTTTACTATACTTGAGTAATGTTTAGAGAACTTTTAAAGAAAAGATTGAGAACCTCAGTCTCATCCTAAATGAGATGTACTAATATATATTTTCCACAAAATAGTAATAACTAATCCTTATTGAACACTCTTTTTGTGTCAGGGACTGTACCAAGTACTCTACAAGTATTAGCACATTTATCTTTGTGTGTTTAGTATTAATACAATTATATCACCGAAACCACAAAACCAATAAAATTCAATTTGACAGTGTGAATTTTAAACGGGATAGATTACACTGTTTTGCAGAAACTAAACCTGTAATATTGGGCTTAATCATGGAAGAAATATAGCCTTACTTATAACTTAAACCTGCTTTTGTGGTGTAACTTTAATACTATTTATACAGAGAATGCCTATTAACTACAAGCAATGAAACTGGCATTGGTAACATCAAGGCTTTATTTGATAATTAAGATAATCAAGTCCATTACTTAACAACTCAACTTTAATGCAATGTCCTTTGATCTCTCTGGAATGCTGACTTGTTCACTTGGAAATAAGGATCACATGATAGTGTTATAGAAACCTGCATTAAATGGGTAACTAATCCAATGACACCTAGAGTCAGAATGGGACTTCCTTGAATGCTTATGGTTGTGGTGAAGATATAATCCTGCCATGCAAAGCCTTTTGAGTCTCCATGACAATATTATCATGTATATTTTATGACTCAATTCTACCTTTAGGTTTCTCCATTTGGACTTCTGTGAAATCTGCATTTATACAGTAAGTTGTGCTGTCAGTTGACCTTTACTTGGAAGATGCATTTATAATCATACATGCATTTGTAAACTTAAATTAAAAATCAGGTACCGAAATAGTTAAACAAAATTCTACATTTCTTAAAGAAGTTGTGGATGCTCAGGGTTTTCTGCGCTCCCATTTGAGAAAAATGGTCTGTATCATTCACTTAGCATTTCATCATATTCTTCCTGGTGCTGTTATTTAACCTTTTATGTATATTTCCACCTCTTATTTTATGTAGAATTAATTTACACATTTTTGGAATAATGCAAAAAGGCATATGAAACCTTTTAAAAGTATATCTATATTTATTTCTGAGTAACTTGCCTTACAATAGTCTGCCAACTTTTGAAGGCCTTGTGTTGATGTATATTTTAGAATGTTGTGGTTGGAGAAGGTGGCAGCAGTATGTGAGAGAGTTTCCAACACAGCATCCACCTGCCCAGTTACTTCTTGGTGTCATTTAGTTCCGATTTCCCATTAAATCATATTTTTTATCTTGAGATGTATGTTTGCAATGGTTGGGATCTTTAAAATATATCTGATGAGACTGCCATTATAAAATATTCATTTTTATGATGGCCATCAAATGAAGAAATAGGAATAGTCCATGTATATGTATCTTTTTTTTTTTACATTATTATGTCATTCTCATGGTCTTTCTAGTTTTCCTTTCTCATCTTCTATTCAAGACACTAGATTTTTTCCCCATTATCTCAAGGTAGGATATAACAGAGTAAAAAGCAAAAAAAAAAGATAAAATAAAATAAGAAAGGATGCACATTTTATCTTTGTGTTTCAAAAGCAACAGGGAATCAAGAGGCATAGAGAAAACATTTGAGAACAACTATGCCACCTCTCAACACATGGACACATACAATCTCTCTCTCTCTCTCTCTCTCTCTCTCTGTGTGTCTCTCTTTTTCTTTCTTTCTTAAAAAAATTCCCCAGGTAGGAAAATGTAGAAGATCAAAAGAGAAGAAAATGATGAGAGTAAAACATGGGTGAGCACTGTTTAGGGTAGCTTTCCATGAAGGACCCTGGAGAGGTGAAGACTAAAGTGTGTGATCTCTGAGAGCTTGGGAACCTGATCTCTGTGCCCATGGTAGACTTCTGAAGAGGGGACAAATCATAAAGAAGAAATGGTTAGTGGATTTTGGCTAATAGGCCTGTAGACAACAACATTTTTTGTCCTACTTTGTGCTTAAGAGTGGCATAATTTCCATGCCCCTGAGTATGGCACAGAAATAGTGCCAAGAAATCCTTGCTTTAAAGGGTATAGGCAAATAGGAAGAAAGAGGAACTCTTTCTTCTTACAAGCAACCTGCATAAACAGAGAAACAAGGACCATATAAAGTGGTAGGTTCCTAGATGCACAGTCAACATTGAAGATCCAAGGATCTGACACAGTATGCATTGGTACTGTATAAGCATCAACAGCTTAGATATGGTAGCAGGAAACAGAGGACCTCAGACTGACAGAAATTATTCTATCACATAAGGTGATAGTCAGGGTTTTCCAGAGAAACCAAGCCCAAACTTCTGTCTGCAAGCTGGAGGGTCAGGAAAGGTGGTATAGTTTGAAGGCAGCCTAAGAGCCACTGAGCTCATGGTGTAGATTCATGTCCTAGTCTGAAGGCCTGAAAACCAGAAGTACCAGCTCAAGCAGTCAGGTGAGCATAAATTCATCTTTTCTCCATCTTTTTAGTCTACCCCGGCTCTCAACAGATTGAATGAGGCCCGTCTCCACTGGAGAAGGCCGTCTGCTTTACTAAGTTCACCAATACAAACACTAATCTATTCTAAAAACACTCTCGCAGGCACACTCAGGAATAATGTTTAACCAGGTATCTAGGCATTCTATGACCCAGTCAAGTTGGCACATAAAATTAACCATCACACAGAATATATGTGTTGCTATACCTTCTTGAGGAATTGGCCCTTCTATTACAATAAAATAATATCATTATCCCAATAAAATTCTTTGCTCTGAAATCTATGTTGTCTTTTGGTAAGTAGATAAGTAGATTCCAGCTTTCTTTTGATAAGTCTTAGCATGGTATATCATTTTCCTCCCTTTTACTATTATCTTATTTGTGTCTTCATATTTAAAGCGCCTTTCTTATAGGCAGCATATAGTTGGGATTTTTTTTTCAATGCAATTTTACAACTTCTGCATTTTTTTTTTCAAGATGGAGTCTCACTCTGTTGCCCAGGCTGGAGTGCAGTGGTGTGATCTCGGCTCACTGCAAGCTCTGCCTCCTGGGTTCACGCCTTTCTCCCGCCTCAGCCTCCCGAGTAGCTGGGACTACAGGCACCCGACACCATACCTGGCTGATTTTGTTTTTGTATTTTTAGTAGAGACAGGGTTTCACCGTGTTAGCTAGGATAGTCTCGATTTCCTGACCTCCTGATCCGCCTGCCTAGCCTCCCAAAGTGCTGGGATTACAGGTGTGAACCACCACGCCCGGACAACCTCTGCATTTTAACTGAGGTATTTAGACCAATTTCGTTTAACATGATTCTTTATGTGATTGAGTTTAAATCTATCCCACTTGTTTTTTGGGGTTTTTTTTGGGGGGGGGACTTCTTTCTTCATAAAAATTTTTTCAAAACAATGTATTGTTCAAAAATAATTTATTGTTATATTCTTTGTTGACCTATTATCTATAACTGTTTGTTATTTTAGTGGTTGTTTTAGGGTTTAAATATCTGCTATATATCTTTAACTTACCAAGTTATATTATACAAGTTCAAATATTCAAATTATACCACTTCACATATAATACTAGACTCTTATCAGCATATTCTTTCCCTAACTTTGTGTTTCTGCTGTCATACTTTCACTTTTAGATATGTTATAACCCCACACTAAATTATTTTTTCTTGAATCATTTATCATTTAAAGTGATTTAAATATTAACTAAAACACATATATTATATATTTATATATTTTGTATTTCAATAGCTTTTGTGGTACAAGTGGTTTTTGGTTACATGGATGAATTGTATAATAGTGAAGCCTGAAATTTTAGTGCACCCATCACCCAAGTAGTGTACATTGTACCCAATGTGTAGTTTTTAATCCTTCTTTTCCCTCCCACCCTCCTCCCTTCTGAATCTCCAAAGTCCATTATACCACTTGGAATGCCTTTGCGTATACATAGCTTAGCTCCTACTTATAAGTGAGCACATCATGTATAAGTGAGAACATTAGGTATTTGGTTTTCCATTCCTGAGTTACTTCTCTTAGAATAATGGCCTCCAACTTCATACTCCATCCAAGTTGCTGCAAAAGACATTATTTCATTATTTTTAATGGCTGGGTAGTATTCCACAGCATATATAGACTACATTTTTTAATGCACTCATCAGTTGATGGGCACTTAAGTTGGTTCCATATCTTTGCAATTGTGAATTTTGCTGTGAAAAACATATGCATGCAGGAGTCTTCTTGATATAATGACTTCTTTTCCTTTGGGTAGAAACCCAGTAGTGGGATTGCTGGATTGAATGGTAGATCTACTTTTAGTCCTTTAAGAAATCTCCGGGCTGAGTGCGGTGGCTCACGCCTGTAATTCCAGCACTTTGGGAGTCTGAGGCCGGCAGATGACAAGGTCAGGAGTTTGAGACCAGCCTGGCCAATATGGTGAAACCTTGTCTCTACTGAAAATACAAAAATTAGCTGGGCGTGGTAGCACTTGCCTGTAGTACCAGCTACTAAGGAGGCTGAGGCAGAAGAATTACTTGAACCCAGGAGGCGGAAGTTGCAGTGGGCCGAGATCATGCCACTGCACTCCAGCCTGGGCGATTGGGTGAGAGAGAGATTCTGTTTCAAGAAAGAAAGAAAGATGTACTAGTTTACATTCCCACCAGCCGTGTATAAGCATTTCCTTTACAGCACATCCACACCAACATCTGTTGTTTTTTGACTTTTTAGTAACGACAACTCTGGCTGGGGTAAGGTAAGATCTCATTGTGGTTTTAGTTTGCATTCCCTGATGATTAGTGGTGTTGAGCATTTTATCATATATTTTCATATGTTTGGCCATTTGGGTATCTTCTTTTGAGAAATGTCTATTTATGCCATTTGCCCACTTTTTGATGGGATTATTTGTGTTTCTTATTTTCTTTCTGATTTGTTTGAGTTCCTTGTAGACAATAGGTATTAGTCCTTTGTTAGACACACAGCTTGCAAATATTTTCTCCCATTCTATAGTTTGTCTGTTTACTCTGGTGGTTATTTATTTTGCTATATAGAAAGTTTTTAGTTCAATTAGCTCCCATTTTATAAAGTTTTGGTTTTGTTGCATTTGCTTTAATGGTCTTAGTCATAAATTCTTTACTTCAGCCAATGTCCAGAAGCGTTTTTTCTAAGTTTTCTTCTAGAACTTTTATGGTTTCAGATCTTAGATTTAAGTCTTTGATCCCTCTTGAGTTGATTTTTGTATATAGTGAAAGATAGGGATGCAGTTTCATTCTTCTACATGTGGCTCTGTAGTTTTCCCAACACCATTTATCAAATAGGATGTCCTTTCCTCAATTTATGTTTTTGTATGCTTTGTCAAAGTTCAGCTGGTTTTAAGTATTTGGTTTTATTTCTGCATTCTATATTTTGTTCTACTGGTCTGTGTATCTACTTTTATACCAATTCCATGCTGTTTTGGTAACTATAGCCTTGTAGTATAATTCGAAGTCAGATAATGTGATGCCTCCATATTTATTGTTTCTGTCTAGAATTGCTTTGGCTATTCAGGTTCTTGTTTTGTTTTATATAAATCTGAGGATTTTTTTTCTTTTTCTGTGAAAAATGATACTGGTATTTTGATAACTGCATCGAATGTTTATATTGCCTTGGGGAATGTGGTCATTTTCATATTGATTCCTCTAATCCATGAGCAAGGGATATATTTCCATTTATAAAACATTTATATATTTACCAATGTAGATGCTGTTTCCAGTGCTCCTCATTCCTTTGTTTAGATCCATATTTGCATCTGGTGTCATTTTCTTTCTGTCTGAAGGACTTTCTTTTAGTGCAGGTCTGATGTAGATTAATTCTTTCAGCTTTTATATGTTTAAAATGTATTTAGTGTACCTTTAAATTTGAAAAATATTTTTACTGGATATTGAAGTCAAGGTTGACAATTTGTTTTCTTTTAATACTTGAGAGAATTTTTCCCCTTTATCTTTTCAGTTGTATTATTTTAGATGAGAAGTCTGCTGTCATTCTTATCTTTGTTCTTCAGCATGTGATGTGTTTTCCTCCCCTTCTGCCTGCCTTTTAGATTTTTCTCATTATCACTGTTTTTGAGCAATCTGATTGTGATATGCTTTGGTATTGTTTTTCTGTATTTCTTATGCTTGAGGTTCATTGAGCTCCTTGGATCTTTAGGATAATAGTTTTTACCAAATTTGGAAAACTTTCAGCCATTATTTTTTCTAATAATTTTGTCTTCCCCCTTTGGGATTTCCATTTATATCTATATGAGGTCACTTAAAATTTTCCCACAGTTCACTGATGCTCTGTTCATTTTTAAAAATTCTGACTTCTCTCTGCTTTTCATTTTAATACTCTCTATCACTATGTCTTCAAGTTCACTAATCTTTTTTTTTTTCTGCAAGGTCTGATTCAGTGTATTTTTCATTTCAGACATTGTTAATAGTGATGCAGACATTTGTACATGAACAAGTTCAAATATCTATGTCTCTAGTTAACTTTTTGTCTACTTAGTAAACTTACGGAATGTAGTTATAATAACTTTTACTGTCCTTGTTAGCTAATTTTAATGTTTGCATCAGTTTTGGTTCTGTTTCAATTAATTTATTTTTTTTCTCCTCATCAGTGGTTATATTTGTGTGTGTGTGTTTATCTAGTGATTTTTGATTGAATGCCATATTAAATTTACTTCTTAGGCACTGAATTTTTGTATTTCTATAAATATTTGTGAGTTTTGTTCTGCAACATACTTAAGTTATTTGGAAACAACTTCATTTTTTCTGGTCTTCTAATATTTGTTAGGCAGGACTTTAGCAGTATTAATTCTGAGGTTAATTATTCTCAACTACTGAGGCAAGATCCCTCTGTTTCTTCCCCCAGCACCATGTGAATCATGAGACTCTCTAGTCTGGTTGATGAGAACAAGTAGTACTGTGAACTCTGTATGAGTGTGGGGTATCATTATCGCTAATCATTTCAGGAGAACTTTTTCAAGGCCTTGAGTAGCCTCCTCACACACGAGGTCTGATCAGCATTCAGCTGACTATTTAAGGGGGGAGCCCTCTGAAGAGCTCTGGAGTTACTTCTCTGTGCAGCTCTCTCCTTTCACATACTCTACTCTGTGTAATCTAAACCTCTTGCCCTCCTTGGTTGCTCAGCTCTGCCTCCTTCACCTTAGAGATACTGCTAGGCTCTATTTGGGTTCTCTTCCTGCGCTGAAACCTAGAAACTCTCTCAGGGAGGTATTCTGAAGCAATTGTAAAGCAGGCATATTTAATTTGTTTTAAACTGTCTTTAATTGTCTGTTATCCAGTGTTTTGAAAACCATTGTTTTATCTATTTTGTCAGGGTTTTCATATTGCATTGCTTTGTTTTTTACTGTTTGAGGCAGTAGGGTAAACCTGATCCCTGATTCCTTCTTAGCCGGAAAAAGAAATTCTCTTATTATTTTTTAATTTGCCTCTTCCCCGAGCAGCACCTATAGTCAATTTCCTGTGAGGCAATGGAGCATGCCAGCCTTCAGACCATCTCGACAATGATGCCTTGGATATTCTACTTCACCATTGGTTCTCCAAGGTTACCTGAGTGAGTGAATGTGCTGTAAAAATTTTTCTCTATCTAAGTGACAAAGGAAAACATAAAGTTTCAGATGGGTTTCCATGTAATATCATGTTTCCAGGTGTACTTCCATAAAACATTATTGATTCAAAACTTTTTAATTGGTAAGATAAACCACTCAAATGATACTAGACTAAATTTATCTTTACAGTTGATTTTTTCTTCATAAAAAAGACAAGTATAAAGTGTACAAAGGATATCAACAAGAAAGGATATAAGCTAATTTTTAAAAAACTACTCTTAACGTAAGTAGATAATTACGAGCAAAAAGCTTTGATCATTTAAAACCATCATTGCCTATTTATTTAAACAAGTTACTTAAGGTCTCTATGACATAGTTAAATAAATGAAATTAAATGCCTAGTTGAGTTACTCTGTCTCATTACGAATTTTCTACAGATTTTTTAGTCACCATAGTAAATACTGACAAGCACCTCTACGTAGCAGATGGCCCCTTTTTCTTTTATACCTGAAAGTAACATTTTTTTTTCTGTTAAATGTGTTCTTCAATTCAGCCTGCATTTCTCTTTTTGAAATCTGAATTATATATTGATAATTGTGAAGTGTTTTTAAATAAGTAGAGTCTTTTTGTGTACAGAAACCCATACTTTCCAGTTTAGGAAATAAAAGCTTTCAGGAAAACAAGATCTTCCTGACCCCAGTGTGGCAGGCCTCACCTGCCAAGCCAGAATCCTCTTGCATTTCAATTTTTCAGCAGAAAGAAGGAAAAGATCATAAACTGAGAAAGCATACCTTCAGATAGAGGCCTACCTATCCTTAAAAAAAGAGAGAGTGAGAAAGGTGGCTTTCCCAAACATATTTCACTTCATTTTAACAAGAATGTATTAAGAATTGATTAAGCTCTTACAAGCAAATTTTATACATTCTTATTCCTGATCTATACTGACCTACATACTACACTTCAGGAATCCATGAGAATTTACCCTGTTTCCTGTTGGTAATCTGGAGGATAGGAAAGTAGGGGGTGAAATAGGAAGGACTTCATTGGGCATAAAGTATTGAAGATGAACCTTGAATCATACATTGCATTTCAGGAGTGATGCCAAATGGGACAGCCAGAACAGAAGTTGAGGGATGGCACAGAAGGTGGTGCACTGAAGGAGCGAGGAAGTAATCTTTCTAGAGCATTGGGTTTATGTGGAAGGATGAAGGCAGCTAATACTGGAAGCAGAGGTCTGACCTCACTGTGAAAGGGCTTACATACTAAGCGAAGATACTTGCTCTCTAATTTAGTAGCCACTGGTGATCCCTGGACATTTCTGAGCCAAGGAATGATATGTAAAGAAATGTGCTTTAGAAAGATCAATATGGAAACAATAGTTAGATTAGATAGTGGGCAGGATGAAAAGGAGAATGGAGCCCAGGAGATCGGAAGAAGAGGTCACAGCTCCCTAAATCTGCATGGCCTTAGACAGTTCACAATGTGCTTTCACACACAGAACCTTACTTGATCCTTATAACAGCCCCAGGATATAAGTAGAAAAGATATCTTATTTTACAGATAGAAAAAATCAAGGCTCAATTCAGGTACTCTGATTCACACCGTGTTCTTTTTACCATCCTATGCTGTTTCCCGAAAATGTAGAGGTCAACCCTATAATGCAGGCCCAACGCTATAGCGCCCCCCAGTAGTGCTCAGCCTCAGGGATTCTGAGGGCTCCTTCAAGGGCTGCAGTTGCGGGTTCAAGGATCTCAGTTCAGCCTCTTATTTTCAGAATGACTTTTCTTATCTATTAGGTTTCCACATAAGATTTCCTTTGACAAAGTCTTTAAAATACAAATAAATAAGTCAAATAAAAAAAAGTTTTAATTGTCAATCCATAGAACTTGCTAATTAATTAGGTATGGTGATTGACAGAGAAAGAGGGAATCAGACCTTAGAATTTTGAGCCTGGTATTCAGAACAGTAGTAACAGCAGCAACAAAATAAGGAAGTCAGGCCAGCGTGGTGGCTCATGCCTGTAATCCCAGCACTTTGGGAGGCCGAGGAGGGTTGATCACCTGAGGTCAGGAATTCAAGACCAGTCTGGCCAATGTGGTGAAACCCCATCTCTACTAAAAATACAAAAAATTAGCCAGGCGTGGTGGTGGGTGCCTGTAATCCCAGCTACTCAGGAGGCTGAGGCAGAAGAATCGCTTGAACCTGGGAGGCAGAGGTTGCAGTGAGCTGAGATCGCACCATTGCCCTCCAGCCTGGGCAAAGATCACACCATTGCACTCCAGCCTGGGCAACAAGAGTGAAACTCCGTCTCAGAAAATAATAATAATAACAAAAAAGGAAGGCAGTGGAACTAGTTTGGGAAGGTAAATCTGGGTTGGTTTGGGATGAAGATAAAGAATATTTAAGCATTCTTAGGATTTCAGGGATGATAAAGACCTAAAATTTTCAAAAAGAGCTGAAAATTTTACAAAAGATCCTAGCAATTAGTGTTCAACAGTGAACCTGAAATCATCAAGTACTTCAAAGAGGAGCTATTGTGAACTGAGGTGGTCAGAGACCCTTCATGGAAAGCTTCAGATTGAGCTGGGCCATAAATACCATCTGGATGGTTGGAATGTGAAGGATTTTGGCCAGTTGGTAGAGAGACTTGGGTGCTTAACAAAACTTGTCAATTCTGGGTGGCATCCATTTGATAAAAGATAGTGGTTTTAATTTTACAACTGTGTTAGCATGGATTCATTTTCTGCCAGAGCATAGAAAAATGTAGAAGGAAATTGCTCGAAACTCCCAAGAACCATCACAGACCCAGAGAAATCTGATGTCAAAGTTGGATTTGAGATGAAACTCATGACAGCAATGAAACCGAAGTCCAGGAGCCAATCACTTATTTTTCCACCATGTCAAGGGATGAGGCCAACTCTACGCCAAACCAGAGAATGGGATGTGAAGTTTTAGCTTCATGAATGTTTTCACAATGTCACTAAAAGGATCAGATAGGAAGTAACCTCATCTACAAAGAGGCAGCAAGGACAGCAGCAGCAGGTGCCACAAAGGAGTCATAGCCAAGCAGAATCCAAAGCACATACAAAGATTTTCTGTCTTTTCTCACCCCCATGTAGTAAATGAAAAATGGCTTCATGTACAGGCTCTGCAGTTACTGGACATGTGTGGGAATTTTGCTCAAGCCACTTCTTTGTGTGGGATTTCAGTTGCCTCCTTGCTCATAGTGTACCATTTAAAAGGCCTCAGGGAAAACAATGAAAACAGCAAAAATACAAACATGCCCACCAAACACAAAACTTTGCCTTCTAAAAGTGCATCAGCTCAGAATTCAACCTAAACAAAGAACCCTAAAACATGTTCTTTTCCATTGTTCAGAAAGATTGTAAAAGTTTCCTAAATGTAATTTTTATCACCTTTCTTTTTTTACCATTTATGAACATGTGTGTTTTTTATGATATTCACAACATGCTTGTGTCACAAGATTCAAATTTAATTTCCTGCAATTACTGCACAATATGGATGGCAAAAAAATGATATAAAAATGACAGAAAATAATGAACAGTTACTCTGTTTCTGCTAAGTTACCTTTTGGAAATAAAAGTCAAGCAATACCCAGCTGAGCCTTTTGATTGGCTGCTGCAGTCCATGTTGTTTGGAGGCATTGGTAATAATCGTTAGAAATGTTCAAATCATCCGATAGGAACAGGATTTAGTTTACTGGAAAATTATCATCCTGCACATCAGAGATTTAAGATAGGTTGTAACTTCCTTTGTACTCCTCAGGAAATGTAGAATGATGGTGGTTAGCTGGTGGTTTGTCAATAATGGTTTGCACCTCCAATTTGGAGCCACATGAACTTGAACTAATTCATTTATGTCATTATGTACCTCATTTCTTACAGGTAGGAATAATGAACTTGTAGACAAAGGCTTATTTAACAGAGGTGGAGGAGAAATTATTTCTACTACTGTTTCTGTGGAGGCCCTAAAACAGGGAGCTGAAGCCAGAAGACCTGGGTTTAAAATTCCTCTTCACCACTTCACCACTGTGACATTTAAATGAGATTCTTAACTGTACTAACCCTTAGTGTCCCCATCACCTAAATGGACATTAGAAAAGTTTATGCTTTTTAGGGTTGTTGGAGATTCAGTAATGTAATGCATACAATGTGCCTGGTATCAGGTCAGCCCTCAGCACCTTAGCTACCATTATAATGATAATGGTGACAGTGAAGATAAATGCCCAGGGCCTTTTCCAGTCTAGAAAATAATAGCTATGCTATATTGAGGTACATGTTGGAGTATAGTTGGTTCTGTTGCATGAGTGACACCTCCCACCTGTGTTTATTTGCTTAGTTTCAATGCAGGCATCCAAAAAAGAGACGGAACATGTTTTGTCTTACTAGGTGTAATTTTCATGAAATGTCATCCCTGAATTGGCTTAACTTCTCCCAAATGTTCATGAGTGGGAGAAAATTCTCAAGTAAATAGGAAAAGGAAGGAAAGGAGGGAGAGAGGGAGGGAGGGATGGCAGGAAGGTGTGAAGGAAAGTAAAAAGAAGAAAGAAAGAATTGCACAGAGTGACTGAACTTTAAAGGTAATATTCTTCATCAAAATTAAAAAGAAAAACAAAAAAGATTAACTTTTTAAACTAAGACATCATCTTCTGAGTAAGGTTCACTGTTATTGATCATGTTGCTGTTACTGATCATGTCGGCACCTGAAGGGTGACAGTTCTGCACAGATGACCCATGCTTTAGTGGTTTTCACTCTATCAAAGTGCAAAAAAGTCATATCCTGAATGGGAACAGGGCTTCCTATTCCAACTATTTGTTTTCTTGAACAAACTCACTGACAATAAAAACTCATGCTATTGAGATATGAAATGATATAACAGAAGATATTGAGGATTGTTTAAGACTCCTTTGTGTTGTCTTTGTTCTCTGGTTGCCCATTGTTTCTTTATATTTCATCTATTACCCTAGTTTTACCAAGTCTTCAGGCCCTTGGATAGAAGTTGACCAGAATGCACTGGTCTAGGATAAATAAAGATATCTTGAAGTGTCTGCCTGAAAGAGTGTAAAGGTGGGGAAGGAAGAACACTAAAAGGAGATGGGTTATCTGAATGGGACTGAATGAGAATGGCAAATTCCTGGATCGATTCTGTATGTTGGCTGCCTAGCACCCCATGTTAAGAGTGGGCATGATCTTGTATCCAGGCTCCATGGAAACAAGTACCAGTCAAGACTGACTCCCAAGGTCTGCCATGGCCCATGTAAGAGCCACATTTATGTTATCCTTGGCCCAAAACTTAGGAGCCCACCTTGAATAGTAAGGGCAGGCGAGGGTACAGGGCAGTGGTAATAAAGGAAGCAAGGAAAGTGAGCCATGGAATCCCATTTTTTCACAGGGAGCTCACTCCTGCAGGTGACTCATGGGGCTTGGTTAGTGTTATGTCTCTGCTTTGCAGTAGATAGTTCTACAACTGACCGTGACTATTGACTCCCTATGATTTAAACGAATGATGACTGACCAAATGAGTGATTCATACCACCCCCACCACTCCCATACACACACCCTCTTTTTATTGAATTGAACTAAAAATGTCTGATGAGAATTTTTTTTAAAGTCATTTGCCAAGGAATCCCAGGTCACCCTGCTTGCTAAGAATTTTGGATACAGCTTTAGCACCTAGATATGTTTCATGTTTTTAATTTCCTGTGCTTCACATTGATTACTGAGACACTGTAATTTTTAAAAAGCCATAATTTTCAAGTTCTTGTTTGTGATTGAATATGCCTATGTATGCCTAGCACAGGGTACATTTTAAAGTGTGAATAGCCGGTGCTTGAAACAGCAAGTTTTCACCAAAAAGCCATCTTGAAATCACATTTTACACAGACCAACTTCATCGTAAACAGAAGTCTCTCCTCACCAGAATTTCCACGTCATTTAACAACTCGGAAACGATCCACTGGTGTGTGCTTTAGTCCAAGGTCTCTCCCTCAGCAAATGCCCCCAAGCTTTTATTCCCCTCAATGAATTAAGGACTCATATATGGGAAACACGTATGTCTCTTTTGCAACATACACGTAAACATTCACAGAGCTGATTTATTGTGACCTCTGTTTTCTTCTGAATTAAGACCAAATGTAAAAGAAAATTCCTTAAAATGAAATGTCTTATAACAGTCACTCATTGAAAATGGTACTGGCAGACGTGGACTGAATATCAAGATGCTGGTTCACCACTATCAAAAGTCAAAGTCAGCCGGGCGCAGTAGCTCACGCCTGTAATCCCAGCACTTTGGGAGGCCAAGGCAGGTGGATCACCTGAGGTCAGGAGTTCGAGACCAGCCTGGCCAACATGGTGAAATCCCGTCTCTACTAAAAATACAAAAAAAAATTAGCAGAGCGTGGTGATCTGCACCTGTAGTCCCAGCTACTCGGGAAGCTGAGGCACAATAATCGCTTGAACCTGGGCAGCGGAAGTTGCAGTGAGCTGAGATCATGCCATGGCACTCCAACCTGGGTGACAGAGCGAGTCTCTGTCTCAACAAGAAAGAAAAAAAAAAAAAGTCAAGGTCAGTGACTTCTTTGCCTTGGAGTGCAGGCTTAAGGCTGAAAGAACCCTTTCCTTGGGCTGCATTATTAATGCTAGTGTAGTGTCCACATCATGCTCTGCGCTCTTCAGAACACATTTATTATATTTGTTTTCAGTTCTGGTTCCCTAGATGTAAGAGGATACATTCATCAATTAGAATAGAATTGCCCAGAAAAGGACAAACGTAATAGAGAGGAGAGTTTGGAAACCATATTCTATGAGAAACAGTCAAAATGGATATGATTTTTTAAGAGTCTAAGTTGTCTTCATGTGCGTATTTGAATAATTTGGGGAAGAGGGCCACATGGTCTTTTTGGCTCCCTAGTGCAGAACAAGAGATAGGATGGAGATATTAGAGAGGAAAATTTTGCCAATACATAACATAAAGTAGATCTTTTAAAGATGAGAGATTTGGATATTTCATTATGAGTCTTGTTCCAGCAAAGGCTGGTCTCTGTGCTTTGGCTGCTCAGGGACTTCCCCGCCCTGAGAAAAAAGAGAAAACTACCTTCAAAAGAGGAGTTTCAAATTCTCTAATTTCTTCCTATCATTCTTTGGTCAGTTTGCTTGGTCTTCAGAAATATATATGTTCTGAAAGCAATCAATAAATGGATCCATTTGAAAATTATGTCAATCGGATCTTTTTGTAGATTAATCATATTATAAATGCATTTAAGTAACTCACTATTTAAAGGAAACAATGTAAATCCGTTAAGAATCCTTCTGCAATGCAAATAATTACTTCCAGAATGAAACATTTTTATTTCCTCAAATTGGTTTTTTCTTACATAGATAACATCTGTATTCCCAACAGTGCAGGATGCCCCACAAGTAATTAAATAGAAGAAATTCTGACTCTTCTGGTGTTAGGGATAGAACGTTGAGGCTCCACCCTACTCCTCCTGTCCTTGAGTAAACACTTCATTAGAATGTTTCACACTGGAAATATTAACACCAAATTAATGAAATTCAGTGCCATCAGGGAGCTACAATATTAACTTCTTGTGCCCTGTGTGGAGTTAAAGTCCTCTTTACTAGAGTTCCTTCCCAAGCCTAGCATTAACCAGCTAAGGGATCTGCTCCAGCTCCTTGAACTTCTACATTCTCATCTTTAAAATGGTGGTGATAGCACTATATGCCCTTGCTTGTGAGAATTACATCCAAATATACTGCCATATGTAAAATGTGTAAATCAAGGTGGCTTGGAGGAACAGCTTCTCCTCTGCCTGGGTTGACCAATACAGAAATATTTGCAGACAGAAAGAATCTTTATAGGACTTTTTAATCCAGTGTCAGGCAACAACATAATTGCCTAAGTAGTAACTAGCCATGCACTTTGGCGCAGTTTTTTACCCCTAGTTTCTCTAAAAGGATTGGGAATTAGAGAACTATCCCATCTAAAGTAAAGAATGACAATGACACTCTCTAAAGTTGTGATCAAGAATAAAGGTTTAACAATACGCACTTAGGTAGGAGTAATATTTAGAAGACAACATAAAAATAGAGAAAATTACATAAAACTTCATTTCATAATTTATGAAATCTTATTTTTAGGATATGCAAAGTCTATGGTTTGCTTAGGAGCAGAATCACATTTTGTATGTTCTTGGCATCATTTAAAAAAAAGTTTTCTCTTTCTGCTAAAAGATTTGCAAGGTCTTAAATGAAGTGATATAAACTCCGTGATATGGGAAAGGCAGGGATGGAATGCAGGCCTCCAGCCCCTACAGAATTCTATTTTTCCTATCTCTTCTGGAACATCTTTCCCTCTGAACCTCTGCCCCTTCCTTGGAACTTCCTTGCATGAGCTTACCAAAGACACCTCTTGTATGCCTCCTGTTGTGTATTGCAATGACAACTGACCCTTAGATTTATGTAAACATGTCAAACAAAAAAATGAAATATTACTTTTTTGCAAATATTATAAACAAAAATTCCAATGGGATGATGTTAGAATGAAAATCCTAATCTCAGGGATCCTGGTCTGAAGCTGTTATTCACATCTGTCTTGTCAGCGGCCCCCTTCCCTCATTTCAAATCATCATTGTTAGCATCTATTGACCATTTGCTGTTAAATGGGGATATAATGTTAAACCTGGATAGAAGGAATTTTGGATGTTATCACAGCCACAGCCAGACAACCTCTTCCATCACCTTCAATCTCATTGCTGTTAGGTTTGCAAATGCACTTATTTATGTGCATTTGCTTTTAACAAAATAACTGTTGTTCAGTTGTAGGACACATAATCAAATATAAACTCTTACCTGGAATTTTTATTTTCTATTATACATAAAATATACTTAAAATGTTAACATTCATAGGCTTTGCTCTCTGAAAATAAGATTTCAAAAATTATCAAAAGGTTTTAGGTTAATTCTCCTAAATATCAACTCCTACCAAGAGTGTGTTAAACATCTATTCTTGAGTAAAGCTTTAAAGAGCATCGTTTTAAGTATGGGGTATAAAATCTTTCCTGCAGTAACCTTCTTAAGTGAGCAACCACATTTCTTTGTTGATGTATCACTGGTCACAAGTTTAAATCTTACTAAGACTCCAATTTGATCTTATTGATGAAAATAATGTGATCTTCTAAAGGCCATAAAAATAAACTTCTAATAAGAATTTTGTAAGTCATTGATAAATTTGGCAAATGTTTATTTGTGCCTTCTGGGCTCAGTATACTATGCCAGATACTGCAGAATGTAGAAAATAGTATACAATGTGTTTCCTACCCTCTAGAAGAGAAGGGGAACTAAGACAAAGAAAAATATCACGACATAACTTCAAGGGGCCCAGTGAATGAATGCCTATGGAGTTTAGACATCCGTTTTCTGGGTTGATCATGGAAAACTTCTCGAAGAAAGTAGCATGTGACCCAAGTCTGGAGGGTTGGGAGAATTTCGCTGGAAAATATAAGAGAGATATTTTTGCCCTGGATAAAGACGAAAGACATAAACAGAGGCCAACTAAAATGTGTTCCTGAAAATTCCTCTAACAGAAAACTCTTCTGAGTTTATTACTAAAAAAGAAAAAAAGAGAAAGGACCAAAGTCTGGTTTTGAAGTCAGGATTTTTCTACATTGCTTTTTCTCACTTCATATCTTTAAAGTTCAAGCACCTTTTGAAGACAGTGCTCTGAAGCTTTTACAAACTAATCTGAGGATATTTGTACCTAATTTATCCAGAGACAATAGGTCATTGTACTGCACACATGGTCTGCATATTCTGGATTGCTAAAGCCATTCTGATGGTTATTTTTATTGATTTTATGATGGTGATAAAAAGAAAGTGTGTGGCATTTGCAAAGATTTTTTCGATGTTCTTTGGACCTGGGATATCTGGTTGCATGTTCCTAAATAACAAAAACAAATGGATTTGTCTAAATTTGTGGCATAATATGGGAGTAATAGAAGAGCTTTTATCTGTCATTATAAGGAGTGCTAGGGCAAGAGGATTAGGAGAAAAGTCTTTGAAAATCAGAGTTCTTGTTAGTTCCTCTTAATGGACTAACAATTTAGATCTAATTGATCACAGCATTAATTGTCCATAATCTCTGTATGCTAAGGTAGCCTTCCGGGATATTACTAATCAAATTAAAACGAATTCAAAGCAATCTCCAATTACAGAACGTTTTGTCTCTCAGGCTTGGGGAGTCAGGGGCAATGTTGTGTTGATGACAGGCTGATTTGTGTGCCTGCAGAGCATAAATGGCCTCTTCTCAGACTCGTTTTCATGGAGTTGTGCTGCCTTGTGGCCTTATGCAATGCATCTAACAACAACAACAACAAAAAGGTGCTTTGAACATTTTCAAAGAAAGAAAAAATGCTGCCACAGTTATGCTTTTAGCTCAAAAATATGAATCTGCCCGACTCTTCATGCCAGGTATCTGTGGTGGCCTCATTCATCAGCAACACACAAAGTCAAGGAGTGATGAAAGTCCTCACTAACCCTAAGAGTAGGTATTTTTGTTCCTGGTCAGTGTTGAATTATGCGATTTTATTGTTTTCGGTTCTAGGCCAAGGAGGAGACAAGCGGGCTTTCAGGTCTCTTCTTTAATGGGGCCAATTTTAGTTCTGTCACCACTGTGAGAAAATACAAGGAAAACAAACCAGTCCTTCCAAGCCTTATCCTGTGGCCTAATCTAGCCACATACCCTCTTGGGACAGGGAAAATTCCTCCCTAGTAAATGCACTCTTTAACCAACAGTGGTGGGGAGGGGGGCATCGTTGTACAAACCTATTCTATGCTTGCTAATGGCTGCTAAAAAGTGTTAGAAAAGAGTGCAATTTTGTGCACATGTCAGCTATGTCCTCTTCTTGGGCTGGTGGCAACTCTCATATATATTCCTAATTGTTTTTCTAATTCTTCAATTTTAAAAGTTCAGTCACCCCAGGCCTCCAAACCCATCACGAACCTCTTGGTCTTTAGAGAGCTTTCCCATGTAGGGGTGCAAAATCTTTCTCACCTTTCTGCCACTGAAGCTCACATTTCTTCCATCTACACATGTTCTTATGGGAATAGCATTTTCCTCTCCTTTTCTCAAGCAACCTATGTTTATTTACCTCTTAACCCTTCTCATGCTATATCAGATTTGCCTATTTATGTGCCCATGTCCCTCACAAGACTGAATTTCTTGGGAACAGGAGAAATGTTTTTATTCACATAGTATCCCTAGTATCTAGCACAGACCACGGTACAGAAAGGTACTTGATAAATGTGTTGAATGAATTAATAATTTCTGTATATATGGCACAATTTGACCAACCTCTGTTCTTATCCTGCACCTGGCTTAAAGCAGAATTTAAGGCGTGAGGGCACTCTAAAGCCCCAACTCCACAAGATATTGGACAATGTTTTACTTAACACTCCTCAGGAAATAAAATTCTTATTCCTGATTAGATGTTTCTGTCCATCCCACCAAAGTTGGTGTTCTTGCCCTATTTCTCATCTTTTACCACCTTACTTTCCCTATACTATCTAAAATTTTGTATTCTATTATCCCTGCAAATCTACTCCTCCCCTTGGCTTGCATACTTCATTCAAAACAAGTTGGCACATTGGCTGAGCAAGGAGGATCTCTTTTCCTCAGCAACTAGAATGTAGGGTTTGGGGGAAAGGAGAGAGAATTGGAAGGGGTCTGAGTTCACCACAGAAAATGGATTAATTAATGATCAAGGTGTGCTTAAAGCTAACTTGAGAACCATTGTTTATTGAAGCTATTTCACCATTTTTTCTTAGAAGGAAAGTTCTATTTCTAGCCTGTTTCCCTGCTGTAGATTTTTCTAATCTTCAGCAAATACCTTGAGAAATCCATCAACAATTCCTCTAGTTGAACCATTCTAACAATTTTAATGCCTTGGATGAATAACATCTAAGCTTGAAGCTTATTCTTTTACCAAAAGCCTTTTGTTCTTAATGAAGATAGTAAGCTATCTGTCTGCAAAAGATCCACACCAGGCATTCCCAGTGGAATTTCTGGCCACATAAATGCATGGTCTTCGTAATACCATCTATCTCATAGAATAACTGTGAGACCATAATAAGATACTGAAGTTTCTGATACATTGGCAAATAGCTAATAAATATTAGTTTTTATTAATGATAATATTAATTAATGCTAGCATTGATCAATTAATGCTAATTATTATAATCTTAAAGAATTGTCTAAATAATTTTGGCAAAGGACCTTACAAAAATGCTATAGAAAGACTCTTTCTTAATTATTAGCATATTATACCAGCAATTTAACTTAAATTTATAAATTTGCACATAATTATTAATACTGCTACATCCTGAGGCATTTTGCCCTAGGCTTTTTGAACATGCTAAATTATGAAAGGCATTAAACTCTCAATTTTCTAACAAGAAATTCTGTTGTTATTTTTCTCTTAAGCAGCAAAACCACTGGTTTTCTTTTTCTTTCTTCTTTTTATGCTATTTTGTTCTAGGGTCAAAAGCAAGAATGATACATCAATAGCCAGTCATATTGGCTGCTGGCATGACTAGATTTTCCAGAAAACTTTGGAAAGAAAATTAGGAAGAATGTTGAAGAAATGGAGACTTGATTTCAAGGATAAGATGTTTTTCAGTTAATCCTGCAAAGGCGAGAAGGCCTAGCTTTACCTGTGATTGTCTGCATCCACAGCAAAAATGACAAATCTAAGTGGAAGGATACAGTTCCACCTCTGTGACATTAGTATGGAAGCCAAGCAGAGTGACTTTAAAGAATCATCGAAAGATGTTTCCTAGGAAATCCAGGATTAGGGATCCTGAGTTTGGGTCATTTGTGGCTTACGTACAGTGGAGAACCTTACAAAATGAGACTTCTAAGGAAAGGAGGGCTTTTAAATCCTATAAACAAAAGTACCCTAAGCCTTCTGGGAAACCAAATAGCTTTTACCAAACAGCATTTGATAAATTAAGTGCAAATGACTTAGAAACATGTGGATTAAATTTCCTTTAAAGTGCACACAGGTTTGAAAGTTAAAAGAGAGAAATTTGCTTTGTGGAAGTCATTTCTGAATTTTGTTAAGCCCAACAAAAAGAGGCAGAGTTGTGTTTCCTCCCATGCATGCATCGATGTACTAAGCACTTCAATAATCATCATTTATTGTTCAAATTCTGGTATAACTGTTCAAATTGAGGTATAGCCGAGAATGAAAATCTGTATTATGTGATTCCTAAGACCAGATCTAAAGGGGTATCTACACCGACCACAGGATGATTTGGGTCTCTCTTAGACAGGTATCAAGGGATTGCAATAAAGAGCAGCAATGGAAAATTTCAGGGCAGGTTCTGAACCAGCCTAAGGGCTCTGAGTTCTCTTGTTTAACCTTATAAAGAGTGATTGGAATGAAAAGAATACAAAATATGCAGTCAAAAGTCCTAGGATTAGGTTCTGGCCTCTCCACTTACAAACTATGCAACCTTGAGAAAATAACTAGCTATTTCTGGACCATAGTTTAATAACATCTACCTGATATGCTTGTTGTCAGGATACTAAATGAGAGAGTGTGTGGAAAGACACTCAATAAGCTGTTAAACGTTTCAAAAATGTATTTTTTCTCTTAGATTTCAGTGATACATAACAGAATCTAAATAGCTAAAATTTATAATTCATTGGGAATATTTAGAATCATCCTCTTGTAGAGAGTCATGAAGCTCAGTAGCATATCAAAGTCACTGAAAAATAATCCCAAATGAGTGAATCATGGAATCCTTTTTTTTATTCAAGAATTATTAACACCATAAAACACACTTTGACAAATCCTTAAGAAAGATGAGTTTTTTACATAGATTGATTTGTATAAATAAGAATTTCTTTTCATTTTCCCTAAAACAATTTTTTGAAGCTTCAAGAAAAAAACACAGGAGGAAAAAATTAGTTTCCTATTCCAAGATTCAATGTGAAAACTGATGTTCTACTCTCCATATTTTCGGGATTTTATTTTAACACAGGTCCTTGAATACAGTGTTGGGGTTCCCGGAATGATACCCCAAAGTATGGTTATTTGGAATGCTGAGCACTTTTGATTTAAGTGAAATTGGAAGGCCTTAGAAGTGGCCTCAAAACTAGAGACTTTCTAACCGTCTCCCTTCTCTTCCAACAACCCCAACCCCTACACCACAACAAGCACAGGAACGGCTCTCTCTGGAAGTTCCCTTATCTAACGGAGGAAAACTTCTTCCAAAAGAAATGCAATTGTCCTAAAATCCCCTCTCTAGAAATTTCATTCCGTAACCAGAAAGGTTAACCACTGGAGAAGAAAAGATACCATACGTTGTCATCACACCCAGACACCTATTCTTTTCACTTATTCTTCTGAGGATAACTTCAAGAGGTTGCCTGGGAGACTTATCTGTATAAGACAATCTTCGTTCACAGTGAAGTTTTGTCCCTCAACTTCCCACTATCTATTGCCATCTCCCCAGAATTCAGAGGAACTTTGTCCCAGCTCATTGACTGTCCTCTGTGCTCACTCAATTCCCCTGAAAATCATGTGCTACCTCTCAAAATTGCCTATATTCCCCTATTTCCTTCTTGCCTCTGAAGAGGGTGCTATCTAAGCTTCAGCCATCTGGCCCTTCGTTGAGTGTCATTTTTTGCATGGCTCATATACACGTCATGTTAATAAATTTGTATGCCTTTTCTCCTGTTAAATCTGCCTCTTGTGAGTTCGTTTCAGCAGATTTGAACCTTTAAAGGGGAAGGGAAAATTCTCATCACCCTTACAATAGCAAGAGTTTTATAAATATGAATATGTAAACTTTCTTTCTCCTCTAAATATTTTTTATTCAAGTCTCATATAAAGTTGCTATATGCTGTTGACAATTCTAATTACCTTCTCTCAATCTCTCTAGCTTCTTCTTGCTTCCTTGAGGGAGACAGGTCAGAATAGCCTATGATATCGCAATTATAGATGCACTATGTCAAAGATAAGATTTGTAAGTTTGTTTCTGATGATGACCAGCACTTTGTAGACTTTCTTGGTTGTAAACTCCAGAGGTAAGTGGATTTGCATATGAGACTCCATTCTGTGACTTTAAGCTACTTCTTCTATTTTATTAAATATTATATTAAAAATGAGGCATATTGAGATTTCAATATGCTATGATCCAAGAATACTTTGTAAGATTTCATTTGGGGAATTTTTGTTGCCTATTGCATGTGATAATGATTTGAAACAAATTTTTTTTTTAACTTTTGACTTTACTAATCTGCCTTCTCAGAGTTCAGCTCATTCCCCACTGGCCTTCTCTCTTTTGCCCTTTCCCCACTTCTGTTTAAATTCCCGTTGCCTCTATCACACTTTCTTAAATTCTTTCTTCTTTTTCATTTATAGTTTTTATTTTTATTCCAGAATTTCCTAATATCTTTAATTAGATATTATTCACACAAAGATTCTCATAAAAGAAGTTCCATGTCACATACATTTTGAAATCCCTACATATTATCTTTCTTTTTAAGCTTCCTAGTGCATATTAACATAAAAAGACTCCATAAAGTCTTGAAATAAAAGAATGCTGGTGAGCAAGGATTAGTCAGGGTTTTCAAAAGATATTATCACTGTATACGTGCTTCTTCATTAATATACAGTTCAGGAGAAGAACAGTTGGAAAGACTCCTGTTAGTGAGTTGATGATCCTTATAGTGCATAGCACAATGCCTGGCACTCAATGGACGTATGTGGAATTGCTGTAAGTACTTGAAGAATTCAGTGAAGACATGGAACAATTTAAGCTGGAAGTGGAGAACCTGATCCATGCTTTCAGGGTGCTCAGCAGTAAAAAACAGAAACCAACCTTGTCAAATTTAAGTAGAAAAGAAATTTTTTATGGATAGTGCTATGAACTGAATGTTCGTGTCCCCCAAAATTCGCATGTTGAAATCCTAGCCCCTCATGTGATGGTATTAGAAATTGGGGCCTTCGGGAGGTAATTAGGTCAAGAATGTACAGCCCTCATGAATGGAACTCGTGCCCTTGTAATAGGGACCCCAGAGAGTTCTGTAGCTTTGCACTGTGAGGGAACAGCAATAAGTGAGCCATCTGCAACCCAAAAGAAGCTCCTCCATGGAAGCCGACCATGTTGCCACCCTGATATCTGACTTCCAGCCTCCAAAGCTGTGAGAAATACATTTTTATTATTTATAAGCCACTTTGTTTATGGTATTTGTGTAGCAGGATGAGCCACAGACAAGAACCCCTCAGGCACCGAGTTGTAGAAGGAAAGGGCTTTATTCAGCTGGGAGAATCAGTGGACTCGCGTCTCCAAAAACCGAGCTCCCCGAGTGAGAGATTCCTGTCCATTTTAAGGGCTTACAACTCTAAGGGGGTCCACGTGAGAGGGTTGTGATTGATTGAGCAAGCAGGGGGTACGTGACTGGGGGCCGCATGCACCAGTAATCAGAAAGGAAGAGAACAGGACAGGGATTTTCATGATGCTTTTCCATACAATGTCTGAAATCTATAGATAACACAGCAGTTAGGTCAGGGGTTGATTTTTAACTACCAGGCTCAGGGTGCAGTGCTGGGCTATCTGTCTGTGGATTCCATTTCTGCCTTTTAGTTTTTGCTTCTTCTTTTTTTGGAGGCAGAAATTGGGCATAAGACAATATGAAGGGTGGTCTCCTCCCTTATTCCTCTCCTTTGAGAACCTCACTCATTAGTGGGAGTTCTCACTTTCATCCTCATTGCCCATGTCTTCTTGCAAGACAGATCGATAGTGATTCATATAGTACACTTGTGCTAAAGCGTTTTGGTGAACTAAGGTAGCGATGAAGCTTTTTATCATTTGAAGAAGTACAGGTAGCAAACAAGGGAGCAGTAAGCAGGTTTCTATTACTATTATAACTCCTATTATAAGAGTTTTAAGTCCTTCTAGCGCTGGGAACCATTTTCTAAACATGGCCCTAGGATCAAATCCATGCCACACTTGCACGGGTACATGTGCCAGTTTTGTCGTATCTCTAACTATGCCTTCAACTACTTGCCCTTAATCATCTATGTGTAGAGAGCAATTAGTAAGGTTAAATTTCCCACAGACCCCTCCTTCAGCTGCTAGCAAGTAGTCAAGAGCCAATCTATTTTGATAGCATTTCTCATCTAAGTTTCTTGCTGGGCCAGAATAGTCAAGGCTCTGCCAGTTTTATTAGTGATTATTTCTAAGACAGCTTGTAACTGTATGATTTGGTTGAGCATGTAAATGGGGGCCTGGTATCCCCACAAACCATCTTGTGCCCAAGTAGCCGGCCCATAGTATTGTAGGATTATCTCAGGGGGCCATTCATCATCTTTCCAATTTCCTATAGCTATGCTTCTCTTTTCATGGGAAGCATAGACAGGGAAGCCCAGGAGTTCGCCTGTTTTTATGGGCAGTAGAAAGAAAGATGGTTTAATAGTGCTAATAACACAACTACCTGCCCACTGGTCGGTTAATTTGGCATAAGCTCTATGCCCACATATCCAGTATAATCCAGTGGGGGCTGTCCAGTCCCGGTGGGACTCTGGGTGGGTCCACACGGTTTGCAACTTTGGGAATGTACTATATGGATTCCTTTCTGTGTGATTTCAACTCCACCAAGTGACTGTTTTTTTGGTACCATTATACAGTTTCTGTCCCAGACAACTAAGTCGTTCAGCACGGTGAATGAATTCTTTTCCTTCTCTAGCTATGCAATATTGTCCAATAATTAAGGCTTTTAGGACCCAGAAATTACCAGGTTGATTCTTTTGAGCCAGGAATTCACCAGGAACTGAGTCTGTAGGTACTAATTCTCGGGCTTCCCATGGCCATTGATCTCCCTTTACAGTTCCTCCACATACATAACATGAAGTGACACTGAGAGACTGGGCTACATGCTCGGCTAATTGCAAAAACTAATTTCTTGTTTTTCCTGGAATTTCTGGTACTGGCACATGTAGTTCATCATAGAAAGTTTGAAACACTGGCTCAGGAGAGCATTTGTAAACTTCTCCTCGAACTAAGATATTTACTCGAGGATCCAGTCCAGCCCCATCAATTCCTAAGGTCACATGCTCCCCTTTTTTCCAGCGAGGATCAAGGGGATTGGTTATTACTAGCTCTAAGGGGCTACATTGTCCCTTAGCACAGGAAGGGCCACTTTTTCCTTTCTGAAGGTGGACTGGATCCTTTTCATTTTTTATCCAAGTGGCCCAAATGACACAAGACCGGTATCCACGTTTATTTCCACACAGTCCTAATTCATGACAAATGTACCTATTTTCGGTCCTATAGCCTTTCTTCCAATCAAAGGAGCCACATCCGCTTCCTAACTTATTGCTATTAATGACAGCACAAGCATCAAATTTCAAGATTATGAGTTTGGGCACCCCTTTTTCTTCTTTTCTGGCTAATACTTTACTTGTATCATCTACGAGTCCCCAACAGTCTGCAGTCCTTAATCTTATTTTAAAAACTGTGGACATGGCAGGCTCAGAGGGGTCATAACACACATCTGGCCGGTCATTTCCTGGGATACATACTGTTCCTTTTTAAGTTCCTAGGCATTCAGAGTAACTATAGAACAGCAAGATTGTTTTAACTTGTTGCCCTACTTCAGTAACCTGATGTATACACTGAGAGCAGTCCTCCATGCGGGGAAAATCAGCGGAAGTTTTTACTATACAAGTCCAAATTATAAGGAAAATGAGCCCCACGATGATTCTCCTCATGCTTCGGCCGTGCGTAGACCAGTCAGCTTCCGGGTGTGACTGGAGCAGGGCTTGTCATCCTCCTCAGAGTCACTTTGCAGGGATTGTCCAGGCTCGGTTTTGCCTCCCAGGTTTCAGCAGTTGCAGGTTTCACACGGCTGTGGTGGATCCAGGCTGGGATTCCTTCTATCTTTACAGCTTGGGGGTGGTCAGGGTGACGGTCTGAGGTCCTTTCCACTGTGGCCGCAAAGGGGCTATGTTCCAGTCCTTGATCCACACGCGATCACCTCCACATTTTGGCATTTCTGTGAAATCCACCTGAAGATCCTCAAAAGGATCATCTTCATAAGCTTGTAGGCCTGGCGGAACAGTGGGGCCCTGCCTTGCGTTGTGCTTCACTGAGTTCTAGAGCGTGAGTTAAAGCAATGAGCTCAGTCTTCTGGGCTGAAGTGCCCTGTGGCAATGCTTTGGCTTCAGTGACAGCATTCAAAGTTACCACCACATATCCTGCACATCTTTCTCCTTGTGGGTTGATGAAACTGCTCCCATCCACGTATAACTCCCAGTCTACTGTTGCCCATGGCTGGTCCCAAAGGTCAGGTCTGCTAGAATAAACTGAGTCCAACACCTCTACACAGTTATGCTCGACCGGGCTCTCTGATACTGGCAGCAGGGTGGCGGGATTTAGGGTGTTACAGACTTCAATGGTTATGCGGGGATTTTCACATAGCAAGCTTTGGTACTTGGTTAATCTAGCATTTGTTAGCCAGTGATGGTCTTCGGTATTCATCGAAGTTACCACACCATGGAGGGTCTTTATATTCAGGTTTTGCCCAAGGGTTAGTTTATCTGCTTCTTGTGCTAACAGGGCCATTGCTGCTAGGGCCCTTAGACATGGTCACCAGCCTTTCGAAACCCCATCTTGTTTTGAGAGATAGGCCACGGGCCTTGGCCAGGACCCCACAGTCTGGGTTAAAACTCCAACTGCCATTTTTTCTCTTTCTGACACATAGAGTGTAAAGGGCTTTGTCAAATCTGGTAGTCCTAGGGCTGGAGCCGACATAAGTTTTTCCTTTAATTCACAAAAGGCTTGCTGTTGTAGAGGCCCCCATTCAAAAGGCTCCCAGTCGCCCCCCTTTGTAACCCTGTACAAAGGTTTGGCTAGTACTGCAAAGTTTGGAATCCATAATCTGCAAAACCCCATAGCTCCTAGGAATTCCCTTACTTGCCTTCTGGTTTTAGGTTCCAGTAGGCTGCAGATGACTTGCTTTCTTTCTGACCCCAGGCTGCACTTCCCTTTCAGAATAGTGAATCCCAGGTAGCGTACCTGCTGTCTGCAGATCTGAGATTTCTACTTGGACACCTTATACCCACAGTCTTCCAGGTGCCGAAGCAGGGCATCCGTCCCTTTGGCATACCTGACTGCCGTGGAGTGTCCCAGCAGAAGGTCATCCACATACAGGAGCAAGACGCAGCCTAGGTCTTTAGCAGGAAACTTTTGCAGGTCTCGAGCCAGGGCCTCCCTGAAGATAGTAGGGGAGTTCTTGAACCCTTGGGGAAGCCGGGTCCAAATGTGCTGAGTAGTGACACCTGACTCCGGATCTTCCCACTGAAAGGCAAACAGCTTCTGGGTCTCAGGAGCTAGTCTGATGCTAAAGAAGGCATCTTTAAAGTCCAGGCAGGTAAACCAGCTGTCCTCAGCCAGCAGCAGCCCTAACAATGTGTAAGGGTTAGGAACTTTTGGGTGTAGAGTCACTGTAGCTTGGTTGGCCAAGCGCAAGTCCTCTACTGGCTACTGGCCGGTAGTCCTTGGTCCCTGGCTTAGGGACAGGCAGGATGGGGGTGTTCAGTGGAGACTGGCAAGGAACTATAATTCCAAAGGCTTCAAGCGCCTTGAGATGAACCTGAATTCCTTCGAGAGCTTCTCTGGGAACTGGATACTGCTTTTGTCTAATTGGCTGGGCCCCCGGCTTAACTTCTGAGTACGGGGGCTTGGTTGACTGCCAGTCCCAGAGGATTATCCTCCTCCCATACTCAGGGCCATCACTTAGCTAGAGCTGATTTTATCTCTTGGCCTGGCTCGGTTAGAAAAAGTCTCCGTTCTTCTTCCCGGGGGACCATAAGGGCCATGATAACTCCTGTTCCTGGTAACTTTTGCTGTAAAGAGCCCTGTTTTGTAAAGCAGATGGTGGTTCTCAGCTTGCTAAGCAAGTCTCTTCCCAGCAAATGCAAGGGACAGTCAGGCATGTACAAGAACCGGTGAACTATTTCATGTCCCCCTACCGAGCAGGTCCACGGTAGACAGAAAGCCTGCTTAGTGGAAACTGTTGTTGCTCCAATTATATCAATGGTTTTCTTGGATAAGGGGGCAACCGGGGTGGTCACTACTGAATGTTCAGCACCAGTATCGACCAAAAGCTTGATGTCCTTGCCCCCAATTGTAATCCCGATTGTGGGCTCCTTGGGGGCGCTTCAGCCCAGTCCCCTTCAGTCTAATAGCCCTTCAACCAGATTGAACAAAGCTCCCTCATCTTTATCTGAGGTCTTTTCCTCCGAATCACCTTGCTTTTCCTTCAGTTGGGGACTCTTATCTTTCCAATGTCCTGTTTCCTTACAATAGGTGCATTGGTTACGTTGTAAGCTTGGGTGATTAGACTGCGTATTCTTCCCAGAACCACTCTTTCCCTGTCCTTTCGGGGGAACTCCCCCAATGGCCGTGGCCAGTAAGTCAGTGTTTCACCTGGCCTGGCGTTCACCTTCCTTACAGCTTTCTCTGTGGCTTGTTGCATCTCTATTCACAAACACTTGATTGGCTATTTCCAGTAACTGTGAGGTATTCATACCTGCAAACCCAGCCTGTTTCTGCAATTTTCTCCTGATATCTTCCGCGCTTTGACTAACTAAGGCCATGTTAATCATGCACTGATTTTCAGGGCTATCTGGATCAAAAGGAGTGTACATATGGTAAGCCTCACACAGCCTTTCATAGAATTGCGCTGGACTCTCCTCTTTTCCTTGGATGACCTCAGAGACCTTATTTACCTTTGTAGCCTTTATGACCCTTTCTTTAGACCTTCTATCAATGCCTCACGGTACCATCTTAGCCTCTCCATGTCTGGTCCCTTGTTCAAGTCCCACTGGGGATCTGTTCCTGGCAGCTGAATTCTTATATATTCTTGGGGGTTTTGGTAATCGGCTGGGATGTGCTCCTCTAGCCACTTAGTTGCTGCCTGGAGCACCCTTCACCTTTCATCTGTATTAAAGAGATACATCAGCAGCTGGTGGCAATCAGCCCAAGTAGGATTATGAGTCTGTATAATAGTTTGGAGCAAGTCAATTAAAGCTTGAGGCTTTTCAGTGTAAGATGGAGTATTATTTTTCCAATTGAGGAGGTCAGCAGAGGTGAAAGGTTGATACACAAAGTCACGCCTTTCCACCATGTGTCCTTCCTCATCTACCCCAGTATATCCCTGTTCTCTCAGGGGCATTTGGATTCCAGTCTTGGGCCATAAGTGAGCTGCCAAGGGAGGAGTTTCTCCCGTGGCTTCACTTCCTCTTTTGTCTACTCTGGGTGGTCTAGGAGTGTGGATATCTGGTGGAGGTGGAGGTGCTGTGGCCTCGAGAGTGGGGAGCCCTTCCTTTTGATAAGGAGGGAGTACTGCTGGTACCAATTCCTGCCATGATTCTTCTGGTGTTGGGTCGGACAGGACTTTTGGCACTGACTTCCCTCGGCGGGTGGAGCGAGAACGTTCCTTAACTAACTGTCCCTTTGCTTCTACTACTGCTGCTGCCTGTCCTCTTAACCACTGTGGGGGATGTAAAACTAGCTGTAACCAAGAATCTATATACAAGAACTGATCTGGGTGCCCTGGCTTACAGGTTACCCTGTGCCATACCTTCGAGACAAGGGACCTGTCCAGGCTTCCTTCTGATGACCAACCCACCTCTAATGCTGGCCAGTCTATCTCACACAAAGTTCTAAGTTTTCCTGGTGTCATAGTAACTCCATAGTCTTCTTTAAATCCCTTTTTGAAATTTTTCCACATAGTTCCTAGTGGGGTGGGCTTACTTTGTGCCTAACCCATGTTTCCTCGAGACAAAACACCATGCTCACACCACAAGCACACCACAAAACAAAGAACGAGTAAAGAGAGCACATACACACTTTTACAGTTTACACCAAACCAGAATCAAAACCAAAATCAGAGTATCAAGAAATCCAAGCTGGGTCAAAACCAAAACCAAAGTTTCAAGCAATCCAAGTCAAGTCAAAAACAAAAACCAAAGTGCCGGTACAGGCACTTCATGGGTGATCAAGCCACGCTTCCACTCAAACAGAGTGGACAAGTTCCAAAGACCAGTCTTACCAAGTTTCAGATGTCTGGACTCCAAGTGCCAGTTCCTTCCCAGTGTTCAGCCATTGCATTGATCCTCCATGGGGGCCTGCCACACGCTGCTCTGGCGAGGCATTCCACCGGGGCAATTGCCTAACTGGGAGTGCTCTTTGGATTCTCATTGCTCAGGCTGGTCGGAGTCTCCTGCAGGGATGCTCCATAAGGCAGGCCTAAGCCGCCTAAGGAGCTGCATCAGGCTTCTGCTAATCACCTCTCTTCCCAGTCAGGGAACCAAGAAATGTAGGAGGACAAGCCACAGACAAGAACCCGTCAGACACAGAGTTGTAGAAGGAAAGGGCTTTATTCAGCTGGGAGAATCGGCATACTCTCATCTCACCGATCTCCCGAGTAAGTGATTCCTGTCCATTTTAAGGGCTTACAACTCTTAAGGGGGTCCATGTGAGAGGGTCATGATTGATTGAGCAAGCAGGGGGTACATGACTGGGGGCTGCATGCACTGGTAATCAGAACGGAACAGAAGAGGACAGGGATTTTCACGATGCTTTTCCATACAATGTCTGAAATCTATAGATAACACAAGCAGTTAGGTCAGGGGTTTTTAACTACCAGGCTCAGGGCGTGGTGCTGGGCTATCTGCCTGTGGATTCCATTCCTGCCTTTTAGTTTCTACTTCTAATTTCTTTGGAGGCAGAAATTGGGCATAAGACAATATGAGGGGTGTTCTCCTCCTTTACTTGAGCCGGAACTAAGGCACATAGTGACTACCTTCCAGCATCTCTGGGATATGTTAGGAGACTATACAGCCAGAAATATTTTAACATGACTGTAGTGTTCTCTAAAGTTATGATTCAGGGCAGATTGTTAAAAAAAATTTTAAGTTTATTATTTTTGTTCTCTTTTCATTGTATTGTAATGGTGGCAGTATGATGTTGTGGCGGAGAGTTCCAAGTTGGAATCCCAGCTCTCTCTAAGGCTCTTGACCTCTGAAAGTCAGCCATTTTGTCTGCGTTGTATCAAATAATGATCATAAAACTTACTTCGGAGGGCTCTTATGAGGCTGAAATAGGACATATATATTAAGCTCTTAGCACACAGTAGTTCATTCATAAGAGGTAGCTCTATTATATCCTAAAAAGAAATGTGCTTCTAATACCAGAACAAATCTTCAATCACTTGGGGACATTGAAAGGCCAGGAAAGAGAGAGTAGGTTTAAAAGGCACCGGCCACAGCTGGGAGTCTGGAGTTCTCTTCCTGGTTTGCCACCCTGTTTGTTCTTGGCTTTGCAGATGATGCCTTGGAGACAGAGGTCTCCCCTTACACTTAAACCTAAGGGAAACTTTGACAGTTTCTTCCTTTTAGGGAACTGACTGAATGTTTGGACTAGAACATTTTAAAGACTTCAATTTTTTAAGAAAATGGTTTATTGATTCTAATTTATTTTTTTAATGTATAGCAGAAACTAGTTAACTTTAATTTAGGACTGACATTTACATGCTGCCTAAGAAGTAGGAATCCAAGGTGGACAATTCATTTTCATTTTGGTGAAAAGCATCATTTAAATGTCAGAAAACTGCATATTTAACATTTGCAGTAATTAAGGAACTTTAATTTAATAATAAATCTCTCTGTCTTCATCTATTTACACTCTTTCCTCTGTCCTGGTCTGGCACTTTCCTTAGTGAATCAACTACCACTAATTGCTTCTTTTTGAAGTGTAAATATATTTAATTCTTCTTACAGGCCAAGTAGCACGTTTACTATTTACTTGGTAATTACCTTTTTCATGAATTACTTCCTTTTGGGGGCTTCTCTCAGGGGAGCAAAAAAATTTTCTTTATACTTTGCCGCTGTGGAAATCGACCTCCCTCTAATTCTGCAGGAGGCGGTTCCCTGACTTCCACTGAGAACTGGGCTCCTCTTGGTTTTGTGTTCCAACTCAGGAGAGACCCTACTCTAAAAGCCGCACTGGTCTCAACTCCAAATGGGGACAGTCTGGTATCCCACAGGCACACACCGTAAATCAGTATTGAATGACTATAAAAATACTCTGAGATTTAAATTTGCCTTACATTACAGTGTACAGGTTTAAGATTAAAAAATATTTTGTTAAATGATCGTTGATTTACATATAAGGATCCAGGTGAGATCTATCTGTCCTAAGGAAAACTAGCCAAAGTGCTGATTTCCATAACTCACTGTTAAGCAGCTTCAGTAAGGTTAGTGGAGTCATGGGAAGGAACAAGAGTTCAAATTCTCCTTGGAGAATGAAGGTTAACTCATGTGTCCAGAATAGAGCATGACAAGATCATTTATACTAAAAATAAATCAAGAAAATATCAAGGCTGTTTATAAACATTGCTTTCTAATATTCTAGAATACACAATAAATGAGGGACAATATAAATTAGCCTACTGTGTGCATTATTCTTTAGTCTATTAATCAAATAATGATTTCTTTTAACTTAGGTAATGCACATGTTACAGGAAAGAGGCCCCGATCCAGACCCCAAGAGAGGGTTCTTGGATCTCCCACAAGAAAGAATTCAGGGTGAGTCCATAGAGTAAAGTGAAAGCAAGTTTATTAAGAAAGTAAAGGAATAAAGAATGGCTACTCCATAAGCAGAGCAGCCCCGAGGGCTGTGGGTTACCCATTTTTATTTTTATTTCTTGATGATATGCTAAACAAGGGGTGGATTATTCATGCCTCCCCTTTTCAGGCCATATAGGGTAACTTCCTGACATTGTCATGGCATTTGTAAACTGTCATGGTGCTGGTGGGAGTGTAGCTGTGAGGACAAGAGAGGTCACTCTTGTCGCTCTCTTGGTTTTGGTGGATTTTAGCTAGCTTCTTTACTGCAATCTGTTTTATCAGCAAGGTCTTTATGGCCTGTATTTTGTGCCGACTTCCTATCTCATCCTGTGACTTAGAATGCCTTAACCATCTGGGAATACAGCCCAGTAGGTCTCAGTCGCATTTTACCTAGCTCCTATTCAAGATGGAGTTGCTCTGGTTCAAAGACCTCTGACACATGTATATGATACAAAATTCAAGAGAAGCAGACAAACATTCTGTGATAAATTAATCTCCAGCTGAAGTCCTTGGACCACCCAGTTCCCTGCACCAGAGGTTAATAATTATTCCTTGTTTTCTTCTGTATTAGGGATAATCTTCACATATCAATATACAACAATGCTAGTTACATTGTTTTTCAAAAATGATAGCATGCTATATATAATGTTTTATGTCTATTTTTTTTTCACTTAACAATGTGTATTAGCTATAGGATTACATATGGAATAGCATCATTGCTTTTAATGGGCACTTAGGATTCCATTGCATGAATTTACAATAAACTACTTAACCAGTTCACCATCACTGAAATTCTCATTGCTTCTAGTCCATTGCTATTTTCAAAAATACTGTGAAATATATTGATTATAAATTATTTAAACCTGTGGAAATATATTTGTAGAATAACTATATGGTAGTAGACTTGCTGGGACAAAAGCTATATGCTTTGACAATTTTGATCAATTTTGCTGTATTTCCACTCATGAAAGATACAGGCTTCTATACTCCCATTAGCAGTTTATATCGTTTTATTTTTCTCCATAAGGGAGGCTTACTGGTATCAAGTGTCACTACTATTCTATTTTAATCACTTTAATTTTATAATATGATTTGATGATTGGTAAATGTAGTCTTCCTTAATTACTCTTTTTTTCCCTCAAAATTTTGCTGATTATTCTTGCCAATGCATTTTTCTTATATAAACTTTAGTTTGTGATATTTAGTTCTCAAACTAAATATGCTTTCAAATTCTTGCTTATAAACTTATTGAGAATGAGGTAAATACACAGATTAATTTATGAAAATTAGCATATTTTAATATTGTCTTCTTACAAGAAAACATGCTTTTCTTTTTCTCGTTCTTTTGTTTCTTCATAGCTCTCTGAAGCTCTTTGTTATCTTTTGCTCATTTCTTTTTAAGTTGATTTTAAAAATTTGTATTATTTCTGTTGCTACTGGAAATGCAACCTACAATTCTTAGCAATAAACTTATTTTATAAATAATTTTTATCAACCAGCTTTTAGAAATCAACTCTTCTTTCATAATATTTCCTGTTCATTACTTATAGGTATACAAAGTCTATTTTTTTCTTGTTTTATCAACTTACTGATTTCTTTTCCTGGTAATATTTTTCCATGTGATTGTTTTCCAGGGATGTAACAATATATCCTAAATATAATGACTTTATCTTCTTCATTCCAATTATTATACCTCAAATTTATTGTTCTATAATTGATTATAGTGGGAATTTTTATCTTGTCCCTGACTTTCACTGGAATGATTTATCATTAAAAAATGATGTTGGGGCCGGGCATGGTGGCTCAAGCCTGTAATCCCAGCACTTTGGGAGGCCGAGGCAGGCAGATCACGAGGTCAGGAGATCAAGACCATCCTGGCTAACATGGGGAAACCCTGTCTCTAATAAAAAATATAAAAAATTAGCTAAGCATGGTGGTGGGCGCCTGTAGTCCCAGCTACTCAGGAGGCTGAGGCAGGAGAATGGTGTAAACTGAGGAGACAGAGCTTACAGTGAGCCGAGATGGTGCCACTGCATTCCAGCCTGGGCGACAGAGCGAGACTCTGTCTCAAAAAAAAAAAAAAAAAATTATGTTGGTTTGAGGGTTAAGATACATGAGGGTGTGATTATCATGCTACTGCGATATCTATTCTCACTTTATTGAATTTGTTCATTTGTTTATTTTAGTCAGGAATAAATGTTGAATTTTATCAAATACATTTCAGCATCTTTTTTGGAGGATCATAGAGTTCTCCTCTTCTAATCTATTATAATTATATTAATAGATTTGGTAATATTGAACCAGCCTTGCATGCTTGAGATAAGCCTCATTTGCCCAGAGCATATTTTTTGTTAGTATCCTGCTAGGTACTATTGCTAGTCTTTTATTTTGGATTTTGCATTAATATTTGTTTGTGAGATCATTGGTAGTTTCAGTGTATGTGCATATATGGGTTTATTTTGGGCCTTTGATATCAATATATGTGTATTTCATAACAGCAATTTGAAGTTTTCATTCTTTTTCCAGGCTTTGGAACAGTTTAATGCTTTAAAATCCAATGTCTTTTCCCTAAAAATTCTAAGGCTTCCCCACACAACTGCTTAGGTCTAGTGTTTTATTCATGGACTATAGGATATACAGGGCCACAACATAAACTTGTGTGGTTTCTGTACTGCAAAATAGGGTCTGA
This sequence comes from Homo sapiens, assembly GCF_000001405.40. Classification (NCBI taxonomy): domain Eukaryota; kingdom Metazoa; phylum Chordata; class Mammalia; order Primates; family Hominidae; genus Homo; species Homo sapiens. The sequence continues at coordinate 55,945,849 of NC_000018.10, read as the reverse complement.
CCTTATATAGATTTGTAGATGAAGGAGCGAGGGAGGATAAGATCCAGCTTGTGCTGTGTTTTGCTTACATGCAACACTCTGATGGAGATGTGCATCAGCTGGAGACAATATTTTCTTTTTCATACAAATAGATCAACTGCTTTCCACACAACAGAATAAAAACACACTGACCTTGAGGTGGAACTCAAAGACACAGCCATGGAAATTAAATAAAATAAAGAACAAAAGACTGAAAAAAATGAACAGAGCATCAGAGACCTGTGGGACAAACTTAAGTATTATAATATACATGTACTTGGAGTCCCCAAAAGGTCAATGAGTGAGAAGGGAACAGAAAAAATATTTTAACAAGTGTGGCTAATAGTTTCCCAAATTTGATGAAAACTATAGACCCCCTGATCCAAGAAATTCACCTAACGCAAGTGCAAGAACCTGAAGAGAAGTTACACCTGAGTACCACATAATCTAATTGTTTAAAATCAGGGATTAAAATATCTTAAAAGCATCCAGAAAAAAGACACACATTATGTATAGAAAAACAAAGATAAGAACAGCTTCAGGTTTCTTATTAGAAAATAATTGCAAAGCCGGAAGATAGTAGAGCAACATCTTTGAAGTACTGAGAGAAAAAAGCTCTCAATGTGGAATTTTATGCCCTGCAAAGAAATAACTTTAAAATGTAGTTAAAAAACAATTCTAATATGCAAAAGCTAAAATAATTAATCACTATAAGACCAGAACTGTGAAATAGTTAAAAGAATTACTTCAGGCAGAAGAATAATGATACTAGATCTATAGAAGACATAAGAGCCCTAAAAATTCTAACATAGCCACTAAATACACACATAGACACACATGCACATCCCTATCAAATTATAGCTAATAAACTAATAAATGATACAAAATAATCACAAAATACTCAATTCACAAGCAAGCAGAAAAATAGAGAAAAAGAGAACAAATGTCAGTTGAAACAAATAGAAAACAAGTAGCAAGATGATAATTTTAAACCCAACAATAGAAAAACTCCTTTATATGTAAGTAGTATAACCCCACCAACCAAAAAGCAGATATTTTTCTCATTGGATATAAAAAGCAAGACCCAACCATATGTTGCCTAAAGGAGCTAAGCTTTAAATATAAAGACTTAACTAGGTTAAAAGTAGAAGGATTAAAATATATAGACTATGCTAACACTAATCAAAAGTAAAGAAATATGGAGTGCCTATATTATTATCTGGCTAAATAGATTTCAGAGGAAATATTACTAAAAGAGACAAAGATGGTCATTTCATAAGGAAATAGCAGTAAAGTCATCAAGAAGACATACAGTCCTAAATGTTTATGTCCCGCTAATAGAGATTCAAAACACATGAAGCAAAAACAGACAGAACTTCAATGAGATTTTGACAAATCCACAATTACATTTGGAGTTTTGAACACCCCTCTCCCATTAATTGAAAGAAAATATAGACAGAATATCACTAAGAATATAGGAGACTTGAACAATACTATTAACTAATTTGATTTAATAGACATATATAAAATGTACCATTCAACAACAGCAAAGACACTTTTCAAATGCAGATAGAACATTTACCAAAATAAACCACACTTTGAGCCATTTATAAAGGCTTAGTAAATTTTAAAACTGTAAGTAATACAATGTACGTTTTCTGACCAAAATGGACCTAATTCAGAAATTAACAACAGAAAGGTATCTGTAAAATCCCCCAAAATATAAAAACTAAGTAAAACATTTTTAAAAACTCATCAATGAAGAGTAAATCAAAAGAGAAATTCAAAAGTATTTTCAACTGAATAAAAATGGAAACAAAACATATCAGTATTTGTAGGATGCCACTAAAGCAGTAGTTAGAGGAAAATGTACAGCAATATAACACCTATATTAAAGAAGAAGGAGCATGTCAAATCAAAGACCTTACTTTTTATTAAGACCATTAATAGACTGGGGGGAAAAAGACCAAGTAAGACCCAAAACAAGACAAGAAAAAGAAGAGGAAACAATAAAGATCAGAACAGAAATCAGTGAAATAGGAAACAGAGTATATCAATAAAATCAGCATCTGTTCTTTGAGGTCAATGTAATTGAGAAACCTGTACCCAGATTGATGAGGAAAAAAGTGTAAAAGATACAAATTGCAAATATCTGGAATGAGGTGACACCACTACAGGTTTGACAGATATTTAAAAAATAATAAAGGAATATTATGATTAAGTTTATGCTAAGAAGTTCAATAATTTTAATGAAATAAAAAAATTTATTTAAAGGCATTGTTATGGACTCACCAGAGACCAAGCAGATGCCAGCATCATGCTTCCTGTACAGCCTGCAGAACCATGAGCCAATTAAGCCTCTTTTGTTTATAAATTACCCATTCTCAGGTATGTTTTTATATACGTGACACAAAAATGTCCTAATACAGTAGTGAACTTTCTCAATCTAACAGAGTATCTGTGAAAACCATATGGCTAACAACATAGTTGATGTTGAACAACTGAATACTTCCCCAAAGATCAGGAGCATGACAAAGATGTCCTCTCTCATCACTTCTATTTAATATTATGCTAGAGGCCTACTCAGTGCATTCATGCAATAAAAAGAAATAAAAGGAATCCAGATTGCCAGGAGACAACTGTCTTTATTCATAGATTATGTGATCATTTCTATAGAAAACACTGTAGAATCTATAAGAAAGCTACTAGAACTAATATATGAATTTAGCAAGGTTATAGACTACAAGATACAAATGCAAAATTAAATTGGGTTTCTATATACTACAAATCAGAAAATAAAATTTTTAAAATAGCATTTACAATAGCATCAAAAACCTGAAATACTTAGGGGTATATCTGATAAGTGATGTGTAAGAATTGTACACCAAAACTGCAAAAACATTTTGGGAGAAAAAAAGATAACCTAAATAAATAGAGTGATGTACCATTGCCCTGTAAATGCAGACTAAATATTAAGATTTCAATTCTCCCCAGTTTGATCAATAGATTCAATGTAATTCAAATCATAATTACAGCAGACTTTTTACAGAAATTGAAAAGCTGATTCTATAATCCATATGGAAATGCAAAAGCCTTAGAATAGCCAAAACAACTTTTAAAAAGAAGAATAAAGTTGGAGGACTTACACTACTTCATTTCAAGTCTTATTATAAAGCTACTGTTCTCAAGACAGAGTGGAATTGCCATAAATATACATAAGTGGATCAATGGAACAGAACAGAGAGCACAGAAATAGATCCACAAATCTGCTGTCAATTAATTTTTCACAAAGGTGCAAAGACATTTCAGTGGAGAAAGAATGGTATTTCAACAAATGGTGCTGTAAAAATTGAATATGTATATGTATCATATGTAAAAATGAACTCTTAAATGGATCACAGAAATATAAAACTTAAAAATATAAAACTGCTAGAAGAAAATATAGATGAAATCTTTGTAACCTTAGGTTAAGCATAGATTACTTGGACACCCACTAAAAACACAATATGTAAAAGCAAAAGATAATCAACTGGACTTCATCAAAATTAAAAATGCCTACTCCTCAAATGATACTGTTAAGAGAATGAAAATATAAGCCACATACTAAGAGAAAATATTTGCAAATCTCATATCTGATAATGGACATTTATCCAGAGTCTATAAAGAGGTCCCAAAACATAATAATAATAAAACAAGCAAATCAATTTTTAAAAACTTAAAACCAACATGTAGGAAGCTAAATCTAGAGGCTGGAGGAAGGTAAGACTGGATAAGATAGAGAATGGAGGCTGAGAAACCAATTATGGTGAATCCATAGTTGTTTATTTTTAATTTCATCGGTAAATGTTCCAATGTATGTCTCTCAATGAAAAGACTATTTTAATAAAGTACAACCACTATACAATTGTCACGTTTTAGGGTTAATTCCAATAGATAATACAAGCATAATAGTTGGAATATATTGTATACCCACTATGTGGCAGAAATTGCTGAACTCACCAGAGCCCTATGAAACAGCTATTAATATACTCTCTTCAAAGATAAGGAAACTGAGGTTTAAGGACACTAAATAATGTGTTCAAGATCATACAGCTCCAAAAGTTGCAAGACTTAGAGTCAAATCAGATCTGTTTAACATTAATATGTCATGATCTTTCTATCATAGTATCCAGTCTTCCAGTAATTGAAAAAATAGTGGAAAGTAAACAAAGAATTGTTTTTACATTCCATGCTGTATTGATTAACCTACAAACCAAACTCCTTGGTAGAAAATGTTCCAAGTGTAAATAACATAAGACATTCATTTCCCTCCCTCAGGGCAGTGAAGAGACATGTGGTCTAGGACATGTATGACAACTCTGCTCCATGAAGCCATCTAGGCACCTAGACTCCTTCTGTCTTGTCACCATACCATCCAGACGATCTCCACATTTGATGATTAAAGCCAGCTCATTAGTACCACTTCCAGCTCGTGGCAAGAGGAAGGAGAGAGTAAGCAGATTCCTTTTATGGATTTTATCTAGAAGTTATACAAATCTCTTGCACTCACATCTAATTATTTTAGACACATGAACACACCTAGCTGCAAAGAGGCTGAAAAATGACTCCTCCAGCTAGGCACTGAAGGAATTCTACTTCTGAAAGGAAGAAGAGATGGGTTTTGGGGGGCAGTTAATTATCTGTTAACAGTGCTTTTTTCTAGTCAGGTATTCTTGACACAAGAGATCTGGCTTCTATTATGGCATGACATTGGGAGGCTTTGTAATGTTAGTTCTATGCACCTCGTGAAAATTGGCCAACCCAACTGATAATTCCATAATGCACACACTCTTGGAAATCTTGAGTAGTAGTTATAATTATTTGCAGATAGCCTATGTTGTACATAATCAGCTCTCCTATTTGGGGAAGAGGATGGGTGTAGCCTGATGGTCCTAGCCACTCATCAAGACGACGATACCAAGATTGCGGGTCAAACTTCAGAACTTTTAACCAAGAATTTATTAATGAGTGAAAAAAAAAATCAGACCAACAGGAGATATGTATGTCACAAAATCTGAAGAAATGTTTTTCCCAAAGCTGATGCTAACTGCTACTGCTAAAATAATTCACAACAAATCATCTCTTTTCTCTATTTGAATTTTGGATAGAGTAAAAGACTGAGGGCTAGAGAAAAAGCAAGCTGTATTCAGACTTGCCCTCAAGAACAATCCACCATTAGAACTATTCAGAGGTTGTAATCGCTTTCTTGTCTTGAGGCCAGGAAACCACACCACAATGATGATATGATGCTCTCTTTTCAAAACTCATTTACTCCCTAAGCATGAGGATAGTGTCTGAAACACAGAGGAAACATTCAATTCTGGGAGATAGAAAACCCTAAATTTCCTCCAGGGTAGACATAGGAGTAGTTCAACCACAAGATGGGAAAGGCCAACTTACCATGCCATGATAATTTAATCATGGTCTCAATGATGTTTCAGTAACATAATTTATAGTAAATAAGTAAAAGATGGCTACACATTAATTTCTATGTACTAATTTTATAATGTAGAAAATGACATATTTATTGGGCAATAGTTCAAAAGAGGAGCTCTTAAAAAGGACTTTTTTTCTAGACATGCATTCAGGATTCCTATGAAGCAAGGGTGGAGCTCAAAACTCAACTGCTGAAAAGTCTAGGGGAGATGGAGGAAAAGAATAGGGTGTCATTGAATATATGAGGGATGCTTTGGATCTATTCTCTGAGTTTATTAATTCCATCTTTTCTTTCTGCTCAAGTAAAACTTTTCTAAGCTGTAAGCACCACATTTTAGAAATTTGAGTTAGGCAGAAAGTTATTATTTCATTTATCTTTCAGCATAGTTTTGTTATAAGACTATATAAAGCACATATGAGACAAGCCATGATGTTATACATGATATTGCTGGCAGATCTGAGTAGATTAAAAATGACTCTAGCTACTGAGATAATGAGCTTAGAGCTGTGGAAGTCTACTCTCTGCCATTGTTCTGAAGGACATGCTAGCTGTCTCAATTATTTTTTCATGTATTAATAGTATTACTTTACTTTTATATATAGAATGAAAACTCCTACACTAGACAAGAGACCACAAACAAATGATTGACAGGCAAATTCACACAAAGTTTGGTTTTGATGGCAAGCATGGTGTTTATCTTTTTAAATTTGAATTGGTGGTTTTCGAGGAAATGTGTCATACCTTTTAGCCACCCATTTCCTTTGAATACACTTCTTATTTGTTTGTTTGTTTTTCCTCCTTATAAGTACTTATCTCTCTGACATAGAAGTCAGATACACTTCCTGCCAGGCTGCTGTGAAGCAAGAATATGGACTATCCCAATCAAATACACTAGAGTGAGGCTTCAGTTCAGAAATAGGCACTGCAGGGAAACCTGTCTGATTCAGGTAACAACGCCAGTGGCAGAGTTCCAGCAAGGTAGTCAGCATCAATGGTGTTGAGACTCAGTGTCTATGCCCGTAGGTAGCAACGGCAGCGTCTTCACTAGACTAGCCCTGCAGTACGTTGTAGGTGTAGTTGTTGGCAGCATAATCCTAGGATGGATTTTCTGGTTTCCTGGAGCCTGTGTCCATCTATACTGTTTAATAAATTCCTTTGCTTCTTATACCTGCTAGAGAGGCCTCTGTTATTTGCAACTAAGCAGTTCAGCTATGTTTTCAACCTTTAAAAACTGAGGAAATTTACCAAAACCCCTGAATTTCTAGTTTATTTTGGAATATCAGATCTGGCAACCCTGAACTTAACTATCCCTGTAGGGTAACATTGAGCAGGATCTCACATCCTAGGCACATGCCATGCACCTTATATATATTTTCTCCCTGTAAGTATTTCATTGTTTAACCCTTGTCCATTTTTCATTCCTGCAGGACCCAGAATTCTCTATAGCCATAACACTTCAGGTCATGTATTTATAGTACCTAATACTTTGTTTGACCAAGTCAAAATATAATATTTACATTCATTTGTTTCTAGTTAATATATGTATTGAGAGCCTGAGTCACTAAATAACCTTTGTTAAGAATTGTAACTTGTTTTAAAAAATATGGGCTGGGATGAAATAAAACAAACCACTGTGTGGATTGTTCACATTTTCCCAGCAGCTAACAAACACATTGTATGTATCATGGAAGGCGCCAATAAATATACAATGACCTATCAATTTATTTATTCACTCGGCAAACGTGTATTCACTCTCTGGGTACAGTGCTTATAGTAAAGTTCTTATAATGACCCAAAAGCTTCTGAATTATTTGATGCTACCTGCCTACCCTGAACACAATTTTGAAGGAATAGTTCCCAAGAAAGGGAAGAAAGAAAGGAAAAAAGGAAAGAAGAAAGAAAAAAGGAAAAAAAAAATGGAAAGGACACAGAAGGAATTAATTAAGATTATATGCAAAATATGAGTACCTGAAAGCTGTTAGTTGTCTCCATGATGCAGTATGGGCTGGAAGTGGCTCTCTGAGTGAGTTTGACCTATGCTTCTCTATTATACTGCTACATTACTTCATCAGATGTCTCTAATTGTTAATTATGTAGAATGATTGTGGAACCATGCCACGGTAAACTAGTTAGATCATATTTAACTGTCTCTTCATCATAAATTACCCTCTATAATGTATGCTTGTGTCCATAATCAAAAAGGCAAAATCTATTGTTATAAAAATCTTAGTACAAAGGATGGGAATCCAAACAATAGATGGTGGAAAGTTGAGTGTAAGTAAATTATAAACAATAACACTTCACAAGTCAGACCTTTGGTGGGTGAAACTATTCGTTATTAACAGACACACTTGTTGTCATTTTAAGTAATTAATCATTACCCATAAATATAATTTGTATTGCGCATTTGCTTTGGAGCCAGATATGGACTCTGCAACTTGACATGATTTTGTTGTCTTCAGTTAGTGATTTATTATCCCTGAGTCTCAGTTTCTTCCTCTGTGAAGGATTTGATAAGAAATAAAAATAAAAGAATAAATACACCAAACTGGATCGATGTGGAAAAACACATTCCAACCCCTCTGCTCCACACACATGCACACGCAAACCAACCTCCCCAACTCACAGAAATATTCTGGCCAAGATTTTAGCAGTAATAAAAGTAAATTCTTAGAACATATCCAATGGACTTCTGATTAAATATTTAAATATAGCATAATGAACATGTGGATTTAGCATCAACCTTTCCTAAGATTCCATCAAAATAAAGAAATAAAATTATATAAACCCTTAAAGACAAATTGAGTAGGAGAAGGCACAACAGAGAACAAGAAGTTATCAACAAATGTTAGAAGAGAGGTATGATAATGATAATTGACTCAGTGCAGAGGAGAACATTACCACACAAATTTAGGATAATGATATAATGCAAAGCATGCTTATTGGTGAGGCAGAAACCTAAAAGTCATCAAGAAATAAAAATACATGATGTAGTGTAACATGGTAGAAGGAGAATAAAGCAAGGGCTAAAAATAGGGGAACTGGTTGAAAATGTGTATGTTCAACAAAACCCCCTCCCACCCTAGCCAGCCAATTATTCCATTTGAAAGTTTGCCCTACTAATACCTTCTAAAAAGATAAAAACATAGTTGAGTACAAAGAAGTAGGAGTCAGATGGCATTAGATTTTCAGGAACAACACTGGGAGCTAGAAGACAAGGGAGCAATTAAAAACTCAAAGGGAAAATAATTTCTATACCCAACCAAACTATCAATCAAACATGAATGAAGCCAAAAAAGAAAATTTCCAAATATATAAAATATCATGTACTTACTACCTATATGGTTTCTTTTAAGAAGCTACTGGAAGATGTAGATTCTCAAAATAAAACAATAAATTTAGGAGTAAATATGGCATCCAAAGAAAAATCTCAGGACAATATTTGTGCACCAGACCTAAGGAATCCTCAACACAGACTAGAAGAGGAAAATGGGTGCATAAAGTAGAAAGATTACCAGAAACAAAAATGGAGCTGACAAAATGCTGTGCTTAGGAGCTTGAAATAAAATAGAAAAACAACGAAAAATGCCTGTATGTTGTTTAAAAGAAAGAAAATAACACAAAAATTTAACACAGAGGATTGTTAAAAGATATTTCACACAACTCAAAGGAAAGCTGTTCTCTACACATTAATATCAGATAAAATAAAATTATGGCAAAAATCATCAAGACAGGGACATTCCTAAACATAAAATGTGCAGTTCACTGATGAGCTATATCAATCATGTTTGTCTTCACTTAAAAACTTAGCTGAAGGAATTAAAGCAAAAACTGACAGAATTCTAAGCAATGACATATCCCTAATCATAGCAGGATATATTAACACATGTCTCTCAGAAAATCAGTTCTCAAAAAGAACAAAAATTAGTAAGACCACAGAAAGTCTGATATTAACAAGCTGACAGAAGTCATGGACTTTTTGTTTTCTGGTTCACTGTTATAGTCCCCACCCCACTGCCTAGTTGAGTGCTTGGAACACAGTAGATATTAAATGTTTCCTGAATATATGAATGAATAAACAAATAGAACCCAGAATGCAACAAATAGACAATATACATTCTTATAAGTACATGCAGCACATTTACTTAAAAATTAACCTGGTGTCAGGCCACACAGGAAAATCTTGAAAAAAAAATTATAAATGACACAATCTGCATCCTATGACAACGCCTTACTTATAGTTAGCTGGTGTTTACAGTCATTTCATTTCTTTTCGGAGAATTTAAGGAAACTCTTTTGAAATTTTTAAAAGAAGTCTGTATTGTTAGAGTGAAATACTGACATTATAGAGCAAAAATACATTGAAGTTCCTAGTTAATGCTTCTTGCTCTGCTAGTAATTAGAATTGTTACTGAAGCCAAAGGGAATAAGTAACTTAACTCTAAGTTTCAGCAACCTCTTCTAAAATTTGGTGGTTGGACTTTTGTGTTTGCAGTCCCTTCCAATTCTAACACTTGTTTACTACTTATCCATATTAAAAGTCCTGTCTGTCTTTCCTTCTTTTCCTTTTTATATCTGTTAACTGAAGAATGTATTGTGGCATAGTTTTAAATAACAAAAAGCATCTTGACCCATTCTAAAGTAGGTAAAAAAGACCTTGTGAGAAAGTTCTCATGTTAAGTGTATAGGAAAGTTGCCATGCGGAGAGTGAAGCCTAAATAATATGTACTACAGGAGCTGTCAATCAAAGGAAACTCAATAGCACATATATATATAAATTGAATACAGACTTAAAGAGGAAGGTAATTTCTGAAATGCCACTCTGTCTTAAAGATGGCCTCTTGGGGTCAGCAATTTGTCCAGAAAGGACATAAGCATCCTGCCTTGATCTGGAATGATCTTGGCATTCTTCTATGCTTCCTGCACAAGTTTAAAGCCTTAATATCCATTCAAACTGTCAGACTACTCCAATTATCTCTGGTACAAAATATCCCACAGTTCAGTACTGTAAGACATTGTGTGACTTATAAATGACTAAGATTTGCCCTGACTGATAACATTTTCCCAAAGTCAAACAGACTCTGCTTTTGTCTCTCTGCTTGTCTCAATATAGCTGCACTTTATTTCAATACTTCTCTTGTAATTGAGGGATTCCATAAAATCAAATAAAATGATTTATAATGGAATGATTACTCCAGGGTAACATTTCAAGTGAAATTAAGATTGAAATCTAATTTAAAAGCTTTAATGTAAATGGGTCATTAGAGGAGGCTCTCCAGGGAATTTGCAATTAAACTAAAGTGACAAGGGTTTTGTAGGGGTGATAGACCTAAAGGTGTTACAATACTGATACATGCTCATTTCAGATGCAGCTGGCCTTATCACAACTGCTCAACAAGATCAGAGTTGCTGAGTGAAAGGAGCAATCAAGTCTAACAAAAACACTCCAACCCATTACAAGAATTTCTCATGAAAAAAAAAAGAGTTCTGATTTATGTAAAGGCTTCAGTGAATTCAGTATATTTAATTGACATTAATTAATCTAGTTAACTGCTGTTAATCATTTCCATATTTATCTCTTATCAAAATCTTACTTTTATTCACTATAACTATTCATTTAACAATAACTGTTTTCTATTAATACAATCTTTAATATGTAATTTGCAACTGTGTAGTCTTTAAGCACAATAATAGAATACCTCTCCTTTCCCCCCAACCTTTCTGAATCCCGAATATCTTTACTTTTAGAGGTCTCCTTTTTGACCCTATAGCTCCTTGACAATTAATCATCAATTTCCTTTCTAAATTCCTTTTATTTTTGTTATTAGATCTTCTACTTATAGTAAACCTTGCTTGTGACAAGGTCTCAGTTCTCTAGAAGGAAACTATGCTGAATACTTTACAGTTCTTGCAATATTGCATTTAACATAATAAGGACCATAAATATTTGATTTTATTAATAATAATAATGTTAATAGTTAACTTTTATTGACCATTTAAAATGAGTTAAACTCATTTAAAATATGTTAAACCCTTGATGTAAATTATCTCATTTAATCTTCACAATCATTCTAGATGGTAGAAATATTATTATTTCCATTTTAAAAATCTATAAACTGAAGATTAGAAACGTTTCAGTAACTTATCCAAGGTCACAGAGCGAATAAGTGGCAGATCCAGGAGGTAAAACCAGGACTGTATATCTCTAAAGCCCATGGTAGTACCTACTGTGCTATGCAGTGAAAAGCTGAAGTTGCCTAAGATCAACAAGAAAAGCACATTTGTGATGATCCTTTCCCATTTTGTGTATCTATATGTCTGATTGATTTTATACATTGTCAGATTTAATTGGTCCCAGATCTTTAAAGGTGAACTCTTTCAAAAATAATAAAAATACAATTCTTGAGCCATCCAACAGATGTTTCTAAATGTTTATATTTATTTTTATGAAGGCTTCATAAAAAATCAATTCCAATTTATACCCTTTATTTTTGTGGATGACAGAAGATTTGAAGAGCTCTATTGAGAGAGGTGGCTGAAGTTTTACTTATTGCTTTTGAAATTTTCCAATTTTATTTATACAACAGCTTTTGCAGAAGCAACAACACCGATGGCTCACAAACCACTCTTTTGTTGTCTATCATATATAAGACAAGGGTCCAATGACAGAGTGGTGTTCAGATGATGAACTGTATAGCTCAACAGAAGAAAATCAAGAGATTGCACAAGCCACTTTAAGGAAGGAATTTGGAGAGAAAATAATCATTCTGAGACTATATACTTTCTTACCCTTCTCTTACAAGGATACAATCTTTTCTTCAGATCATGAAAATAATTATATGATTCACTTTAATGTTATCATATTTGGTAACTTGCATAAATTTGATTGGTGGAGCAATGGAGGTGGAGGTAGATTAAGGTGGAGAAATGGTTTCTAGGGGGAATGAAAGATGTAACAGCTAATAGATCATCAAGTACCTAGAGAGCTATACAATATTGGCTACTCCTTTTAGCTTGTTCAGATGGGTCCTCACATGGAAAAGCAAGTATTGCTGGACAGTCTCAGAAGGCAGCCAGGTATCTGTTTAACTTCTCAAGAATGAGCATGGATTGGTACTGGTGGTCAGAGAAATATCTAAATATGTGTAGTCACGGTTTAATTCCACCTACAGTTAATTTTTGGAGAATTATTTTTTTCTATTGTAAAAGGCACAAAGGGAATCTTCTGGAAAAGATATTGATGCAAGATATTTTCTTGACCCTTTGTGGGACTAGCAACAGGGGTGCCTCATTTACTCAGCCTGCCTCTGTCTACCCCTCATGGGAGGGAGCATGTGAGCAAATGAGTGCAGGAACTGGAGTGAGAGAGTGCAGGAACTTTGGCACCTGTAGGTGTAAACACTACGCAGGCCCCACAGCAGTGTCCAGGCAGGGATGCCTCTGACCCCAAGGCCCAGAGGGCATGTTACAGTGCTCTCTTATCTCTGCTGTTTGCAGAGAGCAGTGTGTTATCAACTCAGTGGGCCCCCTGCCTTGTCACATGGGGTGGCTGCCTTCTGCCAGCAAGGGCAAAGGCAGGGTGACAGCCTTTTTGGTGACCTGCACCCAGTGTGTCCTGAATTCTTGTCCAGTGCCCAAGAGGAATGAGGTCATATGGACAAATGGAAGGATGGTGAATGTGAAGAATATTGTCCAGTGATAAAAATGGCTATCAGTGGTGAAGGGAGCTGGAAAGAGGATGGGAAGGGAAGGTCGCTCTCCCCTGAAGTCAAGCTGCCTATCTGCCTCTCTCTTCCGAACTCAAGCTTCCTCTCTTTAATGTTCAACTGCTTCTTCCCAATGTCTGGCTGCTTCTCCTCTCTGCCAGCTGAGTTTGGGGTCTTTATAGGCACAGGATGGGGTAGGCGGGCCCTGGGTAGTTCAGGAAAAGGCAACATTTGAATGAGGGAACAGAGATAGAACTTCTCACTTTGAGCCACAGGTTTCAGGTTTTGGGGCTTGAAGACGGGGTTTTGCCACGGACCCGTCCCTGTCTACCTAGAATTTTTCTGCCTCCTGCCTCTATCATTTTACCAATATTACATTTGCACCATGGTCTCCAAGCCATACAAGATATGGCCCTAGCTACCTGTTGAACCTCTTCAATCTCTTCCCCATCATTTACCCTCTTGCCACTCCACTCCAGCCATCCTGGATTTCCATGACTCTTGAACACATCACACTTCTTCCTGCCTTCCAGCCTTAGGGCCTTTGTATTTGCTGCCCACTGTACTTGGAATTCTTTCCTAGATCTTTTCATCCTTTGGTTCTTCTCATTTAAACTTAGGTCTCTGCTTCAGTGTCACCTCCAGAGAACTATCCCTGACCATTCTGTGTATATGCACACACATACACATACACATAAAACAGTTTAATCTAAGAACTCCCGTTTATTTAAAAGTTGACGCAACTGATGAAAAAGAAAAGATGCACAAAATGTCACAGGTTAGAGAAGACTAGAAGATGAGATAGGTAAGTGCTGTGTGGTCTCCTGTATTAGACCAGGAACCAAAAAAGGATATGAGTGGGAAAACGGGTGAAAACCAAATAAAGTCTGTAGTTAAGTACATAGTATTTGTCTTAATCCATTTGGTGTTGCTATAAAGGAATACTTGAGACTGAGTAATTTATAAAGAAAAGAAGATTTATTTGGGTCATGATTTTGATGTCTAGAAATGTTCAAGATTGGTTATCTGGTGAAGGCCTCAAGCTACTTCCACCCCTGGCAGAAAGTGAAGGAGAGCCAGAGTGTGCAGAGATCACAGGGTGAGAGGGAGGAAAGAATGAGGAGTGGAAGGTGCCAGGCTCTTTTTAACAATCAGCTCCCTTGGGAACTAATAGAGTGAAAACTCACTCACCCCTACCTCCACGTAGGTAGGGCATTAATCTATTTATGAAGGATTCATCTGCATAACCCAAACACTTCCCTTATAGGCTCCACCTCCAACACTGCAGATCAAATTTCAACATGAGGTTTGGAGGAGACAAAGATCCAAACCACAGAAGTATTGTACCAATGTCAATGTCTTAGCTTTTGACAACTTTACCAATCATGGTTACATAAGATTTTAAGCATTAGGGAACACTAGGTGAAGGGTATACAGCAGCTGTCTATACTATCTTAGCAACTTTCCTATAAATCTAAAATTATTCAAAATAAAAAGTGTAGTGAAAGAAATTAACCACTAAATAAGTTCTAAGGCTTTCTATACCATGAAGCATGACAATTACCTAGTCTTCCTGTTGCCTTAGTTTTTTTTCTCTTGCCTTTTTTTTAACTGAGTCTGGAGTTGAGTTTTCAATACTGTAGTAAGGCTTTCTGGAGAGGACTTGCATCTTTGGTTTGTTTGGTTAGAAGTATGATGAGAAGCATCATGAAAAGTTGCAGTACCACGTAATTCAAGGCTCTGGGCTCAGTTTATTCATTCATTTCCAAGGCATGCTGTCCAGGCTTTCCCTGGGCACAAACCTTAGAAGAATTCTTTGCTCCCTCTCCCAGATGGCTGACAATGGTCTGCTCTTTTGACCCTCTCAATGACTTATTAAAATCTGTGGACATCATGTTTCTGCAAAACACTCTTTATGGTCAGATTTACTGAATGTAGAGACACATTTTCATTTGAAAAAAAAGAAAGTGAGATTTGGTACTTACTAACAGCTGTGGACAAGAAACTTGCTTAGTCCTTTGGTGACACAAAGATTAAATAAACACAGACACTACCCCAAGGACTCTATACCATATATCCATGGAGGGCCAACCTATGCGAAGGAGGAAAGCTATGCTTATAACCCAAGAGTCATAGAATGGGTGACCCTTTCAAATAATCCATATGTTAGGTAAAAGCTTTGTATTCCAGGCACTGCCACTTACCAGCTGAGTAATCTTGGGCAAGTAATTTAACCTGCAACTCTATTTTGTTAATGTTCATCTGTAAAATGAAAATAATAATAATATCCACATGTGCAGATTTAATGAATTAATTTCTGTAATATACCAAGAACAGTACCTGTTAAATGTCAATTGTTCAATAAAAGTTGCTATTATTTAAATAAATATATAAATAGCAAATACGGCTAACAGTGTGAGAATTTGGTTGAAAATCTACGATCTATCATATTGTTTATCAATAATTTATAGTACGTTATTCTTCCACATTATCATTCATGGAACCTACAATGAAAATAATACTATCGTTTTGTCTACGGATTTGTGCAAAGTATAAGCAAAAACGCAACATAAGCATAGATTTCTTCCCAATAAAACATAATACAGGCCCACTCACTTTGCCCAAAAGATGTTTTTGAAAGTACAATACAAAGTAATAATTTTGTAGTTTGAGAAAAAATTCTCATCAATTTACATTATTAATTTCATATCTGGTTGATCTTAAATTGGCCATAGAGATGTGAAATGCCAGTATTTCCCGCTCTGTTTACTTAACAAATTGATTATAGCTAAACGAGTTGTGTATTTCTTAGTTATCTGATAGGCAGGTAATCTTAGCTAATTCTTATCTACCTCATAGGCAGGTAACTAGTAAAATACACAAATTATTTAGGTATTTGTTGACCTCCACTGCTATTCCAGTCTCCTGGATCAGTGAACTGGAGGCACTGATGATTTGTGATAACTTCCAGACGTTGTAAGATAAAATTTTTGTCATTTTAATTGGTAGACGAATTCTGATGATGTTAATAGAATGGGCTGAAGCTAATGATTTTAATGAGACGTATTTCCTCAATTTCACAATATTATTGGAGAGATAACAAGGTCTCTATAATAATAGTGTCTATCTGTCCTCCTTGCCCCTAGCATTAAATTCTAACATCTAATCTCAAATATGAGCTTTACAAAAGAGGGAGCAAACTAAGAGAACCCAGAAAAAGACTCCTAGGCTTTCTGTTCCAGCTTGTCTAGGCTCAGAACTGGCAAAATGGAGACCATGTCACCAGAAAAATTGTCTTTCATAAACACAACTCTTTTCTTTGCTTCAACATGGTCTAACTTCATGATTCTGGAAAGACTGTCACATTTCAAATGGATGACCCTCAAAGAAAGAAGTAATGGCAGGTCTTATATTAAGGTATTGGCCCCTGACAGTTCTTGCAAAACCATCAGCTTTCTATTTCTTGATCTTTCTTTCTATTTTTATGAGGTGTTACCTGTTTTCTTAAAAAGCAATAGCATGAACATGGACTATGTAACAGAAGAACTGAGTTCAAACCCTTGGTCAATGATTCACAATTCTGTGACTTTGGGCTTATTCCTTCCTCATAAGAAAACAGGTGATATTTCATGTATTCATGCATAAAAGACCCCTAGGTGCTATATCATGTTCGCATAAACCTCACAGTAATTCTTAGAGGACTTCTGAAAGAGGAGGACACTGAGGTTGAGGAAAGAAGGGACTTGTTCAAGGTTACAATAACTCCTGGAGCTGGAATCAAACCTAGATTTAGTCTGACTCTGAACAATAAAATTAGCCGTACCTACTGAGCACCTACAATGTGCCAGGCACTGTCTTAAGTATGCTATAGGCATTAACTAATTTAAACTTCATGGCCATTCTAGAAGGCAAGTACAATTATTATTATTTCACAGAAATCCACCATGACGCCTTCCTTTGTCCACACACTTCTCATTTTATAACCCCCCATTTATATATGTATATGTGACATTTTTCTAATTTCTTTGTGACACATTGAATTACAAATGCTATTAAAGCTCATGCACTTGTTTCCCAACATTTGGGAAAGCTAAGCTCAACCCTATTTTGACATTTTGAGTGAGTTTTTCCTTTCACTGTAACCCTTTCTCCAGGCCCGGATGTGGCATATAGAGCAAGGCATACTTAATCCTCAATTTACAGAGCCTCTTTTAGTAGACACAGAGAGGTTAAAATGCTAACTTCATTTATAGTATGTCACCATCCATTTAAAAACCCTCTGTGATTTTTTACCACCTTTATCTTTTCTCCTGAAGCAAAACATAACTTTTTATTGTTTCAAAAACCTCCAAGAAGCAACAAATTTAACAAGAAATTAATGACCAGGAGACTTATGTCAGTCAAATTCTGAACCAAATTGAACCCTAGGGTTTTAAAATGCTCAAACACCACCGTATTTTGTAGGCATTTATTTTTTCTTGGCATCGTGCAACTTCCTGTTTCTAAGAAAAAAGGATTAAAGTATCCCATTAAAAAAAAAAAAAAAAGCAGAAACTCCAAAAGCTTCTTGGACATCAAAGAGACCTTACACAACAACATTTTGATGAGTTAAGTGTAAAGGAATCAAAAACACATGGATTAAATTTCTCATAAAACCCACATGTGTTTAAAAATCAAGAGAAAATGTGCTTGGCCAAATGCATTTGGGGTTTTCTCAAACCCCAAACATTTGAGGAATAGTGTGAGATGTTTAAGGAACCCAAAACACAGCTGGATCGGCCTATATCATTCTCAAAGCATATGCCAGTGGGAGATGTTAAAGGAGATAAGCCCACAAAACAATAGAGTTTTGCTTAAAAATCACAACTTGATTATTGATTAGAAAGTTGCAGTTTTCAAATATATATATTTTTAATCACCTCTAAACTTAGAAAGTTATAACTTATATAACCTGTTAGAAGTCATTTATTAAAGAGCTCTTCAATTTTTTAAAAAGAAAAAGTGATCATCATTTCCAACCTTCAGATTTTCCAGCATAAGCAGACGGGATCTTTTCTGCAGCTTTCAAATTTCTATCAAGTTACACCATGTTTTGTATTATACTTGATTTAGCTTTGCTAGACTAGGCACATTATTAATTGGCTATCTTTTTATTTACAATACTATTGCTCGAAATATATACTAGAGAGTATAATTGAATTTTGGGTTTACCGTAATTTAAAAAAGTCAAAAGAGCAATAAACATAAGTGTTAGTCAACAATTGCCTCTGAGAACCAGCATAAATCATCAAGATTAAATGATTTTAAATCATATTTAAACTCCTTAATTTTAATTTATGGTTGCCAATCTATTTTCAGTCATTGTCGACTGGAATTTCTTGCAGTGCTTTATATCTTTAGAGGTGATGGCAAGGGATGTTTGAACATTCCCTTTATATGGGGGCCTACACTATCAGGCTGAAATCATTGATCCATGACTTTTCTTTCTTATTACTTTCCTAGTGCATTCTATTTATTTTAAAAGTTAGCCAAGTAGTGGGGAGGGGAATTTGATCATGAATTTAAGTACTTTTTCAAGTCTGTTTTCTAATTTAATAAATAAGACTTTGATCCTTAGGGTAGATCTAGTTTATAGATGGTAAATGAATATTTCCTTTAGCTAAATGATACTGTGTATCACTTTTTGGATTACGGATAGCACTATCATGATTTCCAGGGAGTACAAAGGTTAATGAAACCGTCACTGTGCCTTCTTAACTCCCGCAAATAGCTAAATAGCAATATTGCAAATTTCTCTTTCCCCTTTCTACTATAATCAACGTTACACATCCTGCAAAAATATAATACAGTGAAAATACAAAAAAACCCAAAAGTATTTTTTCCCTGAAGAAAGCAGCACTGATGTGGGAATGATTAATATTTTTTCCCACTCCCAGCCAAAAGCACTGCAGTATGAATTAGCAGTTTCTACACACTTGGATCTCAGCTCAGCTCTCCAAAGGGTAATTTCTGATGTATAACAAGGTCACAGCTCAAGATTAACCCTATACACTAATAAAAACAGCAACAGCAGCCAGAATATCATTTATGGAAACCCACCATTTGCTAAGATCTGAGCCAGACATTTTACACACTACTTCTAATGTTCACAATAACCTGGACAAGTATATTTCTAATGTTTCCATTTTACAGTTGAAGATGTTGAGTCTTAAACACATTAAGTCATTTGCTCATGAATATACAGGTCTGTTTGGTCACAAAGCCCACACTCTCTCCTCAACCCTGTTGCGTCTTACATGTTTAAAGTGGATAAAAGAAAACAGTGACCATCTCTTAGGAGACTGACCAAAGGGTAGAGAATAATACAACCCTAGCTTAAGAAGTTAGGAGGCTGTCATACCAATATGACCTGCAAGTCTTGAAATCACAGATCCTGTTCTGTTGCTCACCCTAATCAATATTCTATATCGCACTGTGATACCTCTTTTGCCCCAGACATGACTTGGAACTGCTTGCCACATTTATACTCTTTTGAATTTCCCTTAAACATGCCCCGGGCATCATTTTGGAGAGCAGTCAATTGCTCAGGAACTGATTCCATGATGTTTTCGAGGCCATCACCTGTTTCTGATTATTTCTTTCCAGAGCTTAGCTAACAGACATGAGTGTTATACCTTGGGAATGAAAAGTCTGTGGCCAAGAAAACAAAATCACGTTCACCAGCCTTGTGCTCTTCCTATTATTTTATCATCCCAACACTCTGGAGGATGTGTCATGGGACGAAGAGGAAATCTGCTAAATTACAAGGTTTTTAAATTCTATACAGTCTTAAAGGGCTTTCCATTAACGAGTGGGGACAGAAATCAGACTGGCAGGCCACTCTAGATTGGCAATCCATGGTTAAACTAATTAGGAGGTGATCCTAGACTCGAGCAAGCACTATACTGTGGATGAGAACTACAACAGGCCAAGTTTCTGAAGAATAATGCCAAAACCCAAAATTACTACATGAGACTAAATCAGCAAAGTGAAATCATGAAAGAAGTAAAGCTCCTTAAAAAGAGAAAAACTGTGCTGTCTTGAAAATCAGAATGAATATTTCGAATTACAGTAAACTAAAATTAGGGGACATGGTGGAAGTTGAAAAATAGGGGGAAAAAACCAGATGCATTCAAGTTATAAGACCTGGTACCTGCATTTCAGGTTTCTTAAAAAACTGAAAGCAGATATTTTTAAATGCCTAAAATGACTAGTCAATAGATAGACAAATACAGAGAAAAGATAATTCACAAAGGAAAAGAGTTATAACGAAAAATATTTATTCTTACTACAAACAAAAGAAATCTAAACTTTTAAAAATGATGCATTGTTTTGGTCTGTTAAATTTCAATTTTTAAAAGCGTATAATAGACTTTGATGGTGAGGGTCAGAAGAAATGTATAGTTCCAAATATTGTTGTTTCACTCTGAATTGTATCTGAATGGATACAAATCTTTTACAAAGAAATTTGGCAATGCATATTAAAATCCTCAAATATTTATGCATTTTATATGCAAATATCTTGATATTTGCAAATTATCAAGATATGCAAATATCTTGAGAAACTGATTCTAAGGAAATAATCTTAAGTAAATGTATAGGATTGTTCATTACAGCATTATGTAGAATCACAAAATATAGAAACAGCGCTTAAATGTCATAAAATAGAAGAATGTTAAAGCTGTTCAACGAGATGATTTAAAATTTGATGATTATGAAGACTAACAAAAACTTAAAAATGCTTTTGCTATAATACAGACTGTAAAGAGCAGAAAAATTCTGACTATAAGCAATACAAAATTTTGTATTGGTAAAAAGACAGGAAAGGAGTATATCGGAACAATAGCAGGGATTTTCCTACCATGGTGAGACCCTTGCTAATTTTATTTTTCTTCTCCATTTTTTATGCCTTCCTGAATGTGATTGCATTACTTTTTTTTTAAGGAGTAGAAGTAATATTTCAAAATCAATATATTTTTAAATAACTCGTAGAAGGACCAGGCCAAGCAAACAAACTATGAAGACAAATGCAAATAAACAAAGCATTTATAGTTAAGAGAAGGGTAACAACAGAAAGGCAAGTAAAAAGGCCCTACAATTTACAAAGATGAAACTTTTTTTTAATCTGGAAGAAAACAATATGTTGAAACATCAAAGAAAAGCTTTGTAAAAAGAAATACATTCCTTTAGAAGGAAATGAAATAAATTTCCTTCTAAAATAGGTTGAAATGTACATAGTGATGGGGAGGAAAGAACAGGTATCTATGAGGTTGACTGGGCTGGAGTGCCATGTGCTTGCCATTTTAGCCCATGCAGAGTCACATCAGCAATTATTTGTCTTCCTATGTTTGAAATTATTTCTGAGTGTCTTCCCTGAGGCCAGAAGACTTCACTAGACTTCTCAAACTCTCTCCCAGCTCCAAAATTCGATGAGATGTATTAAATAATGAATAAACCGTAAAGTATGCTAGCAACTTGCCATGATATTTGATTCCAGTTTGTGAATTTACTAAGACCCAATTGCTTATTAAGGGAAAAAAAATTTAATTCTTGATCTAGTAGAGTCACTTATTGGCATAATCTTTCCACAGGTTATTCACTGCCTGATTAACAAAGAAATGGGAAATGAGGATGATGCTTTTTTCTGGAAAATTAAAAAATAATCTTGTTACTATCTAAAATCATTTATCTTACACAGGGACATAGCATGGCTGAAATGGCTGGGAGGAGGCAAAGAAACAGTCTATGTCAGGGGTCCCCAACCCCTGGATCATGGACCAGTGCTGGTCTGTGGCCTGTTAGGAACTGGGCTACACAGCAGGAGGTGAGTAGTGGGCAAGCGAGCAAAGCTTCACCTGTATTTACAGCTGCTCCCCATCACTGGCATTACAGCCTGAGCTCTGCCTCCGTCAGATCAGTGGCAGCATTAGATTCTCATAGGAGCACAAACCCTGTTTTGAACTGCACATGGGAAGGATCTAGGCTGCATGCTCCTTATGAGAATCTAATGCCTGATGATCTGTCACTGTCTCCCATCACCCCCAGATGGAACCGTCTAGTTGCAGGAAAACAAGCTCAGGGCTCCCACTGATTCTACATTATGGTGAGTTGTGTAATTATTTCATTATTTATTACAATGTACTAATAATAGAAATAAAGTGTACAATACATGTAATGTGCTTGAATCATCTCAAAACCATCCCCCACCCTGGTCTGTGGAAAAATTGTCTTCCACAAAACCAGTCACTGGTGCCAAAAATGTTGGAGACCGCTGGTCTATGTAGTAGCAGTAGACTTGCCACAAGATGGTATAAACCTTTATTTGTAATCCCTATCTTGAAGAAAAATTAGCATTTTTTAATGGAACAAAAGATTGTGATGTTGAATTCACAATTTGTATAGCTCATTTTGTACACCATTGTGTTTCATGTTCTATCACACATCTAGCCTTTATAGATTTTGATGTTCCCTCAAGGACATTTGGATGTCACATTGTATCATATGGGGTAGGTGATGCTGGAGGCTAATGGGAAGAATAGGCAGAGACATCTCCCTCCATCACTTTCAGAAATATCTTCCCCCTATATCCATAGAGATCCACAACAGGACCACAGTCAATGTGGCTCCAGAAATAAGAAGTGAAACGTAGGTGTTTCCAATATAGATGGAAAAGACAAGAGACAGAATCAATGTGTTGGAGTCTTGCTCTTTGCAGAGTATGTCTTTGCTGTAAATGAATGTCAGTTAGAGGTAGATATTGGCTGCTGTCTTCTGTCTTCTGAAAAGTTAATGATCTAGTTAAGAATCCAAACATGCAAGATAAAGGAAGAGAGGGTTAATTTATATTAAAAAATGGAAAGGAACAAAAGAGAAGGAAAGAAACAATACAATAAAGGCCTTCATTGACGTAGCATGTTTCCCTGAAGTCTATGATCTTTATTCTATACAAGGAAAGCATTACAGACTTTACAGAGAATAGTGAGACTTGACGACAAAGAGGTCATTTGCCTCTCTGGTGGTGGGTATTTCTTCATAAAATAAATAAATAAGATACTTTTTTAAAAAAGTAGATTTGTGCAAACATAAATTACATGCATAAGATTTCATATTTTTATAGAAACGACCTCAGTACTAGTGTCAATAATTTCTTTTTGGCCAATTATGGACCAGATCAGGGAATGACAGAAGCCCTGAGATTCAATACATTTAAGTGGTAGGCACTTTTCAATTCACAAGAGGACTCATTAAACTTTGTTGTCTAACCTTGACTGAATCTAAAATAATTTAGATGGTTGTATGGGAGAAATGATGTATAGAGATAGAAGAAGAAAGGTTGACTTATAGAGTATTTCTTTATTTGCTTTCTTACTCGTTTTGCTTTCCTGTTCTTAAGTTTCAAAATCCTGTAGTAACTGGAATGTATTTAACCATGTGCTGCCTGGAGGGAATCAAGGCTGTAAGAGAAGGAAATAGAGATTCGGCCTGAAGAATGCCTGCCTATGCTACCATTGCAAATATGTTGTTTTATGAAAATATATACAATGCCCCTTGCTTAAAAACCATGTACTTTGTTAAGATGTTAAATATGCCTCCTTTTCATATGGGCCTACTGTTTTTTGGTTATCACCTTAACAGAGAGAACAAGAGTCTACTTTTACCCTAAGGACA
Source organism: Homo sapiens (assembly GCF_000001405.40). Taxonomy (NCBI): domain Eukaryota; kingdom Metazoa; phylum Chordata; class Mammalia; order Primates; family Hominidae; genus Homo; species Homo sapiens. Next base: position 55,921,942 of record NC_000018.10, on the reverse strand, counting down.
AAGTCCCAAATCGATGAAATTTTGCAGATGAGAGCTTATGGCAGTCTTTTAGAAATGTTATTTTTCCTGGAAATAGGAGTAGACATCTCCTCTTTATCCAGACCTATAAAGCATCAATTGTCCCCAAATGACTCTACTGACCTGGAATTTACATTTTTTGAAGGTAGTGATTTAATGTGCCTCTGTTTTGCATAAGGTGAAAGTAGTATTTTCAATTAAACAACAATGTGCTTCAATCATTCACTCTGCCTCTTTCTACAAAAGAATCCCCAGACAAAAGAATGTATTATAAAATGTTACTTCATTGAATATATGCTAAAATGATATATCTGTATGTAAATTGGTCACTTATGTGTTGACCAGTATTGCTCTAATATCTTAAACAAATATGATACTTTAGCCAGAGTAGTCTCTGTAACTGCTTTATAACTACTATAACTTTGGCCTTTATTTAGTCTATGTGAACTATTATTTCCTGAAATCCAAGTAGCATGAACTAGCATTTATGGGAATTCACTCTGTGACAAAAAGACTATGTCAAGTAATTTAGATCTGTCATCTCAGTTGATCTTCATGGACATATCTGTGAGATAAATGTCATTATCCCTATTGCACAGATGAGGAAATTGTGGCAGAGAAAATTCAAGTAACTTTTCTAAGGTCATTTATATGATATGTAGAATACAATACTGAGCCCCAAATTTATACACTATTTACTATATCACCACTAGACCATTATTATGTAACTACAGGTAGCTTATGGAATTCATTTATTCATCTTTTCTTTAAAAAATATGCATGTATGGGCACAACATTGGGAGCCTTTAAGAGGCATAATATGCACCTGCCATAGTAAGATGGGAAGAAAAAATCTAAATCATTGTTTTAAAAAACCCTCCGCACATGAGAGGATATTTTTAGGTTAAGGGAGACATACATGTTTAAAAAAAAAGTGACAGAGAGAGACTGATTGACAACACTGGAGAGATGGGAGTTAGTTGAACAGTGAGCTTTTAGAGAAGGAGGCAGAACTCAATGAAATCAGTAGGAATTAGCCTTGGAAAGAGCAGATGTCCTACCGTGGAGGCCTGAAGGATATGAAGATAGCTGAAGTCCAAGAGATTATTGGGTGTAGAGAGAAGGAAAGGCATGGGATCTTGGTAGGGAGTCTTGGAATTGTTTAGCAAAGTATAAGATGAGTCAACTGTCCAGAGTGATGGGTGGAATTTGGAGTTTAAAGACAGAAAACCATTTGACTCAGTAAATTTTGGGACTGAGCTATACAAGGTGAAAGGGAAGGATGAGGAAGAGCAAAAGGATCCAGGAACATTTCAACAGCCAGATCAGCAGAGTCCCATTAATCTCTACAGCGAAGCTTTTCAACCAGGCATTACAGCATACACTGTATAACATTTGTGCATGTCACTACCATGACACTAAGATCAACTGTTTCTGTGTCTGTCTTTACCTAACACTCTCTGATGGTGGGCACTAGATATTATTTGACTCCATGTTACCGTGTTACCAGCATGGAGATGAATATCATCTGTTGCCTGCCATCGAGTGTACAATAGACACTCAGTTTACATTTGGCTAATGAATATTGACTGACATGGTGGAAGATCAGGCAGGGAAGAGTTCTAAACCACAATGCCAACACACAATGGTGTGTCATTATGAGACTAGGGTTGACTTGCCTCTTAGTGACACAGCCTATAATTTGAGCACATCACAGGGAATTGCAGTGTACAGAGCTGCTGTCTTTTGTAGATGGGAAAAAGGTGAGTATGTGCTGATGCAGGCATTCTCCAGTGTCAGGTGAGGTAAGGCAGAACATAGCTTCAGTTATTAGTACATTAAAAAAACATGAGTAACAAATAAGAGAGAGCAGAGATCCCTAAAGAGGACAAAGGCAGTTGGAGAGGGATTCAATTAAGACATATACCATGATAGGCACTAAACATCTCACTTTAAGAAGTATTTAAGGAAATGATTTATCTAGGTTAAGATCTTAAGACAAAAATTATTCATGTGAGACAAGTTGTAGTGGAATTTTATTTTCAAGTCTTTTTTTTTAAAGAAAATTTCAGGCTGGGCGTGGTGGCTCATGCCTGTAATCCCAGCACTTTGGGAGGCCAAGGCAGGCGGATCACAAGGTCAAGAGATTGAGATCATCCTGGCCAACATAATGAAACCCGGTCTCTATGAAAAATACAAAAATTAGTGGGGTGTGGTGGCACGTGCCTGTAGTCCCAGCTACTCAGGAGGCTGAGGCGGGAGAATCATTTCAACCCGGGAGACAGAGGCTGCAGTGAGCCGAGATTGCACCACTACACTCCAGCCTGGCAACAGAGCAAGACTCCGTCTCAAAAAAAAAAAAAAAAAATTCCACGATAGTTGTGTTGTAATAGGTTTTATCAGCACAGACTTTTACCATCACTGAGTGTATGATGAGAACATCCTGCTATCTCACAATGGTCACTGTCAGAAGACAGAGAACACATTTCTTGTTGACTTTGATGCAACCTTGGACAGCATCTGTGAAGTATAGGGAGAAATTGCTTTGACTTTGGGATTTGGTGACAGAAAAGTAAGAACTTGAAAGACCTGAGGCTGGGTTCTTAATTATCTGTGTCCCAAAAGTAGGAGATATTTCATGCCTGAAGAATACCTTGTCCAGTTTCTAAGTTGGCTTCTCTCTGTTGGACTTTGTTGGTTTCTGCTGCCCTGAGTCCTGACCATGGCAGGAAGCAAGGCGGGAAGTGAGTCCTGAGTCCTAACTTACCCCCAGTTTAATCCTATACCATTACTCCCCACCTTTCCCTGAGTCTTCCTGTTTGGACTGTTACCCAATCCTAACAAGATAGGCAATATATACCAAATAGCACCACACAATCCAAAAATATTTTATGATGTGTCTCTGCCTACACTGATATCCAATTCATAGCCAGTTGGATTTGTGGGGGGCGGGGGGTAGAAGTGGTGAAGCATCCCTTTCATTCTCTTTTTAAAGCACCTTCTAGAATTTTGGGTGGTTTTTATTTTTTGGTTTTAATTTTACATTGTTATGATAGCTTATAAGTAAGAAAGCATTCCAAGTGCTTTTAGTGACATTTTCTTATACAGAGGCTGCCATCAACAGATTTGATGACAGACTTTTTTTTAAATGATAACTTTGCCCCTTTCTCTAAATCACAGATAATCACAAGCAGAGTTGGTGGTTTTTTCAAATGGTTGCAAATCTCCAACCCATGTGATAAAAGATGCTGACATTAATATTCTGGTATGCAAGCTAATTCCTTCAGCCCAGCTGTGAGGCAGAGGCTCTGTGACCGAGGTGAGACCGCCGCAATGTGCAGCGTGTACCGGGTCCTCTGGAAGGCTGATCTGTTACTTGCACCTTGTGCAAATTGTGGCAGCTTGACTGTTTCCATGGGTGTGCAGAAGTGGCTCTGTTTTCTCGCTGCTGCTTTCAATTTACTGGCTGCCTTGAAAGGTTCAGAGAGGGCCCAAGGTTTTACTGTTAACTATTTATGTCCTGTCAGTTTCTAGACTTCATTCATCCTTGAACCCTCTGGCATCAGCATGTGATTACTTGCTTATATAGGAGGGACGAGCAAACCTAATAAATACCATTTAGCTCCTGTGTCTGCAGTATGTTCATCAAGCAAATCTCCATGTTGCTTCAGGCCCCCTAAAGCAGCCCAGTGTTTAGAGATGAAAACTATGTTAAGTTGCAAAGATGTCCCTTTGCAGAGGCAAAGTACCCCTACTCACCTTGCTACTTTCAGGATACAGCAGCAGTTAACCCTATAGTTTCTTATGGCATTGTCTAGTTATTTCTTGCATGTGCTCTTGTCTTTGCATACAGATTTTCAGGTCCTTTGGTTTACAAGGTAGTGTCACCTTCCTTGAATCCTCCCCAGCTTCCAACTATAGAGTAGGTTGCAAAACAACCCTTACTGCACGTGCAGAGCTAAGCACAGTGTGCAACATACAGGAAATGCCCCATAAATGTTTGTTGTTACTGAAATTAAGGGAAAAAAGAAGCAACAAGTTTTGACACAATGAGAAAGTATCTGTATAATTTTGCCAAATTCCTTCTTTTCTGTCTGCTCTTCTTGACCTATGGACTGACATATGGAACCCATAAATACCCCCATCCCAATCTTTGTGATCTCTACCAACGGCATATGGTACTCTAGCCGAAACCAACTCTGCAAGTCCCTGCAGCCAAGTATCTGTGCCAGCCAGCTTCCTAGGTTCATGTGGTACTGGAATGCCCTCCTGTTCTTATCCAGGTGAAAACCTCAGGCCTCTCCTTGCATAAGGTTTTTCAGGCCTGACCTCTACCATGAAGCAGATCACTCATTTGTGTCTCCAGGTTAATCTGTACCCTCTTTATTTTATTGATCTTACTGATTGATAGATTTTATTTACTTAGATCTCTCTCTTCCCTACCAGTTGTAAGCCCTCAGAAAACCAGGTTGTGTCTTATTTATCCTTGTAGCTCAGTACATGACTGTATTAATCCGTTTTCATGCTGCTGATAAAGACTGGGCAATTTACAAAAGAATTACCATGGGACTGAGCAATTTACAAAAGAAACAGGTTTAATAGACTTACAGTTCCACATGGCTGAGGAGGCCTCACAATCATGGTGGAAGGCAAGGAGGAGCAAGTCACATCTTACATGGATGGCAGCAGGCAGAGAGACAGAACTTGTGCAGCAGAACTCCTGTTTTTAAAACCGTCAGATGTTGCGAGACTTATTCACTATCACGAGAACAGCAAGGGAAAGACCTGCCCCCATGATTCAGTTACCTCCCACCAGGTCCCTCCCACACACATGGGAATTCAAGATGAGATTTTGGTGGCGGGGCGGGGATATAGCCAAACCATATTAGTGACATATAAGGTGTGATAAATAAATGTTTTCAAATGAAAGCATGAAGGTCTGTCCTCATGTGTCCATTTCTAGGGTCACACTTCTCCTTCCCCACTCATACACTCCATCTCCCCAAGCTGTGAGCTCCTTCCACCCTCTGACCAGCTGTGTCCATCCAGCTGGGCCTGCAACCTCTTCCTGATACTTGCCTGACAACTCTTAATTACTTTTGCTGTTTTGTTTGTTTACTTTTTGGATTTCCTCTGCTAACTCTTGATGGGGATCTACTAATTATTGTTTATCACCAAAATTCTTTCTTCATCTGAGAGGGAGGTATGCTCATGACAGGTATTGATGGAGAAAATAAAAGATATTAACTATCTCGAAACAGTTTAGTTCACTCCAGCTCTCCAACACTAGGTGCTGGTGCAGATCTCACAAGAGACGGTTCCTGCCTGCAGGAGCTTAGAGTCTGGCTAGACAGAGAGAATCTATGAGAAAGAGGAGGCTGCATATATCAAGTCACAGCTTTTCAAAACAGTGAGCTGAAAAATGTGAAGGAAAAAAGTCCTATGAACAGATAAAGAGAGGAAACAAAAGCAGTCATTTGGCTCATTTGGTCAGAGATGGTCACGAAGCTGGTCAGTGGTTGAGCTTACACCAGAATCAAGGTCTCATATGGCCCTCCAAGGACTTGTTCTATGAGCATCTAGTCAGAATCAAAGCATTCTGTGCTGACAATCATGATGGATCTTTTGGGCATATGCAAGGTTCTCAATAAACCTGAGTCTTAATGTTGCCTCTTAGGGGTGGAGAGCAGGAGATGACCGAGAACCTTTTTGTTTGTTTGCTTGCATGCTTGCTTTTAATGGATCAAAGAAACAAGATGGCTAAGAGAGAAACTCTGGACCCACCCTGACTGGGTTTCACTCTTGGCTTAGCCTCCTTTTAGCTATAAGAACTTGGTTATGTTACTGAATAGCAATTTCTCTGTTTGAAACATGTGGATGATAAAGACACCTACCTCTTAGGCTTGTCAAGAGGATTAAATAAGATAATGCCTATCATACTGTTAGCATTATACCTGGCATGTAGCAAGTGACCAGCAAATATTACCAATTAGCAAGTAGAATATTTAATTTGACTTCCATGTTCAAATAGCTCTATCAGACTTGTTGATATTTCCACTGAATGTTTGAGATCATTGTGATTTATAAGTCACTGCAAAGAAAATATTCTAATGTATGAGATTTACTCAGTTCTGTAGATCTATTGCGTCCTACTTTCAACATAGTTATTTTTTACATGATGCATTATGCATATAGCTGATAGATATACATATAGATGATATACGTCTGACAGCAATGAAGGATGCCTGTTTTTCTAGTAGCCACAGATGAAGCAAGATAAAGGGAAGGTGGCAGAAATACAAAAAGAATTCTGGTGCCTATGGAAATAAGGACAAGGTACAATGGGTAAAGAGGGTTCAGGCAGGGAACTAATTTGCCCCTTGTCACTCCCACATTCACACAAAATCAGTGCATTGAGCTGAGGGAGAGCCTCTTGTGGGCTGTTCTTGGGCTCCTCTCCTTCTAGGGCAAGATAATCTCCACTCTTCTGCCAACAGCCTTCACATATCTTACAGGAGATGTAACCTGTCCAAAGACACAAAACTTATGCTGGACAAGCCAACACCGGGATCTCCATCTACACCTCCAAAGTTAAGACTTGGAAAGCTTCCCAGCTACCTTACTGCCCTATTCAGGAGAGGATACTTCTGGGTGATCTTTTATTTCTTATAGCCCTACAGAAGTGTCATGAGAATAGGTCTATAATTCATGTGTGTCTTATGGACTAATGAATGGGTGGATGGACGGAATGAAGGCAGCAAGGATGAATGCAAATAAGAAAAAGTCCCAAGACCAGAATAACAGGAGGGAGAAGTATCCATATGGTTACTTCAACAAATGGCTTTGAGAAAAAAAATTCTTCTTAGTTGTGTGGGAGAGAATTCTATGCGGATACTCTACATAAATATGGTAGCTGCAATCATGAAGATCTGGGGGAAAAAACGAAAATGACCTAGCCTCCAACACATTAAAATGAGAGCACGGCAGGGAGTCAGAGACAGAAAAATATTTTTTGAGACAGAAATGTTCTATTTTTTCTTTCCTTTTAACCATTCCAAAACTAACCATGGTGGGGTAAACTTTAGCAACAAGTAGGTCTTCATACTCAGTCCTGAATTTTCTTTTTTTTTAATTTGAGGAGCAAAGAATCAGGTCCCAGTGGGAGGAAGAGCAGAGTTGTCGTGCTTTTTGTACTTTGGTAACATCTTGAGTCAAAACAATCTTTTTTTTTTCAGTAGCTCAAGCTAGAAGAGCTTATAAGAAAGTGTAGAATCGATGAATGCAGTGCTGAAGGGACCTTGGGGTCCTCCTATAGACATATCTAATAGGTGATGGAACCTGTCCATGGTCATCTCACTCACCAGTGAATGAACCAATACCAAGATCTACATCTGCAGCTTCAAAGTGAAGAAGCCAAAAGCTTTCTAGCTCCCTGTTGCACTATTATTTTTAAAATAGTAAAGAGATATGTTGAAGGAGGCCTACTGTTTATGCTATTAGAGATCTATTTGGTTTTAATTGAGATAAGCGGATTTATGTAACATTCTACAAAAAGAGAATTACTACAAAACTGAACTAATCAAATATAGCTTTTCTTTCAGTTATAATAATATATATATTCAATATAATTATTTTATGTTCTTTGGTTGATATTAGACCAGGTTGTTTGTGATTTAGTTTCAACACAGATAAGGAACATTTATTTTACTTCATGTTAAAAACAATAATGAGAGAACCCATAGCAAAAAACTTTTTATTGGCATAGTTAGAGAAGATGTAAATAATGTACCTTTATCAGTGATGTTGCGGAAAACTGTAATATCTTAAACAGCACTATGGTTTTTGTTGTGTTTTATGCCAATTCTATTAAGTCAAAATATAATGAGTTGCCAAATTACTCCATTGACAGAAAATAGGCTTGATTCCATTCCTACCCTACCCCCAGGAGGGTGAGTTAAAATTATAATTGAAGAAATAGACAACAGTTGACAATAAGTGATGTTTGGATAAACAAATGACTAACAGGATTAACAGAGGTCCTTTTGGTGTAGAACCCAGGTAAATTTATGTTGCATGAGATTCACCTTCCCAAAGAACATATTTAGAAGCTGAGGTCATTTCCCTCTTTTAAAAACCTTCAGTGGCTCCCACTGCCTACAGGCTAAGGGTAGACCATCTTGGCCTGATATTTGACACCTAGCCTGGCACCTGTGCACCTGTGCCAGAGGAGCTGTCTCTACTCCTTACAAAAGCCTTGCGCTCCACTGAACTAATTTCCTAGGATTGATATTTCTTGATAAATAAGTAACATATAGTTCCAGAAAATGTAAAATGACTATGATCCAACAGAAGTTTCTTTCATGATGGAAAGGTTTCATATATGCTTTCCAAAACAAGGGCTACTGAGCACCTTATATGTGGCTAGAGATACTGAGACACTGCATTTTTACATTTGTTTAATTTTAATTAATTTAAATTTAAGCAACCACATTTGGCTAATACCATATTGTAGCACACAGCTCTAGAATATCACAGTGGATTATGGATGCATGCTTTAAACAACTGTTTCAATTATTTACTGCTGCATAACAAAACACTCCAAAACTCAGTGGCTTAAAACAACGAAAAAATTATTTCTCCAATTTTGTAATCTATTCTAGGCCTAGCTGAGTGGTTGCTTTGCTCTCCGTGATCGTTGCTGGGAGATCCAAGATGGCTCCTTCACTCAGCTGTCTGGTGCCTCAGCTGTGATGGCTGAAACAAAGGGGGCTGGCTGAGTTTCTATTTCTCTTTCTCTTCCCACAAGGTCTCTCCTAGTGGCTAGCCAGGCCTTTTTTACAACACAGTGGTCTCGAGGTAGTTCGAGTTTTTACATACAGCTGGCTTCCAAGAAAGAAAGTGGAAGCCTCCAGACCTCTTGACAGCTGGGATCTGAACTAGTCCAGTATCACTTCTTTCACATTCTGTTGACTAAAGCAAGTCACAAGGCCAGGCCAGATTTCAGGGGAAGGGATCTAGGCCTTATTTGTAAGGAGAGAAGTGTCACATGCACAGAAGGAGAGGAAGAATTGTGGCAGCCATCTTGTGAGATTACCACAGCAAGTCTAGCAGAGTTGACAGGGCATCAACAGAGCTGGTAAATGAAAAAATAAAGAGCCACTTAGAACACAAACAAAGGTAGCTTTGTATGGATCAGAGAAAGGAGAAAGGAAAGGGAAGTGGAGAATCAAGTCCACTCTAGGGAGACCTATGAGAGCAAAACATGATCAAAACAAGCAAAAACCATAAGATGACCACAGCCAAACTATAAGAGCACTGCTACCCATAAGAGGTGTGATGGATGAGCACTGATGAGTCCAGTGCAAAATACAGACCAAATGTCTCTCTGGTCCAACTTTGCCTGCTGAAGCTTCACATGCAAGCTCTTCATTAGTGATCATCCTGACCCTCTCTAGGATACTTGTCTTGATGTTCCATGCCCTCAGACTTAATGGCCCCTCACATAGAACCAAGGAACCTATCAGATTACAGCATAGAGCTGCAAGCTTTAGTCAAGGGGAAAAACATAACTGAGGAAAACTCTGAAGCCTTCTACATAAAGGGCTTATGATGAGCCAAACCACATTTGCCTTGCAGCAGAATCACTCCCACTTCCCAAATCTGTAGAAATGCCACAGCACCACACATGGGGGAAAGTGCTGGCAATGTTCCTGTTGGAACGAAATGAGGAGTTTTGACGAGACATTGACCCAGTTATCAGAACAGTGCAGGCTTTCTTATTGCAATAGTGATAGCATAGGACAACAGACATAAAAAACAGAGAGGCTTGAATTGTCTCTGTGTACCTTGGACAATTAATTTGACAACTGAATTTTTGATTTTTCATGCATACAATGAAGATAATTCCATCCACCTTGCAGGGTTGTCAGGGAGAATGAAATGCCAAAAAACATGGGTTCAATGCTATTTCCCATCCCTTATCCTCATCCGGAGTTTCCTTGATATCTCTTTTAGGACATTGAGTGGAGATCATCAAACTGTTAAAGAAATTATTAAATGTTCCACTGAGAGGGACAACCTCAGAAATTTAATAGTATTCCTGTAATAAATAAAACATTTTCAGAATTTAAGTTGCTTTCAATTGCATTCCACACTTTAGAGAGGTTTAAATTTAGTTGTCTTTTCATCTGGAGGAAATAATACTGCACCAGTCAGTAGCAGAAAGAGTCTTATCTAAGTTTGATGAATTTAATCCAACACAAATCTGCACAGATTAACTGCCATGGGAATGTACCATGTTAACTTATCCAATTTCACAGACTCCCACACAATGCTTCATCGTTAAATCAGCCAAATGTCCTTGAGAGCCTACTATGTACTCAGGCCAAAGGGAACAAAAAGACATTTTGATTTCTCAGACAACACATGATCTCATTGGAGAGAAAAATAGACATATTACAAGATAGATCACAATGCCAGGGTAAGCGTGGTGTATTCCAAATTAATGGTAGAGACCATAGGTGCTGTAAGATATGGAAAGAGAGTACAGCCACACCATGCAGTACTGCAGGCATGATTGCACCAAGAATGGAAGCTTTATATTAGGCCCAAAAGGAGAGAGCATGTAAAGAATGGGAAATGAGAAGAAAGTGCATTACTGAAAAGCAAGAGGCATGAGAGTGGTCTCACATAGGATGTGCAAGGCTTCATGCAGACTCAATGAGAATGCATGTCTGACTGGGGCATGCATGACTCTTGGGCATCATAAGAGAAACTGGGACTGGACCCCAAATCCTGGAGCAACAGGCCTGAATAGAAAGCACTGGGGGAAAAAATGTTGAGATCAGGAGAATGACATGCACCAAATGTTCTGTGGGAGTCTGGACTTATTGCTCTCCTCCCTCTCCATTTATATTTACCTAAATTTTGGTTTAAATATGAAAGCTCCTGCTATAAGCAGATCACAGAGCACCTAGCATAAAACCTTATGCATTGGTGATCTGTAATTTCCTATTGAGCTGAATTGAAATAATGACTCAAACAGCATTCTGTAACTTCCCTTGCTGGGTTCTATGAAAAAAGTTCCTGACAGCTGTTACCACCTTGGTCTCCTTCCTAGAAATGTGATTTCTTATCCCCTTAGCCAAATATGGAGACCAAATAGTAGCCTGAAGTCAGCAGTGAAAGGGGCAGAAAAAAACCTAAAGTTAGTAAATAAAGTTTTAATACAAATATTTCTTCTCATTCCTAAGTGTAGCCAAATGTATATGAAATACCTAGAAATGTGAGGGCCCTGCAGGTAGATTCATATTTTAGATGTGACCTGGGGCAACTGGAAAGTCCACTCCCTGACAGTCTTCACTGCCATTCTAGAACCTACATTCAGAATTGTGGATTCCTGTGCACTGAATCTCTCTCAATCTGAGCAGACGAGTTGACTAAATGTTTACTCTTGAACTTCTTTGAACACTAACTTCTGCTTTTCAGTTTGTCGTGTCAATTTGTCTGAGCACTGAAATGGAAAACTGAATAGTTATTTCAAAAGTACAGATGGAGCCCCTTGTTTACAGTATAATTCTTTACACCAAATGGAACTGCAGGAGGTTCAAAATTTGTAAAGGTCTTCCAAAAATCCAAACACATTATTCATTTCCACAAATCTGACAATTTTTGAACTACATAAATTCTTGAACAATTTTTTTAGTCCATTCGTGTTAACTGAGGTTAATTTGAAGATATTGCTACTTTCCAAAAGAAGTAGTTGAAATCCAGAAGGCAATTTATTCAAGAACATAATTCAGTTGCATTCATCTATCCTGGGTGAACAAAGAAATTACCTGTTAGTAAGGACATTAAATTAAAAAAAAATCAAGTCGAACTCATGTTATAGTTACTAGATAAATGTTTTTAACAAAGTGGGTAATGCATATCAATCTGCTTGCATGAAAAATAAGATACAGACATTACTTTTTCATGTATCTCATTAATTCTTACATTATTTTAATTACATTTGTTATAAGCATTTAGTTTTGTGCTTTAAAAAACAGATTTTTTGGTGAGGTAGGGAGAGTGAAATTTAATGGGAAGAGAATAATTTTAATTTACTTCAGCAAATTGCATTGGATAGAGAGATTATGGCCTAAACTAGCCAGTATGTTGACAATTCTCCAATGACAGGGTGTTACCGTTATAGGTGATTTTCAAAGCATGCTTTCAGAGAGAGCACAGTAAATACGTGTTCTTCTGGTGTATTTTTAAATTTTGAATGCTAAAACTGCTACCTATAAAGGAAAATGAACAGAGAACAGTGAAAGCTGGAAGTCTGGCTGATTGCCGGGCTTTTCGACTTTCTTTTTTTTTCCAACAGAGAAATAAAAATTGCTTCTTGAAATAAAATTAGTTTCTATCTTTGGACATCCTCAATGAGATGTTAGTGTTCAATTTGATTTAGATGGGGGAGAAACCCAAACCTGATTTTTCCAAATCACCTTTGCATTTCACTGCTGATTGACACAATAGTATCAGAGAGCTATGCCCCAGAGAGCAGGTTCCCAAAGAAAAAATAAACAATTTGCAAAGTGACTTGGATAATTATGTGAACTGGCCACCCAAGTGTGCCTTGCTGATACCATCAAAGATAATTGTGGGGAGGACGGAATCTAACCTCTCCTTTCAAAAACGAATATCCTTCAAAACAACAAAAGAAAAATTTGGAATTTCATGAGGATTACTCAGAATCCTCCAAAATAGTCTTAGCTTTGTCAAATCTGGATTTAAATGTCAGTAATTTAAGGCTAGCTTTATGAATACAATGTCTCTCTCCTGCAGCTGGGCCATATTATTTCAGTGACTTTTTTATGCTGAAGTTGGCTATAAGTTCTATGCTTGATTTATGAAGCAAAACACTCTATTTACTGTACAATGCTATAGTGCTGACATGCGGGGTCACTCAGTAATGCATTTGGAGTGGAGCGTGGGAACAGGGTTAAATGAGCAACATGCAATGGTTTATGAATGCAAAATGTGGCTTTTACAAAAAGAAAGCAAGATTCTAAGGGCCCAAATGAAAATTGTGACAAACAGTAGCAAGCTGTTGAATTTACTTGTAAGCACAAAGATTACATTTGACTCGGCAACTTTGAATCACACTGTAAAGTGCAAAGTACAAAAAAGTAAAATAAAAATGAAAGTACAGACTTCCCAATCACCCTCAGGGTAGGAGGGTTCCAAATGCTCATATGGGTTCTCCTTTATAACAACAGACTGTTTTTCAGGGACAGAGGAATATGGGAAATAAGTAGGGAAATGGAGAGTACAAATATTTTTGGAATTGATCACGGTTGTCAAATTTAAATGATCGATTACCTGAAAAACCACAGACATGTGCATTAACACAACACAGAGATAATTGTACCATATTCTGAATTTTAATTATAAAGTTAAAGCTAAGCACTCATATAGCTTCTTTCCTATAAAATCAACAAAAGATGAAATGAATGGATGAATGGTACATAGGGCTACTGATTTTTCTCTTTGGGTAGTTTTCTCTTTGGGGGAGAGGGGAGGAGAGAGAAAGCAATTTTTCAAATTTTATTAAATGGCCGTGAAAACCATATGGAATTCAGGTGTGAGCTGGAAAATATAAATGGAGAGAAGCAATCAAGTGATGTGCTGGTTCTGCAATCAATCTGTGATTTTTACTCTTATTCAAATTCTTCTAAAATCATTTGACTAACTAGAAATAGCAGAACTTTAGAATGAAATGTTCCAAGTTTGCCCCAGGTGGAAATTGTAGAATGCTTTTCTTAGCATGTTGAAATGTCAGAGAACATACCAAAGGAAAAAAAAAAGAGTATGCCACCAAAATGTGAGTCTCAGAGAGTCAACAGCCTACAAAGAAAAACAGGCAAGAACTATGCCTGACCCGATGAACAGCTGGAAAGTCATCAGTGAAAGGAAAGAAAAAAGTGAATGAGAAAAACACGTTGGTAGAAAGGCATTCTTTTGGAGGCAGATTCATTTTGTTGCTTCCATTTAAGATTAGGCAGCCACCACCACTTAACGCCTGTCAGGGCTGGATACTATTTTACAGTGAAAACAATGCCCACTTGAAGAAATAAAACTGATTACTTTTGAGAAAACATTCAGACAATTTTTTCCAGATTCTCCTCTGACATTACGGGAGACTTTGCCAGGGTTGCCACGTGACTCAAAACGATGCTGATCTTGAAACTGGAACAGCTGTGTAAAATATTAAAGCTGACTTAAACATGTTCACTCTATGAAAAAAGTAATCAAAAGGTAATGCCCCAGAGCAACTGAATACTGTAAACTTATGAGGAGATCATTCTTAGATACTAAGGGTGTGACCCAAATGCTTCACTGAAACTTAATTTCCTGCTAGCCAGGCAAAGAATGACAAACACCTAATTTGACTAAGTCAGCCACCATTGTGACTGAGAAGATTTCAGCTATAATAGCTGCAGTTAGGGAATAGCCTCTGTCTTTATTTGGGACAACACTTTTGCTATCAAGCTGATGGAATATTTACCAATCTAAGAGAGGGAGAAAATAAAAGCATTTACATTCCCAAGCCTCTTGGAAAGCCTCCGCATTTTGACTTGTTCTAGAGAGTTGGATCTAGTAGCATCAACAGCTCAGGAGATATCTAAGGCAATGAGGGTGACGTGAAGCCAGTGCAAAGCACCATTAGATAACAGTTCTTTCTGATTAAACAAAGTTGGGAGTATAATGCCAATTTTTATATTAAAATCTGTGATTGCTGTTCTTCCCCTAACTACCCTATCGACATTTTGAAAAGCTATTTGATATTTTGCTTGGAGTAAAAGAAAGACTGAAAGAGCTCACAATTAGTACAATCTAGGACAATGTAAATCTAGACTCTGTGTAGCTTGTACTACCAAGTGTCCATGCAGTACTAAGCAGTAAGAAAGTCCACAATAAAAATTAGCTTCAAGGGGCTGAAAATCTATTTAAAAGAAAAGGAAATCTTTTAAAAATTAGAGATGGCATAACATTAGCTAGAAAAAATGTGAAGGAAAATATCAACATCAAGTAATACAAATGGAAATAATTACCAAGAAGATCCAACGTTTCATCTTTCTCCCCCATTTCTGCTTTTTTAGCACCAATTTAAATCCCCCTTGTCAAGGTTCAACCTGAGTCACCTTTGACTTCCTGTTACTCAGGCGCTCCAAGTTATGAAGATTTTTAACCACATTCCTCTTAAGTGTGTTTCCTCCTTTTTGTTCCTATTACCTTTGTTGAGGCTCTCATCACTTCTGTTTGTTTGTTTGTTTGTTTTGTTTTGTTTTTGAGACAGAGTCTCACTCTTGTCACCCAGGCTGGAGTGAAATGGTGTGATCTCAGCTCACTGCAACCTCTGCCTCCCAGGTTCAAGTGATTCTCCTGCCTCAGCTTCCTGAGTAACTAGGATTACAGGAACCCACCACCATGTTCGGCTAATGTTTGTATTTTTAGTAGAGAAGGGGTTTTACCATGTTGGCCAGGCTGGTCTCGAATTCCTGACCTCAAGTGATCCACCCGCCTCGGCCTCCCAAAGTGCTGAGATTACAGTTATGATCCGTCATGCCCAGCGGTTCTTGACACTTCTCATCTTCTCTCCTGGTCTCCATCTCTACTACGCTCTTTTCATCCTGTTCATGCTATAAACCAGTGCCCGGGAAAAACCGTGAAATGCAGGTCTGAGCATATCATGCCTCTGCTCTGAAATCTGCATTTACTCCCCATTGACTAAGGAATTTAATCGCTAACTCTTCCTATTGTCCTTGGTCTGCTCAAATAGCTCCAACTTATTTTTGACCCTCTCTATACACCAGACACTGCAGTCCAACAATACTTATCACACAGTCCCCTGAACCTAAAGTTTAATGCTTTGAATCATCGACATTCTACTCATTATCAAGATCCTTTTCCATTGTTATTTCCATTTTTAAAGTTGTTCCTACTCATCAATTAGATGTACTAGCCCTTCCTTATTAAACTTTCTTTATGACAATTATTTTATGTTGCCTGCTCCTATGGCTGTTTGGGTACTTACTGCACCTGAATTTAAGCTCCTTGAGGGCAGGGAATCTCTTAATCATTTTTAGTATTTCCTACAGCACTCTGAATAGTCCCTTAAACATCATAGCTACTCCATGAATATATGGTGATTCAAATAAGATGGTTTAAGGGAAAAACAAAATTTTGTGTTCTTTTCAATAAAAGAGAGGAATATTTTGAAAAACATTATATATGAAATTTTATAAAGGTAAATAGAAACTTAATTTTGGAGAAAAATATTAAGGAATGTACATCATTCACATTCTAGAATGAGCTGCTCACCCCTCAGAAATGGAAAGCATTACCATTATTCCCAAACATAAAATTATGGAAATTTAAAATGGAAAGGAGTGATTAGGTTATATTGGTTTTTTGCCCTGTCAACTCGAGATCCTTATTTAATTCCATTATTCAGTGTTACTAAAAGCAGAAGTCAATTTTAGTCCATTTTCAAGCCTTTCAACAAATGAGTTTTAAATGAGTCACATGATTTTTCTTTAGGAGGCTGGTTTCATCAAGTAATAATGTATTCTCATGCATAAAATCTTCCCAACTCTTTAGAGATCACTAGTTGGACAATTGTAGTTGCCGTATTGATTCTATTTCTTTTGAATAAGTTGGTCTGGTTTTTAACACCTATCCCCTTTCCTCCAAAACCTATAGAATATGAAATATTCAAAGGCTTTGAGATGTTTTCCTTTGGAGTGGTGAGTTTTATTTATTTCAGATGTCATTGAGAAAAATGTTGAACACTGGCTGCTTCGTGCCCATTGAAATTCCATGTCGGGGCAACTGCTAAGACTGTTGCTGGGTCATCAGTCAGGAATTGGGTGCATCAGGAAACCTGGCAAGGTGACACATTTGCTCTGGTTTACTTGAAATTTTTCTCAGTTTTAGCACTGAACCTTCCATTTCCCAGAAGACCCCTCAGTACAGGGTAGATGTGATGGTTGGCGGTCCCACTGTTAAAAGTGGTACCTGGGGGAAGAGTATCTTTTTATCATGTCCCCTTTTATACAACTCTAAATATTGTATTGTGCATGTAGTATATATTCAAAATTTTTAAATTAAAAATGTAGAATCATGATTGGGAGCTCTAACAATCAGCTGGGGGGCGGGGGGGAAAGGACAGAAACATGTCAGATACTCCAAAAAATAAAACCTTGGTTGATTCCATGTTAGACCCCAGAGAACAATGCCTCTCTAGACCAGCAACATGAACCTGGAGATTCCAGGCCCTTCCAAAACTATGGAGTTTTCACAAGAAGTCTGCAGATCCATATGTTCACCGAATAATATCTGCAGACAGAATAATATGACTCACACATGTATGCATCTTTGCTCTTCAGATATTCGTAGGAACTACTGTCATAAATAAAGCAAAACTTCATTTACAATTTTTAAAAATTCAGTGCATGGGTTTTAGAACTACAGCATTTCAGAGCCGGATAGGACCTTGGAGATTGACTTTTCCGGCCCCATTCTTTTACAAATGTGGAAGCAGAGTTGCACAGCTAGTTAATGGAATGTGTGCTCCATGAACGAATCTACCTCATGGTGCTAAGCTAATTACAGAAGGGTTTACACAGCTCTTATAGAAGTGTGATTAAGTCCAGTGGGGATCTGTGATAACCAATTGACTATCTATCTTCAATGGCATTAAACAGTGGCTCTCCCCGCACCCCTGCCCCCCCCACCCGCCCGCCTTGATAGCAGACAGTGACAGCCTGGAGTACAGTTTCAAGGAGACAGAGACCTGCATCACAGGCCTGAGTCTCCCACCACCTAGTCGAGTGATCTTGGGCAAGTCATTTACTATCTGTAGCCTTCACCGTTCTTGCCTAGAAAAAGAAAAGGATAAGATAACCTCTGGGTTAAGATAACCTCTGGTTAAGATAACCTCTGGGATCCCTTTTTTGATAACATTTTATGAGCCTGCAAACCATTAGGAGAACTTTCTTGGTCAATGCTTATAGAAAATTTGCTCCTGGAGCTTTAGTGGAAGCCAAGATTACACACTTAGTCAATGGCAGAGTTACAATTAGAATCTAATTCTCTGGACTCCCTGTCTTTTTATCTACTTTGGTCCCCCCACAGTACATGTAAATAAGCTTGCAATGACTGCCATCTGCCCCTAGGAAGTGTGGATCACAGATCAACACAACTATGGAAAGGAGAAAAGTAGAAGCCAGTTCTAAAGTTCAAGCTTGGTAACTTCAGATTTTCTATTTTGTGCCCTATGTACAAGCAGTGACCATTACTGATATCATTATTATCATTAATATTATGTTAATGACTTATACTTGAGGAATGCCTTAGAGTTCACAAATCACATTACTTATATGATCTTATTTAAGCCCACAGCTATACTCTGAAGTATTGCAAGAAATCATTTTTATCACTAATTTATGAGCATGGTGATTGGTGCTCCAAGACTACACTCTCCAATAAGTTAGCCATTAGCCATATGAGGCTATTTAAATTTAAATTACTAAGATTAAATAAAAGTTTGAATTCTGCTTCTCTATTATACTAGCTATATTTCAAGTACTCAGTAGCCACATAGGTGCCATGGTTAACATATTGAATAGCACAGATATAGAGCATTTCCATTACAGCAGAAAGCTCCATTGGATAGCACTGCTCTAGGAGATTGTGACTTGCTCAAGTTCACATAGCTAGTAAGTGGCAGAGCCAAGGTCTTGGGCCTCTGACCCCAGAGCTAGTGGCCTCATCCCAGAGCAGCTTTGCCTCACCATCTAGCCTACCTATAGGTCCCTTACCACTTAATTAGTAGTGTCCACTAAAGAAAGGTAAACCAGTTTTCATATCACCCTTAGAGATGCACAAAAGGGTAGCACCATTCTAATTTACAAAATGTAAAAAAGGATCAGGTGATAGGGAACACAAGCCAAGTCTGAAAATAAAGAGCTAAACCTCAAGCATGTTCACTAGCAACCTGAAAATTAAGTATTTGTTGCTCTGTGTCTATTAAACACCCAATAATTTTCAAATATTATCAGTGTCAGGCCTTTACTTTTCAAATATTATTAATGACCAATTCTGAATCTTGAATTAGCCAGAAGACAAACGGCAGACTGGAATTCATACTACTCAGAATTCTAGCCAGAGCTATTTCACTCACATTTAACATCCCAGTTTTTCTTTCAAAAAATATATATATAGGCAGGCATATTAGAGGAGAAATTGGAACATTATCATATTGTTTGCCTGTACCGATTTTTACACAGGTGTCATAGAAAATAGAAATAGTCATCATTATCTAGTTCCACATCGAAGCTTAATTCAAAACAGAGAGAGCACACTGTAGTGCTCCCAAAAAGGCAACAAAGCCTAAGGAATTTTTTTTCAGCCCACTTTGGAATAGATCAAAGGTATACATCCTAAAAAAGAAACAGCATTGTGTCTGTAAAGTCTGAACTTTGAAGCCACAGTAGGTCTTGGTTAGAAACTTCACTGACTTTTTCCTAGTTTCTTGGCCTCTAGAAATCCCTTAAACTTTCTGAGACTCAGTTTCCTCATCTAGAAAAAGAGACACAATATTTCCTACCTTACAAGGGTTGCTTTGAGGACTGATGATAATGCCTGTATAGCACCCAGTTTTTCTGAGTCCAGTGTATTTTCATCCACTCACGGAGAGGTTAATTATTAACACACTGAAGGTGAGATGGGGTACATGATGGCAAGTAGGTGACAATTTGTACTGGTAACCTAGAATTCTCTTTGGTGAAAATTTTCACTTATTAATAGCTTGACTTTCTTCAACTGAAAAAATAACACGATTGGCTAGACAGTGCCAAGTAAAATGTGATCTTTAGTAAGAGGTATTATTATTAATTTCCCTTAAGGAAAAATATTAACACATCATGGAGTTTAGCCATTTTTCAACTGAAAAATATCAGGCCAGGTGTAGTGGCTCACGCCTATAATCCCAACACTTTGGGAGGCCAAGGTGGGCAGATCACCTGAAGTCAGGAGTTCGAGACCAGCCTGGCCAACATGGTGAAACCCTGTCTCTACTAAAAACACAAAAGTTAGGTGAGCATGGTGGCAGGTGCCTGGAATCCCAGCTACTCAGGAGGTTGAAGCACGAAAATCGCTTGAAACCGGGAAGCAGAGGTTGCAGTGAGCTGAGATCATGCCTTTGCACTCTAGCCTGGGCAACAAGAGCAAAACTCTGTCTCAAAAAAAAAAAAAAAATCAAGCTTTTAATAAGCAGAATTTTCACCTAAGATAATTCTATATTGCCACTCCAAATTGTCACTTAATTCCCATCTCACCTGCACTGTATTTATTTCCGATAAACCTCTCATTGAGTGAAGAACAATACATTGGATCAAGAAAAGTTTGTTTTCAGATCTCAATTACATTCTGTGTATGTTTATAGATTTTACCCTGGGGAGAAAATACAAATACTCATCTTCTACCTACATTTTACAAGAACAAGTTCTATGGTAACTTTTAAATTCATTATTAGCAAAGGTTATATTTAAGATTCCTGTGTCTACTGCTTAATAACACCCAAATTAGTCTCGATGGAATTAGCTGTAATTAAGGACATTGTGAAATATGGTGGGGCAAACAGAATTACGCTATATTACTTTATTAATAATATTCTTTAACTACACTGTAAATTGCTATTAGGCCTGCATATTACTGCCTGGATATGGAAATAGTCTTTTGCTATGCTAATCTAACACAATTTTCTTTTAAATGTAAACAAATTATACTCTATTAATATGCTGTTCTACTTGCATAGTTAATTATTGTAACAGTAAGGAATAAAATTGTTCTGCTTTCTCTGTTTCTGATGGAAAAAGGGCTACATAAATAGTTTAATAGGGAACTAATTATGCAAAAAATTTAGATGCCTAAAATGTGTTTGTAATTACATTAAAATGGTCTTCTGTTCAAATATTGGAAAGCCTGCTAATTGGAGGCTAGCTGAAAATTTAAATATTGTGAATCAATGATTTTAATACAGTACATATTTAGTTGTGTTTCTGTTCATATTTGTCTTGAAAATGAAGAGAATATTTAACAGTGTTTAATAAGAGGGGGTCTGAGTTTCATACCAATGAAGTTAGTCTGTGGCAGACTGGAATTTTAAGCATGCATTTTACAGCATTATCTTTAATTTACTCAAGAGGTATGGACAAGTTTTGGCTCAGCAACAAGGAAAACAAAAGTATACTGCTTGCAGGATAAGTTGATGTGAAAGGAAAATCTGATGTGGACCAAATCAAAGAGTCCTGGAAAATGCCCCACGACAGGCAGACCAGAGTTGATATGGTTGTAAATTGTTAAATCATTCTAGATAAATAAACACATGTAGCAGATCACCTGCCTATTCCCCAAAGATTTCCAAGTGCATCGCTTTATCTGGTCATAATTAAGGAATGCTAAAGATGCAGTGCCTTGTCCTAAATGATTCTTTGTGGCATCCAAGCTTTTATTTTGATGTGGAACCGAGGTTCTTAATCTGAGAAAAATGCAATGCTAAAATAAGCCCACGCTTTTGGAGAGAATTTCAACAACCTGTCCTGAATTTTAAACTATTTTGGAAAAAAAAAGAAGGGCAAACTGTTCATTATAATTTTTACGACAATACAAATGAAAGCACTGCATATGTAACCAGGATTAATTGCACAGATAATTGGGAACCCAGAAATAACTTTATAATTTAAAATTCTTGCCTACTTAACAGAGCTGTTGTGAGGATCAAGAGGTATGATGTACTTGAAAGCCCGCTGAAGACTGGAAAGCTCAGACAGGAGGTAGCAGGACGATCACCATGGTTATTAATAATAATGAAAAGATGAAATATCATTTTTCATATAACATAATCCCTGCCATGGTTCTTTCCACTCAAACTTCTATAACTATCATACCTCGATGGTACAAGTAGTGGTTAGGTTTGCACTCTGAACATAACGAACGAGGGTGTGAATCTTGGCTCTCCCTTTTAGGGCCTGATAGTCTGCAAAACAGTGCTCTGTGGGCCTGTTTTAAGATTTAGTACAGGGAACAGTCACAATCAGTCAACTGACTAATTTCTCCTTAACCACTGCCACATTCTTTGACCTAAAGGATATTTTAAAGATAATAAAAGACCCACAAATCCATTGCAAGCACTTTAAAGATACTGTGCATTGGACTGAGCCCAACAACTTAGCCTGGTCATGAACTTCTGCCCTCTTTTCACTCCCTACCTATCACCTATGCAAGCTCTCTGCTCTACTCAGCACTGGAGAGTCCTTCTTTCCCAAAAATGTCATGCCCCTTCCCGCATCTGGGATATTGAGTCTGCCATTTTCCTCACTTGAAATGCTTCCTCCTCTTTCCATAACTCTTCTTTCAGCCTAACTCGAATTCTCTTTCTTCCTGTAGGACCTTCATTGAACATTCCAACACATACTTAGCAATTTCTCCCTTTCTTTTGAATTCACTAGCACATAATATCTGTACCTTTTTCTTGGCACTTGGTCTGTTATCTTGTTTGTTATTCCACTTTCTTAGTATTGTATTTATTTTCCTCTAACTGGATAATAGCCTCTTTCAGGAATTTTATACATCTTTGTGTTTCTAGCACATGCTATGACCTATACATAGTAGACTTTGTACAGATGCTTGCTCTTATGTGAGAGCAGAAGCACATGGTGATCAAAGAATGTGTGGAAATGGTCTCAAGTCAGGTCAGCCGGTCTACCCCAAATAATCCATTTAAATGGACAGGAGGGTTTGAGCCTACTGGCAGTTCTGTAATGCACATGACAGGCAGCTCTGTTTGTCTGAGAAAGCATCTTGAGTTATGGTAGAACCTGATCGGTTTATATCAAATATTTTGATGAAGTGGTGCTTTGTCTAATTCTATCCTGTCATTACACAACAATTATCCACCTCTCTATATGCACAGAGAACATACTGTGTGTATACTCGAGTTAGACTTAAGCCACATATCTGAAAATTGTCAATCCTGTTTTTACTCTACTAAAATTATTTCTCATGTCTCTTTTCTTTTTTGTTTGTTTGGTTTTTGAGACAGGGTCTCACTCTGTTGCCCAGGCTGGAGGGCAGTGGCACAATCATAGCTCACTGCAGCCTCAAACTCCTAGGCTCAAGCAATCCTCCCACCTCAGCCTCCCAAGTAGCTGGGACTACAGGTGCACATCATCATGCCTGGCTAACTTTTAGCTTTAGTTTTTGTAGCGACAGGGTCTCACCAAGTTGCCCAGGCTAGTCTCAATCTCCCAGCCTCAAGCAATCCTCTTTCCTCGGCCTCCCAAAGCACTGAGATTATAGTCATGAACCACTGCACCCAGCCTCATGTCTCTTCAAGATAGAAATTTCAAAGGTGTATGATTGCTATTTACTGTAACTTTTTATTTAGGGTATTTGTTATGTCTCAGGAAAGCTGGATGACTATCTCATTCTCTGATGATGGAGAAGAATACTCACAACCTGCTCCCCACCTCCCACTGGTATGTTAATCAAAAATATCTACCTTTTTAAAAATGCCACCAGACTTTTACACCAGTGGAAAGTTGTGTATTGATTGATGCAGTCTTCAATTAATGCATTCTCTTTTTCCTTCCCACAATTATTAATGAGCAGTGAAATGCCAATATGGTGGAAACAGAAGGGAGAAGAAAGAACAGCGGAGACACTGATCATTCGAAACCAAAGAAGCAGCTCATGCATAATGGAGAGCTATCTGCATGCAAATTGCTAGGAGTACTTCCTACTTTTCTGGGATATTGTATTTAGCCCTCTGTACTCTATTCAGAAGAGTTCTGTTCCCCAGGCCAAGAAGGTAAAATGTGGATTGTACTTGAATAGTCTTGTGAATGAAAAATGGCTAAATTCTTTTTATTAAGTGGAATAATCAAACTGGCAGAGTAATTTCCCTAAATTTAAATTCCCATTACAGAGAAAAGACACACTCTTGCCCACTTATGGCCTCTGTTCTTTATCACATGCTTTCTCCCTAGCTGCAGAAGCCTAGAAGAACCTTGTTCAATGGATTGTCACAGAGAGAGCCGAAGGCATGGCCACAGAAAGTAGGGCACAGGGAGAAGCTAACTCCCTAATTTCTTTTTCTTTTTTCAGTTGAGATATACATGATGCTTTCTTGATCTTTTGCTCTGTTTCCACCAGTTGTATTATATATGCATATAAAATGTCCATTTAAAATACCATACAGTTTGTGCCAGACTAGTCCATTTTCACTATCTTCTGATCTCTCATAGACAGAATATTAAAATCCAAGAAGGATTTAGCTCAGTGCACATGTTGCCACTGGTAACCCATGGTAATAAGGTAACCCTATATATTCACAAGTGCCATATGTTACATGCATAGATACATATGCAGACAGAGTGACTGTTTTTAGAAAATTCATGCCTTCCAGTAAAAAAAAAAAAAAAAAAAAAAAAAAAAGTGTTCCCTGGAGTACATCACCAGTGCTATGGGCTATTGATGCAATTTACTCTCCAACTTTCAGAGCTTTATTTCTGGTTTTACAGGAATTACAGGAAAACCAAGTTATAAAAGTTCTTAAGAAACAAAGAACGAGTATTTACTGAAAAGTCTTCGTGAAGTGAAATCTATCAGTAGACGTCCAAATGTAAGCCACTTAAAGGTTTACATTCAAGCCAGATAGAGACTTTTTCTTAAAAAAAAAGAGGTATATTTTTGTCTTCATTTTCTAACAAAATAATATCCCCTATTCTTGACTGTTAATATATTGATGTAACCAGTAAAATTTAAAAATTATATATATATGTAAAATTTAAATTTTACATACATGGACATGTAAAATTTTTAAATTATGTATATTTTGGATTCCTTAACAGATTGCAATTTTTCCATATCCTCCTCAGAAGTCAAAATCTCAGGACATAGGAGATACATTAACAGATGAAGTGAACTCATATTTTTTTAGCCCAGCAAGACAAGACCAAACCTTAGCTGTGGCTCCACTTAGTCTAGTAGAGGAATGTGTAACATTTTTTTAAAAGGGAAAACTACTTTCTCAAAAGACTTTATAGCTTCTTAACACCTTGATTTGATCCAGGATAGAAAGATAATACATTTAAACTCTATAGAAAAATTTAATCTGGAAGAAAATAGGTATATTTGTTTAAGTTTCAAAGACATTAATAAATGCCTCCAGTAAGATTACAATGAAGCAACATGAATAAAGACCAAGTCAGAGCTTCTGAAGCCCCTCAGTAAGCTCTTTTATCTAGAATCACCATCTGTTGAACTGAATGTAGAAGGCTGCCTCAGTTTTCTCAATGGGACTGTTACTAGGCAGGGTATGAGAAAAAAGAGATTCTACTGTCAGGTACATTTATTTGGTTCCAATTCCAGAAAGCATAGTACAAAGGAATAGTGGAATATGCTATGCTATCAATTTTATAAGTGACTTCTTTGGAACAAAGGTGCTTTCTTCTACATATTCTTGAATATTCCTAAGAATTTTTTTTTTTTTTTGAGACGGGGTCTCCCTCTGTCACCCAGGCTGGAGTGCAGTGGCGTGATCTCAGCTCACTGCAACCTCAACCTCCCAGGCTTAAGCAATCCTCCCACCTCAGCCTCCTGAGTAGTTGGGACCACAGGCACGTGCCACCATGCCTGCCAGGCTTATTTTTTGTAAAGATCCAGTTTCACCATGTGACCCAGGCTGGTCTCCAACTCCTGGGCTCCACCAATTTGCCCACCTCAGCCTCCCAAAGTGCTGGGATTACAGGTGAGAGCCACCTCTCCCAAATCCTAAGAACATTTTTATATTACTCTATACTCTGTGTTTTCTCTGATGGTATGTATTGCTTTGATAGCCAGAATTTTAAAAAAAAATGGTTTTAAGGAGGACAAAAGCAATGTCTGACAGTCCCTTCTTCCATCCTATATTACAAAAAAA
Organism: Homo sapiens; assembly: GCF_000001405.40. Classification (NCBI taxonomy): domain Eukaryota; kingdom Metazoa; phylum Chordata; class Mammalia; order Primates; family Hominidae; genus Homo; species Homo sapiens. The sequence continues at coordinate 55,895,892 of NC_000018.10, read as the reverse complement.
AAATCTTTATTTTCAGACATTCTCATTGTGCCTGAAGGCTTCTTTTCCCCTTTCCTGGCCAAAGATGCCTCCCTCCACTGGGAATGCCAGGCCCACATGCCCTGCTTAACCTCCTCTCCCATCAATATACAGTCCCCCCTTCTTCTCTAGAGGGCTCTGCTCCTCTCTCTTCTTCGTCACCTTTATATATGTTTACATTATGGTGGCCTCAAGGAATTGCATTACAGGTACCAGACCTAAAGTGCCGTGAAAATCCGACACCCTCACCTGCCCACATTACACAGCAGCAGGAATGGAGAAGGCTTGTTCCAGGCTGAGAATTACCAAAAAGTCAGTTTATATTAGCTGTGATAATTCACAAAGCCTTGTGCATCCTAGTAATTTGGTTCTTTCTAATGCCTCCAATTATTCTGTTACAAATCGATAAAAATTAGGTCCAAAAGTCAGCATATCTTCTTTTTATCTCAAACTATAGCAATGTCCCTTAAATGTCCAGGAAGTAGATAAATTCATAATAACATAGAGAAGCTACAAGAGAAAAGTAAAACAGATTACTCTCTTCTATATTTTGAGTTTTCTGTATGTCCGTACACAGTCATATATTCCTGGGTTCTTGTATCTAACCTCTTTTTAACACATCACTTGTTTTTGGTAGATGGATAAAGGAAAGACTCACAGACTCTTTTAGAGCAACCAAAGAATCTGTAGACTATTGTACTTCGAAAAAATAACCACTTGAACATTGTCCTTTATCCCTTCCTCCTTCAGAGTCTTCTCATTCTCTGTTGAGCCTTATAAGCTCTTCTGTTTCAAGACTGCTACTTTCAAAAATAGGTATGAGCTGCTCTGGGAAACAGAAGTTGTTTGTTGTTTGTCACTTCAGAGAAATGAAGGTGAACCCAGTGCACCGTGGGGAACCAGTTGTTGCATAAAGCATGAATTTGCTATAAATGCAGAGAGAGGTACAGAGGCTCATCTCAGAGACAAATACTGTAGATGGATTTAAGATAAAGTTGGTTTTATTGACTAGAAAAAAACAGGAATTAATTATAACATGCTACTTAAAATATACTGCAAGTAAAAGAGGCAAAAATATAATAAATCAGCTATGGCAGTAATCTCTATATGATTTCTTTAACTTGATATTTCCCCTTATGGAAGTGAGGAATCAGCTCTAGGGCACTGAAAAAGAATGGAATTCATGCAAACATCTTCTTTAACTTTTTTTGAAAACAAAATCCCAGGATAATCTAAGGGATTTGTTTTAATGTTTCTTTATTCGGGAAAATCTTATGGAAACTTGACAATTAGGGAGAGAAAAGCAGTAATAAGTAAACCATAGTGCCTGCATGGGAGATCAGGTGAGAGAAGAAATAGACGGAGTGAGGCCCAACTGTGGCCAACCCTGATTGTTAGTAAGAAGTATTTGTAAGAAGGCATCAATTAAAAACTTTAAAGTATGTATATTTAAGGCGTTTTTTTTTTTACTTTTGGTGAAACTTCTTTGCCATATTCATATACAAGGTTTATGTAATAGATTTCCCATGAATGTGAAAATGTACCATGTTGTTTACATTTTAACCAGAATACGCTGAAAGTCCAGCAAAATGAGACTTTCTCTCTAAATATCGCCTTTTCACATTTTACCAGTTCTTTCTTTGCCCTGCTCTCTAGACTTCACTTCTCCATGCCCCCTTTATAAGGCTAATTGCTATTTATCATTGTGTTCCACTTAGTGACACTCCCTAGGCAGGTCTTCCCTGTAACCCCACTCTAAGACAGGTACCCAAGCTATGTGCTTCCACATCACTCTGAAATTCCCCTGGCAACATTAATTCCAGTTCACGTTACTTTTTAAGTGTCTTCCCCATTAGACTAAGTTCCAAGGGCAAAAAATCACGTCTGTCTCACGAACTCTGCTGTCTCCTGAACCTTCAATAATATCACCTAGCACTCAAATGTTTATGTTAAAGCAAAATTTATCAGGCTACTTAAATTAGGCCCAACACATTTCCAGTAATTCAGTGATTAAAAATAGAATGGAGAATGGATTTTCAAATTACCAAAATATGTCAAGTAAATGGCTGTAACAAGTTTGAACTCTTTAATCATTCAACATCCTTGTGTTTGCTATCACTATCAGCTACTTGCATAATCTCCCACAGTCTTGTCCTCTTCCTTTTCTTCCATTTGGAACTCTGAGTCTATGCCAGTAGCAGTCACTGTCCTCTTACTCCAAGACACCATCATCATGGAGTAAAACTGGATGGACACAGTAATAGCAGATATAGTTCAGAAATAACTATATTTCTTCTTGATAGGGTCACATTCTCAGCTCTAGCTGCTCTCTGGCTAACCACAGACACATCCCACAGATACAAATTTTTAAAGTGAACAAAATACAAGGTTATTTACTTGAAATGAAATCATGTTATTAATATTTATGTTACCTGGGGGGAGGAGACAAGATGGCCGAATAGGAACAGCTCCGGTCTACAGCTCCCAGCCTGAGCGACGCAGAAGACGGGTGATTTCAGCATTTCCATCTGAGGTACCGGGTTCATCTCACTAGGGAGTGCCAGACAGTGGGCGCAGGTCAGTGGGAGCGCGCACCGTGCGAGAGCCGAAGCAGGGCGAGGCATTGCCTCACTCAGGAAGCGCAAGGGGTCACGGAGTTCCCTTTCCTAGTCAAAGAAAGGGGTGACGGACGGCACCTGGAAAATCGGGTCACTCCCACCAGAATACTGCGCTTTTCCGACAGGCTTAAAAAACGGCGCACCACTAGACTATATCCCACACCTGGCTTGGAGGGTCCTACGCCCACGGAATCTCCCTGATTGCTAGCACAGCAGTCTGAGATCAAACTGCAAGGCGGCAGCGAGGCTGGGGGAGGGGCGCCCGCCATTGCCCAGGCTTGATTAGGTAAACAAAGCAGCTGGGAAGCTGGAACTGGGTGGAGCCCACCACAGCTCAAGGAGGCCTGCCTGCCTCTGTAGGCTCCACCTCTGGGGGCAGGGCACAGACAAACAAAAAGACAGCAGTAACCTCTGCAGACTTAAATGTCCCTGTCTGACAGCTTTGAAGAGAGCAGTGGTTCTCCCAGCACGCAGCTGGAGATCTGAGAACGGGCAGACTGCCTCCTCAAGTGGGTCCCTGACCCCTGACCCCCCAGCAGCCTAGCTGGGAGGCACCCCCCAGCAGGGGCACACTGACACCTCACACGGCAGGGTATTCCAACAGACCTGCAGCTGAGGGTCCTGTCTGTTAGAAGGAAAACTAACAAACAGAAAGGACATCCACAACAAAAACCCATCTGTACATCACCATCATCAAAGACCAAAAGTAGATAAAACCACAAAGATGGGGAAAAAATAGAACAGAAAAACTGGAAACTCTAAAAAGCAGAGCGCCTCTCCTCCTCCAAAGGAATGCAGTTCCTCACCAGCAATGGAACAAAGCTGGATGGAGAACGACTTTGACGAGCTGAGAGAAGAAGGCTTCAGACGATCAAATTACTCTGAGCTACGGGAGGACATCCAAACCAAAGGCAAAGAAGTTGAAAACTTTGAAAAAAATTTAGAAGAATGTATAACTAGAATAACCAATACAGAGAAGTGCTTAAAGGAGCTGATGGAGCTGAAAACCAAGGCTCGAGAACTACGTGAAGAATGCAGAAGCCTCAGGAGCCGATGCAATCAACTGGAAGAAAGGGTATCAGCGATGGAAGAGGCAATGAATGAAATGAAGCGAGAAGGGAAGTTGAGAGAAAAAAGAATAAAAAGAAATGAGCAAAGCCTCCAAGAAATATGGGACTATGTGATAAGACCAAATCTACGTCTGATTGGTGTACCTGAAAGTGACGGGGAGAATGGAACCAAGTTGGAAAACACTCTGCAGGATATTATCCAGGAGAACTTCCCCAATCTTGCAAGGCAGGCCAACGTTCAGATTCAGGAAACACAGAGAACACCACAAAGATACTCCTTGAGAAGAGCAACTCCAAGACACATAATTGTCAGATTCACCAAAGTTGAAATGAAGGAAAAAATGTTAAGGGCAGCCAGAGAGAAAGGTCGGGTTACCCTCAAAGGGAAGCCCATCAGACTAACAGCAGATCTCTCAGCAGAAACCCTACAAGCCAGAAGAGAGTGGGGGGCCAATATTCAACATTCTTAAAGAAAAGAATTTTCAACCCAGAATTTCATATCCAGCCAAACTAAGCTTCATAAGTGAAGGAGAAATCAAATACTTTACAGACAAGCAAATGCTGAGAGATTTTGTCACCACCAGGCCTGCCCTAAAAGAGCTCCTGAAGGAAGTGCTAAACATGGAAAGGAACAACCAGTACCAGCCGCTGCAAAATCATGCCAAAATGTAAAGACCATCGAGACTAGGAAGAAACTGCATCAACTAACAAGCAAAATAACCAGCTAACATCATAATGACAGGATCAAATTCACACATAACAATATTAACTTTCAATGTAAATGGACTAAATTCTCCAATTAAAAGACACAGACTGGCAAATTGGATAAAGAGTCAAGACCCATCAGTGTGCTGTATTCAGGAAACCCATCTCACGTGCAGAGACACACATAGGCTCAAAATAAAAGGATGGAGGAAGATCTACCAAGCAAATGGAAAACAAAAAAAGGCAGGGGTTGCAATCCTAGTCTCTGACAAAACAGACTTTAAACCAATAAAGATCAAAAGAGATAAAAAAGAAGGCCATTACATAATGGTAAAGGGATCAATTCAACAAGAAGAGCTAACTATCCTAAATATATATGCACCCAATACAGGAGCACCCAGATTCATAAAGCAAGTCCTGAGTGACCTACAAAGAGACTTAGACTCCCACACATTAATAATGGGAGACTTTAACACCCCACTGTCAACATTATACAGATCAACAAGACAGAAAGTCAACAAGGATACCCAGGAATTGAACTCAGCTCTGCACCAAGCGGACCTAATAGACATCTACAGAACTCTCCACCCCAAATCAACAGAATATACATTTTTTTCAGCACCACACCACACCGATTCCAAAATTGACCACATACTTGGAAGTAAAGCTCTCCTCAGCAAATGTAAAAGAACAGAAATTATAACAAACTATCTCTCAGACCACAGTGCAATCAAACTAGAACTCAGGATTAAGAATCTCACTCAAAACCGCTCAACTACATGGAAACTGAACAACCTGCTCCTGAATGACTACTGGGTACGTAACAAAATGAAGGCAGAAATAAAGATGTTCTTTGAAACCAACGAGAACAAAGACACAACATACCAGAATCTCTGGGACGCATTCAAAGCAGTGTGTAGAGGAAATTTATAGCACTAAATGCCCACAAGAGAAAGCAGGAAAGATCCAAAATTGACACCCGAACATCACAATTAAAAGAACTAGAAAAGCAAGAGCAAACACATTCAAAAACTAGCAGAAGGCAAGAAATAACTAAAATCAGAGCAGAACTGAAGGAAATAGAGACACGAAAAACCCTTCAAAACATTAATGAATCTAGGAGCTGGTATTTTGAAAGGATCAACAAAATTGATAGACCACTAGCAAGACTAATAAAGAAAAAAAGAAGAATCAAATAGACGCAATAAAAAATGATAAGGGGGATATCACCACCGATCCCACAGAAATACAAACTACCATCAGAGAATACTATAAACACCTCTATGCAAATAAACTAGAAAATCTAGAAGAAATGGATAAATTCCTCGACACATACACTCTCCCAAGACTAAACCAGGAAGAAGTTGAATCTCTGAATAGACCAATAACAGGATCTGAAATTGTGGCAATAATCAATAGCTTACCAACCAAAAAGAGTCCAGGATCAGATGGATTCACAGCCGAATTCTACCAGAGGTACAAGGAGGAACTGGTACCATTCCTTCTGAAACTATTCCAATCAATAGAAAAAGAGGGAATCCTCCCTAACTCATTTTATGAGGCCAGCATCATTCTGATACCAAAGCCTGGCAGAGACACAACCAAAAAAGAGAATTTTAGACCAATATCCTTGATGTACATTGATGCAAAAATCCTCAATAAAATACTGGCAAAACGAATCCAGCAGCACATCAAAAAGCTTATCCACCATGATCAAGTGGGCTTCATCCCTGGGATGCAAGGCTGGTTCAATATATGCAAATCAATAAATGTAATCCAGCATATAAACAGAGCCAAAGACAAAAACCACATGATTATCTCAATAGATGCAGAAAAGGCCTTTGACAAAAACAACCCTTCATGCTAAAAACTCTCAGTAAATTAGGTATTGATGGGACGTATTTCAAAATAATAAGAGCTATCTATGACAAACCCACAGCCAATATCATACTGAATGGGCAAAAACTGGAAGCATTCCCTTTGAAAACTGGCACAAGACAGGGATGCCCTCTCTCACCACTCCTATTCAACATAGTGTTGGAAGTTCTGGCCAGGGCAATTAGGCAGGAGAAGGAAATAAAGGGTATTCAATTAGGAAAAGAGGAAGTCAAATTGTCCCTGTTTGCAGACGACATGATTGTATATCTAGAAAACCCCATTGTCTCAGCCCAAAATCTCCTTAAGCTGATAAGCAACTTCAGCAAAGTCTCAGGATACAAAATCAATGTACAAAAATCACAAGCATTCTTATACACCAACAACAGACAAACAGAGAGTCAAATCATGAGTGAAATCCCATTCACAATTGCTTCAAAGAGAATAAAATACCTAGGAATCCAACTTACAAGGGATGTGAAGGACCTCTTCAAGGAGAACTACAAACCACTGCTCAAGGAAATAAAAGAGGATACAAACAAATGGAAGAACATTCCATGCTCATGGGTAGGAAGAATCAATATCGTGAAAATGGCCATACTGCCCAAGGTAATTTACAGATTCAATGCCATCCCCATCAAGCTACCAATGCCTTTCTTCACAGAATTGGAAAAAACTACTTTAAAGTTCATATGGAACCAAAAAACAGCCCGCATCGCCAAGTCCATCCTAAGCCAAAAGAACAAAGCTGGAGGCATCACACTACCTGACTTCAAACTATAGTACAAGGCTACAGTAACCAAAACAGCATGGTACTGGTACCAAAACAGAGATATAGATCAATGGAACAGAACAGAACCCTCAGAAATAACGCCGCACATCTACAACTATCTGATCTTTGACAAACCTGAGAAAAACAAGCAATGGGGAAAGGATTCCCTATTTAATAAATGGTGCTGGGAAAACTGGCTAGCCATATGTAGAAAGCTGAAACTGGATCCCTTCCTTACACCTTATACAAAAATCAATTCAAGATGGATTAAAGACTTAAACGTTAGACCTAAAACCATAAAAACCCTACAAGAAAACCTAGGCAATACCATTCAGGACATAGGCATGGGCAAGGACTTCATGTCTAAAACACCAAAAGCAATGGCAACAAAAGACAAAATTGACAAATGGGATCTAATTAAACTAAAGAGCTTCTGTACAGCAAAAGAAACTACCATCAGAGTGAACAGGCAACCTACACAACGGGAGAAAATTTTCGCAACCTACTCATCTGACAAAGGGCTAATATCCAGAATCTACAATGAACTCAAACAAATTTACAAGAAAAAACAAACAACCCCATCAAAAAGTGGGCAAAGGACATGAACAGACACTTCTCAAAAGAAGACATTTATGCAGCCAAAAAACACATGAAAAAATGCTCATCATCACTGGCCATCAGAGAAATGCAAATCAAAACCACAATGAGATACCATCTCACACCAGTTAGAATGGCAATCATTAAAAAGTCAGGAAACAACAGGTGCTGGAGAGGATGTGGAGGAATAGGAACACTTTTACACTGTTGGTGGGACTGTAAACTAGTTCAACCATTGTGGAAGTCAGTGTGGCGATTCCTCAGGGATCTAGAACTAGAAATACCATTTGACCCAGCCATCCCATTACTGGGTATATACCCAAAGGACTATAAATCATGCTGCTATAAAGACACATGCACACACATGTTTATTGCGGCACTATTCACAATAGCAAAGACTTGGAACCAAGCCAAATGTCCAACAATGATAGACTGGATTAAGAAAATGTGGCACATATACACCATGGAATACTATGCAGTCATAAAAAATGATGAGTTCATGTCCTTTGTAGGGACATGGATGAAATTGGAAATCATCATTCTCAGTAAACTATTGCAAGAACTAAAAACCAAACACCACATATTCTCACTCATAGGTGGGAATTGAACAATGAGATCACATGGACACAGGAAGGGGAACATCACACTCTGGGGACTGTTGTGGGGTGGGGAGAGGGGGGAGGGATAGCATTGGGAGATATACCTAATGCTAGATGACGAGTTAGTGGGTGCAGCGCACCAGCGTGGCACATGTATACATATGTAACTAACCTGCACAATGTGCACATGTACCCTAAAACTTAAAGTATAATAATAAAAGAAAAAAAAATATTTATGTTACCTACAAAGCCAACATCCATGTACATTATTGCTATGTTTCAGGAGTCACTACAGTGTCATTTAACTCCTTGCTGCTCCTGGAAGCAAGAGTTTCCCTACGGACCCAATGTGACTTCGTCTAGTGCCGCTGCCACTTTTGCCAGATTATGTCTCTCAAACTTTCAGATGTTATAGGAGAAAGCTGCTTAATTTCTGAGCATCAATTTTCAAGAATTTTTTTTGAAGAGTGAGAAAAAATTCCGGAAGCATGATTTCTGAAATGCCCCAGAGACAGCTGAGATAATCCTGTCATCATTGAGCCTGAGTGATTCATCAATGATTCAAATGACCAATCAACCAAAAACAAAGAGGCAAAAGACTTTCATGATGTTCATTTGCTAGAATCAAGATCATCTAGAAAATAAATGACTGATGTAGAAAATGTAGGATACAGTTTCATAATTAGCCTTTAGGGGGAATAAAACCTACAGAAGTAACGCCTACCAGAAATAATCACTGTTGATCTTATTTATCATGTGTTTTACTAGGTAATGGAAAAATACATCTACTTATGGATTACCTAGTAGGTTAAACACTACAACCATTTTTTAAGTTACAAACTATTTTTTAAACTGAGAAACACTAGTAAAAACATAAAAAAAGCAAGCCACAGTCTGGGAGAAAAGATATATATCTTTGATAAGGAATTTATGTCCAGAATACATAAATAACTCCCATAAATTGATACTAAGAGGATAATCAGTAATAAAAATATAAAAAACAAATTTTTAAAGTGAACAAAATACATGAATAGGCACTTCACCAAAGAAGACATCTAAATGGTCCATAAAGACATGAAAAGACACTCCAAAGCACTAGTAATCAGCAAATTAAACTAGCGAATTAAAACCACAATGAGATGCTACTACACACGTAGTATAATGCCAAAAAGTAAAAAGTAAAAGCACAAAGTTCTGGTGTGCTTATCCTTGATGAGAGTGTAAAATGGTACCACCACTTTGGAAAATTGTGTGGCATTTCCTAATGCAGTTAAACTATTACATATGTTCCATCCTAGGTGTATACTGAGGATAAATAAATGCATATGTTAATAAAAGACTGCGGGAATAAGAATGTTCTAAGCAGCTGTGTTCATAATAGCCAAAAAGCAGAAATATCACAAATGTCTATCTGCAAGAGAGTACATATCAGTGGACATCTATGTTGTTGAATGTATCAATAGCACATTCCCTTTTATTGCTGAGTGTTAATCTACTGTGTGAATACAAGAAAAACTCCTCAACTTCCAAGTAGGTGCCAGAACCTGTATTAGTATCCTACAGCTACTACCACAATCTGTAACTTGCTTTTTCAATAAAATATGGTATTAACATCAATATTCTACATGACATAAAATTATTTGTGACATATATGAAAGACATATATGACATATAGGCCATTTTCATTATTTGCATTATTATAATGAATCAACAGACTTTGTTACATTTTACTAACTCAAATTCCAATGATCTCTGACCCAGGTAAGACACAGCAGAAGTCACAAAGCTAAAAACAATGAATGAGGTTGATTCTTTAATGATAATTTTTAATAATGAATATTCTGTAAAAAATTTGCAAATACCACAAACAAGAACCCTAAGGGCTTCCTTGACAATTAAGAACAGAGCTGCTTAAATGTCCCTACAAAGTCATGTCAGTTTGTATAACAGATGTCCACATTCTACCGAGGACAATATTTATATTCAGAGTATATTGTAAATAAGACTACTGTCCTCTTCAATATTCTCATTTAATTGTATTTACCTAGAAACTGATTAAAATAAATACTAAGAGAGCTTTAATTTATTTTTACTTTTCAGGTGGCAAGCGTGATGCAACTCAATAAATCACACTAGATAGAGTGCATTTTCCCACCAGAAACAGCCAATGTGCGGTTCAGTCACTGAAACATGGCAATTGGGAGGTTTTATGTAGGTTAATTTCAAATATACTTAACCCATTTCCTTCACTATTTTCTGCATTTGTTATCTGTGCTGTTTCATTTGAATTATAAAATTCATGAGTGCTAGGTTGTATTTTCTTTGTTACATTGGAAAAGAACTTGTCACATGAAATGAAAGCTCAATATGAACAATGATCATAACCTGTACATCATGAAAACTGCTTCAAGTGATCAATATAATATTCATTGATTAGGGTTGTTCTAGCCTACAAAACAGACTAAGTAGCCATTCATAAAGGAACTGTTAGGATTTTATTCTTTAGCAGTTTGGAAAACAATCTATGGTATAAATATGAATTCCCAAATACTTATAAGCAAAGCCTTGTTGTATAGCTAGCCCTTGGCATCCAAAACTGAAATGTTAGAAAGTCTTTCATCACGAAAAATCTCTATTGAAATGACCCATTACCAGGATTATAGGCTGTGGGGCTGTAAGTTAGCACCTCATGCTAACCCTTAAATTAACCTTTTAAGTTAACTCCTTATCTGACGTTTACAGTTTAGTAAATTACATCAATTAAATAATGGTGTCTATTACATTTTTACATGGTAAATGTTCACCATGGGCATTACAGCTTTGATGGAGAAAACAGTAGAGAGACGAAAAAAGTCAAAGGGGAAGTTTTGAACATGGAGTGAGTCTAGGTGCCCAGGTTTTGTGGAAGCCTCTGAGCAGAAAGGGAAGTGCTCAAGAGCTCAGTTCTGAAGGAAGAGCAGACACTGAGAGGGAAGTGAGGAATATCCCAGAGAAAGGATATCATCTTGGGAATATGTTCTAAGATGGAAAGACCAGAACAAACGACCCTGCACAGGGCACTAATTGCCTTTCACTTTTTTATGTACAGATTTTAAAAAATAGAAATAAATACTTGGGCTTATTGGAGAATAAAAAAGGTAAAAATATTTCTAGAGTTAATTGGACACTCTGGATAAAAAGCTTTAAAACTATGCATATATTTTGAGACAGAAATACAAATGTTAGGCAGGACTCAGTGGCTCACACCTGTAATTCCAGCACTTTGGGAGGTTGAGGTGGGCAGATCACCTGAGGTCAGGAGTTTGAGAGGAGCCTGGCCAACGTGGTGAAATCCCATCTCTACTAAAAATACAAAAATTAGCCAAGTGCGGTGGCGCGTGCCTGTGATCCCAGCTATTTGGGAGGCTGAAGCAGGAGAATCACTTGAACCTGGGAGGCAGAGGTTTCAGTGAGCCAAGATCGGGCCACTGCACTCCAGCCTGGGTGACAGAGTGAGACTCTGTCACAAAAATAAAATAAAAATAAAAATAAACAAACAAAAAAAGAAATATAAATGTTAGGATTTTTCTCCTGAGAAAATTATCAAGCAAATATGGCAAAGATGTATACCTGTGCAAAAAAAAAGGTGCAGTGTTATTTATAATATTAAAAAATTAAATCACCTAAATGTTTGTCATAGAGATTGATTGACTATATCATCAAATATCCATACAGTGAAATTCTTATATCCAGTAGAAAAATGAGTATATAGTGCTGTATTTTTTAACTTAGAAAATACATGTATGATATTTTCAGTGGAAAAAAAAGAATATTTACAAAGCAATGTGTAGAGAGTGGTAAAAGGTTTACATTAGTATAGAAAATAAAGCGCTTGAAAAATCTTCACCCATGTGTGGTTATCGCTGCAGTGGGATTATGACTAAGTTTATTTTATTTTTCGTATGCCTTGTATCCTTTGCTTCACAACAGGGGAAATACATTGAAGACAACATTAAGTGTTGGAACTAAATGCACAAGAATCAGGAGCATCTTAACGCCATGGCCTGAACATGATAGGTACTGAAGAACTATGGATTAATTATTTTTGATTGATTGATTGATTGAAAATGTGTCACTATAAAAAAGCAAATGTGAAGCTTACAGAGGGATAGTGGTGCAGTTAAATGCTAAAGTTAAATCTCCTTTTCTGGCAGCTGCAGAAAGATTCCTATTCTGCCTCCTATACTTGCTCTGAGGATATTTAAATTGTAGAGCTCTAAGTGGCTGCCCTCAATTTGCTTCAAAGATAATAACGTCACCTTACAGTTTATAAAGCACCTTGTTACATCCCTTTGGAGACCTACAGCAATCCCGTATGAATCTGGGGATTATTTATTCTTTTTTTCAAATAAGAAAACTGAAGCACAGAGGAAGGAGTTACACATTAAAAGCCAGGGAACTTGTACATTAGTTAAGGTAATGCTAGCAGCTATAACAAATAAATGCCCAAATCTCAGAACTTAATACAATAAATCTTACTTTTTGATTATCCTATGGCACCATACGGTGTTCTGGGTAGATGAAGAGTCTTCCACAAGGTATTTCAGGGATCTGTGGCTCTACCTTCCTCTAGTCTTCAAATCTTCTGCATCCAACAAGCAGATGGAGAATGAGGAATTGGAATAGGCATTCCTTAGTTTAAGCTCTTTGGTCCAGAACTGAAACACATAACATCTGCTGATATCCTATGACTAGAACATCACCTGGCCCTCATCTGGATACAAGACGATGGTACTGAGAAATAATTGCAGCCTGGGCAGATGCTTTTCAGTGCAATTCTATTCTAAAGAAAAGGCAGACTGAATGCTACATGCCAGTAAGTAGAATCTCCAGGACTCAAAAACAGACACATGACATTAAATGCAGTGCTCTTGCTACTACAACACACTGCCTCTGTATTCAGAGTTGCCTCAGCCTAGATCATAGTTTTGGAGTGAGTTAGAACCTGATCCTAACACTTGACAGTATTAAAAGGGGGACTGTCACCAGTGGGACGAACCCTTGAACTAAGCATGAGGAGAACCTGGCTTATGCCCTGGCTCTGCCCTATCTGACTGATTGAGTAAATCATGAAATCACTCTGCATTTCTTTTTTTCAAAGTCATTGATACAAACCTATACTTCTCAACTTTTCCCAATTAAGCTACTAGAATCTTACATTATTTTTCCCTAAGATGCTCAGACATTCCTATAATGTTATACGAGTCCGTGTTATAAGAGCCCCTCAACAATAAGCGGTAGCTGATGAAACCATATCAATACATAATTCTATACAAAGGTAAGAAACTGGAAACATTATTTGGCCTTCATAGACCTTGCTTGGATAACTGCTCAATTTCTATGAAGGTATCGGAATTATTGGGAGGTGAAATTGGCCACTCCCGTAACTATTTCTGCCGATCTCCAATTGGGAACCATAGAGCTTCATGACCTAAGGCTCCTACCAGTTACCATCTGAAAATGTCTTTTGTCTCTGTAATCTTGACAAGTGAATTCCAGTCACACCCATCCTAAGAAGAGTGTGCCTGGAAATACTGGTTTTCTTCTTCTCAAGCTGTCTGAATCCAGAAGTATATATTAATCTGGAAGTGGCTGGAGGTGATGGAAAAGAGAGGATGTTGAAAAAAGCACCCTTGGTGAAGTGGAGCAGCAACTCGCTCAGAAGCCTCATGAGTCTGTAACATCGTTTGAACTCCAAAGCTTTCTTCATCACTCATAAATCCATAATCATCACTCCACCTCGGAAAAATCTCACTCTGCTCTTCTCTATCTTCTACATGAAATGTATCAGGAAGAAAAATTAACATAAGGAACTTTCACCAGCTTTATAAAATCTTAACCCTTTTGTACACTTGTTTCTGATAATTTTAAGAACTAATATCAATAATCATTAAAACGTTGAACCGTGCCCAGATACTGTTCCTGTGTCTCATTTTCCTGTTTCCTTTCCCAGAGGTAATCCCTAAGCTAAATCTGAATCAACTGAAAATCTGGTAAACATCAGCTTGATGTTGATTATTTCCATGCATAAATGTTCATTAACAACATATAGCACGTTTTTTGCGTGGTGGCAAACTTCATATAAATGGCATCATACTGCATGTATTATCCTACACTTGTTTTCTTTATTGCTTAAAATGTTTTTAAATTTTAATGATTGAAAGCATAGTACTCTAACACATTCATTTTAAAAGCTATAAAGCCATCTTTTCTATAAATACACCAAATTTTAAAACCTGTTCTCCCTATGGAGAAGTGATATATCAATAAGAGATATAATATTGCATTAACATTATTATATGTTTTCTTGTACAAAAGTATGAGAGTTCCTGTGATACACATATGTAGAAATGAGTCAGGGATAGCATTCTCTTCTACTTGACTAGATACTGACACATTTTTCTCAAAAGTGATTTGGACAGTTCCTAAAAATTCCTGTTACTTCACTTATTTGCCAAACTCCTTTTTATTTATCTGATTGGTTTTGAGGCAGGAGGCAGGACTCAACTCTGGATCAGATTGAGGACTAGCTGAAACAGGGAAGAGGCACCTAAAGCACTTCTCCATAAGACACGACCACTAGAGCCATAACAATTTACCATTGCCATGGTGACACCTCAAAATTACCACCCTTTTCCATGGAGACAACCTGGAAATTACCATCCTTTTTCTAGAAATTTCTAAATAGCCTGCCCCTTAAAGTGAGAATAAATATGACTGCCGAACTTCCCCTGAGCCGCTGCTCTCAACACACTGCCTATGGGGCAGCCCTGCCTTGCAGGAGCAGTCACGGCGCTGTAACGCTGGTGCCTCAGTAAAGCTGTTTTCTTCTACCACCAGCTCACTCTTGAATTCTTTCCCCAGCGAAGCCAAAAACCAGCCCAGACTAAGCCCCAGTTTTGGAGCTTATCTACCCTGCATCAGTTTGAATTCGAATATCAATAATTCCTGGTATGATTAGGAAGCTTTCATGTATGTACTCGCCATTTGGGTTACCTATTCTGTGAATTTCTTGTTCATATCCTTAGCTCATTTTTACACTGGGTTTTCAAAAATAATTTATAGAATGTCATTATGTGTTCTGGATAGTAATCCTTAATTTGTTGTTGAGTTGAAAATATCTTTTCCTAATATCTATTTGTATGGCTTATGTTGTTGTTGTTATTTTTAACTTTACTTTTAATGTTTTTGTTTGTAATAATTTGATATTTTAGTACAGCAGAAGTCCTAAATCTTTTCCTATATGTTTTATGCTTTTTGCATGTTACTTAAGGAGGATAGTTTGCACTCACAAAGATATTTCCTATTTTTTTTTCTGAAAGCAGTAGTTTTCTTTAACATCTGAATATTTTATCTGCCCTGAAATTTATATGTATGCACTGGTGTAATGAAAAATATAATTTCATGGAAAAGCAATTGTTCGAGCCCTGTTCATTGAACTAGTAGAGCTAGTTCCTTTATTATTATTCAGAATTCATTCATTATTCTTGGCTGTTTGTTACAGTAATAGTTTTAGAGTCATCTGATAAGATTTTTTCAATTAAAATAGCATTCCATTTATAGATTAGTTGTGGAGATAGGAATTAATATCTTTATAGTATTAGCTTTTCTCATTTAGGATCTTGGTTTATCTTTTTATTCTGGCATTCTTTTGTCTTTCAATAATATTTGTAAGGCTCTCCACAAAGATATTACTGGTCTTTAGTTAAATTTATGTTTAGGTACCTTATAGCATTTGTCATTATTTGAAACAATGTTTAATTTTTAATTATATTGTAATTGAATATTTCATATGAAAGAGAAGCACTATTCAATTTTTGTTTATTGATGTTTTATCCAACAACCTTTCTGAATTCTCCTGTTCAAATAATTTTTCTGTATAGTTTCTTGGTTTGTGTGTGGTTTTTTTCTATAGAAGAGTTATGTTACCTAAAATAAGAACAATTTTCTATTCTTTTCTAATGTGTGCAATTGTTACTTCTTTTTCTTCTCTTACTGCACTAACTAGAACTACCAGTAAAATACTAAAGCATGTTGATGGTGGGTATTCTTGTCTTTTTGCTAACCAAAATGGAATGTTTCTCATGGCTCACAGATAAATGATGTTTGCTCGAGGCTTTTCAAAGTTCATCCTTTGGGTTTGGAAAATTTTCTTCTATTCCTAACTTGCTCTGAGTTTTGTATTTTGTTACTGTTCTAAAATTATGAATGAATGCAGAATCTTATCAATTTAGTTTGCGTCTCTTAAGATAATCACCTACTTTATCTCTGTTTGTCAGCTAATGTGAATTACTTTAGTACATTTTCTGGAGTTAAATTATCCTTAAATCCCTGAAGTAAATCACTTGTTTGTATGTTTTTTAAAAAATTCACCAGTAGAGGATAATTAGATATTATTTTATTTAGGATTTATGCAACTATGCTTGTATGACTAATCTATATTTCCTTCTTTTACTTTTCTTTTAAAAGTTTTGCCAGCGTTATAATTTTTCTTCCTTTTCTGTGCTCTGAAGTAGAGAAGACAAGACATGATACATTTGCTTCTTAAAGCTTTGATGCTGGGACCTGAGTTATTATTATGATCATTTAAACCACCAGTTATTTATTTGTAAATGTTATCACATTTATTGTGATATTTTTTATTTCAATAGCTATATTTTTTGCAACATCTCTATGTTTTTGCATATCTTCCTGTTCCTGTTTCAACTCTGCCTGACTTTGGTTCATGATCTTTTTCTTTTTAATGAATATAATATTTTCCTTGATCTCTTTGAACATTCTAAACATTTTCATCTAAGTCTCTTCCTAACTGCACCATTAAATTAACTCTTGTTCTGGTTGTTGATTTTGTTGATTATTTTGTTTAGCATTAGATTTCTTTTCTTGTTTTGGGTTTTTCTTTTTCCCCTGCAGAATTTGTTCTGTTCTCTCTCTGTTCCTATTTGTCTTTCTCTTTTTCTTCCTGGATTCCCCCTTCCCAGTCTTTAGCAGTGAAGACTGACACCCAGTCAACATCCAGCTCATATTAGAATGCATCCTTTCTCCTGCTCTACCATAATTTGAGAGATATAACAAATCAAATAATCAGATGGTTTGGCTCAGCTCCTTGTTGTGAGGCAGTGTTTTTGTCTGTTGTCTGCCTACGCCCACAGAGTCCTATAAAGCTATGACTTCAGACAGGGACTCAGCAGTAACTTTTTCCAACCTCATTTCAGGAAGTGGTAGGCTTACCTCAGTTCCTAGATTCAAGCTGTACATTTGCCTAAGTATGTCCTCTGTACATTTGGCTAAGTATGTCATCTGTATGTTTGGTACAGGATCCAAGCTGCCATTACCTGATTCCAGAGTTGGAATCTGGCAGAGCTGCATGTTCAGCCCTTATGACACTTTTTGATCCTGTTTTATCTGTGATTCACAGATATGTTTATCCCATTTTGGTGCCTACCTACATCATCTTGGTCATCTTTTTTTAAATTTCATCTGTAGCTTCCAGTTGTTTGAAAGAGAGGATTTTGTTAAAGCATAAATTCACTTACCAATTTTACACAGAATTGCAAAAAATTATTTCTAAAATTCATTTTTCATCTTTCCTAATGCTTGGTAAGAGCTATGCACACTATGGACCCTTATGAGTTCCTATGAGATGAATGGATGAATAAATGAGTGATGAAGGAAGGAATGAAATAACATGAATAATTAGAAGAGGAGAAAGACTATAAAATGCTTAATCAAATAAGCTTAAATGAGTAGAATAATTAATAATCACATAATTCAATGTTCCCAAAAGGTATACGCTTGTGACAATGTCCTATCAGGACTACAGTCTTATTTCTCTGTGATTCTCTTAACTCAGCCTTTCTCTGACCTGGAGCTGCAGGCTACCTACTAGCAGCAACTAAGACAATCTGCTTCTTCATTCACATTTAGTAAGAGAAAGAGAGAATGGCTTCCCACAACTCTCTCAAGATAGAGAAACAGCCTTACAAGCCTCCCATAACCCTCTAGCTGGGTTTTATTTGATAAAACCACATTACACATTCTCTCTCAAACAAAGGACTTGCAAGGGAGATGGAATTATTCTTATACCAGTCTGGCCCATCCTTTAATTAGAGGTCACTTCTCTAACCACATTGCTGCCTTTTACTGAGACAGAAGGTATGGAATGTATGCTGGAGAGTCAAACACAATATTCACTCCAGCAGTTAACCGACTTACCTTTTTTAATGCCAATATGTAAGTTATTGGATTGAATATGGAAAAAATGGTAGGTATAAGTTAGATGTTATTATCCAGACTATGTTAAGGAAATTTTTTAAAGTTTGGTCTATTCATGAAGTGATAATTGTGATGAGGGAGAATATTGCTTAAAATCATTCAAAATATTGTGTTCACTTGATGTATTTTTATTTTTGAAAAAAGCTCCTTTTCAAAGTTCTTAAGCAATCCTAAATAATCGTGTGAAGCAGACATTGTTACTACTATTCTCATTTTACAAACGAACACTGAACTTATCAAACAGTAGATGCCAAACATTTGAGGAAGATGAGTTTATGGAGACTGTGATCAAATGACATAACTGTTTGTCAAGTATTCACTTTCTTCTTGCACCTTCATGGAGGAATATAAGATTCTGCTACTTTGATGCTTGGCCATGTGACTCGATTTATCTAATGAGATGCTAGCAGACAAGAAATGAACAGATATTTGAAATACACTTGTGCAATTTGGCTTGTTCTTCTGCACTTCCACCATCACATGAAAGTGACATGCCCAAGCTGGCCCACAGGTGCCAGGAAAACAGAAAACACATGGAGCTGAGCTGGACTCACTTGCAGCTTGGTGCCAACATCTGTCGAGCCCAGCCTAAATCCACCAAGTCCCTGCAGTTTGACCAAATTCAGGTGCGTGAACAAGAGGAAATGATTGTTCTCTTAAGCTGCTAAGTTTTGGGGTGGTTCGTTAGGCAGTATTACTGGGGTAATAGCTAAGTGATGCAGAGAGGAAGAGAAAATGGAAAGCCAACAGGTCATTTTTAAAAAGAAGTAAATAAGCACAAGTAAATATTTTGATTGCTCAATATCACTCCGAAAATGGGAGAGCCAAATTCAAATCAAATTCCTCTGCCTCCACATGTTTTGGCTTTTCTAAGACATGGATTGGCTCTCTACAGTAGTAGCAATGTTGCAAGCAGTTTCACTATTTGTCTGTGGCACTGTAATTTCAGTGAGTAATTCTCTCACTCATATTATCACATGGATTGTTATTATTTACTCCATTATACTGGTTTTTATCAATGAGGAGATATAGTTATTAAATATGAGAAAAATGGCTAATAACTAACCACCATTTTAAAAACTTCTTTTGTGCCATAACACATCCACCACATTTATATAGAGCTGCTCTGTTCAATATGGCAGTAGTAATCAAATGTGACCATTTTAATTTAAATAAAATTAAAATTAAAATTCAGCTCCCCATTCACAGTAGCCACGTCTCAAGGATATAGCAGCTATATATTGCTAGTGGCTACCATATTGGACAGCACCAATATAGAATATTTCCATCATTACAGAAAGTTCTTTTGGACAGCACTGTTATAGAGAATATGCAAAAAGTAACACCCTCTTTTCAATTATGTCTAGTTGACTCATTTATAGAGCTTTGGGATACTTTCGACATGCTGTGCTTTACCGGGAATCCCTTGCTAAATAAATCTCTCTTGAATTAGGACATGGGGAGCCATACAATTCTGTCAGCAAAGCTGGCTGGTGACGTTAAAGAAAATGTGTAAAGGTAGTCCTGACCTCTGGCCCCCGATTCAGCTGGAGCTTACAGGATAAAAGAGCTTCTGTCTCCATCTGAAAGCATCTGGAGCATGCTCAGCAGTCATGCAGCTGTGCTTACCTCCAACTTGCTGCCAAGCTCAGAAGGGAACAAAATCAATTAAAGGGATAGATCACAGTGTTTACCAAGGAGGAAAACCCCCACATCTGGAACAGTGAGAAGAGTGGGCTGGTGATGAAAAAACACTGGGCATTGAGAAAATTACAAGTCTTGGTCCAGATCAGCCTCTATCTAGAGAAGTCATTTTCACTCTTTGAATTTTGTATTCCTGTCTGTAAGATAAGCTGAGCACATTTCCATACTGCCAAATGCCATCCGGCAGAATTTCCAGGCTTATCAAGCTATGATAATCCCCACCCTTCCCTTCAATGTCATCAGAGAGCTCTGTTCCATCTACAGGCTAACAGACAATGTTCAATTGCCCTTTGTAGAAATCTGACATTAGACATGTGCTAGAATGCCTCCTTCGGGAATAGTAAAAAATAAGTGAGCTTCTATGTAAAAGCACTTGGGGGTCTTGCATCTTGAGAAGGAGCTACCCATCTCACAATGCAGATTCTCAGCCTCAGAAAAAGGCTAAACATTTAAAGATTGAGTATTTAAAACATTATAGTTGCACTAGCAACTTTTTAAATGCTTGAAATACAAAAATGAATACATGCCTGGTGTGAGCAGTGTTTTACAATTTCTCTTCCAAATGAAAGAGACCCCCTGTTTCTTTTCATTTGGTGGCTTGGTTTATACTTTCATTTTTACAGTCCAGACAACCAGCAAAGTAAAATTCAAGCCTACTTTTGTTCTTTACAAAAGGAGCTTGTTTTAAAATAAAAAGGTTAATAAAAAAATGAATAAAAGAGCTTCTTTGACCTTTTCTGAAAGGTAGATTATTACCATGGAGAATGAAGTAATCACTTATTCCATAAGTATTTTATTCCACCTGAGTTTCCAAACTTAAATAAAACTACCAGCACTAAAGGTCTTATTATACTTACCAATATAGAGACCATTCAATTCCAAACTGTCCTAAATTCTAAAAAAGAATTTAGAAGTTAAAAAAATCAAACTTATTCCCCCTCGTTACTCAAAATATTTTATTTAAGAAAACAATAACACAGATAAGTCACTAAAATCTACCTGATGATTCAAATCTGATGAGTCAATGCTTCATCAATTATAAGCACATGATTAACTGATAATTGTTGATTAGCATTTTCTGAAATTATTTATTTATTTATCCTAGGAATACAATTCTCATTAAGGTATATTATATACCCAAAAGGTGTGGTTGAATTCATCACAAGGCAATTAACTACTGTGTAGAAAGCAATATAAGAAGACACTACTAGCTCAAAGAGATATACATAAACATAATGATGTCATGGTTCCTGTTTTCTAGAAGTAGTGATTTGGTAGGGTTGAAAATACAAGCTACTCACCATAGGTCTAGGTACAGTGAAATAGAGGTATATACAAAAATCCAAATGAAATGCAATACATTCTGACCACTTGGATCACAGAAGACTTGGCAGAGAATGGAGCACTAAAGTCAAACCTAAAACAACAGGGGTCCCTAATCCCCGGGCCATGGACAGTACCTGTCTGTGGCCCGTTAGGAACCAGGCTGCATAGCAGGAGGTGAGTGGCGGGCAAGTGAGCATTACTGCCTGAGCTCTGCCTCCAGTCAGATCAGTGGTGACATTAGATTATCATAGAAGCATTATTGTGAACTGTGCATGTGAGGAATGTAGGTTGTGCACTCCTTATGACAGTCTAATGCCTAATGATCTGAGATGGAACAGTTTCATCCTGAAACCATCCCCACCCAGCAGGTCCATGGAAAAATTGTCTTTCATGAAACCAGTCCCTGATGCCAAAATGATTGGAGACCACTGCTTTAAAGGATAGGCGGAAAGTGAGGAAGAGTGTTCCAGTCTACAAGAAGGAAGTATAATTGCATTTTCATGGAGGTGAAGTTAGCCAAGAGAATGAGCATAAGCCATGTGGTGGAGACCAGAGGAGATGAAGCCAGAAGGGAACATTGAAAGCAGATGATTGAGAGCACTGAATGACACCTTAAGGGATTTGAATTTTACTTGTAGATCAGAAGTTTACTTTGTGAGTAGTCAATCCCCCACCTAGAGATTTCTAAGCAGGGGATTGACATATTCTTATCAGCATATTAGGAAGTTCATCCTGACAGCCCATGACAGCTGGAATCAAAGAGACCTTTTGGGAAAATGTTTTGTGGTCCAGAGATGGTCCAGGCATGATGTGGGGCAGGATGCGCAGGAGACAGATATGTACATTTCAGATACACAACCATGGAAATGGCTTTGAGACAGAAGGCAAAGCTACATTTGTAGCCTTGATGAATGAGAGGAAGATGACCTTCTAAAGCAAATCAATTTTGCCTCTGTTATGCCTTTGTTTCAAATGTTATTTATTTATGGATGGGCTAAGATCCCCTAAAGATACAGTGTTAACATATGTATCTATATTAACATATTTATATGTCATGCTCTGTTATTTATCTATCACTTGATCCTAGTAGAAAGCATAAATCCAAAAGTAGGTAAGTCTTCAATAGCAGATACTCATTCATGCATTTATGTGATCAACAAACCTTAGGTGAGCACCTCATTAGGAAATAGGTTGTGAATAACATACACATAAACAGCTGTTGCAAAAACCCCAATTTTTTTATGTTCAGGAGGAAAAAAATGCTTCTGTAAGAAGGATCAAGAAAACATCTTTGGAGGTGCTTATAATTAAAGTAGGCCTGGGAGAATGGGAAGGATTTAGATAGAGATGGGTTGAGAGAAAAAGGAAGAGGGTAGGTAAATTAGATGTGCCTGACAAAGGGCAGGGAGTCTAGGTTTGCTGTAGGATTCATAAAGAGAATTAGTGAAAGCTGAGGTATGAAGAGTAAGCTGGGAACTGATTTTGGAACACCTTGAAAATTAGGACTTTAGAAGACAACAGTCACTGCTGAGGATTTTAACCAGGGGCTTGACTTGCCTAAAATATTATTCAAAAACAATACTGGAGTCAAATTTTTACATATTCTAGAAAGCTAATCTTCACTTATTTTATGTTTTAAGCCTATCATAAAACACAAGGAAAATTTTCTCTCTCTAATTTGAGTAATAATTAGCATATGGAGAATGAAAGTGTTTGGGGTGTCATCAATTCTAGGTTCATCTCTGCCATAGAAACATCATCATGCTGTTAGGAATAAAGGGCAAATGAAAATATATTACCAAGAAATTAACTACAGTTTTCAATGCTTCTGTGAAATGGCCAAATTTTATTTAACAAAGGAAATGTTCATAGTTCTTACTGTTAATTTGTTTTCATTCATCCAGAACATTTAAATTCTTTCTTTTTTCTTTTTAAAAATTGTTTTATTTTTAACGTTTGTGGGTACATAGTAGTTGTCTATATTTATGAAGTACATGAGATGTTTTGATACCAGAAAGCAATATGAAATAAGCATATCATGGAGAATGGGGTATCCATCCCCTTAGCCATTTATCCTTTCAGTTACAAACAATCCAATTACACTCTTTAAGTTTTTTTAAATGTACAATTCAGTTATTATTGACTATAGTCACCCTATTGTGCTATCATATAGTAGGTCTTACTCATTCTAGCTAATTTTTTGTATCCATTAACCATCTCCACCTTCCTCCCAGCCCCCCACTATCCTTCGCAGCCTCTGGTAACCATGCTTCTACTCTCTCCATCCTTTAAACTCTTCCTTAATTCAAAAGAAGTAAATAAAAATATCTGGTCTGAAAGCCAAGTCCTACAATTTCATAACTGATCGTGCCTAAAAATTGTTATGGCTGAGCAATAAATCCCTGAAAAGTGATGCTTATATTCATAATGGAAATGTCACCAGAGCCTTAAATATAGCAGCTCAACTTATCTTTACTACAGTGCAGCAAACTCAAATTTGTAATTGATTTTGACTTGTACCTGCTACCATGTGTGTTGAGTTTGGGAGTGCTGGACAGCATTTTTTAAAAATTTGAAATCTTAATTTTAGTCTAATGAAATTAATCTGTAAATCAATTCTCTCCACTTATATTTTTACATACCTATCTTTCTCTTCTAAGAGCAGACGAATTTATTCTTGGACTATTTTATTGGCAAATAATGAATTTCAGTAGTTGTTAAAATAGTTCTTAGAACTCTTTCATCTTCCATCTGCTCTTAAATGGAGAGAGGTTAAAAATGGAGAAATCTGGTCTGGCGCAGCAGTAGCTCACGCCTGTAATCCCAGCACTTTGGGAGGCCGAGGCAGGCGGGTCACCTGAGGTCAGGAGTTTAAGACCAGCATGGCCAACATAGTGAAACCCCATCTCAACTAAAAATACCAAAATTATCCAGGCATGGTGGTGGGTGCCTGTAATCCCAGCTATTCGGGAGACTGATGCAGGAAAATCATTTGAACCCAGGAGGCGGAAGTTGCGGTGAGCCAAGATCGCATCATTGCACTCCAGCCTGAGTTTTGACAGGAGCGAAACTCAGTCTCAAAAAATAAAAAAAATAAAAAAAAATAAGAGAGATCTCCAAGTGAAATTTTTCATTTATACAGAACTGAACTTCTGATTAAGAAGGCACTGATCGACATTCTACAGCTGTTATGAAACTACATGACAACATTATTTATCAAAGTGATTTGATGGTAACTGTGGTCTCTGTTATGGTATAGGAGTTAGCAAGCCAAATAGATACACGTACTTAATGACTTTAGCATCCACCACTCAAAATCCAGTTAATTGTTTGTTGTTGGAGCCATGTAAAGCAGCAGTACAAGCTGTCTGTGCAGAATACAATAACTGTATGCAGCAGTATGGATTCAAAGTTTCAAAAATTAATTTACAAATGGGTTTCAGAGATTCCACCAGATGGGAGAGAAACAGAGTTATGTTTAACCCTTGAGCTGGCAGTCTACTTTAGGAACATTGCCAGCTATAAAAAATAATAATCAGAGGCCCATGAACTGCTCTTTTTAAACGGTTACATTAAAACCCAGACACCTGTAGTTTTACTAGTTGCTAAAACGGCTTGTAATTGCACATGCATGAAACAGATGTGTAACCAGAGCTGTATAACTGGTTTCCATTATACAAACACAGGTGAATGAATGGCGGGCAGAAGGGGGAATGGAAAACTGAGATTTGTATCCGCGAAAATCTAACATCGGAGATTCATATGAAACTTTGAAAACATTTTTTGCTAAATATATTGGCCTGTCTCTCAACTGCTTTTAAATCATGGATATTTACATTTCCCAAAATAATCTGCTTAAATTTGGACAAGATAATAATGACTAATCCCCATCCCCTAAGACACGTGTTCTTCACTAGTCTTACTGAAACGGCTGCCAATGCTATGCAGGAAACTTTTTAACCGACTTGAACATTTTAGGGTTTTTTTTTTTTTTTTTTTGAGAGTTTTGTTAGGAAAACAACATAGCTTAAGAGTCATAAAAAATCAATATTCAAGGATGTTTCCAGAACTTTAGTCTTTCAAAAACTATGAACCAAGGAGTCATTTCTAGTGTCCTGGAGTTTGGTTGTTATAAAATTTACAGTATGGTGTGTCAGTTCATTTGGGACTGAGTCACACAGCCCAGGACGCGGTGCACTGAGGAAGTCATGTGAACCATTGCACAAATACATTTTTGTCAGTGTTTGGTTTGAGAGCTGGGACTCAGCAGAACTTTGGGGGATTGAATTTTAATTCAAATGTTCCAAAATTCTGGTTTACAACAACATCTGGGACTTGAAGAATGGATCACTTATTTTGAAATTCCTTAGAAAGGAAAAATGAAATGCAGACAATTATAACATTCAACAAGAATTGTCCTTCCAGAAATCCTCATCCCACCTGGGACGGAACCTTTAAGCCAATGCTTCCTTTCAGATGTCTTAGCAAAAGGACTGCAAACAGAATGAATGAGTTGGAGCAAACAGGGATCTATGTGAAAATCTTTCTGAATTGAGAAGGAAAACAGGATATGTGTTCATGCTCCCATAACTCATCAGGAAAACTCATTCCAAGTCATTCCCAGGGATGATCAGCTCCCCCAGAAGACCTTATCTGTCCACATTTTTTCCATTCTGAAAACATACTTTTAAAAAATTAAAAGTCGTTCTTGGAATGAAAATGCAGCCTCTTGCAGAATGTGAATTAAAGACATTTTGACCTGTAGGTGCACATAGTATTTTTAAAGGGCTACATGGCTGTTCATTCTGCAGCCCCAGCAGTTCTCTGAATTCAAATAATTCCTCAGAGACTACAGCTCTAGTCGTGATGAGGAAAGTGAGGTGTAGAAAGCACCTGCTAAGTCTTCAAACTACAGCCAAAAAACAGCAAATGGAATCAACAGGGCAAAGCTGTTTGGACATATTGCAAAGTCATTTTGGATATTCCCACTATATCTGTTAAATATTCATGTATATTCTGACAACTATGCCCTTGTTCCAGGAGCTTGAAGTTATTGGGTCTTTAAGTTAGGCTCAGAGTATAAACTGAGCACTCCTTGAAGTGTATTAATTCTTTCAGACTAGTGGTATACCATTCACTGCATAAATGTTCCATGCTGAATTGGTGAGTCAGGGCACCAAAACATTCAGCCCGCCCATATTTTAAGACTGTGTATACATTCTGGTTCATATGACAACATAAGGTGGTAGTGTTCCAATCTGGCTGTGCATTGGAATGACCAGTAGGGCTTTATTAAAATGCAGGAGTCTGATTCCACTCCTAGATTTTCACACAGTTGGTCAGAGTTCCTTTCATCTGAATATTTTCTAAAATATAAACCCACTGATAATTTTTATTATGTTACCAGGACTAGAAAATACTGATGAAGAATGAAATGTTTATTAAAACTCTGCCCAGGCACACTTGCAAAGTAAAACTAACAAACCCATGAAAATGCAGGATAATTGAGCTCATTGCAGTTATGTAGGTCTGGTATGTTAAAACATGTGCAGGAGTTGAGGGACTACAAAAATCAGGGAACACAGGAGGCAGTGTAGGGATGGTTTCTTAAGTTCGTTTGTGCCAGTGGCTCTTTTCCTGTCCCACAAATAATACTGTGATGGCCAGAAGTTACAAAGACTATGATGGCAGCTGGCTGTCAGCAACGTTAATGGGAAGGATTTCCCTTTAATTGTCCAGAGGCTCATTTCTAACATCTATAGTAAAAACTGGGAGATAGCACTCAACAAAGTCATCCAACAGAGGTACCTCCAAAATGGATACAACTGTTGCCAAAATAGACCCAGATAAGGCACTTCTCCCAAAACAATCACAAAATCAAGGTTATCCAAATTGAAAGTATTACTTCCCTTTTATCATCATGGACACAGATGTCCATTTTAAGTCTGTATCAAGGATCAAAAGAAACCCCAAAATACCTGACTTTAAGAGGAAAAATTGAACTTATCCTTATAATGCTCTTTCTGTGTAAGGTATGAGTTGAAAGTGTTTCATGAAGGATTTCTTTCTTGAGTTTGTACTAGTAACCAGTTATGAAGCCCTTGTCCTCCATTCTAAAGTTTTGAGCAAGAAACTTTTCATAGCTTCTTAGTAGTGAATAAAGAAATCCAGGTTATATCTACACCAGGGACCAAAAGTTTCATACAGCAAAGAAAACATTCAGATATCTGGTTTACAGATGCAAGCATCCCCATCACTGACTGGTTTTTTACCTTTTCATCAGATACTCTGATACTTTATAAAACATCAATTTTATAACTTCAGTAAAATCACTTAATCATGACTTTTTAAACCCAATTAAAAAAGAGAAAGAGAATACATATAAAACATCTTGAAAATCAAATATTTCAATGCTACACAACTCAAATTATTTTTCATCTTTTCCCTTTTTTCCATTAAGGATAGAATAAAAAATGTGTGCTTCTAATTTGTGCTTTGTTTTTTACTAATACAAAATATTTATGTCCAAGTCCAATTGTTTCAAAATCCTTTGTGTCTATGATAACAACTTTCATTTCAAAACTGGAGTTTATAATATTTAATTACTGTTAGAATGGAATTATAGGCTGTTGCAGTCTTTCATTTGTTCTTATAAACATATGTACTTTTTATTTGTATTACATATTTCCCATATCTTCCAGAGAACACAGTGCTGTTGAAGCAGCTTCCTTCAATCAGGTGGTATGGTGAGGAATATCTTTCAACAAATTCGGTAAATGCAAGGAAAAATAAATGAAAGAAAAAAAGAATCTCTGTTTGATCACAAGTGCTTTACCTTTGAGAATTACTCTCTGGCCTTATAACGTGACCCATTCTATATGTAGCTGCTTTTTTGTTATTGTCTCACCCTGAAATCATTTTAAAATGCCAGTATCCCTAATAATTTAATGCAGCTGTTAAGACATCCTCTTTCTTTTGATCATTGTTATTAATGATGTGCCATAATACACACAAGGTTAGCAATCCTAGCTACTCTTCCTTACACAGACCATTGTGTACTCGCTGCGAGACCCTGTCCTCCTGCCCTGTTCCTCCAGCCTCAGCCAGCATCAGCCTCTCGCAACCTTTGAGGAGGCTCATCTGCGGATGAAAGCTCATTTCAGAGTTATTAGTCCAGGACTTGGGAACTATGTGGGCCGTTCTTCTGTGGTATACACAGTCGGAAAAGAAATTGTTCTTCACTATTCTCCAGAGAAGCAGCTTGGCCTGAATTTTAGTCTTCTGTTTGCTGTGGAATTGTTTATGGCAGAATCTTAATGCTACCTTTTGGTAACTGTTATTCCCCTCGATGTTTTGAAATTGTTGCTTCATAAATGTATTTTCCTTCCCAAAGTCAAAATCAATTGGTAGAACCCTTACGGTTCTAAAAGAAAAAGAAAAAGGTATTAACCATAAATAAAATGAGATAATACAGGGTTGGAGATAAAATGTTTGATTATAAGCAACTTTGTGGGAAAAAAAGTACTATACAGATTTGTATATGATACTAGGAAATCAGCATCACCTCTAACACTTTATTCCTCCCTATATTTTTCAAATTTGCAAAAAAGTTTGAAATCCATAACCACTTTTGTGATTTTAATACCTCCTTCAGCAGATGCTCACTCAAGAGGGCTTCTTTGATTTCTAAAGTTTTGGTTTCTTTTGTTGTTGTTGTTCTTTTTAAAACAAACAAAAAAATCTGTTCTTTGAACGAATCGAGTTTTTTAATAGGTCAATATAGAAAAGAATTGTATCTTGGGGAATACAATTGTTGACATTGCAGTTACTTGAAAGTTTACAAACATATTTATATGGTTTTCATTTGAAGGTTTCTTCTTGACTTTTAGTTGATTATTTGATTTAGTGCACTCAAATGATCTTTGGCAAAGGCTTGTTTTTTGGGAAGACTTTCTGAATGAGCTAAAAGGCTGTATACTCCACAGTGAATTCTGATGAGGAATATACTAAAGAATTTTAGGCTCTGAAATAAGAAAGTTCTTGGAATTGTTTTTTCCGGTAAAAAACAGTCCAAAAATTGTGTCATGTTTTAATCGAAAAGCATTTAGATAAACGACATAAGGTAAACGTCTCTGTAGCAGCCAAAACATTATCTTAGTTCTTGATTTACGAAATATTAATGTCATTTTTGTGGCAGGAAACCTTTTTTGCTTTAAGCATCTCTTTAGAAAAAGAAAGTCAGAAAACAGAAAATGTTAACTGCGTTGTGGAAGGGTTTTTAACGGAGCATATCAGCCAGGTCTTTGAACTTCTGTTTCTGCCATAAGTCAGACCAGGACACGGAGGTAGGTTGGCGAGGCTTTGGAAACTGTGCAGAAGGTCACTGCTGATCTCGTTCCTTTATGGCATTCTTTATTTAACGATGACATTAACTGCAGGCAAATTGCATGAAGATAAATAAGTTCATAAAGGAAACTAAGGGAAGGGAAGGGGTATGAATGAAGCTAAGATTTTCAGGAGAATGATAATCAGAGGGAGATGGTAATGGGATCAGAACAGAGACCTGCAATTAGAAAACCTTCTCTCCTTCTTCTTATTTTAATGTGGACGTTTCAACTGGTCTCATTTCCTTAACACTGAGAATAGGTATAACGATCAGAGGAATATCAGATGATATAGTGAGTGATTTCTGGCCTTGACTTCCACAGTTGCTGTCATGAGAAATAAGAAAAGGAAACCAATGTATTATCTAGGAGCATTTTTTGTCAAAGAATAACTGGCATTA
This sequence comes from Homo sapiens, assembly GCF_000001405.40. NCBI lineage: Eukaryota > Metazoa > Chordata > Mammalia > Primates > Hominidae > Homo > Homo sapiens. The sequence continues at coordinate 55,865,509 of NC_000018.10, read as the reverse complement.
TTGGTGATATTTACTATTGAATAAAGTTATTTTAAAAATATTTCTGACTGAAAGAGTAAAAACATGAAAGAGATTCTTTCCAAGTACTTTGTAATTCCTTAAAAAGAAGTCACCCCACTTCATAATCATGGAAGTCCTATATCAACAATGCTTAGCTCCAGGAGTCACAACCCAGGTGAGGTCAATTTTCCATCCCAATACTAAATAAAGTAAGCAGGAAAATGAACATTTCACGTTAAGATCGAGAGTAGCTTCCCAAAGTAGAAATGAGTTACCAGCTTCAAGCACGTGGCAAATCACGGCAAAACCTTAGGATTGCATATCAAGATTAACCCTGAGTCTGGCTGTAGGCAATTTTATTCTGATATTCCTCCACCCTGCTGTCTCACTCCTGAAGTCAGTAGCTCACACATACACACACTTAGAGACACACAGTCACACACACGTGTGTGTATAGGTATGTTCATATAAATGTATATGTTTAGGTATACATACACGCTGTGGATATAAAAGTGTTACTTGCATTTAATTTAAATAATAATGCCCCTGGCATTCTTTCCTGGGGTTTGTTGACTGGCTAATAGCAAATAAGGGGCTTTGCATGATTAATTTCAGGATTTTATGAATCTCTAGGATATACTTTTCCCTGAGATTTTCACTACCATTATTAACAAAAATGTAAAGTTCAACATCTTCGAGTCCAAAGGGCACAGATTAGTTTTATAAGAAGTATAGTTTCAAATGGGTCCCTTCCAACCTCTTGATGACTCTTTCCAATGAAATGGCATAGATTCCCTCTCAGGAGATGAATCTATTTGTAATTATTGTTACTACATATTTTTCTTGAAGTGCTATGAATCAATCTAGTGAGCAAAGCCTTACATGTAAAAGTTTCCTCTTCTCCATTTTCTTCTCCAAGTTCCCAAAGCAAAGGAATGGCACATGAATGAAAAAAAAATATTTCATGCTGCAATTTTTTTTAAATTGCTATATGGGCAAAACAGGTGCCGAAATGTGAAACCCTTTGGAGGAATTTTCTCAGTAGAACAAATGAGTACTAACACTACCTTAAAATGAAGCTGGCTTTAATGTGGAATGTCATACAAATGCAGTGCCTATTGACAGATTATCCATAGATGACTGTCCCAAAAAGACCAAAAAAAAAAAAAAAAAAGTATACTGTCACTTTAAGAAAAAATAAACTAAAATATGAACTACCAAAAACCCTGCCATTTCCAGCCTGGGCTTGATTAATGATTTTTCTATCTAATAAAAGGTTCACAAACCATCTGTTTTTCTCCCTAATGCCTTGCCCAAAGGTTTTTCGTTCCTATTTCAGGCTCGGGGCCAACTGACATTCCACTCTTTTTTTTTTCCCAGCCTTGTAAACAAACCCTTCTCTCTTTTTAATCTTCCAGTGCTGTTTCCTACCCATCGTTATGCATATTCATTGCGAGTAAACATTTTTAGTGTCTACACTTAATCTCTTCCACTGGCAATTACTGTTCTATGCTGTTTTGTAATGCAGAAGGGCCAACGCTTTCCGTTCTAATAACAGCTGGGCCGCAGATGGGGCCTGCAGTCATTGTAGAAAATAAAAATTTACAAGATGCCAGTGGAATTTATTTCAGTTTTATGGAGTCACAGGAGGAACCTTTCTGTTATCCGCCTTCAGTGAAATCTGCAGGCACAAGGCAAGCTTTTGACATTTAATCAAAGGGGGGTTCAGGTAGGGTCTGGAACAACGCAAGGAAGAAAGCAGGTGGATCGTATTAGGCAGTGCCATGGTTAATTTATTTAGAAGTGATTGGCTTAGATGTGTGCAGCCAATATTTGACATCATGTATATATCTTGTTTAGCATCCTGCCTCTAAATTGTTACCACTGGAGAGACAGTGAGCTGTCACTGTGGACCGAACCAGGTGTTTGGTGGGGTTGCTACTTAGAGGTGCTGATGCAGATGGCACTGTACTCACCAAAGACGAAGCTTTTTGTGTGGTTTCTAAAAGTTGATTCATTTTTACTTCACTGCATCGTTCTCTGAACTACTGTAAGTGCCTCTTCAGCAGAACCCCAGAGCTTGCGGATGGGCTTTTGAATATGGGCTGCAACCTTTAATTTAACAATGTGGTTTAACTGGAAATTTTCTGTTATACGACTCGAGTACGTGAAAATGGATTTATTTGCGAAGCTTACATTTCCGATGTGCGCTGTTACGCTGATCCAGGGTGGGATTAGGACGGTGCCGTGACATACTGAGCCGCCCGAGCTTGGTGGTTAAGAGCTAACTACGACTCCCGAAATGAAAGATAAATGGTCACACACACACTATAAAACTGCAACCCAATTTAGATACGACGCCGTTTCTGGAAGGATTCACTGTGGTTCTTGAACCCATCCTGCTTGATCCTCCACTCTGTAATCCTTCCTTACCCCCACACCTTTCCCCCCAAGTGCGGAAAGGGAATGCAGGAAACCCACCCAAGGACATCCCATAATTAATTAAGTAAATGCACATGGCTTTCTAGACTGGATGAAACCTATGCCAAAGGTGCTTATGTTTTCACATTTGGGGCCCTCTTTTGCCACACACCTTCAGCCGGTTGCCTAGCAACCAGGAGAAACCCACTGAGCATGCTCACTGAGGAGCCTAATTGCTATCACAATTTACTTTTGTTGTTGTTTTTTTAAAGCCCATTAACCAAAACAGGATGCTTTCCTTTTTGAAGGACAAGTAAGGTCTGCATGAATTTCAAAGGCAAGAGAGTATATTTCGATACCAAAACAATTCAATGCAATCCCAGGTATGCAGGCGGGTACAGATAACAAACATAAAAATTGGAGCAGATTGACATTAAATAACGTATAAATTCCCATTTATTCAGATTTTTATAGACTCATTTCTTTTATTCTCTTTATCTTTTCTGATTGTGGCTTTCTTTTTTCTCTAAGAAAGTCATTAAGAGGGAAAAGTGGAATTTAATGTCATATGATCAAGTACATTAAGAAACTTTATTAAAGAATTTACATTGATAGATAGCATTTTTTCTTCCATCCTTCCTTACCTTCCTTTCTTTCTTCCTTTTTTTTTCTTTTTGAAAAATTTCCTGGTGGTTCCAAGTCTGTGGCTACGATTTAACTCAATCTTTTCACAAAGGGCAAGAAATAATTTTGTGTATCTCAGAGAGAAAGGCAGTTTTTCCCTAACTTCAAGAAAAAACACATTTTATGTTAGGTTAATCTGATCTATTCATTTGTTGAAATCTTATTACAGTTGCATGATTTTTTCCAATTTCTAGGTTGGTATATAAAATAAAATATGCTTGGAACACCATCTATTTAACTACTTTCATTACTAAACAGAATGCCCTTTCACAGGAAATGTTATGCATGGTTCAAAACTACATCACGGCGTTTCCCTATTTCTTTTCAAATTTTCTAACTCATTTGGGAAAATTAACTCTTGTTCTTTTTAACTCTACATATTTTATATAAACTACCTTACATTGCGTGAATCTAGGAATTCTAATATGGGCACTGGCTTTTTAACTAATTCCATGACCCGTCTCCTGTCCAGCTAGTCCTATGGAACCAAACGTGATGCACTTATTGGTATCAAATGGCTTTCATGGTGGGAAAGACTGGTAGGATAAAGCTCTCCCACCCTCCTTTGGGAACTTGACAGGTATCAGCAAGGAATGAAGATGAAATAAGCTCCCGAGATGAGGTAGGGGCAGTGTTCTTATCTAAGCCTTAGATACAGAACAAGCCTCACCTCCTGCTCCAGCCTCCCCTTCTCTCCCAATCCCTCCCAACTTTTTATTTTCCTTCAGTGGCCAAGGCATTCCGGGAAGAAAATGTTGCGCTGGTTGTGCTACTGGTGTCAGTGTCAGAAGAGCACAGAGCTAACTCACAATGCACTGGTACTGTTTCCCTGAGGACAAATTGGTGTGGTGTGTGTGTGTGTGTGTGTGTGTGTGTGTTTTCCCAAACAATAGTTCTTGTGTATGTGTGAGCCAGTAGTTTTGCCATTCCCTCAGAGACAGCCAGCAGAGGGAGCAAATTTAGCACACAGCAGTATTCCCTAATGTCCTAGCATTGGTAAGAATTCTGGAGGACATACTATATACGAAATTAATAAAATCAAATGATTTCATTTCATTTCATTATGATTAACCCTGTTATGCACAGAAGCAGGTCGAGCAATGCGGGGTAATGAAGAACTAAACGAGGCTAATTGGCTCAGTCAGGATACCTCAGCTTGGTGGTTGTGAATACGATGATATAGCTGGTAAAATGGCACTTGTTTCCTTTTTCCTTCCAAAAAAACTACTAACAAAAAATTTTTAAAAAACACATACACATATACACACAATATGTGTGTGTTTTTAATTCCATGGCTGGAAATACTTATGTTCCATTTATATAGTTTCACATATGTTCTTTAATATGTGAATACATATATATATATATATATATATATATATATATATTCTTTAGGGAAATCTTTCTTCAATTTCATTCATGTTGACAACTCTTTTTCCTCTCTTTCCTCTCTCTGTCCTCTGTTTCATTGGTCTCTCTCTCACACACACACACACAAACACACACACACACACACACACACACACACGACTCTGCAACAGTTTTAGTCCTCAATGCTTTGGAGCTACTCTAATGTTTTGAGAGGAAAGTAATTTTTCAATTTCTGTTTTACCCCAAACCTAACAGGTGACTGGCCTAAAGGGACTTTGTTCCCCATCCCCTGCTTAATGCTGCTGGCTCACCATAGCTCTAGTGATTCAGAATTTAAATCGAATGCGAACATTTGCGAGTAATGCAGGGAGTGATGAGAGCTTTTATGGACAGCAAGAATTGAAGTAATTGTTTGGTCTTTTTTTCTCTCTCTCTGTCAAAGTAGGATCAGAATTGATTGTTTCCTCTCACCTGTGGTCATTTTCCTATTTTAGAGCATTGATGATATCTGGACCCATGTCGTTTTCAAGTTTTCTAAACCTTAATCTCTAGAAATCCTGTAGAGTGTGTCAAATTAGAACTCCATTCCAGCAAATACATCTTCACATTTCCGTGCTGTTAATTCAAGGCATTCATTAGAATGTAAGGCTCTTAACCATTTTCACTTAACGATATGGATTTTCTCCTCACCCCCTGCATCTGTGCTTTTCCCTGTTCCTTCCTTCCCGCCCCAATCTCCTGATACATTTCAAGTACTTATACTCTACACCCTCCCCAAAATTCTGTTGTCTTCAACTTGTAAAAATCTCCATAACACACCTATCCCCTCTTTAGACAAAACCTGACATTTTGGCTTGTGATGGCAGCAAAAGTGGTACACTAAATTCACATGTAAAAATCCAAAGTTTAAGAAAAAAAAGTGCCTAGATTCTAACACATAATATGCTCTTCTCTTAGTTATAAAAGGAAACTTTTTCCTTCTCTTTTCAGGTTCGAAGCAAAATGGCACAAATACAGCGGATAACAGTAAGTGATCAGATTTCCATATAGACTGCGTGCAGGCAAATTAGCAATCAGAAGTTCCTAACACAGTGGCTGTGTTTGAAGACTCAAAGAATTGCAAAGCAATTTTCCTTCCCAAAGTGCATTTGAGTCATTCCTACAACTGTACAGAACCCTTATTCATAGAAATCTTTAAAACTCCAAAAAATTGACAAATTGTTTTCTTTTTATTAGAAAAGGGGAAACTGTATGCATGCCTACTAGCTTATTACAATTGAAATTTCTTTAGGATACAGAGTGTGTGCAATAAATGATCGCACAGTCATCAAAAACCACACATAGAAGAATCTCCTACTGTCTTGATAGACAACACAGATTTTACAAAGATTTGGGTAAAAACTGTACATATTTTCCTCCTACAAAAACAAACATCTATATGCAAATTTCATTAAAATAAACAGAGGAGTGCTTAAACTGGGAAAGATGGAGTCAGATGTTTTTTATTATGGGTTTGAATGCTATGGAATTGGTAACTACATTTTTTTATTTTTTCAGTAGAAAAAAATCACAAGATATTTTAATAATGCATACCTAACGTTTATTTTCTTATTAGTAATTGTTATAAAAACAGACCGTTTTGCCAGCCTATCTGACTGCACCTGTTACTAGATATTTCCAAGAGACTCACTCACACACCAATTTTGCCTGCGTGCACTGGGTGTATTTCCCGTTGTTTTGATTATACAGTCAGGGCACAGGCAGCTTGCATTCAAAAAAGAAGGCACATTTTATTCAAAGAGAGAAAGTGATGTCCTTGGAACTTCAACCTTAATGAAACACTTTTTAAAAGGACACACTGTTTGGAATGAGAAGAGATCCAAAGAGAGAAGGATGGGTGCGTGATAGAAACGAAAGGAAAATGGATTCGATTAGCAAAGCAAGACTACAGTATCCCAAGAGACTTCTAAAAAATCTGTATGAAGTCATTACAAGCACACAGTATAATCTTGCGGCGTAGATGCATGCTTCAGAGTGCAAAGAAAGTTTGCCCTCAAGATTGAGTTTCTGAGGAATTAATTCTAAATATTCCCTCCAGTCTTAGGAGTTTTCAGTCCCAAATTGCTTAAATGATGATTAGCTGAAGTTCCTCTGACTAATTTCGGCAGAAGTAACATTTCTAGCTGGTTGATTTGGGCATCAAAACGAACCAGTGTCTCCGGACATCTGTACTATAGAGACACCCTTATGCTAAAACCCGACTCCAGCACTACCCTTACAAAAATAGCACATTTCCGTTCATGCAGAACGGTGATTAGACTTTCCCAACACAACTCATACTTTTTAAAAGGCGCGTCAGAATTTTAAAGTGCATTAAATAAAGGGCATTGGCACATTAATGCAGCTCTCTTTGAGGCAAGATGCCGCATAATTTCCGCTGAACCGTCGCACAAACCTTCAATAAAGAAAGTTCGCAAAGAAAAAAATATATACCCATGCCACATCCGATGCATAGAACAGTGTCCTTGGGAATTCAATAACACTCTATGTCTATAAAACTAAGCCTTTAAGATGCTTTGTTTTACATACTTAAGGAGGAGCGAACGTCCCCAGGGCACTGTTGTTTTGTTACCTTATTTTAAATATTCTGTTTTTCTGCAGCTGTCTGCCTACATGGTAGGACTACACAGGGTATTCTGCTGGGTGATTTTTTTTTAGAGAGGTGCTACTTTCTTCTACATCTAAACATGCATTTATAAGAAACAAATGGCTTTCTGTATTGAGGGCTTTCAAAGTGACCACGGTGTTGTAAACACGCTGGAAGAGTTGCAGCAACAGTGTGACAGGTGGATTAGCTCTCGCTTAGTTTAGCCTCTTGCCTGCTCATCTTGGGCAGCTGTGCAGACGTACCTGATGCCACAAAAGATAAAGACTATGTGCGTAGAGAGTACCAGCATTATGTTGAGCACTCAGTTTGCGGTTCTATGTCATGGTCTTCAAGCCTGTTAAAAGTGACACTGAAAATACAAAATGGGGTGGCACGTAAGACCCAACCCCAAATTAGGCAGTTTTTCAAGACTGGAGGAGACGTCTCTGAATGGCTGCAAAATCATCGATAGCAGCTGGAGAGACTCGTTCAGGGGATTTTACTCCACGGTCGAGCATATTTCAAAGTTTAAATTCTTAACAAAAAGAAACTGGGACCATAGGAAAAAATCTTTTTTAGGAGGAAAAATAGTGACAACCAAACATCTCAAGAGTTTTTATAGTCTCTTTGGGTTAGAAAGAAATGTCTGCTTCAGTTTGCCATCGTTTTTCTATTTACTGAGCCTATGCTAGTCATACTTATTGTCAGGTTGGGACACATAGAAAATAAAACAAAAGAATTTTGCTGTGAGCAACATTAATTGAGCAACGGTGTTGGCCTTCTGGGGGTGGATGTGCTCCCATCAAAAAGATCTGGTAGCTAAGCCTGCCCAGATGATTAAGCTGGAAGAATTGCTGAAGTTCATGGTTTAAGTAATGGCTTTCACCTGTAGGCTTCTATCCACTATCAATTTTGCCAAGAAAACCCCACAAAAGTGCTCAAAGGGATATAAGTAAGCCCCCTTTCTAAGTCACAGGTGGCACCATCATGCCTGGTCATTGATTTTTTTCTTTTCTTCTTTTTTTTTTTTAATGCTAGATAATTTCAGTGCCTTCTTGCTTTTAAAAGTCAGCAACTCCTGATTCTTTTATTCTTTATTCCATGTCTTTTGCCTACTCTAACTAATCCAGATTTCCTCTGTTAAAGTTGTAAACTGCCCCAAACTGGGCCAACAAAGATAAGGTGAGAACAGACAAGGTCACCAGAAATATTTACTGAGCACTAATGACTCCCACTCCTAGTTTAAAAGAGAAAAAAATGCTAAAACATTTTTTTCTAGGAAAATTCAGGCATCAAAGACCAAAACTGTTACATCCCTAGAAGAGATATCTCCCCACATCACTGAGACACATAACTAAAACACCATGGAAGACCTTTTTTGTCATGAAAAGATGGTAATTTATAAATAAACAGAGGATATTAATTCCTGATGTGTTGAGGTGATGAACAGAATGTGGTCAATGCTGAATATGCAAAATTACAGAAGAAAGTGCTATTGGCATTTTTTAGCATATTTTGGTGACATGGTCATATTATAAAAGATAGAACATAAGACTCAAATACTTACACCAGAAAGAAATTCTTTTGGGCAAGCCCTTTGAGATGTCAGAGACCAAGGCTCAGTTTTCCTTCAATAAAAAAATGAATTGTGCATGCAACCCAAGAGACAGATTACAGATTTTATAATTCTCATAGAACAACCTACACAGCTTCAGCTTCCAGCATGTGTATATGTAACTGTGTAGGGGGAGAAATGAGATGCACAAGACCCATTAATAATGGCAATTGCATGCTTAATTTCATGTGCACTGCAATGAAAAATTACTTCTTACTATCTAAACTAAGTTTCAGGAAAAGCCTGGGAAATCAGGAGCTCTTCCAACATACCTTTCTAGTCCGAATGTGAATAAGGAGCTGGTGACTCATTTAGCAGACATTCCGCAGACAAACCCTCAGGGCAGATTTGATATGAACAACTCTTAGATCAAGGATCTGCTCACAACAAAGGAGGAAAAGTGTTGTCAAAGCCTTGCAATTCTTTTTACATCCAAGCAAGAGAAACATGGTGATTTTACAGAAACTTCTCATTGTGAAATAAACAGCAAATTGAAGAGCAGGTAAGGCTTACATTGGGAGGCCTGAGTCACAGGCTGAGATTTAGATCTGAAGAATTAATTGACTAAAGGCAGGAACCTTCCAGTATGTTAACCTCCAAAACTAACTCATTCATTGCTGATTCTACCATTCTTCAACTTTGTAAATGCAGCCAGTTAAGGTGATCTTAGCTGTATTCATAGGTTCATAGAAGTTTAGAGCTGAAAAAAAAAAATTAAGATTCCTGTCCTATTTTTAGATTTTATAAGTCTAAATCTAGTATTAATTATCCCCATAAAAAATAAAATGAAAGCAAAAACCAGCTTCTCCTCTAGGGAGACCAACTCACCCCAGGACTTTTGACTGGGACTTTCAGGCTTTTAGCACTGAAAGTTCCACCTCTGATTTGCCTTGCCTCTGTCCAGGCAAATCTGCATGGCTGATCACCATTTACAATCCCATGAATTCTCCATCTGTGTTGGTGGCACTGCCATTATCTCTAGGGCCCCAAACCTCAAAGTCTTCTTGACCTCCTGACCCTCACATTCAAATATTCAAGGGTTTCTGTTTTCTATCTGAAGACTCTTCTCTTTACTTCCTCATGTTCACTCCCAATGCTTGATGGCAATTTGAGCCCCTATTACCTCCATCCTGAGCCTCTGTGAGCTCCTGCCCTTTTCTTCCTGGCCCCATTCTTCATACAGCACCTTGTCTACCCATGGGTCTTTGGAGATGACAACTTCATCATGTTCAAACATTGTCATTGTGTAACTCAGTTAAATTAGACTCTTAGCCTGGCATTCAATCACTCATGATGCCTCCCCAATCTATTGTTCTAGCTTTATGATAGAGAAAAAAACAGGCAGATTCATTGAGAGATAAAAAAAATGTGTCCCCAATTCACCATTCTCCTTCATTAACTAGTTATGCTAACAGGGCAGGTCATTTAACATCTCTTGGCTTTGGTAACTCCATTTGTGCAATATGTTGCCTTCCTTAAAGGAAAAAGCTACTCTAGTTGGTGTCATGAAGTACTGATCCTGAAAAGTTATGATATTCTGACCTCCTACTATCATTATGTGTAGACTCTACGTACTATTGGGTAGCTCCTTATTTTAGGAACCAGTCCTGAGTTTTCCCAGCCCCATGCATTGTATGAATGCAGTTCTGTGTGTCCTTAAACCTCCCTTCAAGTTTCCTGTGACTCTCTGGAAACGGAATCTTGGAAAAGGCCTACCCATCACCTCCTGGAAAAGGTCTACCCATCACCACCTCCTTCCACAGACTCAGTTAAATCTCTCCACCTTCTCCAAACTTCCACAGCTCATTGTTTTTACCTCTCCTATGACACCAATGAAGTGACTCTAGCATTTGTATTATTGCGATTATTTGTTCACATGCCTTATTTCCTGTGCCTCTGTGAGCTCCCTAGGGACAAGGATTCCATCATACTTACAAACAGGCACAATGGTGTGCTAATTAAGAATTGTCATGGGTTGAATTGTCTCTTCCAAAAAAGATGTGTTGGAAGTCCTAACTCCTACCCCTCAGTACCTCAGAATTTGACCCTGTTTGGAAATAGGGTGGTTACAGATGTAATTAGTTAAGATGAGGTCAGACTGGAGTTAAGTGGCCCCCAATCCAATATGACTAGTGTTCTTTTAAGACCAGCATGTGAATACACAGGGACACAAGGAGAATGTCACATGATGATGAAGGAAAAGATTGGAGTTAAGCAGCTACAAGCTAAAGAATGTTGAGGATTGCCAGAAACCACCAGAAGCTAGGAAGAGGTATAAAAGGATTCCTCTGCAAGTTTCAGAGGAAGCATGTCTCTGCTGACACCTTGATTTTGGACTTCTAGCCTCCAGAACCGGAAGACAACAAATTTCTTCTTGACAGCCACCCAGTTTGTAGTCTTTTGTTGTTGCAACTCTAGAAAACTAACAGAGTCAAACTGCCTGGATCTGACACCTTGTTATGCTGCTTTCAGCTGCATGACTTTCAGCAAGTTACATCAACACCTGATGACTCTATGTCCTCATCTATAACATGATCATAATAATAGAACGAATATCCTAGTGTATATGTAAGGAATCAAAGAATACATGCATGTAAAATTTGTATCAGCATCTGGCAATAAATCGAAATTATTTTATCTTTTCATTATCCTTCAGTGCTATGCATATAGTCAGCATTCAATAAATGTTTATTGAATGAGAGAATATATAAATTGGCTAAAGAAAATTTGAACTTATCCAGACATATATATATTCAACTTGCCTTTGTTGACTTGGTAATTTGATTCAACACGGAAAGATGCTTTGCTTATTATTCACTTTATATTAAAGTGCTGAGTGGGTTCAAGGCCAGGTCTAAATGCAGGTTCTACTGGTTCTTTGCTGTATGACCTTGTGTAAGTCTACTTGACCTTGACGATGCTCCATTTCCTCAACTTAAAATGGGAGAAACTTGGTCCATAGAGTTATAAGTGAAGGTTAAGTAAGACGATGTCAAAGCAAACTTGATTTTCATAAATATCAGCTATTGCTATCACTCTTTTAAATTTTATTTTAAAGAATTTTCCTTCTAATGTTTTCCTAAATTCTAGATCAGTATTGTAAAAGACTAGCATTTTCAAAACTTGCATGAAGACAGCAGCATAGAGAAGGAATCTGACTCCTAAGCTGGCTGGATCTCAATTTCCTGATCTCTAAAACAGTGCTTCTCAGTTGGGAGCCAATCCCCCACAACCCCAGGGACATTTAGCAGTGTGTTGAGATGTTTTTGACTGTCATGATTGGAGGGTTGGTAATACTGGCATCTAGTGGGTGGAGGCCAGGGTTGCTGCGACTCATCTTATAATGCACAGCGCAGGCCCTAACAATGAAGAATTATCCAGCCCAAAATATCAATAGTGTCAAGGCTGAGAAACCCTGCTCTAAAATTAGGTGGTTGGGCCAGGTAATGATACCAGGTAAACTTTCACATTCCTTCCAGCTAAAAAACGTTGTAAGTACTGATTTCCATAATGCATTGTAAATGCCATTCTCTCAGACTGTGCAATTAATTATTTTTATCATTCTCTATTTTTAAGCTATTTTTTTCTGAATGCCAAAAAACTAATTATTTGAGATAATCTAAATTCTCTTAGATTTCAGCCCAGTTCTCAATGTTGCACTTTCTAGATTGCTTGGCCCAAATGTTTCTGTGAAAGCTTTTTGATTCACTGTTTTAGTTGGGATATAGGCTCAGAGCATGAATTAGAAACTTAAAGTAGCAGTGACTTGAGTAAGACAAAAGATGATTTTTCTTTCACATTTATCACTCTCTCATGCCTGCTAGGAGGTGGCTCTCCTCTGGGAAGTCATCAGGACTCTCGTCTGCTGTGGGGCTACATGGAGTCCAGGCCCCAGGCTCCTTCTCTCTTGTTGTTTGGCCATCCTGGAGACTTTGCCCTCATCTGCATCCCCAAAATGGGGCATCACTGTGTCCATATCCAGCCTGTGGAATGGGGAAAAGAGAAAGGAAGCATGCCCCTTCCCTAACGGTATGACCCAGAAAATATAGGCAGGAGTTCCACTCATATCCCAGACACCAGAACGTACAAGGCCACACATACTTGCCAGGAAAGCTTGAATATAGTCTTTATTTGGTATGGTCATGTACCCAGAAAACATTTGACAAAATATTGGGATCATGTTCTAGCGTAGCCCCCTTAGGGATGAGGGGGTTAAGAGCGTTGATAGAAGGGAATGGTTTTAATAATAGACAATCAAATCTAAGCTCAGTATCAGTCCTGGAAAGGGCTCAGATTGGGCTTTCTTGAATCAAATCTCTTCCTCTCATTCTCTACCTATGCCCCTAGATATTCAAGCTGCCTGCTCACCCCCAAACCTGCTTCCCTAGTCTCATCATTTCTCCTCATTTCCTTAGCTACAAAACTAGCCCAGCCTCTTAATTAAGCAGTAGGAGTGATAGAAGGCAGAAAAGGCTGGTAGCCCTCCTTGCCAAGATGTGGAGAGAAACTGCCTAGGAAAAATTCAATATAGAAAAAAGATTTCACAGAGAGAATAAGAGAGCCTGATTTTGAAAGTATTGTTTGCACCCCTGAGCCAGAAAAGTATAGGGACGGCCCATCCCCTTACAGCTCCCAGTGGAATCAATAAATACCCCTTTTTGCTCAAGCTAGTTGAAATTGTACTTTCTTCACTTGCACCCAGAACATGTCTCACTAATATAACCTTCAAGAAATTCCCATTCTAGTGAAGGATTGCCAGGAGGCAGAAAACTGCTCAACTTATTAAACTTCAGTCAGTTCCACATAGGGCCAGTTTTCTCTTTTCCACTATTGAGCTAGAACATATACATTTCCAGGCAAAAAAATAAAAAAGTGGTAGAATTTATAAACTTTTAGGAAAACTTAACATTCAACTTTGCATCACCCACTTCGAATAGAGACTAATATTGGATCATAGACACAAATATTGGTATCTATCACATGACTGGCTAATCTTAATTTTTTAAAATATCTTTAAAATGACCATTTTTAATCAAATGTTCAAGGCAGCTAGCTCTCTTCTTGTTTAAAAATTAATTAGATTTTTTAAAGAAAATATTCTTCCTGCAGATAATACACATGAGAAAACCTTGTCCATTATGTTCTTGGGTGGCCTTGAAGCATAGGTGGCCACCGCATGGCAGAATCAATGCATCTAAGGACGTGCTGAATGCCTCCATTAAGGCTTCAGCTTTAGTGCCAAGGGCAGAATTCCATAACATTGGGCCTTTGCTCAAGAGTGTTTTCTGTTCAGGCTGAGTCAAGGCTAACTTAGGTGCCTCAAGTAAAATCAACTAAAAACAGACAATAGACTTCAGGCTTAGGATCTGGAACTACTCAAAGCCTTGTTCACACTTGAAAGTGGATTTGGTGCTAAGTCTTCAGCTTGTTTGAAAAGGATTATCAGAGCCAATGAGAGGAGTTTTGGAGCCAGGACAAATGCTAAATTTTAGGTCCATGAGCGTGGAAGAGTGACTTGGCCAGTGGAAAATCACCAGACAGCTCTTGCCAATCTGAAAACACTCAAGGGCAGCACCAGAACCTCTGGGCTGGCGAGAATGTCCCTGGCCGTTCCCTCCTGTTGGCCACTCCAGAGAAGAGTGCCATGATGGGAATGTTCAGCTGTAAACCTGCAGGCAGGCTGCTGGGCTGGGCCCTGGCTGGAGCCTACGTAAACATTTTCCCTTTCCAAACCTGGACATGGTGCTCCACAGTAGCCGAGTGCCCACCCCTCCAAGCTGGGACCTCGGGGTCTCCTCCAGAGTTTTGCTCTCCTTTTTCTCTCTCTATCCAGTTTGTCATCATCCCCCGCACCCTGCCGCCAGCTTCCCCAGAAAACTTCCTCAGATTTGATCTCCCTCCCTCTTTGCTCTGTCAATTCTCCAGCCACCTGCTGGGGCCATGATGACAGCTTCTTTGCTGTGTTCACTGCCAGGACCAGTTTTATGCATAGATGGAGCTGAAGGCTACCCATGAGGCCTGATTTCAAGAGTGCATAAATGTTTGTGGAGACCCAGTATACTGCCACTCCTGCTCAATGACGTCTGACATTTTCACAAATAATAGTCATGACTTGGACCAACCTTTACTATGTGCCTGGTGCTAGTCTAAGAGCTGTACATATATTAACTCATTTAATCCTTTCATTGCAAAGTGAGAGATGAGGTTTAAACTGGCAAAATGTTTGGCAGAGGTTGTCTCTGCTGAAATTCATACTAGAATGTCTACAGCTAACTACAGATCTGGTCTTGTTGTAATTGTTATAAATACGCAGAAGTGTCTCAAGGAGAAGTTGCGTGGCACAGCAGGGAGAAGAGGACAAAGAAAGGGGACCTGGCACATGAACATTAACGACCTGATAGTACTGCCTGCCTCATTCCCGTCTTCAACTCCCTCATTTACCTCCACTCGTTCAAATAAGCCATACATATTGTTTTGCAGGAGTGTTAAAATCCTCCTGCCATATCCCCTTCTCATATTCCTATAATAGCTCCTCATGAACCCTAGAAAGAAATTAAACTTTCACAAACTTCCAGCAGCCCACGCATGAATTCCCCTTTACTTCCCCAAATACGGCAGCTCATTTTCTCCATCTCTCCTGCTTGTCAGACCTCACAACACAATCATCAGAACGTGGTTTTTTTGGCAGCAAACCTTATGCCTGCTGTAGAGTTCACAGAACACAAGATCAGTATAGTAAGTAAGTATAAAATGTGTAACCTTTATATACACGACAAATATTAACTTAATATTATACCACTGTCTTCAGGATGCTTTATAGGGATTAATTACATGATGTCTGCAAAGCAGTTTGAGAACCTCCGGGAAAGGTGCTATAGAAATACAAGGTATGATTATTTTTAGGAGCTGCTACTGCTGACATTCAGCATAGCATGAAAGAATGAAAAATTATCTCCATGTTCCCCGTCGTGGTAACAACTTCAGCTTAGGGTTTAGAAAACCCATTTATAGAAAGTGCTAAAATTAAAAAATGCATTCCTCAGATGAGCTCATCTATGTAGCTTGATCTATGGAAGAAGAGACCTTTCTAACCAAAAATTTTTTTAAAAAAAATGACTATATAGGCCAAAGTAAGAAATTTAGAAATTTAAAACCTTTCCAGTGAAGTACTCAGACCCCTGGCTCACGTTCAACTCCCTGCCTCCAAGAGAGACTATATGTTTGGATAGATGTTGCCTGTCCCATTCCTAAAGTTCTCCAGAGGAAAGAGTCCTCAATCAACTCAGCCACCTGTTTCTGCTTAACAGCCTTAACTATTGGGAAGTTCTTCCTGGTACCTGACTTAAAACCTTCCCTGGAAATGTACCAGGTTTTCTCTCATTTATCTTTAGTGAGCCCAGAGCTCAGCCAGCCAGTGATTTGTTGTTGTTGTTGCAGTTCATATGTAGCCTTCCTGTTATAATCCTTGATGTTTCCTAATAATTCTGTCACCCTTTGCAACTTTGGGAATAAGTAATTCTGTCCTTAGAATCACTTCCTCTAAATGTCATTCTCCACCTATATTACTGCAAACCTGCCAATCTAGTGGAATAAAAGCTCTGTGAAAGCAGAGGTTTGT
Source organism: Homo sapiens (assembly GCF_000001405.40). Classification (NCBI taxonomy): domain Eukaryota; kingdom Metazoa; phylum Chordata; class Mammalia; order Primates; family Hominidae; genus Homo; species Homo sapiens. The sequence continues at coordinate 55,849,153 of NC_000018.10, read as the reverse complement.
GGGATTTTTTGAGATGGAGTCTTGCTGTGTCGCCCAGGCTGGAGTGCACTGGCACGATCTCAGCTCACACAACCTCTGCCTCCTGGGTTCAAGCAATTCTCCTGCCTCAGCCTCTTGGGTAGCTGGGACTACAGGCATGCACCGCCATGCCTGGCTATTTTTTTTTTTATTTTTAATGGAAACGGGGTTTCACCACATTCACCAGGCTGGTCTCAAACTCCTGACCTCAAGTGATCCACCCACCTCGGCCTCCCAAAGTGCTGGGATTACAGGTGTGAGCCACTGCACCCAGCCGAAAGCAGAGGTTTTTTTCTGCCTACTTTACTGCTAGATGCCCTGTTTGTAGACCAGTGCATGGAACAGAGGACACACTCTTTGGTGTATATCAAGTAAATGGATAGAGTTGTCATGATTAAAGTATGAGAGGGCTTAGTGCTTTAGCATGGGACATGTGCTGCACATCCTAGAAAAATTTCATTTCCTCCTTAATATCTGGACACTTAGGAATAGTGGCCAGAGGACACACAACGGTGCCTCTGTTGATCCAGCCCTCATACTTGGATTGTTTTTAGCTCCCACAATTTTTTAAAAATTTTAAATAGTTTTCCAAAGTTTTAAACTTCTTTAAAATTGGAAATTTCTACTTAACATGTGGATTTCTATCTTCTCCTGAAAAATTGGAAGACCTGGCAAAAAAGAGACTCCATTCTCACATGACTACAGTGGCCTGGAGGTGAACAACAGTCCGCTTCTTAAATGGAACTTTCGCTCTCCCATTAGCTGCCATCTCCACCTGGTCCGCGGCACCCAAATGCTCAATCCACCTGCTACAGATGGATGGATGGGGTGAGAGCCCTGCTGGGGATGAAACATTCAAATGGTCAACTGTGGTGTCCACTTCTCAGCCCAATAAAGTGCCACCTAGAGGCACTCATAATCAAGTCGTTTAGTCCTTATAGCAACCCTGGAGGCTAGACATCATCATCATCATCATCATCATCATCTTCATCATCATCATGTTTCATGGTATGCAGAGATAATAAACTAAAGTTCACATAAATTCCTTGTAGGGAAGCATCCTAGTCTTTTAGTTCCCTCTGCAGTGAAAAGTTTCCTATGTCCAAGGTCCACAGACTAGGTTTGTGGGTGGAATGAGTTCTCCCTGCCCTCCTTTTGAAAATAGCCATGCCCATTCACTTACATATTGTCCACTACTGAGCCATAGCTGCTTTTTGAGCTGCAATTATAGAGTTCAGTAGCTGTGCTACATAGATCATATGACCTGCAAGCAAAGCCTATAATGTATACTATCTTGCTCTTTACAGAAAAAGTGTGCTGACCTCTGGCCTATTGCTTTGTACTTACATTCTTGAAAGAGGCCTTAAGATGCTGTGTAGCATCTCCTCCCTCCCAGGTGGGATCAAATATAAACTATACCACACTGTTCATTATCCAGCTAATTGGAAGCATACTGTCATCAAAAACTTTACCTTGGCACACAATGTGATCATGTGGTTATTCTGCTAATTCAATAAAGAACTCGCTGTTTTTAAGAATTAAAAAACTTACAATTAAATTTAAAAACTTAGAATAGATGCAGGATTTACCCTGGGTAACCTTATCTAAATTGAGGCACAAAAAAATAAAAGGTAACATAAAGATATATATACATATATACACACAGTTTATGTGTGTGTGTATATACATTACATGAATATGTAAATTCAACTGAATGCATCTAAATGAGCAGAAAAAGATTGGCAGAAAAACACTGGGATCAAGCAAATCCTACTAAAGAATGAGATGCCTTTTAGCTTTTAGCAATGTGTGTGTGTGTGTTCATGTGTGTAAGTAAATTCATCTTGGTATAGATATAGAATTGTGAATACAAGGTATTTGGGTCACCACAGACAACTCTCTGTTCACTACTCATACTGCAACAGGCATTGCTAAAATGATTACTGCCCTTTCGCCTGTGGAGCCTGAACATAGCTTCAGAATCCTACTTAACACAGTGCTCCAGAGAGCCATACAAACTGAGCAGAGTTGGCTCACTTTGACATCTTTTAAGAAAAGAGACTAGTTAGCAATGAAAGGCAAGAGATTTTGGGTCTCATCTCAACTATATTTTTAGAAACTAAGTCACTTACACTATCTGTGTCTCAGGTTTTTCTATACAAAGTAGGGCTAATTATATTTTTTGATCACTTGCCAGAGTGTGGGTAAAATGAGAACAAAAGAGTTAATGAGCTTCTGATAAGCTAAACATGCTGAACAATTGTAATGTATTATTTTTATGGTATAGGCACATGAACATAAAAATATGAGAAATAAAACAGCAGAAGCGACAAAATGAAGACTATCCTAAAATAAAGAGCCAAGCTGAATGTTTCCCAGAATGAATTCCTTTGTAGATTTGAACCATAAAAATCTCCTACTTGAAGAAAAAATAAAAGTGACTACTTGAGTTCAAGGAAATAATGTAGGTAAGAGAGTGGAGGAAGATGATCTTATTGATGGGGTTGAATTTAATCTTCTTAGAGCTCATTCAACAAACATTTATAGAATGCCTACCACCAGGAAGACACACTGTGTTAGTTGCTTTTAAAAATACAATGGTGTATGAATAGGAGTTGGCTGTTCCCACAAATCCTTTTTGAAATAAAGTGGTATGATGGTGTGAGTTCAGAATTGCATTTGGTTGCTGGCTACAGACTGCAAAACAGTAGATTAAAGAGACAAGGGCTTATTTTTCTCATATAACTAAAAGTCTGAGTCAACAATTGCTGATGTTAGTTCAGCAACTGATTCAGGATGTCAGGGACAAAGATCTTTCAATTCTCTCAGCCTTTCTCTCATGGTTCCAAAGTAGCTGCTGGAGCTCCAGCTAATACATTCAAATCTCAGGCAGGAAGAGAAAAAAAAGAGAGAGTAAAAATAAAGAAGCTCTACCCAACGACTTCTACTTATTTTTTAATGGGTTCCTATATGCAGGGAAAGCTGCAAAAGGTGGCTCCTTATTTTTGTTTTTAACTGGATTCATTGTTATCCAACAGTATTCTTTGTTGAGGAGAAAGGAAAAAAATGAATATTCAGTAGTAACTGGCGATCTCCACCACTTGTATAAATTAAATAAAATGTAACAGTTGTTATAGGAAACTAATCTTTCTTTCAAAGAGCTTCATTCTAATAGGGGAAAAATATATATACAACTTAAATCAAAATAGAAAGCAATTTATCATCTAGATAAGCTATCCACTGTCCAAAGAATACAATACTATATTATATGTACATTAAAATATCTCTGTGCTTTTTCTTAGGCAGAGGACAATAGCTAATTTTTATTTCCTTCTTTTCGATGTTTTTAATTTCCAGATGTCCTACAACAAATGGTAGAAAGAGAAGGCATCACAACAGAGAGGTTGCATGAGCGGGTTTCCACATCTATTATTTCATTTTATCATTGTAACTGTGACTTTCAGAAGAATGTGAGGGCATAATTAAACATTTACTCACGAACCAATATGAACTCAATTTTTTGGAAAAAAAAAAAAAGGTGAAAGAACTAAATGCCTAAACTGGGCACTGAGCTCAACCATGATGATAATTCTCTGCACCCGAAATATATAGAATCATAGAATGTTATGTGGGCTGTGAAAAGCAATGACAATCTGGGCTGTCATTTATGCTTCTGAGTCCAACTCATTTCCCATTTTCTAAAGAAAGCCATTAGTGGAAGAACGCCAGAAAATGATTAACAGCACAATAAGGTGGGGATCTGGCACAGGGTGCCACCTGAGCTCTGCAAATCCAAGAATCTGGCCATCAGCACCTTCCCCGGCGTCCCCTGACATCTGTACTAAATGGTCCCCTTTATGTAACAACTTTTAATGCCATGGTCTCACCTGTCAAAATTACTAATAGCCATTAATTTACACAATAATAAATTAAGATTCTCCTGGGCCTGTGGGTAATTTAAAAATACACGAGGAACGGTAAGACCAGGGTAGGGGGCGGAGGCCGGCTGAGAGTCCTCTTCTAAATTGTCTTAGCTTCCCCACATTACATGGGTCATTGCAAGGTGGCCAAGGAGAAATCCCATTGTATCGAGATGTAACCCAGATAGGCATCTTCCAAGGAAATGCTCAGACAACTGAGTTATTTCTGTTTCTTTTCATGGTGAGATTATCTTTATCCTTTGACTTTTTTGCTCTCTTTTGGCATGACAGGTTCCTTGCCCTATCCATCTGCAAAACATTGTCCTCCTAATTATGATACAAACAGAGGATAAGACCATTTCCTTATCATAAATGGACTTCACATTTATGGCAAAAAAAAACTGACTTTGCAGAATTGACATGGTATTACCACTTACTCAGTGTGAAGGGAGATTCCCAGAGATCTCCTTTCATCGAGGACATGCTGAAGTGCCACGAAAGGAACAGTGCATTTTATTTTAAGGAATCTGCAAAGTATCCAGAGAGAAATCACTGCAGCTGCCCTGCCTATTTTCTCATTTAAAGCACACGTTGCATTTGCTTTCAGCTTTTCAGTGTCATGTTTCAGCTGGTTTCTGGTCTTCAAGGACTTGGGCTATTTCCATGAGCCCTGTAAAATAGTTCAGCATTGCAGACCATTTCCTTATCATAAATACCTGTGTCTTGGACTTCACATTTATGGGTTAGTAAACTCATTGTCTTTCCTAACAGCTCCTTCTCCTTGATGGTGGGGCAGATGGCACACTGACTAACTCTGGCTACTGTAGGTAGCGGGGATGGGTGCACCGGGCAGAGAGCAGTCAGCCAACCCAGGACCAGAACCTCGTCCTTTCCAGAAAGTCACCCCAGAATTCAATGCTTCCACTTTTCTTAAGAAGGTCTAGTATTGTGTACATTCTGCATTTTCATCATTCCTTGAATTCAACCTATAGAAAAAGGCAGCTTTTAATTAATCCATTTATCTAACAAACATGTATTAGTTGCAGAATAGTGGTTAAGAGCCAAGCTAGCTAATGGTTTATGTTATTTAAGCATCAACTTCTTCATCTGCTAAGGCAGTCATAATAACAGCAACTACCTCTAGATTATTATGAGGGTTAAATGAGTGGGTTCTCTGACAGATACTAACAATATGATTGACACATAGTAGGCAGCATGAATCTTTGCTATACATATTTTTAAATTTTTAGGGGCCAGGCATTATGTAGCTCTGGGGATAAAAATATACCAAAAAATAAGAAAACACTCAGAAACTGTCACAGACCAGAGGAAACCAAGGAGATACGAGGATGAAATGTAATGTGATATCTTGTATTGGATCCCAGAACAAGAAGAGAACATGGGTGGAAAGATAAATTAATCAAAACCAAATCTGGTGTCAAGTTAATAGCAATGTACTAGTGTTGGCTACTTAGTCTTGGCAAAGTAATGTAAAATATCATCCTAATAAGGGTAACTAGGTAAAGGGTATAATGGAAACGCTGTATGATGTTTGTAAGTTTTCTATAAATCTAAAATTATTCCAAAATCAAAAGTTTTATTTAAAAATATATTATGGCACATTTTGGGAGGCCGAAGTGGGCAGATTACTTGAGGTCAGGAGTTCGAGACCAGCTTGGCCAAGATGAAGAAACCCCATCTCCACTAAAAATACAAAAATTAGCCGCGTGTGGTGGCTGGCGCCTGTAATCTCAGCGACTCGGGAGGCTGAGGCATGAGAATTGCTTGAACTCAGGAGATGGAAGTTGCAGTGAGCTGAGATCACAGCACTGTACTCCAGCCTGGGCGACAGAGTGAGACGCCGTCTCAAAAAAAAAAAAAAAATTATATACATACATAAAATGACAAAAGTGCCTAAACTCAAAAGAAAATTTTAACCTAATGGGATACAAACAAGAAAATAAACAGCCAAAAGACATATTCTTTTTTTTTTTTTTTTGAGACAAGAGTCTCACTTTGTCACCCAGGCTAGAGTGCAGTGGTGTGATCTCGGCTCACTGCAGCCTCTGCCTCCCAGGTTCAAGCGATTCTCCTGCCTCAGCCTCCTGAGTAGCTGGGACTACAGGTGCGCATCACCACGTCCAGCTAATTTTTTGTATTTTTAGTAGAGACGGGGTTTCACCATGTTGGCCAGGATGGTTTCGATCTCCTGACCTCATGATCCACACACCTCAGCCTCCCAAAGTGCTGGGAGTACAGGCATGAGCCACCATGCCGGGCCCCAAAAGACATATTCTATGTACTGTAACAAAGCAATCCAAGCAGGAAGAACGGACAGTTAGCTGACCCTGGAGATAGGTACTATCTGCAAACTGATGTTCAGGTTTTATTCACTAAGCAGAGAAGGAAGAAGGACATTTCCAGGTAGAAGAAATATCTGCAGAGTCTTACTGGCCAATATGAGAAAATTTGCAATTTTCAAATAACTGTAAGAATTCAGTATAGTGAAGGCACATGATGCCTAAAACTGAGTAGCTGCATCTAGAACTAGAGAGGAATGTGAAGGTAAGATCGTAATAAGCATTTCTGTCAAATGACACATTTGACTGACATATAATCAACTTACAATAGACTATGCATATTAAAATTTAAAGTGTACAATGCAATAACTTTTGATACATGCATAATCCCAAGAAACCATCACCACAAACATGGCAGCAAACATATCCATCACCCCCAAAAGTTCTCCCAGACCTCTGTCTCTTTCTAACTCCTCTTGTTGTCCTTGGTAACCACTGATCTGCTTTCTGTCACTATAAATTGGGTTGCAGTTTCTAAAATTTTATTAAATGTCATCACACCATGTTATAGGATGAATTGTGTTCCTTCAAAACTCATAGGTTGATGTCCTAACCCCCAGTATCTCAGACCAGTATCTCAGAATGTGACTGTATTCCAGACAGGATCTTTAAAGGGATATTTAAGTTAAATGAGGTCGTTAGGGTGGGCCCTAGTCCTACATGGCTGGAATCCTTACGAGAAGAGAAAACATGGACACAGAGGGAAGACCGTGTGAAGACGCAGTGGGAAGACAGCCTCTACAAGCCAAGGAGAGAGGCCTCAGAAGAAACCAACACTGTCAAGGCCTTGATCTTCGATTTCTAGCCTCCAGAATTCTGAGAAAGCAAAGTTCTGTTGTTCAAGTTACCTAGTCTATGGTACTTTGTTATGACAGTTTTAGCAAACCAATACACACAGTATGCATCCTTTTCTGTCTGATTTCTTTCACTCAGTATAACTATAGAGTTGCAGGTATCCATAGTTTATCCCTTTTTATTGCTCTACTCCATCATATGAATATATAAGAATGTGTTTATCCACTCACTATTAATGAATGTGACATTAATGAATATTTAGATTGCTTCCAGCTTCCGATTATTATAAATAAATTTTCCATGAGCATTTGTGTGCAAGTCTTTTTCTGGACAAAAGCTTTCACTTTTAAGTAATATCTAGGAGTTGAATGGCTGGGCCCATGGTAAATATATCTTTAACTTTATAAGAAATTGCCAAACTATTTTCCAAAGTAATCATACTGTTTTACATTCCTACCAGCAGTAATCATACTGTTTTACATTCCTACCATACAGTTTTACATTCCTACATTTCCCCAACATCCTCGCCAACACTTGATACAATGAATCTTCTTAATTGTAGCCGTTCTAATAGCTGTGTAGTGCTATTTCACTGTGGTTTTAATTTGCATTTCAGAATGACTAATGATGTTGAGTGTCTTTTCACATGCCTATTGGTCATGCCTATATCTTCTTTGGTGGTGTCTGTTTAAATATGTCATAAAGGATTTTTTAGATCATACTAAAAAGTTAGGATTTTATTCTGTTTACAGTAGGAAACCAGGGATAAATTAGATTTTAAGCAGTGGAGAAATGTTATATTGAGAGGTGACAGCGTGCTGGCAGCCCTCGCAGCCCTTGCTCGCTCTTGGTGCCTCCTCGGCCTCGGTGCCCACTCTGGCCGCACTTGAGGAGCCCTTCATCCCGCCGCTGCACTGTGGGAGCCCCTTTCTGGGCTGGCCAAGGCCAGAGCCAGCTCCCTCAGCTTGCAGGAAGGTGTGGAGGGAGAGGCGCAGGCGGGAACCGGGGCTGCATACCACGCTTGCCGGCCAGCGCAAGTTTCAGGTGGGCGTGGGTTTGGCGAGCCCGCACTCGGAGCCGCCAGCGGGCGCCACCAGCCTCGGGCAGTGAGGAGCTTAGTAGCTGGGCCAGCAGCTGTGGAGGGTGCACCCGGTCCCCCAGCACTGCCGGCACTCGAATTCTCACAGGGACTCAGCTGCCTCCCTGCGGGGAAGGGCTCGGGACGTGCAGCCCGCCATGCCTGAGCCTCCCTCCCACCCCAGCAATGGGCTCCTGTGCAGCCGGAACCTCCCTGATGAGTTCCGCCCCCTGCTCCACAGCACCCGGTGCCATCAACCCACCAAGGGCTGAGGAGTGCGGGTGCATGGCGGGACTGGCGGGCATCTCCACCTGCGGCCCTGGTGCAGGAGGCACTAGGTGAAGCCAGCTGGGCTCCTCAGTCTAGTGGGGACTTGTAGAACCTTTATGTCCAGCTAAGGGATTGTAAATACACCAATCAGCACTCTGTGTCTAGCTCAAGGTTTATGAATGCACCAATCAGTGCTCTGTGTCTAGCTAATCTAGTGGGGACTTGGAGAACTTTTGTGTCTAGCTCAGGGATTATAAACACACCAATCAGCACCCTGTCAAAACAGACCAATCAGCTGTCTGTAAAACAGACCAATCAGCTCTCTGTATAATGGACCAATCAGCAGGATGTGGGTGGACCAGATAAGGGAATAAAAGCAGGCTGCTGGAACCAGCAGTGGTAACCCACTGGGTCACCTACCACAGGGTGGAAGCTTTGTTCTTTTGCTCTTTGCAATAAGTCTTGCTGCTGCTCACTTTTTGGGTCCACAGTGCCTTTATGAGCTGTAATACTCACTGCGAAGGTCTACAGCTTCACTCCTGAGGCCAGCGAGACCATGAGCCCACCAGCAGGAATGAACAACTCCGGACGGGAGGAAGAAACAACTCCAGATGCGCTGCCTTAAGAGCTGTAACACTCACCTTGAAGGTTTGCAGCTTCACTCTTGAAGCCAACGAGACCACGAACCCACCAGAAGGAAGAAACTCCGAACATGATCAGAAGGAACAAACTCCAGACACATCACCTTTAAGAACTGTAACGCTCACCACGAGGGTCTGCAGCTTCATTCTTGAAGTAAGTGAGGCCAAGAACCCACCAATTTCGGACACAATATGATCCGTGATATAGAAAGATTACGCTATGGCAGTGAACTAGGAGGGGGAGGAATGGGAGTTAGGAGGTTGGTGCAGCATGTAGATGAGGAATGATGAGCCGTAGGACAGAGCAGAGGTAATGGGTATACTTGGCAATGACAGAGACTGTGTGGAGTGAGAGATCCCTTCCAAAGATGTTTGCAAGTAGAATCAAGACTTGGTGACTAGCTTACTCACCAGTTGGTGGGGAGTGAAGGAGGAGAGGTCAGAATATCTTTGTGGTTTCTGGCTTGGGTGGTAATAAGTAGTCATATGGGAGCAGTTCCTCTGCAGTGAATTTAGGACAGGGGTTAATCACATTGTCAGTGCTGACCCCAGGATTTTGACTGAATCAAAACAGGAACATGCATTATCCTAAGTGAAACAACTCAGAAACAGAAAGTCAAAAGCACATGTTCTCACTTATAAGTGGGAGTGAAACAATGAGTACACATGGGCATACAGAGTAGAACAACAAACACTGGAGATTCCAAAAGGTGGAAGAAGGGTGAGAAATGAAATACTACCTAGTGGGTACAATGTACGCTATTCGGGTGATAGGTGCACTTAAAGCCCAGGCTTCACCACTATATGATATACTCATGCAATACAACTGTCCTTGTACCCCTAAATCTAAAAAAAAAAAAAAAGTTAAAAAATTTCAAACAGAGGCCATGAAAGAGGCTAAAACAGATTAATTTCTTGGCATTGATGAAACAAAAAGTTCAGTAACCTTTTTTAGCAGCCGCTGAATCTACTGCCCTCTTCTCACCACTTGCTAATTTCATGAGTCACTGCCTCCCTACTGTCCTGGCTGATCTCATGGCCCTTCCTCTGAGTGCAGAGATCCTCAGGCAGTCCTCTATCCCTCTAGTTAATACTTTATATTGCAACCATTGGTTCCCCACACTAGGCAGTGAGCGTCTCAAGGTCAAGTACCAGGTGTTATTCATCTACTATCAATGTCTGCCAAAATACCCAGCAATGTGCAGGTACTCACTACAGTGTGTTGTCGTAAATTGATAGAAGGAATGCATAGTGAGGGAGCCATGCAATTGACAGTGACAGCCTTCTGTTATAATGCATACTGTGTGATCACTGGAGGTCAGACCACCTTTCCAGTTGCCCACTGTTTGGAGGCAGTTTTGAGGAAATGGTATAAAGTTGAAGGGATCATGAACTGCCTTAGGTTTCCTCTGACTGAGCCCTCTGGCTTTGCTCTACCCCTAGGAGAAAACGAAAGGCCCACTTTCCACCTGCAGATCTGAGTCACAATCTGCCTCTGTCCTGTCTCGCGCCAAGGCCTGGGTGATGTTTCTGTTTCCTGTAGCCAGCCCCAGATGTCAGGAGAAGGTCTGGGCCTCCCAGCACCACCTGCAGCACACCCTCCCCTCTTCTTATCTCTCAGCAGAGTTCTTGGTCTTTTAGCAGTTCATTGAGAGGCAGCGAGGAGACACTGCAGGCTCTGGCGTGCTTCTGTAGTATTTCTGTTTCCTCAGGCTGGCATTCAGTCTTCGACACCATCCTGTTCTTTGGGAGGTGATCTTTTGTTGGAGAGCTCCCCAGTGTCTGTTGTTATGTTTGAGACTGACTTGTTCCAGACTAGTGGGCTGGGAAGACAAGACTGCACTAAGTGATACAACATGAACAGAATGCTTGTAACATTTTCCCATCTTTTTTCTCCCTCCTCTCCACCGAGATTTCAGAAAACTCCTTCCTCTTGTTTCTTCCCCCTATATTCTCATCCATCTATAAAAGCTCAGGAGTACTGAACTTGGAATTGTAGTCACAGGGAAGGAAGTGTCAACCAAGTCGCAACGACTGCATGAGTTCTCACTCTTCTTCATCCACCTTTCCACTCCATTTCCTCCTAACCTTTCCATCTGGACTCAATTTTCATGATTTAAAGCATATATTCTATTTTACTCATTCATGTCACTTTCTTCCCCATAGACACATCATAGATGGATGGCTCACTTACTGGCATCAGTAGGAATTTTTCCATTCAGAACACAGATCTCTGTTTTTCTGGGAAGAGAAAGTCAAAAATTTAGCAGCTAAATAACATGGATGCTGTGGTTGCATCATGTTCAGCAATTATGGCACCACAGCCCTGCTCCCTAATTAAGCCAACAACTAGTACTCTATTTGGGGCCCTAATTTCTTTCCTTTCTCACGGTGTCAAAAAAAATGTCCTCCAACAGCTCCTTTTGAACCGAAAATTATTATGCTTTCGTCTCAAAGCCAAAGACAAATTTATTTTGGAAAGTTTGAATCAAATTTTCTGAGTTACTCATGAAGAGAAAGGTCATGAAAATGCAATATTTTTAAATTTGGTTTTTTAAAAAAGTTTCTCAGCTTTTGGAATTCACTCCATTCAAAAATCACTTCTTTAAAAAAATAAACTTGAATTTTTTATGCCCTAGGATTCCCATAACAAAATAGTTGGAAGCTGTTCTTGAAAGAATACTTAAAATGCTAAAGTGCATGAGCAGCCTCTCTGGTTATGTATCAGTTAATTCACTAATTCATAATACTAATTGGTCATGTGTTATTAATAGTTATGCATATTCTTGGCTAGCAATACAGATAATACAAATGGGGGCAATTCCACAGTAATGCATATCTATTATTGGATTATTACATTCTAGAATCATATAATTCTTCAAATGAATATGGAGCCACATTGTAAAATTAAACTCCAGGATGCATTTTATCATTTCCCCAATTTTTAATGTTAAGAATAAATTAATAAATCTTATTTAAATGTCGACTCATGCCATGTCATTAAAGTGTCCCTTTGCACTCCTCCAGCTTCCCTACTCTAAACTATTCCAATGCATGATAAAAATGAACAGAAGATACAAATTATGAACCACACATGTGCTTTAGTAATCTACTTGTATTTGTAGTTTTGCATTCCCTTAGGTTGTAGGAAGTACTTAAGTGATTTCACTTAAAGGCCACCTGGGAGTTGCATAGGTCCAGAAGTAAATTGTGAATAGAGCCATCAAATGATAATCTCAGATTGTTTAATTCTATCAAAAAAAAATCAAATATGAATAGCTGAAGGTAACTCACACTCAGACTGAGAAAAATCTAGTTATAGCAAATCAAGACTAGGTTTGCATAGCTCTGTATCTCTAAAAATCTTAATGTCTTAGTAGCTTGAGCTTGACCTTAAGAGCTGTCTCAGACACCCAAGGGGAGCATAGCACCGGTAAAAGCCTCAGAACCAGGAATCCTCCCTCCAAGCTCTGAAGTCACATGAGTGCATCTCAGAGGCCGTAGAGGAAGCATCTGGTAGCTGACACCTTGCAGAAATACAAGCCCAGTACTGCCAGATCCTTTTTTCCAAGAGAACTAAAAATCTGGATTTTTATGTGAATGCTCCCAATTTTTAAATGATGGTAGCCAATAAGAATTTTTTGGAAAAGTGGGTAGACCAAACAACACACAACTGGGTACCAGATGTGGCTCAAAGGCCAACAGTTTGCACTGTCCAATTTATATAATTCATCGTAACTAAATATAGCCAGTGCTCCTAAATACATTAAACGTGTTTTTGTAAGAGAGCTTGTTTTCCTCCTCAGCTAAAAATTGTTTGTGTTTTTCTTCTTGTTGCACTCTCAAGTATAATTCAAAGTGTGTAATTTGTGGATTTTAATCCTCCACTCCTGGTTACATTTTCTTAGCAGTTTCGAAGAGTGCTTCTTACTGTTTTACAACATAGGCTTCCACTTCTAATAACAAAAATTATATATTTTTCCACTGCTTGTTTTTCCTGGCTTTAAGAGAGGAAAAAAAGCCATCCTCATTTACTTTTCTAATGATGGCTAGCATCATCATTGATGTCAATAGATCCATGAAGGGAAAAGGAGGGTTAAATTAAATTTCTTTTGATGTTTAGTTTTTCCATCAAACGAGAAGTGAATATTCTGAAAAGTGGTTAAACTCGTTTAAACAATACAAAAAGAACGCTGTTGTTGGTTCAACACCAGGCATTTTGGTGAAGCGATAAGATTTTTAAAAAGCAGAGCTTTTCACCAGGTGTATGACACCATTTCACATAGCCATTTGGGTTTAAATGGAACGAAACTGGAAAAAGAATGCATTTTGCATTTGTAATTCAGTTAAATAGCTGCAACACATGAATTGGTCTGCTGGTAGTTCCCCATATGTTCCTTTAGTCATTTGAACATTTTTTCCACGACCACTAAAAATGATCACTTTTCTATGAGGAGTAACCTCTTATTCTTAAATCTGATAATTAAGCTTTTTTTTTCTGCTTCTGGGATCTATAATTACTACTATCCTTGTAATTTTAAACAATACTCCAAAAATTATTCATCAAGTGCTTGTCATCATCAAGTAATATTCATGGCGCATCTAGGGACATATCCTCTTCCAAAATCTTAAATACCATGCAAATCTTCATTTAAGACACGGAAAGGCAACTTCCCCTTTCTTGGGTACATACTGGACTCTTAACTGATGATGATATAACAACTTATTTCATGCAGCCACGAAGGAAAAATTAGTATATATTATTCCTAAAGGGAATAACTTCCTTTTTGTTGTTGTTGTTTGTTTTTTTGAGACGGGGTCTCCCTCTGTCACCTAGGCTGGAGTGCAGTGGTGTGATCAGGGCTCATTGCAGTTCAAAGGATCCTCCCCCCACAGCCTCCTGAGTAGCTAGGACTACAGGCGCACACCACCATGCCTGACTTAGTTCTTAAAATTTTTTGCAGAAACAGGGTCTCGCTATGTTCCCAGGTTGGTCTCAGACTCCTGGCCTCAAGCAATTCTCCCGCCTTGGCTTCCTAAAGTGCTGGGATTACAAGCATGAGCCACAGCTTCTGGCCAGAGGACCCACTTTGATTTTTTTTTTTTTTCATCATGTCCAGTTTTGTCTTATTTTACTTTTATTTTAGGGTCGGGGTATATGTGCAGGTTTTTTATATAGGTAAACTGTGTGTTATGGGGTTTGGTGTACAGATTATTTCATCACCCAGGTACTAAGCATAGTACTCAATAGGTAGCTTTTTTACTTTTTCCCTCCTCCCATTCTCCACCCTCAAGTCCTTGTGTCTACTGTTTCCCTCTTTGTGCCCATGTCTTCTCATTGTTTAGCTCCCACTTATAAGTGATAACATGCAGTGTTTGGTTTTCTGTACTCTGTTCGTCTGCTTAGGATAATGGCCTCCAGTTCCATCCATGTTGCTACAAAGGACATGATCTCACTCTTTTTTATGGCTACATAGTATTCCATGGTGTATATGTACGACACTTTTTTATCCAATGGCCAATGTGCATTTCAGCTGATTCCATGTCTTTGCTATTGTGTATAGTGCTGCAATAAACATACACATGTATGCGTCTTTGTGGTAGAATAATTTATATCCCTTCGGTATATATATCCCTTTGGGTATATACCCAATAATGGGATGGCTGGGTTAAATGAAAACTCTACTGTAAGTTCTTTGAGGAATTGCCACACTGCTTTCCACAATGGCCTTATTTCAATTACTTGTAGTTTTATTTGAAAAACTCAATTATTGATGTCATAGAAAAGATGTCCAAATTATTACCTGAATATTATAATTTTAATCATTATATAATTACCATTTTATTTACATATTACATACAGTCTCCTAAACATCAACATCCATTTCTTGGTCCTGCCTCCTCAGAACCTAGAAAAACAAATAACTCCATCAGTTCATCATCAGCAAGGGTGTAGTAAGCAGCTACTATTTGGGCTCTGTGCTTCAAGAATGGATTCAGTTGGGAAGACAGCATATAAACTTCTGGTTTTCCCAATCACCAGGTTCAACACCATGGAGTCAGATTTGAATCTTCTCTTCCTTGCCTACTGCATTCAAGCAGTGGCTAAACGTACTAACTCTACTTTCATGGTATTTGATGCCTTTATCTCTCACCCTTCTTCACTGGTATGTCTACTGCACGGGTTCAGAATCCCAGTAAACAGTTGAGAATGGAACTCATGGGCATAAGGTCATTTGATATGTCTGGATACACAGGCCTGAAGCCTGATTCCAACCTGAAGTCATGACTAAGCGATGGGTGGTGGAGTCACTATCAAAGAATCTCCACAGTGGCAATGATGAGCCAGAGGATCCTAAGAACCTCTGAAATGAGTCAGTTTTAAGGAATGTCTGGTTGAGAAATCTCATTTTTCCTGGGAGCTGTCTTACATGGCCTCGTCGTCTAAGAGGATCCACATGGTCTGAGACCCTTTGCCAGGGTAGAATGGGGTAATTTCTGAAATCACTGGGGAATAGGAATGATATGTTAGATAAACTGAAGGGAACACTGAGGACAAGGAGCTTTTGTTCTACCTTCTGTTTCAGATCTAGCACGGATGGAGCCCTGAAGTTTCTGAGGCTCCCCAAAGGAATTAAAAGCTTGGTAGAAAAGGGTGGAATGCCCAGGGGCCAGCAATGATGAGATGGAGAGAGACTTGCTGGGATGGATGCTGGGGGTGACTGCCCAACCAGAGACCAAAGGAAGGTAAGGCAGGGATACGATGGGTCTGTAGCACCAGCGAGAGCCATGAAAAGACCATGTAGCCAGAAAGGGTTGTAGCTCCCTAGCCATGCTGAGACTTACTAAACCACAAGACAAATCAACTACCAATCCCATCCACTGCAGAAGACAAGAGAGAGAGACAAAGGATATCACCCCGAAGACCAGATGAATGGGAGTACTCCGACAACTCTCCCCACCAAGAAGCCAAGTCATACATTTCCCCCAGGAGTCTCCATTGCCATTTTGAGGATGAGCTGAGGACAGGAAAAAAATACTAATATTTAATATTAATGAGAGATAATACTTTTTGAGAACTTTGGTGCCAGGTCCGATTCAAGGTATTTTACTTCCATAAGTTCATCTCCCAACAACCTTTGAGGAATTTTATTCAATTGTATATGTTATTACTCTCATTTCATATATATAGAAACTGAGACACGGAATAAATCATTTGCTTAAGATCACACAGCTACTCAAGTGACAGAACTGGGATTCAAAACAGGCAGTCTGGCTTTAAAACACTCATTCATAGCCATTCTGCTGTGGTGTCTTTCTTTACAAAATAAGAAATCCTTGAGACATCGAAACTTACAAAGTGGCACAGGAAATAAAGCATTAGTAAAAATATAGGAACCAGAAAGTGGAGTACCTCTAACCTTTCTCCAGTACACCTGGGCACCATTTTGAAGGGGAGTGGGAAAGAGTAGGATCGTGATAAACGTATTGAATCTTTCCCACTTGCCAGGCATTGTTCTAAGCACTTTAGCTGCATAATTCACTTACTCCACATTATAACCCTGTGATGTAGACCAGTGCAATCCAGCAGAACTTTATGATGGACAGCAGTGGTCTACTGTTCTAATCTCTTAGCTCTCCAGTACAGTAGCTGCTAGCCACTTGTGGCTACTGAGTACTTGAAATGTGGCTAGTGTGACTGAGAAACTGAATTATTAACAGTGTTTAATTTTATTAAGAACTACTTTAAATTTAAGTTTAAGTAGCCATATGTGGCTAGTGGCTACCAAACTGGGTGGTGCAGAGGTAGATTTTTTTCTGGTTTACACACAGAGAAACTGAAGTGCTGAGTGTCCCTGTCCCTTGTGCAAGGCCACAGATTGACTCAAAGGCAACCCCATGGTTTAAACCCAGTCAATCTGTCTCTGGAGCACACATTTTTAGCCCTAACATTTCCATGAGACATTCTAAGCAATCACCCCAAAACACTGAGCATAACCTATGGCACTATTAAAATTATGGAATCGAACACTTAGTTTCTTTTTCTCTCTGACAGTTGGAGACTTAGGAGAAAAGCCAGATCTGTAACTGACAAAATAAAGGCACTACATTTTCTCTTTAGAGTTTCTGAATGGCACTGTCTGCTCTCCAGGCAATATGATGTGTTTCAACAGTATGGCTGAAGCAGTCCCGTTCGGCCTGATTGCTCTTGCAACCCTGGATCTAGAGAAGGCTGCCAAATTGCTGTTGCCCTAAAAGGTCTGAACCAGGAAGGGCTCTGCTCAATGCATAGGGCAGCCGAGCCCGTCTACTCGAGGCTGCCAGGGACGGTAGCTCACAGGTGCGAGGACCCTGGAGTCAAGCTGAAGGGATGAGAGTTGGGGGTCATTGTCAGAAGTAACGCCTGAGTAATTAGAGTGCCAGGAAACTAGAAAGTAGAGCTGGAAATCCAGAGAGGGATGCAAATTAGGGTAGTCAAATTGGAAGAGTTTTCTTAAGCCAGAGGCATGTCTTAAAATTGGCAGAAGACTTGAAACAGATACCCCAACCATAAAATTAAAGCCCGCCTCACCCCTGCTGACACCCTGAATGACCTTAAGCAAAAGCTTACCTCCCCAGGATTTAATGTCATCTGTGACCTAGGGACAATCATATTTGTCCCCTCATTCTAAAGTCAATGATTTGTTTGTGAAGTGCTTTTAGCTACCCATGAAGGAAAATGTACTAAAATATACCAAGATTTTTCTTGAGATTAAGCACTCATATTATAGTTTCTTAGATGCTTTAACTCATGCACGAAAAGAATTTAATTCACCCAGTTTTTCTCTGAATTCCACTCCCCTGTGTCTCACTCTGAGTTCAGAAGAGAGAAGCCAAGAGGTCAGTTTCTAGGGGTCCCATGTTGGAGAATGGCTTTCGGTGGGAATCTTTGTCTGAGAAAGCAGTTGGAAATGAAATAAGACTGCTTTCTCATTGGAATAAAATATCACATTAATTTTTTGAGAAAAGAAAAACAATAAGGATATCCTGGAAACCAAGGGCTTTTTAACTGCAAGTCTCATCAAAGCAAAAGCACGTCCATCCACTAAAGAGCTCATATAGACACGAAGATGGTTAAAGATTTATTATGAAGAATAAAAACCCGGGGAAAACTGTGTGCCAAGGGGAGAATTTTGCAATTTAAAATGTGTGTGTGTGCGGGTGTGTGTGACATTTGTCAAATTTCACAAAATGTTTCCGTTTTGCCAGGCAGCGTTTACAAAGCCAAACCTTGGAGCTCTGCACAGCACCTAGGCCAAAAGCAATCAACAGCCCAAGCCCACACAACAGCACATTAGAAAACATGCCAGCTTCCCTCACATCACGAAGTCAAAGAAACGAAAACCGCAAGGCTGAATTGCGCAATGCCTAGAACACGAGAAAGAAACAAAATGGAAAGAAGAAACTCATTTAAAGGGCAAGTAATTATTGACAATTATACACGATTGAGAGATAAGCTTCAATTTTAATACAAAATATAGCCAAACTTGTTTCTTGAACTTGCATAAACGCACTCATCAGACACCTTAAGGAAGTCAAGACTTACTGTTGAATCCTACCTTCATTGGCTTGTAGGAACACTGACATGAACTCTGATCATCTACACACTGATGATATCCTAGATAGAACAGCAGTCAGCAAATGTTTTCTGTAAAAAGCCAAATAGAAAATATTTTAGACTTTGTGAGCCATGCAGCCTCTGTCACAACTACTCAATTCTCTGTTGTACAATAAATATGTGAATGAGAATAGTTGTTCCAATAAAACTTTATTTATAAAAATAAGTGGTGGGCCTTAGTTTGCCAACCTCTGCCCTAGAAAATTTAATAAAGGGAAAAGTATATACTTAGATACTAGATCAGGAATAAGATTTATTTATATTTGGGGAAAACATAATTATTTCAAATTCTATGTAACTCTAATATAGTCTAAACTTATTTAATCTATAATAATTCTATTATTTTAATATAAGAACC
Organism: Homo sapiens; assembly: GCF_000001405.40. Lineage (NCBI taxonomy): Eukaryota > Metazoa > Chordata > Mammalia > Primates > Hominidae > Homo > Homo sapiens. The sequence continues at coordinate 55,830,055 of NC_000018.10, read as the reverse complement.
AGAATATGAAAAAGATGAGATTATAAATTATCTTGTAAGTTTCTGCTTTTGCTTCACTACCCGTCTTAAATGTTTCCTTTGCAAAAAGACTACTCCAAGCAAATGTAGTCACCCCGTTCTCCTTTCTCCCACAGACATTCATTTATAGATCAGTGTTACCTTCTCTGAATTCCTGTAGTCTAATATTGTACCTAAAGTATAGTAGCTTGACAACTAAATAAGTCACTGCACACCTGTTTCATCTTTTCACTCAAAAAATAACAAAAATTAGAATCTTAAAATATAGTAGAGAAATAGCTTCAAAGTTCAGAAGGAAAAAGATGTGGGTTCTCCATTTCTATTCCCAATAACTCAATAAAGCCATTTGCAGACACTCAAGGACTCAGAAAATGCACCACCCACAAAGCCTTTCTAAAATCTTATTTAAGAGTGTATGCCAGAAAAATTAAAAAGGAATCCAAGGAGGAGGAAAGCATGAGAGTGAAGGGACAATGATAAGTTAAGAATTCACAAAAGTTACAATTAGATCAAAATAAAGATTCATAATGGTGCTGTTTAGTCCAATTATTTTGAAAAAATTCATTGTAAAATAGAGGCAAGATGTTTAAAAAATCAATACAAGGTTGAAACAAAATTTCTGCCTATGTCAACACCGGTGAAGTCGTGGAATAGACAAGAAGGAAGAGGTAAAGTTTCACAGTCTTGCCTTATTTAAAAGGAGGTAAAAGATACTGACTAATGTTAGAAATTGATAGAAAGAAACATGTTTAAATATGTTATTTAAAAATAAGGATAAGCACTGGGTGAATAGAATAGTTGTAGTATATATACACCCTTCAAACCAGGAAATGAAAAAATAACAATAAAGGAAACTTGATCACACCAGGAAAGGGTAAAAACTAATTTACATAAAAATAGGAAACCAAACAGGATGTCAGAATGAGACCAAATGTTTTCATTTTTCTAGTAAATGGCAACAGATACATTTCTCAATTTAAAGACAGAGAATTTCAGATTAGGTTTTCTTTAAGCAAAATCCAGGTATATCTGCTTCCAAGAGATATGTCTAGAACAAAATGATTCTGAAAGATCAAATATTAAGGGATGGACAAAGATATAGTAGACAAATGCTAATAATAGAAAGCAGGGATGGCAACATTATAGTCAGTCAAGGCAAGATGCATTAAATAAGACAAAGACAGTATAATCCATAAAAAAGATATAAACTCAGTGCATTTAATATTCAACTATCAAACTACATTTAAAAAAAATCCATTTGAAATCAAGAAAGCAATTGACCAATTTAATATCATGATGAAAAATTTTAATACTCCTCTCTTGGAAATCGATAGAATAATCACATTCCCAAAAGGAAGATATGAATAGCACAATTAACAACATTGATTTAATAATTTATAGACATCTCTGTAACAAAAACAGCAGAATAAACATTATTTTCAAATACCCATGGAATGATTATAAAAGTGACAATATATTAGATCAGAAAAATATTCTCAAGAGATGTTTCAATAGTAGAAATCATGCAAACCATATTTTACAGCTATAATGCAATGAAACTAAACATTAACAACAGAAAATGGACAAATTAAAATTTATCCACTGGAAATATAAAAACATCTCCTAAATTGGTCTTTAATTTAAAAGAAATTTATAATTGATACTACATACTATTTATAAAATAATGATACTGAGAACACTACACATCCATATTTGGGGGCATTTGGGACTTCATGGAAAGCAAGAAAGGACTGGAAATAAGTAAACTAAATGCACATTCTAGAAGCTGAATAAGAACAAATGAGCCTACTAACCAAAAAAAAAAATAATATTACCAGATATGTGTATAGAGATAGAGATAGATATTTAAAATAGAAAAAATAATCATTAGTTTAGTTGGCTAATAAAAACAAAGGATTATTAGATGAAGACAGATTAGCTTATGGCAAATATAATCAAGGAAAAAAGGAAACAAATAATATTAGAAAAAGAACAGAGGTTTAGATATAGGTATAATAAATTTTAAAACCGTAAGACAGCACTGTATAAGGTTTATGCAGATATACTGGAAAATGTAGATAAAGTGGATCATATCCTAAGACAATGCAAATGCTCAAAATTTAGTCAAGAAAGGTTTTTCTGTTTTGTTTTGTTTTTTAATAGTAACTAGACCAATAACCAGAAAAGGCACTAAAAATATAGTTGAAGAAACAGAACTCCTTCGAGAAACAGAAATGGGTCACCTTCCTGTTTTGAGTTTTACTAATTCTTCAAAAACAAATAATTTCTATTACTTAAGGTATTTCATAGCCAAAAAAAAAAAGAGTCTAACTCACAGCAGAAAGTGAGCAAAACTCCCAATAGCAACAGAGCACAGGAAAGAAAATGATGCATCAGCCTAACTCATGAATATAAATGCAAAAAGTCTTAAATCGCATATTATTAAATTGAATCTAGTAAAGCATTATAATGCAAAACAAAGTGACCAAGGAAGGTTTATTCCAGGACCATGAGGATGGTTCAAAATTAGGAAAATAAGAATACAATTTAGCACCTTAAGAAATTAAAGATAAAAATAATGATTATCTCAATCCAGGTTGATACATTACATGGTAAAGTTCAGTATTTTTTTCTAAACATAGGAAAATACTTTCTTATTGGATGAAGGCTCTCAATCAGAAACCTGTAGCTACCATCGTACTTGTTGGTGAACATTAGATACACTCAAGAAAACGACAATAATGCCTGTTATGACTACTGCTAAGAAATGCTATGCACTAGGCACCAGCCAACATCATAAGACATGAGCAATTAATGAGATAAGTATTAGAATTTAAAAGACAACATTATTTGTGGGCAATATTATAATCTAATATATCCAAATAATTCAAGAGAAAAAATGGAACAATATTAAAACAAATAAAGATGTTCAATTAGATAATCAGATAAAACACCAAAGTTAAAACACAATCTTTTGTCAGCTCCAAAAATGATTAATAAGAAAATGTAATGAGAAAAAAACTTCATTAAAAGATCAACATATCTATTTGAAAAACTAATAAGAACTAACAAAACTAATAATATGCAAGACGGTGAAAATTATAAAACTTTATATAGGAATATAACAAAATCTGAATAAAAAAAGAGAACAGCTGTGATCCTAGATAGTAAAAGCCATACTGTGAAGCTACCAATTATTCCCAGATTTTTCTATTTATTATTCCAAAGCCCAACAGACAAATTTATTCTAAACTTCAACCTGAATAGAACATGGGTAAGAATAGCCATGACATTTTTGAGAAATAAGTAAAATTTTAAAACAAGATGAAAACTTACTACAAAGCTGTGATAGTCAAAGCAATGTGGCACTGACACAAAGACAGACATATAGCCCCACACAACAAAATAGAGCCCAGAATTCAACCCTCACAGATATGGTCAAATGAATTTCAGCAAGGATGCCAAGACTATTCAATGGAGAACAGACATTTCTAACGTGATGGGAAAACTGAATATTAACATGCAAAAAAACGAGGTTGAACCCTCACCTTAACCACATACAAAAATTAGCTCAAAATGGATCAAGACGTAAATAGAACAGCTAAAACTATAAAACTCTTAGAAGAAAACATAGGGAGAAAACTACATGACATTGGATTTGGCCATGATTTCTTGGCTATGATACTTAAAGCACAGGCAACAAAAGAAAAAATAGGATAGACTTCATCTAATTAAAAATTTTATGCATTAAAGAACACTAACAGAGTGAAAAAGCAGCCCAAATTATGGAAGAAAATATTTGAAAATCATCTATCTGATAATAGATTGCTTTCCAGAGTAAATAAAGAACTCTAATACAAACAACAGCAAAAATAAACAACCCAGTTGAAAACTGGGCAAAGGATTTGAATAGACGCTTCTCTGAAGAAGATACACAAATGGGCCACAAGCACATGAAAAGAAGCTCAGCATCACCAATCATTAGGAAAATGCAAATCAAATCCACAGTGAAATACCACTTTATATTTACTACAACATTATTATTTAAAAAAATAGAAATTAAGCATTAGCAAAGATGGGGAGAAATGAGAATCCTTGTGCATGGCAGGTGGGAAAGTAAAATGGTGCAGGTGCTGTAGGAAGTGGCTTGGTGATTCCTCAAAAAATGAAACATGAAACTACTATATGATCCAGCAATTCCACATCTAAATATATACCAAAAGGAAGTGAAAGCACAGATTTGAAGAAATACTATACACCCATGTTTATAGCAGCAGCATTCACAATAGCCAAAAGATGAAAGTAACCCAAAAATCTGTGTATGATGAATGAATAGCAGTTTATACCTACAATGGAATGTTATTTAGCCTTAAAAGGGAAAGTAATACACACGCTGCAAGCATGGATATACCTTGACGACATTATGCTGAGTAAAATAAGCCAGTCACAAAGGACAAATGTATGATTCCACTTATATAGGGTACCTAGGGTAGTCAAATTCATAGAGACAAAAAGTAGAATAGTGGCTGCTAGGGGCTAGCAGGAGAGAGGAATGGGGAGTTAGTGTTTAATGGGCACAGAGTTTCAGCTGCAGAAGGTGAAAAAGTTCTGGAGATGGATGGTGATGGTTGCACAACATGAATGTACTTAATGCCACTGAACTGCACACTTAAAAATAGTTGAAATGGTCCGTTTTATATTATGTATATTTTATCACAATTAAAAAAAACAAGAGCAACTTGCCTTGGTAGATATCACAATTTATTATAAAGCTACAAGAATCAAAACAGTATGGTATTGGCAGAAGTGAAAATAATTAACATAAGTGAATGCTCAGAAACAAATACTGGTATTATGAAAACTTAGTATATGATAAAGATCAAATTTCAAATCTATGGCGATGAGATAGGCTCAAACTATTTAATCAGTTTGAGCCTAGTTTGGTTTTCCATTCTGAACAATAAGAATTAGACCTTTATTTCACATCATATATAAAGTCCAAATTAAAGGAATAAATGTTGTAATATACATATATGTGTACACACATATATATCTGCACATGATACAAGAAACAATAGTGGGCTATTTTATAGTGTTATGATATAAGAATGTATTGGATGATATTAAATAATCTAGAAGTTGACTAACTTTTACTGCCAAAATTGTGGGAAAATGAGTACTCATTGAGGTTACATCACTACAACTTCTAAAAACATAATAGCAGTAATGTTAAGAGTTAGAAATGCATAATCTCTAGGAGCTCTGATAGCCAGTTTAGCTCCTGATCCTTGAGGCAACATCCTTTAGCCAGACACAGTGGCTCATGCCTGTAATCCCAGTACTTTGAGAGGCCAAGGCAGGTGGATTACTTGAGGTCAGGAGTTTGAGACCAGCCTGGCCAACATGGTGAAACCCTGTCTCTAATAAAAATAAGAAAATTAGTCTGGCATGATGGCGGGTACCTGTAATCTCGGCTACTCAGGAGGCTGAGGCACCAGAATCATGCTAACCCGGGAGGCAGATCTTGCAGTGGGCCAAGATTGCGCCACTGCACTTCAGCCTGGAAAACAGAGCGAGACTCAGCCTCAAAAAAAAAAAAAAAAAGCAAAACCACCCTTTTTCTATTTGAACTTCGGTTCTGTCTTTGAATCCTGATTAGATGTTTCTTGCCTCTGGTTTGAGAATTCTCTTGATCCACTTGCCAGTTTTATCACTTTACTCCTGTTCCTCATGGCTTCCCATTAAGTTGTGTGTATTAGGGGACAGGGAAATTTATTAGGTTCTGGTTTTGCCCAAATATTGGGCATGCTTTAATAACAACCAAGATATTTCATTATTTGGATAGGTATGGGTACCTTATCAAGCAGATTAAACCATATCGTATCTGTCCTTCAGAAAAGAACAGCAAAAACCTTGTTATGGATTGTGGATTAGCATAAAGAAAAATAATCAGGCATAAATCAAGACTAAAAGGGAAGATTAATAGGAATTTCACTTCACGTAACTTAAAGAAAAACATGGCTGTTTCGATAAATGAAACTAAAGTTTTCCCTGGGATCCAAGAAATCAAACCATATTTATAAGTGTATAGTGTATTCAGGTACTATTTGGTTTAAATGAGCTTGTTGGGCTAGCCTGGGAAATGTAATCATTTTTACTATTTTCTACAGAAAAACAAAATGCAGCAGTTTTTCTACAGTTGCACATAAAATAAAAAATTTTTACTATAAAATGAGCTAATATATAAAGTACAACTCTATACCATAATAAAAATAGTAATACTTTGAAAAAAATGCATAATCTATGTCCCAGCCATCCCATTTGGGAATCCAACAGAAATAAGAGTACTAATAAATAGATAAAAATACTAGTACTTGAAATTATATGTACAAATGTGTTTATTTTTGCAGTTTATAACAGAAAGAAAAACTGAAAGAACAGATCGATAGAAGATGTATAGTTGAATAAATTATGGTACATTTATTCTACAGAATATTACACAGCCAATTTAAAAATTACAAGATCAATCTATATGATTTAAGATCAAAAAGTGCTATATTTGTTAAATAAAAAAATTTCACAATAATTGCAGTATTTGGAGGTAAAATGGGAAGTAAAACTACTTGTAAATAGGTTTGAATAATGTTACATTAGCAAAATGGGGGAATGATTAAAGACTAGACAGAAGATTCTGTCTGACTTTACATACTTTCTGTATTTTTTAAATGGCCATCATTAGCTTGTATCTTCTTATAAACAAATATTCTTATAAATAATTAAAAAATCAAGGGAGTGAACCATGGAAATACTCAGAGAATTCTATAACTATCCTTCGTGGATGTCAGGATCTGCCTAGTAGAGATGGCTTAAGGAGTGGTAGAGACACCATAGGGATCTGGGCCAATCAGTGGGGTGAGGTCATCAGTTATCAGTTCTGCTATTGTGTAAAACTCTATTATGGTATCCTTGAAGAAGGATTCTCTTTCTTGCTTGATGATGGGCCAGGAACTGGCATTTGAAGATGGCACTCTTCAAGTTGATCCCCTATGCCCTCTTTAACCTCTTGGTCTTCAACCCTGTGCTCGCTGTCACTTTTTTCCCCAATATTTCTCAATTTTGACATTTCAATAGGATGGTTCCTTGTTGTGTGTGTTCGGCAGGAGGATGTTTAGCAGCATCTCTGGCCTCTACCCATTAGATGCCAGTCGCATTTCTCTCCCGGTTGTAACAACCAAAAATGTTTCCAGACATTGCTAAGTGTCCCTTGGGGGGGCAAATTTACCTTGGTTGAAAACCACTGGCCTTAATTCACCAGGATAACAGTGGTAAACTGGTAATCTGCATAAACAAACTTTGACTCAACCAATTAATCTAGTGGCTATTAAGAGTCTTTAAACACACACCAAAAAATCACATAACATGCAAAATGTTCTGGATTATTTTTGTTCCATCATTTCACATCTTATCTTTTGAAATAAAATCTTTAAAGAGTAAACCACATTCATTCTATTAAAAGTGAGAATAGAACCCCATTGTCTCTCGGATGCTACAGATCTGCTCCCAGGATGTGCGCAGAGCCTATTGTTGCATAGAAGGAAAACTTTTCTCTGCCTTTAACTCTATTGGAATTGTGAAAAAGAAAATCCTGTGTGGTTAAGAAAGAAAACATGTATAAGTGCCTGAAAACTCACACTTAATATGTACTGCATGCACAGGCTTTACAGATTGCTTCCTTGCCCAAGGCCAAATCTTCAGGAATCATAGAAGAATTTAGAAGATAAAGTCCTAGCTGTTGTGGCTTACAACATATGACAAACAACATACAAAGAGAGGCAGTTACACACATTTTTGAAAGCCTCCCCCTACTCCCCCTGAGTACCAGAGTTGTTTGTTTGTTTTTTTTTTTTAATTATAAGGCATAGAGTGTTTTCACCAGGACAGTGCTAAATGCTCCAGCTTCAGCATTTCCTCCAAGAAGACAGAAAAAGTGGTTTATTTGTTTATTGAAGCCATTGCAATGCATTTGTGAAAAACAGAGTCGAGGGCTATGAACTTTATAGGGCTATAGACCCATGGTGAAGGTGACAGGAGGGGTAACATTTTTAAATGGAGAATAGTGATAACGTCCTCTCAGACTTGCGGGAAGTCACAAGTTGTTTTTAAGCCCTGCATGGCAGCTGTTTCATTTTTAAAAGTTTATTGAAAGTGGACATTATTTACACCATGTTCATACAAAAATACAAGCAGTGTTTCCCCAGCACCTGTGGCAGATGTTTAAGGGGAAAAACTGAGCTCACATAACCTCAAGAATCATAAACATGCCAACCTTTCCCAAAAGAATACCTCCCTTTATTGGCAAGTCCAGCCTCCCATTTCATGCCGGATCTCTTATCATGATTTGAACTTTGATGAACTGCCTCTCAATCCACCTTTGGCTATGAAACTGCCAGGTCTTATAAGCTAAATAGGTTCAATACTGGTCAGTGCCTGAATGGACACACTCCAAGGAAAATCAGAGTGTTGTCTTAGAAAGCAGTGACTCAGAAAGAGGTGGGTGAGCCTCTGAACTTGTTCAGAACCCTAGTTTTTGGCTACTGGGAAAGAAAAGTAAAACAGAGAGGCAGATGATCCTGTTTGGACAAGTTTCAAGAGACTTAAGTTTGGTCAAGCAAAGAAACTTTTGTCACTCCTCAGCAAGCTCATGCCCAGTGGAGAGAGTGTTCATATTATAAGGAGTGCAACTCGCTTCCATGGAATCTGGTAGTTCAACTCTGGCTCATTTCTGATACGCCTCAGACTGAAACTCAGATAACACTCTGTTTGAACAACAGGAGATGAGAGCTGGAAAGGATTTTAGAATTACTTATAACCAGCTCCATCAGCTTATGCACAAGGAAACTGAAGGGGAAATGGTCCAAAATCACCAGCTAATTGGTGTTGAAGCCGAGACTAGAATTCACATTTTCTGGCTCACAGAGCTTTTGAAAATTGCATCATAACTATAGGATGCTCACTGAGGAAACACACTTTTCATTATACCCTTCTCTACCTTGGATACACAAAGGCAGATAAGAAAGAATTTTTGTAGCACTCATTTATAATCTTAAATTTTTAGTGGTCTTGATATAGACATCTTCCTAAACAACTGTTTCCCCTTCTCTAATTTAAGGTTCTGTATCCTTCAGTTGAGGTTTTTTCCTGCTTGCAGACTTGGGGACCATTCTCCTTCTGTGTGTGTCTGTGTGGTTGGGGTAGGGGAGGAAGAACAGGGCAATCATTCTCTCAGAAGCCTATTGCATACAATCCACACTAGAAAAAAAAAATCTGATAACTCAAATTACACTTAGTGAATGGGTTATCGCCAGCAAATTTTAAAATAAGATTTGCTTTGCTACATTCAAAAGAAATATTAGGCCAGGCCTGGTGGCTCATACCTGTAATCCCAGCACCTTGGAGGCCAAAGCAGGAAGATTGTTTGAGACCAGGAGTTCAAGACCAGTCTGGGCAAAATAGCATGACCCCATCTCTACTAAAAGTTTTTTTAAAAATTAGCCTCGCATGGTGGCACAAACCTGTAGTCCCTGCTACTTGGGAAGCAGAAGCAGGAAGACTGCTTGAGCCCAGGAGTTTGAGGTTACAATGAGCTATGATCATGCCACTCCACTTCAGCCTGGGTGACAAAGTGAGACCCTGTTTCAAAAACAAAAAAAAATACATATATATATATATATATATATATATATATATATATATATATATATATAAATATCAAGAACAAATCAAAGAAAGGAAATAACCAAGAACCTCTTTATAGTTTAACAATCATTAAAAATGGAAACACATATTTATGTTTCTAATAACTTAACTAATGATGAGCAGGAAATTAGTCAAGAATTGTTCTCAAAAGAAGTTGGTGGGTGAGAGGACGATGGCCTTGGCAACTCAAAGGTCTACAAAGCCTTCAATATCACTAGGAAAAATGGCTGGGCTTCCCCCTCACATTTTTCTATGTTTTCCTTTCAAGGCTTCTTACGATATTCTTTGGTACCTAATTGCTTTAACACAAATGCTAAAAGAAGGGGCGTAGAACCCTACACAACCCCAGGGATGGCCCTGAGTGTCATAGTTTAAATTAGTAATGTGCAACTTATCCTATGCCATGATTACCCTAAGTCATCACATTTTTCCTTTCATGTCTTGCAATTAATCTTGTGCCTAATTATGTTTGGCTTGTAGGAGAGAGAAGCCAGACATGCTAAAAGAAAAAGTTTAGACAAATTAAATTTAGCAGAGTTTATTTGAGCAGAGAACAATTTATGAATTGGGAAGCACTTAGAACCTCCTCTACCCAGCAATGTGGGCAGGCATATTTACAGACAGAAAAATAAAGTGACAACAGAAACAGCTTGATTGGTTACAGCTCAGCGTTTGCCTTATATGGACGTGGTCTGATCAGTCGGCAACCTTTCATTGGCTGAAGCTCAGCTGCTATGATTGGCTGAAGCTCAGCTGCTATGATTGGCTGAGACTCAGCTACTTATCACAAGAATATACTCTTAAGTTAGGTTGCAGTTGTTACATACAGAAACAGCTTTAAGCCAAAATTAATTTAAAACAATTTCCCCTCTTTGGTCTCCTTCTCCATTTTGAGAGATTGACCAAAACCTTGGGCATTGATGCCACCCTCTGTCACCATAACAATGGTTGTTTGTTCTCAGTATGAGATTCATACTTCACAACAACAAGTCACTTGGATGACTCTTTATATTCTCTTCATATTTTTGTTTTTCTAACTGTAGTGAGACCATTTGACATACAACGGATGGCTACATATGAACATTTAAACCTCCTGAGAGGATATGGCACATATCCTCAGGGAGACTATTATGATGGTTATCAGAAAATAATGCTGAGAGATTGAAGTATATTCCTTAACAGGGGCCCCCACAGATTGAACTGGTCAAAATCAAATATATCAAAAATGAACCAGAAAAGGAATCTACTTGTTTTAATCAAGTAGCTTGTTTGTTGATTTCTTGCAACGGAGTTTCTGCCATACCAGATGTATTTATCCAAGTGCAGCAGGAGGTGTTAGCTATCACACACACTCCCCCCATTCAGCCAACAGATAGTCCAAAGCAATTATGTTATCTAAAACAACTCAAGCAAGAAAATTTAAAGAAGTTTGCTGGATAACTATATCCTTTTCAGTAGAGTCAGCTATAGTAGCTAATGTTTAACATAGATTTCTAATCAAACTTTATTTACATTTATACCAAACCAAGAAAGGAGTATTCTGCCAAAAGATGCCCATTTAGAGGCATTTATACCTTCTGGCAAATTCCTCTTTATTTCATACTACAAATTACGAGGTTTAGACCAATGTGAAGTTTCCAATTGGTTATGGAGTGACACTATTATTAGGATCCTTAATCCACATTGGTCCTTTTTATTTTTTAATTATTGAGACATGAACTTGCCCACACATATGGTTGTTATTAAATCTTGCACAGATAAAAATATATCCTAGAGGGGCACAACAGACAGATCCCTGTGGGATGTCTTATGCATTAAGAGTCATCAGTAGGGAAGCACTAGTAATATTTATCTAAGGCTCCATTATTGAATCATTGCATGGTTGGAGGCTACTGACAATTAAGGGATTAATGTTATTAATTTGTCTACAAACTGTTGAATTATCTTTACTTTGGTTTTCTCAGTCAATTTCTGGCATAATTTTACTGCAAAACCCTCATTATAGATTTTGTCTACTCTTAGATTTAAACAGGGAATCTGAACCCATAAATCTAAAAACCTAACCCTACATAAAGGACCAGATGAGCAATTTGAACAGATAGCCACACTTGGAATATCAGTGAAATTTGTTACAGGGTGAACCAGAGAATCTCTAAGGTCACATAATAATTTAGATTTAACATGATCTGCCCAGCATTCAGTTAAGTTCCCTGCAGAAGCTATCAATTATGAAATCTTAGTTATCACATTATCTTGCCACATATAAACAGAAAACAAATACAAGGAGAAAGAGGACAAAGATCTTACAGTGACAGAAGAGAGAAGTCTTGATGATCTGTGATTTTGGGAAAGCTGTCAACATCTAGGATGCCATCTGCTTCTGAAGAGAAACCTCTCCGGTCAGTTTTACCTTGAGGTCTCCAGTGAGCCTGTAAGAGTCTGGAGGTGCCTTTTTGAGTTGAGAGAAGCCCCACAACTCAAGGATCCAAGACTCGAGGCCCTAAAATTTTGCTACAGAGAAAAACTTAGGATGATCCCTTCAATGGAGTTCAAGGGCAATCTTTCTCTAGTACTTTGGCATAATGCATTAAAGCCTTGCAATACTGTGTCATGTCAGAGTTTGTAAGAGCAGGAGACATGTGAGCTTCTATTATTAGGAGGATAGGCCTTCCAGTAGCTATTTCATAAGGAGTTAATCTGTATTTTCCACTAAGGGTAGGTCTGATTGCCATCAGTCAGTAATACCTTTTACCAAGGTAATACAATTGATTCTATTAGCTTTGCTTAATACCATTGTGTTTGTAATACCTTACTTAACTGTTTTACAACTTGTCCAGTGAAATGAGTACCTCTATGACTGGAAAATTCTCCAGGAATGCCCCATAAGGAAAACATATGTTCTAGTAAGCATTTAGCTACTGTTATAGCATTAGCCTTCCTGCATGGAAAATCTTTTAGGCAAGCAGAAAACATGCATGGAAAGTGGCAACTGAAGAAAATCCATCTGTAAGTGTTCAAATATCCAACAGGTGCTAGAAATGTATCACCTGAAGTTTTTATTGTCTTACCAGAATTATGGATTTGACAAATCAAACATTGGTTACAAACCATTTAATTAATTTTAGAACAGTCATCCCATCACTTTTTAAAATCATTTTTATCATTTTATTTATTTCATGATGAGTCATAGAGTGCAGAGCTTTTAATAATGGAAAAATTGAAGACTCAGGAAGGACCAGGCAGCTGCCCAGGCTCCTCACACTTAACATTGGACTTACATCACCTTAAATACCAGTTTTATTTCTACAACTTAGGGGTATAGCACTGTTGATTAAGTAGGTTATCATAGGTAATTGGACTTGGATCAATTTTGTGGAGTTCATTCAAATTGCATATCTAATCAAGTTTCATACTGGCTGACTTAGCATGAAAATCCCCCAAAGTATTTCCTTGGTATTCAATGTATTCTTGTCCTGCTTGATATTGGGTTAGCAGTTTTATAAAACTAATCAGTCTTTTTCATTAAAGTTCTGGGAATTTTTACCCAATTCAATGGTATAATCCGATTTCTAGGAATTTCATGTAATTTCTAGAACACATATTAATAACACGTTGATGTAAATATAACTCAAAAAAGGTTTGGTATTAGTTATTATTTGACAATGCTGCCCATATAATTTAATATGTCGAATAAGCCCAGTTAGTTTACTATAACTCTTTATAAGGAGAGATACCCTTTTGAGATATTCCAAGAGACCATTTGGAAAATCCCAAAGTTAATTTGAGGTCAAAAAATAATTTAGAATTTAATATTGGAAATTTGTCAAAAAAAATCAAGGTTTTAAAACAGCTGATTAAAATAGAATCACAGGTCACTGTGAAAGCAATAGTCATTTATTTAATTAAAAGACTTCAAAGGCAAATTCAGAAAGATACATAATTGTAGAAAAACCTTAGCGCTTTCAATAGACAGGACTCAGTTTCTTAAGTGATCAAAAGCCTAATAAAGACAACATGAAGCACAGGAAATCATCTTGGTAAAACACAGGATCTTTGTTTCCTAGGCGGATTACCTAAAAGCTAAAGAAAAACTTTCAACAATTTCCTGCTATAAGCAGACCAATACTCTATGAAAACTTTGTTTTAACAGAGGTGACCAAATTCTGGTTTTGCATCAATGTACTTTTGATATTAGTGCTAATTTTTAGAAAAACTTATGAATGATTCCCTTCTAATCTTAGCCAGTTTGGTCACACACAAAATTCCTTTCACAAGATTCATCTTCCACAAGCTTTCTACAATTTCTTATCCATTTAGTTTTTTTATTTCATACTTTTCCTCTTTCTTATTTTAAAGCAACCGGTCATTCTACTTCAGGACAAAAATTACACTTTTTTCCATAACAAACAATACCCCTCATACCTTATAGCATTTCCTTGCCAAAAGCACACCTTACCTTCCTTGCATATTTGAATAGAGTTATTTCCTTTATTCCTAGTAATTTCAGTTACATATATGAACTAGAATCCTTAATCCTTAGTGGCCTTAATTTCTAATGGACAATAAGAGGTAAACAATACTGAACTGTCTGTACACAAGAAATCTGCAGATTGTAAAATCTATGAATCATAAATTCTAGAAGCATGTGTTTTTTTCATAGCACAGTTTGTCAGTGTGGCACAGAACACGTTTACTAATAGTCCCAAATATCTTCAGTCTCTTTGTAACAAGAAACTGTAAAGAAGGCAAAATTTCATCTCTACCCTATTAGGATTTATGGCTAGACCTGAGATTTAAATTGTTGTTTATAAAGACTTCTCTCAGCCTTAACTATCCATTCTTGATTCTAAGAATGTTTAAACCTTGTAGTATAGGGAGGATGTCTTTCATATAGGAATTCTATTTTCCTTATATCTATTTAACTCACTTGTTTTTAACAATTATGCTTGGATTTCTAATTTTAAAAAAGACATTAAATAGCTAGCCATCATCTTAAGTTATTTTTCTTGCTGAAAAACTTTAAAATACAGAAATAAAAAGCTTATTTTACTGGTAAACGTAGGTAGGAAAAGTCATGCATCTGTACCATTTAATGATGACAACTCTAAAGAGATGCCTATTTTAATCAAACCAACAATATTCTTATTTATGAAAGATTATTCAAACCACATGAATTTGGAAAGCATCTGGGTTAGTTCTTATTTTTCTGAGAGGACATTTAATTTATATAAGCATATATTTTTCTTTAAGCCAATTAAATAGAGCTCTTTCACAATTTAGTTTTGGCAATATCATTAGGAGATAGAAAAAGATCACACATATATATATCATACATATAGGCATACATAAACATATAGATAGAAACAGATCATATAGCTTTCATTCTAAAATTTTAGCCATCTGCCAGGTACAAAAATATAAGCATTTTCTATGCCTGGACTCAGCATGGATACTTCTAATCTTGCCTTACAGTCAGAAACTAGTTCAGCCTTTGTTTATTTGTTTGTTTTTTTTCAAGATTGAATGACAAATGAATCAGTTGGGGTTTTTTCCCAAAAAAGAGTTTGGGGGCATAGTAAATATCATGACAACAAGAAAGAGGTGGACAGAGTTGACAGAGCATATAGTCAGCAGGGGTTTAAGAAGAGGGGATTTGGTCAGGCAGCAGTGGCTCACGCCTGTAATCCCAGCACTTTGGGAGGCTGAAGTGGGCAGATCACCTGAGGTCAGGAGTTCAAGACCAGCCTGGCCAATATGGTGAAACACCATCTCTACTAAAAATACAAAAATTACCTGGGTGCAGTGGCATGCACTTATAATCCCAGCTACTCGAGGGGCTGGGGCAGGAGAATCACTTGAATCCAGAGGCGGAGGTTGCAGTGAGCCAAGATCATGCCATTGCACTCCAGCCTGGGCAACAAGAGCGAAACTCTGTCTAAAAAAAAAAAAAGAGGGATCCAGTCAACTGAGAGGTCCTCATAGGAGAAGCAGACAGGACTGAATAGAGAAAACACAAAAAAACTAATTCTTATACATGTTTTTCTGAAAATCGTCCAAGTGTTTATTAGGTAAGTTTGGACACAGGAACTTTTTGAACTTAATTTGAAACTCTTGCCATAGGAATTTTTTTTCTAAGAGATTGATTATTGTTTTTTAGTGGGGAAACATTCCAGGCCAAAATGAATGTTTCCATCAGATGGCTGTTGTGAAAGTGGATAATTTATTTTCCAATGGCCTGACCACTTACATTAAAGGCAAACATCTCAGGCCATAGGATTCTTTCCTTTGGGGGCCCTCAGTTTGGGGAGGAGGTCCTCTTGATCTTTTTAGCTGTTGTAACTGTAAAGACATGCACCTCTTTGCCTTTCGAAGAAGTTGCCCCTTGAAGAAGTTGCCTCAATGTGACTACTCTAACTCTAAGTTACCTTTGGTAAAGTTCACCCATTTCTGTAGAAAATCAGTTTCTGGATACATAGTTCTAATACATGAAATTAGCTGGAGTTTCAAATGGAGGAGTTTTGGCCTTCTTGGATCCAAATGAACCCATGATTCTCTGTACTTTAGTAACCTTATCTACTTACTGAACCCAGTACAGTTTCTGCATGACCCAGTTAGACAACTGAGGCCTCCCTATAAGACCCTGTCCTGTTTCTGTTGCAACTTCTGAACCCAGGTCTGATTTTTTTTAAAAGCTCAAATAAACTCAGATATTTCAAAACACAACTTCATAGAGCTTGAACCTGAGACAGAACTCACCCATTGCCCCAGTTGCTGCAAGAGATCAGTGAGCACAATGGGCCTGGTGGGTACTTCCACTTGGTCACTCACTACTTCTGACCTGAGGGTTGCAGGAGGTCTACTTCAGACCCTACCTCCAATAACAAACTTAAAAAAAAAAAGTGGTGGGTAAGTGATTCACACCTATAATCCCAACACTTTGGGAGGCTGAAGTGAGACGATCACTTGAGTCCAAGAGTTGGAGAGCAGCCTGGGCAACTAGTGAGGCCTGTCGCCACAAAAAATTAAAAAACACCAACTAGCCAGGCATGACAGCGTAGGCCTGTGCTCCCAGCTATTCGTGAGGCTGAGGCAGGAGGACTGCTTGAGCCAAGGAGGTCCAGGCTGCGGTGAGCCTTGATTGCTCCGCTGCATTCTACCTTGGGCATCAGAGAGAAACTCTGACTCAAAAAGAGAAAAGAAAGACATTAAACAAATTAAATTCTGCAAAGTTTATATGAGCAAAGGCCAATTCATAAATCTCGCAGCACTCAGAACCTTCATGCAATGTAGACAGGCCTTCTTTATTAATAGAAAGAGGACGTTACATACAGAACAGCTCGATTGGTTACAGCTCAGAATTTGCCTTACATGGTCAATGCTCTGATCAGTTGGCAACCTCTGATTGGCTAAAGCTCAGCTGCTTTAGCCAATTGGCGAGACTCAGCTACTTTTTATAAGAATATACTCTTAGTTAAGTTTCTACATATGGAAGCAGTTTGGGGTCAAATTTAATTTAATTTAGCAGAGGAAAAGACCTTTGCCACTCAAGAACAGGAATCGTGGATCCTATTTGAGTTCAGCCTTCCTTACCTGTCTTCTTTTTCATGTTTTTCTGAATTAAAAAAAGTGGCAGGTGGTTCTTTTGAATGCCTTCAACACTATGTAATGAAAAAGGCATATATTTTCTTCAGCTAATCTTAATTTATTTTCAAATTGACCCCAGAGGTGAATTACAAACCAAAAAGACCTACAACCTTAAGAAGACAGCAATGCTAAATGGGGAAAAAAAAGGTAAGTTCATATGCTTCATAGACCAGGAAAAATATTGAGTCGAATTACACCCCATGAATTATTTACACTATTTCTCTGTGCTAAATCTAAGCAAACATTCCACTTGCATCAAATCTACTCCAGGAGGTTTAACTGTTTATTGTAAAATCAAGTGCACAATAGCCCTTTCATGAAATATTTAGCTATATGTTTAGCACTAACAATGTCACACATATATTATGAATGCTTCCTTATTATTATAAAGCTGAACATTCAGTGCATGAAACTTTAAGCTCTGTATTTCAAATCGTTATGAACAAGATGTTTCCTCTTGGGCAGTTTATTCTGGTGATGTGGAACCTTTGAATAAATAGTGACGCTAGTATTTTTAATAGCTGTTTCCCACCACATATTGCAAAGGAAACATTAACAAGGGCTGAATTCATAACTCATCATTGTACAGGTCCCAGATTTAACAACATTTATGGGGAACTATAAATTATCTTATATGCGAATATTCTGCCACTTGGATAATTTCATGTGGCTACATGTTCTCCACCTTATCATTTTGAACAGAAGAGATATCCTGTTTAGGAAACATCCTCAATAATGATAGAATAGTCTAACTCAATAGAACCCCTTCAGAAGATGGGATGGCACATGCCTGCAATAATTTAACAAGGCTTTTCTTTCTTTTTGATAAAATGTGTTTCTGAGATAACAGTAACAATTAAGCTACACAAAATATTTATTTTCCCCCTTCTTCTTTTTCTGGTCCCTTTGATCTGCTTGGCTTTAAATCTAGCAATAACCCATTCTTGTTTCATATTATTCTCCAAATCACTATTAATATTTTCAAAAGCTATTCGCTCCTCTGGTTAAGAGAGTAACTATCTTTTTTTCTTTTCTGATCTGAATAAAGTCCTCCAGTCAGAGGAATCATTATATTTTACTGGTTTCCTCTAAATGATAGAAATATGTCATACTTTGTAAATCTTTATATGTTATGAAGTCCTGGACTGAGAACAACTTTTTAAAAAAATTAATGCCTGTGGTGCTTTTTCGTCCTCACAAAATGTCTGTCGCTCTTCTATTTGTGAAGTATCACTTACAATCATAGCATGTCATATTTGGAAGACACAGTAGAGACCATCAGATCCAGTAAGTTTTAACCAGGGAAATCTTTTTAAAACATATGCTAAGCCCCTTGCTCATGGATTTAGGCTTAGCAGGTGTATGAGGGGGTGAGGAGGGATGAGTAATCTTTGTTTTTTCAGCTTCTGGATTTTTTAAAAATCTAGGACTAAGGAAGGGCTTTCTAAGTAAGTCACAACACTTAAAAAATATAAGAGAAATGCACCATTTGACTTCATAAAAATTAGAAATTAATACAAACATAATCAAAACATCATAATCAAAGCCAAAAGAAAAATGACAAACTGGGGGAAGTATTTGCAAAAGTGATTTTCCATAATAAAGAGCTCTTATAAAGCAACAAGAAAACAAATTTCCACTCAACCTCATTCATAAGAACTGTACATTAAAACAATAAAATAACATTGTTATGCATCTGATTGCCAAAGATTAAAACATTTGGCGTTTTGGGTTTACATAGGTGGAAGGTACAATGGTGCTGCCACTTTGGAAGCTGGTTCACAACACAGAAGGGAGAGTATTTCTACATAAAAGGTAATGCCAGATTAAAACATCCCCCTGCCCATATATATATATATATATATATATGATAACTCTCAAAACAAAGTTGCAAAACATGTATCAGCAGCAAACAGTCAAAGAAAGGAGTAACAACTGGGTACCACATCTTCAAATGTCGTGGTTAATGAACTAAATAAATGATGGCAATGCTGTTCTTCATTGCTCATCACCAACCTTTCACTGCCCAAAAATGGAACTAGGGAAAACCTAAGACAAAATTTTTGAAAATCCCATGAGTATTCCTCAATTTAGATAGAAGCATATCGAGGGGGATGAGCAAGCAACCTGGGAAAATTGTAGGAACACAGGCATAATAAAGGCTCATGCACTTCCTGGTAGAATTTCAAAAATGGAACAAGATAGCTGTCCTCTATAGCAAGTAGAGTGAACTGGGCATTTAAATTTAATAGAAGATAGACTTTTAAATCTCATAAAAAACACAATGAAAGGAAGAAGAGAACTTAATAATGACATGAATTAATTTTAATAGGAGCTGGGGAAGAAATAGATAATAAAACATAGAAATATAAAGTAAAGGGAACTAACCATTGAGGAAATAAGTTGAGAATCAAAAAATAGCATTATAGATTTAATAGCAATGTTAAAAACAGCAAGAGAAAACTATACATGCCTGAAAATTAAATTGTTGGTAGGAAAAGCTAAAGATAAACTACAAAGGAAACAGAGATTAATGCATTAAAGATAAGAAAATAGATGTAAAATGCAACAAGATTCAATATAAAGTAATTAATGTTGAACTAGAAAAAAATTTAATAAAAAGGGAAAGTACTATAAAATATAATACAAAAATCTCTTTGGAATGAAGGAAGAAGTAAGCATGCAGGTCATAAACGTATACCATATTCCTGGAAAAGTTGATACAGAAGAAAAATTACATCAGGATGTATTCAAATTAAATTTTTGAGTTTTAACATGAAAAAACAAATGTCTAGGCATCCACATAACAAAGCAAGACATTTACAAGGTGTAAGGTAAAACAAGAGTAAGACAGTTTCCACTACAACTCTCCATTCTAAAAGATAGTAATGTCTAGAACATTCTGAGGGAAAATGAGACCTAAAACAATTATATTTGGTAAATTTTTCCCTTTTCTATAAAACTGCTGAATCGTGTTCTCAATCATTCAAGCACATAGAAAAAAATAGTAATATGACTCTTTGTTGAAAAACAACAATGTCAATTAAATCTAGGTAACTGAGAGATAAATCAAAATTTAAAAATTAAAGATAGAAGAACCATGTTTTTTAAAAAAATGTGATGAGTCCTAAATCTGTTAAATATAGAAATATAGCTTAAAAACTAAGGGAATAATCATTGCAGAATAGATTGTAAAGTGATAGGCCTTAACAAAATTTTCTAAAATTTTTTAACAAAACTTTGCTGGGGACAGAAGACAAAATAGAACATTGTGTAAGAGTAGATTTAATCCTCAGTATTTTGGGAATCTTCCTTTTAATTTTGGAAGGAACTTTTGGAAACTAATGTCTCTTGTGGCAATGAAACACTTATCTAAAGTGTGAGAGATTCCTTCAGTTCCACCTGAGTTTCTTTTTATCCTGCTGGATCCAAATAAAAGTTAAGTGTAATATACTTTTAAAATTATCATACCATGGTTCTTTTTAAAATAAAAATTATTTTATCTATCTGGCTTTCTTTTACAAAAGCATTAATAGATATCTGTTATGATAGTCATCTAATGTAAAAAGTGGTGATTTCTATTTAGTTGTGTATTAGAATAAATTTTGCTTTCTTCTTTTTATTGTTCTTTATTTCTTTGACTTTTATAAATATGTATGATCTTTTCAAAAAGAGATTCCTATGCTAAAAAATTCTGGCGTGAATTATTCTAAACTCATTTTAAAATTAATTTAGAACAGTAATTTCATTTCTAGGAATTCATTCTACATATCTATTTGCCTATACAGGCCTGTAACATAATGCATAAAAGTATGTTCATTGTGGCAAACTTAAATGTCTGTCAATAGAAAACTGATTAAATAAATCATGGCACATCCATGCAATGAAATACTATGCAACTTTAAAACATAATAAAGTAGATTTACATCTCCAAGATATGCATCATTTTATAAAATTCAACTGAACTGTGGTCACAGTGTATTCCCATCTGAGTTAAAAAAAAAAGAAAGTTATATATACACACACATATACTTATAACACCTGATTGCAGATGCATAGAAAAAATGTGTGTCCACATGCCAAAATTTGTCAATAGCAATTGCATCTAAGGAGAAGGACTAGGAGGCTGGAATGAAGAATTATTTTTTATTGTATTTTCTTTTAAAAATAATAAAGTAGATTTAAATCTCCAAGATATGTATCATTTTATATAATTCAGCTGAACAGTAGTTACAGTATATTCCCATTTGAGTTAAAAAGAAAAAGAAAGTTATACATACACACACATATACCTATAACAACTGGTTGTAAATGCATAGAAAACGTGTGTCGACATGCACAAAATCTGTCAATAGCAATTGCATATAAGGAGAAGGACTAGGAAGCTGGAATGGAGAATTATTTTTTATTGTATTTTCTTTTGCATCATTTATATTTTTTATTACATTCACTTACTGCTTTATCTCTTTAGGGAAAAATATTTTAAAAAAGAAAACTTGACTGGTGATTTTGTTGTTCAACATCTTTATTTTATGAACGAGAAAGCAGACTAGAGATCAATTAAGTGACTTGACCAAGCTCACATAGTTA
This sequence comes from Homo sapiens, assembly GCF_000001405.40. Classification (NCBI taxonomy): domain Eukaryota; kingdom Metazoa; phylum Chordata; class Mammalia; order Primates; family Hominidae; genus Homo; species Homo sapiens. The sequence continues at coordinate 55,808,047 of NC_000018.10, read as the reverse complement.
ATGTGAGATTATAATTCACACTTTCTGGAGTCAATTTTAATACATGCTATATACTACCTCATGCTTATAATGTTGTTACCAAACAACAAATATCATCATCATACACAATCTACGGTCTCCCAATGGTATGCTTAGAGTTTTAATAATTCCAAAAGGGGCAGGTTACAACTCCAGTAAGCAAGGCTTCTGGAGAAACCTGTGGCATGGTAGATGAAACCAAATTGCTAGCAGTGGAAGTGAGTGTGCTTACATTCTCCATTGGTTGTCACCCCAAACCTAACATACTTCTGGGTTTTGTTAAATGCACTGATGGTTTTCATCTAGTTTAATTTCAGTGGGCTCTTTGGATCAATTTATCACAGTCCAAAAAAAAATAGAAAAAAAAGAGAGCTCAGATAAAAAGAGAAATCACTTCACAATGTAGTTTTGGAATGTTTCCCTTTGAATCTACATTCATACTTCAGCAAATTCTGAGACATCCCCAAATTCTAACATGGAACATGTTCAAGTGTCATGTTCTGATAAGCATTTTAACATAAGGACTTCACACTTACACCACAGATAAAACAATATGATTTTTAAAATTATTAACTGCCCAGCCTCCTATGATTTTTCTGCAAAATCTTTGCCTGAAAATGGACAATGTAGTGCCACTTAAAAAAAAAAGAAAGAAAAAGATTAAAGAAAAAGGATGATTTTGTTTGAATTTTGACTCTTCCTTTTCCTAATTAAGCAGTCTTGGGCATGTTAGTTTCTAGCCATCAGATTTTCATTTTTAAAATGAGAATAATATTTTCAGTTTCTCAGGATTGAGGAGAGAACTGAATGAGATGATATATGTCAAATGCCAAAAACAGGCTGTGTCAAAAGTAGATACAAAATAAATGTTAATTTCCTTCTCCCTCCTTCTCTAGATGAAAAACAAGTTTAAAAGAATGTAGCTATGTATGCTTAAAGAAAAATTATGCATATCGAATCAGATTTGAAAGAAATCAGCCTAAAATGGAAATGAACTCAAGTTATGAATGCGGTCATTTAGTGAATTGAAATTAAATACACTTCATCTCAATGAAGTCAGTGCTATCAACAGAAAGAAGGGAAAATGCATGACTGCATTCTTATGTATTTCTTGTTCTTATATTTGCTTCTTTGCTTATAATTATCAAATACTAATGAGGGAAAGTGATTTGGAGTTGTATAATTAAAATGAAGAAAAGGTAATTTTAGGCAAAGTATGTGGAAAGTCTTTTGATAATGAGATTGAGACACAAGTATTTTCTAGAGAAGATAATTGAGTCCCTATAATTTGAGACACTAAAACTAAAGTATCTCTGTCAGATGTATGCTGTACATATTAAAGCTAATATTCTAGTGTTATTTTCTAATATGAAGCAGCTAATATTCAATAACATCCCAATATTTTTACATTCAATTTTTAAAAAATTTTTGCTTTCTTATCATCTGACTCTCATTTACATTCCATTTTTGTATAAAATACGCATATATTGATCACTATCTAAAGGCATACATAATACATAGATATGTGTATGCATATTTAAGTGTATTAAGTCCTTAACATGTGATGTCCTTTGCTCAGTAAGCCAAAGTGTGTATGTGTATGTTTATGTAAAACACACACAAAATAGGCTTATCATAATGATATTATTCTACCTCTATTTGTGTATACAAAGCACTGTACTAAAGGACTAATCAAAGTTTTATTTGGATAGAGCTGATAATCTAATGAGAATGAAATACATACTTAAAAATATTGGCAAATATAAAAGTAGAAGAAAGAGAAACAGTAAGTATGACTTGATAATCGAATTATTTGTCTTTAATGTATCAAATTAGTGATGTGAATATGATGTGTGATATCCAATGGTGATAATGGTGATATGATGCAGAATATGATATGGAAGAGTTGCCTTTAAATCTGATCACAGTTGAGTGGTCAGCATTAGGCTCCTCTTCTGGGGTTGAAGCAACAGACCTGAAGAACGAAGATGTCAAGATGTTAAGATAGGCAATAATTTTGTTAGCAAAATTTTATTAGGCACCGAGTCAATGGAATTCATTGCCAACATTTGTTATAGAAAGTAAAACATAAAAAAGAAGCACAGCACATACCATCAATACTTGATGTCAACAGTAGTGTTCATAAAGGACTATGATAAAGTTGTAGAGAGTAAAAAGTGTCATGAGAAATGTCAACAAAGTACTTTCAGAATTCAGAAAAGTAGGAAATGCCTAAGAAATTTGATCCAGGAAGGAATTGCAAAAGAAAATACTATTTTCTCCTGGTCACAAAAATAGAAAGGATTTTACTATATCGGGAAGAGAAAACACAGTAGAAAAGGTAAGATAGGAAGGAAAGCAGAGGGAAATCATGGTAGGTAAAATGAGAGATGAAAGCAAAAGAGAAAAGCCTAAAATTGCTTTACTCCCAATATTAAAAATTCTTAATTACTCTGCTACCATAGTGGAGCCATTGAAGATTTTAAGGGGATTTTTAAATCATAATTGCAAGAATTTTAAGAAGATTCTTCTGATAATGAGTTGATGGTTTGATTAGAGGCATGGACTCTAGAAGCAGAAAGATTAGGTAAAAGACTTGTGATTATTCAGAAGACAGAAATGAGAGAAGTTGCAGTGATAGAACTTGGGAGGGAATAAAAACAACTTGGATGTGGAAGCAAAGGGAAAAAAAAGAGAAATCAAAGATGACACAAGGACTTTCACTTCTAGCCATGAAAGTGTTATAGGGGCCAGATTTATCTTCCTGCCATAAACAACCAGAAAACTGAACAAAATATATGAAACAACAGCTTTCTGACATCGGACAATTGGCAGCACAGGACCATAATCTCTGCAGAAAAAAAAGAAAAGAAAAGGAAAGAAAAGAAAAAATAAGGTGAGTCTTTCAGTTACACCGGCATTCTGCCTGGAAGTAATTTGCAAACCTCTAGCCCAGGGAGGGGAAATTCAAGCAGAGCTTCATATCATTGCTGAATTGAAGAGACAGATATCACAATTCAGGGTGGCAGATGTAGCTAAAAATTTGCAAGACAGAATATCAGAGAAGAGAAAGCTACACAGAGAAAGAGCTCCAGAAATTTGAGTAGGGGTCTTCTTGAGCCTCTGACGAATACTAATCTGTGTATGTAAAGGGTAAAACTCCACACATGAGAACAACTTCTGGGGAAAAGACAATTACTATGAAGTTATACAAGATTTTTGAAAATTCGCAGAGCTCACATAAGGGCCAGGGATAATTTTAATTTCCACTAGTTAGAATGGAGACAGATTTTTGAATATGTAATTCAAAAAAGATCCAAGAAAGGCTATGTCTTAGAAATTAGCCTAAATTACTCCTAGAGTATAGGCTAATCTTGATCTGCCATAAAAAATAAATCTTAACATCTTGAAATAATCCAACTGATCTACAAGAAGTTTAGCTACCTGTCAGAACAAAGTCTAATATTCTTTAAAGGAAAACACCAAAATCCAGTACCCAAAATATAAATTCACAATGTCCTTCATCAAATTAAATATTACAATATGTGAAGAATCAGAAGGTATGGCCCATACCAGAAGAAAAACGAGTCAATAGAAACAGAATCAGAAATGAAAGAGAGGATGAATTAACAGACAGGGACATTAAAACAGCTATTATAAATATGCATAATATGCACAAGAATTTAAAGAAAAGCATGTACATAAGAAACAAAATAGAAGATACAAAAAAACTATATATAAATTCTAGAGATTAAAAAGTACAAAATCTGAAATGAAAATTTTATGGATGAAATTGACAGAATATTAGATGCTGCAGAATCAAAATAAATAAATGACCTTGATGACATAACAAGATAAAAAATGACAGATGAAACATCATGGGAGAAAAGAAGAAAGATGAAAAGACCTTCACTGATTGAGAGAAAAAATCAAACTGTCAAATATAAGTGCCACTGAAATCCCAGGAGACAAGTAGAATGAGAGACCAAAAAAATAAAAAATATATATATATTTGAATGACCAAAATACTTCCAAATTTGATGAAAACTGTAATCCACAACTCCAAGAAGTTCAAAAAACCCCAAGCAAAATGGGGGTGGGAAGGCAAAACATATCATAATCAAATTGCTGGAAAACAATGCAAAGAGAAATATCATAAAGGCAATGAGAGAAAAAAAAAAAGTCACATTATTGGGCCAGACGTGGTGGCTCAGGCCTGTAATCCCAGCACTTTGGGAAGCCAATGCATGCAGATCACTTGAGGCCAGGAATTCCAGACCAGCATGGCCAACATGGTGAAAACCTGTCTGTAGGAAAAATACAAATATTAGCCAGGCATGGTGGCGCATGCCTGTAATCCCAGCTACTCAGGAGGCTGAGGCATGAGGATCACTTGAATCCGGGAGGTGGAGGTTGCAGTGAGCTGAGATCACACCACTGCACATCAGCCTGGGTGACATAGTGAGACCCTGTCAAAAAAAAAGAAAGGGAGGGAGGGAGGGAGGAAAGAGAGAGAAAGAAGGAAAGAAGGAAGGAAGGAAGGAAAAAGAGGAAGGAAGGAAGGAGAAAGAGAGAGAAAGGGAGAAAGAGAAAGAAGGAAAGAAAGAAAGGAAAGAAAGAAGAGAAAGAAAGAAAGAAAAAGAGAGAGAGAAAGGAAGGAAAAACTTCACATTATTAAAAAATGAACAGGCCAACATTCAAATTCAGGAAATACAGAGAACACCACAAAGATACTCCTCGAGAAGAGCAACTCCAAGACATATAATTGTCAGATTCACCAAAGTTGAAATGAAGGAAAAACTGTTAAGGGCAGTCAGAGGGAAAGGTCGGGTTACCCACGAAGGGAAGCCCATCAGACTAACAGCTGATCTCTCGGCAGAAACTCTACAAGCCAGAAGAGAGTGGGGGCCAATATTCAACATTCTTAAAGAAAAGAATTTTCAACCCAGAATTTCATATCTGGCCAAATTAAGCTTCATAAGTGAAGGAGAAATAAAATACTTTACAGACAAGCAAATGCTGAGAGATTTTGTCACCACCAGGCCCACCCTACAAGAGCTCCTGAAGGAAACACTAAACATGGAAAGGAACAAATAGTACCAGCCACTGCAAAAACATGCCAAATTGTAAAGATCATCAAGGCTAGGAAGAAACTGCATTAACTAACGAACAAAATAACTAGCTAACATCATAATGACAGGATCAAATTCACACATAACAATATTAACCTTAAATGTAAATGAGCTAAATGCTCCAATTAAAAGACACAGACTGGCAAATTGGATAAAGAGTCAAGACCCAACAGTGTGCTGTATTCAGGAAACCTATGTCACGTGCAGAGACACACATAGGCTCAAAATAAAGGGATGGAGGAAGATCTACCAAGCAAATGGAAAAAAAAAAAAAGGCAGGGGTTACAATCCTAGTCACTGATGAAACAGACTTTAAACCAACAAAGATCAAAAGAGAAAAGACCATTACATAATGGTAAAGGGATCAATTCAACAAGAAGAGCTAACTATCCTAAATATATGCACCCAATATGGGAGCACCCAGATTCATAAAGCAAGTTATTAGAGACCTACAAAGAGACTTAGACTCCCACACAATAATAATGGGAGACTTTAACACCCCACTGTCAACATTAGACAAATCAACAAGACAGTTAACAGGGATATCCAGGAATTTAATTCAGCTCTGCACCAAGCAGACCTAATAGACATCTACAGAACTCTCCACCCCAAATCAACAGAATATACATTCTTCTCAGCACCACACCGCACCTATTCCAAAATTGACCACATACTTGGAAGTAAAGCTCTCCTCAGCAAATGTAAAAGAACAGAAATTATAACAAACTGTCTCTCAGACCACAGTGCAATCAAACTAGAACTCAGGATTAAGAAACTCACTCAAAACCACTCAACTACATGGAAACTGAACAACCTGCTCCTGAATGACTACTGGGTACATAACGAAATGAAGGCAGAGATAAAGATGTTCTTTGAAACCAATAAGAACAAAGACACAACATACCAGAATCTCTGGGACACATTTAAAGCAGTGTGTAGAGGGAAATTTATAGCACTAAATGCCCATAAGAGAAAGCAGGAAAGATCTAAAATTGACACCCTAACATCACAATTAAAAGAACTAGAGAAGCAAGAGCAAACACATTCAAAAGCTAGCAGAAGGCAAGAAATAACTAAGATCAGAGCAGAACTGAAGGAGATAGAGACACAAAAAACCCTTCAAAAAATCAATGAATCCAGGAGCTAGTTTTTTGAAAAGATCAACAAAATTGATAGACGGCTAGCAAGACTAATAAAGAAGAAAAGAGAGAAGAATCAAATAGATGCAATAAAAAATGATAAAGGGGATATCACCACTGATCCCACAGAAATACAAACTACCATCAGAGAATACTATAAACACCTCTACACAAATAAACTAGAAAATCTAGAAGAAATGGATAAATTCCTCGACACATACACCCTCCCAAGACTAAACCAGGAAGAAGTTGAATCTCTTAATAGACCAATAACAGGCTTTGAAATTGAGGCAATAATTAATAGCTTACCAACCAAAAAAAGTCCAGGACCAGACGGATCCACAGCCGAATTCTACCAGAGGTACAAGGAGGAGCTGGTACCATTCCTTCTGAAACTATTCCAATCAATAGAAAAAGAGGCAATCCTCCCTAACTCATTTTGAGGCCAGCATCATCCTGATACCAAAGCCTGGCAGAGACACAACAAAAAAAAAGAATTTTTAGACCAATATCCTTGATGAACATTGATGCAAAAATCCTCAATAAAATGCTGGCAAATCGAATCCAGCAGCACATCAAAAAGCTTATCCACCATGATCAAGTGGGCTTCATCCCTGGGATGCAAGGCTGGTTCAACATATGCAAATCAATAAATGTAATCCATCATATAAACAGAACCAAAGACAAAAACCACGTGATTATCTCAATAGATGCAGAAAAGGCCTTTGACAAAATTCAACAACCCTTCATGCTAAAAACTCTCAATAAATTAGGTAGTGATGGGACGTATCTAAAAATAATAAGAGCTGTATATGACAAACCCACAGCCAATGTCATACTGAATGGGCAGAAACTGGAAGCATTCCCTTTGAAAACTGGCACAAGACAGGGATGCCCTCTCTCACCACTCCTATTCAACATAGTGTTGGAAGTTCTGGCCAGGGCAATTAGGCAGGAGAAAGAAAGAAAGGGTATTCAATTAGGAAAAGAGGAAGTCAAATTGTCCCTGTTTGCAGATGACATGATTGTATATTTAGAAAACCCCATCATCTCAGCCCAAAATCTCCTTAAGCTCATAAGCAACTTCAGCAAAGTCTCAGGATACAAAATCAATGTTCAAAAATCACAAGCATTCTTATACACCAATAACAGACAAACAGAGAGCCAAGTCATGAGTGAACTCCCATTGACAATTGCTTCAAAGAGAATAAAATACCTAGGAATCCAACTTACAAGGGATGTGAAGGACCTCTTCAAGGAGAACTACAAACCACTGCTCAACGAAATAAAAGAAGACACAAACGAATGGAAGAATATTCCATGCTCATGGATAGGAAGAATCAATATTGTGAAAATGGCCATACTGCCCAAGGTAATTTATCGATTCAATGCCATCCCCATCAAGCTACCAATGACTTTCTTCACAGAATTGGAAAAAACTACTTTAAAGTTCATATGGGGCCAAAAAAGAGCCCTCATTGCCAAGTCAATCCTAAGCCAAAAGAACAAAGCCAGGCCGGGCGCGGTGGCTCATGCCTGTAATCCCAGCACTTTGGGAGGCCGAGGCGGGCGGATCACGAGGTCAGGAGATCGAGACCATCCCGGCTAAAACGGTGAAACCCTGTCTCTACTAAAAATACAAAAAATTAGCCAGGCGTAGTGGCGGGCGCCTGTAGTCCCAGCTACTTGGGAGGCTGAGGCAGGAGAATGGCGTGAACCCGGGAGGCGGAGCTTGCAGTGAGCCGAGATCCCGCCACTGCACTCCAGCCTGGGCGACAGAGCGAGACTCCGTCTCAAAAAAAAAAAAAAAAAAAAAGAACAAAGCCAGAGGCATCATGCTACCTGACTTCAAACTATACTACAGGGCTACAGTAACCAAAACAGCATGGTACTGGTACCAAAACAGAGATATAGACCAATAGACCAATGGAACAGAACAGAGCCCTCAAAAATAATACCACACATCTACAACTATCAGATCTTTGACAAATCTGACAAAAACAAGAAATGAGGAAAGGATTCCCTATTTAACAAAATGGTGCTGGGAAAACTGGCTAGCCATATGTAGAAAGCTGAAACTGGATCCCTTCCTTACACCTTATACAAAAATTAATTCAAGATGGATTAAAGACTTAAATGTTAGACCTAAAACCATAAAAACCCTACAAGAAAACCTAGGCAATACCATTCAGGACATAGGCATGGGCAAGGACTTCATGTCTAAAACGCCAAAAGCAATGGCAACAAAAGACAAAATTGACAAATGGGATCTAATTAAACTAAAGAGCTTCTGCACAGCAAAAGAGTCTACCATCAGAGTGAACAGGCAACCTATACAATGGGAGAAAAATTTTGCAATCTACTCATCTGACAAAGGGCTAATATCCAGAATCTACAGTGAACTCAAACAAATTTACAAGAAAAAAACAAACAACCCCATCAAAAAGTGGGCAAAGTATATGAACAGACACTTCTCAAAAGAAGACATTTATGCAGCTAAAAGACACATGAAAAAATGCCCATCATCACTGGCCATCAGAGAAATGCAAATCAAAACCACAATGAGATATCATCTCACACCAGTTAGATTGGCGATCATTAAAAAGTCAGGAAACAACAGGTGCTGGAGAGGATGTGGAGAAATAGGAACAATTTTACACTGTTGGTGGGACTGCAAACTAGTTCAACCATTGTGGAAGACAGTGTGGCGATTCCTCAGGGATCTAGAACTAGAAATACCATTTGACCCAGCCATCCCATTACTGGGTATATACCCAAAGGACTATAAATCATGTTGCTATAAAGACACATGCACACGTATGTTTATTGCGGCACTACTCACAATAGCAAAGACTTGGAACCAACCCAAATATCCAACAATGATAGACTGGATTAAGAAAATGTGGCACATATACACCATGAAATACTATGCAGCCATAAAAAATGATAAGTTCATGTCCTTTGTAGAGACATGGATGAAGCTGGAAACCATCATTCTTAGCAAACTATCGCAAGGACAGAAAACCAAACACTGCATGTTCTCACTCATAGGTGGGAATTGAACAGTGAGAACACTTGGACACAGGAAGGGGAACATCATACACCGGGGCCTGTTGTGGGGTGGGTGGGGGGGATAGCATTAGGAGATACACCTAATGTAAATGACGAGTTAATGGGTGCAGCACACCAGCATGGCACATGTATACATATGTAACAAACCTGCACGTTGTGCACATGTACCCTAGAACTTAAAGTATAATAAAGAAAATTAAAAAATAAAAAATAAAAAGTTAACAAAAGATAAAGCTATCAGCAGATTTCTTAAAAGAAAATATTTTAGAAACTGACAAAAACAGCTGTCCACTTAGAACGTTATACACAGTACAATATGTTTCAGAAATAATGGTGAAATAAAGACCTTAAGAAAAATAAAAACAGAATATTTTACCAGCAGACTTTCAATACAAAAAAAATTAAAGGAGATTCTTCAGGCAGATGATACCAGATGGAAACTGACTTTACTAAAATGAATGGAGAGCAGTTAAAATGATAAATTTGTGGAGAAATAAAAATGACTAAATTTTTCCTGTTTTTAAATTTTTTCTTTAAAAAATAATTGACTGTTTAAGGCAGAAACAACAACTGACTATGCGGTTTATAAAATATGAAGATATAAAATGCATAATAATAGAAGAAAGGATGGGATTGAGAGATCAAAGTATACTGGTGTAAGACTGTTACATTATATGTGAAATAGTATAATATGATTTGGAGATAGACAGTGATGTGTGAAAGATGTGTTTTGTAAACCCTAAAGCAACTGCTACGTGTAGCTAGTAAGCTAGTAGTGGAAATAAAATGGAACATTAAAAAATAAGTAAAATAAGACAGGTAGAGAGGGGGGAAAAGGAGTCTTTTAAAAAACAGATGGAGCAAGGATAATAGATTTTAACCTAACCATAACAATCATATTAAAAAATAAATAGTCTAACCTCTCAGTTAAAAATCATAAATCACTGAAATGAGTGAAAAATCAAGACCTAACTATACATTGTCTACAAGAAACTCACTTCAAGTATAAAGGCCCAGATAATTAAAAGTAACAACACAGAAAAAAATACACCGTGCAAATATGAATCATAAGAAAGTTGGAATAGCTATATTAATATCAGGCAAAGTAGGCTTCAGAACAGTAACATTACCACAGATTAAAAAAGGAACACTAACATGAGTACCTACTGAACATGAGTTCTGACCTAATTTTTTAAAATATGAAAACCTACTACATGACAGGCATTGCACTAAGCAGTAGGCACATAGAGCAGAGAACAAGTGGAGACTGGGGTCAGGGTATTCATTCTCCAGATTTCCTTCTTTCTAGAACACAGTTCCATCCCATGAACAGCTACCACAAAGCAGCTCTCTCCTCAGCTAATATAAGACACAGCATCTACCCTGTTAAGAGGGAAATCCAAGCACACAAACACTTTTAATTTAATAATCACTGAACAGTTGGAACAGAAGTATGGAGACAGAAAATGATGAAGACAGGGAAGAATTCATGGAAGTCCTGAAGGATGCATCTTGAAGGATGAGAAATATCTAATTTGAATCCCTATTCTGTGTAATACTAGAAACTTAAATCTGGTCATTTTAGCCAATTTAGGGTTTTCTTAGTCACATTAAGGTTTGTCCTCTGCTTTTCCTCTCCAGAGTGAAGTTTGAGTTCTAGGGGAGACAACATTGAGCCAGGATTTCAGGGTGGGAATGTCCGGGCTTCAGATGTTGGAATTTCTGCATTCTATCAATGCATGCAGTTTTTGTCCCAAGACCTAGTCTTTGCTCAGCTAATTTTCTTGTCCTTCTCAGGCATACTGGAAAAGTGCACCTGTTCTTCCACACAACTCTGTGGGCAATCAGAAAACCCAGAAGAGAGTTGTGAGGAGTCAAGCTAGCTCTGCATGGTCACATCATGACATCATTTTCCCTTTCTACCTCAACAGAACTAGCTTGGAAGCGAGAGGTGAAGCTGGGGAGTGGGAAGTAGAAGCCTGAGGTTTATCACCACTTCTCAGGGGTTGGGTTTCACCAATGGGGGGCGCTAGCTGGAGACGAGAGGATATGTGGAAACTTTGGTCAGATACCCCAGATTTCCTTCTTTCTAGAATACAGATTTGCCCCCTTGGTCTACCAAAAGCCACAGCTACTACAATGCAGCTCTCTCCTCAGCTACAGCCATGTTCTCCAGGAACTGGAGGCAGTTCCCTCCCGTGACACCTTCAGGACTTTGCTGTCCCTCCCCCATCACTCCCAATTAGATTTCACTTTGTAAGTTTTCTTTTAGTAAACTCAGTTCAGTTTCTCTAACTGAAATGTGTCACCTGATCTCCACCAGGACTCTAATTGATACACAGCAGAATTCCATAACCATCATCATACATTTATAAAATACATGGACAAACACTTCTTTAATGGAAAATTTGTATCATTTTCCCCTTGATCTTATATTTCCATTCCATTTTTCTCATGAATTTTTTTCTTAACAAATATATGCTTGAAAGTCTTTTGCTCAACTTTTCAGTAAACAATTTTCTATGCAACAAAAATATGTATACAAATGGGAAAGTTTACCTTGTTTTTACTTCATGTGACTTCTTGAAATAAAAATGAACGATATGCCGAATACTATCAAAATTTTTTCTGAATTATTATGGCTGTGAATCCACAATTTATCAAACATAAATGTAACTTTTGATTTAAACATGATTGAATGTAATAAATTTTTATTGGAAATGCATCTTTTAATGAAAAAAATAATGATTTTTCTCCCAATTAGTTTCTGTTTCCATGGATAAATATAGCTTATAGCTAGAGCGATGCAGGGTTCAGAGTAAATCAACAGCAATTCTGAAAAAGGGTTGGGCCACAGGAAGTTCAGAACTTACAAAAAGTACATTAATTAGTGTTGTTAAATGGATTTTTAAGGAGTAGAACCAACAAGACATTTCTGTTATAAGTATATGGCAAAAGTTAAATAAATAAGTGAGCAGAAAAGAGGCTAGTAGAGACCAGGATATTTGTGCTTATAGTAAAAATAAAATAGAGGCTTAAAGTACACAATAATCTTGCAAAAGCTAATGAAAATGTTTTTTCTGCGGCCCTGAATAAATGTTCACAAAATATAAATACAAACTTAACACTAATATGTGATCCTTTTTCTAGAAAACACAATATTGGTATTTGGGAAGTAAATATATAATTTTCACCTTCTTCTCTTTGAAATTGTGCAATACAGGCAGATAAGGCACAGACTGAGGTCTTGATTTTAGTAGGCTTCAAAGATTCTCAAGTCCCTTTTTTGGTTGTGCTGAAGATTCTGCACACGTTGGGGGAACACTTCCCAGTGGGATCCAGAGAGAAGGTTTTGGTTTTGGTTTTGTTTTGTTTTAGAGGTGGAAGAAGGAGGGCTTGAGAAAGGGCAGATATGGAAGAACTAGACCCATTCTTAGACCAGGCAGCCTTAGGAAAGAGTGTGAATGGGAACTTGAGGATCTGGAAAGCCTTTTAACACCCTGTGTGCCCCCATTCCAGTACCCCATACCCCATGGGGAAACTTTTGCTGGCCCCCAGGGGATGATCTCCAAGTGTGACAAAATTAAGTACAGCATCACCTGGAAAAAGGAAGGAAAGGTCACTGCTTGGACAAATCATTCAGATTTACACTGTTCTACTTTCCTTAGACGTGTTTTCTCTTTCCAAGCTGCTAATACCAAACAGCCAAAGAACTATGAGCCCAGTTAAGAATGTGAAACTGGATCTTTTGTATATTCTAAGGCCAAGTCTACACAATAGCAAAGTGGCGGATGTTTTGTCTCTACATTGCCAAACATCTGGATTGAATGAAGATTCGACTAAATGGATTTGATGTTCATCTTGTTTTCTTTTTTAAGGGTGTCATTTACTCTTTCTGGCCGTGAAACACCCTTTGATATCAGTAGCAGATCTGAGCACGAAGTCAGCTGTCTACCCAGAGAGGAAAAGAAACGAAGCCTTACTCAATCTTTCCATGAATTTTCTTCTTTTTTCTTTTTCATTATTTTTCCTAAACTCTTTCAGGGGCTTCAAGGTTCAGGCCATGTCACTCTACCTAATCCATCAGAAAAGGGCCAGTCAGGTGTTCCTGTTGTCTGCCAACACAATATTGCTTTTCAGCCTCCATTTAAGGGCTACTCCTCTTCCCTGCTCACTCTCCCTCATCAAGGTGGGCGAGCCCCTGCTCCTTGGTAATTTCCTCACCCTTCCGGGCTCACACTAAGATAAAGGGAGGCAGCCCCAGCCATCTCAAAGCTACACATTAAACAAAGCAACATAATGAGCTGCATTTTGTTGAGGGCTCTCCAGGTCCCCCAAATCTTTCTCAAATGTGATTGTTTATAAAATGTTTGATAAAAATAAATGATGCTTTCAATTTAAACAAAATTTCACACTGTTACTGGTTTTAATAACAGTTTTGACAGATGAGATTTTCATCATCTGTTTTTTCTTTGTGAAGCCTTCTTCAATAAACTAAAAATGCTTTAAACTAACAGATGTGACTATAAAGTAAGGCTTGAGTGTGAGACATCAGGAACTAAAGCTTGTCAAATGCTTCAACATAGAAATTTATCCCTAGCGTAAGCATCTCCTGGGGATCAGGAAAGTCAGGAACCTCACGGTTGCTGGTTAACGTGTGAAGCTTGTTTCAGCAGCAAGATGCCATTTATTCCAAACCGGTCATCTATCTACACTTGTTCCTCCCTATCTGCCTTCTGGACTTCCACTACTTCAGCTATCAGAAACCTGTTAAGAAGTCAGTCCAAATTTGTTTGAGCTGATGTTGACATCTGACAAACTGATGATTCACAATTATTTTTCCATCAGCTCAAAAATTATTTGAATTTTCAGTAATACTGTGTTTACAATAAAGAAGTTATTTTTGCTTACTTTAAAAATATATATATTTATTTATTTATCTTTTAACAGAATTGAAGGCTTGAAACTAAGTACTCTGATTTTGAAATAGCACACTTGCCTCCAAAATAAATGGTTTGGGGCCAGGCACGGTGGCACAAGCCTGTAATCCCAGCACTTTGGGAGGCCTAGGCGGGCAGATCACTTGAGGTCAGGAGTTTGAGACCAGCCCAGCCAATGTGGTGAAACCCCATCTCTATTAAAAAATAATAATAATGCAAAAATACAAAAATTATCTGGGACTGGTGGGCCATGCCTGTATTCCCAGTTACTTGGGAGGCTGAGGCAGGAAGATCACTTGAGCCCGAGAGGCAGAGACTGTAGTGAGCCGAAATCACACCACCACACTCAAGCCTGGGCTATAGAGTGAGACTCCGTCTCAAAATAAATAAATAAATAAATAAATAAAAATTTAAAAAAATGGTTTGAAAGATCATCTTTCTTCTTTTTTGTGGTGTCTTTTTATGTTTTAAGCTGTTATTCTTGCAGAGAAATACAACATTGAGAGGCATATTGGCAAATGAGTTTAACAAAAGTAATCCTAAAGCTTCAGTAAATCAAGGGGTAATATTACAGAAAGAACATTTTTTCTTAAACGTTGTCATATTCTAAATTAAATAACCCTATCACACCAAAAAAGTATATGTTGAAATTTATTGGCATGACCTAACAATTAAAGTAAGAGACTAAGAAATACTGATTTTCATTTCCATCTTTCCCACTAATATATGCATACACACAAACCCACACACACACAGGCATATACATATATATTTCATTAAGTTATTTAATCCACAATTTTATACTTTCCCTTGAAGTGAACACAAAGCATTTGACTTCCACATGGTAGAGTTAGTGAGTGAGTTACACGTCACTTCATATCTCACTAGTCTTCTTCTGCTTCTTATAATGTAATCTGTGAATGGGCCATGCACAGTGGCTCACGCCTGTAATCCTAACAGTTTGGGAGGTCAAGACAGGAGGATTGCTTGAGTCCAGGAGTTCAAGACCAGCTTAGGCAATGTAGCAAGACCCCATCTCTATAAAAAAGTACAAAAATTAGCTGGGTGTGGTGGCTCATGTCTGTAGTCCCAGCTACTCAGGGGGCTGAGGTGGGAGGAATGTTTGAGCCCAGGAGGCAGAGGTTGCAATGAGCCAAGATTGCACCACTGCACTCCAATCTGGGAGACAGAGTAAGACCCTGTCTCAAAAGGAAAAAAAAAGAAGAATTATGCTAATGACTGCATTTGTAGGCCCACAAGGCCTCAGTATATGGGCTATCCCTGACAGAAGCAAAATCTTGCTCCTCCCTTCTGGAGAGATCTAAGGAAGTTTCCCTGCCAAAAGAGGTATCCGCAAGGATCATGACAGTGTAGGCCTAAGGGGCAAAGCTATATTGGACAGACTTTAACCTGAGACAAGCTGGGAGACCTCAAAGCAAGACATTGCATGAAGGAGCAGAGAGCTTCAATGAGAACAGAGGACAAGATCTGAGAGAAATGCTAAGAACAGCCTCCAGCAAGAGTAGTCAGGCAGTCCAAAGCTAGTGTCCAAAGGTCTTGTCTAGATCAAACTAGGATTGAACAACAAGTGGAACAAAGTGGCATTGGAGTAGAGCAAAATTCAGAGCACAGGGTCTAGCTGTATTCACCAGGGAGGAGTCAAGATCTAAGCTCCTGGGAGAGAGACTGGGAGAACCAAGGAGAGCTTCAGAGCTCCAGTCTTTGCTAGAGCCCAGGATTCTGGATACAGTGTCCAGGCTGAGAGCAGCATGGGGGATAAAGCAGGCAGTCAATAGGATGGATTGGGTTGTGGTGTGGGAGGGCAGGATGGGGAGGGGTTAGACTCACTGGGACTCAGGCCGCTTGTGCTTGGGCTTCAGTGCTCGTGCAGCACATTGATGCGTAACTATGCATTCATGGTTCTGTCTCCCCTGCTAAGCTCTGAACTCCTTTGAGAGGAGCTGCGTTGTGTCTTTGTTTCTTCAGCACCCATGTAGTCTCTCCACAGAAGAGGAGCTGAATTGGTGCCTCTAAATGAGTGAATACAGGGCCCAGAGTGAAAAATTAGTGAATGAGTAAACATGAAACCACTCTCAAAAGTAGAAGAGCACACATTCTATCTGGCACTTGGAACATACTCTTACAGCAGAATTCTGTCTTTAGATCATAAAGAGAGTTATCTAATGGTGGTGGTGACATGCTTCTCTATATATGAATACCAAAAGACTTAAATTATAGCCCTGTGCCTTTATCTTTTATGGAGGCTACGACCATCTTGACTATTTCTTACCTGTCAACTGTATAAGGCATGTATTATGGTCAGAAATAGAACTATAAAGAAGATAAATTTAGTGTTAACTAAATTTAACTAAGGCAATTAAGAATATGGCTTTTTTTTTTCATTTCAACATATCAGAGACTACTAACCTTATTTCATTTCATCCCTTTTTCCAAGCTCTGAACGAACTTGGATCTATTCTTCAACCTCTTCTGCCCCGATCATTGCTCGGCTCAGTTTAAACGATCATTCTTCCTTCTACTAACATCTTTTACCTCTCCTCTGTCTCTCTCTTTGGCTACTTCCTCCTACCTCTAAATATTTTCACTTTCATGTATTTGTCAATCAGCCATTTGCTCATTTAGTCATCCAATAAACATTAATTAAGCTCTATGCCAAGTACTATCCAGCTGTTGAGTATGCAAAGGTAAAAAGATATTATTTTTGCCTTCAAGAATAGCCCAGTACAATGAGAAAGACCCACTTCTACTCATGAAGACATACATAACAGGATAGTGTCTTCTACCACTTTCCTTGTCCTGTGGAAGAGTTCAGTCTAGCTCCAGCTAATGCCTCTTTGGAGAGAAGCAGGGGCTTCCTCTTTTTTTTTTTTTGTTATCACCACCTTAAGCCCCACACCTAGGGTTGTTGTAAGATAGATGAGGCCTGGGCAGGGTCTCGGGAATACACAAACCTAGCTCTAGAGTGCCATATTAAATGCTGCTCAAAGATGGCTCTTACTCATGGTCAGTGAGAAGGGCAGCTGGGTGCTAAGTGGGCTTCCATGCACTTCACCAGGGTTGGGGACAGAGAGTGCCTTCCCTGGTAGAGATCTGTAGTTCCTTCACCTCCTGCTCTCTATTTCTATAGTGCATTCTCCCCCTCCTCTTACCCTGCCCCTGGGGATATATAATTAAAACTCTGAACTAGATTAGTCTCTAAAGGCAGCAAAACTCACTCAACAAGTATGCATTCAAATCTTTCTGATTTACACTAAGACCAGAGGATTTTCAAATATTTTTAGCCTTTGTTCTGGGTGACTCACTGTCTAGCTGTCTAGTCCTGGGATAGGGAAAAGGGAGGGTTGCAGAGATCAGGAGGATGTCCTCAGGAAACAAGTAAAGAAATGCAATTACCTCAAGGATAGAAAAAAAAATCTATTAATATATTAAATATATCAATGTATGGAGATATAACCCCTCTGCCTTTTTATGTAAACTGCTAAGTAACAGTGCACAAAATGAGAGAGATGGAGGAACTGGGGGTGGGGACTCCCCACCCAGTCGGCCAGGAGACAAAGCCTTGATCCTGCCAAACGTTCTAATTCAATTTCTTTCCATACTTTTACTTCTCTGTTTCATGCAAGCCTGCACTTTTCCTCATCTATTCTTTTCTTAATTCCTGCAACCTGGCTTCCATTTTCACTGCAGTACTGAAACTAGGCTCTTAAAGATTACCAAATGCTTCCTATCTGGCAAATCCAGGGGATATTTCTCAGTCTTCACTTTCCTTTGTGTCTCTGAAGCCATGGTCCCTGTGGCAGCCACATGGTCACTAGTACCACGTTCAACATTTGCTTGTCCCCTAACCAAGAAGATTTTGAACAGAAAACTTTGGGTGGCTTGGTTGTGAAAACAGTAGGTACTTAGAAGGATTTTTTCTTTAAGTGTTTTTCGAAACTACACTCTCTTCCCCTAGATTATGACATTCTATCCGAGTTGGGGCAGAGAGGTGGAGAAGTTGTGTCTCCTATCTGTTGATGATCACTGGTCTACAGAAACAAACTCCTGGAGCCTGAAGACCTCTATTCTAATCTTAGCTTTACAATCTGCCTTTTCATGCAACCTTGGCAAATCACTCAGCAGTTTCATTTTAAAGACAGAGGTGATCACATGTGGACAGTGGCAAGAAAAAGAAAAAACTGATAGATCACAAACAAAGCTGATACTCCAGTGCGCTGCACTGATCTGGGTTCGGAGGAGGCTACATAGTCATTTCCAGGACAAGGCCACTCTAGCCAAGAATGAACCATCACAGAATGCACCTCAGGGCCTTAGGAGATGCTGCAACTTTTCTCTCAGTGCAACTCCTGCATCCAGGACAAGGACTGGGAAAGAGAATAAAAAGGAGAAGCCAGCAGTAAAAAGGTGGTCTCTGTGGAGCAAGAAACTCTACTTTGACTTCAGTCAATTGTTCCACCTACTGTTGCCCATGAGAACAGCCTGTGTGCCAATTTCCTTTGAAAATTTCTAGGCTTCACAAACTTCTCCTTACAGTTTGGAGGCATCAGCTTTCAATCCTCTGTTAAGCTTGTTTCCCCCACTGCAGAAAAAACAACATGTGCAAATGTTTCCCAGTACTTTTCTGCTTAACTAAACAGACCCTTTTTCTTGTTCACATGAGGAATAAAAGAAACTCATTTTTAGTTGAACAGAGCTAGCTCACTTTAAGCTTTCATTAAGACCCATTTTCACTAGTAAATACGTCCATGTGTAATGAAATGACTTTGCAAAATCTAAAGAATTTGTATATTTTTATTGACCAACAATAATGAATGGTCTCTTTTGCTCGTTTGCCTTCCATTGCATTTAAATTTTATTTATTATTTATTTTTAATACTATCTTCTTTCCTTTTGCCTCTTGAGCACTAATGGTGAATATTCCACCAGGCTTACTCAGTGCTCAGAGCTTTCCCCTTTGTACTCACCACTAGAGACCCCTCGTGTTCAGGACAAGCATTATGACCTCCACAATGATGGCATCTCTATTACTTATTTCCCAGTGGTGCTTCAGTCTTGTAGGGACGTTCAAAATACCCTGGCTTCACCTGAGTGTAGATTCACATTCCATTCAATTCTATAGGAGGAGAAAGAAAAATGAAATGAGTATCTAGTATCTATGAATGATCTACCTTGTACCGGATTCTGTGCTGATATTTTATACATCATTGTCCCTATTTTTCAAGTTACAGAACTGAAGCATAGAACACTGACC
The DNA here is from genome assembly GCF_000001405.40 of Homo sapiens. Lineage (NCBI taxonomy): Eukaryota > Metazoa > Chordata > Mammalia > Primates > Hominidae > Homo > Homo sapiens. The sequence goes on along the minus strand of NC_000018.10, from coordinate 55,788,474 downwards.
TCACTGAAGCTCACCCAGCTAATAACAAACAAACAACTGATATGGCCAAGTTCCTTGCTGAGATCTGTCTGACCCCCATGCCCGTGAGTTTTTTTTACTATGCTACTTTCCTTGAAAGTACAGCATACAATCATTCCTTCATTTCACTCAAGAAAGGAGATCAACTTCCTTGTATTAAATTTGGAGTTCACATTTTTTGGAATATTAAGACAATTTTTTAAACCTGCTAATTGATGTCCAGGACTAATTTGCTGAATTTACTCAATATGTCTCGAGAGCTTACCTAGTACTGGTAGCTGTTACACATCTGACTGGCAAAAACAATCAAGACACACTACTGGTCATCAAAAAGGTTGCCATCTTTTTTTCTCTAATTTCAATCTCTGTAACATATGGTCTGCACCACATACTAATCTCCTTAAAATTCCATTTTCATACTAAAAGAACTTTTCTTAAGCACGTATTCTATGCCACAACGTGTGCCTTCTATTTGAGTTATCAAAAAGATTCAGGCACCTCTAACCTCAAGGAACTGACATTTGGGTCATTCCCTCATACAAAACCATCAGTGGCTTCCTGTCAACCACTTTGAACCCAACCTTCTCTGCAAAGCACTTATTCCCGTGTTTAGTCATCCTTCTCTACTCTAAACTCATAAACTATGACTGCCATACCATTTAGTTGTTATAATTGTCTCTCATATGTCAATTTTATCTCCCAGTGACACTATAATCTACTTAAAAGCAGGGCTCATTGCTTACAATCATTCTTTTTGGTCATACACAAGACAAGGGATTACTTCTTTGGCTTTGAATCCAAAGAATTCTTTCATCTTGTGATGATTTAAAGAACTTTAAAAGAATTGTTGATTGGTATTTAAGGATTAAACCCAACACTAGAGAATTTTCCTCCTGGTTAAAAAATCCACTTAATTCTTTAATACAAA